>NC_000022.11:24959564-26209564 GCF_000001405.40 Homo sapiens | reverse complement strand
TCTCTCCTCCCTCCCTCCTTCCTTGACTTCCTCTTTCCTCTTTCTTTTTTCCTTCCTCCCTGCCATCCATCCATCCATCCATCCATCCATCCATCCATATATCCTTCCTTCCTTCCCTCTCCTTTTCATCCATCCATTTGCTAGAGCCCAACTAAATCAATTGCCAACTGAAACAAAAATATCAACACTCTTCAAAGAAATGTAACCAAATCTAAAGTTTCTACAATAAAGTATTGGCAGCATATGGGTTACAACCCTGAATACCTTGACATATGAAGAATCAGGGAAATTTGACACAGGCTCAGGAAACAAGACATCAACTAAGACCCACTCCATGATGATCTAGATGTTGAAATTATGAGACCAAGATGTCAAGGAAGTAACTATAACTAAGCCTAATAAACTAAAAGAAGACATAGTTGAAATCAATGAAAAGATAGAAAGTATCAGTAATGAAGTAAAAAGTATAAAAACTCTGGAATTGAAAACTATATCTAAAATTAAATATTCACTGATGGAGCTTAAAAACAGAATGATGACAGAGGAAAGTGTAAATAAACTCGAAGATAGGTCAACAGAAATTATTCAATCTGAAGAAAATAAAGAAAAAAGATTAAGAAGAATAAAACCCAGGGATTTGCGGGAAATATCAAAACATTACACACACACACACACACACACACACACACACACACACACACACACACACACACAGAGAGAGAGTCAAGAAGTAGAAAAAAACAGAATGGGGCAGTAAACATGTTTAAATATATAATAGTTGAAAAATTCTCAAATTTGATGAAAAACATACATTTACAGAATCAAGGAGTTAGCCAACTCCAGCAGGATAAATATGAAGAAAACTATGACTATGTATGTCATAGTCAAACTACTAAAAACCTAAAATAAAGAGAAAATATTGAAAACATCTAAAGAAAACAAACATATCATATACAGGATGTATTTGAAACTGTGTACATATTGTATGCATATGCATGATAAGTTGAAACCTCATAGATTTCTCATCATAAATTATGGAAGCCAGAAGCCAAGAACTAATAGCTTTAAAGTTTTAAAAGAGAAAATATTTTTCAAAATAGATTTCTATACCAAGGTAAAATAGCTTTCAAGAATGAAAAGTAAACTAACGGCATATTCAGATAAAAGTAACTAAGAAAATCTATCACCCAGAAAAGCTAAAGGAAATTCTTTAGGCTGAAGGAAAATGACACCAAATAGAAATTAAGTTCTTCAGGAAAAATCAGGAGCATTGGAAGTTGTCAGTATGTGAGTCAATGTAAATAACCAACTAATGTTTTGTCTCAGTTTCCTTAAAATACACATGAATATGGCCGGGCGCAGTGGCTCACGCCTGTAATCCCAGCACTTTGGGAGGCCGAGACGGGCGGATCACGAGGTCAGGAGATCGAGACCATCCTGGCTAACACGGTGAAACCCCGTCTCTACTAAAAATACAAAAAAAAAAAATTAGCTGGGCATGGTGGCGCGCGCCTGTAGTCCCAGCTACACGAGAGGCTGAGGCAGGAGAATGGCGTGAACCCGGGAGGCGGAGCTTGCAGTGAGTCGAGATCGCGCCACTGCACTCCAGCCTGGGCGACAGAGCGAGACTCCGTCTCAAAAAAAAAAAAAAAAATACACATGAATATTTAAAGCAAAAATTATAACATTGCCTGTGGGCTTATAAGGTATGTAGATGTATTACACACAGCGACCACAGCATAAAGGATGGTGGATGAGGGGTCAAAGGGTCAATAATTGCAAGGTTTCTAAATTTCATGTAAAGTGGTAACCTTAAGTAGAATATGAAAAGTTAAGGATATATAATGTAATTCCTAGAACAACCACCCAAAATGCAAAAATGTATAGCAAAAAAACCAACAGGTAAATTAAAATGTAATTCTAAAATATTAGAATAATTTGAAAAAAGACTGGAAAGGAGGAATAGAGGAAGAAAAACAGAAGGGCAAATAGAAAAAAATACTAAGATGGAAGATTTAAATCCACCCATATCAATAAACACCTTAAGTGTTGTTATGATGATAGCTAACATTTGTTAAGGACTTATGATGTGCCAGGTACTTTACGTGAATTATTTCATCTGATCCTGATAACAACTTTGTAAGATAAATATTTGATTTCATTGATGAAGAAATTGAGGGTCAGGGAAGCTAAATGTCTTGCTTCAGGTGATGAAGCAACAATTGATAAAGCCAATATATGAGGTCTCCCTGCAAAGCTTACAATCATTTTACAGCATCCTGCCTCTAACTAAGGTGGTTACCATGCCTTGTGGTGTCAAAGCAAGATGAATGGAATACTGTGGTGCCTTCTCCTTCCCAGTTATCTCCTAACAATTATAGTGGGTGCAAGTGACTTGAAAACAAAACAAAACAAAACAGAAAAAGAGCACCATAAGAGAAAAATAACTGTCCCAACGTCTACCTTTGGCAAGAGTGACCCTATATGCCAACCCCTAGTAAAGCTAATATTGAATTTATGCTTTTTGCTTTAAACAAAATTTTAGATGCATTAAGAAGAAAATAAGCGTTGTCGAGGTTCACAAAACACTGGGTTATTCCAGAGATCTCTATTAGAAATAAATTGTCCCTGGAGCTTTCAAAATAAATCACTGTGGCTTCATCAGGCCTAGAAGATTAGCTTTAAGTCCAATACTTCAATGCCATTTTGAATTTTCTGTCCAGAAAGAGATAGCTCAGTTACTCTGAGTTCATCTAACTTTCTCTGATAATTTAATTTAAAACAAGTTTCTCTAGGTTATGTGACAGCAACTCAAATGGGTGCTGTTTTTTTATTTCCTAGGATACTGTGATTATCTACGCTAGAGGTAATATATTATGGATGTCTAGACCATCTCACTGTTTCGTCACAGACAAGGGCCATTCTGTGCTTTTTGGGATTTTTAGGTCGCTCATGTTATTGGCAGCAGTTTAGTGTTAATCAGATGGCTGTGGTTTTGAATCCTGGCTCTTCATCTCATTAGCTGTGTAACCTTGGACAAGGAATGTTACCTTTCTGGGTTTTAGTTTCCTTATTTTCAAAATGGGGATGGTATCTACTGCATGGGAGTTTTGAAAGGTAGTTAAGATAAGACATGCAAAGGATGTAACAAAGTGGCTGGCATATAGTAAGCACTTAATTCAATGTTTTAAAAATTATATACTATGCAGAACTCTTGGATCATAGGGGGTGAGGTGCTGTCACTTCTCTGGAGCAGGAATTGGGGGTAAAGGAGGTGGTTCTGGACATTTTCTCAGAAAAGGGACGATTGGGGTTGGGCCCTCAAGGGCAAGCAGTAATTTTCAAAGGGAGTAGAATGAAGAGGTTATTCCAGATTGTACTAAAAGTATTTGCAAAGACAGGTAGTGAAGCATTGCCTAGAGTGGTGGGAATAAGCCTGGAAATTTATGATATGGCAGAGTTGTGAAGGGTTATGTTTGTAGAGTGAAGGAGTTGCACATTTATTCTATAGGAGAGGCCAAGTTATTGGATGCTGAGAGTGACACATTGCAGGCTCTTTTAGGGGAAGATCACTGTAACAGGAGGGTGAAGGATGAGTTCCAGAGCATAAACTGGACACCTGGAGGGACTGGGAAGTTCTGACATGATGGTTCCCATGAGTGGGAATGGTGGCCTGGACAGCGTTGGTATCTCAAATCATTACACAGACTACTAGCTAGTCACTGGGAAATGCTTGAAAAGAAAAAAAAGATTCATTCTCTTGAGGAGGAAGAGATTCTGCTAAATTGATTCTTGAAGAGACTCTCGGGAGAATTACAATTAATTCAAGAATAAAGAAATTTAGTTAGAGCAGTGTGATTGGATTGGAGGAGTTGCTAAAATGCCAATTTCAGCCTTCCCTTTCCCCATCCCCCACCACCGAGATTTTGCTGCGGAGAGGTTAAGATGGAGAATCAGAAACCACATTTTTAATAGTTGCCCTGGGTGATTCTGATGTAGGTGGTCCAGGACTCACACTTACAGAAACAGCAGTTTAGGGATAAAAGAGTTACAGGCATGGTGTAGTTAGAAAGCTTTGCAAAACTGAATTGAAGCAAGGCTTTGTGAGATAAGCAATTAAGGTAAACCTGAGGAAGAAGGTCAGTTGTGAGCTGAAACACAAAGGAGGAGAAGAGGAGTGGGGAGCACATTTTAGGTGAGGAATTCAGAACTAGTAACAACTGATGTCTACTCACTGGCAATGAGAAGACCATCCTGATGCATGTACGTCACTGAAGATAATCTTGGAGAGTAAAAAGTCACCAGACTTGAAAGGGCCTTGAATGCCAGGAAGGCGTTGGTAATTGGCAGTGTTTAAGTTGATGGACTGTACCAAAGACAGGCATCCCTATTCTTGAACAAGTAAGAGGCAGTGAAATCTGCCACATAAAGCGAGTTTCTCTTCTCTTTAAATTTGACATTGAGATTTATTTGCCAGTTATACCAATGGAAAGGAATAATGAATGGGAAAACAAGGATGAAAGGGAACCAGATCTGGTGGTTCAGTTATCTCTTGATTACCTGACATGGGTCTGTTCACATGACAAGCCAAGTGGGCTTCTGGCTGGCACATGTCACATAGGTTTGAAGTGAGGTCTTTTATCAGAAAGAGAGATAGAGCTGGGCAGGGGCAGTGAACAGAACCACTGCACAGATTGCTGTGAAGTTTCTTGAAAAAGCTGTCAGAAGGTCCAGAAAATGGATCCAGCTCATTAGAGCATATCTGCTCCTGTCTTTGGCAAATGTGATGAGCTCCAACCTGCCTGGAGCCTTCCCATATAGCGTTCCCTCTGGCAGAACACTCTTCGACCTGCTCTCCACCTAGGAAACTGCTTCACCTCTGTCCACTCTCAGAAAAAAAAGGAAGCCTTACCAAACTTCCAGACTAGATTAGAAATGGATATTAGATACTCTCACAGCAATAGATCTTGGTAGTTAAGAACAAAGGCTCTGGCATCAGAATGCCTGGATTTAAGTTATACCACTTATAGCTGTGTGATGTTGGGAAAACTCCTTAACCTCTTCTAGCCTCAGCTTCCTTATCTGTAAAATGGGGTGATATTTGTAATATCTGTTTCATAATTCAATTTGATTATATATTGAGCTAATGGATGTAAAGTGCCTAGAACGATGACTAGCATGTAGTAAGTGCTATATTTGTGGTATGGCTATTATTTTAAAGCCCTCTATACTGTTATTTTCAAGCACCCATCACAATAGTAGTTAGTAATTATGTGTATGATCATCTGTGTCATGACTGACTTCCCATATGGATTAAGAGTCCCAAGAGGGACCATGTCTGTATTGTACCTTTCTATGACTCTAGTACCTGGCACATTGTAGATACTCAAGAACTATGTATTGAATGGCAGTATCTAATCAAATTTTCATAGTACACATGAGAAAGCAATAAGATGTAGGAATGGAAGAGTACTTTCCTGAGGTCACAGAGGAGTGGGTACTAGAATTGCAGAGTAAGTTCTAGAATTAGGGTGTCTGGAGATTTGAAACACTTGGGGAAGCATTTCGGAAGCTTTCTCCCCCATTCAAAGCCATGGCAGTAACAACCCTCTTGCCTCATCAAATGTAGGGCAAATTACCAGAAATAAAAGTTGAAACATCACCTTACCCTCTCCCTCTCTCTGCTCCTACTCTTCTTCAGCTCTTAAGGGGTCTACATTGTTCAAAATAACCCTTTCTGCACCTCACTTAGAGGTCCATATGATGGTTCAGGTCTTGAGCTCTTGAGTGAAACATACCAGGGTTCCAAACCTGGTTAACTGTGGGACCCTGGTCGTGTCCAACACCTCTCTGAACGTCAGTTTTTTTTAACTGTAGCATGGAGTAATAAAGTGTCCATATTCTAGAGTTGTTGTAAGACTTAAATGAGAAGATGATGCCTGGCATACAGCATGTGCTTAGTAAGTGTTCCTGTGATTGTTACATCCTTATTTTATATAGGAAGACTAGGCTCAGAGAGGAAAGAAATGTGACAAATGATAAATCCAAATGAATTGACTCATCCATTCAAGAAGCTTGTACCTACACCTTCTATATATTTGCTGCTTGCCAAAGATGTGAACAATAAACAACCCTCATCTCAGAGAGCTCAGAGGCTAGGGGGATAGAGCTATTAGTTAACAATCACAACATGCCCAATGGTGCTATACGTGAAGGAACATATCTGGGATGCAGAGAACAAAAAGGCCTCATCTAACTCAATCTGGAGGGGTCCAGAGAGGGCTAAGGACATTCCAGTCAAAGGTGCATGGCACAGAGATGAAAGTGAGCAACTTGCAACTGACAGCTTCATTTCAACAAATGTCTAAGGAGCCACACTTTTGTACTCCACAGTGTTCTAGGACCTAGAGAGATGTTCTAGACACTGACACCCTGATGATTCATGAATGAAACACAAAGGCAGAAGCTCTAAGTTGCAGGCACAGATTTGCAGTGGAGCTGCTTCTCACCAAAGCAACTCTAGGAATTGCTCCACCAGTGGGAGCTGCAATGATAATCTGTCCTCAGTGGTGTAAGCAGAAAAATAAAAGTGGTCTGCAATATATGGAAACTTTGTTACAAATTTGAAAACTAAATAGTGCTCTCTAAATATTACAATTAGGAAAAATTATTGCAGCCCAGTGTTAAGGTATTAAATTATTTCTTTTGAACTTTAGTTAATGATGACTAATGACTCGTCCTATGCAAGCTCGATACTACAGTTAGTGGAGAATACTCTAAATCATCCAGGGGCTGATCATTCTTCTAAAGGTTTCCTCTATTTTTGTGTGGTTGTGATTGAATAGCAGACCTGCCCTTCCACCCACATCATCATTAAATTCTCCCTCCCCTCTGCCACTAACCTCATCTGAAAAAAAGTAAGACATAAAATTGATGAATTGTTTACTGAAAAAAGAATATCAGAGTTAACCCCTGTCACCTTCCTGTCGCTCTAGCTTAGGATTCTGTGCCTGACAGTGTCCTCAAGGGAGAGTTTTGGGGAGGAAGCTGGGTAGCCCTCTCATCCATCAATCTCAAGGGTTAGGAACATTCCATAGACAACCCGTGCCTCCTTCACTGTCTATTAGGGAATGTGCCATCATGAATTTATGAAGACCCATGAGAACCTTTGTGCTGCTTCAGCTGTACCTTCCTGTGGCTCAGGAGGATGGGGAAGTGACCTTTTCATTTTCCTATGGGATCATCTAGCAATAGATTCTGCTTTTACACGATTCAGAGATTTAACCATTTGTTTAAAGGAATGTATGTGCAGATAGATGCAGGCATGAGAGAGAATAAAAAAATCTGACTTGGCCGGGCGCAGTGGCTCACACCTGTAATCCCAGCACTTTGGGAGGCCGAGGCAGGTGGATCACGAGATCAGGAGATCAAGACTATCCTGGCTAACACAGTGAAACCCCGTCTCTACTAAAAATACAAAAAAATTAGCCGGGCGTGATGGCGGGCACCTGTAGTCCCAGCTACTTGGGAGGCTGAGGCAGGAGAATGGCGTGAACCTGGGAGGCAGAGATTGTAGTGAGCGGAGATTGCACCACTGCACTCCAGCCTGGGCGACAGAGCCAGACTCCATCTCAAGCAAACAAACAAACAAACAACAACAAAAAATCTGACTCAGCTGTTGCCTTCCTTTTAGAAAAATAATAAAATAATAATAATATCAGTTACTATGTATTGGTCTCCTACTCTGGGCCAGGGCTGTGAAAATGTTTTTGGAGGTATTAGCTTATTTGACCAACTTCAACTACCCTGGAAGGCAGATATTACTTTTCTCATTTTAAAGATAAGAAAACCAAGGCTCAGAGAAATTAAGGCAGTTGTCACAAGCAGTGGTAGTATGGGCTTTAAATATAAGTAGTCATTGCTAAAGCCTATGCTTTTTAACATCCCACCCTTCTACCGCCTCCAGATACGTTTTATTTTATTTTATTTTTATTTTTTATTTTTGAGACGGAGTCTTGCTCTGTTTCCCAGGCTGGAGTAGAGTGGCACAATCTTGGCTCACTGCAACCTCTGCCTCCCAGGTTCAAGCCGTTCTCCTGCCTCAGCCTCCCGAGTAGCTGGGATTACAGGCACAAGCCACCATACCCGGCAAATTTCCTCTTTTTTTTTTTTTTTTTTTTTTGTATTTTTGTATTTTTGTATTTTTAGTAGAGATAGGGTTTCACCATGTTGGTCAGGCTGGTCTTGAACTCCTGACCTCAAATGATCCACCAGCCTCAGCCTCCCAAAGTGCTGGGATTACAGGCGTAAGCCACCGTGCCCAGCCTCCAGAGACATTTTAATCAATTACGTTAACTTTTATTGAGTGTCTACTGTATGCCAGTCTCTGCCAGAGGCTCGGGCTCTGAGCTGCATAAAACATGCTCTCTCTGAAGAGCTTACAGTTCAGCTGAGAGAAAAGACAAGTTCACTGAGGAGCAAAACCTAGATGACATAGGAAAAAGAGTGCAAGGACCCATAAGGCTTCAAGAAGGCCTGTTGGGGGAACCAGCCCTGTTGGGGGAACCGGAGGAGTCTTTGGATTGGGCTGGGATTCTGCATGGGGTTTTGACTGGTTGGGGTTTTGACTGGAGGAGGTAAGTCATATGGAAGGTCCAGCTTGAACAAAGGCTGAGAGGTGGGGAATGTGTTTGGGGGATAGTGAGTCATCCACGTGGTTCAAGCAGAGAGCGATTGTAGGAGTGAGGTTAGATATGTTACCCAGAACCCCAGGATGAAAGCTGGAACTGGACAGAGGCACAGAGTATGTTTAATCAGGGGATAGGCATGATGAGAGAAGTCCTTTAAAATGACAAATCCAGCAACTGGCTGGAGGCTGAGAAGGCTGATGGCACACTGGGAGCAGTGGCCAAGCTGGCTTTCCAAGTCATATTAACTGAGACCAAAGCCTGGGCTATGCCCACTGCACCACATTGCGTTCCTCATCTCCTTCCACCCCTTCTCACATAGGGACTCCAGTAGCTCAGAAATAGTGAGATCTCAGCCCAGGAAGGTGATACTGGGAAGGAGGTGGCTGGTGGGGATTCCACAAGTCCTGTCCACTAACTTGAGGTGGGACTGAAGAAAGAAGGACTTGCTGTCAGCCTGTGCACCCCTTGAAAGCAGAAGCGGTGTCTCTTGCACCAACCACCAAGCCTGGTGCATAGTCAGTGCTCAAAAAAAATTACTGAAAGGATGGATCATATGCACACAAACACACATACACAGGCATGCACATGCATACACACACATACACATACATGCAAACACATACACGCACACAAACATATACACACACCATCATACACACACTTCCAAAGTTCAATACTGGAAGAAAGAAGGGAAGTTAAAAGGAAATATATACATTAGAAGGAGGAAGTTGTTTGAGGCAGGGAGAAGGAAGGAGGGGAATTCAGGAATGCTTGGGAAGCAGTGCTACATTCCAGTCCCATCCCCACCATTTCCTATTGGTGTGATCTTTGCTCAGTAGCTTAACTACGTAGTCTCAGTGCCTCACCTGTAAAATAACAGTATCAAGTTGGAGGGCTGTTGTGAGATTTAAACGGGCCAACTCATGTGAAATGCTCAGCCAAGCACCTTACTCCTGATAAACACAGATGTAAGGTGGTGAATATGAGATGTATGAGACTCACTGGCCATGGGAGGTGCTCTAGAGCTGTCAGCTCCCTTTCCTCCTCTTCATTTGTTTAGTTCGGCCTCAAGTCTTGTAGAACTGAATCTACAACTTCCAGTCTTGTCATGCTGAAAGAGGACTCTACCCATTTGCTGAGAGTATAACTTAGGAGAAGGGAATTCACCAAACTGCTAAAAAGCTGCACTGACAGTCTGAAATGAATCCTTGCCTCTAGTCCTGGATGTACTTCTCTTTGCTTAAGTTTTGCTGCATAAATATGCCCTGGAAGCATCGAGAGGTAATGGAACTTCACATATGAGAGAATCAATTAAATTAATCTCTCCCCAAAAGCATCAGGTAGACAAATTGAACCAATGCAATTAAAGAGATTACTTTTGCCTCTCCTTTAAGTTGTCATTTTGTATAAAGTGGCTCCCAACATCATCAAACTCTGGGTTTTCTCTCGGATGAATAGATACAAGTTAAATCAGTTCTCAGAAAAACCTTTCCCTCCCAGGCTTTCTATTCTGAAAAAAACAGACTAAAGATTAGCCCAGAAGGTAAACAGTAGCTGGAAGTTGGGAGCTGTGTTCAGTCCCTACTAAGCAACAGGCCCTGGGTTCTTTGAGCGCTGGGTATGGTTCTTCATTTTTGCGCCATAGGCTTTAACTCAGTAATTGGTGCAAAAGGTTGGTTGGTGATTGGTAATGGGCTAATTTTCTCCATTGCTAATTTGTAAGTGATTTGGACCATCCTTTTCCATTCTTTAGGCCTCAATTTTCTCATCTTCTCAATGGGCAGAAGATTATTTTAGAGACCTGTCCAGAGCTGATAATCTCTGACTTGTCCTTAGTAAGCTGTATGTGTCATGACGTTTCCAATGACTCTGCTTATCCAGTTGTCTCTCCAAGTTACTGGGAACATTCCCACCAGCTTCCCATTGGCCAGAACATGCCACATGGCCACATCCAACCACAAGGGAGGCAGAGAATTGCAGTATATTCCAGGTGGCCACATCTCCAGCTAATGTGAAGATTTTGTTATTAAAGACAGGAGGAGGTGGGAATGTCTACCGGGAGCAGTCTCAGCTTCACAGGTCCTAAAGGAAATGTCACAAGGATTCTTCCCCCATGAATGGGATCAGAGCCCTTATAAAAGGGCTCCAGGGAACTAGCGAGGCCCTGTTGGCCATTCTGTCTATTGCTATGTGAGGCCACAGTGTTCATCCTCTCTGGAAGATGCAACAACAGGCACCATCCCGGAAGCAGAGAACAGCCCTCACCAGACACCAAACCTGCCAATGCCAGCATCTAGAACTGTGAGAAGCAGATTTCTATTATTTATAAATTACCCAGTCTGTGTATATGCTGGTATCATATCAGCATAAACTAACCAAGATACTTCCTGGTTTTATTTTATGCTTGTTGTCCCCATTGTCTCTCTGAACATCTGTGCTCTTGCAATGACTGTCCATACCACAAGTTTTCAAAGGAATCCCTGAATCTAAGCTTACAGTCTTTGGATAATCTCAGTGACAATCAACATTTATATAGCTTTATGGACTTTCTGAAGTACTTTTACATGTATTATCCATTAGATATTGGCCAGAGCCTTGCTAAGCCTTTAAGACTAGCCTCATTGTCATCATCATGATAATTGTTATCATTCTGATCACCTCTGTTTCACAGAAGCAAAACCAGAGGCTCAGCATGATTAAATAACTTGCCCAGTGGAAGCCAAGATTTGAACTCAGTTGTGTCTGATTTGTACACATTTGTAGTCTCAAAGAGCAAAGAGATGGATAATTGCATGAGTTAAGAAAACCCTAGGTAGACCAGTAGCTTCTCCTTTTGCCCCAGTCCATCTATAAGTTTGGTCAAATCTTCAGGGAGATCTGGTGTCACCAAAGCCCTCTAGAGAATCCACAGAGAGAGACGACCATGCCAGGGTTGCCTAGGAATTCCATGCAAGTAAAGGAAGCTACACAGATTGCCCATTTACCCCTTTCTCTAAATCCATCCTTTATTGGATGGCGGCATTCTCTTTGGTAGCAGCTTGAAAGCAACCCAAAGGCCACTCGCATGTCTAAGTCACCCAAGTCTACTGGAGATTGGAAAGATCAAGGTGAAAAGTCTCTGTCACCTAGGAAGGAAGCCTGTGTTCCATTTAGAAAAAAAAGTGTTTCTCTTACATATTATATAACCCTGGGGAGGTAGTTGCTTAGCAACTGAGCCCAGTTGACTGGGCTGGGAGTAGTTATTAACTCTTCCTACAGTCAATCAACATTGTTGAGTCTTCCTGGAAGGCCACCAGCCACCCCATTTCCATAATAGAAAGCTCATGCCTTTCATTTGTCACTATACCAGGACCCCTCCTGTCTGTCTCCTCAGCAGAGTTGCAGTTCTCTCCTCCTGGGAAGGATGACAATGTATGCACAATGTTACTTACTCACCCAGTAAGACCAGGCTCGGGCTTTCCCCAACCTGCGAAAACCCACTTGGCCATTTTAGTTATGTGAAACTGAACACCTGTCATGCAATAGAAGGTAAATGTACACGTAGCAATGTGAAAAAATTTTGTTTTCAATGAGCATTTATGGAGCTCCTACTATGTGCCAGAACCAGGCTTAGTTGCTGGGAATCAATAGGGAACAAGATAGTAAGTGCCTCACAATCATGGACCTTCCATTCTAGTCGGAGAGATAAAATGAAAAGAAATAAATAACAAGAAAAAAAAAACAAATAATTCTGATTGTGGTGAGTGGCTTGAAGGAAATAAAATAAGATGATGTGAAAGAAGTAGTGTCTGTATGGAAGTGGGTGTAGCTATACCTAAAACTATCTACATGCATCTCTCTAAAATGTATCAGCAAACAAGATGCATCCACATGCCCTATGCACTGTGTTGCTGACAATAGGGATTTTCCATTCAACGTTAGTGTTGCAAGAGCCTTACAACTGATCTTGTTTACTCTCTAAAGCCTTCCCTATTGCGGCAAAGGTACCATCTGATCCAGCCAGTCACTCAAGCAGTAACCTGGGAGACGTCCTTGAATCTATTTTCTCCCATTTCCCCACATTTTATCTATCAGCAAGTCTATAGACTTTAACTTCAAAATAGACCTTGAACCTGTTGCTTCTCCCTGTACCCATAGGGTCCACTCAAGTCCAAACCACCAGTCTGCCTCACTGAGATGAGTCCAGCTTTCTGCCTGGTCTTTCCCTACCATTCATTCTCCACCCAGCAGTCAAAGTGAGTTTTGAAAATTGAAGCTCAGACCCATCACACAATCCTCTGCTTAACACCTCTCAGTGGCTTCCTTCCCACTGTTCTTAAGTTGCCTCCAAATTTTGCTGCAAGGCTGTGTGTGTTCTGGAGCCTGACTTTGTCTTCCACCCCATTTCTGAGCAGGCTTGCCCTCATTTGCCATGCTCCAGCTACATTGGCCTTAGTTCTTACTCAGACAGAGTGAGATCATTGTATTAGGGCGTTCTTGCACTGCTATACAAAAATACCTGAGACTGGGTAATTTATATAGAAAAGAGGCTTAATTGGCTCATGGTTCTGCAGGCTGTATAGGAAGCATAGTGGCTTCTCCTTCTGGGGAGGTCTCAGAAAACTTACAAAACTGGTGGAAGGTGAAGGGGAAGCAGGCACATCTTACATGGCCACAGCAGGAGCAAGAAGAGAAAGGGGAGGTGCCACATGCTTTTAAACAACCAGATATCATGAGAACTCACTCACTATCATGAGAACAGTACCAAGAAGATGGTGCTAAACTATTCATGAAGGACCACCCCCATGATCAAATCTCCTCCCACCAACTCAATTTCCAACATTGGGGATTACAATTTGACATGAGATTTGGGCAGGGACACAGATCAAAACTATATCACTCATTCCTTCCTTGGGGCTTTGCATATGCTGTTTCCTTTGCTCTTGGCCTGATAACTCCCTATTCATCCATCAGATCTTAGTTTAAAGGTCAATGCCTCATAGAAGCCTTCCATGACCACCTGATCTCAGCACCCTGATTGATGCTTTCACAGCATTTATTCCTATTTGTAATCACACACACACACACAAACTATATATATATATACACACACTATATATATGTACATACACACTATACATATACACACACACACATACATACACATACGTATACATACACACACATATTAACTTACTTATTGTCTTTCTTCTGTGATAGATTGAGCATGGAGACCACATCCATTTTGTCACTGTATCATCAGCTTCCACCCCAGGGCTTGACACATAGTGATAATTTTTACATATTTCTTTTTGCTAAATAAGTGAATAAATACAACATAATAGAATATCTAGAATATATTGAGTGCTTACTACATTCCAAGCACAGTGCCAAACACTTTACATATTATGATCTCATTTAATCTTCATGATAACCTAATGAGACAGGCATGAGTACCCCCATTTTCGAAATGACTAAACTGAGATTAGGAGACAGGTGCTGGTAAGACCAAGGTCACATAGGTAGGCAGTGGCGAGGCTGAAATGAGAACTAAGCTTCCTCTGACTTTCCAAGCTGGGCTTTTAAGTCACTATATAATTCCTAATACTCTGAAGAGTTTTACCACACTTTCATCACCCCCTCTTTGCTTTATCATACAAGGAATATTTAACTCATTGGCAGTGTATCAAAGATAGCTTGAGAGTTTGAGGTGGCACGTCAGGTAAGCCCAGTCTGGCTGGTCTTGCAAAGTCAGGCAAAGTCCAGTTATCTGAACAACCAGAGCAGAGCAGACAAAAGAGTGAACCAAAATAACTCCCCACACTGAGTCATTCCCAGTTGTGCCTGGGAGGCTTTGCAGCACAGAGCATCTTTCTATTTCTTTATGTCCTGTCCAGCAAAAACTGTTATTAAAAGGAACATGTCAGTGGATAAAGCTGACCCCAACCAGTTCTGGAAGCTGAGGGAACTTGGTTTGGATTAAAATAAGATAATTCGAACTACACCATTTGCTGGGCACTTAGGATATGCTGAACACTTAAGTAAGATCTTTACATGCTTTTGTATCTACACAAAGTCCCTCCAGGTGGGAGCTATTCCAGCTCCCATTTGACAGGTGAGGAGACAGAGAAATGCAGTTGCTTGCTTTGTTTGCACAGCTTGTAAGTGGAGGAGCTGGGATTCAAATCAAGGTAGGTACAAGTCCAGAGTGCAAGCTCTTGACAATTGTGTTCTATTTCCTACACTACCAGGAACATCTCTTCCCCATGATCCCTCAACTCTTTTCTAAGAGCCTAGTGCATATTATGTCCAATGGTTGATTCATTGCTGATTCCAAAATGTCATCAGCTCGGCCAGGATTAAAGTTACAGTGGATCACAAACAGTTGACCTGCAATCCAATCTTGCCACCCAGTGACTGTAGCGCCAGGCTTTCTGAATTCAGGGGTAAGGATAGCACTCCATGCACACATTTAATCTACATCTTCTTAACTTCAGGATGCCCTAGTTATAACAAAGATCTGCAGGATAATCATGCTAGACAATACCATTGTCTTCCATTTGCATCCCACTGCAAATAACGTTTGCTTTTGTAAAGGCCAAAAAGAACAACAGAATGTGCTATCTTGTGTAATGGCACCAAGGGCTTCAAAAAGATCTTCATTTTCCCATCTGTGACATAGGAATTATGGGAGTATGGTGGCATGTAAGGTTGCTTTCAGCCCCAAAGTTCTTGCCTACAAGCCTTGAGCTTGCTCTTTCCTGAGCTTGCAATGCCTTTCTCTCTCATCTTTACATTGCCAAGTTTTACTCATCCTTTGGGATCTAGGAGGGATCATCTCCTCCAGGAAGCCTCCCTTGACTCCCAGTCTGGGTCAGTGCATTCCTGGACTTCTGTGTCTTATCCCTATCACAGGACACATTGCTCTTTGTCAAAATTGTTTATACACAGAACCTCCCCCCAGCCTCTAAGTCTCTTGCAGGCAGTGATTCCATTCTGGTTAACTTCTTTCCCTCATTAACTAGCACAGTTCCTGATATCCAGGAGATACCCAACATGAGTGTACTGCATACACGTCACCATGAACTCCAGCATGGTAATTATTCCTGGAAGAATTTGGTCCAATAGCAACAGACGATTGAGCAGAATTGAATGCCATGGGAAGTCTGTATATCATGGAGACTCAAGAAGCATATAGAAACATAAAGAGAAAATTGCTTTTCAAAATTGTAACAAAAGAAAGAAAAGATTTGCACAGGCTGTTAACAGAGGATTCCTTGGTGCAGTGGGATGAGGATGGGTTAATTAACTTTCTCAACACATCTCCCAAATGTTCAAAAATGTCTAATAAAGAAAAAAAGCAAATTGTAAAAAAGCATACCGTTCTCATTTATGCATTTTCCACTATTTTAGGACAAGGCACACCATGTGATAGCAGAACCACATTGGGCCAGGGTCAGCCATTGGTCTGTCTAGGCACAAACTTGCCTTGTGATCTTGAGTATGTTACCTCCACTCCCTGTGTGGAACATGCTTCATCATTAAAAAAGGGAGACAGGCTAGGATATTCACCAAGGGCTCCAGTTCATATATATGCTGAAGCATTAAGCCATATTTGTCTCACACGAATTTTTTCCAGTGACAAACTGGGAGTTTTTCTCCCTGGAGAATTCTCTTATTTTCCCATGTTCAAAGACACACAAACTGCTCACAATTCCCTGCTGTTGTAAAAGTAATTTGCCTTCATTATCCTAAACCTTTCAGCACTTCTTGAAACCTCTTTTTATATAGGAAAAAAAATGTTCCCAATGTGATCACAGGAGATAAATCTGCGATTTCACATTTCAAAAAGCAATCAAAATACTCCCTGCTAGAGTAGGTACTCATTACGATTTACAGTGAACCCTTGAAATCATCCTTATCTTCACCCCGCATCTGCCCAGAATTATTGTTTCTATTCAGGACAGGAATACCTAAAGGGGTGGAGGGCAAACGTGAAGCAGTTTCCTTAGTGTGAGGTTGATGCTTCATGTATGTTTCCTTTACACATCTATTTTATTATCTTGGGTTGACCAGATAGGCCTTTTGCATAATCTGTCTGTCTTCATCCAATTAGGATCTGGGAAATGCAGGAGGGATGTTAAAAGACTTTGGAAATGGGCCTATTTTACCCATTAGGCCCTGAGGCCTACAAGCTTTTTAAGAGCCCATGAAAATGCCTGAGAGCTGAAAGTAATATATCGGCTCCAAAATAGTAAAAGAAAACTGCAAAAGCAAAATTAATAAAGGCTTAAATTAAATGCCTCCACAACATACCGTTATATCAACCTCAGTGTTTTTTAAATTTAGTGTTCATAAAAGTTTCATTATATTTGAAAAAAGTTGATGAGTTAGAGTCTCATTTCACAAGAATTCCTGAGTATGCTTGATGATTTTCAAGAAACTACAGGTATATGTAAATTGAGAGAGTTACTGGTAACAATATAGTTTCAAAAACATAACTTTAATACTTCTTCTTAAATGTTACAATAAGAATTCTTTAAATGTATATGCTATGACGTGAGTGTGAGACTCCAGAATAATACTGCTTAGATCAAACCAAGGTCTTAAAATGGCTTTGCATAGGATGGGTTGATGAATGGACAGGTTGATGGAGAGATGGAAGGATGGATTAGTGGACAGATGAAGGAATGGATTCATCAACAGGTGGATGAGTGGACAGATAAAAGGATGCATTGATAAATGGATGGACAGGATGTGATGAACAGATGAATGGATGAAAGGATGAATGGACGGTTGGATGGATGAAGAGGTGGGTAGATGGATGGACAGATAACTGGATGCATTGATGAATGGATGGACAGGGGAGAATGAGTGGATGGATGGATGGATGGATGGATGGATGGATGGATGGATGGAGTGACTTGCTTAATATCATTCAGTGAGTTAGTGGATGTGCCCTCACTCCTGACTTTCAAGCTGTCATTAAAGACATTTAAATTTAGTCACAATCACTTGAACACAAGGACTGGAAGTGTCCTGTGAGGCCAGATGGTACAACTTGCTCATTTTGCAGATTAGGAAACTGAAGCTCAGAGAAGGGAAAGGACTTAGTTGATGGCAAATTATTTCTTATTTCCAACTTTTATTTTAAGTTCAGGGATACATGTGCAGGATGTACAGGTTTGTTACATAGGTAAACATGTGCCATGGTGGTTTGCTGCACAGATCATCCTGTCACCTAGATATTAAGCCCAGCATTCATTAACTATTCTTCCTGATGCTCTCCCTCCTCCCACCCCCCAACCCTCCAACAGGCCCCAGTGTGTTTTGTTCTCCACCATGTGTCCATGTGTTCTCATAATTCAGCTCCCACTTACAAGTGAGAGCATGCAGTATTTGGTTTTCTGTTTCTGCATTAGTTTGCTGAGGATAATGCCTTCCAGCTCCATCCATGTCCCTGGAAAGGACATGATTGCATTCCTTTTTATGGCTGCATAGTATTCCATGGTGTATATGTACCACATTTTCTTTATCCAGTCTATCACTGATGGGCATTTAGGTTGATTCCATGTCTTTGCTATTGTGAATAGTGCTGCATTGAGCATACACATGCATGTATTTTTATAATAGAATGATTTATATTCCTTTGAATGTATACCCAGTAATGGGATTGCTGGGTCAAAGGCTATTTCTGGGTGGCAGATTTTCTTTATTCTCATTAAACAAGAGGTTGTTGCTTAAATGTTTGCCTCTTAGAGAGACCTGGCATGGACCTATTGCTCAAACATCCTACATTTATAGGATAGTGTTTTACAACCAATGACAAGTCACTGCTAAACTGACATGCCTCTGTCTTGCCACACCCCGTATCTTTTTCTGCACACTTTCCATGCTTTCTCCTGCAGAAGGTAAGGTAGTAAATGGCAGTGTTGGGTCTGGATGCAAGCCACTTTGTTAACCCTGCTGGAGAGAAACATATCTGCTTAATTCACAATTGGGTCATTTTATTATTAGCACACACTCAGTTCCTTTATGAGTCTTTCAGATATTGATTGAGACATGGCAGGAAAAAAATAAAAAGAAAACTCTTAGTTCCTTAACATGCTGGACTTCTCTGTGACTTTTCTCTTGGCGAACATCTCCTGACATTCCTTTGGCAAGTCCCCACCTCTCTCTTTCAGTCCATGTGTTGGGGGAGGTCAGGGCTGGCCAATCAGGGTCCTACATGGTTCCAGCCTCAGCGACTTGTTCAAAGATGAGCACATGAACCAAGGCCAACTATAGACTTAATCTCCTCCACAACCCTGTGAAATTGGTACTATTATAAATTCCTGTTAAAGATGAGAAAACTGAGACACAGAGAGATGAAATAATTTGCCTGAGATAAGTGGCAGAGATGGGATTTGAACTCAGGCAGCCTGATTTTAAGTCAGCGTGCTTAACCTATCATCATCCTGCCTTTTAGTACAGTATGTCCTCCAAAAGTACCAGTTGATGGGTTTTATAGGTGCTAAAATATATATGTATATATCTTTGCTCCCATCAAGTGCATAATTTATAACTTCAAAGTGAGTTAATCCCTGGGAAAATTGGACTCAATAACCTCATGTAACTTTACACATATGACAACTTGTTTATCTGAAAATTTGTTTCGTGGTAACCTCAGCTATGTGGAAACCACCAAGAACTAACAATGGGTGAAGAATAAAAACTTCCAAATGGTCAAAGCGGGCTTTAAAACTGGTGGAAGTTTTTCTTTTCTTTTCTTTTTTCTTTTCTTTCTTCTTTTTTTTTTTTAGACACAGTCTTGCTCTGTCGCCCAGGCTGGAGTGCAGTGGCGCCATCTTGGCTCACTGCAAGCTCCGCCTCCCGGGTTCAGGCCATTCTCCTGCCTCAGCCTCCCGAGTAACTGGGACCACAGGTGCCCGCCACCACGCCCAGCTAATTTTTTGTATTTTTAGTAGAGATGGGGTTTCACCATCTTAGCCAGGATGGTCTCGATCTCCTGACCTCGTGACCCGCCCGCCTCGGCCTCCCAAAGTGCTGGGATTACCGGCGTGAGCCACCGCACCTGGTGGAAGTTTTTCATGGAAGAGTCCCTCATTCTGATTTTTCATATTACAGTCGTCTGCCAGTATCCATGTGAGACTCGTTCCAGGACCCCCAGGATGCCAAGATCCACGGATGCTCAAGTTCCTTATAGAAAATGGAGTAGTATTTGCGTACAACTTATGCACATCATCTCATACAATTTAAATCATCTCTAAATTATTTATAATACCTAATAGAATATAAATGCTACGTAAATAGTTGTTATAGTATATTGGTTTTTAAATTTTAAGTTTGTATTATTTTCTATCATTGTATTGTTATTTTCATTGTTTTTAAAGAATATTTTCAATCCACAGCTGGTTGAATACTCAGATGAGAAGCTCTCAGATACAGAGGGGAGGATTGACTGTATTTTTATGTGAATGTTTTCTCAGCTCAAAGTAATTTAGAAAATGGTAATCTGGGAGGAATTAAGTGTAGCATTGTGGAAAGAGTCTTTGACTCAAGAGTTAGACTGATTCAGATGCAAATCCCAGCCAGGAAACATAAAATCCCGGACAAGTCAAGGACTTCGCCTCTCTGAGCTTCAGTTTCCTCATCTGTGAAATGGTGGCAATAATGGTATCTACCTCACAACATTGCTGCAAGGAGGAAATTAAGTCATTGGTGTAGAGGGCAAATAGTAGGTACTTGACAATATCAATTTTAATTGACTATTGACAAGTTTCTGTTCCTTCCCAGACTCAGTTTCCTCATTTATAAACTATGACTTATAACAAAAATCCTCCTGGGCCATTTCACAAAGTTGTTGAATAGCAAAGTAAGGTAACGGAAAAAAATTATTTTGTAAGTGGTCAAATTCCTCTTAAGTGTAAGGCAGAATTACATGTATTAATGCTAGAGCAGTAGAAATTATACTATTGTTAATACTTCCTACTACTATTAATCATCATTATGACTACTGCTATTATTTTTACTGCTGGTACTATAAAAGAATACTGATGCTGGCCCTTAGATTCCTGAATTCTCTCACCATAATCTCCCGGGTTAAGAGTGACCACACTTGGCGTGAACACTTAGAGCTATGGCTTTTCTGTTGAACCTGAACTAACTGCACATCCTTCGTTGCAGAAATGAATTAGACAAGGGTTCCTTTGTGCAAAGAGACACAGACATAAACCAATGATGGAGTACAGAGTGCCGAATACCTAGCATAGTACCCGCTCAGTACATGGGAACAGCACTATATCATGACTTAGTACAAGGGAGTGGTAGGTTATAGATGGCTGCCAAGTCATGTTTAGAGAGCTTCACTTTGCACTTTTGCTCTTAGGACACTCTCTCTTGGAATCCAGCTCCCATGGTGGGAGAAGGCCAAGTCACATGAGGGAAAACTTACATGCTCGGGTGACAAGCAGCTCAAGCTACCAGACATGCAGTTGAACCCCTTGGAGGCTCAGAGATGATTTGGCTCTTTTCAACACCATGCTGAGCAGAAGAATCTCCAAGCTGCACTCAGTCAAACCACAGAATCATGTGAGATAATAGTAAATATTTGTTATTTTAAGCCACTGAATTTCAGGGATGGTTTGTTACACAACAATAGTTAACTAAAACAAAGTGGATATGGGTACTCCAATGCGATGCCCCTAACTCAGCTGAGACAGGCAGGGAAGGCTCCCTGGAAGAGGGTACATGTGGAAATCATATGAGATTTGCTGGTTATGCAGGTGAAGAAGGAAGGGTCCCAGTTCTCAGTTATGGGTCAACTCTCTTCTCTACATGATACATTTTGAGTCCAAGTTAGGTCAGTAATGAGGACCAGAATTTTAAAATCTCCTCTCACCTGGATTATTGTTTCTCCTCTCTAGGGATCAGCCCCACTTCCCCGGCTTTAAATCAAAATGACAGGGCTTCCAAATTGGTTCAGGTTCTCATGCATTTGTAAAAATGTCTTTTGCTGGAAAAAGCTTGGTATGTCTAATTTCTGCCCCAAGCACATTTTTATAGTTCAGCTATATTATAAATGTTGTTTAATTTACCCAGCAATGTTGGCCCTACATTAAACTGAGAGCCAGTGATAATATATATAAGATTCTTTCTGTACAGTCTGATCGGGGTTTGGGAGGCGGGGAGGGGTGGATTTAATCATCATTTGCCCAAATTTATATTCTTTTCCTCTCCTCTCTGCTGCTTTTTCTGTATTCTAGACACTATGGGGGAGCAACAGAGAAAATCTTTCAAAGCACCCAGCCATGTTTAAGACGGCAAGTCTGCAGATGAGTTGGAGGTTTTAGACACAGCCAAAGGGTCAAAGGCTGGGAATCCTGTGGATGTTTTAGTAAGTGCAGAGCATCAGCCTCCCTCCCATTGCAATTGAAGAGAAATTGCACCAGGAGCAGTGGGCTTGGTGGAATGAAATTTTCCCCACCCAAATCTCATCTTGAATTGTAAGGCAAATTGTAATCCCCACGTGTTGGGAGAGGGATCTCGTGGGAGGTGATTAGATCATGGGGGTGGTTCCCCCATGCTGTTCTCGTGATAGTGAGTGAGTTCTCACAAGGCCTGAGAAGGGGCTTTTCCCCCTTCACTTGGCACTTCTCTCTCCTGCCACCATGTGAAGAAGGACATGTTTGCTTCCCCTTCTGCCTTCATTGTAGGTTTTCTGAGGTCTTCCCAGCCATGCAGAACTGTGAGTCAATTACCTCTTTCCTTTATAATTTAACCAGTCTCAGGTAGTTCTTCATAGCAGCATGAAAACAAACTAATACACAAATTGTCCCTAACCTTAGCGGAGAGGCTAGAAGAGGTGACCCTATCTTAAGCTGGGAGGTGTGAGGTAGAATTAACTCCTTCAAGTCCTATCTGTGAGGACCTCCTAAATGATTCCTCTTTTGTCTTTAATGCTCCCATTTTCACATCATAGACAGCATTATCCAACCCAAAAATCCCCTCCCGTGCTCCTAAGCACAGCTGAGAATAAACTCCCAACACCTCTCAGCAAGTCCTCCCTGCCCTATAGGATCTGGGCCTGGCCACTGACAATGATTCTCTGCTTGATCAAACTTTAATCAGGCTCCTGAACCTTCTTCTAGGCCAATTGTGCACTTCTTTATGGAATCCAGTTTTAGCAAAGAATCCTGCTAGTCACTTTAGCAAGAACCCTATGCTCTGGATATCTGATAACCTTCCATATCTGATCAGGTCCCTCATCCTCCACCATCTCCAGGTGATGTCTGATCATGCTGGTGTGCCTTCAGCAAGAATCCTGTTAGGTGGATTTAGGAGAATCTCCCTTACCCCTGATGTTTCCTTTCAGTAGTTTTCCATCCACTAACCTCCCCACCCCTACTCTGCACCTTGGCTATAAATTCCAACTTTCCCATTTATATTTGGAGTTAGCCCAATCTCCCCCACTGCAAAATCCCATTGCAGTGGTCCCCATCAATGTGGTGGTCCTGAATAAAGTTTGCTTTATTATGCTCTAACAAGTATAACAACTGAATCATTGCTTTTCTTTAATACTTTCTCTTAACTTCATTTGCCCACTTCCTTCTCTGTTCAGGATATTCTGGCCATGCTGGCTTCTTGTCAGTTGTTCAAATGCCCCAAACTCTAAGGACTTATCTCTGGCCAAGCCCAGAGTTGAATCCTGAGTGTCCACAGGTCCCTGGCTCAGCCGTTCCCCTGCAAGTGTAGGAGCGGAAAGGAGGGCTGATGGTAGCAATAATTCATGTCAGGGAGGCTGTCCCCGGTGTGCGGCAAACCTGTGCTTGGTTCATGGGCAGCCAGGGTGTGATCGATCACACACTTCACAGGGCACATTTATTTGGCTTATTAAAAGAGTTAACTAGATTTTCAGGGAATAGAGGAGGCAGGAGAACAGGGCTACCTCTGGGGAGGGAATATGGTGGGCTAAGAGTAGATTCCCACCCCTATTCGTACTACAGAGAGGTGGCAAATTCTTTTAAAGTCACATAGACACAGATATGCATGCAGGATCTTACTAGCTGTGTGATCTTGAGAGAACTGCTTAACCTCTCCAAGCCTCAGTGGTTCCTGCTGTAAAATGGAAGTATCAGGCCCCACCCCACTGGTCTCATATGTGGCTTAAATGAGATCATGTGAGTAAAGGGTTTAGCATATGCCTGGCATATAAATGGTGGACATAATTATCATGAACAAAGGAATCATAAAAGGTCATGGCTTGGGGGTCGAATCATCCAGGTGAAGTTTACTGATGGCCTCAGAAAAATCCAGAAGGCAGCATGTATAGCTCAATCATGGGTCCGACTCAGTAGGCAGGGGTATAGCTGGGTTTCTGGGTCTTTAAAAGCTCTTCATGTGATTTTAACTCATAGTCCATTTTGGAAACTATGATTCAGCCCAGGCCACTAAATTTAGAGATGGAGAAACTAAAGACCAGAGAGGGACAGAAATGGGCCCAAGGTCACACAGCATATTTTTGGCAACCGTGTCATCTCCAGAACTCAGGTCTCTGACTCTCACTGGGTGGTCTTTCTGGTAATTCATGCTGAGAAATTATATGTCAGATCAAGGTGTCTGGCTGTGGCTGGTGCCCCCAAGGGCAGTGTGACAGAGGGATTCCCATTCTCTTTGAGATTCTAGATGCTCTCAGAATCCCCCAGCTCTCTTTTTAACCCCTTCACATACATAGTGTGCATTAGAATGTCTGAAGTTCATTGGAAGCCCTTAATCTTGTTTACTATCACAGATTTGTTTTGTTTTGTTTTGTTTGGACAGAGTCTTGCTCTGTTGCTCAGGCTGGAGTGCAGTGGAGCGATCTCAGCTCCCTGCAGCCTCTGCCACCTGGGTTCAAGCAATTCTCCTGATTCAGCCTCCCAAGTAGCTGGGACTACAGCCATATGCCTTCATGCCTGGCTAATTTTTGTATTTTTAGTAGAAATGAGGTTTCACCAGGTTGTCCAGGCTGGTCTCGAACTCCTGACCTCAGGTGATCCACCTGCCTTCTTAGCCTCCCAAAGTGCTGGGATTACAGGCGTGAGCCACCACAGCTGGCCTCTATCAGAGATTAATAAGCCTAAACTTTTTTTTCTTTTATTGTAGGAGTAGACCATTGTTTCTACCCCATTATGCAAACATTGAATGATCCGCATGCTTTGGGGTATGCAGCCCAGCACACAAAATATTAATGAATATTTATTGAATAAATGAATGAATGTTTTGGGCCAGTAAATGAATGAAAGATCACAGGGAGTATACATTTCTTGAGGGCTGGCACTATTAGTTTTTGTTCCAGCACCTACAGCAGAGCCCACAAAGTAGACATTTATTAAATATTTGCTTCTTGGGGTTGAATCAGTGAATCAGATTCTGAATTTCCCATGGCCTAGTGGGAAAGAGAGATGCATAAACAAATACTAAGACTAGAGCAGGCTCGTTACTATAGCAAGGGTACCAGCCTGGTGCCGTGGAAGCATTGTGGCAGAAGTGGGGTGGAGAGGGAGGCAGGCATCTGGTTAGGGATCCCAGAAGTGGGGTAGAGGGGCACCCTTGCTTGGTACTAGACACTGGGGTAGAGGGAACCAGTGAAGACAGCCTGACTTGGGGGAATTCTAGGCCTTGTTTCAATCATAGCAAAGACACCCAAAAAGGAGAAAGGCAAGTGATAGGCCAATATGGGCTGCATGCTGACATTTTGTAAGAATCAAAAGTCTATATGCCCAAATTGAGGGTCATTCTATAAAGTAATGGGTCTGTTCTCTTCCAAAATGTCAATGTCAGGATAAATAAAAACCAAGGCACTGTTCCATGGTGGAGTTTCTCTGACCCTCAGTTTGCTGAAAAACAGAAGTAATTTTCCATAGTACTAGGTCCTCGGAGTTGTTTTTGACAATCAAATGCAATAATGGATATCCTTTGCCACGTGCTAAGCATAAGAAATGACTATTTATTTTTATTATTACTTAGAATAAAACTACCCCAGGACCCAAAGGAATTAATTTGTTTCTGGCCAAACCTCATTAACTGATTGTCCAAGTTTATGCTTTATGGAAATAGTGTGCATATTATTTATATCTATACACATGCTCAGCTGCATCTATATAATTCTCTGCAGTTCTGCTCAGGATATATTTTCCCACATTCACAAAAGAAGGAAATGCCAACATATTGTTGCAATAATTGAAGGCAGCAACGTCGCTCTCAGCAGGCCCCGTTGGAGTTCTCCTCTGCCTCTGTGAAGTCTGGGATGGTTATTGGAGGTTCTCTTAAAGTGACACATTTATTTCACCCATTAAAGGAACATCAACTAGATTTTTTTTTCTTGTTGAAGTTAAGGAAGATCAAACGAGCTTGCTTTGTTTCAATAGCAACTAGGGCTATAGGGAGTGGTCCCAGAAATTCATGGCTCCCAACCCTGGTCCCTTGGAGAAAGTTGCCCCCTGCCCGGAAGTCATCAGGACAACGTAGAAGTGAGGAGAAGACAGAAGAAAAGAACTTGGTCCTACCTGAGTTTGAAGAATGGTTAGATAAGTTCTTGAGGGCAAGGATATGTTTTGTTTCTCTCTGTATCCCTAGTACTTATCAAGTGATTGGTACAGAGTAGAATGTCTGAAATAAAGAGAAAGTAGGTCTTGGATGAAAGAATAAAAGAGTCACAACTCCAGCACTGCTTAGCCATCTGACCTCAGCTTCTTTATGTATAATCAAATGGCTGTAAGGCACCTTTGAAGGTTCTGCTAATAATTAAGCAAGATTCTGTAAATGAAGCCATTAATAAGGATTCTAGTGCATTATAGGAGTTTGTTTCCTTCTCAGCCTTCCCAGGGGTCTGCTTTCTTTAGAAACAGGGAAGGAGTCTGGTGGAGACACAAGCACTGTTGTCTGGAAGCCCCTTGCTAAGAAGTTGCTCCTGACGTCACTCATTCACAGATGGAAAGGCTCCCGGCAGACAGGCCACGCCCATGTGGTGCCTCCTCTAGGGTTTTATGGCTGATCTGAGATAAAATTTGATTATAAAACAACAGCCAGAGAATGATGGATTTACTCACTTGGACCCCTGCCTTCTGCTTGGAACTTCCATTTTATCAAATGAGATAATAACATACCTTAAATTGGGAAGGTGTGCATAGATGTGGTTGTTGTAAAGTCAATGCTCCTCGTTGAATTCCCACAGAATGTTTTCTCTATGGGGATCATAAAATTGTAAATTCTGTTCTAGCTGGTTATTATACACCAGGGCCCCTTTCCTGTATCAAGACACTTGGGAAAGGCCATGCATTCATTTATTCACAGTAGTATCTATATTGGGTACCTAATTTGTGTGTCAGGGACTGTGCTAAGCTCTTGATCAAAAATTCCTGATTTTTGTCTCACATCAACTCAATGAAAAAGGTACAGTTAGTTATTTTCCTTGCACATGCTATTTCCATAAAGCACAAATATCTTGCCAAAGTTATGCAGCCAGTAAATGATAAAGCTGGGATGCAGAGTCAGGCCTTGGACCTTAAATTCTGAGGTCTTAAGCACCATCATACACCAAATGAGCACCTGCTGACTATCTGATACGCCAAGCACTGAGCCAAATATTGGTGACCTAGACGTGAGGAGTTTCTAGTCTGCAAGGAAGACAGCCATTCATTCATATGCATGCTAATAAGAATCATTTCTTGCATACTAATTAAGAACAATAACACTTCAGCATTTATTCATTCGACATGTCTGCACTTATTGAGTTTCTACTATCTGGGAGATGTAGTGTTGAGAGGTGGGGATTGGGAGGGAGATAAAACAGTGCCTGCCTTGGAGGGACCTCAGTCTAGAGGGGAGAAAGGCTTTCAAACACATGCACCTATGGGGCAGTGATTAATAATGATAATAATGCATTCATTGTAGGGCAGCCATGCGTCTCACGACTGAGCTCTTGCTGTGTTCTAGCACAATTCTAGGTCCTGAGCTCAAAATAACTTCATGTGGGTACACAATGATATGCATTTTTTAGAATTTCTTGTAATATCAAGTGGACAAGATACATTGCATACTTAATGATAATGATATAATATGTTATTATATATTACATATACTGTATAATTATTGAACTTCTGCTACGTACCAGCCACTATTCTACAAGTTTTACAGAGTCACCTCATAACTCCTCACCACAATCCCAGGATGTAAGTCCATTTATCATTTTCATTTCACAGTTGAGGAAATCGAGGCCTAGAGAGGTTAAGTAATTTACTCAAGCTTACACAGTCGGATTAACAAGAGAGGCTTTCTTTAAAAGCCACAACTACAAATAGCAACAACAACAAAAACTTTGTTTTTAACCCCAACTGAAGTTAAAGTATGCAAATTAACCTGGCATATCATTTTTTACTTATGCCATAAATTATGCAAATTTCCTTTCCTGAAGCCCTGGAAAACTAGGCTTGATTCCACATATTTTACATTAATTTCCAAGGTGGTTGGCCCCAAGTTAGCTTTCCACTCTGTTAAACCTGCTTTAAAAGGGGGCATAGAAGGTGGAGGCCTGATCAGAAGTCCTTAGGGAATGAAAAGTCTTGGGAGCTCTGTCCTTCTTCCTCTGCAAATTGATTCATAGTTTGGTGGCATACTTCCATATTCAGGGCTGCCACATATGGCAGCATAGGTTGTATACTGCTTAATTCCAGGGGTACCATTCACATACACTGCAGTATAAATAGCTCCCTCTGGAGTTGTGCAGGATAGTAGTGACATGCATTGCATTCTCTCTATCCACCCTGCAGAGAGGGGCAAGGGAAGAATTCTATTCTCATTTTGCAGACGGAAACTGAGGCTTGAGGAGATTCAGTGACTTGCCCCAGCATGACACAACACAGAATTGGCAGAGTGGGGATCCACAGTCAGTCCTACCTCAGTCCTAATCCTGTGCTGAGTCCCCCATTCAGAATGCTCACTCTGAGTACATTGTTCTAAACATCTCTCCCTGTTTCCATAATATTAAAACTTTGTAGAAAAATGGTTACCAAAACCATGCATGGAGCCACATTCTGTGTTCCTACCAACCTCCCTTATTGCTCTTAAATCCACTGTCATCATTCCAGATGAATCTCTCATGGGAAAAGGGGAGAGCTCCTGGGACCCCACCTTGAGGCTTCTCTTCATTTTCCACTCCAACCTGATTTTCAATGCCTGGATCACTTTTAAATGTCTAAATACACCAGTTTATGAGGCTCCTCTTTTCTAGCTCTCTATCACCCACAACTCCTACCCTAAATTATTTTTTCCTAAGTCATTTACCCAAATAATGTGAAGACTGCACATTTTTTGCAAAGACTTTTGTGTTCTATGTCCAAACACTTTTGAGTCATAGCTGAAGACTGCATATCATTCATTCATTGATTCATCCATTCACTCATTTATTCAACTGAATAGCTAAGAATAGAGAGATAATAAAAGTCAACTCCTAACCCCGAAAATTTCATTGTACAGCACGGAGGGAGGCAAGTCAACAGATAGTTACAATGATGATAGGATTCTTCCCAGTTTTCTCAGATGTGATTATCAGACAGGCCACATCTTGATGAATATGTGTCTTAACTGGCAAAAGGGTTGCAGAGCCACATCCTAAAAATGAGAAGAATTGAGAAGCAGCTATCAAGGCCAGCAGTGAAAGTGTGTGAGACACCATCAGTGGCGATTGCTGTATCCCAAGGTATGGTTTTGTGTCACATGGCATGCTTCCCATACCAGTTAGAGATGACTGGATTAAGTATGAAGAACCAACCTATTGCCCAGTTGCCCAGTACAAAGGACTGGGCAGAAATCATTTGTGCTCTCTCCATGCTGTCCAATATGGCGGCCATGAGCCACACATAGCTACTGGGCACTTGAAACGTCGCTAGTAGGACTGAGGAACTCAATTTTTAATTCAATCTGATCTTAATTAATTTAAATTTAAATATCTACATGTGGTTCATGGCTACCATATTAGAGAGTGCACATGTGGTGATTATGCTGGAGAAGCCATAATAGCGAATGGGTAAGTGGAGGTGATGAGAGATCTATGGTGAGTGAGCAGAGGAGTTAGGCAATAGAGAGGAAGCCAGAATGAACAGATGCGTGGGGAGAAGCAGATGCATGCAAGAGAGAAGTGGAGAGAGTCCTGGAATGTTCTTGGCTCAATATTTGCAGTGTCCTTAGAGCAAACCTTCTTATTCTTCAGCTATCCTGAATGAGTCTTTGTTCTAAATGCCTTAGACCCTTTTTGGCTTCTACAACAAAATACCATAAACTGGGTAGCTTATAAGCAACTGGACATTATTCCTCACAGTTCTGGAGACTGGGAAGTCCAAGATCAATGTGCTGGCAGATTCAGGGTCTGGTGAGAGCCTGTTTCTTATACATCACAGCTTCTTGTTTCAACATTTCTACCTCTCATGGTGAAAGGGGTAAGGTGTGTCTCTCCATTTGTTGTTTTTTAAATACAAGGTCTTGCTCTGTCACTCAGGCTAGAGTGCAGTGGTGCAGTCATAGCTCACTGCAGCCTTGGACTCCTGGGCTGCAGTGGATCCCCCCATCTCAGCCTCTTGAGTAGCTGGGACTACAGGCATATGCCACCACACCTGGCTAATTTTTAGAATTTTTTGTACAGATGGGGTTTTGCCATGTTGCCCAGGCTGGTCTAGAGCTCCTGGCCTCAAGTGATCCTCCTGCCTCAGCCTCCCAACTGCTGGGATTACAGGCACGAGTCTCCACACCTGGCCTCAAGCCTCTTTTTTTAAGAGCACCTATTGCATTCATGGGACCTCTACTTTCATGACCTAATCAATTCCCCAAAGCCCCACTGCTAATACCATCAGCAGAGGGGTTGGATTTCAACCTATACATTGGTGTCGGGGGAGGGGACATAAATATTCCAACCATAGCACTATACCACAAAAATCACATTAGAATATACTATTTCCTCTCTTGGAAGCCATCGCTGACCTGAGAATCAGCTCGGTCCATCAGTAACAACAGCAACTCATAATTCCCCTCTTCATCCTCATCACTACCACCCACTCCCATCATCTCAGAGTTAAGTGACTTGTTCAAGATCACAGCATTAGGTTTGAACCCATATCTCTTGGACTCCAGGGTCTGTGTCTTTTTTATTATGGTGTACGGCTTTGAAGAGCCCATTCCATTTTGGCAATGTGAACTCACCAATTTATGACACTAAGCTAAACTGGGAATAGGTGAGACCAGACAAGGAAACTGACACCCAGAGGCTTATACCCACTAAGACTTGTCCTGAGCTCCAGACCCCAGGTGCTATACTGTATCCACCTACCTTGTTCTAATCTCCAGCCCCAAAACATCACCAGTCCCTACTACTTGCTCCGGGCTGGCACCAACTACATTAGCTATGCCTCACTCAATCCTTCCCTGCTCTCCACATCCCAGATCCCCAGTGGGTTTCTCAATCAGCCACTATCCATGACCCATGGTGAGAGTGAGGAAGCCTAGGAGGGATACCTAGCCTGGGCCTTGGGTCTCCTTGAGCCTCTTCATTTAACTCTTGCTTGCTTGACTCAAGCCAGATGCTTGGATGGCACCATTCCCCGGTGCAAGCTTATCTGCTGGTGCCTTGAAGATTCAAGTGCCAAGTCAGCAGAGGAGGGAGCTATGGCTTGATTTCCACTTCTACCAAAGCCTCTTTCATGCAGTCAGTCTTCCATGGCCACATAATGTAAATGTCCCATGTGGGTAATAGACGCCAGTGGTTTACTGAAAACAGATACCCTTAAAACTTCCATTGCCACACTCCTTGGGTCTCAGGACATAAACTTGAGAGGGATAGGGATTCCATTTTTCTTGAAAGTAGGTGGAAGTCACTTTAGCATGGGAGTCAGAAGACATGAGTGAGGGGTTCAAGTCCTGGCTCTGCCACTCACAGTTGGGACTTTGAGTAAGCCCTTTCTTGTCTCTGGGTCTCTTTCCTCAATAAAATGAAAATATCAGGGAGAGGATTGAGGCAGATAAGAATCCCAAATAACTGCTAGAATCTGATTAATATTACAGACACCAAGGAGGCCTACTCTAACTATACAACCTCTCTCCCATATCATATTATCCCTGAGAAGTGGGCAGATCATAGACCCTCACTCCTATGCAAGGCCCGGTGCCAGCTCAAGGTGACAAAGTGGCTTGACTAAGGATACACATCTAATAAGAAGCAACAGACTGAAACCCAGGCTGCTCTGACTCTAGAGCCTGGGTTTTTATTCACTTTGCTATACTGTCCCAGTTTTCAGCTGGGCATTTGCTGTTTTTGCAGCTGCCAGAGACCTAAGAGAAGGCAGATTCAACAATAAGCAGTAGGATGTCCAGAAGGTTTCTGCTTTGAAATGAGCTTAGGCACAGGGCAAACAATTGCATCCAATATTTCCTTTGGAAAGAAAGATGGCTTTAGTGAGGACCCGATGAATGGCCTATCTTGTGGTTTTGTGTTTGCACAAAGGTTTTTTCTTTTCTCTTTACAAAGTGTATTTCTCTCCTCCCACTTTTTAATTTTTCTTTCTCTTCCTCCTTTTTTGTAGAGTTACTTAGTGATTCCACATCTATTATCTCATTGGTTTTCCTCTACAGCAATCCTATGAGGTTGGACACTATTATTATTCCCATTTTTCAGATAAAAAATCAAGGTTTATACAGGCTGCCTAAGACCACACAGGATAGGAGAGTCAGGAATTAAATTCAGATGTCAGGACTCTAACTTCACCTCCCCAAAACTAAGATTAAGAGGAAAAGTCATTTAACATAATGGGTTGAGAATTTATACCTGATTAGATACAGGCTAAGGGGCATATGAATGAGTAAGATTCAGTTGAGGTTTTCTAAGAGTTCATTGTTTAGGGGGAGGGAGTTATGTAAATTGGCAACTCAGGCATTATCAGTGTATGAATTACCCATAGTAGAGGGATAAAATGTGATAAGGGGTCAAGAGGATCATTCATAATTGGCATAGACAGGAGAGAAGCAAGAGAAGACTTCACAGAAAAGGAGAATTAGGACTGGGTTCTGAAGGATGAATAGAAGTTTACCAGGTTAATAGTAGAGCAATAATGGCAAATTTTTATTGAGTGCTTGCAATGAGCTATGAATATGCACATATATTGACGAGTCTTAACAATCTTGTAATGTAAATCTAATCCTCTCATTTTATATATCAGGCCAAAACAGGCCTAGAGAACTAAAGTAAATAGCTCAAGATCATACTGTTAAAATCAGCCAGTTGGGAACTTGATTTAGTCCTCTCTACACAACCAGCCATGCGCTCCTCTAGGATGACAGTCCAGGCTGCAGGAATAGCATGAGTAAGATGAGAATAAGGCTCACGCACAAGCCATCAAAGTAGGTATGAAAGAGGCTGGGATAAACTGTTTTCTGTCTCAGAAAGCTGACTTGGGACACCTGGCATTTGCCACTGGATGAGAAAGCATCTCTCCTCTTGGAGTCCTGTCAAACCACCTTGATCTCCAGGCTTGCATCAGCTCTCCATTTCCATTTTGCTCTGTGCTATGTGATACCCACATCTTCATGCCCCAGTATTTAGAACAAGCGTGGGCTTTGGAATCAAAAGTTCTGGGGTTGAATCCTGACTCCACCGCTCATTGTCCATGAGACCCTGAGCAAGTGCTTGTACCGTTCTGACCCAGTTGCCTTATCTGTAAAATCTAGTTTATCATACCACCTGATAGGAACACATGAGGATCAAATACGTGAATACAGGAAAAGCACAAAGACAGCCCCCTGGCACAGAGTAGGTCCACAATCAATGGCAAACAGCAGTGTTATATTTGCTATAATGCTGGCTATAACCAGCCCAGGAAGAAACACATGGGGGTGTTTGAGGTCTTCAGCCTTCCATGCCAGCACTTACTTCCTCAAGGACTGATTTCTTGGTATGTGCAAAGCATCTTAACTCTCTTGTCCCATCCCAGCCCTGTAAGGACAGCTTGATGAATGTGGTAGTGATTATTGTGATCCATTTTACAGAAGGAAAAATTGAGACTCATAGATAGGAAATGGTTTAGGTTAGGTCCTGAATTTAGGGGCTTACAGAAACCAATTTTATACAATGTGAGTTCTCCATTAATGGTTGGGTGACCTGGAAACTTGAGAAATTGCAAGCAGTCACATAATCTCGGTGTCAACCAATGAACCAGCTGGACTGCTCACTCTCTTTTACGAGGTCTTCTCCTTTCCTCAACTGGAAAGAATAATCCCTATGTTCATCTTTTTTGGGAACTACTGAGGGTTGGTTTTGGTTTCTGTCCTGTCAGTGTTTGGAGTTTGGTGCACTTACCCATCCAGACTATCTGCACATTAATGGTGAAACGGTCTTTCTCACACATTTCATTTAGAAATACAGAAGGACCCAGCTTGGAAGGCACCAAGGATTTAAACCTTACCTATGCATAACTCAGCTTCTCTAAGCCTTGGTTTCCTCATCTATAAAATGAAATGATATTGTTAAAATTAATTAAAATAACCAACGTAAGTGCCTGAGATATAGTAAATGCTCAGTAACTATAATGATTGTGAATTAGTTGCCTATAAATAAAATTGTAACCTGTTTTACCTTATGACTCACTTCAATTTGACCAGCTTTACTTAAATGCTTGCTATGTGTGCCAGGGACTGTGTTAGGCATTGAGTACACATCCCATGCGCATCTGGCAAACACACACCATCCCTTCCTATGAACCATCAGAATCTGCATGTGGTCTTGGGGAATGCAGGATATAAAAGGTAGTAGTGGGACTTGATGTCATGATTCTGACACCAGCCTGGATCTGAGGCTGGACTTCAATCCCTTTGTGATGTTAGGCATTGCTTAACCTCTCAGTACCTCAGTTTCCCCAGTCCATACAATGCAGATAACAACTGCATCTCTCTCATGGGCTATTGTGAGAATTCTCTGCACATATCTATATAAAGCACTTATTATAAGGCTTGGCACAAAATCAACACTCAATAAATGCTGTTTGCATTGCTTAAACTCAGTCCTTGCCATGTTCTAGTAAATTATATCTCGTGCGTCCACTGACCTCCTCCCAACTCACCATACTTTTACCCTTTCCTCAAAGCAGTCCTATTCCCTGCCCTGCTCCCTCTTGTCACAGCCACCAAAGGGATGCTTCTAAGGAACTACAGTAACCAGAGGATTATGCAAACATGCAAATCCACTAAAGCAGTGTTTACCCAGGGTTGTGTGATGCTGTCTGTGCTCAGCAGCTGGGCCTCGCTCCCTTCTGAGAAGATTCCTTCGGTGTCATCACAACCTCTAGTGGACAACAGCGAACACCGCGGCTCAAAGTCCTTTGTTCCAGCTCTCGTCTACCCAGCCCGTGAAGTTCAGGGGAGAGCAGGGAGGACAGGCAGGTCCGACAGATTATCTTTTTTTTGAGCGTGAGCATGTGCACCTGCCTACTTTCTCCTCCCACTCGCTCCTCTGTTTCCTCTCTCCAATTCCGCGGGGGTGTGATGTGTTCTGAGAGTGAAGCCTTCAGGATTTTCCCTATCCTACTGTAGAAATTTCTCCTCTGGCTGCTGGTACCTGTCCTATCCCCTTCAGGGCCAGTTCAAATGCTACGTGCTCCAGGAAGCCTTCACTGACCACCCCTGGTGAGAATTAAACACATCCACGTGAGGTCCCATAGATGTCTGATATCCCCCCACCAAAGAACTTACCACATGGCACGGATGGTAGTAGTTTACCTGCAGATGTCTCTTGCTAGGCTGCCATTACTGGGGCAGGAGCCTTATCATATTATAGTACTCCAGCACCCAAAACAAGGTCTACCGCATGCGTAGTGCTATAGATCAAATGTCTGTGTCCCCCCTAAATCAATACGTTGATGGCCTTATCACCAATGTAATGACATTTGGAGGTGGAGCCTTTGGGAATTAATTAGGTTAAAATGAAATCATAAAGATAGGGCCCCCATGATAAAGATTAGTTCATTTCTAAGATGAGGAGACCCGGGCTCTCTGTCCCTCTTGGCCATATGAGAATTCAGCTAGAAAGTGGCTGTCTGCAAAGCAGAAAGAGAGATGACAGACACTCACCAGATACTGAGTCTGTTGGCGCCCTGAGCTTGGACTTCCCAGCCTCCAGAAATGTGAGAAATAAATTTCTGTTGTTTAAGCCACCCTATCTAAGGCATTTTTGTTATAGCAGGTTGAACTAAGACACATAGGAAGTGCTCGGTAAATTCAAATGAATGAATGAAAGGGCAAATATCTTTTTCCAGAAGACTTGCTTCTTATGTCTTCTTCCCAACCATTAACCTGCTCTCCTGCATCCGCTCGATCTCCAGTACCATGAACTCTGATTCCTGATGGTAATATTTAGGTTCAAAAAGAAACAGCATGAGAGTTTGGAAGGGAAGGGTGTCTGCACCAGGCAAGGTCAAATTCTCATCTGCCAAAGGTGAGAATACAGGTAACTGGAGTTACTCACTATGCCCTTCAACCCCTTTCTACTTTAGCCTGAATTATCCCAATATTTACACCAACATCTGCTTCATGCCAATCGCAGAGATTTGTTTTCTTGGTGTCTACTAATAGGAGCAGTTTGCCCTTTGGAAAGCAGGGAAAGAAAGAAATAAACATTACTTGAGCACCTACTCCGTGCCAGCTGCTTTTACATGCATTATGTAATCCCTGCAGCCATCCTTCCAGGCTGGTATCATCAGTCCTCCTTGCCCTGCCCCCATTCCTCAGATGGTGAAATGGGAGTTCAGATAAAATAGTTCTGCTGAAGGCCATGTGTTAATAGACAATGGAGCTGGCCTCTGGACCCAGGTCACTCTAATTATGGAGCTGCACTTCTTTTCCTGGACTTTATAAATCTAATTCCAGTGCCCAGTTCAGTCAAACTCCCCAGAACAGCCTTTCCACAGCCTCTTGGATGTTTTGCAATTTGGCTTCATGAAGAAAACTGCAAAAATACAAAAAGGGCAGTTGGATTGACATTTTCCTTGGAGCATTCTCCGGGCTTCTTTTTACCTTTTCTTTCTCTTTTTCACTGCGTGTGTCAAGGGTGACCAATAATTTTTCTCTGAGAAACAGTAATAAAATGTAGTAATCAGAAAGAGGGAGGGGAGAGATGATAGCAAGGCCTCCAGGCTGAGAGGAGCTCCATTCTGCTGACCTTTGGTGTTGCACACACCTGGTTGTTCACAGGTCAGAATTCCCCTCTCTTCTGCCCTTAGTCGCCAGCTAGATCTTGGAGCGCCCCTAGTGGAGGTCTGCACAGTAGGTATATTGGATAAATTGTCTCTGGACAGAATAGGAGGGCCAGTAAATCGAGCTCATTTGAACAGCTTGCAGGAATGGACTTGTAAGCAAAAATAAGAAAACAAGCCACTCTGATCAGAAAATATCCTTTTGCCCTGGAAGGGGAAGGAAAGGAATGTAACATTATTTTCTTAATACCTAACTGAGCCATATGAACACAAGATGAATCCCTCAAGCTTAGATACGGTGGCCCCTGGCAGGAACGGGCAAAACTCTATGGAAAATAATGCCAATCCATAATGAAAATAGTCTTTAAGTGAATCTAACCACAACACACGTTAGAGACTGGGGAAGCAGCAAATTTGAGCCTTATTGAGCAATACTGAATTTGCCTTATTAATTCAAGAGAAAAAGAAAAGAAATTATTCTTAGGCTTTGCAGTCTTTGCATGTAGTTACAATTATTCCCCATGTGCATATCTGAGACAATAAGGAGGCTCTTCAAAAACAAGTTATACTTTATACTTATTCATGCCTTACAGCGAAATGGCCCAGAGAACCACGTGACCTGCATCAGAATGTAGCAACAAGTCCCTTTTGAGTATTTACAAATCCCCTCACTTCACCGCAAGCAGAAGAACTAGTTCGCAACAACGAGTTAGGTGAATGGTTCTCCATCTGACATTAGTGGATGTTGGGCTCTACATTAAAAATAGAATTTATTGTGGAAGGTCAATTGTCTCCAAATGCACCATCAGACTCGGCAATGCTCATTGGCCAGTATCACTCCCTCCTTATGACTCAGAGTCAGAACCACACACTTATTAATGAGCTTTCTGAAGTAGCACATCAATTGACTTTAATTTGGTGGTGACCTGAAGTCAATTTAAAAAATATGCTGGCTAGCCATGGTGTTGAGCAGTTGGAAAAATAGTATGAAATGTCTTAAAAATTAAAACACACACATGTCTCCCCCTGCTCTTACAATGTGTTTGCAGCCCGTGAAGGAAACAGAATAGGAAATCCTTGTCTTAGATGACAATTCAATACGTGCCATTAAGACAATTTTTTTTTCCCTGCAAGGTGGTGTATTGGAGAGTGGAGTTCTCAGAGGTAGAACTGCTTTAGAAAATCCAGTAAGCTGCTGGGTAGATTCAGGTTCTTTTTATATGTGTGTTAGTCACAACACAGATTCAAAAGGGGGTGGGGGAGGGAGAGCTGGACTCAGTTCAAGGCCACCAAGCCATTGTTAGAAAGAGACAGCTAATTAAGAAAGGCCATGCTGTGGTGGAAACGATTTGTTTAAACCAAATCTCTTTCCCTATCTTTCCCAGAGAAACTGTCCAGACCTGGTGTAAATTGTGGACATTATTGCCCCATAAAAAAGGGGTGGGGGTTCTTCAATGATATGCTTTGTTAAACAAAAGGTGATGAACAATTTCCTTTGCTCTGCACTCTGGGCTCTACATTTAAAAAGACGGGGAGATGGGGGATAAAATGCCTGATTTATGCTGAGGGGGGCACTCCAGGCCACCGGGAAGGGTTGAAGGGAAAGGGACCCAGAGCCAGGGCCCATGGAGCTGAGAGCTGTCCAGGGCCTTTGGTGCTGAAAGCAGGTGCGCGCGCTGGGGGTCCAGAACTCCCCGGAGAAGAACACCGCCTGTCCCCCAACTCCGAGTCAAGACGGTGCAAATGACAGAGGCGGAGCCCCAGATAAGCATAGTGCCTGCGCTCCCTCTGTCTTCAGCCTGGGCAGACCCTGCAGCTGTCTGCTTTTTTACACGTGAGGAGCGCATTTCTGGGACCTTGCAAGAAGGCCGGGTCCTGTGGCCAACTAACCCTCCCATTGATTTTCGGGTCTCCTAGGTGCCTGAGAAAACCCCCGAAGCTCTGAGGGTTAGCTTTGGGTGAGTTAGGCGTTGCACCCCTCTCTCTATCTGGCCCTCTCCCCCACCCATAACTTTTCCTGGGGTACCTTACCGGGGTGGAGAGAGGGTATGGTTCCAGGTCTGAGAAAGAGGAGCTGTCATTCTCTGCTAAATTTGGGCCCCTCTTCCCCTTCAACAAACACGTGGTAGATGAAACTAACACCCCTCACCCCCCATTCCTAACAGTGATCAGAGATGCTAGGCAGTAGGGGAGAGAGTAGAGGGGAGCCCGTTCAGGTTCCCAACTGCTAACTAACATCTCTTCTCCCTCCCCTACCAAGTTCTCAGAGCCCTCAGCCCCCTCCACCGGCCTCTAGCGAAAGCCACACCCAAGTCCGGTATCCTGACGCTTGGCTGAGATCGATCCAGGAACACAGACCCTCGGGGTAGCCTGAACCAAAGGAGTCAAGGGTTTCTGTGGTGTCGGGGGGAGCGGCAAATGCACTGTTTGAGTCTAGTCCTCAGTTGCAGGGTGGGTCAGCTTCTCACCCCCCTTCCTGTCCTCTCCCGGAGAGGAAGATAATTATCTGGCACCTAGCCCCGGGTGCGGTTGCAGAGAAGCGCCGGGAATTTGGGGTTTGGAGGCGACCCCACTCCAAGGAGAACCTCTTTGGCTGCAAAGGAGAATCAGCCCCGCAGCCGGGGAAGACCGAAAGGGAGCCCGCAGCCGAAGCAGGGAAGCGCCCGAGTCCTTCAACACATCCCCGCCTCCACACTCCCATCAGCCCGGGCCAAGGGGACGTGCGGTTCCTAGCCCCGATTTTGGACAGCCACCACCGCTTCCCATCCCGGCGGGTGGTGCCTGAGTCGCCCTGGTCAGCCCCGACCCCTGGCTGCCCCGCTCTCCCGGCAACTTTGCCCCCTGCCCGCCCCGCCCCTCGGGGCGCTTACCTCGCTCCAGCGCTGCCGCCGGGCTCCCCAGGAGCAGAGCGAGGAACAGCGAGATCCCGCGGAGTCCCGCGGCGGGCGGCCGGGCCGCGGGCATCGTGGCTGCAGGGGGCGCGGAGCCGCTGGCTGTGGGGCGGGCGGACGGCGAGGGAGCTGGGGAAGGAGGGCGGCGGTGAGCGAGAAAGGGGAAGCGGGAGCGAGGGAGGAGGCCGCGGGCCGGGGCAGCTTCCGGAGCCCCCTGGGCGGACGCGCGCTCAGCCCCGCGGTCGCTCTGGCCGAGCTGCGCCGGGCGCGGGCGGGCGAGTGAGGAGGAGCCGGCGAGCGAGCGAACGAGCGTGGAGCGAGCGGGAGGAGGGAGGGGGCTGGGGCCGAGTCTGTGCCGAGCGAGTGCAGGGAGGGAGGGGGCGGGCGAGCGGGCAGTGAGCTGGAGGGGCCGCGGCGGCGCCGGGGGTGCCAGCCGCCTCCTCTGGCCGCCGGCCCGTCGGCCCTGCAAAGTTTAACGCCAATTCCCCTTGCGTCCTGGGAGCCGAGCGTTTTCTCTCCCTGCTGACGCTCCCAGCAGCTCTGCCTGGCCAGGCCAGGCTGGAGAGCACCCGGACCATTTTCCAGACGGTGAGATGGAGCCCTGGAAACCGAGCTTATGAGCAGCCCGGAGCTTTCCATTGCCTGCCCAGCCTTCCAGATACATCCCAGTTCCAGTTCTTTCCAGAGCCCTCTGGGATCCAGCCAGCCTGCTTCCCCGCCAGGGCCTCACTGCTTCCAAAGTGAGTCCCCATAACCTAGAAAGTCTGTAACTCTGTGGATCTGGTGACAGCTGTGAATCTACTAGAACACTACACATAGCCACAAAATCGTGCATCTAACACGAGGGGGTCTGGACCCCTCTGAAGCCCAATCACGAACTCTAAATTAAGATCCACCTCCACTTTTTAATCTGAGCCCTGTCTCCCATAACCCCACTGCCGGCAGGGCACTAGCGCTGCGAGGCTTCCTCTCAGGTCAGCCGCTTGCCTCTTCCTGTACCCGCTTCCCTATCTGAGCAGGACTACAAGGCCCACCTCTGCAGCATTCTTGCCCAGGCCTGATTCTCAAGCAAAGTCTTTTCTCCACAAATAGAGGTAGTGAGGGACAATCAATGAGGGAGATAAACAGATACTTGGGGACAGACATTGGCAGAGAGCTAGGTGGGGACAAGCTTATGCACAGTCCTGGAGACTGACTGTCTCTCCCTGCGTAGCCTTGGCAGACCGGTCAGGCTTTACAGGCCTCTCACCCAATTTAGAAGCTGTCCTCCTCCCCCTACCCTACCTTGCCATACTATCTACACACTGCAGCCTGAACAGGCAGAGGGAGCAGATGGAGAGAAGGTTGCAGGCAGCAACAGGGGGAGGAATATGTCTTTAGCAGCGTGGTGGAGCCGGGAGTCCCTAGAAAGAATGGGTGGGGGAGGTGAACACTGGATGGAGGAGGGAAGGAGAAGCACTCTGGCCCAGGGTTTCAGAAGACGCTCCACACCCAGAGCTTCCCCATTTACTCACTCAAACAATGCTCTTTTACAGGCCACTGACTATAGGCCCAGACCTGCCTCAGGCTTTGGGGGACAGAGAGCCCCCCCATAAAATCCTATCTTCAGCTGCAAGAGGTTTCCATTCCTGGCAGTAAACCCAACTGGCTTTTATAAAGAAGGTGGCTGAGGCAGGGATGCAGGAGTGCTGATTTCTCCTTTGGAGAAGATGAAGCACTCCATGCTTTACTGTATGAGGCTGCCAGCTCTCTGTGGAATGACCTTGCCTGTTTGTGGCTATACGCTCAGGCTCTGTATAGTATAATGCAGGCATGCAGCGGGTGCTCAGTGAGACTTGTTCAATGGAAACCTAAAGAAGCAAGGAAGATGGAGGAGGAGGGGAAAGGGAAGAAAGCGAGCGAGAGAAAAACGAAGAGGTAGTTTAGCTCCATACTTGGAGGCAAGGAAACTATTTTTAATTCCTAGGTTCAGGGGTACTTGTGCAGGTTTGTTATGTGTGCAAACTTGTGTCATGGGAGTTTGTTGTACAGATGATTTCACCAACCAGGTATTAAGCCTGGTACTCAATAGTAATTTTTTTCTGATCCTCTCCCTCCTCCTGCCTTCCACCCTCTGGTAGGCCTCTGTGTGTGTTGTTCCCCTCTATGTGTCTGTGTGCTCTCATCATTTAGCTCCCACCTATAAGTGAGAACTTGTGATATTTGGTTTTCTGTTCCTGCATTAGTGTGCTAAGGATAATGGTCTCCAGCTCCATTCATGTTTTTGCAAAGAACATGATCTCATTCTTTTTTATGACTGCATAGTATTCCATGGTGTATATGTACCGTATATATGCTCATTCATTGATGAGCATTTAGGTTGATTCCATGTCTTTGCTCTTGTGAATAGTGCTGCAATGAACATACATGGGCATGTGTCTTTATAATAGAACAATTTATATTCCTTTGGGTATATACCCAGTAATGTCAGACAACCTACAGAATGGGAGAAAAATTTTACAAACTATGCATCTGCAAAAGTCTAATATCCAGCATCTATAAGGAACTTAAACAAATTTACAGGAAAAAAACCAAACAACCCAACTGAGAAGGAAACTATTGTGTAAAGAATCCACTGTTTGCCAGGTGCTGTCCCACACCGAGCATGGTCTCTCATTTCAATTTCATAATCTTCCTGAAAACGAGGTGTGGTTATTGCCATCTGAAAGATAAGTATCTGATTTTTTATGGGGGGTCCCAACCCAGCCAAGGTCACTCAGTCAGGAAGCGGTGGGATTTGGCAGATTCAAGGGCAGCCCTGACTACAGAGCCAGAACCCATTTCACCTTCACAGCCTACTTCCCAGAAATTTGGTGGCTGCCTCTGTGCTATGATTTGGTTGCTACCTGCTGAAGCTTCAACCTCTCATCACTACCAGAAGGACCACATCACTAAAAGTCCATCAATGGGGTTACTCACTTTGGTAAGTACATTGAACTTCTAGATCATTGCTTGCATGCAGGTGTCTTATGTGGAAGAAGTGACACTGTAAACCATTAACCCATTGAACATATGGACCGTGATTTACTCATTCCATTTGCTGGCTAAAACAAGGCACAGAGAAAAGTCTTGAGGAAATGAGACACAGACCTGATTATCTGAGATTGTGATGTTGGGAACATAAAGTGATTATTTAGGAGCAGTATCAAGACTATTTTTGGAAGAAGAAATAGCATAATAGAAATAGAATTCTGAAAGGGACTAGAACAGTTTGCAGATGAAAATCTGCAATCACAATTTTGATAGCCATTTTACAGATGAGGAAACTGAGGGCCAGGGAGGCAAAGTAACTTGCTCGATATCACACACTTGGTTTACCTTTTACCTTTTACTGTTTCCATGGCAGTGATGTTGTGGTCTGTCTAATAGGGCACATCCTGCCTAGATTCTGGTGTCAGGGTGAGCTTCCTCCTACCCAATGCCACCTGGGGAGATAATTTTAGCTTCTCTGCTGATTAGATGATGTGTGCCTACAATTCTATTCACCTTATATTTTGCCATGTGATAAACAGAGCATCAGCTCTTATGCGGTTAAAATTAGTACAGTGGTGACAAAGGGTTATATCCTAGCCTTGCCTCTTCCTTATAGGATGACAAGGGCAAGTTACTTAACCTCTCTGAGCTTTATTTTCCTCTTCTGAGAAGTAGGGATAAAAATAACACTTATCACATGGAGTGATTGACATAAATGGATAATAATATCCTCGTGGATGAGGGGATATTATGGCACTTATTTCCTAGGGTTATAGAGAAGATCCCATGAACTGATGGACTAAAGGCTAATGCTGTGTGATATTAAGTGAGTCACCAGTCTCTCTGGGACTCTGTTTCCTTATTCATCTACCCACCTATCTACACACCCACCTATTTGTCCATGTATTTACTAGTCCATGCATCCATCCAGCAATTTATCTATCCCTCTACCTACCCTTCCTTCTTTCCTCCCTTTCTGTCTTCTTTTCTTCCTTCCCTCCTCCCTTCCATTCATCCATTCATCTACCCATCCATCCACTCAACCACCCACCCACTCACCCATCTGTCCATCTATCTACAAATACTGTTTGAGCATTTACTATTTATTGAATGGCTACCACGTGGCAAGCAGTGCTGAGTGCTGTGGATGCAACAGACTCTGTCTCTGGCTCTCCAGGGCTGACAGTCTAGTGAAGTCTGGCAACACAAGGGCCCAAACCACTTCCAAAATTAATGCTGTATGCCAGGGGAGGCAGTTTAGCAGAGCAGTTAAAAGCCTGGACCTTCAAACCCAACAAGCCTCAATTTAAATGGTTTATCTGCCACTAACTAGCAGTGGTGTGATTTTGAACAACTGAATTAACCTTCCAGTAATCATTTCAACAAAAGGCTATCATTTAGCAATCAATGACACAATCATTATAAAGCACTTAGGATAGTGCATATGTCAGGCACTGTTCTGGGCACTGATAATACACAGTGAACAAGACAAAGTTCTTGCTCTCTAGAGCTTATTTTGTACAGATGAGAAATAGACCATAAAGTCATTAATAAATAGGAATTTCAGAGAGCTTTAATTCTATGAGGAAGATAAAGCAAGGTGATTTGAGAGTAAAAGAGGCAAATTCTTTTTGAATGATCAGGGATGGGTTCCTAGAATAGGAGACATTTAAGTAGAGAAAGGAATGATGAGACAGACACCAAGCGCAGATTGCAGCACATTCCTGGTGGAGAACACAGCAAGTGCAAGGTCCTGAGGCTAAAACAGCATCATTGCAATTAATGGAAGTCATTGTCGTCATGTGTCTGTGATCCCATTTCTTTGTCTACTCAGATTATGATTAATCAGGGGCTTGATTTTGAGGTCATCAGACAGCCTATGCTCAGTGACTACTTTCTCCATCAATGCACATTTATTCACACCCCCACCCTGCCAGACCTTGCATCATGTATCCCCCTTAGGAACACCTGGTTGATGGAAAGATTTTAATCACTGAGAGAAAAAAAGAGAAAAATCTTTTGTCTTGGGGTAAAAATGAAATACAAAAAAAAGTCATCTTAAAAGATAAGAAGAAAATGAAAAGAAACAAAAAAGTCCCAGCAATAGTATGTCTCAGTGGACAAACCCACCGTGGATCTTTCAAGGGAAGGCAGAGTATCCAACCAGTGTCTCCATGATCTATTTTCAATTTGGTCTTTGTAACTTGCAGATGGGCCTGTGCAGCGTCATTCAGGAAGCCCGTGGTACTCACATCACTCTGGCCAGACGCTAACAAGAAAATGATCCACTGTGACGCAGCCGACCCCATCCAGTGCATCCACATTACCTGGAAAGAAGCAATTATGCCCCTTTGGTTTCCTTGGAAATGCTTGGTCTGTCTCTACCATCCGCCCTGGCTCTTGAGAAATACTCATGCACGGTAGAGCTTTGACAGGGAGACAGTGTGTTTATTTTCCAACTGAAAGTTTACAGAATACAAAGTGAGCCTGTAAGATGGTGGCCACTCTCCAGAGGCTTGTTGGTCAGACAGGAAAGAAAACCAGTGCACCATCGGGAACGTGGAGGAGGCTGAAAGAGAGGGACAAACATATTGGATTGGATTGGGCCCCCACAGTCAAGTTCCTGCAAACCAAGCTGGGAGATTTTCCTGACTAAGGGTTATGTTCTTGGGCCTCAAAGGTGAGAAGAAAAATCAATTAAAGATACTGTGTATATTTATACACTCTTTTGGCATTATAAACTGTAACACATACATTTTTCAGTCCATAAAGAACAGCCTGCATCAGCACAGCAGCACACATCAGCACAGCAGCACACATCTATGAGTTATTCTAAGACTTTTGTGTTTGGGGACCCCATGAGTTCATGTACCCTCTGGAATCAGCAGGTTTATTTGGAATCAGACATATCAGAACTCTGTCCTATGTGACTAACTTTTAAATGTGGATTTACTTGTCTGTATAAGGTGAAGACTATTAATAACTACTTCCTAGGGTTATTATGGAAGTAAAAGAGGGGATGCATGTTCACTGCTGAACTGATTGTCCAGCCTGTAGTAGGTGCTCAATAAACAGGAGCAATGATCATGCATTATATAAATTGTATATGAAAAATAGAACCCAAATGCTAGAAAAATCTCTTCTCTCATAGGGTTTATTATGTGTATTTATGGGTGTCTATACCCAGAGGAAAGCCCAGCTGGGGTTAAGGGTGCAGAATAAGTAAAACTTCCAAACCCATCAGGGGCTTGGTCAATCTGACCCATTTTTTGTGTGAGCCTCCTCACTCGAAATTAACTAAGGCAGCACTGCTCTGTTCAATTACAGGAACATTCTCCAGCCCTTTGACTTCCTCTCAAATCTCACCACTCTCTTAGTATGGAATATTGAAAAGGCCATACTGGGTCAGGTCCCTACTGATCAATAGCCTGTCCTTTCTCTCAGCTCCCCAGCCAACGCCCAGCTTCTGTGCCGAGGAGGATACAGGAGGACAGACACAGCCTCTGTGTCAGGAGGAGGGAAGAAGGACTAATGTCTGTGGACACTCTGAGGCTCACAGGGAGAAGCCACACACTCGCAGCACCAGGTCTGTGGTTTTTCATGACCCTACACTGTCCCCTAGAAGGAAGTACCACCCAGCAGAAACAGAAGCCAAGGAATTTCCCCATAGAGATCATGGCATGGGCTTGAGTTCAAGAACTCAATGGACAGCGGGCAGAAATTGGAAAGCCCAGAGCCTCCACCACTAACTCCTGTGTGACTTCTGTAAGTCCCTTGCCCTTAATTCACCCATATGAAAAATTAGGAAAAATGATCTCTCACTTCTGAAATTCAATAATTCTATGATGTCAGCAACTGGACCCAAGAGATGATGAGTTCTGCTACAGTTGTCTTGATGAAAGTAAAAGCTGACATTTTTTTAAGCAGCTGCTTAGAGTTTACCACTTGAGATTTCATGTAATCCTTACAACCACTCTAGAAGGTTAGTATTATTATAACCCAAACTCCTACCTTATCCTGTAGGACCCTTCTGATCTGGTCTCTCCTCCCTGTTTGGCCTTATCTTGTACCTCCTTTTATAAAACCCCAGCTGCAAGGATTCTAATCTTAGATCTGTCTAGGACTTTCCTCTTGCCGTGTCCCTGCCTGGAAGGCCTTTCCTTCTGATATATAAGCAGCTGGCTCTTCCTCCTCTTTCTGTGGCCAGCTAGACTGGCATCTCATCAGAGAGAACAACCTTGGCTTTAAATCTTTCTTAGCCTCTATCACTATCTACAATTATGTCTCTTATTTATGTGTTTGCAGGTATATTATCTCTGTTCTCCCACTAGACTTTAAGCTCAGTGGATGCCAGGACCCTTAGAACAAAGCACATAGCAAGTTTTCAGTGAAGCCTTGTTAACTTTCAAATGAAGGAATAAACGAATGACTATATTTCCACTTCGCAGATGAGTAAACAGAGGCTTGGAGGGGTGATGAAATTTGCCAACAGTCATCAATCGGTAAGTGTGACAGAAGTAGGACTGGAACCCAGGGCTGTCTGACCTCTGGCTTGAGTCTATAACCGCTTGGCCATACTGCCTTTCAGTTCCAGGAACAGGTGATGCTTCCCGGCAGTGAGACTCGAAACCAGCGGGAGTTCCCAGCCAGAGACATGATCTAAGTGCCAATGGCTGAATGTCTGTGAGCATTTCAAGTCATTTTAAGAATAGGCAACATTAGCGGCACCATTAAAGCCTGCTGTTCCTCCAGCCCATCACTGCCATCCCCACCTATTAAAATAATGGCATGAAAAATAAACAGCCTTTATGTACAATTTTATACAGTGCACGCATTGTTTGTTTCTCTTACTGTTTCCATGGCAGTGACGTTTGTTCTCAGGATAACTTCAGGTTTCTGCATGATGGAAGGGAATGGAATAAAATTACTTGAGAGGAAATTGCCAAGCACAGACGTTTTCTTCTTCAGATGCCCCACACTCCAGCACTTAACAGCAGCCACACCCTGAAGTCTTAAGCACAGGATAAAGGCTTCCCCTTAACCTACAGCCTTCCATGGCTCCCCAGTTCCCATAATATGAACCCCACAGATCTAAGCCTGGCTGTAAGACCTTTGCTACCTGGATTCCTCTCCTACCCTTTCACCCTTTGCTATATAGTCCTGCCTATAGGCAACTTCCCTCCTCATTTTGTCCCTTCTCCCTAGAAGTTTTTCACCAACCCACATTTGTTCATGCTGTTCAACCCTGAACAGCATGGGCTATCCACCTTCCCCCTACCTCTCTACTAGAGAAGACTGCTACTCATTTTTCCACGTTGTGCTTTAGGTGTGACCCTGCACCCACTTCTTTCCAACGTATTCCTGCATTTGGGTGATGTTTCTTTCCTCACCGCTCCTGTGGCCTTCTCAAGCACTGTGTTTACTCACTGTATGGCCACCCAGACTTCAAGCTGCTTGAGGACAGGAACAGTGCTTATTCAGTGGCTAACAATGTTCCAGGAACATAGTAGATGCTTAACAAATGTTTCTGGAACCAAATTTGAAAAAAATTAATAATCCAGTGGTCTGTGTGGCTGCCTAAGGAAATGGTGTCTGGGTATATCTCCTTCTTTAGGAATAAATATGGAAGATTAAATCAAAGCCCTAGACAGTGCTTCTCAACTTTGGTTGCATCTTGGAATCATCCATGGAGCTTTTAGAAATTCGGATGCCCAGGTTGCACCCTGAGTTAATTATGTGAGATTCTCTGGGTGTGGGCCCAGGATCTGTATTTTTTTAAAGTTCCAAGGTGATTCCGGTGTGCAGCTGGGACTAAGAACCACTGCACAGAAAGTTCCTGTTCAGAACCATAACCATGGCTTTGCATGAAAGTTTCAGAGACCAGGAATCTCCTCAGGGGCTGAGTTCACCCCAGAGTCCAAGGACCCAGAGCCAGGACAGAGCTAATCCCCAAACCTGGTTAGAGTGATAACAGCAGCATCGAATGTTGACTAAGCACCCCTTGTGTGCTTGGCACATGCCAGCATGCCTTCCGTAAACCACATCATGATCCTCACTTTAACCTGTGAAGTTGATATTATTCAGTTGAGAATGAAAGAGTGGTGGGATTGCTCAAGTTCACCTGTCCAGGCAATGGCAGAGATGGGGTTCGAACCCAGGAGAACCCAGGTTCACCTATATCCCAAATCCATGCCCTGGACCATTTCTTGAATGTAGTCAGGATAGGGCAGCAGGGAGGAGCTGGAGATGTTGGAGGAACTGTACCCTAGCCACCTGGGTCAAAGCCACTAACCCACTTCAGAGGCCCCACAGTTCTACCTGCTTCTCTCCAATGAGTTACAATCCCCTACCTCCTAGTGCACTGCTTTTCTGTTCTCTCTCCCTCCCTCCTTCCCTCTACTTCCTCTCCTTCTTCTTCCTCCATCTCCCCCTTTCCTTCTTCCTCTATCCCTCTTTCTCTTTTCTCTCTCTTTTCTTACCTCTTTCTACTTTCTCTCTCCCTCTTTGCTCTCTCCCCCTCCTTCCCTCTCTCCTCTTCTCTTTCCTCCCTCTCTCTTCCACTCTCTCTTACTTCCCTTCCTCCCTCTTTCCTCTCTCTTCCCCTCTCTCTTCTCTCTTCCTCTGTCTGTCTCTCACCTCTCTCTCCCTTTCTTTATCTCTCTGTCTCCTCTCTCCCCCTCTTTCTCTTTCTTCTCTCTCCACCATCTCTTTTTTCTCTCTCTCTTCCTCCTATTTCTCCTTTCTCTTCCTCTCTCTTCTCCCCTCCTTCCTCTTTCTCTGTCTCACTTTCCTCTCCCTCTCCTCCCTCTCTTTCCTCTTTCTCTTCCTCTCCCCACTTTTCTCTTTCCCTCTCTCTCTCCCCACCTGCCCCCATCTCTGTTGGATGTCCCTAATTAGAGCAGTCTGGGTCAGGGTCTGGTGATCTGAAGGCCCAACAACTTCTGAGGCCTCAGCCTTAGCAGTTCCCAGGACCTGAAGGAGAAGGTGCTCTGCATGGGGCCTCTGAGATGCAGCAGCCTCGGTGTGACAGCTTGGGATTGGAGGGTGAGCACTGACGCTCCCCACACACCCAGAGCTGACTTGGCATCTGAATGGCGGCTCCTTCGAGCTCGTTTTCCAGATGATATTTATTGCGTACTTATTAAGTGTCAGATCCTGTTCCCACAACAACCCTATAAACCGAATCACCTGCAAAATGGAATTTGGAGACATGAACAAGAGAACACACAACTCTATTATCCAGGTTTTGCTCGAATCTCTGCAAGGTCTTCCCTGAACAAGGAGTTTAAAATTGCGATGCCTCTTCATCTGCCCCCAGCTCCTGTTCCATGTTCTCTCCGTCCTCCTGCGCTGTTTTATTTCCCCATTGCACGTCTCAGCATCTGAATATTATATTGTTACTTATTTGCGCTGTTTATGTCTGCTTCTTCCAACTAGAATGTCAGTTGCATGAGGGCGGTGTTTTTTTTTAAATCTGTTTCATTTGTTGCTTTATTCTTAGTACCTAGAAGTGCATTTGCTTATAGTTGGCAATCACAGTATGTTTGTCGAGTGAATACATAAAACTACATCTTCCTTATCTACTGAGTTATGTTGACTTCGTTTATGATTATGTTTACATCAGACATAAAATACATTCCAAGGTTAGAATAATGAGACAACAGAGTGCAGCAAGGCACCAGCGTATGACAGGGGCTTTGTTGACATGGGATGACCTTCATGACTATACATTTCTTAGGGTTCTTTGGTGGAAAGGAACTGAGGCTGACTACATTTAGCCAGAAAAGGGTTGGAGGGCTGTGTTAGAAAGATAGGAGTATCTCACAGACCAAAGGGAGTTGAACCTGGGAGAGCACCAAACCAGTTCTGAGGATCTAGGAAGCAGGGACCCTCCCCACTTCTTCGAAGTGGCTGCACTTTGGCATGAATCACTACTGAGGCTGAGTCATGTGCCCCCTTTTGGGAAAATGAGGATGGTGCCTTTTGATTGAAAAGCCCACCAAGCTTGCATCCAATCAGTGGTTTTCAAAACAAAATTAAGGTGCTGGTATCCAAATAAAGGTGAGTGTGGATTCTGGTCAGGGAAAACAATAGATGCCCATGGTATTCCACATATTAATTCCACTGGGCACCCCAATATGCCCAGGGGGACTATGTGACTGTAAAGGAGCCAGTTGAGGCCCCTGATGTTTGGGCTGTCCACATTCCTTCCTCTCAGCTATTTAAGGCATGTGAACTGTAAGGGAACAGCTTCAGATTGCATAAAAGGGCACGAGTGTCATGACAGATCTCTGGACTCAGGAGTTCCAGGTTCCATCTGCTCTACCCAAAATCTGCTCTGGAAGTAAGTCCATCAGCCCCTGAGAGGGCAGTATCCACCAACCCACTAATGCATTCAGAGCAAGAACCACAATCAGATAAATGGACTTGATTGATCATCATTGTTTTAATCAGTATAGGTTAGCGTATGCCGCTGTAACAAACTTCAAAACTGGAGTTGCTTAATGCAACAATGGTTTATTTTTCGCTCACAAAAGTCCTGTGGAATTTCAGCTGCTTTCCAGGACAACCGTCTTCCCTGCAGTGACTTGATAATCTGTCACTCCCATTCTGCAGTTTTGTTATCTCTAGTGATGGCTTTCTGACCACTGCTCTTTCCCTCTCTCCAAATGGAAATGCCATGTTTGTGTCCATAGTCTATTGGATAGAAGTAGTCACACAACCTCACTCTGGCCACAGAGAAAGCTGAGAAATGCAGGGGAGCAGGTGGAATGTGTGATGAGCTCTACAATCCCTTCTATGATGACATAAATACTCCCCAGCAACTAAAGCCATGACAATGGAACACTGGCCTTATAGGAGGCAGTACTGAAAAGCCAACAGGATGCCTCTTAAAGACATCTGGTGATTAGAAACCCAGAGACTATTTTATATTCTGTACTTGCCTGAGATATACCACCAACTAAGCAGTCTGTTGAGGATACAGGACTGGATATGGGAGATGGGGAGTCAACATTGGTTAAATGACTTGTTCCATGCCAGGCATAATCAACATTCCTCATTACTTCTTCAACATCCTCTTGAAAGCTGTGCTCATTTTACAAATGAGAAAACAGATTTAGAGAAATATAATGACTTGTATGAGGTCACATAGCTTATGAGTGGCACAGAGTGGAAGGCTACCTGAATTCAAAGTCATGTTTTCACTATGCCATGAAGCTCATTAAAGCCATGACAAGCATTGAGTTTTCTCTTTATTAGATGAAAATAATAATGATGATGTAAATAGTGATGAAGATGATGGTGGTGGTGTGGATGATGGTGGTGATGATGATGAAGATGGTAGCAACTCCTAATTATCAATATTTTACTACAAGCTGAAAAAACTGTAATCTCATTAATCCTTCCAAATACCTTATGGGGTAGGTTCTATCATTATCCCCATTTCACAGATGAGGAAACCGAGGCTCAGCTAGGTAAAACAGCACTTTTTCAATATCACCTAGGTAGTAAATAGCAGAGTTCAGACTTGAACTCAAAGTTGTCTGATTTCAAAGCCACTCCACCATACTGAAAAGAGAACAATTCAATTGGTTGTTTCATCCACATGCCTCCAATCACCCGGTTCGACTAATCATTTTTCTTTTAACCAACCACTTCTTATTTTGGCATCTCTTAGATGTCTTTATGACTTGCATCTTTTTTCAAACCAATTTTAAATTCCTCTTAAAAAGGAATGACAACCTGCCCCACCAAAGATCCAGGAAAGAAACATGAAAGCCCTGATTATGTTTCGCGGAAAAATATACATTCCCACCTCGCTATCCTTAACAAAAGACAGATGCTAATTAGAGTTTTCACTGGAATTTACAGGCTCGGTTTTAATTATACCAGATCTATCTGAATTTACTGTAGCCCTCTGATTAATAGAGGAGGAAAATCAATAAGCATACCGAAAAATTTGGATGTGTTATACAGCTAATTTCAATTTTATGTTATAATCATGTTTTAATGTGGGTCCTAATGACCATAATTAAGCTGCCTGTGACAGTGCTGGCTGGGACAGAAGCTGTAACTATTCTAAGATGATTTGTTGAAGGCTTTTCCCAGATTTTGGGTGCATTTTGCCATTTGGCTGGTTTGGGGTGCTGTGGGAGTGGGAACAGCATGCCTGTAGATGAAAGTTTCTGGAAGCCCGGCTCTTCCCAGGAAAGCCCTAGATCTAAGGTTAAAGCCAGACCAGGCACTATGGCTGCATCACTCACTTGAGCCTTCATCAAATATTTATTGAGCACTTACTATGTGCCAGGTGCCGTGATGAGCCCCGAGAACATGGAAGAGAGTTTTCATTCCACTGGGAAGAGTCAGCCATTAAGCAGCTAATTACATAAGTGAGAAATACCAGGTGATACAGGAGGTATTATAGTTACATATACGTGTGACATAATGGAGAACTCTGGGAGGGCTTCCTAGAGGAAGCAAATTCTTGGCTGAGACTTAGTTAAGTGTAAGGAGACACATCTTAAAAAGAGACCATTCCTGACCAAGGAAACAGAATTTGTAAAGATTTGGAGCTGAAAGGAGGCTGATGTGAAGTGTTATGAAAAAGGGAATGAGTGGTGCAAGGGGAACCTGTGGTCTGAGCAAGGACCAGACCATGGGGGGTTTTATAGGCCACTTCATGAATGCTCAGTGCCTGGCTACTTCAAGCTCCAAGCCTCTGAGACACCTTCTTCCCTTTCCTCCCTCCCTCCCCCCCCCCTCCCTCCCTCCCTCCCTTCCTTCCTTCATTCCCTCCTTCCTCCCTTTCTCCCTTCTTTCCTTCCTTCCCTCCTTTTTTCTTCCCTATCCATACAAAAAGCATTTATTGAACACTATGTACCAAAGCATAAACTTCTAGCCTTTGACTCTTTTCAATGACCATTCATTCATTCACTTTTTCAAAACGCATTTTTTTTGTACCAGAAATTCAAGTACAAGATTTATAGGGATCTACCTTGAACTCTACGCATTTGTTGAATGCTATTCATTCAGTAACCTCCCACAAAGGCTTCCTATGTTTTAAGCATATAGTATGCTAGCCCTCCACCTCTGTTCATTAAATCTTTAGTCCTTCATTAATTCAACAGTCATGCTAGCATGGGTCCCTCAGCAGCTGACCCTAAGGCTAGCATGGGTCCCTCAGCAGCTGACCTAAGCTGACCACTTGAGTGCAAGTGGTTGATTTGGGAGGTGATCTTGGAAAATATCAGTAGGGGAGTGGAGAAGTGAGAGAGAAAACAGGACGGGAGCCAAAGACAGTGCGTGTTATCAAGCAAATGGCCTCCATGAGCATCTGGGGCTCCACTCCACTGGGGGACTCCTACAGATGGTATAGTGTGTTTGTTTCAGAGTTATCCTTCTGAGGAGTGAGGGAGCTGGGGTATTTATACACCAACTTCAATCACTTCTTGGTTCCAGGACTGCTGGAGGTCATGAGCCAATTCCTGAGGATTTCCGGGCTGCCGTGCTTGCAGGCAGTAGAGAAGGCCTTCAGCCAAAGACATGTAAATATAACAGTTAGGGGTCAGCACAATGCAATGTTAAGGGCTGAAGGCATATGGGGGATAAGCAGGGGCAGATATTAAATTGACTTACTATAGCTGCATTTATAATACCTACTATGCACCAGGTATTTGAATTTCACTTAGTGACATACATTTGCTCAACAAGTATTTATTGGCCACCACTATCTGGCTTGCACATAAGATCCCACCCCACACTCCTTATTTTATCCACCCCAGAGTACACCACTCACTCGGTATTCTGTATGCATTCATTAAACTTGCACTGGGTTCCTGATATATGTTGGATGCTTAGGATTTCAGCTTTAATCTCAGGCTCTGGGAAGAAAGGCATGTCCCCCTAAGGACTGTAAGAGGAGGCTTGACAGATCCCAGTGTACCCTCTGTAGACTGGATGCCCAGTCAATGCTGGAGTGCCCTCCTGAGGTCTGAGCTATTATGGGGCAGGCCAGCTGTGGTTGCTGTGGCTCCTGTCCATGACCTGTGGGAGGCCACAGCAGCTAGGCAAGTAGCCAGGTATCAATAGCATCCCTTCCCAGGAGCCTGACATAGCTTTTGAGCATGGAGATGAGAACCAGGCTAACCAGCCCAGGCCAATCGCTTTCTGCCTGACAAAGAATAGAAAGGAGTTTGGAGTTCAACCACACAGAATATTTAACCACAAAACTGTGATGCTCAGCCTGTAATAATCCATAAGAACCACCTGTGAGACTTGTTAAGCATGAAGGTTCCTGGGCCCCACCCCAGATTGTGATTCAATAGGTCTAGAGTGTGCTCTGGGGATCTGCATTTTAAATCGTGTGTGAGTGATTTTGAAGCAGATGGCCCACAGGGCAAATTGAAAGAAATACTGCTTTAGCCTAATAGCTATCTTTTACAGTTGGGGAAATTAAGGCTCAGGGAGAGACCCGAGTTGCAGTGACCCACAGGACCAGGATCCAAGCTCCCCACTGCACAAGCCAGAGCTGCCCTCCGTTAGAAGAGATGAGATTTCCAAAGCTCCCAGCCACTTGAGCATTTCAGGCACATTCTCCGTTATTGACAGGCACTAATGGGGTAATGAACTAAAGAGACCTGAGTTCACCCAATAATTGCAGGTAAGACTAAAAGAGTAAATATGATCCTCATTAATGTAAAGCAACTTTCTCCACTATAGAAATCTCATGTGAAGCTTTAAGCACAGGCATAGGCCAACCATATCTCTTTTAGTTTTGTTTATTCATTCATTTAGCTTTCAAGAAAAATATACCAGAGTGCTTATAAAATACATACAGTAAGAGAAACCAAAATATGTCAAATTTTCAAACATGCAATCTGTCTATATTTGAGTAGGATGGTATGAACATGGACACAGGCATGCATCTATCTGTCCACACTGAGTAGTTACCTGAATGCAGAAGCAAGAGGTGAGGAAGAGAAGGCCTGAGACAAAATGTATCAGGATGAGATAATACATATGGCATAATGTTAATTGATGCAGAATATACAATTCTACATATATATTATTGCCAAGGTATAACAATTTTTTAAAATGCAGCTATACAAGTCCTAAAAAGAACAAAATAAGAAAAAAAATTTTCAGGTAATTAAGGACTTTTTGGGTCAATCCCCCCCCCCACCGCCACCCCTTGCCCAAACATACACAAAAGTAGGAAAAAGAAATTGAGGAGAGAGAAATACAAGAATGTCATAGCAAGAGATAGTGAAAAAAAAATACATTCTGATATATATGCCTTAGACTGGGATTCTGAAACTTTCTTGGAAATGAGAATTGTCTGGAGAGTTTCTTAAAATGTGGATTCCCAGGCTGCCCCTCAGAGATGCTGGTTTTGTTTATTTTGTTTATTTTTCTTTGAGACAGGTCTTGCTGTGTTGCCCAGGCTGGTCTCGAACTCCTGGGCTCAAGTGATCCTCCCACCTCAGCCTCCCGAGTAGCTGGGATTACAGGGGCACGCCAGTGATCCTGGCTCGAAGATGCAAATTTTTAAATTTTTTATTAAAACTCTTTATATTTTTATTCTATTTTAGCAAAAAATGCTGATTTTAATGAGTCTCTCATATAGTCTTCATTGTCATGAGGACACAATTTGGTCCTAGACAATAATGCCCTTCTCCCAGCCCTTCCTCTACCCCAGACCAATTTAATCATGCCCCAAATCCCAGTTAGAATCTATTTTCTGTAACAAGACCATATTAAAATGCAACCTCTGTCTGGGTGGTCATCTATTGAGAGTGACCATTATAACACTGAGTGATAAGATGAATCCGACCTTCAGACCCTCTCCTGAAACTGGGTTCATGTACTAAGAATAACAAATATTTGTTGTCCACTTAGGGTGGGCCCAATGTTAAGAGCTTTGCATGCTTTCAACAGCTCCAGGGGGTAGTACTCTGCTTATTCCCATTTTCCAAATGAGGAAACAGGTACAGAGAGGTTAAGTAATCTGCTCAAGGTCACACAGCTAGTAAGTAGAAGAACTAAGTTTTGAATCCATATTTTCTTATAATTTAGGAATACACTACCTCTCCTTAAATAAAGTCAAAGAGAAGAGATAGCATCATGCTCCTGGGAATCCAAAATGAATAAAAAGACACACCAAGAGAAGGTAGGGTAGGAAACCAAATCAAGCCTACTGACCATATTTCCCAAGCCCAAATCCCTGAGTGTGGTCAAAGAGCCCCCCTTTTTCCCCATTTTGCAAAGGTATGAAGCTTGAGATGTGAAGATAAGTAAGTAACCATATTTATTTATATTCTTAAGGTATATGGTATATTCCTTAAAACTACACAAATCTGTGGAAATGAGACTGAATCCCTCAATCAGTATGAAGATATGGACTCTGGGTGTGATGATTACAAAGGTGGGTCTAAAAAGACCTCAGCACTTACCTTTGGAAGTGCTTACATTTTAAATTCTCTGATAGCAGACAGATTTCCCATACAGTCCGATGCTGTCAAGAAAACAGGTACCGGCCTGGCTCGGTGGCTCATGTCTGTAATCCCAGCACTTTGGGTGGCCGAGGTGGGCAGATCGCGAGGTCAGGAGATCGAGACCATCCTGGCTAACACGGTGAAACCCCGTCTCTACTAAAAATACAAAAAAAATTAGCCGGGCGTGGTGGTGGGCACCTGTAGTCCCAGCTACTCGGGAGGCTGAGGCGGGAGAATGGCGTGAACCCGGGAGGCGGAGCTTGCAGTGAGCTGAGATCGCGCCATTGCACACCAGCCTGGGTGACACAGCGAGACTCTGTCTCCAAAAAACAAAACAAAACAAAACAAAACAAAAAACAAAAAAAAAAAAGAAAGGAAAAGAAAACAGGTACTGTCACCCACTAGACGGATCAGAAAACTCAAGACACCAGTGTATTCATTGTATGCCTGTATCACAATTCGTCTTCCCACTCACCTATTGTTGGGCATTCAGGGTGCTCCCGCTTTTGGGTTACTACAAATAAAGCTGCTACAAGGACTTTTGCCCAAGTTTTTGTGAGGGTGAATGTTTTCACTTCTCTTAGGTAAATACCTAGGAGTGAAATTGTTATATATATGGCAGGTGGATGTGTAACTGCTTAAAGAACTACCTAATAGTTATCCAAATTGGCTGTTTTATTTTGCATTTCCATTAGTAGCGTATGAGTCTCAACCACTTAACATCCTTGCCAATACTTGGGATAATCAGGTTTTCAAATTTAAGCCATTCTACTGGGCTTGTGGTGGTAGTATCTCATTGCAGTTTTCATTTTCATTTCCTTAATGACTAATGATGTTGAATATCTTTTCATGTGTTTATTTGCCATCGATATATTTTCTTTACTAATAAGTATGTTCAATTCTTTTTTCATTTTTCATATTTTTAAATTTTTGCATAGTGTGAGTTCTTCATATATTCTTGAGACAGAAACCTTTGTTGGATATGTTTGTTGTTGTTGTTGTTGTTTTTGAGATGAAGTCTCGCTCTTGTTCCCCAGGCTGGAGTGCAACGGTGCAATCTCGGCTCACTGCAACCTCCACCTCCTGCATTCAAGCGATTCTCTTGTCTCAGCCTCCCGAGGAGCTGGGATTACAGGCGCCTGCCACTACGCCCGGCTAATTTTTGTATTTTTAGTAGAGACGGGGTTTCACCATGTTGGCCAGGCTGGTCTTGAACTCCTGACCTCAGGTGATCCGCCCACCTCGGCCTCCCAAAGTGCTGGGATTACAGGTGTAAGCCACCACGCCCAGTCGGATATGTGTTTTATAAACATTTTCTCCAAGTTTGTGGTTTGCTTTCTCATTTTTGTAAGTGTCTCTTAAAGAGCAAAATATTTAAATTTTGATTTTCTCCAACTAATTGATATTTTCTTTTATAGTTTGTGTTTGTTTCATGTTTTAAAAACCTGTGCCATACCCAAGACCACAGTGATTTTCTCTTATGTTTTCTCTTGGGCATTTTGTATTTTTAACTCTTACTTTTAGGTTTATAATCTATTTAGAGTAATTTTTTCGTATATGGTGGGTTTTTTTCAGCATATGACCATCAAATTGTTTCAGCATCACCTAAGGAAAAGATTTTCCTTTCCCCCATTAAATTGGTAATTTTGTTGAAAATCCATTAATCATATATGTATGTGTCTATTTCTCAGCTCTATTCTATTCCACAGATCTGTGTATCTTTATGCCAATACCACACTGATACTACTTTATCTACTGTAGCCTTATAATACATCTTAAAATCAAGCAGTGTAGGTCCTTTTTGTTCTTTGTTTTCAATTTTTTTTTTTTGCTCTTCTAGGTTCTTTGATTTTCCAAATTAATTATATAATCTGCTTGTAAATTTATGCAAAAAGGTCTGTTGAGTTTTTGACTGGAATTGCCTTCAATCCATGGATCAATGTTTGGGAGCATTGGCATCTTAATACCAAGTGTTCTGACCCATAAATGCAATTTATCTCTCCATTTATTTCTGTCTTCTTTAATTTCTCTCAGCAACATTTCATAGTTCTCAGAGTACAGATCTTGAATAACGCCTGCAAGTTTGTCACTAAGTATTTCATATTCTTCATATTATTGTGGTAGATTATTTTACTTCAACTTCCAAAAGTTTGTTCCTAGTTTATAGAAATGCGGTTCATTTTTGTGTACTGACTTTGCAAAACTCACTTATTACTTCTAGTGGCATCTTTATAGATTTCTCAGGATTTTCTACAGAGATGATTATGCCTTCTGCAAATAACGTTAGTTTTACTTTCTCCTTTTCAATTTATATGTTTTTGCTTCGTTGCCCTGGGCAATGTTGAATGGACATGATAAGACCGGACAATCTTGCTTTATTCCTCATCTAAAGGAGAAAGCATTCAGTCTGTTGCCATTAAGGATGATGTTAGCTGTAGGGTTTTGTTTGTTTGTTTGTTTTTTAATAGATACCCTTTATCCAGCTGAGGAAGTTCTGTTCTTTGTTGTTGTTGCTGCTGTTGTTTGAAACAGGGTCTCATTCTGTCACCCAGGCTGGAGTGCACTGGAGCGAGCATGGCTCACTGCAACCTTAACTTCCTGGGCTCAGCATTCCTCTTGTTTCAGCCTCCTGAGTAGCTGGGATCACTGGCATGCACCCCCATGCCTGGCTAATATTTATTTATTTATTTATTTTTGTGGAGACAGGGTCTTACTATGTTCCTCAAGCTGATCTCAAACTCCTGAGCTCAAGCCACCTTCCTGCCTCGGCCTCCCAAAGCGCTGGGATTACAAGCTTGAGCCATTTCACCCAGTGAGGAAGTTCCCTTCTACACCTGGATTGATGACTTTTTAAAAAAAAATCAGGAATAAATGTTGATTTTTTTCAACATCTAATGAATACTTTCTCTGCATCTATTGAGATTACTTTGTTTCCCTTTTTAAAGAAAGTCTCTTATATGACAAATTCCATTTATTGATTTTCAAGTTGTAAACCAACTCTGCATTTCTGTACTTGATCATAAGATATATTTTGTCTTATGTATTGTTGGATTTGATTTGCTAAAACTTTGTTAAAGATTTATGTGTCTAAGTTTATGAGGAATATTGATCTAAAATTTTATTGTAATGCCTTTGTCTGATTTTGGTATCAGGCTAGTGCTGGCTTCATAGAATAAATTGGGAAGTTCCCTCTTCTCCTATGCTTTGAAAATATTTGTGTTTGATTGTATTATTTCTTCCTTAAATGCTTTGTAGAATTTACCAGCGAACTCACCTGGATCTGAAATTTTCTTTTTTGGAATGTTTTTACCTACAAATTCAAGTTTTTAAAGATACTGGGCTATTTGGGCAACCTATTTCTTCTTGAGTGAGCTTTTGTAGCTTGCATTCTCCAGGGAATTTGTCCATTTTACCTAAGTTGTTGAGTTTATTTGCGTAATGTTACTAATAACATTCCCTAATTAACCTTTTAATATCTATAGCATCAGTAGCGATGTTATCACTTTCCTTCATGATATTAGTAATTTATATCTTCCTTTACTGATAATTATGGCTAGAGGTTTATCATTTTTATTAATTTTTCACAAATAACTAGCTTTGCTTTCATTGATTCTATTACTTTTTTCTATTTTATTGATTTATGCTCTGATCTTTATTATTTCCCTTATTTTGCTTACTTTTGGGTTTGACATTCTTCTTTTTTTTGGTTTGTTAAGGTAGAAACTGAAGTGATTGATTTGAGACGTTTCTATTTTTCTAACATAACCATTTAATGCTATAATTTTCCTTTCAGTACTGTTTCAGCTGCATGCAACAAATTTTGATATATTGTACTTTGAAATTTATTTCAAATAGGTTTTAATTTTTTTATTTCTTCTTTGCCCCATTGGTTATTTAGAAGTTTGCTTTTGGTTTCTAAATATTAGAAATTTTCCAGATATGTTATTGATTTATAGTTTAACTCTATTGTGGTTACAGAATATGCTTTGTATAATTTGAATCATTTTATATTTATTGAGGCATACTTTATGGCTCATAATATAACCTGTATTAGTAAAATATTCCATATTTTAAGGTAAGACCCATAATATGAGCTCATATTATGAGCACTTTAAGAATATGTATTCTGCCATTGTTAGGTAGAGTGTTCCATAAATGTCAATTAGGTCTAGTTGGTTGACCATGTTTTTCAGGTCTCTAAACCCTTATTAATTTTATGTCTACCGTTCTATTAATTATTTAGATGGGATGCTGAAATCTCTGATTATAATTGTGGATTTGCTTACTTCTGCATCTAGTTCTGTCAGTTTGGGGTTCATATATTTTGAAGTTTTGTAATAGGTGAATACATATTTATCATTGTTACAGCCTGCTAATGAATTGACCCCTTTATCATTATGGAATGACCCTCCTTATCCTTAGATGGTGTTCTTTACTCTGAAATAGACTTTGTTAAGATACCAGCTATTTCTCAAAACCACAGAGGTGAAGTTACTGAAGGGATTCATATTGGTAAAGACCTAGATTCATTATGGAGTGACAATAATGACAATGAAGAAGAAAATACCTGACATGTGTTAACTGTTTACTATCTTCCAGGAACTGTACCAAGTGATTTATGTGCTAATTTCACATTCATAGTCTCACTACATGGTGGCTTTTGCTATTATTTTTCATTTTATGAAAAAGAATCATTTCAGCTCAAAATGTAAAAAACTTTTAGTGGTTGTCTCATCCAGCTCCCCTCTTTTGCCCAAGGGGGAAGCTAAGGCCCAAAAGGACAGGGCACAGAGTACGAATGCAGAGAGTCAACCCTCAGGAGAGGTTGTTTTGCCTTTCATTATCCACCTTCCCCCAAATAGGCAACAAATGAAGTCTAAGGGTTCAAGTTCTCTCTATTAACATATACTTCTTCCCATCTATGGCTTTGTACTATAGCCATTTATTCAGTCTGTCCACCCATCAACCCAACCAGCCACCCATCCATCCATTCATTCATCCATCCACCTACCAACCATCCATCCATCCATCCATCTGCTCACCCATCCCTCCATCCATCCACCTATGCATCCATCCATCCACCCATTCATTTATCTGTCCACCCGTACATGCACGCATGCATGCATCCATCCATCCATCCATCCATCCATCCATCCATCCATCCACTCACCCATCCATTCACATGTCCATCCATCTATCCATCCATACATCTACTCATCCATTCATTCACCATCTATCCATCCATCTAAACCATTATCTAGACATGTATATACCCAGCATTCTTATTCTGGGGAAAAAACAACCAGACAAAATCCCCACCTTCAAGGAGCTCACAGTCTGGCAGAGCAAACATCTGCACAGATGAAAGACAGCTTCATATATGCATTAAAATAGAGAGCTGTGCTTGAGAAACCACAAGACAGTTCTACTCCCTCTGTGTAGGGAGTCACTTTAGGCTTCCAGGACAAGAAGATATTTGAGGAGGGTCTTGTAACAAGAGTAAGTTTAAAACAAATGTTAGACAAAGACTCCTGAGACAATTAAGACACAGCACCTGTCTTCAAAAACTCTGAATACAGACCAGTGGTTCTCAAAGTGCAGTCTGCAGACCAACAGCATGAGCTTACCAGGGAACTAATTAGTAATGTAGATTCTTAGGCTCTATCTACTAATTTAGAAACTCTGGGTGTGGGACCCTGTAATCTGTAAATAATAGTCCCACTGCGTGATTGTGATGCATAGCAATACTCGAGAACCACTGCTCTAGAGGAGAAGGCTACAAAACAATAATTCAATGTGAAAAACCCTGAGGATGCAGAAGCGAGAGCTAATAACTCTTCACCTGTACCCGTCTTGCCTTCTTGGTTAGGCTTTGAGCTTCCTGAGGATAAGAACTGCATCCTGCTGTTCATTCCATCTCTCCTGGGTCTTACCTATAATAGACGTCCAGTAGGTGAAGATTGGTTTAGACAGAGTCCAGCAGGAGGCTGCAAGATTCAGGGGCTCCAAAAGGGAGAGTAATCTTTTAGGTAACTAGAGAAGGTAGCCATAATGGGTAGTAAAGGACAGGGCAGTTTTCAGAAGGCTTGAACAAAGGTTGGGCTTCTCTTGGGCAGAAGATCTGAAGCTATAGTGACCACCATTCCTCACAGCTCACCCCTTAAAGACTGTGCAAAAGGGCCAACCTTAATCTCATTTGCTTTTTTTTTTTTTTAATCAAGCCTACGAAGAAGGCAGGTTTATGGCCCCCACATTACAGATGAAGAAACTCAAGCCCAGAGAGGGATAGTGACTCACCCAAAGCCACACAGCCAGTTTTCAGAAAAGAACAATCCAAAGCAAGTCTTTTGAGGTTCATCCATCGCCCTTTTCAGGAATTACGCAAATTCTTGTCCACTTCTCTGAGCCTGGGTTGGTCATTTGGTATGGGCATGGGGTCCATATAAGATTCTTTTCCCTACAGTTTCCTTTTCTCGCAGTTCCGGAGGTAGTAATTCAATGATCCACCCCCACATCTAAAATTCTAAGGAATTTTAGTTATTTTGACCAGAGATGTGAAAAAATTCCATCTGTTAAAGACAGGAGTTGATAGCATCTCCATTGCTCCCTTCTGATAATCCCCTAGGTTTGTCTTTTGTCAGCTTGCCCATGGGAAAAGTAAGGGAGATTTTCTCTAACAGCCAGAGAATAAAGACCTGTACCCAAGGGCTTAGAAAAGCCAAAACCTCATCCTTTCTCTTTGCTCCCCCAATATGGGGCAAGGAGAGTGTCTTATTCCATGGGGGCTGCTATAATGAAATATCATAGACTAGGTGGCTTCAACAATACACATTTATTTCTTACAGTTTTGGAGGCTGGAAAGTCCAAGATCAAGGTGTCAGCCAATTTGGTTCCTGATGAGGCCCATTTTCTTGGCTTGCCGATGGTTATCATCTTGCCGTGTCCTCACATGGCAGAGCAAAGGGGGGTGGAGGAGGGAGAGAGAGAGCACACACACTTTGTGCCTCTTATTGTAAGGGCATTAATCTCATCATGAGGGCTTCACCCTCTTGAACTGATTACTCTCCTAATACCATCACATTGGGGGTTGGGGCTTCAAGGTATAAATTGGGAAGGCCACAAGCTTTTGGTTCATAACAGGGAAGGAGCAGAGCAGCCACCCACAATGACAACGCCCATATCTGGCTCTGCCACACTGGACAGCTCAATCTAGGACCAGACAAGCCAAAGCATTGTCTTCCTCCTTTAGGCAATGGGTTTTTAGACAAGGATCTTCTCTCAATACACCAAAGTGGTGAAAAATCAAAGTTGGGGATTTCTTGGAAACAAACCCATATGAATACGTTACTTAGGTAATACTAAATATCCTGAACACAGCCATATAAGCCATAGAAAAAGTTTGGACCAACCTCTTTATTAACTTGTGAAGTCAAAGAAGTTTGGACTCTGAGCCTCTAAACTCTGTCATGAAGGCTTTTAAATGCGTCTAGTGCTTCTAGAATCTGTTCTTCTCCATTCTCTGAAAATTGTATAAAGACACGGAGTACCTCCTGTATGCCATTAATTTACTTAATATTCCAGCTTGGCTCCCTGGCATGTCTTGGAAGAACCATTAGCTACTGTTAAATAAATAAATCCTTACTGTAACTCACCCTAGAGGTGCCTCTAAGAGTTACCTGTGTGAGATGCAACCGGATCACAAATTAGCATCTGCAACTCAGTTTATGGCCTTTAATTTGGGGTTCCTATTTGAGGCCATTGTCCATTTCCTCCACTGCATCATCTTAGAACATACAATGTCCTTCCTGATTGCAGTAACTCATGATGCTCCCAGAAAAGCTTTCATTTATACCACCTATATTTTAAGCCAGGCCATTCCAAACAAACCTTTCAAAAGTGGTGAAAAAACAAATTAAAAAAACCCCAACTCTATTAGCTATCTATTGCTGCATAACAAACTATCCCTCAAAGCTTAGGGGCTTAAAACAACAAGAATTTATTATTTCTCATGAATCTATAAGTCAATTTGATGGTTCTGTTGATTTGGGCCAAGGTCAGATGACTTTGGACCTGCTGTTGCACCTGTGATCAGCTGGCAAGTCAGCTGAGGACTGGCTGTTCTAGGATGACCACATCCACATATGCAGCAGCAGACTGGTTATAAGCTGGATCAGGTGGTTTTCATGCTTCAGTGAACTAGCTTACATTGCTCTTAGTTGTGGCAAACTTGGAATTGTTCTTAGTTGTGGCAAGATTCCAAGAAGAAAAAGAGTAAATATTCAAGGTCTCTTGAGGCTTAGACTCAGAACTGGCACACCATCACCTACGCTGCATTCTTTTCTCTTTTTTTTCTTGAGATAGAGTCTCACTCTGCTGCCCAGGCTGGAGTGCAATGGCCCGATCTCGGCTTGCTGCAACCTCTGCCTCCCAGGTTCAGGTGATCCTCCCGCCTTAGCCTCCTGAGTAGCTGGGATTACAGGCACCTGCCATCATGCCTAGCTAATTTTTGTATTTTTGTAGAGATGGAGTTTCACCATGTTGGCCAGGCTTGTCTGCAACTCCTGACCTCAGGCTATCCACCCACCTCAGCCTCCCAAAGTGCTAGGATTACAGGCATGGGCCACCGCGCCCAGCCTCCTCCACTGCATACTATTGGTCAAAGCAAGTCTAGTGACTCCCCATTTCTTGATGGTAGGACCTGCAAAGTCACATTGCCAAGGGTATGGATAAGGGAAAGGGCAGAGAATTAGAGCCATTTTTAGCAATCTATCACACCTGTCTACCATTGTGGTCACAAACAGAAATTTAATTGTATTTTTGTAGATTGAAACCTCAAAACCCCCATAAGCAAATAATTTGGTTGAACCACAAAAATTTGACTTTCTTTTTCTTTTTTTTTTTTTTTTTTTTTGAGATGGAGTCTCGCTCTGTTGCCCAGCCTGGAGTGCAGTGGCACGGTGTTGGCTCACTGCAAGCTCCGCCTCCCAGGTTCACGCCATTCTCCTGCCTCAGCCTCCCGAGTAGCTGGGACTACAAGCTCCCACCACCACGCCCGGCTAATTTTTTGTATTTTTAGTAGAGACGGGGTTTCACTGTGTTAGCCAGGATGGTCTTGATCTCCTGACCTCTTGATCTGCCTGCCTCGGCCTCCCAAAGTGCTGGGATTACAGGCGTGAGCCACTGCACCCGGCCTGTATTTGACTTTTTAAAACAGCTTTATTGAAGTATAATTTACATATCATAAATTCATCCATTTTAAGTGTGCAATCCAATGATTTTTAGTACATTTAGAAACTTGGGCAAACATCACTATCATCCAGTTTTAGCACATTCTTATCACTCCCGAAAGATCTCTTTTGCCTGTTTGCAGTCAGTCCTCTCTTCCCACCCCCAGCTGTAGGCAACCACTGATATGCTTTCTGATTCTACAGATTTGCCTTTTCTAGAGATTTCATATAAATGGAATCCCACAATATATATGGTCTTTGTGTCTAACTTCTTTCATGTAGCATATTTTTGAGGTTCATTCATGCCGGTGCATGTATCAAATACTTCATTCATTTTCATTGCTGAATAGTATTCCATTACATGGATGTATCACATTTTGTTTATCCATTCACCGGTCTATGGGCATTTGGATTAGTTCCATTTTTTGGCAATTCTGAATACTGTTGCTGTACACATTTGTGTACAAGTCTTTGTGTGTACATATCCCTTCACTTTTCTTGGATGGATTTCTTGGAGTAGAACTGTTGGGTCATATGACAAGTTTATGTTTAACTTTGAGAGAATCTGCCAAACTGTTTTCCAAAGTAGCTACACCATTTTGCACCCTCACCAGCAATGGATGAGAGTTCTAGCTTCTTTACATACTCACCAACACTTGCTATTGTCAGTTCCTTTGACTACCAACAGCTTTTGACCCACAAAAATGGCATTTCATGTAGTTCAACTGAATATTGCTGTCCACATTTTATGGATACGAGACTGAGACCCTCGGGTGAGAGAGAAAATTAGATTCAAATTTGCATTGATCTGTCATGTAAACCTAAGCCTTGTGAGCTGTGTGTGTCTGCCTCCTTTTCTCATTGGAACCTTGCCCCTGGCTTGCTGTTCCAGTCACCAGAGAGGCATGCTCCAATCTCAGATCCCCTTCCACCCATCTCTCAGTCCCTCTGGAGGCTGGCTGGGCCTGCAGGTTTGCAGCCTAGACTCAACTGCAAAAAAACAACTCGTTCACGCCTGCTGCTCCACACAACTGATGCCAAGGGAAATCAGTGCTTGCTTGGGTGTGTCTGAGCCCCATGTGCTTATTCCCAGATGAGTATTTATAAAAGGAGTTCTTTGGCTTCTACTTAACGCATCCCCTATGCTATGATTTTATTGTGTCCCCTGGAGTTCGTGTATTAGAAAGAATCCCCAATGCAACAGTGTTGAGACATGGGACATTTAAGAGGTCATTAGGTCATGAAGCTCTGCTCTCATGAATGGATTAATGTCATTAACCCCGGAAGTGAGTTAGTTACCTTGCGAATGGGGTCCTTATCAAAGTTGGCCCCCTTCCCTCACTCTCTTGCTCATGTGATGTCTTCTGCCATGGGAAGAACTTCAACAGATATAGTCCATCCATCTTGGACTTCCCAGACTCCAGAATCATGAGCCAAATACATTTCTGTTCATTACAAATTACCTAGCCTGTGGTATTCTGTTTTACCAGAATAAAATGGACTAAGACACTCTGTAAATTGCAAGATAAGCTCATCAGAGTCTGTTACTACTTTATTGTTATAAAAAATCCTCTTTTAGGTTTGCTGAATTTGTGCTGTTACCTGGGGAGGAAAATATATATTTGTGTGTGTGTGTGTGTGTGTGTGTGTGTGTATATGTATGTATATATATGTGTGTGTGTATATATGTGTATATATGTATATATATGTGGGTATATATGTGTATATATGTATATATACATATATGTATTTATGTGTGTATGTGTGTGTGTGTGTATATATATATATATATAAATTTTTTTTCCTCCAGCTACTTATCAGCTGATACTTTTCTGGAAACACATTATTTTAGAAATGTGTTCTGGCACCCCAAACCTCTGTGCACCCTCCTGCAGAGCCTTGGCAGGGGAGTAAGGCAGTGCTTTTAAAATGCTGGCCTGAAAACCTGGGATGACCTCTGATGAGGTGTCCACTGGTCTTTGTGGAAATGAAGAGAATAATGTTGAGAGAGTGTTCAGAAAGCTACATTTATTTAATTTAAAGGGCTTTCCTGTATCCTGTGATTCTTGCCCCCCACCGTTAGGTGTTAAAATGCCCTTACCTTCTGAAATAATGGAAGTAAAAGATGGTAGTAATTTTTTAAAAATGTCTGCTTTGGTAAAATAGAAAATGGAATATGCTACATCTATCTATCTATCTATCTATCTATCTATCTATCTATCTATGTATCTATCTCTCTATCTCTCTATCCATCATCTATCTATCTATCTATCTATCTACCTATCATTTAATTTTTTTCAACTGCTAAGTGATGTCCAAATATCTGGGAGCCACTGTCTTGGTAGCAAAAACATGGGGATAGGAGAGAAATTATTAAATCTACTTTTTAAAAAGAGATAGGGTCTTGCTCTGTTGCCCAGGCTACAGTGTAGTGGCACAATCATAGCTCACTGCAGGCTTGAACTCCTGGGTTCAAGCAATCCTCCCGCCTGGGCCTCCCAAAGTGGCCAGGACTGTAGGCGTGAAGCATCTTAAACCTACTTTTGAATTCTACAATCCTGGTTTTAAACGTAACCCTGTCTGTTTGTTGCAGCTTGATCTTGGGTAGTAATAATCATGGCAACAATAATGGCAGAAATAAATACCTGCAGTACTCTTTCTATGTACCAAGCACCATTCTAACCACTTTATATTCACAAACTCATTTGGTCTTTAAGATATTTCAGTGAGGTGAGTGCTGTGATCATCCTCAGTTTACAGAGGAGGGCATAAGATCAGAGAGGGGAAGTCATTTGCCTCTGGGGCAGGTGGATGCCGAAGTAAGGACTCTAACTTCAGAGACACAATAATGCCACACTGGATCTGCCACTTCAAGCGTCTGAACCTCAGTTTCTTCATCAGTAAAATACAATGAAAATGACTAGGGTGGTAGTAGATAAATTCATGTGAAAAGGGGCAAATATCTTGATCAACCCATGATATGTGCCTGATTACTATTAATGTTTCTTTCCATCTTTTCCTCAGGGCAAACTCTCCAGGTTTCTTACAGAAGGCAGGTTAGCTGGTTAACTGCTTGGGTTTGGGAAGTTCATAGACCTCGATTTACATCCTAGCTCCTCTGTTTCTTGGCTGTGAAACCCTGGGCGCATTGCACACCCTCTCTGTGCCTCGGTGTCCTCAACTATTGCAGGTTGAGAGCAGTTGGGGTCATTTTTCACTTGTATAACATTTGTCCTCTGATGGGGGAAAGGACCAGACATGAGGGATGGGGATGCTGAGTCTTGATCTGCCTCTTTCTCTCCTCTGGCCTGGGTCCACTGCCAATGGCAGTGATGTGTAACTTAGAGTCTCCCATTCTCGGCCTGGCAGAGCCGACTTCCCTGTAACCCCATGCACCCAGCCAAGCTCAGCTGCGAGGCCAGCTCTAACCCCAGAGGAGGCAGGTCTGGCCAGCCGCAGCCAGGCATTAACAAAAGCCTGAGTCAAACTTCATTTCCTCTTGCCTAGGGAGCCTCACCAGCCATGGGCCAGGTGCCAGGCCAGAGTGTTATTGGCAAAGAAATTGATGCTGTGTGAAAGCTCTGCTTACAGTGCCAGTGAAAGCAGGCACTCACACATCCATCCTCTCCCCTGCCATCATGGAGCCCATGGGGACACCTGTCCTTAGGCCCATTGTCCAAATGACAAACTGAGGCTTGGCTATACAGGGTCTCTTGCAAAGCATCCCAGAGCAAAAAGTAACAACTGGGGTTTGATTCCAGGTCTCTTCCAATGCCAGTTGTCCCTTCTTTTATGCCATTTGTTTTCCTTGTTTGCTCTTAGGTACAAATGACTCACTAACAAAGCTCGAAATGTGAGGCTCTCCTCTGAGAGCTGCATGCAAAGAAAGATGTCTTAACAGCAGATGATAAAGAGGAGGATTTTAGTGGCAAAAGAATTGTCTTGCAGAGTCTAGAATGGTACCAAGTACCATTTTCTGGGCATCTAAGATGTGCCGGGGTTGGGCTTTTCATATCTAATTGAATCCTTACAATAACCCAACTAGGTCAATACTAACAGTCTCCATTTTCCAGATGTGGAAACTGAGGCTCAGAGAAGAAAAATAGCTGGACCAAGGTCACACAGCCAGAAAATGCAGGGGCCAGAATTTGATCTCAAGATGGGGGCTTCAGAGTAAATTCTCTGTTGCCTGTGAATGTCAGCCCATGTGGTGGTGACCTGTCCCTCCTGTGTGTAGCCCAGGTGGTGTGCTACACCCACATTCACATGGGATGAATCTCTGGTGCCCTCTCTCCTATACACACATGATGTGGTGCTGGCCACAAAAAAAGTTATAGGTACTGCAACACAGAACTCTGTGGCTCCAGCAAAACATTCCCAGCTGGGGAGCAGAGACACTTGGTTTGTTTTTTTTTTAAGTTTTAAAAATTAAATTTTTTTTTTTGAAACAGAATCTTGCTTTGTCACCTAGGCTGGAGTGCAATGGCACAATCATAGCTCACTGTAACCTCAAACTCCTGGGCTCAAGCAATCCTCCTGATTCAGTCTCCCAAGAAGCTGGGACTAAAGTTGTGTGCCGCCACACCTGGCTAAGTTTTAGTTTGTAGAGATAGCATCTCACTTTGTTGTCTAGGCTGGACTCGAACTCCTGGGCTCAAGTGGTCCTCCCACCTCAGCCTCTCAGAGTGCTGGGATTATAGGCATGAGCCAATGAGCCCAGCCCTGGTTCTGTTCTTGGCACTGCCATTCATTGTCTGGCCTTTTCCGCCTTAAGCTTAAATTCAGATTCCGTCTAGGAGGCCAATTAATTCCAGCTTACATACCAATTCTGATCAATTGGAAGTTGCTGTCTAGAGTGCTATATTGAAAAGAATTGTGAGGCTCAACGATCAATTAGCGATGTCTATCACTAATGGGTAGAGGTGGTTCAAGGCAAACATGAGCTAGGCATTTGCAAATCCCAAACCAGTGGATTTCTAAGGGCCCTACAAAGAACCTCAACACTGTCTCAAAGATCAGATGCCTTCCACTTAAGCACTGGGAGAGGGGGGCCAAGAGCTTAGGGTCATCAGATAAAGTATGAGCATCCTGTATTTTTATTTGCTGAATCTGTCTACTCCGAAAGAGCTACAAACCCAAGAGACTCTGAGAGTATCTCTAAGGCAGCTAGATTTATTCTCAACTTTAGCCACACTGGATATACACAGTAGTCTTCCTTTATCCTTGCAGGGGTATGTTCCAAGACCTCTAGTGGATGCCTGAAGCCATGGATGGTACCAAACCCTGTACACTATGTTTTTTTTTTCTATACATACACATCTGTGATAAAGTTGAATTGATAAATTAGGTACAATAAAAGATTAACAATGATCACTAATAATAAAATAAAACAATTATAACAATATACTGCAATAAAAGTTATGTGAATGTGTATTCTCTCTCTCTCTCTCTCAATACCTTAATATTTTTGGATGGCAGTTGACCACTGGTAACTGAAACTGCAGAAAGAGAAATCACAGGTAATAGGGAGCTACGGGGCTCACAATGGCCACAGACTTCTGAAAACTTTATTCTTCTTTATAATAAACTCAGTTTATCCCCCATGAGCCTTTTTTTCTACCTGCAAATGAAGATATTCATCTTGTGGAATCAAGGCAACTGAGTCATCTTGGGCAATTACCTGGTTAATTCTGCGTTCTCTTTCCTTGCCCTTTTTCCTTATCCTTAGGTGGCATCTGAGTTCAAGGAAGGCTTCAGGTTGAGTATGGTTGCTCATCCTGTAATCCCAGCACTTTGGGAGGCCGAAGCCAGAGGATTGCTTGAGGTCAGAGTTTGAGACCAGCCTAGGTAACATAGTGAGACCCCATCACTACAAAAAATTTAAAAAGTTAGCCATGTGTAGCGGTGCATGCCTGTAGCTCCCAGCCACTCGGTAGGCTGAGGTGGGAGGATTGCTTGAGTCCAGGAGGTTGAGGCTGCAATGAGCTGTGGTCATGCCACTGCACTCCAGCCTGGGCAACAGAGAAAGACTCAAAATCTAAAAATAAAAATTTAAATTTTTTTAAAAAGGAAGGCTTCTGTCCTCGCTGGCTCTGCTAACCTCCTGCCAGAGCCCAGGACACAGCCGTCACCCTGCTAAGGTATAAAGCACACCCACATCTGCAGTTGGGCTCACAGGCCATTCTTCTTATTCCAGCTGAAAGCCTCATCAGGAGATAGCTTTACTGCAGCCCAGGGAGCGCTGAGTGGCTTCATGAGGTGTGGACAACTCCTTTGGCCATGGGCTTCTAACCCAGGAGTTATGGTGAATGTCAGTCTTATCAATGAATCCTGTGGTTTGGAAAGCCAGGGGCCTAGGATGTACCTCAACTTATGTTGGTTCCAAGGGCCACTGTCTCTTATTCAACCTGAAAGTCAGGGCCCTGGGACCCTTCTGAGGGACACTTTGCTAATTCTTTCAGCTCTGCAGCATGGAAAAATGGATATTATGCCTTCATACATTCTTCCAATTTCTGGTTTATGCTCTAGGTTCTTGATATCTGAAGCCAGCTTCCAGACTTTTAAAAAAAGGTGGGGAGATTTTTTTTCTGTGCAAACATTTGATACTTCAACAACAAGGGCATTAGCATTAGCATTACCCTTGTTAGGATTAGGGTTGAAATACATGGGCTTCCATACCACGGCTTCTGTTATAGATTCATAAACATCTATCCAAGGATGCAAAGCTGATACTTTGATTCTTGATTTTTTTTTTGTTCTTTTGACTCCCTTTCCTGATGGCGTTCTGATGGCATCCCTCACTGCCGCTAGAAAGATAGGCAAAAAGAGGGAGTACAAGGACTTGAATATAAATACAGTTTTTAATATCAATATATTATGCTGCTATGGATAAATTTGGAATATGTTATAAAATCCACAAACCAAAATGATTCCATTCCTGATACAGAAAAGAACCATGTAAACACAAGCTGTGCATCTCGTCTGACTTATTTCCAGGAGTGCTTATATATCTTTGGCTATGATCCTACTTTCCCAAGGGTATTTCTGCCCATCCATCATCACACTTCCATCTCAACCACACTGTGAGAAGGCTGTACCAGACTTATTTCTAGAGTCCTGGTGCCAATTTTTCATTCCTCCTCTCTGTTATTGATTCATCTATTCACCTATAGTATTTCTGACCCCTGCACTCTGAGTTAGGGATCCAGTGAAAAATCAACCAGAGACAGCGTCTGCCCTCATGAAGCTCATGGTCCAGTATATAGCCATCTCAGGAAATGCCTGGTGAGTGAATGAGAAAATTCTGGTTGAATAGCCTTTGGTTAATGTATGACTTTGCTTGGGCTGCCATGATGAAGTACCATGGACTAGGTGGCTTAAACAACAGAAATTTATTGTTCCAAGGTTCTGGAGGCTGGAAGTCTGAGATCAAGGTGTGAGCAGCATTGATTCCCTCTGGGGACTGTGAAGGAGAGTCCATTCCAGGCTTCTCTCCTAGCTTCTTGTGGTTTGCTGGCAGTCTTTGGTGTCCTGTGGTTTGTAGAAGCATCTCCTGATCTCTGCCTTCATCTTCAGATGACATTCTCCCTGTGTATGTGTCTGTGCCCAAATAGCCCTTTTATAAGGACACTAGACATATTGGATAAGGGCTCATCCTAATGACTTCATGTTGGCTAAACTAATTACACTTGTAATGACCCTATTTCCAAATAAGATCCTATTCCAAGATACTGGCAGTTAATACTTCAGCATGTAAATTTTGGAGGGACACAATTCTATCCATAACCGTTACATATGTGGCCACGTAGTTCTCATGTCCAACTGCAAACTCCTTGAGGACAGGCTGCATCTTACACTTGAGTATCCCCAGGAACTCGCAAAGGACATGGCCTGTAGGGGGAGCTCCATAAATGTGTCTTGACCTAGAAATTAGCCACCAATTTATGGAAGAAAAAATGGACACAGTGAGATTAATGACTGGCTCAAGGTCACAGGTGCAGCTAGCTAATGCACAGTGTCCAGCACAGACTAGGAACTCAAGAAGAGTTTCTGGAATGAGGGAAGGAAGGCAGTACCAGAAACTAGACTGCCTGACCCTTGTCTAACGCATTATTTGCCAGCCATGCAGCAGGTGAGGACGTCAGTAACAGGTGGTTAGTTAAGGGTGTATGTGTGAATGTCTGTGTGTGTGCATTTGAGTGGCAGGTGAGTGTGTGAATACATGTTTGAATGTTATTGTGAGAGTGTGCCTCTGCATGTGCACATATGAATAAGTGTGGGAGTGAGTATGTGCGGGTGTGTATGAGTCTGAATGAATATGTGTGAATGTGCATTAGCGTGAATATGCTATGAGTTATGAGTGTGCAAATGTGTGAGTTTATCAGTGTGAGAGTGTGTATGACAGTAAATGATTATTTGATTGGGCATATATGTGACAGCAGGTCTGAGTCTGTGAGCAAGTGTGGTGTTGTGTGTGAGAGTATATAATTATGCAAATGTGCATACGTGTGAGAGTAGCTGTGAGTCTGTGAGCAAGTGTGAGTGTGTAAAGATACAGGTGCATGTGGGGAAGTGAGTGAGTGTGTGAAGGACAATAAATGTGAGCACGGAAATATATATGAATGAGGGAGTGAAAATGAGTATCTGGTGTGTGTCTGAGTGTAATGTGAGAGAGAATGTGCCTCTGTGTGTGCATGAGTGTGTGCATCTGAGTCTGTGCCTGTTTGTGGTAGAGTGTGTGTTAATGTACACGGGTCTGTATGAGTGAGACTGTCAATGTGTGCTAGTGTTTCTGTATAAGTGTGAGGCCATGAGTGAGTGTGTAAGTGTGAATGTATGAGACTATATGCACGTGTGAATGGATGTGCCTGTGGTGAGGTGTGTGTTGGAGTAAGTGGGAATCTATAAGTGAGTGTGAGATTGTGTTGTAAGGATTGAGGGTGTATGAGTGAGCTGATGAGTGTGCATGTGAATGAGTGTGAATGTGGTGTGTGCAAATTTGTGGGTGCATGTGTGTATGACAGTCTGTGAGCAAGCGTGAGGGTGTGGGTGCATGTGAGTGGATGAATGTGAGCATGGAAGCCTATACAAGTGTGTGTATGAGAGGGTCTGTGAGCAAGCTTGAGGGTGTGGGGGTGTGGGTGCATGTGAGTGAATGAATGTGAGCATGGGAGTGTGCATGAGTGTGGGAGCCCACACAAGTGTATGCGTGTGAGTGTGGAGAGGGGAGCAAGGACTTCCTCAGAGTCTTCTGGGTGGGTGAATGCCTGAGCTAGCTCTGCGGCCAGTGATGGCAAGAATCAAGGATGTGCAGGGAGAAGGTGGGGGCAATCCCAAACTCCACGGCTTCTTCTTTTCCCTGGCCAAACATGCTGTTGTTTTATTTATTTTTTTTCTTATTTTTTTATTATACCTTAAGTTTTAGGGTACGTATGCACAACATGCAGGTTTGTTACCTATGTATACATGTGCCATATTGGTGTGCTGCACCCATCAACTCGTCATTTAGCATTAGGTATATCTCCTAATGCTATCCCTCCCCACTCCCCCAACCCCATAACAGGCCCCGGTGTGTGATGTTCCCCTTCCTGTGTCCATGTGTTCTCATTGTTCAATTCCCACCTATGAGTGAGATCACATCTTAGCAAGAAGCCCATATCACCTGAGAACAAGGATAATGCTAATGCCTGTGTTGTTGAATTTTCATTACCAGGACCATGACATGAGCATGAGAAGGATGGTACAGGGGAGAGATTCAGAACTACTAATCAACTTTTCTGAGGTGGAGGTGATTGTCCTCAAAGATACCTGGGCTAGTGATACAGCAAAAACATGGTAAAGTTTCACAAGAACAGAAAACCAAACACCGCATGTTCTCACTCATAAGTGGGAGTTGAACAATGAGAACACAGGGACACAGGGAGGGGAACATCACACATCGGGGCCTGTCAGGTGTGGGGGACTAAGGGCAGGATAGCGTTAGGAGAAATACCTAATGTAGATGACAGGCTGATGGGTGCACCAAACCACCATGGCACGTGTACACCTATGTAACAAACCTGCACGTTCTGCACATTTATCCCAGAACTTAAAGTATAATTTAAAAAAAAAAACACGGTTAAGTTTTCAAAAGTCTCTTAACCTCAGAACTTAGCATTAATAATTAATTATTTTACAGGCTTTTGATACTCAAATTAGGAAGTTAAAAAGATACTGAACACACACTTCTATGGTGAAGGCTGCACTTCTGGCTGGTAACTTGCACACACTGCTGTACTCTTAATATAATCAATTCATTGCTGAACATTTATTGAGCACCTATTCTTTGCCAGGCCCTGGAATAGGTACTAAAGATACAGTAGTATTAATAAATATGAAAGAGACTCATTCATTCATCCATTCACTTACTCAGTCATCACCTTTCTGACTACTTCTCTGTGGTTCTATATTAGAAACCAAGGCTACCATGAGGAATTACACAGGGATACATTCATTCACCCAACAAACGTTCATTCAGTACTTACCAGGTATCCAACAAAGTTATTCATTCATTCATCAAATCTCTGACTCTTACCCATGGTTCTATGGCAGACATCGAGGTTACCATAAATTACACAGGGATATGTCAATTCATTTGACAAATGCTCATTGAGCATCTACTATGTGTAAGACAGTCAGTCCATCTGTCCATCCATCCATCCATCCATCCATCCATCCATGCATCCATTTATTATATATTTATTGGGAGCCTATTTCACGCCAGGCTAGTCCTAGGTGCTAGGGATACTGTGGTGAACAAGACAGATATGGTCTCTGCCCTTGGAGCATCTGGCAGAGTCACCCCTTTGTTGGTGGCTTTAGGGAATCAGAAAGTCTAAAGGAGAGAGACCATTTCAGGTGATGGGACAAACAGGCTTGCTCCGGGCGCCCACCTGAGGAGCTGGAGGTGAGGATAAGGATGGGGCTGCATCCTCCAGATACCCAGAGCCTGTCTTTCGCTGCATTCCTTACGGGCAGGCTCTGCTGCCACATATGAGCATTCTCAGAAATCTCTGCTCACCAAGGACAGGACTGCCCTATGCCATTCCCTGTGGTGCAGACTCTCTTGACCCAGGTGCAGCACTTTTCTCCCTCTGAGTGGTTCTGCCTTCAGCCTAATGCGTGGATATTTCCATTTCAAAAGCACTGTCATGATGCATATCCACCTCATCCCCCTACTCTCAGCATCACGGAGCTGATGTCTGGCCGGGGGGCACTGCACGTCTCATAATAATGCTTGTTATTACAGTCAAGACTCACCCCAGCCTCCATTCTGAGCACACAAATTAAACATCGCACTGGCTTCCCCTCCAACAGCTTCCCGGCCCTGCCTCCTCTGCAAGAACTCTGGCTTCAGGCAACTTCTCAGGGATTCCATGGCTTATTTTTGCCTGACCAAGCTGATTTTTTTCCCCTCTCTTATTCTCTCAAGGTTTTATTCTTGGCACAGTTGCTGGAGATGCTCCAGCTTTGCAGTGAACCAAAATGTTATTCGTTACAGGAAAAAAAAACAACAAAAACCAGCAAACACTGCAGCTTCCCATAAAATACTTTTTTAACCATTAGGGAAAAGCTGTGGTGAGGAGTGGAAGTAAAAACGTAACTCTTGTGGCAACATTCTTGCTACTAATATTTGCTTAAAGCAGGCTACTTGGGTTCGAATCATTAGGAGCCTTATTAGGAACAGAAGCCAAGAAAGGTATTGGACAGGGAGGCAGCCCAGCCGGAAGAGTCTCCAAACAACCATTGTTTCATTCATTCACTCATTAATTCATTCAATAATGAATTTTTGAAAAATATTTATTGAGCACCTTTATGTGCCAGGCACTGTGCGAAGTGTTTGCCACACATTTATGAGCAGAACAGACAGCCTCCCTGCCCTCGTGAATCTTAAAGTCATGGGTAGAGAGATAGGCTGTAAAAAAATCATCCAGTAACCTATGATATGGGAGAAAATATTTGAAAGTTGAATATTTGATAAGGAGTTAATATACAGAATATATAAAGAATTCCTACACTCTGCAACAACATCAAAAAAAAACCCAGTTAAACGATAGGCAAATAACTTCAACAGACATTTTGCACATGAAGGTATGCAAATGGCCAAGGAGCACCTGAACAGGTGCTCAACGCCACTAGTCATTAGGGAAATGCCAATCAAAATCACCAGGAGATACCACCTCTCATCCATCAGGACAGTTACTATCCAAACCACAAAAAATAACAAGTGTTGGCGAGGATGTGGAGGGATTGGAACCCCTGTGTACTGTTGGTGGGGATGTAACAAAAGTGAAATAAGCCAGTCACAAAGGACATGCAGTGCCAGATTCTGCTCAGATGAGGTAGCTACAAGGTCAAATTCAGAGACAGAAAGTAGAATGGTGGTTGCCAGGACTAGCGGGAGTGGGGGAATGTGAAGTTATTTGTTTGTTTGTTTGTTTGTTTGTTTTGTTTTTTGAGACAGAGTCTCACTTTGTCGCCAGGTTGGAGTGCAGAGGCATGATCTCGGCTCACTGCAACCTCCGCCTCCTGAATTCAAGCGATCCTCCTGCCTCAGCCTCCCAAAAGTAGCTGGGATTACAGGAGCGTGCCACCACGCTCAACTAATTTTTTGTATTTTTAGTAGAGACTGGGTTTCACCATGTTGGCCAGGATGGTCTCGATCTCTTGACCTCATGATCTGCCTGCCACGGCCTCCCAAAGTGCTGGGATTGCAAGTGTGAGCCACAGCACCTGGCTGAAGTTATTGTTTAATGGCTATAGAGTTTTAATTTTGCCACCTGAAATGGGTTATGGTGACAGAGGGCAGTGGTGGTTGCACAACAATGTAAATGTACTTAACACCACTGAACTATTCATTCTAAAATGGCTAAGATGGTAAATTTTATGTTATGTGTATTTTACCACAATTTAAACAAATTCCCAAGTGCATGCTTTTAAACTTTAACAAATGCTATCTGGGAAAAGCACAGAGCTGTGACCAAGGTGCAATGAGGCAGATGATGCCCAGATCCTGTTTGAGGAAAGCCAAGAAAAGCTTCCCTGAGGGGTTGACACTTAAGCCAAGACTGGGAGGAGGAGTTGGAGGAGTCAAGAAGACAAAGAAGGAAGGAGGGAAGGGCATTCCAAGCAGAGAGAATGGTGTGAGAAAGGCCTAAGGTGGGAGGCAGGATGTCTGTGGATAGGGCAGGCTGAGAAATAAAATGGCGATATTGTAGTGGGAGGTGAGTTTGAAGAGGCAGAGGAGAGTAGAGTATCTGTCTGTATCTCAAGTTCAATGGGAAATCATTGGAAGGTTATACCCAGATTCCTCCTGACCAGATTCATATTTTAAAGAGCTGATTCCAGCTTCATTGAAAAGATCACTCTCGGCTGGGCATGGTGGCTCATGCCTGTAATCCTAGCACTTTGGGAGGCCGAGGTGGGCAGATCATGAGGTCAGGAGATCGAGACCATCCTGGCTAACACAGTGAAACCTGGCCTCTACTAAAAATACAAAAAAAAAAAAAAAAAAAAATTAGCCGGGCATGGTGGTAGGTGCCTGTAGTCCCAGCTACTCAGGAGGCTGAGGCAGGAGAATGGCCTGAACCCGGGAGGCGGAGTTTGCAGTGAGCCAAGATAGCACCACTGCACTACAGCCTGGGCGACAGAGCGAGACTCCGTCTCAAAAAAAAAAAAAAAAGAAAAGAAGTCACTCTTTTGCAGAATAGACTGTAGAAAGCAAAAGCAAAAGGGAAGAGACTAAGAAGAAGGTTATTGCCTTAGTCCTGGTGAGACGTGATGGTGGATTGGCACCCAGGGGTGGCAGTAGGGGCAGGAGTTAGTGCAGCAGCTGATAGTGAGTAAGGAGACCTCACAAGTGAGGAATCAGAAGCCAGGTCTTCAATGGGGCAACTGTGCCAGGTTTTGATCTGAGATGGATAAGGTTGTAAACTGGGACGTAGTCATGAGCCAAAATTGGAAGCAAGAAAGGAGACAAGGGTTGGGACAAGGAGCTCAGGAATGAGCCCCCCCCAATGCTGGAGGTCAGCTAGCATGGACTTCACAATATGCAGGCAGACCTGATGCCCAGGAGGGCTGGAATGTCTCCATATGTTTACTGCAGTTACACAGGTAATTTTGCAAGCTAGTGAAACCTTCTAATGGGACCAACTGACAGGAGGCTCTCGTTGAAAAATTCTAAAGCCTGTTTCTGTTAAGGTGGGTGCCCTAAGTGTCCTATTCTTGTATCACAATGCTGAGCTCGTGAGAATCAATGATCACTTTCAGTTTTCTGTGCTGCTATAGTAACCTTCCTTCATGATGAAAGTAAGAACCCCGTAAGTAAGACCCCCGTAAGAATGGAACAGACTAAATTGTCAGTATCTCAAAGAAAGATGGATCGCATGATCTTGGGGAAGAAATGTCTATTCAGGTTTATTAAGAACTTGCACTGCCGTTCTGTCATGAACGTGCTTTATTTGTGTAAAAAAAATAAAATAAGGGGGGAAATAACACTGTTTTCATTCATTGCCAGAGGCCTCGTGTACGAATACAAACACTCACAGAAAGTGGTGAGGGCAGTGAGATACTAAGATTCGTAAATTGTTTATGACTTTTGTTGCAATAACAGTACTTTCCAGATCCTTTCTTCATGAAATAATCCTAAATGTGAAATAAAAACTTTATGGATAGAATCGTGTTAGCTGCTGTTACTTGTAACAGGTGAAAAATTGAAAACAACCTAACTGTGCAAAACTACAGCCAATAAATTTTGCCTCATTCCACTCAACAGAATATTACATAACCATTAAAAAATGATGATTACAAAATACATATGCCAAACTGGGCAATGCTTATAATAAAGTTGAGTGAATGTGTATTTAATATCAACTACAGAAAGACAAATCAGCAACAGCAAATATCATTCAGAACAAAACTGGAAGGAAATGTATCAAAATATTAACCACTGTTGTGTTGCAGTCATGGAACTGTTAATAATTTTCTTCATTCAACTTTATGCAACCATATTTCTATAATGTGTAGGCACTTGATAATTGAAGGAAGTTATTTTAATAAGAAAAGCCATCGCCAGTTAGCTTAATACTGGAGAAATGGTCTGAGCCCTGCGAGAAGCCAGGTTTTCAAATGTTGATACAGGGATCAAGGGAAGGAGGAGATGAAGGCAGTGTAGGGAGGCACGTTGCATGGTGCTTATGAACTTGGCCTTGGGCTTGGTATTAAACAGATTTCGAGTCTTGGTTAGGCAATTACTGACTGTGACCTTGTATAAAGGACTCAACCTCTCTGTAAGTGGTTTCTCTTCCTCACCTGCAACATGGAGATAATAATAGTGTCCCTACACAGGGCTTGTGAGGATTATTCAAAATGATGTGGGTAATCACTTAACAATGTACCTGGCATGTAGTCTGTCCTCTATAAACATTAGCTATTCTTAATATTATTGCCAAGAGACCGTCTTAAAGAGACACTGGTAGAAATTGATGACAGCCGAAAAATCCAGATTTCTTTAGTCCAAAGGAAGCAGGCTGCATGGGCTCTTTGCCCTGAAAGGAGAGTGATGTTGTCATTGTCTACTGAGCTTTGTAAATGGAGTTAGTGGTGCATGGCTGAGACAGAAACTCAGGCTACTTGTGACTCACCTTCTCCCAGGAGCTGCCAAGAGCATCTGTGAAAGGTTCTGCATCAAATAGGCTCATGCAGTCACTGTCACACCAACTGAGGCCACTATAACTGTTCCCTGGCTGAAAAAGCAGCAGCTATCAAAGAGACATTGTACCCGCCCCCCCGCCCCCGAATTATCAAAGCACCAACTCAAGCTTTCTGGCATAACCTCCTCAAAGTATGGACTGGGTTGTCTTAGTTGCTGGATCACAACCCCTATTTAACCTCCCCCAATTACTGGGAGAAAGTAGGCTTCCAAAATTCAGTTGAGGGTCCAGCTTCATCTTTTCATCCAGTTGGGGTGTATGATTTTGCATTTCTACAGCTCTGCACAGTCTATTTCCTTCCATTTGAATGTTTCTTCTGCCACTTCCACCTACCTATGAACTACCTACTCAGCCTTCAAAACTTAGCTCAAATGTCACTTCCTCCAGGAAGTCTTTCCTCAACACCCCTTGCTCCAGAATTAAGGCCTCTCATAGAAATGTTTTCCTACCTTGTACACGGTTAAAGCTGCTTTCATTATAAACCATGCTTTTCTTCTCCTTTGCAGCTCTTGTCACCTCCATATCAAAACCAATGAAAGCAGGGATTGTGTCTCTCTTGTCTTGGCTGTCATTTTGAGCAGCTAGCGGAACTTGGCACACAGCAGTTCTTTAATCAATATTGAATAGATCAATGAATGAATGACTTTTCACCTTCCTAGTTACTCCATGTTGCTCCACAGAACACCTGTTTTTTCAGACAGAGGAAAGCTCTTTCGGGGGGATGGGATGGTGCTTTTCGTGTTCATCGTCCTCTCTCCTGTGATGGACATGGGGATGCACAGCCCAGATCCCTCTTCAAGCACTATTGGCAGATGGCCCTCTGCTGCCAGGGAAGGCTCAGCTGCAGAGAGCTGCCTCGCCCCAGGGCCTGGCCTTCCTGGGTGATGTGGGGTAGAAAGCCTGATCTTGTTGGCCAAATTTAGGACAATGCTGAAGGGCCATCCTAGGCCCCGGCCTCCCATGCAGATGGCCAAGACTGGCCCTGATCTGTATCACGATTCCTCATGTCTCTCTGCCCAGTTCTGCATTCTTCCCCATTCTTTCTACAGGTGTTCCTCCTAAAGGTTCTCTCCATTGCTCCTTAACTGTCTCTGGGTCTGCTTCCCTGAGAACCTGACCCGCAACATCTTCAGTCCCTGCAGAGTTTAGGGGTACTGAGGAGCTACTCACTAAACATTTTATGCATGAATAAATGGTGGAGTGAATCCCTTTCTGAATGCACGGTAGCTCTACCTGCCTCTCACTCTAGGCTGTGAACTCTCCACAGGGAGCTACTGTGTCTTTTTCACCTGTTACCTCAGTACCTAGCACCATTCCAGGTACACAACAGGTGATCAATAGGTGCAGGAGGAATGATGGGCAAGTGCGTTCCATAGGAGGATAGATTTAGACAAGAGAACATGAATGAATCAGCATACTCCCATTTCCACTCTCAGACCTTAAATTTAAACAATGCTTTCAGCAGCTGCTTTGCCAAGGGTGGGCCAGAGCACCTCCCTTTCCATTTTCATTTCCTTTTCATTTCTAGAATGATCAGGTGGAATGGGTGAGTTTTCTCCTCTGCTTCCCTTCTCAAAGACCCTTTCGATACTGCTTGTTTGAAGAGTAGGCATGGCTTGGATCACAGCTGAAGATGATAACAATAAATGTCTCTTTACAAATGACTTCCATTACCTGCGGTCAATTTGAGGCTTGCAGGCCATAGAAACAGGTCTCAGCAGGCTTGGAGTTGCGGGGGATTAGCGCAAATTGATTCTGGCAATTAACTCGGCAGTTCTCTAAGGCCCAGGCCCATGAGAGGCTGCTCCTCTTGCTGCAGCCTGAGTTCTGAGTGCAGATGCACTCAAGGCTGCAGAACGCATCTGGCCTTCACCGACAACCTAGGGGCCATTTTCTAGCTGAGTAATCTCAGGCACAGAGCCTCAGTGACCTCCCTTGTAAAATGGGGCCACATTATGCCATACAGAGCCTCTACCAGAACAGAGAAGAGCAGCAGCCATTGCAGGCTTATGATGAAGGAATGCAGACAATTTCCTTCCAGCGAGACTTTAGCTGCAGCTTAGACTCTCCACCCCGTGGAAGCCAGCTTAAAGGCTTAGTCAAACAGGATTCAAGCTAAATCTTGAATCAGCTGGATAGGGTTGCAACCATGCCTCCTTGCTAGCTGTGTGACCTCGAGCAAGATTATTACCCTCTCTGAACCTCAGCCATTTACCTGTAAAATGGGAGTAATAATGCCTATTCTTTGAGGTCAATGAGAGAATTAAAATAGTGCATGGAACATATATAGTGCACTGCCTATGAACCAGGGTTTGCTACTGTAATAATTCAGACTATGAATGCAGTTCTATGTCCAAGGCAATTATTTCAAAACCTCTGTGGAGTCTACAAAGTGGCTAACAGAGGCTGGACCATGTATCCATCATTGGCTGGCCCAGTTATTTTTTACCAACCTAAATCAATTTTTTTTAAATATTAAACTTCAATTTTTTATGATTATACAAGTAACACATGTTCATTGTAGTATATTTGGAAATCACAGAAAAGCACAAAGAAGCAAATAAATATCACCCAGAGAAAAACATTGCTAATGCTTTGGCTTTCTTTCTTGTAGTCTATATTCTATGCTGTATTCACATATGCAAATGTGCATAAATATTGGTGCTTCCTCCCTTAATTTGGGTCACATGCTGTTACATGGTATAAATCAGACAGTAACCTGGCCTTTTTACTTAATATATTGTGGGCATTTTTCTGTGTAATAAAACACTCTTTCATAACATGATTTTAATTTTTTATTTTATGGTATTCTCTTTTATAGATGTAGTCTTCTTATTTAGCCATTTTCCCTATTGAGATTTCCTCTCCCCCCAAATTCCATTATTATAAACAACACAGTAATGAACATCTTTGTGCCTAAATATTTGCAGGCCTTTTAGATTATTTCCTTAGGACAAATTCTTCAAGGGGAATTCCTCCTAGGTGAGAAGATACACATATTTTTGAGGCAGGATTCATGCATCCGGGGTCCTGTGGTATAATATGATCTATTTACACATTAAATATCAACATGATTTCTAAGTATTCTGTTGCCAAAATGCCTCTCTCTCCAGAAAGGCTTACTAATTTCCACACTTTCCAGTTAGTGTACAAGTGTGATATTTCCTCATACCAAGCCAACATTTGTGTCTTGGTCCATTTTGTGTTGCCATAATAGTATACCTAAGACTGGGCAATTTATAAAGAAAAGAGGTTTATTTGGCTCATGATTCTGTAGACCAAGAAGTTCAACAGCATGGTCCTGGCTTCTAGTGAGGGCTTCCATGCTGCATCACAACATGGCAAAGAAGGTAAAAAGGGAAGCAGATGTGCGAAAAGGGAAAAACAGAGGAACATCCCAGCTGACAAGGTTTGGGTGTTTGTCCTCTCCAAATCTCATGTTGAAATGTAATCCCCAGTGTTGGAGGTGGGGCCTGATGGGAGGTGTTTGGATCACAGGGGCAGATTCCTCATGAATGGCTTATTGCCATCCCCTTGGTGATGAGTGAGTGAGTTCTTTCTCTGAGTTCATGAGAGATCTGGTTGTTCAAAAGTGTGTGGCACCTCCCTGCTCCTGTCTCACTATGTGACTTGCTGACCCCCCTTTGACTTCTGCCATGACTGTAGGCTTCCTGAGGCCTCACCAGAAGCAGATGCTGGCACCATACTTCATGTACAGCCTGCATAACTGTGAGCCAATTAAACTTCTTTCTTTATAAATTACCCAGCCTCAGATACTTCTTTATAGTAATCCAAGAATGGACTAACACACTGGCTGTATAACAATCCACTCTCTTCCACTCTCTTGGGAACTAATCTATTCCCAAGAGAACTAATCTAGTCTCACTGGAGCAAGAATTCACTCACTACTGCAAGAATGGCACCAAGTAACTCATGAGGGATCTTCCCCATGACCCAAGCAGCTCCCACTAGGCCCCATCTCCCAACACCTCCACACTGGGGATCCAATTTCAACATGAGTTTTGGTGAGGACAAACAAACCATATCTTAACCATGGCAACTGCCTACAAAAAAAATTTTTTTTAAGCTTTGTCTAATGTGCATTTTTAAAATATAGAAAGTGAAACTACGTTCCTTCGTTCATACTGGTTTCCACCACAAGCTTGCTGCGTAACTTTGGGCAAGTCACTTCCCCGCTCTGGACTTCAGAATTTTTATCTATCAAATAAGGGGGTAAACTTTAACAGTATTCTTTTGGTTGCAAGTGACAGATGCAAAACTCAGCTGGCTTTTGGCAAGAATGAATAATTTATTGATTTATGCAACTGTAAAATTCAGTGAGTAGAAATTCAGGCATAGTTGCATCCAGTACTCAAATAATATCAAGAATTGGTTTCTTCTGTCTTTCAGAGGTTTTGATTTTGTTTGCTTCTTGGGCAGTCTCTCTCTCTCTCTCTTTTTTTTTCTTTCTTTCTTTTTTTTTTTTTTGAGACAGAGTCTCGCTCTGTTGCCCAGGCTGGAGTGCAGTGGCCAATCTCGGCTCACTGCAACCTCTGCCTCCCAGGTTCAAGCGATTCTCCTGCCTCAGCCTCCCGAGTAGCTGGGACTACAGGTGCGTGCCACCACTCCCATCTAATTTTTTGTATTTTAGTAGAGGCAGGGTTTCACTGTGTTAGCCAGGATGGTGTTGATCTCCTGACCTCATGATCCGCCCGCCTCAGCCTCCCATAGTGCTGGCAGACTCTTTTAGTCAGCTCTGGCACCTCTAAGACGACGTTCTCCAGCTTAGCAGCACCTCTTGTGATAGAATCCCTAGATCCATTTCAAGTGCACCGGCGTGAGGCGGGTGCCCATTATAAACCAATCATTGTGGAGAAGGAGGGAGGTCTATGCTGATTGACCACATCTGTATCTTGTAATCTCCCGGCAGTTAGGGAGAGATGGCTCCAGACAAACCCTGAGGATCTTCTAACCCTGACATCCCAGTAGTCCAGGACACTCTGGTTTCCCCAGCATATTTCCTACAGAGGTTTTGCGTATGTAGTTCCTCCATGGCCAAAGTCTCCCACCCATTAAATCTCATGGACACCTCATTTCAGTTATCTTTGCTTTCCGGGGGGTACTGGAATGGATGGGGAGGATAATTATCATATAAATTTATAGACCTCTGTTTGACAAACAGGGGACTTCCCTTGCAAAGGCACAAAGCCAGTTTCATAAATATTAATCAGAAGGAAACGGCAATCAACTCAAGTGGGAGAGGAAATGGCAAATTGCTTTTTCCTGTCTAGGACAGAAGAGCAACATTCATTTGTTGTATGACCAGAGGGTCTCTGGCAGGCTGCCTGTTTCTGCCAGCTTTCAATAATAATAATTAACAATAATATTAGTAGCTACTACTGATGATGTACCTACTGTGTACTACACATAAATGTGATACTTCACATGCATTCATTTTAACTCCTATTTTATAGATGAGGAAACCAAGGCTCTGGAAGATAATGTCACTTGCCCAGGAAGACACAGATAATATGAAGTTGAATCAGGATTCAAGCCCTGTCTACCTGCCCTCAATATCTGGGCCATATCTGCTTATCAGGCTGCCCAGGGTTTCTCCATGAGGGAGGTACTTAATTGTCTCTTGTCATTTGAGTTTTGGGGGTACAATAAATCACATTCCTATTTTATGTCTTTTGGGCAACAGGGAAGGTAGCCAGGGGGTCCTGGCTGCTTTTGTAAAAAGTTGTCGACATGCAGACCTCACAGGCTGAGGGCTTCGGAAAGATCTGCTCCAACCCTGGCTTTGGGCAGGAGCTAGGAGCTGGGTGCCAGGTTTATACACTTGTGCTCATCTCGTGTCAATGATAACTTTGCCACTTAACTAGTCTTGGGCCCATTTTACAGAAAAGGACATTGAGGCCAGAGGGATGATTGAGATTAGATCGCAAATTTCACTCATTTATTCAATGCATATTTAAGTAAATACTTCACTAAATCTTAGCCAATTTCCTCTTAACAAACTTGCCATGTTTACAGACTCTCAGTCTTGCTAAAAATCATGAGGACTGATGCCCACTGATGGCTAGCAGACACCACTCTCATTTCCCCGGGCACTTGGCACCTCTTAGCCAAGGTGCACACTTACTCTAAGTCGTTTGTGTTTGTTTCCAAACCTGTTTATGCTGGTTGTACATGTTGTTATAATTACACCATTTAATTAAGTAAACCTATTAAAGAACTGCTATCAAATTAGGTGTGGGAGGTGACTGTTTAGGATCAGAGTTAGTGCATATCACATAGATATCACTTGGCAAGAAAAACTATATGAAACACCAATAGCAAAAAACATTCTCGGCCAAAAAAGCCTCACCTTTTGTCTTAAGATCAGCGAATGAATGTACACATCTTTAAGTTTAATAAAATGTGTTAAGGAATTTATCATTTTCATTCTCAGTTTTAACCATTTTCCTTTTGATTTACTGACCAATTACTTATCTTATGTGTATTCGGTAAAAAGGGCTCCTCTGTATATACAAGATAACCAGGTGCAGAAGGACTTGGGGTAGGCAGGGAGATAGAGGAATTTGACACATTGAAAATGAACTCACACTTTTTTCTCCTGTTGCAAACATTCTCCTTCCTCATGAAGAACAAATGGCACCAGCGTCTGCCATCATGACCAAGCCCAAACCAGATGTCATCATGCATTCCTTCTTTCCCCCTTGCCCATAGCCAAAGTCCTGTTGAGCTGCTTCTTTGACATCTCCCACCCCATCCCACCTTCTCTCCCTTTTCTCCGTCCCTCCTTTAATCATTCCCTTCCTCCCTTCTACCCTTTTCTCCTCCCTCCCTCTCTTCATCCCTTCATCCTCTCTTCCCTTCTATCCTCCCTTCCTCTTCTCCTACCTGCAAGTATTTATTCAGCCTCTTTTATGTGCCAGCCACTCAGCTGACTCTGGGGAAACATTAGTGAGCCCAGTTAACAAGATCCGTGCCCTCAAGGAACTTACAGTCTAGTAGAGAGGACAAAATTAAGTCAGTAAACCAGAAAAGACAATAATTACAGATAGACATTGAGAGAACTTTAGAGGGAGCCTATCTGGAAGAAATCAAGGAGGGCCTCCATGAGGAGGTGATGTTTAGGCTGAAACCCAAATGACAAGAAGGAGCAGCTGGGAGAAAAGCCAGGAGAAGATATTTTGTGGAGTGAGAACATCGCAGAAGAAGGCTGGAAATCAAGTTAGAAAGGAAATGAAAACAGCCCAGGATGACTGGGGTCTGGAAAATGGGGCAGCATGGGACAGTCTGGGAGGTCAACAGGGCCTGGAAGTCAAGATGAGCATTTGTATTTTATTACAAAGGCAATAGGAAGTTTTGAAAGGTTTGGAGCAGGGAGCCAATACTCTGTTTTTTAAAAAATTGAACTTTTTATTTTGAGATAGTTGTAGACTCACATGCAATTCTAAGAAACACAGAGATCCAATGTACCGTTTACCTAATCGTCCCCAGTGGTAACATCTGGCGAAACTAGTCCAATTTCACAATGTAGATATTGACCTTCACACAGTCAAGACACAGAGCACCCCCATCACCATGAGGATTCATTCTGTTGCCCTTTTACAGGCACAGCCACTTTCTTCTCACCCCACCCCTTCCTTAAGCCCTGACAACCACTCATCCTGTCTTCATTTCTGTAATTTTGTCATTTCACAAATGTTATATAGATGAAATCATATAGTCTGTGACTTTTGAAATTGTCTTTCCTTCACTGAGCTTAATTTCCTGTAGATTCATCCAAGTTGTTGCAGATATGAAAATTTCATTTCTTTCTATTGGTGTGTAGTGTTTCATGGTATGGATGTACCACAGTGTGTTCACCAAGTACAATCAGCATAAACAGATTCGGAAACAAACACAGCCAATTTGGAGTAAGTGTACATTCTCTCATGAAAGGATCCCTGGACTGTTTCCAGTTTTGGGCTATTACAGATAAAGCTACTATGAACGTTCGTGTATAGATTTTTGTGTGAACATGAATTTCTGTTTCTCTAGGACAAATGCCTAAGAGTGTAATTGCTGGGTCTTGTGGTATTTGCATATATAGTTTTATAAGGAATCGCAAAACTGTTTTTCTGCATGGCTATTCCATTTTACATTCCCACCAGCAGTGTATGAGTGATTTAATTTCTCCATATCTTTGCCAGCATTTGGTGTTTTCATTATTGTTTATTTCAGTCATTCTGATAGGTACATCGTGATATTGCATTGTGATGTCTCATTTGCATTTTTCTGATGCCTGATGAGGTTGAGCATCTTTTCATGTGTTGATTTGCCATCTGTGTATCCTCTTCGATGCACCAGCAAATACTCTTTTACAAATTTATTACTCTGCCTTTATGGACAAGCCCCTTTCCCCAGTTAGACTGTGAATTCCTCAAGAACAAGATACGACCACGGACGGTGCTGGACAAATGCGACTCAAATGAACAAATTCAGAACTAGGAACATTGTTGAAGCTTGGACATGGTTTGCCCTGGGTCAGTGTCTCCTTCTCACATCCCAGACTCTGCCACCAACAGTACAAACCTCACCCTTGCTCACTGGCACACAACTGATGGTGTCAGTAAATTTCATCTAGAAAGAATTTGATACCCAGAGACTTGCACTTGCTGTATAATTAGGTCTAGCAAAGCTTATGAAAGTAGTCCCAGATCATAATCACTTTTTAATTATATTTACCTTTGTCAGCAAAGAGGTGAGGTATATTATTGGCTCTGGGAGGTAACAATTCAAATCTTCATCCAAAGAGGCAGGTGCTCTGAGGAGGATGTACAGGCAGAAAAAAATTGCTTGGGAAAGAACCAAATAAATTGAAACAGATCCAAACATAGAGCTTTGGCCTCCTGACTCAGTCTTGGATTCTGAGGCCAGGAAGTTGAGGGTCCTATGGTTTCTATTCTCGGTGCACCATAAGGGCATTTTTTTTTAACAGTAATATTTACTTATGGAATAATATCAGTGATGAAATAAATGAGCCACATTTCCATGAATAAATAAAGTTAGCAAGCAATGTTGAGTGAAAACCCCAATTTCAAAAGATAATATGCAGAGTAATATAATTTGTGTAAAATTTAAAACATATATATATATAATTTTAGATAGAGTCTCACTCTGTCGCCAGGCTGGAGTGCAGTGGTGTGATCTCAGCTTACTGCAACCTCCGCCTCCCGGGTTCAAGTGGTTTTCCTGCCTCAGCTTCCCAAGCAGCTGGGACTACAAGCATGTGCCACCACACCCAGGTAATTTTTGTATTTTTAGTAGAGATGGGGTTTCACCATGTTGGCCAGGATGGTCTCGAATTCTTGACCTCATGATCTGCCCACCTCAGCCTCCCATAGTGACAATTATATAATTTTTAATGGTCACATTTCGTGTCAGACATTGCTATTTGCCTACTCAGTATGTATTTTCTCCTTCTTGATTGCTAAAGTATTACATTATGATCAGAGTGGTGGTGTGTTCACTTGAAAACGTTCACACCAGAGACTTCTTGCAGCTAGGGATGCGCATAGGGCCAACTCTTGTCAACAAGAAGTCAAAGCAGTCTTTCAGGGGAGCTTCTGGTCTAGATGATTCTTATTTTTATTTTTTATTTTTTCATAATTTCAACTTTTCTTTTAGATTCAGGGGTACATATGCAGATATGTTACATGGCTATATTGTGTGATGCTGAGGTCTGAGATATAAATTATCTCATTACCCAGGTAGTGAGCATAGTACTCAAGAGCTAGTTTTTTTTAAAGCCTTGTCCATCTCCCGTCTCCCCCCTCCATTAGTTCCAAGTGTCTATTGTTATCATCTTTATGTCCATAAGTGCCCAATGTTTAGCTCTAGCTTATAAGTGAGAATATGTGGTATTTGGCTTTCTGTTTCTGTGTTAATCCGTGTAGGATAACGGTCTCCAGCTGCATCCATGTTAATGCAAAGGACATGATTTCATTCTTTTTATGGCTGCATAGTATTCCATAGCGTACATGTACATTTTCTTCATCCAATCCACCACTGGTGGGCACTTAGGTGAATTCCACGTCTTTGCTATTGTGAATCGTGCTGTAATAAACATTGTTCGGTAAAACAATTTATTTTCTTTTGGATGCGTATCCAGTAATGGGATTGCTCGGTCGAATAGTACTTCTGTTTTATGTTCTTTGAGAAAACTCCAAATCATTTTCCACCATGGCTGAACTAATTTACATTCCCACCAACAGTGCGTAAGTGTTCCCTTTCCTCCATAGCCTCACCAGTATCTGGTTTTTTATTTTTATTTTTTAATAATCGTCATTTTGACTGGTGTGAGATGGTGTCTCATTGTGGTTTTGATTCATACTTCTCTGATGATTAGTGATGTTGAGCACTTTTTCATGTTTGTTGGCTGCTGTTATGTCTTCTTTTGAGAAAGGTCTGTTCATGTCTTTTGCCCATTTTAACAGTGTTGTTTGTTTCTTGCTTATTGAATTAAGTTCCTTATAGATTCTAGATATTAGACCTTTGTCAGATGTATGGTTTGCAAATATTTTCTCTCTTTTTTTAGGGTGTCTGTTTACAGAGTTGATAGTTTCCTTTGCTCTGAATAAACTCTTTAGTTTAATGAAGTCTCACTTGTCAATTTTTGGATTTGTTGCAATTGCTTTTGAGAACTTAGTCATAATTCTTTCCCAAGGCCGATGTCCAGAATGGTGTTTCCTAGGTTTTCTTCTAGGATTCTTATAGTTTGAGGTCTTACTTTTAAATCTTTAATCCATCTTGAATTAATTTTTGTGTGTAGTGAAAGGCAGGGGTCCAGTTTCTTTCTTCTGCATGTGGCTAGCCAGCTATCCAAGCACCATTTATTGAACAGGTAGTCCTTTCCCTATTGCTTATTTTTGGTGACCTTGTCAAAGATCAGATGGCTGTAGGTATTTGGCTTTATTTCTGGGTTCTCTATTCTGTTCCATTGGTCTATGTGTCTGTTTTTGTATCAGTACCATGTTGTTTTGACTACCATAGCCCTATAGTACAGTTTGAAATCACATAATGTGATGCCTCTGGCTTTGTTCTTTTTGCTTAGGATACCTTTGTCTATTTGGGCTCTTTTTTGTTCCATATGAATTTTAGAATAGTTTCTTGTAGTCCTGTGAAAAATGACATTGGTAGTTTCTTAGGAGTAGCACTGAATTTGTAGATTGCTTTGGGCACTATGGCCATTTTAATGTTACTGATTCTTCCAATTCATGAGCATGGAATGTCTTTCCATTTGTTTGTGTCATCTTTCAGGAATGTTCTATAATTCTGCTGATAGAGATCTTTCATCTCCTTGGTTAGATGTATTCCTAGGTTTTTTTCTTTTTTTTTTTTTTTTTTGCGGGGGCAGGTGGCTATTGTAAATTGGATTGTGTTCTTGATTTGGCTCTCAGCTTGAATGTTATTGGTGTATAGAAATGCTAGTGATTTTTGTACACTGATTTTGTATCCTGAAACTTTACTTAAGTCATTTATAAGCTCCAGGAGCCTTTTGGCAGAGTCTTTAGGGTTTTCTGGGTGTAGAACGTTGTTGTCAGTGAAGAGAGACAATATTCTTCTTTTTCTCTTTGTCTGCCTCTTACTCCTCTCTCTTGGCTAATTGTTCTGTTTAGCACTTCCAGTGCTATGTTGAATAGGAGTGGTGAGAGGGAGCATCTTTCTCTTGTTTCAGTTCTCAAGAGGAATGCTTCTGGCTTTTGCCCATTCAGTATGATGTTGGCTGTTGGTTTGTCACAGATGGCTCTTATTTTGAGGTTTGTTCCTTCAATGCCTATTTGGTTGAGAGTTTTTATCCTGAATGCATGTTGAATCTTATTGAAGTCTATTGAGATTATCATATGTTTTTTGTTTTTAACTGTTTATGTGGTGAATCACATTTATTGATTTGCATATGTTGAGCCAGACTTCCATCCCAGGAGAGAGGCCTCCTTGATTATACCAAATTAACTTTTTGGTTTGCTGCTGGATTCAGTTTGCTAGTATTTTGTTGAGAAATTTTACATTTATGTTCATTAGGGATATTGGCCTGTAGTTTTTTCTTTTTATGTTGTGTCTTTGCCAGGTTTTGGTATCAGCAAGATGCTGGCTTTGTAGAATGAATTAGGGAGGAGTCCCTCCTCCTCAATTGTTTGGAATAGTTTCAGTAGAATTGGTACCAGCTCTTCTTTGTATGTCTAGTATAATTTTGCTGTGAGTCCATCTGGTCCACAGCTTTTTTTGGTTGGTAGGTTTTTTAGTACTGATTCAATTTCTCTACACATATTGGTCTGTTCAGGGTTTCAGTCTCTTCCCGATTCAATCTTTAAAGGTTGTGTGTTTCCAGGAATTTATTCATTTCCTCTAGATTTTCCAATTTGTGTGCATAGAGGTGTTCATAATAGTCTCTGAGGGTATTTTGTATTTCTATGGGATCGGTTATAATGTCACCTCTGTCATTTCGATTGTGCTTATTTGGATCTTCCTTTTCTTTTTCTTTGTTAATGTAGCTAGTGGTCTGTTAATCTTACTTAACCTTTTAAAAAACCAACTTTTAGTTCGTTGATTCTTTGTATGAATTTTTGGGTCTCAATTTCATTCAGTTCTACTGTGATTTTAGTTATTTCATTTCTTCTGCTAGCTTTGTGGTTAATTTATTTTTGTTTTTCTAGTCCCTGTAGATATGATATTAGGTCATTAATTTGCGATCTTTGCAACTTTTGGGGGCAGGTATTTAGTACTATAAACTTTTCTCTTAACACTGCTTTCACTACATCTCAGAGATTTTGATACGTTGTTTCTTTTTTTACGTATCTCAAATTTTTTTTTTAATTTCTGCCTTAGTTTCATCATTTACCCAAAAGTCATTCAGGAACAAGCTGTTTAATTTCCATATAATTGTGTGGTTTGGGGAGATCGTCTTTGCATTGACTTCTATTTTCATTCCACTGGTGGTCTGAGAGTATGGTTGGTATAATTGCATTTTTTTGAATTTATTGAGACTTGCTTTATGGCTGAAAATGTGGCCAATCTTGCAGTATGTTCCATATGCTGAGAATAATGTATATTTTGTGGTTGATGGATGGAGTATTCTGTAGATGTCTACTAGGTCCAATTGATCAAGTGTCAAATTTTAGTCTGGAATTTCTTTGTTAGTTTTCTGCCTTGATGATGTGTCTAATGCTGTCAGTAAGGTGCTGAAATTTTTCACTTTTATGATGTGGCTGCCTAAGTCTTTTCATAGGTCTAGAAGTCTAGAAGTAGTTATTTTATGAGTCTGGGTATGCCAATCTTGGAGATAGATATATATACATATGTATATATATATACACACACACACACACATACACACACACACACACACACACACACATATATATATGATAGTTAAGTCTTCTTGTTGAACCGAAGAGGACAATTCTTAAGTGCTGAATATGTGCCTACTATTATGCTAAGCAATTTCTGAAAGTATCTCATTTAATCTGCAACATAAAGTTAGTAACAAATGTGTAAAGGAGTATTGGTTAACCAAAGAGGATACATAAATGGAAAAGCAGATGAAAAGTTGCTCAACATCATTAGACATCAGGGAAATGCAAATTAAAATCCCAATAACATATCACTACACAACTATCAGAAGTGTTGAAATAAAAAGTATCTGAAAAGTAGATACTATTATTATCACCATAATTTTACAGAGAATACTGAAGCACAGAGAGGGTAAGTAGCTTATGCAGGATCACACAGCCAGGAAGAGGCAGGGTCAGGATTCAAATTCAGCTCTGCCAGGTATCAGAGTCTTTTAGGAAACCTCAATGCTATAGAAGATTAATCTGGTTTGGATTTGTGTCTTCACCAAAATCTCATGTTGAATTGTAGTCCCCAGTGTTGGAGGAGGGACCTGGTGGGAGGTGATTAGATCATGGAAACGGACTTTCCCCTTGCTGTTCTCACGATAGTGAGTTCTCATGAGACCTGGTTGTTCAAAAGTATGTAGCACCTCCCCCTTCTCTTTCTTCCTCCCACTCCAGCCATGTAGGATATGTCTGTTTCCCGTTCACCTTCTGTCATGATTGTAAGTATCCTGGGACCTCCCCATCCATGCTTTTTGTACAGCCTGCAGAACCATGAGCCAATTAAACTTCTTTTCTTTATATGTTACCCAGTTTCAGATAGTTCTTTACAGCAATGTGAGAAGAGACTAATACGGAAAATTGGTACCAAAAAGAGGGGCATTTCTATAAAGATACCCGAAAATGTGTAAGTGACTTTGGAACTGGGTAATGGGGAGAGGTTGGAAAAGAAGGGAAGGGCTCAGAAGAAGACAGAAAGATGAGGGAAAGCTTGGAACTTCCTAGAGACTTGTTAAATTGTTGTTACCAAAATGCTGATAGTAATATGGTCTATGTAGTCTAGGTTAAGGAGGTCTCAGATGGAGATGAGGAACTTATTGGGAACTGGAGCAAAGTTCACTGTTGTTATGCATCAGCAAAGAGGTTGGAGGTATTGTGTCCCTGCTCTAGGGATCTATGGAACTTTGAACTTGAGAGAGATGATTTAGGGTATCCTCCCATTAGTTCTGTTTCTCCAGAGAACTCTGACTAATAAACTCTACAACCAGAACTATTTTGGAGAAATCATAAGTAGTTCTCATATTCATAGATTTTTCAGTTTACTTGAGAAAACAAAAAAATCAACCAAAAATTAGAATACATGTGTTAAGAGTTGTGCTACAAGACATACAGGGTCCTATGTGAATCTAGAAAGGTTCACTTAGATATATTAATAGTAGACCCCCAAAATATTCAATGGATGAATTAATTGACCAATTAACTAATAATTTAATTTACCCCTTAGGCCAGATATAGGAGAGTCCAAAGAGATGACACTTGCAATAAGTAGGAATTCTTTGATTGAAATCTACTGAGAAGGGCATTCCAGGCCAAAGGGAGGGGCATAGAAGCTTGCAATAGTATGCCATAGTCAGAAAAACTATGGTATTTTGGTGCATTGATTGTAGAGGATGTTTGTTGCAAGGACAGATGAGAGAAAAATTTCTGGACAAGTTGGTAGTGGCCAGTTACTAAACGATTGTGTTGCCCATGTCAAATATTTTAGATTTTATTTCAAGGTCAATGGGAGCAATTTAAGAGATTAAGGTAGGAGGGTGTCATGATAAGAATTACATTTCAGAAGATTACTTTCTGCTGTGTAGAGAATAAACTGGTAAGTACATCAGTTTTCTATCGCTATATAACACATTATTTCAAAACACAGCGTATTAAAACAACACACATATATTACCTCACAGTTTCTGTGGGTTGAGAATTCAGGAGCAGCTTAACCAGGTGGTTCAGGATCAGGGTCTCTCATGTGGTTGCTGTCAACTAGGGCTGCAATCATCTGAATTCTTGACTGGGGCTGAAAACTTCTCTTCCAAGATGACATACTCATACAGTTGTTGGTAGAAGGCCTCAGTTTCTTGCTGGTTTTTGGCAGAATGTCTCTATCCCTTGTCATATGAACCTCACCAAAAGGCTGCCTGGATGTCTTCAGAATGTGTCAACTGGCTTTTCACAGTGCAAATAATTGAGGTTGGCGGGGGGAAGGGAGAGAGAAAAAAAGAAGGAGAAGAAGGAGGGAAAGGACAAGAGGAGGAGAGAAGAAAACAGAAGAGACGAAGAGGAGAGGAAGAAGCAGAGGACAAAGAAAGAGGGGATGAAGGAGGAGAGAAGAGGATAGAGGAAAGGAGAGGGGAGAAGAGGAGCAAAAATAATGCCTTTTATGACTTAATCCTAGAAGTCACTCACTATCACCCCCACTACATTCTACTTGTTAGAAATGAGTCTTGTCCACACTCAAGAGGAGAGAAATTAGTCTCCACCTTTTGCCAGGAAGGTTGCTAAATAATTTATGAACACATTTGAAAACCACCACAATGGGAGACAAAAAGGAGGCAATTGAGAGAAGCAGTTAAAAATCTTCAGGGAGAATATGTTTATGAAAAAGAGGGAGCAGATACAGAATCTGAGGGTTAATTACCTATGTGTGTCTGGGATAGGGAGTTAGGAGGAGTCCAGAGTAACTGTCCAGTTTCTGATTTGGGCAGGGGATTGCATGATGGCACCAATTCCCAAATCAGAGATTGTAGAGGAGAAGCAAATTGGATGTGACACATGCGTATGGAGTCTATGTGTCTCCCCCATGTACATGTACAGAAGGTGGTTAGATATTTGGATTTATAGCTCAGCCAAGAAGCCCCAGCTAGATCTATGGACTTGGGAACTCTCAGCCTATCGCTGAAGGATGAAGCCACTGGCTTGGGTGGGATCCTCCAGGGAACATTTTGGGTAGTGGGAAGAGGAGAGGACTGAACTTAGAAAATCCCTGGGGCACATTGATATTTTATGCTGAAACAGCAGAGAAGAGCCTGAGTAGAAAAAGAAACAGTAGGAAAAGACCAGAAAGGTAGGAATGAAACCAAGAAAAGGAAGTGCTTCCGAGCCTAACAGAAGAGGAGTTTCATGGAAAGGTGTTATCAACAGCATAAAGTGGTAAAAAGAGGTCAAATCATAGCAGGCATCTTGAAATCTCAATTCAGCTGCCCTGCCTTGGTCAGGTCCTTTCTCTTCTGTGTGCTTTGGTTTCATCATCCAGAAATGTAAAAATACTATCTCAGGGCTACTATGAAGATTCAGACGATATGGATGGTCTAGTAGTGTGTGAGGTACAGCGGGTGCGTAAATAAGTGATAGTTTTTCATTCATCATGCCCCCATGATAGACACATCAATAAATGCTTCCAACAAAAAGAGAACCAGAGCATTCTCTATTAAGTGTACATTTAATTTTTTACTCTCACAGGTAAAAAGGGTATGTGCTGTGGGAGAGACAATTGGTGGGTTGGGTGATCCTTCTCCAAATGGTCTGGGCTGTCAAGGACTGACTCCTCCAGTTCAAACTGCATGACGACTGTCATTTGACACCACTAAAAGCCAGCTCAGAGTGAACTCCCATAGGAAGAGACTACCACCCGTACCCTGGGCATGCACCCCTATCTGCGGCTGATGAGAGAGCTGAGGCGTCAGAGCTGTCAACCCAGCCTCTTATTTAAGCAGTGAATTTCCAGCAAATGGGGTGTGTATATAATTATCAGGGATGTCGATCCTGACATTAAAACAAACTGTCTCAAACCCCCATCACCTCTAACGAATGGCAGTTTAGGAGGGAGCTGTGGGCAGAGCCAACGTGTCAGCAATGATTAGGAGAGGCATATAACTCAGCACGCTGAGGAACACGTACAGTAGAAAAATGGAGGAGGAATTTAATAGCGCAGATTATGTTTTTAATTACTTTAGCAAACGAACTGTTCTTGTGCTTGAGTGGAGTTGTTGGGGAAGCCACCCCCAGTGTTCCCAAGCTGCCTGAGTCACACTATGATGGGGGCTGGTTATGGGGAGCTAGAGAACTTCCAGGATGGCACAACTGGGCTTGCAAGCTATGTTTTCTTTCCAGAGACTCCTTTGCCCCATCCATCTATGGGGAAGACTATTATCAGCATATTCAAGAACACAGATGCTGCAGACAGCCTAACCAAATTTGAAGCCTGTCCCTGCCATTTATTAGTTGTGTGATCTTGAACAAGATAATTGCTATGGATTGAGTTGTGTGCTCCCCAAATTTGCATGTTGAAGTCCTAATCCCAAGTTTCTCAGAATGTGTTCTTATTTAGATACAGGATTGTTGTAGATGTAATTAGTTAAGATGAGATCATACTTGAGTAAGGTGGGCCCCTAATCCAATATGACTTGTGTCTTTATAAAAATAGGGAATCTGAACACAGACACACACACTCAGGGAGAATGTCATGTGAAGATGAAGGCAAAGATCAGTGTGATGCTTCTACAAGGCAAGGAACACCAAAGATTGCCAGCAAACCACCAGAAGCTAAGTGGGGCCTGGAACAGGTCCTCCCTTAGCACTTTCAGAGGAATCACAGTCTTGTTGACACCTTGATTTCAGACTTCTGGCCTCCAGAACTGGGAGATAATACATTTCTGTTGTTCTAAGCCACCATTTGTGGTACTTTCTTATGGAAACCATAGTGCACTAATACAAGAACTTTACCTGTGTCTTGGTTTTCTGGTCTATAAAGATAGCGATGGTACCCAGACCTCATAATACGATTATGAAGCTTAAATGCAACTTGTGTAAAGCACTTGAAACAATGCCTACTACATAGCAAGCTCTCCACCACTGTAAGCTGTTAGTTTTGTTATTGAAAGCTCTTTGCAGTGGGACAGGATGGGGAATGGTCTTTAAATGATAATTAAAAGAGAGAATCAAATGGAATTGGGTGCCTAATATTTAATGGGAGCTGTGTTAGTCTCCTTACACACTTTGTCTAATCTGATACTCACATCTAGAAGGGATTTGAATTCCATTTACTGACAAGAAAGTTGAGGCTCAAAGAGGTGAATTGACATCATACCCAAGTTTCATAGGTTGTAAGTATCAGATGAAATATTCAAAGCATGGGTATCTGACTTGGAAGACAATAGCCAAACCCTCTTCTAGCTTAGTGTCTCCACATGCATTAACACTGAAGACATTGTTCATGTTCTTGAGATACAGAAAGCAGAAAGTGGCGACAGAACAGGCAGCATGAACAGTGAGCAGCCACTGGGGAGGGACAGATCTGGGTTCTGGACTCAGCATCATTACTTCCTGGCTGTCTCACCATGGACAAGTCACTTCTCCTCGCCTTGAACCCTAATTTTATCATCTGTGAAATGGAAACAATAACACCTACCTGGAAGGAGTATGGTGAAGACAACATTTAACAATGTCAGTGAATGATGAATATTCAATAAATCTTTACCAATTATTACCATTCTCACCAGGAGAGACTATCACGTTACCTGTATTGTATGCCAGGAGCTTTACAAACCTGGATGTGGGTGGGTCTCTGCTTGATCATTTCATGGGCAGTCTCTCTGGACCTCAGCTTCATCACCTATAAAATGAGGTTATTAATCATCATGATCATTTTAGGTGGTCACTTTTGATATTCCCACTTAGTTGATGAGTTATGACTTCAAGGTCGTTGCTTATACAGAGATAAGAGTTTAATGGCCCCTCTGATTAATTTCTACGCATTCACAATTTCTTTGAGTCTCTATTTTTGTATTCCAGTCTTGTTTCTGTTGCTTCAGCTGTATAACAGATTGCCCCGGAACTCAGTGGTGTAAAACAACCATTTAGATGCTCACAGATTCTGAGGGCCAGGAATTCAGACAGGGAACAGCAGGAATGGTTTGTCTCAGCTCCACAATTCCTAGAATCTCTGCTGGAAGACTTGAAGGCTGGAGCTGGAATCATCTCGAGTCCCATTTATTCTTATGTCTAGAGGTTGATGTTGACTATCGGTTGCAAACTCATTTCTTCTCTGTGTGGCCCCTGTCTGTGTAGTCTTTCAGCATGGGCTGGTTTGGGCTTCCTCATAGCATGATGGATGTATTCCAGAAGTAATTGGAAAGAGAGAGGGGGGTGAGAGAGAAGGAGAAGGAGAAGGAGAGAGAGATGCAGAGGGGAGCTGCAGGAGAAAACTGTCTCCTGTTTATGACCTCATCTTGGAAGTCCCATGGCATCACTTCCACCATTCTTATATATATATATACACACACACAGTTTTGAAAACTACAACCTGCCAAGTTCTTTCATAGATCTTAGGTAAAAATATGTCATCAAAGGTTACTAGAAAAGGCAATGTTTGAATAACAATGGGTAGAAACCATGCATGTTTCCACAACAGAACACTGTCCACCTAAGACCAAACCTATCATGATTTGTGACCACAAAGGCCCAAAAGGAGTTTATAAGAGACAAATCCATTGTAGGACACCCTCCTGAGGCCCTGATATGGTTTGTTTCTGTCCCCACTCAAATCTCATCTTGAATTGTAGTTCCCATAATCTCCACGTGTCATGGAAGGGACTTCCTTGGAGGTGACTAGATTATGAGAGTGGTTCCCCCATGCAGTTCTCATGATAATGAGTGAGTTCTCATGAGATCTTATGGTTTCATAAGGGGCTTTTCACCCCTTTGCTCTGCACTCATTCTCTCTCCTGCCACCCTGTGAAGAGGTTCCTTCCGCCATAACTGTGAGTTTCCTGAGGCCTCCTCAGCCATGAGGAACTGTGAGTCAATTAAACCCCTTTTCTTTATAAATTATCCAGTCTCAGGTATTTCTTCATAGCAGAGTGACCATGGGAATGGACTAATACAGGTCCCTAACAAATAGAATATTTTGGATCTCATTTCCCTAGTTGCTGTCAGCCCAGGGGAGTGCAGGACCCAGCAGCCCATATCTTATTAGGAGGAAAATACTTTCCCACCTGGAAAGAGGGAAGAACAATAGCTAATGGTATCCACTGCACTCTTTGCTTAGTCCCTGCCTAAACCCATGGAGTTTTCACTCTGGACAAAGAAGAGCATTATTGGCTTCTCAGCCACATCCTCTGTCATTTTAGGGCTGGCTTAACATGTCATGTGGCAGACAACTCTGAGCTGAACAGCAGCCTGGTGTGGTTGCCCCTGGGGCAGGAGGCAAATTGGGGAAGCATCCTGGAAAATTATCTAGTATCACACAAATCATGTTTCACTTGGGGAGAATTGCATTCTTTTCATTATTCATTATGAAAAATATGTACCAGGTTCCAGAAATATTATGGTGAGCAAGTATAGTTTATGGAATCACTGTCAGACAGTTAGATCTCAGTTTATTGAGTGCTCTAAAGTGGGAAGCTGAGGCAGCTTGAGAGTCCAGAGGAGACCGGATTCAGTCTGAGGATCAGAGAAGGCTTCCTGGAAGAGGGGATATCTAGAAGGAATCTTAAAACTAGAGAAGCTAGACAAGCAAAGAGAAGGTGAAGTGGAAATGAGAGTTTTAGACAGAGGACGCCCCATGTTCAAAACCCAGGGATCCAGGTGTGGGGAGAGCAGCAGGGCCACAGCCTCTAGCCCCCAGCAGTGGACAGAGTGAAAGTTTTAGTCTCACCACTACTGAAAACATCATGCCTATTGGATATGATGACGCTGGCGGCTGGCAGCTTCTCTACACCTTGCTGGAGGCAGCAACATTTTCCCTCTATTTAGAGGACTGAGGGTCTCTAAAAGTCCCTGGTGCTGGGCTGGAGATGGCGGGGGACTTGGAAATAGGATGGGAAGAAAAATGCCGGAGAGGAATGTGGCAGTCAGTTTGGAAAGGGTGCAGATTTTTATAAGGCAATGGGCAAGAGTTGTAACGAGGAAGGGAAAGAAGAGAGTATGGAGGAGATGCAGCTGTAAGGAAGATGGGAAGGGACTGGCTGAGCTGAGGCTGCTCAAGACAGAGAAGGGGCAAGCACCATGAGAAAAGTGGAAGGCTATGTGTGTGTGCAAATGCATGTGTGGGCATGTGTACATGAATGCATGTGTGTGCATGCATGTGTGTGTGCATGTGAGTGTGTATGTGTGTGAGTGTATGAATCCCACTAGATGGGATTCAGGTGCTAATGCAGGCATACACACACACACACACAAACACACACACACCCCTACACACAGGTTCCACTTTGGTTATTTCAAATGCCCAGGGGGCTCTTTGCCTTGGCCAAACTGTTTTTTTGTTTGTTTGTTTGTTTTTGGTAGCTAGGGAAATGACCCCAGTTCTTCACCCAAAGAAACCATAGGGGAGATACCTCAAGCAGAAAATGAGAAACAGCAATGCATCATTCTTGTGGCTAAAAACAGGTAACATTTATAAAGCACTTTGCCCCAGGCACTGTGTAAGTGATTGTCACAGATTATCCTATTGAGCCCTCTGTAGACTCCCAGGTGGGCCACGGGTTGGCTGGAAAACACCTTGCCTCATCCCAACCCCAAAACATGCTCCGTGAGATTAGACCTATACCCTAAAGCCAAGGGGCCTGGCAGAACTGAGAGAAGCTCGTTTCTTGCAGCCTTATAACTCCATTTATTGGAGCTATCCTTTTAGATAGAACCTACACGGTCTATGCCCTTTTTAGGCCATTCTGACAGACACCTGGGTCTCTCTTGATTTCCAGGCACTGGGAGAGCATCCTGGTGAAAGCACTCTGCAGCAGCATCCTTAATTCTAAGGCCACACCTGGGTTAGTGTCCAGTGAGCCTAGACAATCTGGCTATTCTCTTCTCCAGTAATCTAGAGAGTTCCCCCTCCTGCATCATCAGAATAGCCTTGGGAGAGTAGATAACCCTGTTGTCAAACCCGTTTTTACAGATGGGGACACTAGGGCTCATAAAATCACCTGAGCATAGGCAATTAGTAACATACAATTAGTAAGTGGTAGAGGCTGTGTGTGGGCCAGGGATTCTGAATCCACGGCCCATGCTCTTCTCCAATGCCCTACAAAACACACATAATAAAGTTAAATTCAAGTGGGAATGGAGTACTCTGATAGTGCACTGAAGAAACAGAAAGTCATCCATTATTTTTTTCCAGGTGGACTATGGGGCTAGGTCTTCAAGGCTATGTAGGAATTTGACTGGTGAGGAAGGTATGGTGGTCAGGGGAGGAAATGGCACATGCAGAGATGAAGCACTGTGATAAGTTAAGGTGAATGAAGGATTTTGGTGTGGCTTGAGAGTGGGGTGCGTGGTGATAGGTGAGGCAGGAAGGAGACTCCAGGAGATAAGTCAGGAATCAGCTTTTGAAGGACTTGGGTGCCATATTGAATAATGCCATCACTATTATAGGATCACCACCATCATCTTCATTATCACCATCATTGTGACTTTTTCTTATGACCATTAAGGACCTGAGAGTCCACAGAGGGCAACAATGGATTAGGTCACTTTGCTGACGGGAGGTAGGGTTGCTTTACGGTTAAAAACAAGCTAGAGAATCAGACAGCTGCATTCAAGTCCCAGATCTCTGTCTCCTTGTTGTGTGTCTTTGGATAAATCATGTGACTTCTCTAAGTTTCATTTTCCTTATCTGTAAAATGGGGACGTGGTAATAAAAATATGTAAGTCATAATCACGGAGAGGAGCAGATAATATAATCCACACCTAGTATTGAGCAGTGTACCTGGCACACGGTAAGTGCTTAACTAATACTAACTGCCATTAGCATTATTATTGAAGGAAACCTCTGGAGGAAGCATTCGGGGGCCATGGGGCAGTGGATAGACAGAGGTTAGCAGTTTGGAGGCTGTAGCAAAAATCCAGAGCAGTAGTGACGAATCCTGATTCAAGGCCAAAGCTGTCGGAATAAAAAGTGGAGGGTAGATTTGCTAGGGGACTGGTGAGCATCATTTAAATAGAGGATTAAATAAGCTAGCATATATGGAGGCATTCTGTGAACTGTACACATTTGAGTATGATTACAATCAGGGCTATTTTCATCAGCTTTATTTCTTGGGGGCCTGTCAGCCTCAGTCCTCTAGAGAGAAAATGCCATTTAATTCTCCCAGATCAAATATTTAACAAACATAACACTGCATAAACCGAGCTTTGCCTATTTAGCATGCACTCTGTATTTTTAGTTGCTGACTGAAACTCCAGAGATTTTCCCACCTTGGCCGACAATTCTCTGCCTGAGACTGCTGTCTGTAACAGGGACTATACGCACATTCTGACAGCCAAGAACACAGTACCTGGAACTCAAATGCCTGGGTTTGAATCCCAGCTCTGCTGCTTAGTGTGTGCCCTTGGGCAAACTACACAACTTTTCTGTGTCCCTGTTGGTAAAATGAATAGAATAGCAGATTTACTTCATGGAACTGTTTTAAAGATTCTGACCTAAAGGTAGGACAGAATCTGGTATGTGAGCATGTCTATTATCATCACCATTATACCATGACCATCACCATCATCATCATCACTGTCATCATCAGCATCATAACCATCACCATCATCATCATCGCTATCATCATCATCATCATCTCCATTATTAGTATCACCACCACCATCATTGCCATGATTATCATTATGATCATCACCATCATCATCATCAAGTTATCACTATCTTCATCACCAACATGGCCATCATCACCATCATCACTATCATTGCCATCATCATTAAATTATCGCTATCACCATCATCATCACTACCACCATTATCATCATCATCATCGTCAAATTATACAGACCCCTACATCAGTTATCCTGAATCTAGACTGATTAAGAAACAGATCCATGTTTTTAGCCACTATAGATGTGACTGAGGCTCAGAGAGGTAATGTCTCTTGTCTCTGGTTGGGACACAGACAACCAGAGACAAGGGACATTACCCCTCTGAGCCTCAGTCTCCTCATCTATAGTGGATGAAGCACTGAGAATAAATACTGAGCCTCAGTCTCCTCGTCTATAGTGGATGAGGCACTGAGAATAAGTACCACAGTTTATTTACCTCCATATCTCCAGTTCTTAAAGTACCCAAAATGCACGCTGAATTTCCATTTGCTGAGTAAATGACTGATTAGATGAATGAATAAATAATGTTGACCCTAAAATTCAGTGGCTCTCAAAGTGTGGTCCAAGGACTCCTGGGAGTGCCTAAGAATGTTTCAGAGGGTCCTGGTTGTCCTCCTTTCTCTAAATACATGTCTGTGTGAGAATTTCTTCATAGACTTCCACCAAAACCAACACATCACAACAGACTGCATGCAGAAGGAGCTAGAAGAATCTAGGCATTCTATTCAGTTAGGCATTAAAGAGAATTGCAAAAAAGTAAAACAATGCCACTCTTCTCCGTATTTTTTCTTTGGTTATGCAAAAATCTAGTTATTTCCCCATAGAATGAATATGTTACTTTACTTATTGGGTTTATTATTGTTTCTTTCTTTTTCTTTTTCTTTTTCTTTTGAGACAGTCTTGCTCTGTTGCCTAGGCTGTAGTGCAGTGGTACAATCTCAGCTCACTGCAACTTTTTCCTCCCAGGTTTAAGCGACTCTTGTGCCTCAGCCTCCCAAGTAGCTGGGATTACAAGCGTGCACCACCACACCCGGCTAATTTTTGCATTTTTAGTAGAGATGGGGTTTCGCCATTTTGGCCAGGCTGGTCTCGAACTCATGGCCTCAAGTGATCCACCTGCCTCAGCTCCCCAAACTGCTGGGATTACAGGCATGAGCCACCACACCAGCCTATTATTTTTATTTATAAATTAATAAATGCATGTTTTTAAAAACATTTCTATCTTAATTTCTAATACTAGAAATTTTGTTGATACAACCCACATGAACAAAAGTTTTTCGGGGTCTTTGATCATTTGAGAGTGTAAACAGACCAGCAACTTTGAGAACAAGACAAACTGGTCAGTTACAACACAGCAGGTATGTAAGCACTCGGAATTCCTCATGGGTAGCTGGGATCAGTCCCAGAACTAAGACTGCAGTGGGGTTTCTGGACCCTATGCCATGGTGGGGACTGCTGATCCTGGCCAGACAGGGCTTCAGTGACCACAGGTGACTGGCCCATACGGGAGCAAAGGGAGGTCTGACATCTTTTCAATCTGCAATTCCAAAACCACTGCAGATTGACTGCCCTCCAGAAGCCACAGGCTGAACCTAACAAACAGTTGTTGCACCACTTTACAGACCATTAATCTCCACCATGTCAGGACGAAATGCTTGGCTCAGGTTCACACACTTGTCCGCTCTGGGAGTTGCTTTATTGTCTCTTTACTTTGGCCCCAAAGAGCATCATTCTACTAATTAAAGAGGTCTTCATTCCAGAGCCCTCTAGAGAGAAGGCACACAGAGACTTATTATGCCAGGCTCTGAGACTGATCTCTTGTCGTAATGGTGTCCTTTCTGGGAGAAGAGCAGGAACAAAAATTTTCTAAGTATGTGCTAGATAGGGAAGGTCATAGCATCTGGACATTTTCATGCATGGTTAAGAAGACAGGCTTCAAAAAATCAGCTCCTGCATGCTGCCTACTAGCTGTGTGACCCTGGGTAAGTCTCTGAGCCTCTCTGGTCCTCAGTGTCTGCACCTGTGCAATGGGTATAATCATCACATCAGCCCTTGTAGGACTGTACTGAGGATGCATTGAGAATCCCGTTCAAGGGTGCTTAGGACCCACTGGCTGCTATAGTCATCATCACTAACAGTGCCTGACACTATCCCTGAGAACAGGCTATCACTACTATTTTAATAAACCCATGAGTAACAGAAGAGGAACCCAAAGCTCAGAGGATTAAAATTAGTATTCAAGGTTACGTAGCCATTAAGTGACAAAGCTGGGATTTGAGCCCAGTTCTGCTCGAGTCAGGAGCAGAAAGTCCCATGGATGGTCCTCACTGGGGTGGGCTGAACAGAATCCAGGAGCTGAAAGAACATGCTGCTTGGTGACTCCTGCTGTTTCTATCTGAGATCTCATTTTCCCTCTTTTCACCTTGAGGCGAGTTGCTAATATTTGATAGGAAGCCTGAAGAACAAAGATCTGAAACACAGGATTTGTGTAATCGTTTTATCTCCACTCCTTACTTTATTTCTCTGTCCCTGAATGGCAAGAAGGGGATTTGTAGGCAGTCTTTTCGACTAGAGCAGCAGTCCTGTTGCAAACACAGCTTTAAAATGATCCAAAGATATTTTAAATCATTACTGTTTTCTCCTGAAATATATCAATTGTAAGGATATTATGCAAACCAGGTGTGGAATGAATGAAGAGGGGGAGGGGAGAGAAGTATGGCAAATGAGGCCTAGGGGGAGACCATGGAAAGAGCATTTCCAAAATTGAGCGGTTGAATTAAGGAATCAAGAAAATGCCCCAATTATAGTATCAAATGGAGGGAACAAAGAGACATGAAACTTACCTTTAAAATGAGCAAGGTAGTGGAAAATTTAAGACCTTGCAGATCAATGGCTTCTACCGATTTGGAGAGAAAGAGCTGCCTTTATGTTCTTGATATCACTTGTGGAAGAAGAGGAAAACTGTCAGATAAGAGACAGGTGTGTGTGTGTGTGTGTGTGTGTGTGTGTGTGTAGAGGTGTGTGGAGAAAGAGGCAGAGACAGAAATACAGAGCAAGTGGAAGAGACACAGGTGATAATAGAATCAGTGAACACCCCAGGTTCAATCCCAACAGAGATGCAAGTGGATTTCTGACCTCATCTGTCCCAAAGCCCTCTGTTCCTGTCCATCCAGGTCCTCCAGGTAAGAGAGCTCAGGTGCCTTCACCAGTGTGAAGGTTCATAAGACCCATCTCCTGGAGTGTCCTGACTGGGACACTCCATCTGAGTGTCCCGTCTGTATCTATGGGCTGAAGTCCAGCCTGGGAAATAAACAGACTCCTTGCCACCCGTAGGAGATGATGGTGGGGACAGGGGTCAGAAGGTCTATCCAGATCCAGCTCTGCTGGAACTTGCTGTGTGCCCTTGGGCAAACCCACCCAAACACTCTGGGCCTCAATTTTTCCATCTGTAAAATGGGAAAGAGCATGCCTGTCCTTCCTACCTTCCAGGGCTTACATGAGATCATGTAAGCTTACTTATTAGGCTTACATGAGATCATGGTTCTCAGGCAGGCTTTGAAAAGTTCAAAAAAGGTTGGACACAATGCTGTAATCCCAGCACTGTGAGGGAATAAAGTAGCAGGATTGCTTGAGGCCAGGAGTTCAAGACTAGCCTGGGAAACATAGTGAGATCCCATCTTTAAAAAAAAATCAAAAAATTATCCAGGCATGGTAATGTGCACCTGTAGTCCCAGCTAGAGGCTGAGGTGGGAGGATCGTTTGAACCTGGGAGGTTGAGGCTGCAGGGAGCTGTGATCCTACTACTGCACACTAGCCTGAAAGACAAAGCAAGACCCTGTATCAAGTAAATACATAAATAAATAGGAAAAGTTCAAAAAAGTGAAAACAAATGTATATAGAAGTAACAAATTTCTAGTATGATTTGTGGATGTCGAGGCCCACTTTGTTGCATTTCCTGGATAACTCTCCAGTCCTCCTCTTAACCAGGAGGAGTCAATCTGCTCAGTAAAAAGATCATTGTATTTTCAGGCTGAGGGAGGAAACTGTTCAGAGAATTTATGTCTTGTTCTATTCCAGAGAAAAACCCCTTACAACAGGCCATGAAACTCAATAGGGAGAAGAATGGTAATGATAATATAATAATAATGATAATAAAAAAGGGAAAAACAAAGCCACTCAGATCAACTAGGATAAAGTATGGCCAAGGGAGGTGCCTTGTGATTTTTTTTTTTTTTTTTTTTTTTTGTGAGTAAGAGTCTTGCTGTGTTACCCAGGCTGGAGTGCAGTGGTGAGATCGTACGTAGCTCACTGCAGCCTCGACCTCCTGGGCTTAAGCAATCCTCCCACTTCAGCCTCTCAAGTAGCTGGGACCACAGGTGTATGCCACCACACCTGGCTTTTTTTTTTGTATTTTTTGTAGAAATGGGGTCTCACTATGTTGCCCAGGCTGGTCTCGAATCCCTAGGCTCAAGCCATCCACCTACCTTGACCTCCCAAAGTCTTAGGATTAAAGGTGTGAGCCATTGCACACATCCCCTGTGATTTTTATCTTCCTCTCAGACTTATTGGCTTAATCTTCATAACCTTTTTATTTTTATTTTTTGAATGGGCCAATGGCTGCATGGTAATTCCTTTTGGGAACAGTTTGTGGAAGTGATCTTCAGTTTCCAGCACACCCCGGGTCCCTTCTTCCTTAGAGGCCTCCTCTTTGTCTTGAGATGGATTCTGAAGGGAAATGGCTCATCAGGGCTCTCATCTCGCTTTCAGCATTCATCTTGCTCTGTTCAGAAACAAGCCCAGGGAATTTACCAACTGGAAGAAAACAACAACACCGACAATAATTCCAGTCTAGAGCCAGGCATCTTCTCCTTCTCAGGCCTGTGGGCAGCCTGAGGATAGCAGATTGATAATTGCTTACTAAATCAAGGGAGGTGGCAAGAAATGGATTCCTCTGGGCATCTCCTTCCTCATTGCCTAGAATTCACCAGAAACAGGAAATGGAATTCTTCATGGGCAAGAACCTTCTAGATGAAATAACTAAGTTGGAACCAGCTGGGATCCAGAAGGGCCTGCAGCCCTGCAAGTGTGCCTAGCATTGTGCTCTCCTTTGGCAGCTGTAGGCAAGCAATCTTCACCTGCTCTGGGAGGTGAGTTTCGTCAACATCCCGGCTTGACAAGTGAAGCATGGGGTTGTCATGGCAACATGGAAGGTGTGTGGGCTCTGAAGGTTAGAGAGATGAGGGTTGGAATCTTGCCATGGCTCACTGTGTGACTTTCTGCAATTTATTCATCCATTGAGCCTCAGTGTTCTCATCTATAAAGTGGTGAAAACAATTTCCACACTGTTTCACGGAGTAGAGACAGTGTATGTAGAAATATCTTGCATTCAGGAAAATGCAAATCAAAGCCACAATGAGGTATCATCTCACCCCAGTCAGGATGGCTATTATCAAATAGACAAAAAATAACAAATGCTGGAGAGGATGTGCAGAAAAGGAAACCCTTATACCCTGTTGGAAGGAATGTAAACTAGTATAGCTACTATGGAGAGCAGTATGGAGGTTCCTCAAAAAAACACAAATAGAGCTACCATATGATCCAGCAATTCCACTACTGGGAATTTATCCAAAGGAAAGGAAATCTGTACTTTGAAGAGACATCTGCACTTCTATGTTTATTGCAGTACTATTCACAATAGCCAAGATATGGAATCAGCCTAGACATCCAACCACAGATGAATGGTTAAAAACGGTTAAAGAAAATGTGGCATATATACACAATGGAATACCATTCAGCCATAAAAAATAATAAAATCCCATCATTCACAACAACATGGATAGAATTGGAGGACATTATGTTAAGTGAAATAGGCCAGGAACAGAAAGTCAAATACTGCATGTTCTCATTCATCTGTGGAAGCAAACAAAAGTTAATCTCATAGAGATAAAATGTAGAAGAGAGGATGCTAGAGACTGGTAAGGATAGGGGGAAGGGAGAGAGAGGGAAAGATTTATTAAAGGATATAAAATTACCCTGATCTGATCACTATATATTATATGTATTGAAATATCACTACGTACCCCGTGAATATTGTACAATTATTATTTGTCAAAAAAAGTTTAAGAAAAGATCTTGCATTATATATGAAGTAACAAAAAGAAAAGAGAAAGAAATGACTACCATTAGCTCATTGGTTAAGGGCCTCTGAGAGGTCTAGTCACTTGCCCATGGAAACATTCCTTGTGGGTTTGGGGTTGGGTTTGAGCCTTTGTGCTGAGACTAGACCCCAGGATCCTTTCATTATGTACATATCTTGCATAAAGCAAAGACACTACAATGCAGGATAAATGGCACTCCGCCTATCTCCTTGGTACCTGGTGGTTTCCTACCACAGTCCTCCCTTCCACAGAAAACATTTTGTTTGTGAAGACAGATGTTATACTTTCCCTTTCATTGAGACTTACCTGACAAGAGTCCCACCCTTTTACGGTTCCACTTTCAGCTTTTTGTCATTGCATCAGAATCCAGAACTGATGTTTACAATCCCGGATTAAAACCAGATATCATTCAGTTGTCATAAATGTGAGAAGCAGCCACATATGAGACATCAGGGAATGCTGGGTTCTGGGACAAACCCAATCTAAAATTGTCTCAATCAAAAAATTTTAAAAATATATCAAAGGCGAAATAGATCTCTGGGATGCAAGTGGCTCATGGACCACTTGTAACCTTTGATCCATTTTTCATCTTCTGTGTTCTGCAGAGGGAAATGTGATTTGCCGACAGCCACAGCCTTAATAAACTCTCTGTACAGCCACAGTGGTTTAAAAGCCACATTTCTCTATTCCCAGCCCAGGGTTTTTTCTGCTCTCAAGTCTAACTCATTCATACTACTGTGTTAATGATTGACTAAGCACTTATGCTACTCTTACGAGGGTAACAGTAATGGTAGAAATCTGGCTGGGCATGGTGGCTCAGGACTGTAATCCCAGCACTTTGGGAGGCTGAGGCGGGTGGAGCACTTGAGGCCAGGAGTTGGAGAGCAGCCTGGCTGACAGCAAAACCCTGTCTCTACTAAAAATAGAAAAAAATAGCTGGGCATGATGGTGTGCACCTGTAGTCCCAGCTACTTGGGAGGCTGGGGCATGAGAATTACTTGAACCTGGGAGGCTGCAGTGAGCTGAGATTGCACCACTGGACAGAGACAGTATGTTGGGAGACATTTGTGGGTAGAGGCCCCACTTGCCCCTTGCCATGTAAATGTTCATCTCTGCTGCATACATTTATTTTCCAATCCTCTCCATTGTTCACGGGAAATGGTGATGCCCATTATTTCCTGCTTGTTTTCCAGCATGGGAGGCTTTCTGCACCCACACAGCTCCATTCTAGGGGAACAGCCCATTAGTTCCTGGATGCTCCCCTCCTCTCCAGGTCTTGGGCTTTCCCACAGCACAGGAACTGACCTGGCAATGAATTCAAAGTGAATGCCGTCTCGCTATATTTCCTTATATGCTCTCTGCAAGAGGGAAGGAAGCATCACGCTCTTTATTTGAATTCCATGACCTTTGCAAACACATGTCTGCTTCTTATTTTATTCTGTTGCAGAGGAAAATGCGAAAGCCCGTGTGATAGGAGAGGAAAATGTGAGACCCCAGAAGTTTCCCTTGGCTGTGTCTCAGTGATGTATGTGTTAGGAGACCACACAGTGTTTGCAGACAGAGTGCTTGACTGGCAGTGCTGGCTTGTGCAACACGCAGGTTTTGAGGAACTTCTATTTTTCCATTTCTAAAATGGGGAGAATAATGATGCAAGAATGTAAAGATTATATAAGAACTGATGTAAGAATAAAACCAGAAAATGCAGCCCAAGTGCCCAGCACAGTGACCAGCACCTATAAATGCTCAATAACGAAGGATATTCTTATGAGTCAGCCTCAGGAGAAGTGGCAGGTAGTGCAGGGTGGCACACTGGTCCGTGGGCCAAATTAAGTAATTAAAGTTTTACTGGAACATAGTCATGCCCATGTATATATGTATTATCTGTGGCTGCTTTTGTGTTGCAATGACAGCATTGAGAAGTTGCTACAGAGAGGGTATGGATCTTAAAGCTGAAAAAATTCATTATCTGGCTAAAGTGTAGTGACTTCTGACCTAATGGTATCAGACAGAGTTGAGTTCATGTCCTGATGGTTATGGGGCAGTTTGCTTTGCTTCTCTGAGCCTCAGTTTTCCCATCTCTAAATTGGGAATAATAACTGACCCTTCTTAGAGCCTTTGTACAGAGATATTAAGAGGTGAAGCCAGCTGGACTTCCTGGGTCGAGGGGGGGACTTGGAAAACTTTTCTGTCTAGCTAAAGGATTGTAAATGCACCAATCAGCACGCTGTAAAAACGCACCAATCAGCGCTCTGTGTCTAGCTAAAGGATTGTAAATGCACCAATCAGCACTCTGTAAAAACACACTAATCAGTGCTCTGTGTCTAGCTAAAGGATTGTAAATGCACCAATCAGCACTCTGTAAAAACGCACTAATCAGTGCTCTGTGTCTAGCTAAAGGATTGTAAATGCACCAATTAGCACTCTGTAAAATGGACGAATCAGCACTCTGTAAAATGGACCAATCAGCACTCTATAAAATGGACCAATCAGTGCTCTGTAAAATGGACCAATCAGCAGGATGTGGGCGGGGACAAATAAGGGAATAAAAGATGGCCACGCCAGCCAGCAGCCTCAACCTGCTGGGGTCCCCTTCCACTCTGGGGAAGCTTTGTTCTTTTGCTCTTCACAATAAATCTTGCGGCTGGTCACTCTTTGGGTCTGTGCCACCTTTAAGAGCTGTAACACTCCCCGTGAAGGTCTGTGGCTTCATTCTTGAAATCAGAGAGACCAAAAACCGACTGGAAGGAATCAACTCTGGACACAATATCATGAAGAGTAAACATTACATTCGGAAACATGGTAGGGACTTAAGTGTTAGTTCCCATTCCCTCACTTGGCTGCAGCCACTTGGTCTCAAGACTGAGGCCCTGTGAGAGCTTGTTCTCTCTCCAGAGACTGAGATCTTGTTTCTGGTAGCAGATGGGCCAAGACCATGTAGGAGACAGTACAAGAGCTGCCATTTGTGAAGACCAGAAGCCAGCTCCCTGCTAAATTCTTGACCTGCATGAGTACAGTTACCTCGTACTATCATTCTGTGCATAGGTATGTTAGTATTCATATTCTACAGATAAAGAAAATGAGCTTTGGAGAGTTTAAGTTAGATAGTGGCAGAGCTGGGATTTGAATCCAGGCCTGCCTGACTCCAGAGGCCAGGCTCTATGAAAGGCTGTTCTGCTATCCAGGCATGACAAGGGAGGAGGCTGCTGAAGCCTCTGAAGCCAGAATAAGAAATTCAGTCTAGGATGTCAGAGTGGGAAGGGAACTTACAGATTACAAATGGGTCCAGTGCACCCACTGACAGATGTGTAGACTGAGGTCTTAAAGGGTACAGTCTTGTCCAAAAGGATTGAGAGGCAGAACAGGAATTGCCACTGGGTCCCCAGCTCCCACATCAGTGCTCTGCCTGTAGGCTGTGGCCCCTGAGGCCTGCTCAACTCAAGGCCTTGCCTCTCCCCAGCCCTCTGCTCCAGGCGGACTGGTTCCTCTTGGTTCTTTGCGAGTGCCCTGTCACCCTGCCATCTCCATGCCTTTGACGGGTGGATCCCTCTGTGCTGGCTTCCTCTCGCATCAACTGGCTGATTGCCCTTCATCCTCTAAGATCCCTCCTTAAATACATCACTACCTGGGAAAGCCTTCCTGAGCCTCCCAGCCTGGATCAGGTACCTCTTCCAGGCTGCCAAAGCCTCTGATGCTTCCCTCATTTTGCTTTATGGTGATCAATCTCACCCATCAGGACAGGAACTCAACCGATATTTGTTGAATGAATAAATGATTGAGTGAATGAGGCCAGTCACAGTGGATCACGCCTGTAATCCCAGCACTTTGGAAGGCTGAGGCGGGCAGATTGCTTGAGGTCAGGAGTTCAAGGCCAGCCTGGCCAACATGGTGAAACCCCGTCTCTACTAAAAATACAAATATTACCTGGGCAGGGTGGCACATGACTGAATTCCAGCTACTCCGGAGGCTAAGGCAGGAGAATGGCTTGAATCTGGGAGTCGGAGGTTGCAGCAAGCCGATATTGCACCACTGCACTCCAGCCTGGGTGACAGAGCAAGACTCCGTCTCAAAAAAATAAATAAAAGTAAAAATAAATGATTGAGTGAATTAAAAAACAATGCTCAGAGAGATCTCACAGGGAAGGGAAGGGGATGTGGTGAGCAAACAAGAATTCATGAAATGAGGAACGGTTCCCTCATTGCCTTCCATTCCTTCTTCCACATGCCTACTCCCTCCCTCCATGGAAGAAGCGTTGGAGAGAGAGTCAGGAGATGATTTCAGCTGTTAGCCCTGCAACTGACTCTTGAGAAACCTTGCATTGTGCCCTCCCTCTGTTGGGGTCAGGATTTCTTCACTGATGGACCAGAGTGAGGATTGGCCTTGGAACCGCCGAGGTCTCATTAGCAGCGGGATACAAGCACACTTTGTCCTCAAATGCCCCGTGGGCTGTTTCCTGAAGGATGACCAAGGGGTTTTGAACCCCACTCCCTTGTTCTCTAATTAGGGCCTGTCTCAGGAATCAGAGACATTTTTTGCAGAGATATTTTCCTACTTTCACCAAGTTAATATGTGAGAGGTAGACAAACCACTTCATGGCTTAAGATCGGTACCAAGCTAACATGCTCAGTAAACGTGCTGACACTGAGGCCGGGTTAATGACAATTTAGCCAATTCATCAGCTCTAATTAAATCAAACTGAAGGCTGAGACCTATGGTCATGACTGGGCAAATCGGGAAGAAGGTTACATAGGGTATCTTCACCATTTAATAATTGTATGACCTTTGGCAATTTGTTTATCTTCTCTGCGACCCAGTTTCCTTCTCTGCTGAATAGAAATGATATTGAGATTATTGTCATGAGGACTGAATGAGTTACTATTTGTAAAATTCTCAGAACACTCCCTAGAATACAATAAGCTCCCTACAAGTATTTTTAAATGAATAAGCTTTCTAATGAGGGTAATACTAGTTTGCTTATATGTAAGACTTAGAATGTAAGGGCCAATAGAATAGAAGTTTTGTCTGTTTTGTTCACTGCTGGGTACCCTCTGCTTAGGGTAGTTCTTGCCCTTAGTAAGCCTGTGAATATGTGTTAGGTTGAATGAATGCACGTAACCATGATGCTGATAAAGAACTATATATAAACTCTATTCTAAAATATAAAGAAGCTTTTCATGCAAACATGTTGAACATGCAATGTAAGTGAGTCTTAAAACAGGATGTATTAGAAAAATAATGACATTTATGAGTAATAAAAGTAGCAAGGACATCTATAGTCCTTACTAGGTTCTAAGCACTTTACACAAATTGACCCATTTAATCCACACAACAATCTATGATTACCTCCATTTTACAGATGAGGCAACTGAATCACAGAGGTTGCTTTACTTGCCCAAGGTCACGCAGCAGAAGAGTTAGTGGAACCAGGATTTAGACTCCAGCAATCTGACTTCAGAGGCCATGCTTTTAACTGCTATACTATACTGTCTCTTTCAAGGCAGAGCTGAGGAAATTGTGGCTACAAACAAACAAAACAAAGAACAATCAAGTAAACAAACACCATCATACACACACATACACAAAAATCTAAGGGGAAATGTTGAAAAAATACAAAATCCCTCTTGCCTCAGAGAAATGTAATCTCAGAAGACTGGGAGAGGCCCCTTCCCTGTCTGATTCTTAGTTTCTAGGTCTGGAATATGGCGAGGACATATCCACTGCTGTCTTTTCCTGCCTGAGGTCGTGGGTTTCTCTGCAGACACTCAGTTGCCAACTTCAGAACCAGGAGCCTGCAGCTACCATGAAATTCAGGTCCCATGGGCTGAAATATGCCTCTCATTTTCCAGCAAAATCTGCCTCCCCATAGCCTTTCAATGTGCAGAGCAAAACGGAAACCAGAAAGACTGAACACTTTTATCAAAGGAACAACTCTGGGAGAAGCTGGGAGGCTGCGAAGCCTTGGGAAGGCAAATCAAAGGCAAACTTTGTGGAAACACTTTGTGAAGCAACAGAAAATTCCATCATGCTTGCAAGAGTGTGATCAACTCGGAGGGTAATTTGCTTGGAACAGAGCGAGGCTGTGTCTGCTGGAGCACACTGAAGCAGCAGACCCAGAAGGGAAGTCGGACAAACATCCAGACAAGCTGTTTGTCAGATAATTGGCATAAAAATTTTGTTTTTCCCTCACCTCTTGAATTATTTGGCTGCTTCACGAAAGATCTTACATCTTCAAATTTTATGTGGAAACACAACCATGAAGAGAAATTTGTTCTTTATTATTTCCTTTCATTCTTTTCTATCTATCTGAGGATATGTTAGATATATTAGGTTCTATCCATCTATCTATCTTCCAGCTATATGAATATAATATATATATGTTAAGTTCTATCCATTTATCTATCCTCTGTCTGAGTAAATATTAGATATATATTAGGTTCTATCCATCTATCTTCTATATATCTGAGTATATATTAGATATAAATTAAGTTCTATCCATCTATCTCTATCTGAGTATATATTAGATATATATTAGGTTCTATCTGTCTATCTATCCTTTATCTATCTATCTGAGTACATACTAGATTCCATCCATCTATCTGTTCTCTATCAGTCTACATGAGTATGTATTAGATATATATTATATTCTATCTATCTGAGTATATATTACATATAAGGTTCCATCCATGTATCTATCTTCTAAGTATATATTAGATATACATTAGGTTCTAACCATCTAGGTATATATACTATCTATCTAGACAATCTAATAGCTATATATTAAGTAATATAAATGAATCTAAAATGTATCAGAGACACAGAGAAAATATATGTATCAGGCACTATACTCCTAAGAGTATACACATATATTAGATTAGACTACGTGCTAGGTTATGAGGATTTAGTAATGTACAAGACAGACATAATAAGACAGGGGCAATCTGACCTCACGGTAATTATCACCTAGTGGACTACAATCCATCTGTTAAATGCTGGCCTGGAGGAAGTACAGAGGAGTGGGGAGCTATGGGGTCAACAGGAGGCCCAAAATCAGCCTAAAGGGTGAGAAGAATGATCGTCAATAGGGAAGAATCACTGGAAAAAGACATTATCAACAGAGAATGGTAGTCATCAGGAAAGAATCACTGGAAAAAGACACTATCAACAAAGAGCAGTGGACTAAAATTCAGCATCAATGTCTATAGTGTTTGTTTCTCTCTCTTTATGTGATAATGAGCATGTCACTTCCCCTAGGGACCCATGTCCACATGCATTAAATCAGCTCAGCATTTCTCAAAGTATGTTCCACAAAACCTCTGTCCTTCACTCTGTGAAAAATGAGTTCCCCAGCTAACCAGGCATGAGAAACCCACGGGAAATCTTTCTCTGTTGAGAATGCATACTGCATTTTAAGGTATAATAAAGGCTCCAACAAATATTGCAGTAAAAATAATAATAATAATTGAGTTGAACTCTATTTCCAAAATGTCTTTGATAATCCATGCTTTTAAAGTAGAATCTCACTGTTCCGTGATTCCACACAATGCTTTCTGAAAACTGCGGAAATGTAATTATGACACTAAAAACACACTGGCTGGGTACGGTGGGTCATGCCTGTAAAACCAGCACTTTGGGAGGCCAAAGGAGGTGGATCACTTGAGCCCAGGAGTTTGAGACCAGCCTGGGCAACGTGGAAAAACCCTGTCTCTACAAAAAATACAAAAAGTAGCTGGGCATGATGGTGGGTGCCTGTAGTCCCAGCTACTTAACAGGCTGAGGTGGGAGGATCACTTGAGCCAGGGAAGTTGAGGCTGCAGTGAGCCATGATTGTACCGCTGCACTCCCACCTGGGCAACAGAGTGAGGTCCTGTCTCAAAAAAATAAAAATAAAGAATAAAAACACCTTACATGTGAATATTACTTCAAAGTTTGCAAGCATGTTCATAATGCCCTGTTTGATTCTCACGGAAAGTCTGAGAGGATGATACAACTCCTTCCTCCATCCCTCTTTTTCTTCCTTTCTTCCTTCCCTGAACAAATTTTTTTGAATGCCTACCTCTACCAGAAATCAACATTTATAAAACATGAGGAAATTGGGGTCTAGAGAGAAGAAGCAATTCACCTAAAGACAAGAGCTGGAGTTAGAGCCCAGGCTGTGTAGCCCAGGGCAAAATCTGAGAAACAGCAAGTCGGGGCCAGTGGTTCCACAGCAGCGACGTGTTCTATGGTAACCTCTCTGAAGCCATTCTCGGCTCTCGCCCACGTAGAAGTAACCACTGACTCCTTTGTATTTTCATCTTATGCTCCTATCAAAGGTTGTAAGTTAAAACCATCCAGAGGCCAGGGAGGCAGCATAAATAAGCCCAGTAGACCTGGTGCAGCAATAGGGAGTGGTGGTGACTGAAGCCAAATGAAGAATTGAGCTCTTCTAGTGGGGAGTTGCCACTATTCAACTCCAGGTAATGGTGGCCCTGTGGGAATACAGTCCCGGGATTTCCAGATCTTCTGATTGTGTGTGTGTGTGTGTGTGTGTGTGTGTGTGTGTGTGTGTGTGTGGGTGGACCTCTATTATAGATTCTTATAGATGCTTCCTGATGATTCTTGGCCACAAGTTTGATATTTATGATGACTTCAAAATATGCTAAAGGGCTGAATTTGACTCAGAGGGCACCAGTTAGAAATGCCCCCAATGAATACACTTCAATCACAGCATTTGACATCCTTTATTATACTTAATTTTCATATCTATTCCCTCCCCCGACAACCAGATCGCAATGCCCTTGAGGGGAGGGATTGTGGTGCACTCATCTTGGCCTGTCCCAGCGTCCACTAAAAGGGTGGCACCTCAAAGGGGCATAACAAATGTTTATAGAACGAAGGCTTACATTCCCTCCCTCTAAAGCAGCTGAAAAATAAATATATGATAGCTTTTAATTAAAAAGTAACAGGATGAAATATGCATGAGAATCCTATTCTTTGACAGGAGGCAGCATGTTGAAGAGAAAGATTTTCAAATTATGTTTGCCAGCGATGCTCCCAAAAGACTAAAAAAGTTTTCTGGGCATGCGGTCTCGGCTGGCGAAATCCCCTTCTCAGTTCTGCATTGCAACTAATGCTCATTATGTTTGGATAGTTCTCAAAGAAGAAGAACACTGCTTGTGAAAATAGGTTACCGCCCTTGGCGGCTGTAGAGATCTACGGCTGAGGAATCCAAACACATCTCAGCTGACCTCACTGCCATTACTTGGACTATTAATGTCTGGGAATGCCTCTCCTCCTGATAATGAAATAATACTAATTGTGTACTGCCTTCAATAAGAGATGTGATTCAGCAGCCTGAAGGTTTAATTATGGGCTTCCAAATCAAGAGAGATCTGAATTGGACTCCCTGGTTTGGCACAACTACCAAGGTGACCTTAGCCAGGGATTGAACTGCTCTGAATCTCAGTTTCCTTTCCTGAAAAATTATGTGAATAATAATGTTTTACCTTGTTTTGTTACTGCAGGTTGTAAACAGCATATGTGAAAGGCTTGGCATATAATAGATGATGAATAAGTGACAACTACCATCATCTAAGGAGATGGTTTCCAAACTTTTTGTAGCAGCAGGATCCCTTTCCAAATTAAATCATACCTGGAATTCTGATATAGAAAATAGAGCAAATGAGAGATGCCCAGGTTTGAGTGGAGGAGGGTATACAAATCTTCCTCCATCCCAGGGAAACTCTTCAGACTCTTGGAACTCTAACAAACAAAGTGTAGAAACCATGGGTCTATTCCAACTGTCTCTTTCCAAGATGTAAAGACTGAGTTGCATGTGGAAGTGCGACTTGCCTCAAGACACACAGTAGGTCTTCAAAAGAACGGGGGATCAGACCCAGAAAACTGGGCTCTTAGGCTGGTACTGCTAAGAGAGCAACAGGTAGAGATTTAAACAATGGCTTTGGAATCTCTCCATCCTGATTTATATCCAGGATCCGTTTTTGCTGTCTGTGTGTCAATGCATGTGTCACCTACCCTCTGTGAAACTCACTTTCCCCTTCTATAAAATGGAGACTGTGATTAGTACCTAACTTGCAGAGCTATTATGAGAAACAAATAAGTTAATATACATAAAAGCGCCAAACAAAATACTTGGCACATAGTTGACATTTTATCAGCAATTAATAATAGAAATAATTATAACCGCAATCACAATATCTTAAGCCCATATCAAAATTCACAAGACACCAAGGGCTTTAATAGTTGTTTTATTCTCACAACAACCAATGACATAGTGATTGTTCCCTCTATTGTACAGATGTAAAAAAAAAAAAAAAAAAAGAAAGAAAAAAAGAAGCTCCAAGAGATGTAGTCATTTGGTTAAAGTCACTGTATAATACACGGGCAAAGTAGGATTTGGATTTATCTTTTGGCAGGGGTCTACTGAAACTCTACCCTATTGACTTAGAGCCACACTGCCATCTAGCTGGACTGATATGCTTTCCACAAAAACATCCTTGGTTCACAAATGGCAGATATACAGCATATGTACTGCCACTCTCCACTTCTATGCTCATGGCAGACATTGCTAATCAATTCCTACAGTAGATTTCTATGGATTACAAATGGCTGATACTTGGTATGTGTACCACTGCTCTCCACCTCTGTTCTTATGGCAGACATTATTAAACAATCCATACAGGTTTTCCAAGTGACCCTCAAAATCTCTCCTTCTGCAAGTGTCTGTTCAGCCATTTACAACAGATAGAGGTTGGGCTCCAGAGCAGCAACTCTCTCCCCACACCCAACCCTTCACCCCCACCCCTGGTCCCTTGCTTTGGGCAGTTGTGCTATGCCTTGCTGAACACACAGAGTTTCGAGTCAGATGGGTCACTGGGACATCTCTTGTCCTCTGGCTCTCTGCCTGAGAAAAGGAACAGCTATTACAGAAAAAGCTATTTGTGCTTAAAAATAATCCTTTATCTAAGAGCTGAATCACATAATTAAGAGACTTTCCCAATAAGATTTAACATTCCCACTAGTATCAATGGCCATTGTCCACCTCCCAGTTGAATTTAGCTTCCTGCCCTCTGCCTGCAGTCCAGCAATTTTCTTGTACCTGAATTAAACACTGATGAGAATTGGCTTGTCCCAAATTGGCCCCACTGAGATTTATGCCTCTGAAGGGTAAGGGGAGGAACTCACGGGCATTTGGATGAGAGGAAAAAAGAATCATTCATGATCCCTTGAGAACCTGGTACTTTGTTTTAAAGGCACATGGAGCTGGGGGAATGAAGAGAAGCATCTCAGCCACACACTTCTAGTTTTGTAGTTGTCGCTCCTGACTTCCTCCTTCTCAGACACAGTTTTTCTTTGTTTTTGTTCTTTGGCTTGATGGGAAAAAAATATGATACACCGATGCAGAACAATTGCAACAGTCACGTTCGGATCAAAATGTATGCAGCCTACTTCACAATTATGGAGCTGTCACATAGCTGATAGCTCTGTCATATTTCTAAAAGTTACAAATACCTCTCTCCATGTCCCCTCTAGGGTGTGTGTGTGTGTGTGTGTGTGTGTGTGTAGAAAGTGAGCTGTAGAGACAAAGAAAGAAAGGTGGGGAAAGGCAGGTAGATGCCCATTATCGTATTCACTTCTTTGCTTTCAATCTTAATATTCTTGTTCTTCTTCCTCCTTTACACTCACCTGGCAAAACTTCAACCCAGATTGAATCCAAGTGCTGATCTTTTCCACACCTGTGTCTCTACAGATACAAATGGCTGGAAGACAAAAAACACCCAGGTCAGCTGGTATCACTTTAAATGTATGCTCAGAACCTATTGCAAGTCCATGATCCCAGCTGCAAGACAACTTTCACGACCCTCCCTTCAACTCTCCAACTCTTCCTCCTCAGTCTTGGTTAATGTCCCTGCTTCCTTTCCCCTAAGAAAACAGGAAGGGGTTATTTGCCCCATGCCACACTTCTGCCACACTCACCCTGCCAACCTTCCCCAGATGAGCTCATGTACCTGTCCTCTCCCTGTCCCATGAATGCCTGTCGATGCTGACAGCTCATCCATGGGAGTTCTGGGTTCCTCTTCCCACACCCCATCAAGCCACATCACTCCAGTGATCAATCCCTTTCTCTCCCAAATCATAAGTGTTTCTCTTTTTACTGGATTATTCCCATCAGCAAATAAACTTACCATAACGTTCCCTTCTTAAAGCAAAACAAGTAAAAACAACAAAGAACTTTGACCCACATCCCACTCCAGCCACCATCTGTTGCCTTCAGAAAAAAAGTTACTCAAGAGTCATCCAGAGTTCTCCAATTCTTCCTTTTCCATTCTCCCTTGCATTCACTCCAGTCAGGGTGCCCTGAGACCTGTGCTGTCGGGATCACTGATAATCTTCATTTTTCCACATCCAGTGGGCCATTCTTAGGCTCATCTTACCTAAATCAACAGTATTTGTTACAACTGATTGTTTGCTTCATCTAGAAATGTTTTCTTCACTTGGCTTCAAGTGAAGCCACTTAGCATAAGCATGCTACTGGCTTCCCTCCTCCCTATGTGGCTGTTCCCTTCCCATCTCCTTCCCTGGCTCCCCCTCATTGGCTGAATTCTACACACTCTACACAGAATCTCAGGACTCTGGACTCTTCCCTGTGTACACTCATTCATGCAGACTGGGTCTCATCCAGTCTCCTAGCACTAACTACAAGCTCTACCCCAAAAACTCCCATATAAAATATGTATATCTCCAGCCTCAGTCTCTCCCTCGAGCTCCAACCTATATAGTCCTGCTCATCATCTTCCACCTGGAGATGTCTACTAGGCATCCAGCCTAAGGTGTCCAGCCCCCTGCACACCTGCACCTCCCATGTCTCATGAATGACAACCCTATCCTTCCAGCTACTTGGAGTTCATTTCGCTGCTTCCTTTTTCTCACTCTGTACATATACTCCATCAGGAAATCCAGACTTCTCAAATCAGCCAGACTCTGATGACTTGCTAAAACTTTCATTGTTATTATTCTGGTCTAAACTGCCATCATGTCAAATCTGGATTATTGTAGTGGCTTCCCCTTGGTTCTTCCTGCCTCCATCTCTGTCCCTAGCATTCGTTCTCCACATAGCAGCCAACAGGATCATTCAAAAATGAAACATTTTATGTCACTTCTCCACTCGAATTTCTCCAATAATTTCCCATCTGACTTGGAGACAGAGCTGTAATTCTTACCATGAGCTGCAAAGACCCTGCATGATCTATCCTCCACTATCTCTATCTTCCTTGCTCATTTCAACCAGCACCTGGTCTCTTTACAATTCTTTGAACATACCAGCCACAGTCCTGCCCCGGGGCCTTTGTGCTTGCACTTCCCACCTCCTAGAATGTGCTTCCCCTGAATATTTGCACAGCTTACTCTCACTTTCTGTTATCTCTTCTTAAGTCTTACCTTATCAGAGAGACTTTTTTCTGAACACATCATGTAAAATATACCCATGCCCCTACATACATATATATCCTGCCAGGAGAGGCAAGAGCTCGTGGAAATTATTCCAGCTCCCATGCCCAGTTGGTGGGAAAATATAAAGTATGTTTTTTGAAGTCTCTGCAAGGGTCTCCAGCAGAATTGAATTTCAGCTGCCCACAGGAAAACCCACTCAATATCATGTCCTTGACTGGCTTTCTTCTCTTTCTTGTCTCAATTTCCCACTCCCTAATGATGCTTTCTTGGATAACCTCCTAAATAAATGACCTCCCCTTGAACCTTCCACTCAGGATTTTCTTTTAGAGAAAACTACACAAAGTCCCACTTTTGTGTCAATTATATGACATGATGTATATTTATCAATCTATTATCTTTGTCATCTGTCTCTTCCCACTGGAATACAAGCCCCAAAAAGATGCACCATGCTCTCCTCTTGAGATGGCTGGTGGGTACTTAGCACATATTTGCTCAATAGAAGAGTTAATTTATTCATCTGACAATTAGTTCTTCAATGCCTATCTTGTGCTGGGCTCTCTTCCAGTTACTAGGGATACAGTGGCAACCACAATGAGTAAGGTTTCTGTTCATAAGGAGCTCACATTCTGAGTGGATAGATGAATAAACAGATGGATGGATGGATGGATGGGAAGATGGGAGTGGAGGGCAAATGGGACCCACTACAGCCTTACAGTACCCAGCATTTGGATACTAAGGAATCATATCTACTCAAGGACATTTTGCAAATAGCCCCTCATGACCTGTGCTTACTTCTTCTACTCTATTACCTCTACCTCTTAGCCATGTCCCTGCCAAATGATTTTTTTCCCCAGAAATTCTTGTGTATTTTCTCACTTCTGGACCAGTGTCCTGTGCCTGCTCATGGCCTTTGCAGACCCCACTTCACATCCTCTAATGTCTTCTCTGCCCACTCTGGTGCTGATGCCATTCTTCTTCTGGTCTGGGACTTTCAAGGCAATTCTGCCCAAACTCTACATGCAAGGTAATGATCTTTCCTCATGCACTGTTTTGAGTGTAGTGTGATTTGAGTGTGTGTTCATAGGAAATTCTTTCTTGCTAATGGAAAAGGAAGGCAAGGTGAGGAGTGTTCCAGCCTTTCAGATGGGACTCACATGGAGTCCTAGCACCTCCTAGCTGTGTCTCCTTAGCCAGTGACTTCATCTCATGGGGACTCAGTTTACTCATTTGTTAAATATGGATGGGAATAGTTCCCCTCTGCCAGAATGCTGGATGATTCAAATGAAATTATGAGTGTAAAGAAGAATTTTTATTCAAATCCTGGCTCTGTCTCCCACTCATTGTGTGACCTTGGGTAAATATCTTCACCTGTCTGTCCTTTTGTTTGTATAGCAATAAAATGGAGATAACTGTGAGTGCTTTATAAGGCTGTTTGAGAATTACAGAAAACCATGCATAAAAAATGCTTGGCCCAGAGTCTGGTACATAGAAAATGCTTAATAAATTCTTACCATTATTATTTTTCTAAAGCCTTTGAGCTCAAAAGCCATAGTGAAATAACAGCCACCAAGCATGCTGGGCAAATCTCTAGAACATCAAGCTGCTCCAGTAAAATGCGATGTCATCGGTGATAAAATCTAGCCTAGAGATGCTGCAGTTCTGGAGTTCAGAATCTTCTATTCTTCCCTGGGCATTTTGCTTCTCAACAAGCACTTGAGAAGCAAGCCAAGCTTCTTCAATTCTGGGGAAGGCAACTGCTGGAAAGCCTAGGGTAAAATATGAAAGCCTTCCTCTTCACGCTTATCCTGCTAGCAATCTTAAAGAGGGCAACACACCACCCTTTTATCTTCATCTGCAGATGAATGTAAAACACGCTTCTTGGGGGATGATGAATGGGGGAGCCTGCTGAACAGATCAGTTCCCCTCCAGAAGGTTGAGGCTCTTTTTGTGAAGGAAAATACATCATCCAAAGGCCTGCAGAAAAGGGGAGATTCTAGCCAGGAGGGGGGGAAAGAATGATGTTGGTCCTTTTCAATAATTAATTTCATTTAATCTTTAGGAAATTTTACTGGGAAATATATCATACCTAAAAAAGTAGTGAAAATCTATATATACAGTTAAGGAATAATAGTAACATAAATATCTGTGCACCCACTATTTGGCTCATGAAACAGAACATTATTAATAATTTAGAAGCTTCTAAAACATATCACTACCCTGAATTTTGTTTTAATCATTCCCTTGTTTTTCATACAGTTTAACCATCTTGTATATGTTCCTAAATCATGATAGTAATCACAAAGGTAATAACAACAACTAGTCAAAAATAATAATAAGGGCTAACATTTACATAGTGTTTGTTCTGTGCCAGGTACTCTTTTAAGTATTTTACATATATTAATTCATTTAATCCTCACAACAACTCTTTGAGGTAGGAACCACTGCTATCTTCGACATTCTTTAAATGAAGAAACTGAGGTACAGAGAGGTTAGGTAACTCATTAGGGTCACTGAGCTAGAAAAAGGGAATACTCAGTCATGAACCCACTTTTGGCCCCAGAGTCCATAATGGCTATGCTCTCCTGTCTCTCAATATAGCATTAGTTTTGATTGTTCTTGAACTTTATATACATGGACTTATATATTTTGGATTTTTATGGGATTTATCTCTTTGAATGAATATTAAGTTTCTGAGATTCATCCCCATTAATGTGTGTAGCTGTAGTTTATTCACTTTTTACAGCTGCATAATGTTCCATTATACCCATTCTCCTCTGATGTGTGTGCCTGTAGTTTGTTCATTTTTTACAGCTGCATAATATTCCATTATATCTATTCTTCTATTGTTAGAAACATGAGTTGATTCCAATTTCCCATTTGCTCTCTGCAGAGATCCCACCAAGTAGAATATGATCGTCTTGGTTTTACGGACCAGGAAACTGAGGCTGAGAGATGGGAAGAGGCTTTCCCAGGTCACAGCTGGCATATGCAGAGAAAGACGTTCAACTTGAAACTACCAGCTTTCAAGCTCTAGAGCTTTCTGTTGTTCTGTGCTGAGATATCAACTGCTAAGCACAGCCTTTTAAATCTGAAACTATGGTGCTATTTTTAATCTTTTTCATAAAGAAAAGTCTCTAACACCTCCCTTCTTTTCCTTCTGGGAAGAGCCACATTCATCCTTTCATATAAACAAATGTACATATGTTTGTAAACATACATACATGTAAATGACAATCCCTGAGTTAAGTTTTCTGGATAGAGAGATAAATAAGGTATGCCTGGCCTTAGAATTTCTCTGAGTGGGAAATTCTGAGGGAAAAAGGACAGACATTCCTAACAATAGTTAAAGTGTTAGGATCTAGAAGCACAAGGGAGGAAGCAAAAAATCAAAGAAGACTTCCTGAGGCTGAATAGGAGTTATACTGTTAGGCAAGGGAGGGCATTCCTGATGAGGAAACAACATCAAGACCGTGCAGTAGGAAAGTCATGGCATGTTCAGAGAGTGGGGAGAAATTTGGGGTGCCTTGAATGTCAACTGAGGAGAGAAGGAAGCATCTAAAGAGAAAAGTCCTATGTTGAGTAGTCCTGGATGCCAGGCTAAGGTGTTTGAACATGGTCTTATGAGGATGATTGTCATTGAGGGTTTCAAGTTGTGAAGGTGACAGGATAGGGCAACTGTTTCAGAACAATCTCATGTCTGACATGGAGATTAGTCTTGGGAAATAGTCATGGAGCTCCCCTTTGGAGAGAATGAAAGTCTAGGATCCCATTCTGGGCAGTGCTGAGGCTCCAGGCGGGAATTCAAAATATGTGTTTATGATCTTTTATTTTTTTCACGATAATAACTATACACAATGTGTTTGGGATGTACTCCATTAACTGGGTGAGTCTGGGAAAATGATTTAATCTCTCTGTGTTGTGGGTACCTTATCTATAAAATGAGCATAATAATATCTCCAAATAATATAAAGAAATTTTATGACAACTAAGTGAATTCATACTTGTGAAGCCATTAGAACTTTGGCAGGCACACAACCCTCAATATTATTGAAAGTTTTATGCTGTCATCATCGTCGTCATAATCATCATCATCATCATCATCATCATCACATTTTTAGGGCACAAAACCAGGCTTTGAAATATATTTAATGATATTGCATCTTTTGACTATCCCTGTGGAGTGGGTAGCACATTTTCCTTCATAGACAGAACAGAGTTTTGAGAGGTTGAGAGAGTTGCCCAATGTCACCGGAATCAATAACAGGCTTGCAATCTCAATTCATATCTTCTTCTGCGTTTTCAGCCATGAACACTTACACCCACTCTCAGGCCAGGACATTGTTCTATGCCCTACCTGGAATGTGAAAGGCCTTGGAAATTATCAACAATTTGAACTCTGCAATATCTCGGTCAGTACCTTGGACAGTGATGGGCATTCTTAAAGAGTTAAGCACTTAAGTCACAGAGCAACATTCCCCTAATGTTCATTCTAGCATAACCACTATCAGCCTTACCACAAATTAAATAGCATCTTCAGGGGGAGTCTGAATGCCTCCTTACTCACTTTATAATTCCGCAAGACATCCCCCCAGTCTACACTCTTCTTGTTTATCTTCAAGGCTAGTTTTTTGTTCTGATCACAGTGGGAAATATGTGCCCAGTTACTGAGCAGTTAATAAAGGCCAAAACTCATTTTCTCAAGAAATAGCGGTAAGATTAAAGCTGCAGAGTATAAGGTATCCTTCATTATTCAGGAAACAGGCATATGCTTGAGGGAGGATGGGGCTGGGAGGAAGATATGAAGGAAAGGGTGAAAATTACAAAACATGTTGGCAAACTCATGGGTTAGACCATTAAGATTACAAATCCAAAAATTCCATCTGATGGATTTCAGGGCCAAAACATGAAGACCAAGAAGAGTGAATCCCTTCAAATAAGCCCAAACAAGCCCTTGTTCTAAATGTCTTAGACTAAGATCAAAGGACCCCAACAAGGTCTTCCAATGACTTAACTCAACCTCTACTGAATCCAGAATTCTCTTCTTTGATGTCCTTCTCAGTGAAACTAAGGAGGATTCACAGATGAACAATATAAATGGAGCAGTCTCTCTCTGTAGCATCTCTTATTAATGTTCAGCATTTGGACTGGTTCTGGCCACCAGGAGGCTGTTTGGATGCTCCTGGTGGTCTGGTGGAGAAAGAACCCAAGCTAGAAGCTGGAGACTTGGGCATGATACCAATTTTGTCTGTTACCTGAGCCAGTTCTCTATCTTTTCTGGGCTTCAGCATCTGTATCTGTCAAATGCAGATAATACCTACCTTGGTTTCTTTGGTGGAGTGTGTGTGTGTGTGTGTGTGTGTGTGTACGTATGTGTGTGTCCACATGTAATCATAGATTGAATGATATAAGCACTTTGAAAAAGTAAACCCAAAAGTGTATAGTTCCCTTGTTTAGCTCTGATCACAGATAACTTAGCAATTATCTGTTTATATGTATTTCTTTCCCAAATGACAATGTGCTTCTTGAAGGTGGGGTCTGTATCTCATTCATCCTTGACTTTTTAGCACCCAAAACAGCTTCTTGTACAGACTGGTCCTCGCTAAATATTTGTGGAACAAGGGACAGGATAACCAAATAGTGTAGAGCACAAGCTCTGCATTAGAAAAGCAGGGTTATGTCTTGACTCTGTCACATCTCAGCAATGTGACCTTGGGCAAATCTTGTAACCTCTGCCATCCCCAGTTTCCCCATCTGTAAAAGGGTGCTGGCCACCTCAATGGGCCATTGGGAGTAGTAAATGAGGACATGAATATAAAACATTTAGGAGAGCTCTTGGTATCTAGTCAGTGGTCAAGAAACCTTAGCTAACATATTTATCTTCTGTATTCTAATTTTTGTGTTGTGAGCCATGAAGGGTGTCATGAAGGAGCTTAACCACTAAGTGAGCGCTCTGTCATTTTTTGTGTGATTATCCCAAATCTATTGCAATCTAACTGCTTTGTCTACCAGTGGATATACAGAAATAGCCATGACAGTCTCCAGGTGCTGTGGAAAGGTGGGCAGATGACAGTTGGCTCTGTTGTTGTTCTGCTTAGCAACCCCATACCAATTGCTTTCCATCTCCCAGCCTTGGTTTCCCTAGGTAAAGAAGTAGCAAGAACTGATTTCTGAACTCATCCCACTGTTTCTAAGCACCTTGAATAATCTCTGTGCTAAAAAGAGGTCATCCTTTCAGAAACCCCTGCAGCTGCTCCCAGGGAGGATGTTGGCGACCCAGTTCAAACCCAGGATGCCTGAAAGACACAGTTCAAAGCTGAAACAGAGACATGCACTCCGCATTTCATTTGAGGACATCTAAGTGGGAGGGCTCTCCTGAATCACACCCTCATCACCCCAGGGAGTCATTTTACCTGAGTAATACATTTTCCTGAACTGGGTACTCGCTCTTTAAAGGAAGTCATCAGTGGCTGTAATTCAACAAGAAGACCATTGGTGCTATACTGAAAAGTAACTAGAATCCATTTTCTTTCGAGAAATAGGATGCCTGCTTAGGGAATTGAGAAAAAAAAAAAAGCGAAGTAGGCTCTTCTTTACCTCCTTCACAAATTAGACAGAGCATGCAAATCTCGAGGCATCAGCAGTACTGGAAACTGGGGTCTCTTTGTATAGCCTCAGCAGGAACTGAGGATATACCAAACGACACTTGAGAGTTTTGGCTCAATTGCGGCTTTGCCGTGAACCAGCTATGTGACTTTGCGCACATCCTTTCCTTTTCCTGAGGCTGGGACTCAGTTGTCTACTCTGACACTGGCTTTTTCTGTCCTAACACAAAAGTAAGTAAGAAGAATTGTCCAGGATGGGTCAAATGCCCCTACTGTGAGTCCAGTACTGATCTGGGTGCTGGAGATGCAATGTAGTTCCTACGTGCCTAGAGCTGATGTCTAAGGAAGCAGAGATATAGAAAAGTAAGTTAGAATAATATTGGCAGCAGGGTTGGAGGAAGCACAGATGCCTTGGGGGAGATGTGGGGAGGGCTGTGTGTGTGTGTGTGTGTGCATGTGTGAATGCATGTATGTGTAAGTGCAGGTGTGTGTGCATATGTGTTCATGTATGTGCTTGCATGTGCATGTATGTATATTTTAAGAGGAGTCAGAGAAGCTTTCCCAGAGGCTGGGTATCTAAACTAAACCATAAAGAAATAGAATTAAAATTATCATTTTTGTGAGCACTTACTATATGATGGGTAAAGAATTATCTCATTTAACTTTTTAAAACATTTTTTGAGGCAGGTAGTATTATCATTATCCTCATCTTAGAGATGAGGAAACTGAGGCCCACACAGGTTAAGTCATTTGCCCAAGGCTGCACAGCTAAGAAGTGGCAAAGTTGGAGTTTGAACTTAGACTCTTAGGCTTCAGAGCCCATGGACTAATCAGCCACCACACTGCCTCTTAGTATGGAGGCTGGTCAGACAAATAGAATGGCAAGAGGGAGCGCTAGCTGGAGAGAACAGTTCATGCAAAGGTCTGCACATGATCTACAGGGTGGTGAGTCTGAGGAGCTGGATGCTGTGTATATTGCCTAGAAGGTAGTGTGTAGGGTGGGTGGAGAGGGTCAAAGAAGCAGTTGGTGGCACCAGATGAGGCCAAAGAGAAAGGTAAAATTTATGCTCATGCCTGCAATCCTAGCACTTTGGGAAGCCAAAGTGGATGGACTGTTTGAGCCCAGGAGTTTGAGACCAGTCTGGGCAATATGGTGCAATGCTGTCTCTACAAAGAATACAAAAAATTAGCTGGGCATGGTGGCGCATGCCTGTAGTTCCAGTTACTCAGGAAGCTGAGGTGGGAGGATCACTTGAGCCTGGGGAGGTCAAGGCTGCAGGGAGCCGAGATTGTGCCACTGCGCTCCAGCCTGGGCAACAGAGGGAGACCCCATCTCAAAGAAAAATCAAAGGTAAAATTTATACTAGGAAATAATAAACCAGAACTTTGTCCTGGGGCAACAAGGAGTTGCTAGAGTTTTCAGCATTGGAGAGCTATCATCAGACTTCTTGTTTCAAACAATCATTCTGGCTACCCTGTTGAGAGTGGAATTTCCCTGCCCAGTGCTGATGGCATGGGACTTTTTCAGGAGACGAAGTGAATTGTCACCACAGAGGAGAGCAGTACTCAACTACCATCATCCCACCCACACTCAGTGTCATCTTCTCTCCATATATGACCCAACAAGCTTCTGTGTCATCATGGTGACAACATCTCACAATGGGTCACACCTGTCACACAGGGGCCCATGAGGGTTTAGCAGGAAAAGAGCCATTGGCTACTTCCTGTTCATTCCTAGTCAAGGTTTGGGAGAGGTATCCATTGAGAAAGAATTGATAATAGTTTGGAGAAAGAATCAAAGGCAATGAGTGGCTACTCAATGAAAGCAACTTCGACATTTGGTTCTGTATGCAAATTGTGCTCCCTGCCAGATTGATTGGTGATAACTACTTTGGAGCTTTAGTTTTCTCATCTGTAAAATGAACTGGTTAAAGAAGGGCAGTATTTTCCAAAGCATATTCCAACTTACTGATTTACAAGATGCTCGGGGGGAAATAATTTTATGACAAAATAAATTTAGGAAAGGCTGCTTACTGTGGCCCCCTTTAGGTGCTTCGTATGATGCTTTGGCACATTAAAGGCTCTGACAAGTTCTGTAGAGAAGACATTTGCTTAATCTACAGACTTTACACTTGACAATGGACTCTGATGTGACATCTCTGAGCATCACATCAAACCAGTGACCTACAGTATCCACACTGGGGAAATGTGAAATAGAGGATGCATAACTGCTTTCCTTGCTCTAGGAGTTTCTAGTTTGAGATAAAGAGCTCCTGGATGGCAGGAATAATACCTCACACAGTGGTGCTGATAAAATATTGCATGAAAGGAAGAAGTTCATGATTGCTTCATGCCTGTGGATAATCTAAAAAGAATCCCTAATCTTTCTATTTTACCAGGTGCTGTATGATGTACCTGGTAATTCTTATAACCATTTATCGATCACATACTATATGCCAGATTTTGAGGGTGCAGATATAAACAAACTAATTCTCTGTTCACCAGCATTTCCCAGCCTCTAGGGGACCTGGCACTAAACAGCAAGTGCCATAACAGAGACCTATGCAGAGAATGGTGGATATTGGGCTTCTTTTGTTTGCCTTTTTACCCTTTTCCACCCTGCTCTGGCCTCCAGACCCTGATCCATATGGACCATGTCAGCAGACTTCCTTGTCTTTTTGCTGCCTGTTGTTTCCAGCCAATGAAAGGCAGCAGCAAGATACTGGAGAGTCAGAGAGAAGTGAGGTTGAGATTTTATTCTCTTGGCTCCCTCCTTGACAGGTCACTACAGTGTGGGTGTGTCCCTTTTTCAAGGCTCCTGCCAGGGAATCTTGTCTATACTTCTAGCCTCTGTGAATGTTATAATTGCTCTTCCTCCCTTTGCAGCTTCAGGACTAGAGGTAGTAACAGCTCTCCAGTATTGCTGGTCCCAGGTGCTGTACTATGCTTTGTCAGTTTCCTTTAACCCTGCCCATTGTAATGCACACTCCATTGTAAACAGTCTCTTAATTAAAGTCTCCTTATGGTGTCTAGTTTGAGTGTGGCATTTGTTCTCAATTGGGACCCTGACTAATGCATGATATGAACATAGAGAGTGGTGTGGTTGATACACAGAGGTGAGGCAGGAAGCTAAACCTCAGGAGAGGAGGGTGATGATTAGTAAAAGTTTCACAGAGGAATAAACATGAGAGCTGCATTTTGAAGGCCAACTAGGAGGTTTCCCATAAGATTTTATATTGATGAGAGATGCACCTGAACAAAGATATAGGGGTAATCAAAGGTAAAATCCACGCCAGGAAATAATAAGTCAGAACTTTGTCCTGGGGCAAGGAGGAGTTGCTAAAGAGGTAAGCTTTACAGCAGTAAACTTTAAGAATAGCTTAAAGTTAAATGATGCTGGCTCTTCCAGAAAATCATTCTCCCATGTCTGAAGCTGGCCATCTTGGAGGATGTGAAGGTAACCTCTGGTCACAAATTCTTCAGGATTCAATGACAAAGATGCTGCAAATAAGCCCTGGTAGCTCTGAGATTGCAAACAAATAGCCTATAGGCAAGATTGGAAATGCAAAGAGTTATATTGGACCCACAAAGATCTTTGAGAAGAAAACTCAAGGCAACACTTACAAATTGAGATAGCGTACTTCAAAACTCTGACTTCTTAAACATGAAGAGAGAAAGAGATAGTCTGGCAACACCATGCTTGCATTCCCACTTGGCAGCAATCAGTTGGAGCTGGGATGCTCTCTCCAAGGCTAGCATAGGTCCTGTAGTTTTCCACAGTCCCCACCACTCCCTATTGACCTGGTCTTTGTACTGTTCTCCGCAAAGCTCTATAAAAATTATCCACTGAACTCTATAATGATTTAGATTGATAACCCTGGATATAGAAGATACAGCCCCATCTATAAATTCTCTACTGTTCCTTTTCCCTCTGCCTGTGCCTTAGTTAAACAAAGAACTTTTCAACACTCTGACATGTCTTTCTCTGGATCAGTGTCTGGGAAAGGCTGGAGCATGTTTTTGCCTCACCACCTTTGTGCAACTTACACACAGCCTTTTTCTTAAGTGGGCAGAAGGTGGGTTTGATCTGCCTCTCATGATCAGAGCTGGCAGGATTTTAAAAGACTTCACCAGAAAAACGCTTGTTCTTTGATATACGATGCCAGCCCCAGAAGGACTCTGGGAGCGTCAAAATCATCCCCCTCATTTTACAGATGGGGAAACAGATGGAGGTAATGGTAGGACTCACACAGGCCCACACAGTGAATAAGGGGTGGAGTGAAAGAGAAGGGAACCAACATTTGGTGGCTCACTACTAGGTGCTTCATAGGGGAGGGTTGTGTTCTTTTCATAATCAATTAGATAGTTCTTAATTCCTTTTTACAAATGAAGTGATGAATGCTTGGAGAAAATGAGTAAGATATCAGAGGTCACATGGTCAAAATAGTGTAATGTTTTTGAACTTAGGGGCCCCAGAGTCAAATAATGGGCATAGGTGCCAATATCAGCTCTGCTACTGACAAAAAAGAAGTCACTGACTCATTCCACTGACTGTTCCTAAAAGAACACTCCAGATTTCTAAGCTCACAGAGCGAAGTTGTCTTGGACACTAAAGGGTTATCATGACAGGGACAGTCTCTCCTCTCTATAATGGAAGCTACCATAGTGTGACATTGAAATGGGACAGCCTAGGTTCATAACCCATCCTTCCATTTACCAGCTTTGCATCCTTGACTAAACCACTTCACCTCTCTGAGCCTTAGTGTTCTAATCCCTAAAATGAGAACAGGATGTCTCTCAATGGAGGGGGGGTGGTTAAGAAGATCAATGCAATAATATTGTAAAGTGCCTTGGAAATCGTAGACTGTGCTTTAAAGATTTGGTCCTGCTTGGGTTGGCGGGGGGTGTGGTTCTCAAGACCATCCACTGATTTACTAGAAGCACTCACAGGACTTAGCATGCAGTTGTACTCATGGCTAAGGCAACACTATAAGGATTCACAATCAACCCAGTAAAGGAAAAGACACAGATAAGGGTCTGGAAGCCATGTGCAGGCTTCCTATGTTCTGTTCCTCCTATGGAAGATCACACAGAACACTGTTTCCAGTAGCAATAATGCAGGAATTCATTTGTAATATTTATAATGCCCAGTGTAGCCAGTTTGAGATTTAGAGTTTAGAGTGGTTTTTAGGGGCTGCTCATATCGATTTTTCTGTCTAGCAACAACCAAAATTCCAGACTCTCAGAAAGAAAGCAGGTGTTCACCATAAATTACATTGTTTCTATAAACAGTCAAGGCACAAAGAATCAACCTTATCAGTTAGGGAATGGAGGAGACATTTTAAAAGCCAAGTTCCCAGATGCCAGCTAAGGAGCAACTTGCAAACAGGCCTTTAAAAGATTACATCCTCAGCCTTGCTGTTTTAATTCTTTTCTGCAAAGACTCCCTTTCGGAACACTTTTGCTCATTCTACAAATCTTTTTGAAGCTTCTATTCAGTTTCTGGGACCACAAGGCTAGATGTAGAGAACAGAAAGTTCTGAACTCAAGAAATGGGCAATCTTTGGAAGAACAAAGAAAAAAACCAAAGCAGTGACAATATAAGACTGTGCAGGACAGGAAACCTGTTGGTTTTTTCTACCTGTGCCCTTTCCCTGTTTCTGGGATAACAGTATCCCCTCCTTCTCTTTGGAGAACTGCACCACCATCCACCCAAGAAATTCTCTGCTAAGACTGTCAATCGCAGATGACCATGGACACTTGCATATAAGCCAAGCCTGGCCAATGACATTCTATTGGCCACCAAGGGACAGAAAGTAGTTGAGACTGTGTCACCCATGGCAATGTCGTAGAGAGACCATTTGCCAACTCCTGCTTTTATGGTCCCTAAAGCTTGACTGGTCCATGCCCTTTCAGAAGCCTGGTGGTTTCTTCCAATAACTCCTTGTTCTGATTCAAATGAGCTAAAGTTGTTTTTTGACATTTAGACCCTAGCTGGAACCTGCAGGAGAAATGTCTTTGCTGGAGAAGAAGAGTATTGTGGGATATGTATCAGGGACAGCTATATCCTAACAAAATGTAAAATGGGAAGGGATGGCACTGAAATTGCAATCACTAAGATGGGCAGGGAGCATATTCTATGTGCAGAGAGTATCATACCCAAAGGCCCAGGAGTGTGAGGGTGCAGAATGAGTTTGAGCAACTGAGAAATTCAGCATCTGAGGTGCTGCCTGGAAGCAGTTGGGGTAGACAGTTTTGGAGATGAGATGGGGTAAGCCAAACCACTGAAACTTGCATGCCACTTGAGGGAGTTTGGATTTTATTTTGCAAGCAAGCATGGAAAGATGCATATTTTGGATAGATTATGCTGACTACAGGGTGGAAGCCTCATGAATGGACATCTGGAGAAAGCCATTATCAAGATCACTTTATCAGAGAACTTTTATGCTCTTATCTGCATTCCTCTTCATCCATTCCAGAATGAGGGAGGGCAAAATCTATCTCCATTTTTACAGATGGGAAAGTAAAGAACCACCTAGAGGGAGACTAGAGCTACAACATGATGAAACGGGGTCTCCACACAATGACTCTTGATCTGGAGGGTTTGTCATTGCCGTGAGTAAACCAGGGTCTCTCCCTGTGTACCCCGAGGCAAGCCAATGGGTCTAAAACTCAAATGATTCATAGGCCTAGCAGGTAACAATAAATGAGCATTTATTTTTATGCATCTCTTTATTTACTGGCCATGTGGGCCAGTAGGGGTGGAGATGGGAATGAACTGCTAGCAAAAAGGGGGAAGTGTGACTAGATATCAAGGGAAGGTGGAAGTCTGAATTTTATGTGAAATGTTCTTATTTTTAAGCGCTGTGCTGGTCAAACTAAAACATTCCCACCTGCAGGCCACAGGTCTTCAGCCCCTACGTTAAATTTCCACCAAGCCCCAGCTAGGGTTGCCAGATTTAGCAAATAAAAATAAGATGTCCAGATAAATTTGAATTTCAGACAAGCAATGAATAATATTTTAGTATAAGTGTCTTAGTCTGTTTGTGTTGCCATAAAGCAATACCTAAGGCTGGGTAATTTATAAAGGAAAGAGATTTATTTGGCTCCTGGCTCTGCAGGCTGTACAAAAAGCATGGCACTGGCATCTGCCTCTGGTAAGGGCCTCAAGCTGCTTCCACTCATGGCAGAAGATAAAGGGGATCCTGCTTGAACAGCAATCCCATGGTGAGAGAGGAGGAAAAAGAAAGAGAGGGGGGATGTGTTAGGCTCTTTTAAACAACCAGCTCTTGCAGGAAATAACGAGCGACAGCTCACACTTACATACCCCACTCCCCCAGAAGTTGTTAATCTGTTCATGAGAGATCAGCCCCTGTGACCTAAACACCTCCAACACTGGGGATCAGATTTCAACATGAGGTTTGGAGGGGTCGAATATCCAAACCAAATATGGCACGGAGCATACTTGTGCTAAAAATTATTTTTTTGGCTTTTTAAATCTAAAATTCAAATTTAACTGGGGTTAGGATTAAGGTTAAGGTTAGCAACCCTATCCCCACAAACCTGCTTTTGCCTTACCCAACACAGAAAAAATAAACTGGCTTCATCTTCACCTCCAGGCTCATCTGGGGCCTGTGCTAATTCTGCACCTTCATCAATAACTCTTGCTGCTCAGCCCACAATTCCCCTTGAGGTCTATCCTGTCACCTTCTCCTATTGCCGTTGATGGATGGGGACCACAGAGGCTTATTAGAGATATCTGGAAGAGCCCCATGCAACTGGGGCTTGGAACATCCACAGCACAACGCCTATGCCATCCAAAATTGACAGCAATGCAATATTGGGCTGAATATTGAATATCTTCTGTCTTTTGATCTTGTAAGAGGGGAGGAAATCCTCCCGACCCTCACAAAGCTAGGAGCTCTGGTTATCTGGTGCTGATTAGAGACTCCGGAACAGCTCGTTGGGATCCGGCTCCCTCAGTTCACAGATAAGACGATAATATGTCGTGCTTACCTGGATGTGTTACTTGGGAGTATCCAAACAGCCAAATGCAAAGTTTTCTTCCTCTGCCCACCAGGTAGACAAGCCCCTGGTTGCAAAGAATCTTTGTAAATGGCTGGGTAATTGGAGGTGTCCTGATTCTCATTCTTTCTTCTAAATGCCCTTCCTGTTTGTCTTTGAATGTCCTGCTGATGAATGGCCCCAATGTCAGGCAGAGATGAGGTGATAGGAGTGGAGTAAGTCCTGTGACTCAGCTTATTTCCTCTGCCAGGCCCAGCGGCTCCAATACCCACTTACCCGTCTTTCCCATGCCTCAAGGGAGAAACTCAAATGTCCCTGTGCCCCTAGGGCAAAAATGACGAAGACTCACCAAACTTCTCTGACACTGGGAATGTTTGCCTCCTCTCCCCAACCTGCTTCTCTGACCATTTGAGTCTTCTATGGTTCAACCCTTTGTTTCTCTCCAAAACTGATTCAACTACTAATGGGCCTCCCTGACACCACCCCCTTCTGCCTTCAATCCAGGCTCAGATGAGCCTGAAGTGGGGAGAATTTGGGGTCAGAACGAGCCAGTTTGGAATCTTGGCCATTCCCTTGGAATGCTGTGTGACTCTAGACAAGTTACTTCACTTTTCTGAGGCTTATTCTCTTCATTTGTGACCCAAGGATACTCATTCCAAGCTCACAGTATTTTAGGAACAATTAAATTTTGTATGTGATACCGGTGGTGGGTAAGACAGGAGGAAACAGTTAAGGTTGCAGAGAATGTTAGCTTTTTGAATACTCCCTGTGTTCCAGACACTGTATCAATTTATAAGTTAATCACTTTGTATAGATTATGAACTATTTAATCCACACATCCTTCCCCATGCAATAGAAATTGTTTTGGGTCTCTATGTTACATAAGAGGAAACAGGCTCACCAGGTTTTTATTGAGCACTTCTTATGTGTTAGGCTCTATACCAGGATCTGACAATGCAATAAATAAAACGGGCACACTCCTCTTGAAGTTTATATTTGGCTGGAGGAGACAGATATTAATAAAATAAAGAGATGCATAAAAATAAAATTACAAATGCATGAGTGCTGTGAGCAAAATATAGAGGGGGCATCACTCCGATTTAACTCAAACTCCTGATTGGGTCCAAGATGTTGATGGAGTTCTTCCCCCAGGAAATGACATTTGAGCTGAGAGTTGAAGGCTGCTGCCTTAGTTTGAGTTCTCCAGAATCTGACCCTGAAACAAAGATTTGAATAAAAGTAGCTGATTCAGGAGATGATCCAGGGAAGCACTTGTAGAGGAGAGAAGAGATGAGACAGGGATAGGAAAGAACCAATAGAAGGTGCATTATCCAGCCAGGAACCATTCTAGGGAACTAGAGTTCCCATCTGGAAAATCTGGGAGGCTCTGTAGAGCATACTGCAGCCTCCAACTCCCGTCACTTAAGGGATGAGAGGGTCAGAGTTGTTCTCTCCTAATTCTCATCGGTCACTGGTTAAGGGATGCTTCCAGAGAGCATTAATCCTGGTGTGCTTTGTGCAAGAGCAGCCAGGGTTCAAGTGCCCAGGAGAAACATTCCAAGGGTGCTGGAAAGGGCTGCTGGCAGTTGATAGTTGGGTGGGCATGCACAGAAATGGTAAGTGCAAGGGGCTGTGGCAGGGCACCAGCAGCGTTCACTGTAGATGTGTAAGTATCAACTGCACACAGATTTGGAGAGATGGGGAAGTCTTCCAAGTAGAAGACACTGCTTTTGCACGGGCCCTAGGTGGGAAGAAGGAACTTGTCCCCCATCTTATTTATAATAAGGAACTTGTCCCCGATCCTGTTTCTAATAAGCAGTAGACCCAGGTTCAAACTGGGGCCCAATTGACTCCAGAGCCTTAATTTCTAAGACTTCCTGTCTCTATTCCAGCAGAGTCCAACAGGATCCAGAGACAGAAACTGTCAGATCACCCGCACGCTGGCTTCCCAAACCACGATTTAATTACAGCACCAGTGCCAGGGGCTTTGAAAGTCCCAGACTAGGTGTTTAAAACACAGGAAGTAAGAAGGATTTTGCTGTGACTCCCTTCCCCTTCAAGGACTGCTCCCGGGGACACATCAAATCCCCAGCCTCCTTTCATCCTCCTTTTGCTTTTCTAGCTCTTTAGCTGTGGACTGTTTTTTTCTCTTCCAGATAATTATTTACACAGAAGGAGAATAATTAGCAGCCCAGGAAACGCCGCTTTGTTCTCAGCTCTCTGCCCCTGCCTGCCTCTCTTGTCTGAAGTGGCGCCTCTGCTGGGAAGAGAGACATCAAAGCCTGCGGAGGAGGCTTTACGCAGAGAGGGATTTTCTTTGTCTGGCTGAAAAGCAAAGAAAGACAATCTTGGCTTGTTTGTCTCTCTACCCCCTGACTGCTGCTGTGTCTCAGGCCTGAGGACCTGCCAGTGGCCCTGCAGAGGTTAGAATAACAGATTGCTTTCCTGGGTGGCTGTTTTCCCTCTTGGGCTCAATCTGTCTCCCTTGACCCTCTTGCCTTTTGGTCTCCTGTTCATGAAGGGTGTGTTCTGCCATCTCAGAAAATATCAGAGGTGAAAGAACATGGCCTCAAAAACACAAACTCAAATGCTTTTGCAGTCAGCAGGTTGTGGGCTGAGTGAGGCAGGCAAGCATAAAATAAGGGGAAGAGGGAGGTGGGGTCTCGGGTGGCTCAGAGAGTACATGCCCCTTCTAAAACCTGTTTGTCATTGCCATGTGGTAATAGGGGCCCAATGTTGCTGACCTCCCAATTTTCCTAAAGAAGTTGGACATCTGAATTTTCTCATGACATTTTATGTATTGTAAAATACTGTGAGGGCTAAATGAAACACCAAAAGAAGGTCTGGATCCATTCCCTGACCACCAATTTGCAATGACTGATCTGTTCCAATTCTATCTTCTTACAGATAAGGGAAACAAGCTCAGACAGGATTAGTAACTTAGCCAAGATCACATGTAGGTGATGAGGTCAGACTGGAATCTGAGCCTTCTAGTATGTTATGGCTGTTCTCATCACTTCACAATCAGCATTATGTTATGCGAGGCACACAAATAGTTATCAACTAAATAATTAATAACAATATTTACTTTATATTGTCACTACTACGTTTTAGCACAGTGCTAGGTGCTATGTAGCCTAGATATATTCATTAGTACTCTTTTGGTTGCAAAGGACAGAAACTCAACTCAAAATATTTAAGCAAACAAAGGATAGATTGGCTGCCACATGCAAAGGTGCATGAGCTTTGGGTCACACTCATCATCAGTTTGCTTTGCTATCCCACATTCTCTCTCCTTTTTTTTTTTTTTTTTTTTTTTTTTTTTAGATGGAGTCTTGCTCTGTCACCCAGCTGGAGTGCAGTGGCGGCGCAATCTCGGCTCACTGCAACCTCTGCCTCAGCCTCCCGAGTAGCTGGGATTACAGGCACGTGCCACCATGTCCGACTATTTTTTTGTATTTGTAGTAGAGTTGGGGTTTCACCATGTTAGCCAGGATGGTCTCAATCTCCTGACCTCGTGATCCACCTGCCTTTGCCTCCCAAAGTGCTGGGATTACAGGTGTGAGCCACCGCACTTGGCCAGGCAGTGGTTCTTAATTGGAGACAATTTTACCCCCAAAGGGATCTTGGCAATGTCTGGAGACATTTTTGGTTGTCCCAGCTTGGGGTTGCAACTAGTATCTAGTACACAGAGGCTAAGGGTGCTGCAAAATATCCAAGAATGTACGAGACAATTCACCACAAAGAATTGTCCAGCCCAAAATGTCAATAATGCTGTGGCTGAGAAACCCTGTTCTAAGCATTTACAACTAAAGAAGCCTCATGGACATTTATTCAAAGCAGGTAGATGGGCCACAGTCCTGCCTCCCTTCAGGACCTTGTCCATTTGCTTACAATAGGGTGGGGCAGGCAGAAGGATCACAGCTAATCCCACCTCTTGGAAAAGGCACTCCACACGCTGGTGGCCAAAGCGGGTTCAAGCTGGTAGGAAAAAGCTGGCCATTCACAGAGTCAGCTCAAGTTCTAGCAAGCATGATCTGTGGGAATCCAAAGTGTCCCACAGGCAGGGCACCGAAGAGATCAGAGAAGGGGGCACCAGGGGAGTCTGTTTCAGTATCCAGCCTCTGTGCTGGGGTCCAGGGCCCAAGAGGACCTGGAAAGACTGAGGCAGAGATAGAGATCCAGGCCAAAGTGTCTGAGAAAAACCAGAGCACAGGTGAGGGCTGAGGGAACAGAGGGCAAAGCGGAGGCCCAAGTGGAAGATCAGATTATGGGCCAGTGCAGACAAATACCCAAAGTCAGCCCCAAGGCATGGGTGCAGCAGAGGCTTAAATATGGCCCATCTGTAGGCAAGCTCGGTCCTTCAGGCTGAGGAGCAAGTGTGGGTGAAGATCAAGTCCTTACAGGTGTAGAAGGGTACAGGCATGCACAGGTTAAACCCAGGCATATCTTGACTAGTAGAAAATCAAGCCAAGACTTTAAGAATGTATTGTATGTGTATATGTCTGTGGATATGTGTGTGTGCATGTTTCCATTTGTGTATGTATGTTTATATGTTTCAGTGTCTGTGCATTTACCAAAAAGCATATGAAGTGGCTCTCAGTCTAAGACACCCCTGACACATAGTGGGTGATCAATAACTGCTTTGCTGAATGACAGTAAAGTGTACTGAGTACAAAGCTATTATTGTCTATAAAGTTCATAAGCTAATGTTTCTCTAGGATCAGCAAACAAAAAAGATGTTTATGCTGACTTGACTATCTCATCTCAACGGTTTGTTAATTCATTCAATTATTGTATTATTTTCTAATCTAAGCACCTGCTTCATGCTCCGTGCTCTGCTCCTACTGAGCATATAGAATAATGAACAAGACAGGCACATTTTTCCTGGAGTTTATGGATGAGTTGGGGAGAAAAACACTAAAGATATGTTAATTGTTTAACTGATGGCCGCTGTCCTTATTAGGGACTGTTAGTTCATCCTAATGGAGTTGGTTGGGTTTGCAAAGAGAGAGAAAATTTACTTATGTCCACCATATTTGAAGGATTGTCTTTAGTATAATGGATCCTCCTCCCCCCACAAAAACTACTCTTTAATGTCTTAAGATGCCATAATAGGCTTTCAGCTAACAAATCAAGAAATAAATGATTAGGAAAAAGAAGAGCTTTAATTGCTATCACACTATTTTTAGTTCTTAACCCTTTATGGTTTGAGCTGGAATCTATAGTCACAGTTTCCCCAGGTGACAACTGGGAAGCCTAATGGTCGAAGGAAAACATAGACATTCCAGCAAAGTGGTGTTTAGTGTTGAGGGGCAAACTTTGGATTTTGGGGTGGAGTTGTTGGGATGGCTGAAAAATGGGAAATAGAGTCAGCTCCATGTTGATCAGAGATGGAAACCAGCTAACCATCCCTGTCTGATGTGCAAAGAGACCTGGACCTGAGTCAGGCATCTCACATTCAAGCCCTGACTGCCCCCTCTGGCTACCTGATATGGGGCACTTTGGGTCATTTTGTATTCTTGGCCACCTGGATGATCTCCTCTGAAGAATGGGGCTAATCACCTTCACCTGTTGAGAGGGTGGTTTGAGCATCACCAAGATTGTTTGTGGAAGCTCTTTTCCAATGTTGAGGGGCGTTCAGCATACGAGGTAATATTTTCATTGTTCTCTTCACGCATCGGGTTCTTCTCATTTCTGCCACTTGTTTACACCTGTATTCTTGGCACTTCTGCCATTCCACATGAGTAATTTCTGAATGAAAACTGCTTCTCAGCTGGAAGGCCTTGGAGTCTCTCATTTATTAATCTGAATATCATTCAAGTCAACATATGTTGTTTTCTAGTTGCACCAAGTAAATCATTCCAGGGCTGGAATCAATGATCTTTGGTGTTGGAACGGTGTAACAGCAGAGAAGATGGAAATTTAGGGCACATGTAGAATCATGGCATAATTTAAGAAGAGGCACAGTGCTGGGTGTCCATTCCCTGAAGGCCCCATCTCATGGGTTCACACAAAACCAAGATCCAGGATGTTGAGACTGCGACCTGGCTTTGGAAAGATGAATTATGGATGGAGGCTACCCTGTGTTCCTGTCCTGCTCCATCTGTCTTCTCCCGTTCAAGCCCTGATTTCTACATGGCCTTTTCTCTTCAGGGGACCTTGAGTGGTTGGGACAGAATACCAAGCACAGGGCTTGGCCTTGGGGATTGCATTCTAAGGATTCAAAGCCAGCAGGGGGATTCTGACCCAAGGCAGCATGGCATGTACTTTGAGCCAGAAGAGGCTGTGTTTTCTCCATCTATTAGCCAGGCATATTTTATTTGTGAGAGACAAAAGGGTGAACTCAACCTACCTTAAGCAAAAATAAAATTATTAATAATAGTAAAATAAAAATGGAATGGTAGGATTTATTAGCTCATGTAACTAGGGAGTCAAAGGAATGGAACCAGTTTCCGACTTGACTGGGTCCAGGGGCTCAGGAAATATTGCCAGGGTTCTGCTTTCTCTCTAGCTGTCAATTCTGTTATGGCTCTTGGCTTGGTTTCTATTCCAATAGCTTCTTCATACCTGATAGCCATTAGACCCCTGGCCCACTATTATTCTAGCAACTCAATACCCCCAGTGAAAGAAAGAACAAGTTCTCCCTGAAATCCTTGTTAGAAAAGTCTCCCTAAGGACTCTGGTTGTCCCAATTTAGATACCTTCCCATCCTCAATCACTGGGGACACAACTGGATGACATCACAACTCTGTTGTTGAAGATGATGGCAGGAAGGTCAGTCCCACCCATACCAGATGGAAAAGGTCTCTGACTCAAGAGAGTTATACTGTCACCAGAAGAAGGGGGTAAGAGAAAGATGGAATCTGGACAGACAGAAACAACAAATATTCATCATATCAAATAATGTTTCATGGATCCTAAGCCCCATGAGATGATCCCCACACAGAGAAGAAAAGTTCCATGCTCAAATTAGTTTTGAAAACACTGCTGTCTCAATTGCCTCTTATTTTAAAGGCTCTGAGAAGTCCTGTATTGAAGAGACCTCTTTTAATTTGTTTAATCCAGTATTTTCTTAAATGTTCTGACCACTGATTTTTTTTGTTTTTCAGCATCAATTTTTAAATCATGGAAAAATGATGGGCTAGGAAGGGCCAAGATTCAAATGTTGACAGCATCAAAGCCAAACAATCTGTGGTAGGAGTGAGGTTGGAGTTATTATTCTAGGCTGGAGTTGGGCAGAGGTGTGTTGGGAGTGTGAGCACTGTGGAAACAAGCAAAGAGCATCAGAAGAATGACCTTTCTCGGTGGTAGATGACCTTTCTCGGTGGTAGATGACCTTTCTTGGTGGTAGATGACGTTTCTCGGCAATAGGGACACAGGAACTGAGAGCTATGATAGTGCCACCTCCCTGGGGTCCCATCTCACTGTGAGCAGCAGAGAGATATTTGAGGATGGAGATGGATATTCATCTGGTGAGGCTAGAGAAGCCCATGATTGTAGCAAGGACTCCTTAGCTAATGAAGCTGTCTGCTCCAACAATTTGGAAGAACACAGCCACCCAGTATTCAAAGCAAAACTCCAACAGCCCCATCAAGGTGGAAAACAGAAAGCAGACCCTAACAGGACTTTGGTGCTATGGCCAGGATTCAGGGTCAGGACCTGGACCTGTCAGGATCCAACCAACAAAACAGAAACAAATCTATGGATTTAAAATCAGGAATTTGATAAAAGAAACTGGTTATACAGGGGATGGAAGGGCTGAGGAATTTACTAACAACCATGGGATATCACAGAGAACAGTACAGCAGGAAGCTCCTACCACCTCCTGGCTGGAGGGTCAAAGGACAGTGTTACTGGAGTCCAGGGTCTGGGGCTCCTCAGCAGAAGCTGGCACTACAGGGGGCCAAGCCAACAGTAGCTGGGGCTACAGAAGGTTCACAGTTGCCACTGGAGATGCTGACTGAATTGTGTGTGTGTGTGTGTGTGTATGTGTGTGCATATGTGGTATGTGTGTATATGTGTGTTCATGTGTGCATATGTGGTGTGTGCATGTGTATGTGTGAATGTATGTGTGTATATGTATGTTTGTGTATATGTGTGTATATGTGTATATGTAAAACTGTGTGTTTGTGTATATATGTATATGTGTATATTGTGTATATGTATATATGTATGCATGTGTTTATGTGCATATATGTGCATATGTGTATATGTATAAATGTATGCATGTTTGTATGTATATGTGTATATGTATATATGTGTGCATGTGTATATGTATGTGTGCATGTGTGTATGTATGTACATATGTGTGTAGTGTGCATGTGTGCGTATGTATAAATGTGTGGATGTGTGTATATGTATATTTGTGTATATGTGTATGTGTGTATACATATCTGTGTGTGTATACGTGTGTATGTGTGTGTTTAATCTTCTCCCTCTTTAGTCTACTGTCAGTATCTGCCATTGCTGAATCCAGACAGAAGCCAGTTGACCCAGGAGCCTCAAACACACCTGTGGGAGACAGCTCCTTTGCAACTTCCTGCATTGCAGAACAGAGCAGGGAAAAGGTCAGGAGGTCATGGACCAGCAGAATCCAGCTTCAAAACACAAGGTTAGGTGGTTTCTCTGATATTTCCTTAAATCAGGGGTTGGTGAACTTTTTCCTATAAAGAGCCAGGTAGTACATACTTTAGGCTCTGTGAGCCATTCAGGGTATTTGGTCTCTGCTGCAGCTACTCAAATCTTCTGTTGTAGTTCAAAGCAGCCATAGACCATATGTAAACAAATTATATGTTCTGATGAAACTATATAAAAACAAGGAGTGAGTAGAATGTGGCCCACAGGCCATAGTTCCCTGGTCCCTGCCCTAGAGAGCTCACTAAAGGACGCTGGGGATGTACGAATGCTTTACTTCTTTCAACAGGAACAGAATCCTGTACTGCACTGATCACAAGGCTAATAAAATAATCATTTAAAAGAAACATTTTTATGCTTAAAGTTGTTTCCCCAGAATTCTGACTAGCAAAGTCTGTCCTCAGCTGTCACAATAATCGACCACATTATTCTCACATGTGTCTTTAGGACATGCCAACACGTTGCAACCTAGTGCCATACACCTTCTCCAGCCTTTCCCAGGACAGCATGCAATTTCTTCTTCCAAGAGCTCCAGGCACAAGGGAAATGTGAACAACAGGGGGTTGATTTTGAATTGTACGTAATTAACCACAAGTCAAGGGCTGATCTCTCATTGCAGAGGCTAATTCTGTCTGTGGAATTGTGAGACTAATTCTATACAATGCATTCTTGGGGTTAGAAGATGGAGTTTGGGAGGCAGTGGCAACATGTTCAAGTGGAAATTGATCCAAAGTGGTGCAGACAGCTGCTTAGCCCAGGAAGACACCGTCCTCTTTCCCAAACTCAGGGCATCCTCAATGGGCACCTGAGCTTCCCTTGCCTATGAAAGGGGCTTGGTTCTAAATTTTGACACATTCCTGACATAGAATTTCTCCCTTGATGAACAACTTCTCTAGAAAACTCTCATTTCTTAGAATTCCAAAGTGGAAATGCTTATCCTGGCATTTGCATAATTCCTCTTTTCCCACCCTGGAGTTGGGCTGTTCTATACTTAATAACTCACACAATCTCCGTCTCATTCACTCCACATTTGGGTCCTCTTCCTTTAGTTCTTTTGACTCCATTTGCTAATGCTTCCAAGATCCATCATCCCAGTAGCCATTGCCTTTGAAGAGGTAAAGTAACAAGCAAGATGACATAGACTTGTTTGGCTGGAAGAGTCTTGACAGAATTTGCTGACCACGTGGCATTCACCACTTCTGGGAGTCAGAAAATGTCCTTGTCCAAGTCTACCTCATAGTGGGAAACAGTCCCAAAGGTTTTGGGAGGGCCTATATTATATTGTCCTTTTCTCCCAATTCTATAACCTTTTCTTTTATCATGGTCACTTATTTTAAAAAGGTGAAGAGGCAAAGAGAAGAGCTATCTTACTCACAAGTGTTGATATGCAACAAATTAATACTTTTAACCTGCTCCTTCCACCCTTAAATCTCAGCTTTGTCCATGTCTTAGTCCATTTAGTGTTGCTATAAAGGAATTCCTGAGGCTGCGTAATTATAAAGAAAAGAGGATTTTTTGACTCATGGTTCTGCAGGCTGTACAAGAAACAGTATCTGCATCTGGTGAGGGCCTCAAGCTGCTTCCACTCATGATGGAAGACAAAGGTGAGTGTATGTGCAGGGATCCCACAGTGAGAGAGGAAGAAAGAGAGAGAGGCAGGGGAGATGCTAGGCTCTTTTTAACAACCAGCGCTTGCAGGAAGTAATGAGTGAGAACTCAGTCATTACCATGAGGACAGCGCAAAGCCATTCATGGGGAATCTGTCTCTTTGACCCTAACACTTCCCATTGGGCCCCACCTCCAGTTTTGGGGATCAAACTCAACATGAAATTTGAGGAGACAAACATTCAAACTATTGCAGTCCCTGAAGCACAGTGGATACCGCATTCTCTCTCAGCTATCAATTTTAGTGTCCCTCCTTGTCAAATTACACTTCCACCTCCACCCTCAGCTTCATGCACTCACACATTTCTCTTGAGTTAATGCCTTCTCCTATTGACTGGCCCTCCAGCAACCACCTTCTCCCACTCACATTCTCATATCCCGTCCCCTCAAGGTGGTCCCTATCCCTACTCTCATCCTGGTTGATCTTGATTTTGTGAGCAGGTTATCAATATCAATTCATGATATTGCCTGTCTCCAAAAATCACTGGCATTAGAAGTTGGTCTGCCCTAGTACTTTGAAATAAATTACTTTGGACTGAAATAATTTTCTGAAAGTGATAGCATTTTTGAAAGCAGACATTCATTTTGTGCTTGTTTTACATCATCTTGAGGACCTTGAACAGTGTTGCATATGGTGTCAATAGTGAATAAGTTTTATCTCATTTGCCAATTCTAATTGATTGGGAGTGCCTGCATGGAGCCACATCCAGGTTCAGCAGGAAAGATTTCCATGATTGATTAGTAATGTCTGCCATGGCTATTTGGTTATAAGGGTGATGACATGCTTGCTACTTATCTGCCCTCCCTCTGATAGGTGTTCAACTATTACTTGCTGAAGCTGAGTGTGACATAAAGAGCTCAGGACCCAGAATTTTAAAAACTAGCATTTAAAATTAGTGTTACTGCTAATTAACTAGGTTGATACTGAGCAAGTTTCTAGCCCTCTGTGGGTCTCCATTATCTTAACTATTAAGGGAAGAGTTGAGACCAAAACAACAATACTTAACCTAAAGCCTCCAACCTTGCAAAAGCTTGTGAAGAAACTGATGGGCATTCCCCCAAATGAGTGTCAATATTTCAAAAAAACTAATAGAAAAACTGTAGCATGGTTAAGAATAACTTTGTAAAGGCAATGTCCTTTTGAAGCTAAATCCAAAAAAAAAAAAAAAAGTGACTTTGCAGTCAGATAAATCTGAGTTTTGAACCTAGTTTGGTAAGTTACAGAACTCCTCTGTGCCTCTGTTTCCTGAACTGTGAAATAAAGACAACTTTATGACAGTCTCATAAGGATTAAGTAAGATAAGCATTGTAAATCCCTCATCTGGGCTTTAGTAAGCACCCAATAAAATCATATTATTATTGATATTATGATTATTTTAGATGAGACAGGCCACTTATCTTTTAGAGGCATCATATTAACTGAGTGATCATTCGTTATATAGATCTGTGGTTATTCTGTGGGAAACATATCCTTTTTTTTTAGATGATCAGAGCAGTTTAGTTTGCTGGCTGCATCCTTTAGAACAAGGGGCCCTAGGGAAAGAGGGGAACATATCAAAGAGTCTTCTGATGTGGAAAAGGCCGGGAACCCAGGGGACGGTTGTCCTCTGAAGCTCTTTCTTATTTTGAACGTCTGCACTCCTCCAAATGCCAGAAATGTGTCTCTACAGGGCTTGGTACACGGGAGGCTTTCCTGATGGGAGGTGAAGCCATTCTGAGATTTTCTGTACTATTCTGTGACTCAGTGTACAGTTCACGTCCCCTGTCGGGCCAATTACCGACTTAAAATGTTGTTAGGAAAAGGCAGGCACGTTCATTATGTAGCAGTGAGCGCTCGGGCCCACTGGTTTTCTATTTATGCTGTTTGAAAAAGCCATTCTTTCCTAGTCCTTTGAATGTGCATGTCACCAAAAGGCTCCCAAATCACAGATTCTTCCCTGGTAGCTGTCCATCTCCCATTTCTCTGCCCATCCATCACCTTCTTCCACTCTGCAGGGGTCGGGCAAGACAGGAATTGCAGGGAACGAAGAGCTGAGTAGGAGTGGATGTTGTTGTTGGCAGAAATGTTACTTCCTGTGAGAAGGAAGAGAACAGAATAAAATGAGGCAGGAATTAATTGATCAAGTTAGATTCTTGTGGCTCAAATTGATGGGAGATCACAGGATGCCATACCTTGGTTAATTTCAATGAAGAACTTGAAACCATCAAATAAACCAACAGGTCTCCTTTGTGGAAGGTAGACAGGACCAGGAGTGAGGATACCTGGGTTCTAGTTAGGGCCCGTTTGACCTTGAGCAGGCCATCAAACCTCTCTAGCTTCCAACCTTTTCTTCTGCAAATTGAAATTGATGGATAAGATTTTCATTATGTTTCCATCCAGCACCTATAATTCATGGATATTTTATTTTATGAACTGAAAGTGGTTGAGAAACTGAGTTCTTTGGAGGGTTCCTATTTTGGCTTTATATAGACCCAGTCTCAGTACTTACAAGAGCTCAACCAGCTACGGCTGAGGATTTCAAAAATTTGAATACACTTTGGATAAATCTATATTTGTTGGAGGACAGAACTTAAAACTTCAGCAACCTGGAATACTATTTATTCATCTGGTCAATTAATCTTTCTTTAAAATTCTGTAATAAATATTTTATTGCAAGAAATACATACATAGGCACTTTTTTTTTTATTAATCCAAGTCTGCTATCAATCAGGAAACAGATTAATGCTTTTGCTTTGCTTTTCCTAAGCAAGCAGAATGAGCTCATCTCAGGCGTAGGATTAGTTCCTCCAGCAGTGTGCAGTCTTTTCTGCATCTTCAAGCCAGTTTGACATCTAAAGTCCTTGCCTCATTAGGTGCCTGCTGTTTAGTAAACCAGTCTTTTACTGTCTCCTACACTGGCTCTCCTAATTTTGTTTTTCTTTATTTTTTCTCTCTCTCTTTTAAAAAAATCACTTGCTCTTAAGTATAGGGCACAAGGTTTCCAGAAGGAAGCTTAGGAAGCCTAGATTTCTTGATAAGGTAAAATACAACTCCTGTCCCTCCTGCCTCTCCTCTTGCCTCATGATAAACCAGAAAGATAAAGAGTTTCAAAGTGGTTTGTTCTCTTTTCAAACACCACTTTCCACGATGGCTTTTCCCCTCCAGTCCAAAGGGAGTTGTTTTCCTTTCTCAAAAGAGAAAGCACCCCCTTTTCAGGGAAGCCATCAGCATCCCAGTATTTACTGATTTAATAATGACAAAGGTCTCCTTAGCAACCTCATTCTCACCGGATTAGAGTAGACAGGCCCTCTTCAATGCTCCAGGTCTTGCAAATCCCAGCCAAGACCAGAACATGGCTCTTTCCAACCTTGGTAAATGGAATATAATGAGGTTATACTTAAAAGCCCGAGATAGATGATAGTTTCTCCCCAAGTAACAAGGGAAGGTTGTCATGCTACAGAGTGGTCCTCTTTAACCAAGGGCTTGGTGGATAGAGGATCATATCAATCCCATCCTTAAATGAACTTAGTGTTTTAAAGAGAAAAAACACCGGGCTCTATACAATGCTTACCTCTCAGCTTTTGGTTGAAGCTGCAGATAATAATAAACAAAAGCTCTCAGTGTGGTGTCTGGCACACAGGAGGCAGTCACTAATGAAGCCTGAGGGGTGTGAACATCTACTAGACTGTGCTGTCTAAGAAGACAGGTGGCCAGTCTGCTTTACTCAGCATCGATGTTTAGCATGCTGTCTGATGCTTGAAAGTTTATGTTGCTTAAATGCACTTTATATCTGGGATCCTCAAGATCCCAGATGAGTTAAAAATCACATCATCACCCTATGTTTCGCAGATGAAAAGTGAGATTCAGAGGCACAGTCTCTGGACTAAGGTTCCACAGTCAGTGGCAGAGCCAGGCTGTGTCCCCAAGTCCCATCGACATTGGTGCCAAAGCTCTAGACCACTCTATTAAACCGTCTCTATAAACAGTAGCTCTTTCTCTGGGCTCTGTGAGGAAAAAATCAAGGCTCAGTTCCTCTCCAGTGCTCTCAGCTCTGTTTATCAACCAACTTGGAAGAAGCAATTGCAATGAGGAGATTCCTCTCAAGGAACATACAGTGTCCTTGTTGCTTTGAAATTTTCTAACTCCACCTCATCCCATGCTCCCTGGAAGTTGCCTACAAATTTGAAGCCTGAATGATCCCAGGTTCAACACAGCTTGTTCTCGTTCACAGAGGAGAGCTCATTTTCTGTTGCTTCTCTGACATATGTTTATCCAAATTAATCATAGTAACAGGGGATTGTACATCTCTGGCATGGGGCTCTGCTGCTTGGGCAGATTTTCTCGGCAGGGAAACTGAGCGGGCACACAGGACTTGCAAAAGGGGTGGGCTCAGAGATAATTTAATTGAGCTCTGGTAAGAAACTGTCAGCCCCTTTCCACAGGGCAAGGATTATGGAATAAGAAGGAGGTAAAAATGCAGAAAGCAAGTGATACAACAGAACTCTGTCCTGGGGCTGCAGGATTTATTCATGGTCCTGGGACTCCTTGCTCTGTGATGCTAAGCAGTGGCCTGGGAAAATAGCAGTCACCCAGACTAGAAACCCCAGAGGCATCCAGGCATCCTCTCTTTTTCTCCGCCTCCACATCCAATTAGTTTCTAGGTCCTTTCATAGCCCTTCCTGTTGGCCCGAGTTCACCCATTATCATCTCTTACCTAGACTTTTTCATCAGTGTTTCCATTGTCCCCCAACCCCTCCCAGTTCTCCTTTCTGTTGCATCATCTCTTTTGCAGCTGGTGTGATTTTTTTAGAAGGGAAATCTACTCAGAACCCATCAAAGATTTCTCACATCTGTATCATAAAACCAAATCTGGAAGCCTGGCATTCAGATTCCTTCATAGCTAGTCCGGGTCTGATTCTGTGGTCTCATCTCTTGGCACCCGGACTCAGTCTCTTGAGCATCAGTAGACTTCCTCAACTCCATGTCACTGGGTCTTGTTTCCTTTACCTACAAATGCACTCCAGCCCTGATCACCCTTATGCAATTCCTAGGAGTTAATGCTTCATTGTTTCCCAAGGGATGCAACCTAGCTCTCTAGGAAAATTTTTAGGCAACTATGAATTTGGGGTTCACTACCAAAGGGCTCAAACATATATTTGAGGACAAATTAAGAACACCCTTGCATTAATATAGATTACAGTAATAAGACGGTGACCAGGATGATAGGGGATTCAAGCATGGGCTTTTGAAATAGACATGGGTGTAAGTTCCAGCACTGGCACCAGCCATGAGGCCAGGAGCAAAAAATGCTGAACCACTTTCCTCTGTTTTTTCCTCTGTAAAATAGGTATAGTAATATTACCTACCTTACTTTTTAATTAGGTAAAACATCTAATGCTGTATCTTTCACAGAAATGTGTTTAACAAGTAGTAGCAGTGATGATGAGGATGGTTGATGATGATGACAGTGATATTAGCATAACCCAAGCACATTTTGGAGTACTACATGGTCCAGTTTTGGAGGAACGTGACATTCAAAGAATCAGTCTAGCAGCCAAAAGGCACTAAAAGGCATTTCCAATATTAATCTTAAAAAGACACCCAATTCGGCCGGGTGTGGTGGCTCACGCCTGTAATCCCAGCCCTTTGGGAGTTCGAGGCGGGTGGATCACGAGGTCAGGAGATTGAGACCATCCCGGCTAACACAGTGAAACCCCATCTCTACTGAAAATACAAAAAAAAAAATTAGCTGGGCGTGGTGGCAGGCGCCTGTAGTCCCAGCTACTCAGGAGGCTGAGGCAGGAGAATGGCATGAACCCGGGAGGCAGAGCTTGCAGTGAGCCGAGATCACGCCACTGCACTCCAGCCTGAGCGACAGAGCGAAACTCCGTCTCAAAAAAAAAAAACCAAAAAAAAAAACCACCCAATTCATAACTCACAACATATGTTTAAAGCCTCCTTTTCCAATACCTCTTATCCTTCCATACAGTAGCAGCTTCAAAGTGATTCCCTTCCTAACCTCTCCACAATTCTCAACACTTAATCAAAAACTCAGCAAGCTGCCAACTTTTCCTCTTCTTTCTTTCTTGTTCTTTTCATCTGTGGACTAAATCTCTCCACTCCCACCCCTTGGTTTCTCACCCCTCATGAGTTTTCCTTTTTGCATAATAAATGTCTGGTGGGGATGATGGGAATGCTGAGTGAACAATGAAAACATTTTCCTTAGTAGGGGAAGGGAGGGAAGGAGTGAGAATATACATCCATTAATCCCAGTGTTTCTGTTAAAACAGCAACAGGCCAACCTATAAAATGACACAAACACTAAATTGCTGAATTGCCACCATTATCTTTGGTAACCAGCCCAATAAATTGGGATGACCTTTCTTAGTCGACAAGAAGATAATGTATGAAATTATCAATACCATCTCAAAACAACCTGCAGCCAAGTTGGAGGGAATCCCATCCTCCAACCTGTGCCTTTAATCCCTAAAAAGCCAACCCACAAAACAGCCAACAACAGACACTGGGGAGGTTTAGAATAGTGAAAAACCACACCCAATTTCCATTCCAGCAAAGTCTACTAAAACAACAAGAAGAAAAATACACCTTTCAACATAGCACTTGCCTTTAAAAATTCCTTCCACAAATGACCTCAAACATATATCCAAAGATGCATATGCAAGGATATTCATTACAACATGATAGAAGCAAAAGGCTAAAAACAATCCAAGTGTTCATCAAGAGGGACTGGTTAAAAAATGATGGTATATTCATGCAATGGCATATTACGGTGGTATTTTTGTGCTAATACAGAAAGATCCTCAAAATATGTTTTTAAGTGCAAAAAGTAATGTGTAGAAACATTTATTTAATATGCTCAAATTTGTTTTTGTAAAATTCACACAAATGCATACATTTTTAAGACACATACCTTTAAAAAATTGTGCATTTTATATTCCTGCTTGTCCATGCATTAAAAATATATCAGGAAAGATAACAAGAAATCACTGGGAATGATTACCCATGGGGAATAGGGCCAAGAGTAGAAGTACGAAGGAAACATTTTTCACTGCATGTCTTTTTATACTTCTTTTTTCACAGGCAAGTCTTACTTTATAATGAAATTTTTAGGAAGAAAATTGCACTCACTTGGAGACAGACTTGGATTCAAATCCCATCTCTTTCCTTATTAGCTATGTGACTTGGCAAAGCATTTCACTGCTCAGACCTCTGGTTTCTCACTGTAAAATGGGACCAATTACAAGAGATCGAGACCATCCTGGTTAACACGATGAAACCCTGTCTCTACTAAAAATACAAAAAATTAGCCGGGCGCGGTGGTGGGCGCCTGTAATCCCAGCTACTCAGGAGGCTGAGGCAGGAGAATGGCGTGAACCCGGGAGGTGGAGCTTGCGGTGAGCAGAGATGGCGCCACTGCACTCCAGCCTGGGCAACAGAGCGAGACTCCGTCTCAAAAAAAAAAAAAAAAAAAAAAAAAGGGACCAATTATCCATATCTTCTCTGGCTGTGACACTATGTACCTAAAATACCTAGCATGCATCTTGTAGATAATAGGTACTCAATAAATTGTAGTTTTCTGCTTTGATCACTGTCTTGAAGTCTTACTTGTCATGTAAGTATTAAATATGTAACACGCGCTTTGTTCCTGCAGGTGACCTGTCTCCCAACCTTGCATCTTTATCTCCCTCTCTCTCAGAACCATATCTATCCTTAAACTTAATAGCTTGTCAGGTTTACCTTCAATACTTGCTTCTTAACATCACTTGTAACTCTTTCCAGCAATTTTTCTCCCCAACCTCATCCAACCTTTTATCCTACAAATAGGACCTATTCGCTGGTGGACCTTCTCAGGGTCCCTCATCACTACTCATAAGCAACAATAACAATATCTAATATTTATTGGGCATTTTCTATGCGCCTGCCACTGTTCTAACACGTAATTCATCTAAATACCTGGGGAGGTAAGGACTCTTAGTATCCTCACTGTACAGATAAGAAAACTAAAGATAAAGCATAGTGGGGTTAAGAAAGTTACCAAGAACCGGGACGTAGCAGAGCTGTGTTGTCCTTCTGACTTCCATATTCCTACGTGCCCTGTCGAGAAAATTCAGATACAATAAGACCAGGAGATCCTCAGCCTATCAGTGCCATTTAATAATGATACATCCCCAGATCCTCATCTGTTCAAATAGTTTTGTTATTCTCTTCCCTAACAGCCCTCCACCCAACACCAGCAGAAGTGACTGCAGAAGGCAATCTTGAAACACTCCCCTAGCCCGGTACAGAGGCATGGCTGAACTCTGAGAACACTTCTGGTCTACAGTCTGTATATCGAAATTCCCAAGGAAACTACCTTGTCCCCATGATGACAGGGCTTTGACTGAACACTGAACCCTGCACGACATACTTCCGGTGTGTAATTATGACACTGTCAGTGCATCTGTGAGTCTGTATCTGGCCACAGATAAATGGCTTCCTTTTCCCCACACTGCCAACTCATATTTAGGTAGTGATTCTGCGGGAGAAATTAATGACGGCTCATCAGTTTCCACGCACCCATTGCCACAGCCTGATGGGTAATGTTCACCCTGGTTTACTTGTTTTATAATTTGATTTCCTACCAGAGATAAATAGTGCTGTTTTTCTGAGGGCATTGCTTGTAAGAATTGAAATCAACTGAAGCATTGACTCCGAATCACTTTGTAAGGACAGCTGTACTTTAAATTTTTAGAAGCTCCAATGTATTGAGTCTACATTTTGACTTTGCAGTGCAAAAGAAAGTATGCTATTATTTTGTACTTGTTGTATACCAGCCACTGTGTCCAGCACTTAGCATACATTTTTCCACTGAATTCTCAGGGCAGGTACTATGATTATAGATGAGGAAACAGTGGCTCAGAGAGGTAACATGATTTGCCTAAGCCCACTCAGAGGTGTGGTCAGGACACAAACTCAGGCCTCTGGAGTCCCGGCCCAGTGATTATTCATTTCTTCATTCAGTCACTCATTTATCCAACAATAGTTATTAGTATCTCCCAGTGCTGGGCACTGAGGATTCAGTGGTGAACAAGATGGTCTCACTTCTGTACTTATGAAACCTTTAGGACTGTTTTTTCAAGAGCACATTATGCTTGCAAAATAACCATCACCTCTTATCTCCCAGGCACTATAAAGTTTACAAAATGCATTCACATCCATTACCTCATTTTGAATAAACTTACTGTACTCCCCAATGCTTAAATAAATGGCAAATAAGACCTGTGACTCTGGACTAGGCTGTTACAAAAAGTATATCCTCTTCCACTCAATCTTTCCAAAATCAGACGCTTGTGTTTGTTGTACTTGAAGCAATTGCACTGAAATTAAATTACCTTTCTTCTTTCATTCACTTCACCCCTGCTTTCTGTTGTTCTTAAAATGCTCCTTGGGTCTCTAGATAGATGGTTTCTGTTTTCCATTGCCATTGCATCTCAGATGAACAGGTGCTGGGGGCTGGTTGCCACTTCGGAGATCTTTAGGGTACTGTTTGACAGCTGGGGGCAGCCCCTGAGCAGTCAATCCCTGTCCTGGTAGTCTGCTATTCCCGTCCTACATTCTTTTTTTTTCAGATTTTAGAGGTTTTTAACCTTTATTTTAGGTTCAGGTGTACATGCGCAGGTTTGTTATGTAGGTAAACTCATGTCATGGGAGTTTGTTGCACAGATTATTTCGTGACCCAGGTACTAAGCCTAGTACCCAATAGTGTTGGCGAGGTTGTGGAGAAAAGAAAACACTTCTACCACTGTTGGTGGGAGTGTAAATTGGTTCAACCATTGTGAAATGCAGTGTGGCAATTCCTGAAAGAGCTGAAAGCAGAGGTACCATTCAACCCAGCAATCTCATCACTGGGTGTTTACCCAAAGGAATATAACTCATCTGTCATAAAGACGCATGCATGCATACGTTCATTGCAGCACTATTCACAATAGCCAACACGTTTTGTTTTGTTTTTTTTTAATAATGAGAGGAGATAACAAGCAAATACTCCTTGAGCATCAATTATGTGCTTATAGTCCTGTAGGTCAGCATAAAGAGTTGAGAGGTTTTGGCCCAAGGGTAAAAGGAAGCCATAGAATGGTGGGTTCTAGCTGTGAGAAGGTCTGGCATGTTCTGCGCCACTTTCATTTCTGCTGATGGAGAAAGACCCCACAGGCAGGTCACAGGAGTCATGCTCTGCACCCCACCCCCGTTCCTCAGAATTCCCCAGAGGTCTTTAACCCCCAGCCACTAAAAACAATAATGGTAATAACAATGATGGCACTATTTGTAAATCTAAAGCTTGATCTTGGGACTTGGAATCTGGGACTCCTCCACACATTTATCACATTGGTCTAGAGTCTGGGGACTCTTCAGTATATCTGCCAAGACTTTTCAGGGCAGTCTTTTAAAATTATATTTTGAGTTTCTGTTTCATGCCAGGAAAGAGTTCTTGTCCTCGTGGCTTTTACTGAGTAGTAGCGGAAACAGACAAAAACAAAACAAAACAAAAAAACGCGCAGACCAATAACTACAGTACAACGTGTGATGCAGACCACAAAGAAAATAAACAGTGAGTGGGGACTAAAGTAACCGGAGGAAGTCTACTCTAGACTCTGACAGCAAAGCACGTTGAAGCTGAGATGTGAAGGATGAGAAGGAGCCGGCCATGAGAATTCCAATGGGAAGAGCATTCCACACACAAGGAACAGCAAAAGAGAAGGATCAGAGGTAGAAAAGAAACTGACAGGCAGCCAGTGTGGCAGGAACTGAAGAATGAAAGGAACATGGTGTTAGATGTCAGAGGGGGTAAACAGGGACTGGAGCAGATCTATGCAACTAAAATAGAATGCAAGCCAGAATAGGTTTAACATTTCTAGATATTCAAAAGAATATAAATAACCAAGAGAAATTAATTTAAAATATTTAACCCAATATAATGAAATATTTTCAAGTTATTTTATATATATACAATTATTAATATGATTTATTTTACATTTTTTATATCATGTCTTTGTAATCTGATATGCATTTTATGCTTACAACATATCTGTTTGGACTGGTCACTTGAAACTTTCAGTAGCTGAATATGGCTAGTGGCTATCTTATTGGACAACACAAGGATAGATCATGGTGGTAACCGGTTATATTGGCGACACCTCCTCCAGAACTCCCAGTGAACTACATCTCTCAATAGTCATGCCTTTTTGTAGCATCCCCCCTAAACATACATACAATAAAAATGGGCCAACTGGCTGGGCGCGGTGGCTCACGCCTGTAATCCCAGCACTTTGGGAGGCCAAGGTGGGTGGATCACGAGGTCAGGAGATTGAGACCATCCTGGCTAACACGGTGAAACCCCGTCTCTACTAAAAATACAACAAATTAGCCGGGCATGGTGGCGGGTGCCTGTAGTCCCAGCTACTCAGCAAGCTAAGGCAGGAGAATGGCGTGAACCCGGGAGGCAGAGCTTGCAGTGAGCCGAGATCACGCCACTACACTCCAGCCTGGGTGACAGAGCGAGACTCTGTCTTAAAAAAAAAAAAAAAAAAATGGGCCAACTAATAGAAGGCGGCAGAAGTGATACCGCATAGTTTCCAAGACTTGGCCTTTGGAGTTCTGTAACCTCCCCTTTCACCTCTTGTAACTCTTGCACTTGGGCTCAACCACCACGGTTGGAGGAAGCCTAAGCAGCCATGTGGAGGCAAACCCATGGAGGAGAACTGAGGCACCCACCTGATGGCCCCACTGGATCTCTGACAGCAACCAGCTCTAACTACCAGCCATGCGCGTAAGGTGATATTGGACTTTCCAGCTACCCCAGTGGGAAATAATATTATTTTAAGCTCCTAGGTGTTGGGGTGGTTTGTTTCCTGATAATGGATAAGAACAACTCATGGTAATAATTTTGTTTTTATTTGGAATGACATAGGGAGCCACGGAAGAATTCTGAGGGAAGCAATGTCTTGATTGGACTTCATTTTTAACAAAATCGCTTTGGCTATTGGGCTAAGAACAGACAGCTAGGGGCAAGAGTGAAAATGTAGAGCTAAGTAGGGGATGATCACAGCATCCAAGCAAGAAATGCTGGTGCTCTAACAAGAGTGGCAGTGGTGGGAGCAGAGGGCAATGGACCTATTTGGATATTTTCCTGGTAGAGTCAAAAGTCCCACTGATAGATTAGATAAAGGAAGCAAAATGGAGAAGTTGAAGAAATGTAAGGGAAATACTTGGGAGGTGCCCTTGAGGACATTTCTGAGGCTTTCACATCTGTCATGGTGCCCCACTTTAGAAAAATTCTGAGTTAGTGCAAGTTAGAAGGTGAAATTGCCTTCTCTCCCTAGAGGCCATTATTTATGGTATTTCCCCAGATTCAATGAGCACAGACAACAATGCTTACCCTCTGCTCCCAAATCACAAGTGTGTAAGTGGATGAGCATGAATAAGTAACAAGTATCCTAAGGTTTTTTTGACAGTTGCTGTATTTTACTGGCTGCATAAAATCTCCCCCATCCCCTAACCCTCAACAGCTGCTGGGACGCCACAATTGTGCTACTCAATACAAACTGATACTTACTGAAGTCATAAGCACAGATACTATTAAATGGAAATGGGTTGCCTAGCAGAGTCAGGCACATATGCAATTAATAACCACTATTTATTTATTCAGCAGTAGCAGAGCCTCCATTTTTCCCCAATGAGAGGTGAAATGCCTGTCAGTTGAGAGCACAACTAACTCATTGTATCAGTTACCTGTTGTCACGATAACACTGCTAACAAACACTCACAGAAGCCCAGTGGTATACACGGGTAACTGTTTATTGCTCATGTGCTTGGAGTTGTTGGCTAGGTGGTTCTGCTCTGCTCTGCTGGTCTTCGCTGGGACCTTTCACCTATTTGCGGGTGGCAGTCTTGAAGGTACATTGCTTGCATCTCACATCAAAAAGAACTTTATGTTCAGCTGCAAAAGCCGCAGTTACTTGACAGCTTCAAGTTGCTACTCCCTTCAGAATCTCCCTTGGCTTTCAAGCCAAGGCCCCACAGTTGGGGTGCAGCCCTCGGATAATGACTTAACAGAGCAGAGTGCCAGAGCCTGGCTGTTCTGCCCAATGCTTGATTCCTATATAGGAAAGTTTTTGCTCCAGAGCTCCCTTTTGGGTTGGTTGAGACTTTGTCCAATATGATCATGATCTTAGACTCTCTGTCCAATCCTGTTTCTCTTCCCTCATTTCATATAATAGGTATCAGATGGACATTGAGGTCTAAAGCCTTTCCCTGACTAATTCTGCTTCTGTCACCTTTTGTCTTTCACCATCTTGTACTCCTAACTCCATCTACGTGTCTGTTTCTCGGATGACCCAGCTGACACACTGGAGGCTGGCTTGCTGGCTATTGGCAGGTCTTGAATGGCCTTGGCTAGGATATCTGAAGTGACTCAGCCATGCTCCAGGTGACTCCCATGAACCAGCAGGTCAGCCCAGGTGTGTTTCCATGGAGATGACAGAGACACAAGAGAGCAAGCAGAAATGTGCAAGCCCTCTTGAGACCTAGGCTTAAAACTGGTATACTGTGTATTCTGCCTCATTCTGTTTGCAAAAAAAAAACCAAAAACCAAAAAACAAAAAAAAACAGTCACATAGGAAGGAAATACTCTGCCTTGATGATAGGAACTCCAAGGTCACATGACAACCCAAGGGCATAGGGAGAGATGAATTACTGGGGCCATGATTACAATTTGCCACACTCATTGCCATTGGACAAACCATCTCAACAATAGGTATTCCAGCCTCTGCACCTTCACCCATGCATTTCCTCTCCCTAGAGGCCTCTTCTCCTTATACTTGAATATTTGCATTGTACCCAGCCTTCCACAGCTATCCCAACCCTCTTCCTCTCTGAAGTCCTTCCTGGCTACAGTTGCTGTTTTCTCCACGTCAGAAGTGAGAGTCTTCAATGTGATGGTCAAATGCAAATTCAGATGCAGTTCTTCCTGGCTCCAAAATGAATGGTAGGCAAGTATTTATGGAACAAAGAAGTAGATACATGAGTGAAACTCAATAAGAGACCTAAATGAAAGTCATCCTATGTGAAAATGGAGATAATGTTTGTATCTTCTTCACAGACGTGTCAGGGAGAATTAAATAAGACACTCCACGTTAAGCACTTAATATGTCCCTAGTATATTATAAGTGATCATAGATCTAAGTATAAATTATAAACTAAAACAGAAAAGATGCTGGAAGAAAAAGATGAGAGAATATCTCAGTGACCTTTTGAGAAGGCAAAGATTTCTTAGAAAGGGTTTAGAAAGCATGAATCATGAAGGAAAAAATAATAAACCGGCTTTACCAAAAATAAAAACATCTGCTCATCAAACTACATCTTTAAGAATACAAATAGGCAAACCACAGACTGGAAGAAAATATTGCAAAACATATCTCTGACAAAGAACTTGCATCTAAATCATATAAAGAATTCTTACAACTGGATAATAAAAAACAAGCAACTCAATTAACAAAACCTGAACAGACACATCACGCAAGAATATTATGCAAATGGCCAATAAGTTCTTGAAAATGGGTTCAACCTCATTAGTTATTAGAAAAATGCCAATTAAAAACACAAAAAGATACTGCTATACACCCACCATAATGGCTAAAACTAAAAAGACCAACATCATCAAATGAGGCTAAGCATGTGGAGGAGCTGGGATTCCTTTACACAGCTGGCAGGAATAGAAAAGGGCACAGTAAAGCCAGGTGCAGTGGCGTGTGCATGTAACCCTCAGGAGGCTGAGGAGCTCAGGAGTTCAATGCCAGCCTGAGCAACATAGTAAGACCCTCAACTCTAAGAAAAAAAGAAGGCCGGGTGCAGTGGCTTATGCCTCTAATTCCAGCACTTTGGGAGGCCAACGAGGCAGGTGGATCACGAGGTCAGGAGTTCGAGACCAGTCTGGCCAACATGCTGAAACCCCATCTTTACTAAAAATACAAAAAAAAAATTAGCCGGACGTGGTGGCGCACGCCTGTAATCCCAGCTACTCGGGAGGCTGAGGCAGGAGAATTGCAAGAACCCGGGAGGCAGAGGTTGCAGTGAGCCGAGATCGCACCATTGCACTCCAGCCTGGGCAACAGAACAAGACTCCATCTCAAAAAAAAAAAAAAAAAGAAAGAAAAAAAAGGAAGAAGAAAACAGCAAATTCTCAAGAAATTGCACATATATCTACCCTAAGACCCAGCAATCTAGACAAATACAACTAGGTATTTACCCAACAGTAACAAAAACGAATGTCCATAAAAAGCCTTGAACACAAATGTTCACAGCAGCTTTCTTCATAACAATCCCAAACTGGAAACAGTCTAAATATTCATCTACAGGAAAATAAATAAGATGACTGTGGTATATTTGGACAATGAAATATTACTCAGCAATAAAAAAAACAAACTACTGACTCATCTAATAATATGATGAATCTCAAAAATGTTTTGCTGAGTGAAAGAAGTCTGCACCAAAAAAAGTATATTTTGCATGATCCCATTTGTATGAAATTCTAGAATAGGTAAAAATAACCTATGACGATACAAATCAGGGCAGTGGTTGCTTGGGGGAGGAGGGAACACTTGACTGGGAAGAGACATGAGGGAACTTTCTAGGGTGATTAAAAATGTCCTGTCCTGATATGCATTCATCCAAACAGACTGAGCAACACACTTTAGGTCTCAGCAATTTCATTGCACGCAAAGTAGATCTCAACAAAAAAATTAGAAACATGAGCTATGGTCATTGTGATTAGTCATTGCTTTGTTGTGTACCAGGCACCAAGGTCCGGTGCCATGAAGGCAGGACCCTGTTTTCTCTTGCTCCTGCTTAGTTCTGTGGTGCCTAGCCCAGTGCCTAGCACATAATAGGTACTCAATAAATGCTTGTTGAGTGAATTCATAAATGAATGAATGAATGAGTGTTTGAAGAGGGAGAGAGAAGGAGTGAAATGAATTTCTGGCTTTCTAAAACTGGAGCTGGGAGAGAGACTGTCCTGATATTTACAGCCTTTAGCATCTCTGTTCTGGTTTGCTGGACAAACGGGGGCTCCTGTAACACTCATAGCTATGTATTTACAAAACAGCCCTGAGGCTACTTGGGAACTAATTCTGCCTCTCTATGAAATTGTTTGCCTTTAGAAAAGAAGATGTAAATATTCCCCACTCAGCTGGACAGAATGGCTCCACTGGGCTCCCCCAAACAGTCTTTAAGAACATCTTTTAATTTATTTGCAAGGGCAGGCCGGGGGATGGGTCTAGAGGAAGAAGGGAAGCTGATATTACTGAGGGCCTACTAGGCGTCATGTTCCGTGCTGTGCTGAGCACTTTCACAGGCATAGTCTCCTTTACCTTTTAGGATGCAGCTGGCAGGGATCATTGTCTCCATTTCACAAATGAGAACACTCAGTCTTAGAAGTGTCCCAGGTGAGTTACACTCTGAAAAGGCTGGCATTGAACACCAGGCCTGCCTGACACCTGGTGGGGGAGTGAACCCAGGGCGCAGTTCCAGCTCTGACACATGCTTGATGGGTGCCTGGGGGCCTATCACTCTCTGAGCTTCAATTTCTTCATCTGTAGAAAGAGGGCACAGGCCTCGCCTTCTCTGGCTCCTTAGGGTGGAGCCGTGATGACAGCATCCTGGGGACACTCAGAAGGTGCAGATAGTCGCTATTTCTTGGCTTCTCCCACCAGTGAGACTGAGAGGAAGCCCAGGGAAGAAAGGATCTAGCTCTTGCCTTACCCAGGGGAGCTGGGCATGTCACCTGCCAGGAGGTCATCTGCCAGGTTGTGACACAGAGAACAGGCCCTCATTTCTCCATTCCAACTTTCCTGTTGGTGCTGCCTTCTAAATTTATTCAGAAGTTCATTCCTTCTCATGCCTGCACTGCTACCACTCTGGTCTGAGCCATCTTCATCCCTCACTTGGATTCATAACCTCCAAACTGGTCTCCCTAATTCCGCTCTTGTCTCCTTAGAGCCTATTTTGTATCCAGCAACCAGAGAGATCAGCAAAAATCCCAGGTAAAATCATGTCAAAACTCTGCTCCAAAGCCTACACTGGCTCTAGGCAGGGTGTCCAGTCTTTTTATTGTTATTATTATTATTTTTGAGATAGAGCCTCACTCTGTTGCCTAGGCTGGAGTGCAGTGGCACAGTCTTGGTTCCCTGCAACCTCTACCTCCTGGGTTCAAGCAATTCTCCTGCCTCAGCCTCCCAAGTAGTTGGGATTACAGGCATGTGCCACCATGCCTAATTTTTCTAGTTTTGTTTTTTTTTTTTTTTTTTTTGGTAGAGACAGGGTTTCACCATGTTTCCCATACTGGTCTTGAATTCCTAGGCTCTAGTGACCCTCCAACTTTAGCCTCCCAAAGTACTGGGATTACAGGCGTGACCAATCTTTTGGCTTCCCTGGGCCACATTGGAAGAATTGTCTTGGACCGCACATAAAATACCCTAACACTAATGATAGCTTATGAGGAAAAAAAAGGCTCTAAAAGAATCTCATAATGCTTTAAGAAAGTTTATGAGTTTCTGTTGGGCCACATTCAGAGCTGTCCTGGGTCACAGGAGTCCCACGGACCGTGGGTTGGACAACCCTGCTCTAGGACCTAGGTCAAACCTCATCCTAGTTTGCTCAGGACTTTCCCTGTTTTAGCACCGAAAGTTCTGTGTCCCAAGAGCTCCCTCAGTCCTGGGCAAAGTGAGATGATTGGTCACCCTAAATGGCTCCCATCCTTACTCTCAGTTAAAGCCAACATTTTTACAAAGTCCTACAAGGCCCTACATCATCTGACCCTCATCACCTCTCTGATCTTGTCCACCATTCCTCACCCACTCGATCACCCTACTCCAACCATACTAGCCTCCTTAAAGGTGCTCAAACCCGCCACTCATGCTCCTACCTCAGGGCCTTTGCATTGACTGTTCCCTCTGCCTAGAATGCTCTTCCCCAAGTTCAAGACAAGGCTGGTTGCTTCACTTTCTTCAGATCTTTACTTAAATATATTTCCCAAGGAGGCCTTCTCCTGCCCACTCTATCTAAAATGCTCGCTGCACCACTTCCAATGCCTTCTAGTCCCTTCTACAGCTTTATTTTCCTCCTCCAGGCTTTCAGCGTCCTAATATCTTGTATAGTTCACTTACTCCTCTTGTTTACCATTTGCTCCCACCCCCAACTATCATGTAAATTGCAGGAGAACGTGAATTATCTGTCTGTTTTATTTACTGCTTTATCTCTGGTGCCAGATAAAGCCTGACACCTAGTAGGTGTTTTATGGATAAATTTCCTTAGCATCAACCATGAATTGGGCCCTGGACCCCACAGCTGTGTAGAGAGAGCCCCAAGTAAATAGAGAGCTGCAAACCTAAGGGCGGACATGGACCAGCGAATGGATAAAGAAAATGTTATCTTTATACCATGGAATACTACTCAGCCATAAAAAAGAATGGAATAATGTCTTGCAGCAACTCAGATGGAGCTAGAGGCCATTATTCTAAGTGAAGTAACTCAGAAATGGAAAACCAAATATTATATGTTCTCATTTATAAGTGGGAGCTAAGCTATGAGGATGCATAAACAGTAAGAGTGATATAATGCCAGTCTCGGCAACGTGGCAGAAACCCATCTCTACAAAAAAAGTATAAAAAATTAGCCAGAGTTGGTATCATGCACCTGTAGTCCCAGCCACTCAGGAGGCTGAGGTAGGAGAATCACCTGAGCCCGGGAGGTCGAGGCTGCAATGAGTTGAGATCATGGCACTGTACTCCAGCCTGGGCAATACAGTGAGAGCCTGCCTTGAAAAGAAGAGTGATATATGGACTTTGGGGACTCAGGGTTGAGGGGGAAGGTTGGGAGGGGAGTGAGGGATAAAAGACTGCATATTGGGTACAGTGTACACTGCTCAGGTGACAGGTACACTAAAATCTCAGAAATCACCACTAACGAACTTATCCATGTAACCTGAAACCACCTGTACCCCCAAACTATTGAAATTATATATACATATATAACTAAAACAAAAACAAAAACAAAAAAACCTAAAAACAGAGGGAGGCACAGGTGTGTAGGAGGCTGTGGCAGCATTCCCAGCCCCACCTGGAAGTCAAGGAAGGCTGACATCTGGAGGGAGGAGGGCAATTGACAAGGTGAAAAGGCAGGTGAGACTAGTGTAAGCCTTTAAGACCAGTGGATGGTCTTTTGAGTGGATGCTCAAAAAATACTTGGGCATGAGTGAGCATATGAATGAATAAATGAGTGTTCCAGGTGGAGATAAAAGCATGCAAGAAAGCCCAGAAGGGAGAAAGATCATGCTAGGATTGGAGCAGCATCCAGGGCAGAGGCAGGCAAGACAGGTAGAGACCACATCACGGAAGAGCCAGGTATAGTAACATCTATAGTGTCTGTGAGAGTGTTGCCAAAGGAGATTAACATTTGAGTCAGTGGACTGGGAGAGAAAGACCCATCCTCAATCTGGCTGGCTGGGCACCATCTAATCAGCTGCCAGAGCACCAAGAACAGAGCAGGCAGGAGAAGATGGAAAAGCAGATTTACTCAGTCTTCCAGGCTTCATCTTTCTCCCTTGCTTGATGCTTCTTTACCTCGAATATCAGACTCCAAGAGATATTAACAGCCACAATAATAATGACAGCAGCTCACATTTATGGGTGCTTACAAAGTGCTAGGACCAATTCAAAGTGCTTTTTCATGCAAATTCTCAATACCCTTTGCCTTGGCTTTAGTCTTGATGCAGGCTCCCTAGAAAATGCACCTGGGGCAAGTTTTAAATGCTCATATGCCCTTGGAAGGTACAGTCTCAGGGCAGAGAGACTAAGGGGAGAAGGAAATGAGGCAGGAAAGATAAGATACAAGGTCAGTCACGCATTACCAAGCTGGTTACAGTAGTTGGTTGGCTAATGTGGTCTGTCCCCAGTTAGACCACATAGGAAAATTTCGTGGTGTAATCCAACAGGAGGAGGAGTGGAGAGAGAGTGTAACTACAGCTCCCTCAAATCTCCTGTTTCCCAGCGCTTAAAGTGCACCCTGCCAGGAGATCCTCTTCATAATATGCATGTGGTAGGAGGAGCCAGAGACCCTGGACTTTGGCTTCAGGTGGTGGGACTCCATGGGCATGGAGTATGTTGCCATAGCAATGGCTGTGAATCAGGAAGCAATTGAGATTCCAGGAGTTATGATACCAAGAGAACCTGAGAAGGCTCATGAGATGGATCCAATATCATCGTTGTCCTGACTTTACAGCAGGAAACAGAGGCACAGAGAGGCTACATACCTTGCCCACCCATACAGCTCGCCTATGGTGAGCTTAGCACCACATTGAACAGAATTTGGGCCACTCAGGATTGCAGAGAAAGAAAGAATGTAGACCTAAATCTTTGAGACCAGAACTTGGAGGTGCTGTCAGGATTCTTTAGTGCACCCTAGTTATTTACAATTGACCCAAAGACTGAATTATCCTCAAATCATTTCTCTCCAGCTGTGGAAGGCAGCAGGAATTAGAGGGAAAACACTAGGTTGAAGTCTGCTTCCAAATTACTGTGTGACTTTAGGCAATAGATGCTCCTTCTCTGGTCCTGTTTCTGCATATAAAATAATGATGGGGCCAGTGTAATGTACTTGTACCAGCTGGGCCCTGCCAGCAGTGTTTGCTCCTCAGCCACAAGGAACACTCTTGCCTGTCCCCATCCATGCCCTCCAAACCCACTCCTGGGACTTCCATGCACAGGTATGGGGTATTAGTCCATGGACCATGAGCCATGATGCCCACATAGCCCTAAATGAGACACCCAGTGAAACACCAGCAGCAAGAATAATTTCCAGTACTTCTCTTTATTAGGAAAGGACACATTTAAACTCTTCTAGAGGCCTTTGATGCCAAAAATTGGGTTCCCTCAAACATGGGAGAAGGGAGAACAGGCTGGGCACCTATGGAACAATCCTCTTACCCCACCCCATTTTTGAGGTAGGTCGCTTGAGATTGAAGTGAACAATAGGGATGAATGCCTCCTAGGGCTCAGTGCTGTGTTAGGCCCAGATTGGAGCACCGCCTGCCTGTGCTAGTGCAGGGAAATCTTTGGAACTCTTTCAAATGTTCCCTGTACTGGCCGGACAACCAGGCCTGGGACTCGGGGTCAGAGTGACTGTCTTAGGAAGAGCACTGAATGAAGAGTCAGGAGCTCTGAACTCTAATCCCAGCTTCTGCACTGCTAACTCAGGCCAGTCACTTGGCCTTGCTGAGCCTCAGCTGCCCCATCTGTAAAATGGGCATAATAATCCTTGTCCTGATGCTCCTGCTGGCCAGACAGGCTCTAAAGATAGGGTCTCCTCTCCCACCCCTTATTACTCGAGAAGAAACCAAGAATTAGAGGGATTTAACAAACCACTTGAGGTTACACAGCTTAAAAGATGGCAAAGCCAGGAGTAAACCCAAGCCTAGTCCTAGACACTGGTCCCCGTTGCCTCCCAGATGGAGCAGGCAGGCCCAGGTTTGTTTAGCCAGGAGATGGCACAGGTGAAGTGATGTGATCCATAGGCCCGTTCAGCCAGCTGACCTTATAGGAAAGCACGATCTACACTGCAAGTTTAGCCCATGGTGTTAGTACCAAGAATGCCTGTATTTGGAGATAGAGCCCAGAGTTCAAATCCCAGCTCCACTTGTCTGTGCTTCTGTCCTGAGTCTCAATGGCTGGTATGGGGAAAAGTCATTAACTTGACCCCTTGTTACGTTCTCTCTCCTCACTCGCTGAACAATGAAAATTGCTCTTTAATTGATCACCATCAGCCACAGACACTGACTCACTTTACCAAGGGTGAGGCCACTGTGCTTTAAGGGACTGCATCCTCCAATGTCCTTCCACCTTTTGCTGCAGAACCTCTTTATGCATAAGCTGAGGATCAAGGGAAGACCAAGGGCTTTTGGTAAATGCAGCCATGTCTTCCCCTACCCTTTGCAGCAAGCCTAAGCAGGAAGACCATAAACTTTAGACTCTAGGAGATGGGAGATGGAAAGAGGATTAAATAAGCCATTCCAGTGAATCCTACAAGCTGTAGGCCTGAACTATGAGAATGATTTTCCCACCGAGCCCAGAATAAGACTACTGGGCCTTCATGCAGCTATTTACAAAGGAGCATTTTGAGTCATTTTATATTTCTCCTTGCACATATAGAACACATGGATAGGACAGTGGATCCCAACCACTGTCTCTTAGAAGTGATGTTTGAATATCACCAAGCACAGTGCCTATCTCCTCACAGACACACAGGAATGGGAGCTATGATGATTCTTAACAAAGGGTGACAGGGTCACTGTGTCACCTTGTCACCAGAGCTGCTAACATCTGTCACTATGCTCTGAAGGGAGCTGCCTATATTGACAGCTAAATAAGCAACCAGGTCCAGGGAGTGGGAGTCCAGTGTGAACTGTCCATCACCTTCTGAAGACAGCAGCAGGAGCTTGGCCAGGCCATTAATCACAACCAGAGCCTTCTACGGCTGCATCCAACATCCTTTGACACCTGCCTCTTCTAGCTGCAACAACAGTCTCCCCTCTCCTCTGCTTCCTATGTACAATCTTTGGGAGTGGGAAAGAATGCAGAGCCTTAACTCCCCATCCTTGAACTCTGCAGAGAGCCAGGGGCCTTGAAACAGGGTTGGGTCTGTGTTGGCCTGGAGAGGGCCTCTGAAACTTGAGAAACGTACATTTGGCTTATCTGAGTTCCTTTCTCAGGAAATTGACCTTTGAGCCTCCTGGATGGTATCAGAAAGCTGAGGCTTTCCAGATTGCTGCACCCAGACAATGAGACACACCTGCTGCCTGTTGACCAACTCCTCTTTCTTGCTGCTCCTGTTCTCCTTCCCTGCTTTACAAACCCCTAACTTTAGTTGGTTGAGGAGGGAGAGGTTTGACAGTTAGGCTGACGTCACCTCCAATACAGCTTTTCTTCTGGAGCAACATTTGTTGTCTCAATGATTGGCTTTCTGTGTGGTGAGCAGCCAGACCTAGGTCAAACCCCTGGAGTTTGCCAACAAAATTCTGGTTCTCCGATCAGGAATTCATTGCTTACGGCTCAGTGGCCATGGATCAGGAGCATTTCAGAAGCCCTCCTAGCAGCTTCCCAGGCATATTTGGCCAGAGATGGGTTTCAGTCTCCTTCTCTTCTGCATCACCACTGCCAGCCCCAATTGCATTCCTGATTGCCTAGGAAGAACAGGCTTTGAAATCTGACATCTGCATCCAGACAGGTGAGTGCTCTCTATGGGTCCCTGACAGCAGGAGTCTCTCCTCTCAATCTGGGGGAATTCCAAAGAAATTTCCATTTGTTGCAGTTTGGACAAGCCCAGTTGACTGGCTTGAGAGTAGAAGGCACCCTGACTGTTTTGGTTTGGACACTCTTGGGCTTGTTATTTGCTACTGCAGTTAGTATTTTGATAATTGTTCATTTCCATAATAAAGATTTTCTTCCCTGGCAATACTCATGGTCTGCGATATGAGCAACTGGACTTAGGCCAAACCCCTGGTGTTTGGCAAAATATCATGCAGACACAGAAGGATGACCTGTAGCTTCTGGACTACTGGTGGGACATCAGGTGGTAGGGACATGGCCAATGTATGTATTTCCAAGTATATTACCCGTCCCCCACAGTAAACCATAAGCTTCACGAAGACAGGGCCTTTGCCTATCCCATTCTTAGCTTTTTCTACAGTGCCTGCAACCGTGCTCAGGACATGAGGTGCTATTTGTTGAATGAATAAATGTTGAGTTCTAAACTCAGCTTTGCTATTGAGTGCCTTTGGAAAACTCACTTTCTTCTCTGAGACTCATTTTCCCCACCTGTAAAATTACCTTGAGGCTTTCATCTAGTCCTTATGGTCTAGGGTTCTTTCAAGACATGGGCGCCCTGTTAAAAATGGCCTCAGGGTATAAAAGCAAGAGGAAACATTTGCAGGAGAGCATTTAATCCACATGGATTCATGACCACCAACATCCTCACCTTTGAAATAATTTTGGTTACATCAGCAGGGACGCCATAGCAGGGCACAGCCATATGGTTGGAGCCACAGAGGCATCAGGGAGCAGTTCTGAGACCAAAGAACAATGATGCCACCATTTACTGCAGGCTATCTGCCAATCAATGGGCTGATTCATGAGCTCTTGATTCCTTACAAGGATGCTGGGAAGCTGGTACTAGTTTAGACCTATTTTCCAAATGAGTGAAGGAGAGGTCAGAAAGCAGTGACATCTGTGAGGTCACACAGAGAGAGACTCTTTGACCTGGGGCTAAGTGGCAAAGCCCAGGCCAGGGGCCAGGCCATGTTGATATCCCAGGTAGCAGAAGTGGTAGTGTCACAGACTTGGATGACGCTTACTACGCCGGGTGCTAAGGGTGAGCACACTGCCTATGTGACATCAGGGCCCACTGCATAATTTCTGGAGTCATCTTGTAGGAAAGAGGCTCAAAGCCTGGCCTACATGGTGAAACCTCGTCTCTACTAAAAATACAAAAATTAGCCAAGCATGGTGGCGGGCGCCTGTAATCCCAGCTACTACGAAGGCTAAGGCAGGAGACCTGCTTGAACCCAGGAGGCAGAGGTTGCAGAGAGCCAAGATCACACATTTCACTCCAACCTGGGTGACAAGAGCAAAACCCCATCCAAAAAAAGAAAAAGAGAAGAAAGAAGGAAGGAAGGAAGGAAAGAAAGAAAGGAAAGAAGGAAGGAAGGGAGGAAGAGAAAAAGAAAGGAAAGAAAGAAAGAAGGAAGGGAGGAAGAGAAAAAGAAAGGAAAGAAAGAAAGAAGGAAGGGAGGAAGAGAAAAAGAAAGGAAGGAAGGAGAGACAGAAAAAGAAAGAAAAAGATACAGAGAGAAAAAGAGGGAGAGAGAGAAAGAGAGAAAAAGAGAAAGAAAGAAAAGAAAAGAAAGAGGATGAAGTTGAGTAAGTACCTTCTGCTCCAGGCTGTGTTGGGTTGGGGGATTTGAGAGGCATGGGGATGGTTGTCAACTTGTAGCATGTTGAATTGACTTTTAATGAGCATCTTCAGGATTTCTGTTTACTGCTGCATAATGAGGAAGACTTTGCTGTTATTACTTGAAATTAACCTTTTTGGATGCATCCCTTACACATCATTGAAGAATAATGACTGATTTCTTCTTTTATAAAAACGTGCTTCATAAAATAAACGTATTATAAATTTTTAACACGGAACTCACAAGATAATTTCATCTTTATTTTTCTTCATAGTACAGCTTGCTCCTGACAGTATATTCATTTTCTTGCTTATTGTCTGTCTCCCCAGCTAAGATATTCCCTGAAGAAAGGCAGGGTGACTCTGCCTGCTCACTAGAGCTTGGGTGTGGGGAACGGTGCCAGGCACTTAGAAGGTACTCAGAAAATACGGACTGAATAAATAATATTACTGGCACATGAAGAGAAGAAGTGCATGGAAACTCAAAGGTTCCAGGCTCTAAAATGCCCAGGAAACATCAATGCCAGGAAGGCAATGTGAGTCTGTTCCCTCCGGCATTGATAATCTCTTCCTGACTTCCCGAATTACCTCTGTTTGTGGACCAAGCTGGGAGCTTGGGACATATGTATCCTGTATGAATAGTAAATTATTCTGTATAATAATATTCATTCTGTATGAAAATTATTCTGTATGAATAATAAATTAATAGATTAAGTGATAATAATAATTAAATCACCACTTCCTTTTGCATTGTGTGTTACAGGCTGAATTGTGAACCCCTAAAACTCATGTGTTAAAAGTTCTAACCCCCCATACCTTACAATGTGACAGTGTTTGGAGACGGGACCTTTAAAAGGGTGATTAAAATCCCAGCACTTTGGGAGGCCAAGGCAGGTGGATCACCTGAGGTCGGGAGTTCAAGACCAGCCTGACCAACATGGAGAAACACTGTCTCTACTAAAAAAATGCAAAATTAGCTGGGCCTGGTGGTGCATGTCTGTAATCCCAGCTACTCAGGAGGCTGAGGCAAGAGAATTGCTTGAACCCGGGAGGCAGAGGTTGCAGTGAACTGAGATCACACCACTGCACTCCAGCCTGGGCCACAAGAGTGAAACTCCCATCTCAAAAAAAAAAAAAAAAAAAACAGGGTGATTAAAATCAGGCCATCAGGATAGGCCTTGTTTCAATATGACTGCTGTTCTTATAAGAGAAAAATGTGGACACAGAGAGACGCCAGAGGTGCAGCCACACAGAAGAAAGACCATGTGAAGACACAGCAAGAAAGCGACTATCTACAAGCCAAGGACAGAGGCCTTAGGAAAAACCACCCCTGCTGACACCTTGATTTCAGACTTCCTGCCTCCAGAAACATGAGGAAATAAATTTCTGTTGTTTAGGCCACCCAGGCGGTGGAATTTTGTTACAGCATCTCTAGCAAACTAATACAGTATGCTATACTTTCCCTTTCCCAGGTTTTATTAGAGTTTAGTAACTGTTGTTCCCATTACTGAGATGAGAAAACTGAGACCCAGCAAGGGAAGTGACTTGGCTAAGACTCCATGACTTGATGGATTTCACTGCAGAAAGCTTTGGGAGAACCTCGTGCAAGAGCCTGGGTCTTCTCCCATTCCCACCCCACACCTAAGTGTTGGCGAGCTTTTGGGTGGTGCCTCCTCTTTGCCAGGGCTTCTGACTCCGCAGAGGTCCTGGCCCCTTTCCCCGTGTGTCCCAGCACTCTCCAGTGACCCAGAGCCCTCCTGTGAATGGCAAGAGGTGGATGGTGGATTCAATAAGTGGGAGACTGTGTCTGCATCAGAGACAACAGGGTCCACTGTTCCACCAACGTGCTCCATCAGAGAGGCAGGAAGGTCTCCAGAGACGGTGAGGTCTCCAGTGAATTTCCCTCCTGCCCCATCCTCCTCCCTTGCCTCACTTCTACCCAGAGTCTCTAGTGAGGATGATCAGAGATGAGAGCTCCTCTTTTTGGAGTGACCTTACCAGTTATTATGGGTTGAATCGTGTGCCCACTTCCCCAGCCCCACTCAAAAAATGTTGAAGTTCTAACCCGCAGTACTTCATAAAGTGACTTAATTTAAAGGTAGGGTATTTACAGGGTAACCAAGTTAAAATAAGGTCATTAGGGCAGACCCTATCCAATATAAAATGGGGAAATCTGGATACAGACATGAACAGAAGATGAACTGAGGAGACACAGGGAGAAGACAGCCATCTACCAGCTACGGAGAGAGGCCCTCACAGCTCTCAGAAGGAATTTACCCAGCTGACCTTGAATCTGGACTTCAACCCTCCAGCTATGGTACTTTGTCACAGCAGCCCTAGCAAACACTAACACAACTGTGATCCAAATGGGAATTCCCTCCCACGGGTGGGAGCTATGATTGGCTACACCAGAGGGGTCCTGGGGATGGAGACAAATTTGGGGTAGGATATGGAGTCTATGCTAGTGGGAATTTAAATAAAGGCAGCATTTGCTACCTAAATGTGGGCACACATATGCTAGCTTCGCCTTGGTAAAAAGGGAATAAATTCAAGGTTCTTGAATGTTGATGTGGGTGCACATTTGTAGGATGCATATATATCAGTGTGTCGCATGCGTTCAGGGTGTGTGGGCTCATTTATTTGTTCTTTGGCTCATTCATTCATTCATCATTCATCAGTTTCTTGAATGCTTGTACACACTTATACATACACAGGATAGAGAAATGAATTGGCAAAGGAATATAATCGACAAGCATGGGGATTAAGGGAGCATGGAGGAGGAGCATTTGTTTCAGTTTGATATATCAGGAAAGACTTCCTGGAGGAAGTGAGCTGAAACTGGCCAAGTGAAGAGGAGGAGGAAGGTCATGGCATGTAGACATGTAGGAAGAGAAATAGAAGTATACACCCCAAACTACACACAGTTTGGGTTGGTTCTATTCTAACAGTCCTACCCCTATCTGCACCCCATCAACTCTCTGGAATCCCAGGTAGCAAGGCCATAGAGAAGGCACAGATGCCCAGGAGTCAACACTTTATTTTGTTCAGGCCAACCACACTGGGAGCCCAGCATCCCCGCAGGATATGCCTCTGTGGGCTCATCTCGCCTCTTGAGGGTGGCCATGCTGGCTGGCTCTGGCCACCGGGGAGGCCTGGCCAGTCTCTCTGTCTCCAAGTTATTGTAGAGTCGGGAAGTCTTCAAGGGCAGCTTCAAGGAGGCTGGAAGCAAACATAGGTCAGAGTTGATGAATGGGACAAAGGATGGGTAAGGTTTTTCTTTTTCTGGAGGCAGGGTCTCACTTTGTCACTCAGGCTAGTGTGCAGTGGTGCAATCATAGCTCACTGCAGCCTCCAGCTCCTGGGTTCAAGTGATCTTCCTGCTTCAGCCTCCCAAGTAGCTAGGATTACAGGTGCATGTCACTACACCCAGCTAATTTTTTATTTTGTATTTCTTGTAGAGGTGGGGACTCACTATGTTGCCCAGGCTGGTCTCAAACTCCTGGCCTCAAGTGATCCTCCTGCCTCAGCCTCCCAAAGAACTGGGATTATGGGCATGAGCCACTGTGCCTGGCCAGGAAGATGGGTACATTTTGATAGAGACAATGAATGGGGTGGAGGGCCTGGAATTCTGTATACCCAGGTGGCGTTACTGTAGCAACTCCACAGAAAGGGATGGCAGAGTGTAGGTGGCAGAAGGAGAAAAAGTTGGGATAGATTTCCCAAAGGTCCAAAAATTCCAAAGTAACCTGGCATTTACTGCATCCATGGGGTGCCATGCTCTATTCCAGGAATCTCTCATATTCTCATGAAATCCACAGCGTTACTTTAGGTAGTTGGTATTCTTACCCCTGTTTTCCAACTGAGGACACAGGGGCTTGGTGAGACTGTATCACTTGCCTAGGGTCCAATGGCTAGTTACAGGGCAGAACTGAGCTTTGGGGGGTCTTGTTTGGTTCCAAAGCCCACCATGCATTTGCATCGTTGGAGGTGTTGCATTGTATAGCTGAAAAACTAGCATCCTTGGAGAAGAACCTTGCTCAGGGTAGGGAAGGAGGACTTGAGTTTAAAACGGAATGGCAGAGACAAGATGTTCTGTGATGACTTCTGCTAAGGACTGTTCCCCTCATGGATGTGTGCCCTTTACTTGGCCTTTGAAACTGCTTTCTGTGTCCCCGAGAGCATAATAATGTAAATGAATATCAGATCTTTACTCGGTAATTGAGAGCAGAGAGAAGGCCATGTTAAGTCAAATTAGTTTGCTCTGATAGAGTCCAAACCTGTCTCCACGGAAGGGGCAATGGCTTTTTGATGGGCTGAGGCTGTCTCTCAAAGAAATAGAGGACGTGTGCCTCATTTGGGTCAAGGAGGCCTGGGGGTGGCAGCAGGTGCACCCTGAGAGCCATGTGCAGTCGCTGGACCATCAGAGCCTTGAGCTGCAGCAAGTTCTGAGATTCAGTGACTGGGAGATTTACGAAGGCTCATACGCTATCAGACAGCTCTAATTTCACTCATGAAGATGCCTGGAATGTGTCCCTAGGGAAAACTTTTAAAGATAAATGTAGGGATTCTAGAGCTGGAAACCCAATTATGCCCTGGTGATTCTGTACAAGTGACTTTAATCTTTCTGATACTCAGTCTGTCAACCTGGTAAATGGGAATAAATAACATTCACCACTGCTTGGGGATATCAGGAGTACTAAATGACTGTCTGATGTGTCCTCTCAATAAATGTAAGCCTTGGTTAGCAATGAATTTTTTTTTTTTTTTTTTTTTTGAGACGGAGTCTCGCTCTGTCGCCCAGGCTGGAGTGCAGTGGCGAGATCTCGGCTCACTGCAAGCTCCGCCTCCCGGGTTCATGCCATTTTCCTGCCTCAGCCTCCCCAGTAGCTGGGACTACAGGCACCCGCTACCACGCTCTGCTATTTTTTTTTAGTGGAGATGGGGTTTCACTGTGTTAGCCAGGATGGTCTCGATCTCCTGACCTCGTGATCCGCCCGCCTCGGCCTCCCAAAGTGCTGGGATTACAGGCGTGAGCCACCGCACCCGGCCTGAATTCCTCTTCTTACCTTGACTCCAGATGAGTGGCAGGATGAGTGCTAGGAGAGGGAGGAAGGGCAGCAAGTAGTTACTTATCCTGCATTGTTGCTCTGTGATTTTTGTACTTGTTCCCTCCCCCCTGAACCTAGGGCCTCAGTTTCTCTCCATATGCAATGCAAGTGGACTCCACTATTCTGAAGGTCTCTTCCAACTTGGCCCTTTGCATGTCTGTGATCCCACCACGGATCTTCTGTCATTATGTGGACAGAACGCCATCACAGCTCCTTCAAACCCAGGTGGAATGACATTAAGAAAAGAAAATGACAGTAGGGTGAGGTAACTTTAAACATCTGGCACCTTTTTTTTTTTTTTTTCCCTGAGACAGAGTTTTGCTCTTGTTTCCCAGGCTGGAGTGCAGTGGTGGCACCCTCAGCTCACTGCAACCTCTGCCTCCCTGGTTCAAGCGATTGTCCTGCCTCAGCCTCCTGAGTAGCTGGGATTACAGGCGCCCGTCAAGACACCTGGCTAATTTTTTGTATTTTTAGTAGAGACGAGGTTTCACCCTGTTGGCCAGTCTGGTCTCAAACTCCTGACCTTAGGTGATCCACCCGCCTTGGCCTCCCAAAGTGCTGGGATTACAGGCGTGAGCCACCGCGCCCGGCTACATCTGGCACCTTCTTTAGCGGTATCCCACAGGAACCTCTTACTTTCTGATGTGTCTGCATTTCAAAGTACAAGGAAGTAGAGGTACCCAGCAGAGGGGTTCTGAAAAGCTTTGCATCCATCAACACATGACTTCAGCTAAAACCTCTAAAAATCTTGGTCTCTAGAGAAATCGGTTGTGGCATTAAGGACAGTAGTGGCACCTGCTCTCCCCAAGGCTGCAAGGTGAACTCTCATTCCCCCAAGAATAGCCCCAGCCTGTTGCTTTTACCTGAACTGGTTCCTACTTCTGGAGGTATTTCTTCATTATGCTCGCAACATCGTCGTCTTTCCTCCCCGTCCCTGGCTCTCTCCGCTCGGGGGACGTTCGCTCGCCACCGTCACCCGCAAGTCGTGGGATTCCTGGTCGACTTTTGATGCTGTCAGCACTTTTGAAGGACACGATGGAGCCGGAGGATGAGGACGAGTCAGACAGGTGAGCGGGATCCTCCTTGGGCTCCGGGCTCTTCTTCAAAATGGTCTTGATCCCCGAGAGAAAGGAACGGTTAGCCTCTTCCGTTTCAAAGTGGATGCTTGAACGCTGTGAACCGTCTTGCCCACCTTTGGCTGATCCAGCCAAGGAGGTAGGTGTCTGGGGCTTCCGGATAGCTGGGAGGAAGTCATCGAAGTCCACTTTGGTCTTGCGTTCGTAGTCGAGGCTTGGGAGTTTCCAGCTGAATGGGTCACTGCCTAGAGGTTCCTCCATCAGGTGGGCAAACTGGCGGTTCTGGAAAACAAGCGGCTCCTTTCCAAGGTCTGGACAGCCCGCATCGTCCACAGAGGACTCCAGACACCGCCTCCGAGGACGCAGTGTGGGCGACAACAGCATGTCCCTGGGTGTGGTCGGAGAGCTCAGTTTTCTCCCCATGCTCGGTCTGGATTCTAAGAGGGACTCGCAGGAACTGAATTGGGTTTTCGACTTTTCGGGGAGTAGGGTTGTGCCCCCAACACCGTCTGAAGAGATGCATTTGAGGCTGGTGGACCTCAAGAGACCACCAGCGGCCCCTTCGATTTCCAGGGGTGACTTTGCCCCAACCCTCAGCGAGAGGTTTCCCTCGTCACTGCCAGCCCTGCCCCTCCTTAGTGTGGAGGCCCCAGTCGTCTGGTAAATGGGGAGAGTGGGCCAGTCCTCTAGGCCCAGCGTGGACCCCTGGCCTCTCTGGGCTCTCTTCCTCCGGAGCCCTTCCACGAACTCCGAGAGGGCCGCTGAAGGACTGGGCAGCTTTTCCCTCGACAGCGGGGATGTATTTGTACTCCGAGAAGCCAGGGGAGAGGAAGCAGGTTCTAATCTCTCTGTGGACTTTCTCTGGACGGCAAGCACTTCGCCGTCCCCAAAATGACAGTACTTTTGCCGGCGGACAAAGTGGGGAGAAACAGGCTTGTCTCCTGAGGTCTTGCTGTGGACATTGGTGGACCGGGCTCTGCTCAGTGCCAATGCCGACTGGGTCCTCTCAGTGTCCCCAGCCTCTTCGTTTATCCTGTGCCAAGAAGAAAAATGCAGTCTGTAGAAATTGTGCAATTCATACAATTTGTGCAATCGGTGTGAGAGCCCCTAAGCACAGGCACTAATATTATTTTTCTTTGGAAATACCATCCCTACCGCACTCTCAAATGAACCATATGATTTAATGTGCAAATTCAAGCCATGTAAATGATTTCTTGTTGCTTTCCGAATGCAATTTCTATCTATAATTAAACCCAGCTAAGTACATTTGAGTAGATTAAAACTGCAGCTAGGACGGATGAATTAGATTTATGAGGCATCATATCTGACATGATAGGACCTATCATCCCAGAGCTTACTGTGAAATAAGTAGTTTGCTTCTTCAAGACCGGAAGGGGACATGCAGTGGGCTGTTTGTTTATTTGGGGCCAAGCCTAGAGGACAGTCCCACCAAGTGGGGCTTCTGAGAGTCAAGACCCAAATATGTGTCTCCACGGGATACCCCATGACATCCCTGATTGTTTCATGGGGTGACGGTGTAGGTAAAATCTTTTTCCCCCAAAAGGGAAAGATTCACATGAAATCAACTTAAAACCAAGACTATACACAAGAGGACAGACGGTTTCTATTCTGGGACTACACCAGACGTGGTTTTTATGCAGAGGGAGTTTGTGGCAGCAGCGCCAAAAACACTTTGCCTCTGAAAAGTAGGAGGCTCACAGTGGGACCAAATTATAGACTGTAAAATAAATGGCATCATTCAAAGGAGAGAGACTGGAGTCCATCAACCTTTCCTTTAATAAATAAAATCTATTTGTCCTCTCTCTAAGAGAAACGACCCCATTCCCTCCCCTCACCAAAGTTATAATTTATTTTTTAAAAAAGTAAAAAAGTTGCCAAATGTCAGAGTGTTGGCACTGCAGATAAAGCCACTGTGGGCTCAGGCCTGAAGAGATGCTGAGGGCGATGCACACGCGGGTTTCCAATCATGGGGTCCCTGCCTCTGAGTGCTTTGTTGCTGGAACTGTAACAATCAGGACGATTGTAGGATTCAGAACTCTATGTATAAAGGGTGACTGAGATTCTGCTACAAGACTTTGAGGAAGACTTCTTGCTTACCCAGTTGGGTAACACCACTTCCACTCCTGATCACACAGGACAGTTTAGGAGAAATAGAACTGACCACAGTGACCCAATGGGCTTTTGAATCTGGGAAGGAAGCCAACCCAAAGCTCCCTTGAGGTGATGGCCATGGAAGGCACGGGAGGGAATGGCTGGGGTAGGAGAGCAGTGTCTTTCCCAGGGAAATAGGTGGGGGCTGAAATAGATTCAATGTTTGTCTCCCCCGAAAATTAATATGTTGACACCTAATCCTCAATATGATGATATTAGGAGGTGGGGCTTTTGGGAGGTGATTAGGTCACCAGGGTGGAGCCCTTGTAAATGAGATTAGTGCCCTTATAAAAGAGGCCCCAGAGGGCTCCCTCACCCCTTCCACTGTGTGATGACACAGTGAGATGGCAATCTATGAATCAGACAACAAATGTAACTGCCAGCACCTTGATCTTAGATTTCCCAGCCTCTAGAACTATGAGAAATACATTTCTGTTGTTTATAAGCCACCCAGTCTATGGTGTTCTTGTTATAGCAGCCAGAAGAGACTGAGACAGGCACCTAGACCCTGCCTTCCTGAGCGCCCCTGAGGACAGAGCTTCAGTGATCCCACAAACCTATCTCCTCCAGGTCTGGCAGGAGCTCCCCAGGCTGGGGGCCTGTGTGAGATCGCCATGGCAATGATGGGCCCGGCTAAAGGGCTTCATGAGGACAAGACATAGAGCTGGCTGTGATCATCTGCCTCTCCTTACTCCCTATGTCAGATGGGTGGAGGAGGGTTACAGCAGCGGTCTGGTGACGGTAAGACCTGGGTGTCAAGGTGGCAATGTGGAGGAGCTACCTCCTTTCTCTCTCTGACCATCACCCTCAATCCTTCTCCTGTGTGATCAGGCTTGCTATTCCTGCCCTCTTGCTCATGCTGCTCCAGGACGCTGGTCTCCTGGGATAGGCCAAGCCCTCCCTGCTTCTGGGTCTTGCAGGAGTGGTTCTACCCGGAGTACTCCTTCTACTCCCCGACCCCTAGTCATGGTGCCTTCCTCCTGGGGCAGCTGGGACAGTGAAAGAAACACCCTTGATACTGTCTCTGGCACCTAATTACCCAAATAATGGTTAGTGGTTATGATGAATAATTTATAACCAATAATAAATGGTTATTAATCATTAATAATTAAAGGCAATCAATATTACTACTATTTAATTTCTGAATCTCCAGAACCCAACCCCACACTGGACTCAATAAAAGCCTCAATTGAAGTTCAAAGAGGGATGCATAGAAGAATGAATGGGCAAGTGACCTTCTGTCTCACCGTAAGAAGAAAGGTTGGTTCCTATGTGCTAAAACAAAAGCCACACGTTTGCCCAGAGCAGCTCCCTCCTTTCCTATTTCTTGTCTGTTCCCAACATAGCTGGACATGGGCTGGAAGAGGAGATGGAGGGCTCTTTTGTGATTCCCTGAAGGTATATTTGTCAACTTCATTGCTTTGGAATCCCTCCTCGAATACACAGCAAGATGGCATTCACACGCCTGTATTTTTTTTCTTCCTTACTTTTTATTAATAAACAGCTTGGAGCTGCCAGGGGCAGTGGGCTGCCGCAGAACTGACAAAAGTCATTTCCATCCTGTCCTGGCCCTGAAAGGAGGCGGGTGTGATGAATGAGTGTCTTGGATGCTCTGTCTCATCCACCGCCTGCCACCTGAGGAGGGCAACATTGAGGGCTCCTGTCACTGAATCTCCCGGGACTCTGCCATCCTGCTCACCCTAGCTCCCACTGCCACTGCTGGCTGCGGACACCAGGGCAGGGCATGAAAACGGAGGGTGAAGAAGTCCCAGGAGGAGGAAGAGGAGGAGGGAGGAGGAGGGAGGAGGTAGAGGAGGAGGAGGAGGAGGGAGGAGGAAGATGAGCCAAAAACATAGGGGGGAAAAAAGGCATAAAAGTAGGAGGAAGGAGAATCACAGACCACAAGTCTGAACTGACAGTGTCTTGCTGACTCTCATTTCTGCACCTCCGGAACTGGCACTGAGCCCAGTATGTAGTAGATGCTCAGCAAATGCTGTCGAATTCAATCAAGGTAGATGAGAAAGAAGAGGTAGTCAGGATAAGAAAAGTGGAGGGAGGACAAAGAAATGTGGGAAGAAGAGAAGGAAGGCTAGAGCATGAAAGAAGAGGAGGCAGTTTAAACAGGAAAGAAGTTGAAATGAGATGGAGAGAAAGAGGAAGGAGACCCAGAAGGGCGGTGGTGATGGAGAAGAAGGAAGGAGACTTAGGCAAACGCAAGAAGGAGAGAGGGGAAACAGAGGCCTTTCAGGCCGGCAACTAAGGATCTGCCATCTTGGCTTTAACAAAAAGGCGAGATAGGCTGGGGTCCATGGCGAAGTAGCCAGCTGCCCAGAAATGGGGATCTGGAGGTCACAGTCTGTGAGTGCTGGCAATCAGGTACAGAGGCCATAGGTTTGCTGGGCCCAAGCCAGGAAGGTTCCCAGCTATGCTGGCACAGGGCAAGATCCACTCGCCTTCCCTGGGGCCCTTGAGGAGCAATGCCTTCTACAAGGCATGGAAGCCAAGATGTCCCAGCACAGCCACTCAGGCCTAGCCTGGCTGTCATGGGGTCTAATGTCTTGAGATTGGAGTGAGCTGAGTCCTACCTTTCTGAAATGGTCTGGTGCCTTTGAAACCTCAGCTGGTGAGCTTAAAACAGGAATACAAGCCACGTAGTGTAGACTCCTAGGGGGCTGGAGAGGAGCAGTAGGGGTCGAGTGAGGAGAGACAAGGAAGAGAGGGCAAGAAGCACGGCCAAGTGCTTCTTCCTGGCTTTCCCATGCAGAAATCCACCTACATCTCTGCAAGTGCTTTTTCTACTTCCTGTCTGCACCACCTCTCAAGGTATAAAGTTCCTTGCATCCACTTCTTTCTGTATAGAGACTGAAGAATTTAATCTGAATTCAGATGCCGTTTTGTAGGCTTTGGGATAAGGATCCCAAGTTCTGCTGAGTGAGGCTGGATGATCATCCCCATTCCTGTCCCAGCACTGGACACTTCAAACACATCCTGTCTGACTTCATCCGGGGACCAGTAAGAGTCTTTTTTTTTTTTTTCTAGCTGTCCTCACAGGACCAGGTCGGTGTGGCTCAGATGGAACTCTCCATCATCATGATGGAGGGATGTCAGATAATCAACATGTTACCGTGCCTGCTTCCCAGAGCCTGGGCCAGGGAGAGGGATGACGTATAGAAGGCTCTCAGAGTCACTATGAGGCAGGATAGGCAGGGGCACTGTTACTCTTCAAGGAGAGGCTCCAGAAAAGCCTTGGAGACTTCTTCTGCCCACCCTGTAGTCTGTCCAAAAAGGAATATCCTTCTGGTATACCTGCTATGGGAAAGAGCCAGAGGATAAGCATCCAGCCACAAAGATGCCGGGGCTGGTTCTATAACTTAGTGGATGAAATAGTCATTGGTCACAACAGCTACCCCTGACTAGATACCTACTGTGCGCCAGGTGCTGTGCTGGATACCAGGAATATAGGAGAGAGCAAACGGATGGCTCCTACCCTCATAGCCACCCTGAGAGATAGGGATTATGACCTCCAGGCACAGAGAGGCTGAGTAACCTCTGCAAGCACACACAGCTGGCAACCAAGTCTGGTTTCACCACTCACTAGCCATGTGACCTGGGGACCATTGCCTAACTTCTCTAACCCTCAGCTTCCTTAGCTGAAAAATGAGGGAAACTAGATTGGCCTTGCAATGCTGTGGAGATAAGAACTCCATGAGGGCAGGATTTTTATCTATTGTATTCACTGCTACCAGTGTCTATAGAATAATGTCTTAGGACACAGTAGGTGCTCAATGAATTTGTGTTGAGTGAGTGAGGGAAGCACCAGGGCCCTAACACATTGTAGGTGCTCCATAAACATGTGTTGGATACATGAGTGAATTGCCAGTCCTCAGGCACATAGTAGGTGCTCAATAAAATGTATGTTCAAGTTATGAATCATGCTCCAGTGCTTGTCACATACTAGGTTCCAATAAATACTGGACTGATTAAATGAACTGATGAATAAGGGTATTTATATGAAAATGCTGTAAGTATGGGTTGCTTCAAGTTATAGAAGTTTATTAGGTAAACTAGGACATGAAAACTCAGGAATACTGAAATTGCCACTCTTTCTAACCTGCAAGGCTAAAAGCAAAAAAAGAGCTTCAGATGCAGAGAGACCTGAGTTCAAATCCCAGCTCTGTCTATTCCAAGCCAGGTATTTTTTCTTTTCTTTATTTTTTGAGACGGAGTCTTGCTCTATCACCCAGGCTGGAGAGCAGTGGCACGATCATGGCTCACTGCAAACTCTGCCTCCAGGGTTCGAGTGATTCTCTTGCCTCCGCCTCCCGAGTAGCTGGGATTACAGGTGCACACCACCATGCCAGGCTAATTTTTGTATTTTTAGTAGAGATAGGGTTTCACCATGTTGGTCAGGATGGTCTCCAACTCCTGACCTCAAGTGATCCACCCACCTTGGCCTCCCAAACTGTTGGGATTACAGGCGTGAGTCACGGTGCCCGGGCCCCCAGTTATCTTTTGAAGCCTGAACTTGCACAGGTGTAAGAGTGAGAATGACACTGCCCTAGGTCCCAGGGTCTTGTTAGAAATGAGAGATGATGCATGCCATATGCATATTCAGTATTTAAGAGTGGAAGCCACTTCTACCTCCATTACCCCCAGTACTACCAATGAGGCAAAAGACACTACAGTTAAACTTCCATACATGACTTATTTATCTCAAAGTTAATCCTTTGACATAACAGTATAACATAAATTTTAAAATCTTAACCCTTGTCTGATTGCTTTTAATGACCTCTTTCATCAGTGCTAGAGAAGTCCCCAGATTGAGGACAGATGTTCAAGAGTAAACAATTCCTATGTATGAGCCTACTGTGAACAGCACAGAGAAGGGAAGTGGAGACTGAAGTGGTTGGTTCAGCCTCAGAACGAGCTAGTGTCTGAGACAGTGTCTCCTGCTTGGACCATACCCCTTCCCCTTTCAGATTATCTTATGAATGGGGCCCCATCATTTTATCTCTAGTGTCAGCCACAGAAGCAGATGCTCCATGAAAATCGGTGAAGAACAAAGAAGGAGGCACCTATATCTGCATGTATCGTATGCAGCATCTCATCAAGCTAAGAAGCATCACCGCATCAAAATCAGAGGCATCATCCCATCTTGCAAATGAGGAAACTGAGGCTCAGTGGTGAGAAAACATTTGCTCAAGGCCATACTGCTAAGTGGCAGGGCCTGCATTTGAACCCTGGTGGGCCAGATCTGAATCCCATTCTTCTTCTTCCACTACATCACACACCTACTGGGCAGAAGGCTGACGGGAAACTCAACCAGTTGAACTTACATCTACACATACATATTTTTCAAGATCCACTGCGATGTAATGAACCAAGAAAGTCCAAGTCAAGGAGATGCTGGATTTACTGTTATTAGACTTAATCACACAGCAAAACAAACAAAACATAATTCCCAGGACTGAGTGTGGTCATAGCCTGGGCCAATTGTAGCTACAGGAAACTCAATGCAGATTTAATGACACCGTGAATCATCCCCCAAAGCGTGCTGTCACCCCCCGTTCTTCATCCACTCCCTGAAATTAAAGAGGAAATTAAAAACATATTGATGTTCTTTAATACTGGTGAGGCCTGAGATGGGAAACCAGATGCTCTTTGAAGATGACCTGAATATTTGGTAACTGAGTCCAAAATAACAACAGAGAGTCTGTAACAAAAGTTGACATGGCACCCAGGACTATGCATTATGCAGGGAATGGGAGGCACTTACTAAGCCACTGTGGTGTGCAGGTAAATAGCACATCATTAGAGTTATCATGTATTATGCCTTTAGGCTTTGCAGACTTTACTCAAGTTTACGCTCACAACAGTCCTCTAAAGCAGATATTGCAATCTTCCCAAGTCAGAACTGAGGCTCAGAAAGAATCAGTAATTTGTCATGTAATAAGTGGGAGAACATGGATTTAAACCAAGGAGTCCTACCCCAGGCCCATGGCTCCCAACTGCTCTGCTCTACTGCCCTTTATCGTCCCATTTTATAAATGAGGAAGCTGAGGCTAAGACAGGCAAATGGGCTTGCTGAGAAGGAGCAGAGCTGAGACTCCCATGCTGGTCTGTCTACCTATAATGTTTTCAGCACATAGCAGCAGAAGATGGGCTGCCCTCCCCTCCTGGGGAGAGCAGTGTAGGTGTTGAGTCTGGAAAAAAACCATGGAGAAGGGTCAGCAATGCAAGAAATTCCAGAGAAACTGTGAAGCACAGACTATAAATGCAGCAAGAGATTGGCAAGGGAGACAGCAGTCAATACTGGTGCCTGGGTGCACAGCGTTCCTTTCTTTTTTTTGAGATGGAGTTTCATTCTTGTCACCCAGGCTGGAGTGCAATGGCACAATCTCGGCTCACTGCAACCTCTACCTCCCAGGTTCAAGCAATTCTCCTGCCTCAGCCTCCCAAGCAGCTGGGATTACAGGTGCTCGCCACCACCACATCCAGCTAATTTTTGTATTTTTAGTAGAGATGGGGTTTCACCATGTTGGCCAGGCTGGTCTCCAACTCCTGACCCCAAGTAATCCACCCACCTCAGCCTCCCAAAGTGCTAGGATTATGGGCGTGAGCAACCACGCCTGGCCATGCACAGCCTTTCTTGACGAGGTGGGTTGAGTCAGGCTTTGGAAGAAGGGTAGGATTTCAATGGCGGCGATGGCTCAAGAAAGACACTCCAAGCAAAAGCAGAAGATTCCTCCTATTGATTCTTAGCTTATTCAATCTGCAAAACCCTTGACCAGCAAGGGCTGATACCTAAATTGCACAGGCAAGAAAACTGAGGCTTAGGAAGCTCCCCCACCCCTAGCTGAGAGGGAAGTTCAAAGCAAGGAGGGTGCTGGGGTTTGGGGGAAGGATAGCCAAGGGAGCAGGGAAGTGAGGAGGAGGTGACATTAGCAGCAATCTGTCCCCATGCTGTCCCCATGCCTGGCCACTCCTGACATGGGGAATAGAGTCAGGAAACAGACACAGTGAATATCCTACATTCCTTACAATATGGCAGTTTTTATGAGACAAGGTCGCTCTCAAGGCTTGCTTGCTGTTCTCTCTGATGCTTAAGGTCGGGGCCGAGTCTTTGACAATTTTACAAACCAATCCATCGAGCTGCCCTGAGTGGACACCTGCCTGCATGCCTTATGTGACTCAGCAGAATTTGCCTTGACTTCACCTACACATTCTTACTGGCTACCAGGGACTAAGGTCAGTGATTTTTGCATAGAGTTGCCCATTCAAGTCACCCCTGGAACTCTACACCCCCTGCCCCCGCAAAAAAAAAAAAAAAAAAAAAAACAAAACAGTAAAATTGGAGCTGGGTGGTGATAAGGGGATCGTTCTCATTTAAAAGAGATGGAGGAGTAATGCAAGATGTTAATAATAAGAAAAACAGAACAGGGAAAAAGGATATATGGGAGCTCTCTATGCTTTCTGCTCTTTTTGTGAAAACCTAAAACAGCTTAAAACTAAAAAGTCTATTATTTTTCTTAAAAGAGACTAAAGAAGCATAATCAAATATAATGAGTATCATTCTTTAATAGAATCATTCTTTGAATCTTAGCATCATGCAATATATCTTTGTAGCACACCTGCACATGTACCCACTGCTTTTAAAAATTAAATTTGAAAAATAAATACATAAGGGGATAATATAAAAATACAGTGATACAGGACAGTTTTAGGATAATTGGGTAACATAAAAGTTGAGATCTTAGATAATGTTATGGATTTGTTAATTTTCCTAAGTGCGATACTGATACGTTAGAAAATGTCCTTCTTAGAAGAAAGATGCGAAACTATTTAAGGAGAGCTGTTGTGATGTTGTCAACTTGTTTTCATAAGGGGAAGGAAAGGAAAAGAGAAGGGAGAGGAGGAAGGAGGAGGGGAGGGAGGAAGGAAGGGAGGAAGGAAGGAAGGAAGGAAGAAGGAAAATGTGTTTAAACATAGATGTAGAGGAGGAGCTAAAGACAGAAATAAAGTCAATGTGGAAAATTCTAACAACTATCAAAGTAGAAGCTACGAGTTGATAGTGTCCTCTTTTGTTAACAAATTTAAAAAAAGAAGGAAGAAAGAAAAAGGAAGGAAGGAAGGAGCAAGGGAAGGAAAGAAGGAGGGAGGGAGGGAGTGGAAGGGAGGAAAGAAGGAAGGAAGGGAGTGAGTGAGTGAGGGAGGGAGGGAGAGGCACAGAGAGGAAGGAAGGAAGGAAGGAAGGAAGGAAGGAAGGAAGGAAGGAAGGAAATTAGCCTAATAAAAAAGAGTTAGGAGGGAGTCAGAGAGGAAGGAACTGACACTCTGCAGGTGATTCTCATAAACCATTATTCTATATTTAAAGAAAAAACACACAAACAAACATTTTCACTCACCCTTTAATGTTCAGCCCAACTGTAGCTTCCCCCAGGAAGCCTTTCCGCCCTCTGGCCTGGGCTGGGGCCTCTCCTGGCTCCCACAGCCTCCTGTGTCCCCCTCTGTACTGTGGTTGTCTATTTACTTATTTGTATCTCCCAGCAAGACTGGGAGATACTGGAGTTTCTGGAGTAGACCATGTCTTTCTTCTATGAATCCCCAGCATCAGGACTGCCTCAAAGAAAGCTTGTAGAATGGAAAGAATGAAGGAATGGAGGAACAGAAAGATGGGGGATTGTGGAACTGCAGAAAGAATGTGCAAAGGGCTGCCTCACCTGGGCTGAATAATTCAGAACCCAGTATCCCCACTCACTGGTCAGTCACATCCACTTCTCCTGGCTGAAAAACAAGATTCAAAACCCACTTCCAGTACACAATCTAAAGTGAGTTCTCCATATTTCTAACACCAAGCCAAGAGCCTTGTTTCATTTCTACAGGATGTGATCAATTTCTAGGATATCAAATTGAGAGGGAGGTGTGGGCCTCATCTGGTTTGAACCCCTCATTCTACACCTAGGAAAACAGAGAAGGGAATAGAACTTCCCAAGTCACACTCTGATGAGATGGTGCAAGTACTGGCTCTACAACTCGAGTCTTTTACCTTCTGCTACAATTTTCACAATGTTTTGAAGAACACAATTCTAGATTTGTAGAGTAATTAAAATCTACTTGGCTTGTAGATTCAATTTGGATTCAACATATTTAAGTGAATTTAATGCATCCCTTCACTTTCCATGCAGAGACATTGTCTCACCAGAGTATGGTGAAATGGCAATAGTGACAGAAAATCTCAGACTCATTCATAAAAGCACCCAGTTCCCCATGAAGATGCAGCTTTAACTGAATGGAAATTATGCATCCATTAATATTTCCTTGCGTCCATCCTGAATCATTTATTGAGTGTCATGAAGACAGATGCTGTCAATATAGAGATGAATAGTGATTGTCTTCAAGTAACTTACATTCTAGAGGGGGTGGTAGATGCACTAAGTTAGGACTGGAAGAAAATATAAGTGAAAGTTCGTGTTTCCCTAGGTGTAGAAAGTAAGAAAAAAAACTTTTAAGTTCAGGGGTACATGTGCAGGTTTGTTATATAGGTAAACTCATGTCACAGGGGTTTGTTGTACAGTTTATTTCATCACCCAGGAATTATGTCTAGTACTCACTAGTTATTTTTTCTGATCCTCTCCCTCCTCCCACCCTCCACCTTCTGATAGGCCCCAGTGTGTGTTGTTCCCCTCTATGTGTCCATGTGCTTTCATAATTTAGCTCCCACTTATAAGTGAGATGATGTGGTATTTGGTTTTCTGTTCCTGTATTAGTTTGCTACGGATAATGGCCTCCAGCTCCATTCATGTCCCTGCAAAGGACATGATCTCATTCTTTTTTATGGCTGCATAGTATTCCATAGCATATATGTACCACATTTTCTTTATCCAGTCTACCATTGATGGGCATTTAAGTTGATTCCATGTCTTTGCTATTGTGAATGGTGTTGTGATGAACCATATATATGCATGTGTCTTTACGGTAAAACAATTTATATTCCTTTGGGTATATACCCAGTAATGGGATTGCTGGGTCAAATGGTTTTTCTGCTTTTGGTCTCTAAGGAATCACCATGCTGTTTTCTACAATAGTCAAGATGGATTAAATACTTAAATGTAAAAGCCAAAACTATAAAAACTCTGGAAGACAACCTAGGCAATACCATTCTGGACACAGGAATGGGCAAAGATTTCATGATGAAGATGCCAAAAGCAATTGCAACCAAAGCAAAAATTGACAAATGGGATCAAATTAAACTAAAGAGCTGCTGTACAGCAAAAGAGACTTATCAACAGGGTGAAGAGACAACCTACAGAATGGGAGAAAATATTTGCAAACTATGCATGTGACAAAGGTCTAATATCCAGCATCCATAAGGAACTTAAACAAATGTACAAGAAAAAAAAAACCCATTAAAAAGTGAGCAAAGGACATGCACAGACACTTTTAAAAAGAAGGCATACATGTGACCAACAAGCATATGTAAAGAAGCTCAACATCACTGATCATTAGAAATGCAAAGCAAAACCACAATGAGATACCAACTCACACCAGTTAGAATGGCTATTATTTAAAAGTCAAAAAAAGACAGGTGCTGGTGAGGTTGCAGAGAAAAACGAATGCTTATACACTGTTGGTGGAAGTGTACATTGGAAAAAAAAATGTTTATTTATGTAAGAGAATAAAAGCCTAGCTCAGCACTCAGCTTCCAGATGTAATAGCTTGCACCAGAGCTACTTGGAAAGCCAGAAAAGTAGAATTCAAATTTAAGGACAGTGGGAAGCCATCAAAGCAGCCAGGACTCAAAAGGCCAAATCCTGCAAAGAGGGAAATACACTGAAGGTGAATACAGTATGATGTGGCACTTTCCCTGAGAGTCATTTGCTGACCTGAAAGAATAATTAATATGGAGAACTTATACTTCCAATGCTATATTGGTTCAAGGATGGACACATAGAAAAGTGAAATAGAATAGACAGACGTATATACATAAGATCACTTGATTTATGACAAATTTATACTGTTGTGTAATGTGGACAGTATCATTTCTCTAAAATATATGTGCTAGACCAACTCAATATCTATATGGAAAAGAGTGAGCCCTACCTCACACCACAATGAGCCCTACCTCACATCACAAATAAGTATCAATTCATGATGCATTGTGTATCTAGATATAAAAGGTAAATCAATACAATGTCTACAAAAAATAAGAAAATACTGCATGATTTCAAAGTAGGCAAATAATTTTTCAACAGTATATAAAGAGCACCAACCATAAAGGAAAACATTATAAACTGGGTTACATTAAAATTAAGAACTTTTCTTATAAAAATAAACCATTAAGAGAGTGAAAAAGGTAAGTGACTGAGTGGAAGAAAACCCACATACCTTATAAAGGGCATGCATTTAGAATACATAAAGAACTACAGATCAATACAAAAGAGATGGATAACCAAAGAAGAATAAAAATAATGGACAAAAGACTTTCTCAGACACTTCATTAAAGAGGATATTCGAATGAAGATATAAGCATATAAAAAGGTTTATTTACCAGGGAAATGTGAGTGAAGATGAAAATTTGAAACTACTAACACCTATTAGAATAGCTAATTTTTTAAATAACAAAACCAGGCGTTGGCAAGGATTTAGAGCAACCAGAACATTCATTCACTGCTTATGGTTACATAAATTGGAATGACTGTTTTGACAGTATTTACCAAAGCTGAAAACACACCTAGCAATTCTACTGCTGAGTATACGCCCGACAGAAATCTGTATATTCATGCAACAAAAGATGTGTACAAGATTGTTCACAGTAATACTATTCATAATCATGGGAAACCATAAACAACCTAATTGTCTATTAATAATAGAATAAATTAATTATTACTCTATGTTCACACAATGGCATATTATTGACTGTGGTTTCTCAGTGGTGGTATAATTGCCATTTTGGACCCGATAATTCTATGTGGCCTGTCCTGTGCATTGTAAGACATTTGGCAGCATCGCTGAACTCTACCCATTGGATGCCAGTAGCATGACAGCCAAAAATGTCTCCAGACATTGCCAGCTGTCCCCTGTTGAGATGGGTAGTGGTGCAGAAGTGCCTCCAGTTGAGAACCACTGACATAGACTATAGAGCAATGAAAATAAATGAATTACTGCTACATGCAACAGTGTAGATGCATCTTGAAAAAATATCGAAAGAAAGAGGCCAGACACAAAAGAGGACATACTGGATGCTTCCATTTACACAGTTCAAAAAGGGGCATATCTAATATACAGTGTTAGAAGTCAGGATGGTGGGTTTCTTTGAGGAAGGAGGAGGTGGTGGCTTGAATGGGCACAAGGAAGTTGTAGGGGCACTGTAATGGTCCAGTCTTGATTTTGTTAGTAATTACAAATTAATTAGGTATGATCAATTTTTTGAAAATTTCCTCAAGATCCACTTTCCTGTATATATATTTCAATGGTAAATTTGCGTAACAAAACCTTAGCTTAATCAGAGAACCACAGATTTTAAAAGAATGTTCTGAACCATCAACGATGTATCCAAATAGTTTTCTACAAACTTGCAGCTTAGGTGAACCTCAAATTTTCTAAAAGGTCCATAGACCTACCATCCAAGACCTCGAGTTCTAGACAGGAAACAGCCTTCCTTCCTATAAATACCTGTCTGAGAGGGATTTGGGTCCTAAGGATAAATCCTGTGTCTACATTCAGACTTCACCTGTTTTCACTTGCTCAGGCCTTTGGTCCATGGTTAATGTGTTTGCATTTAATATTTCTGTGCATTCAGTTTCAAAATCTTTTCCACTAATCTTCCTAATACTGATAAAACTAAAAAGACTCCTTATGTCCTAGGAAGACATAAAACCATATTCATGAGAGGCCCTTTCATTAAGTATTTCCAGGATGGATTAAAATTATCCTGAGCTCCATTTCTAAGAATGCCGAGACCAGTAAATAAATGTACTATTGAAATAAGATTAGCATCAGATGCTTACCCCACTTTGGGAACGAGCTGTTTTTTAAAGCTAAGTACCATTTATTCACATATCCATAATTAATGAACTAATTACAAACGAGTCTTATCTCATCATTTAAGCAGCCCTCACATGACCCATCTTTGGCTTCCTGTCTGTAGTAGAGTAATTGCCCTTCTTTGAAAGTAACGCAACTGTTTTTTTAAAGACAATACTGTGTAATTTAGACCTTTTTACTTATTCAAGCCAGCCTTATCCCAAATAAAAACAAACAGGGCTGGTGGTAGGGTCTGGATCTTTCCTTTTAAACCAAGAACTGCAAGCCAAGAGTTTGGGGCTGCAAATGTTTACAGAAAGCAAATTTTCTCCTGCAAAAAGGAAAAGTTGTAATGCCATCTTTTAGCCAAACGAAAAGCAGTTGTGTTAAATCGGCACCAAAGCAAATGATACATACAACAGTAATTAGCAAAGATTACACAGTAATTAAAATCACGATGATTATGTGAGTGAGAATAATTTATACAATAATCTCCATGCTCACATTGCAATATGGTACAAGTCCAATAGCAACAGCAGAAAGCCAGGCTTGGTAATAAATTCAAAGCACAGCATCACTAATTATGTGATGATAGATTGGCCATTGAAATTTAGGGATAAATAAAGTCTCTGATCAGGAGACACCATTTTAGTTAGATTTCCCAAGGTTACTGAATGGGGACCCCAAACACTTTAATAAGTTTCCTTCCTCCCCACCATTCTTTCTCTTCATAGTCTTGCCCATTCCTGTAGTTCATTCAGCTTCCCCCTTGGTGGAAAACATTTTCTATGCTTATAGTTTTCATCTACCAAGTCCTCATTCTCCTGCTTCAGGTAAGGCCCTTCATTGTCCTTTGGGGAACCCCTCCTCCCTTCATGTTCTCATGGTTTGGTGGGAATTTCCAAGAGCCAGGTGAGAAGACTGACTTAGGCCAAAGGTAAGAGGCTCCTTCAGTCCCCTTGTCCATTCTGACTGGTTCAGGCTCACTCAGGCTTGCATTTTTTGTGAAAACTGTGAAGAAGAGAGAAATTCTCTTTACTACTGGACTCAGAATGGTGCAGGCATGAGTTTGGAGCTGTTAGCCGCCATCTTGTTGCCCCAGAAGGAAACCAACATAGAAGACAGCAGAGCAGAGAGGTTGGTGGGGAACCAAATCCCCATGATCATTTTTGAATTCCTGGATCTAGTAATGCCTGAAGCTAGATTTTCCTTTTTGGTTTCCCAGCTACAGGAAACAATAAATGCTCCTTCTTACTCTGGCCAGGTTGATGGGTTTTATGTCATCTACACTCATAAGAATCCTAACATTACGCAGAGGTTTCTTGGTATCTCCTTAGGGCTCCAGGTCAGAGTTTAAAAAGCTTCTGGACAATTCTCTTTGGATGTCCCCAAACACACGAAGTTTAACATATTTAAAACTGAGCTCACCAAAACTCCACTTTCACTGCCAAGAGGTTTTCTGTTGTGCTCATGGTTTTCTGCTGTGAGTTTAGCCCACTTCTGCAATCTCTGGTATGTGGAGCACCCAGTCCTAGTTTTCCCTGGTCCTGCCTGTCAGCATCCATGCCTTTGGCACAGCAGCATTACCTGGCCTGCTCTGGGATGAAGGACAGAGGATGGAAGGGAGTTTCTGCTTATTAAACACCAACTTGGTGGCAGGCCTTCCAATGAGCACTCTAGAGTGCTAATTTGCTACAGTTGTTAATTCTTCAGCTCTGCAAAGGGAATATTATTAAAGTCTATTTAACGGTGGAGGGGCTGAGACTCGGAGACTGTAACTTGCTCATAGTCAGGAACTAGTAAAGGAGAGGTTGTATTAGAAAACAGATCTACCCTTTACTTTCTTGAAGTATGTTTTCCAGGCCCGCTGGTCAGGCCCTGTTGAACTCTCTGAGCCCACCACATGCTTCTGCCCTCAACCTGCACTCTGGGACCCCTGCTGTAGGCAATGAGGAGCCACTGAAACCAGATTTTCCTTTTAGAGGAATCAAACTGGCTAAAGTATAGAGGATGGACTAAAGGAGGGTGGAGTTGAAAGGTCTTTGCCAGAGTCTAGGAGCACAATTATGGTAGCTTGACTTAAAGGTGTTGGCAGTGGGGGATGGAGAGAAGCAGAAAGAGTATTTGTTTGGGTGGGGGGTAGAATACAAGACTTACGGATTCGTTGAATATGGGGATGAGAGAGGGGAATGATAACCTAAGATAACAAGGGCTCCAACGTGGTGCTTTATGAATAACAGAACCACTCAATGATCCTGATAACACAGGGCTGGTGGGGCAGGATGAGTTTCCTCTTGGACATGCTGAGTTAAAACATCAGGGAGATACCTGGTTGGTGATCAGTATAGACAATAAGATAACATACATAAATTTAAAACTTGGGAGAATATAAAGACGTTCATCTGTATTTGGGGGTCACCTGCTGAAAGCTGCAGAGCCAAAATCACAAAAGGAGAATTGCCAGCTATCAGGTGGAGAGAGAATCAGCCAAGTGAGGGCAGTAACCTGTGAACCCTGGCATTTGGAGATAAGGTCGTGAGGCAAAGACCAGGGAAGAGAAGTTTGAGGAGAACCAAGGAGCAGAAATCTTGTCAAGGCCAAGCAGATAGAGTTCCATGAAATGTTCAACAGTGGGGAAAAGTCCAGGAAAATATAAAGACTAGAGAATGTCCCCTGATTTGTGTCTCTGGAAGCTGCTGACACAGTGAGAAAGGTTTCAATGGAGTGGCAGAGCAGTCTCTGGGCTGTAGTAAATTGAGGCATGAATGTGGAGTAAGTGAAGATGGTACCTATTAACAACACGTCTGAGAAGCTCGAATCAAAAGGAAGGAAAAACAGTAACTCAATAGGACAGCAAGGTGATGGATGAGGACATGGTTAGGATGGGGAGGACCTCAGCTGTTTATAACCTCTGGGGGAAGAACTGAAACAAGGAAAGTTGAGGACACAAGAGACAGAGGTGACACTAGATGAATCAGAGTGTTTTAGGGAGAAAGAAGTCCTGGATCCCAATTAGCTTCAGACAGGGCAGGACTGGACCTCATCTTCTGAGACCAGAGGGAATATGGGGGCAAATAGAGATGAATGCATATACATCACAGCAGAAGTTAAAGGCATTATTATTTTACTTTGAATGAAACAGAAGTGGAGTTGCCTCCTGAGAGTGATGGGGAGAGATCAGAGGGAAGTCAGGATGGTTTGGAATAATTGCCCAGGAAATGAGAACAGCGACTGCCCGATGACAATACCTTGGCAGTCTCTACAGCTAGGTCGTCATGCCTGTCAGCATGTGGACCTTGCAGAACAGGGTGAGTGACCATGGCTAGGGTTTTACTGGGCTTGGGGTGAGGATCTAGAAAGAAATGAGGCTTAGACCCTGCTCAGGAAGCCCAATGTGTTGTCAGGGTAAGAAGAAGTTGGGAGAGCCTCACTGCCCTCGCACTCTCATCCACAGAGCAGTGGAAGGAGAGCGAGAAGGAGAGGCCAGGCATGCAGCAGGGACTGACGTAAGCATGCCAGACCCTGGACAGCCCAGGCACCACTTGCGGCCAGATGTTAAGAGAAACTCCTGAACAAAGTGTGACTGCCACCATCCAGCCCATAAACTCCCTCTCTGTGGCCACAAAGGTAATTTAGTGTCTTCGTCTCCAGAAGCGCTTGCACTTATCAGCGGCAGCAGCATGATTCCTAGGCTGTAAATCATAACGCTTTAGGTGTATTTCTCTTGAGTTGACGTCCCCTTATAAATAATGTGGGGAATGCTTTTATTTTGTTGGCAGAAGACTGCTTTCTCCCTCTCTTCTGTTTTTAGAGTGACCTTCTTTCTCAGTCAAATGGGATATATCCAAGAGGCTCATTTATTGGGTCTTCCCATGCACCAGGTAATATGGGAGCGGGTATAAATAGGAGTCCTGTTCTCTACTATGATACAGTCTCCTAGCAGAAAGGACACTCATATCTATTAGAGTTTAAAATGCAAATGCCCTTTGATCCAGAGAATCATTTACCCATGTTTATAAGAATGTGTGTTTTTCAAAGCTTGACAAGTTAATATCAAATATCTGGAAAGCACCTAAAAGTGAAATAAAGACACTATAGTTAAATAAAGCATGGCAGCTTGTGCAGGAATTACAAAGAATGAGATGAACTTATGCATACTGGTAAGGAAAGATCTCCAAGGTGTATTGCTGAGGGAAAGAAGTATATTGTAAAAATTTATGAAAAGCATTACATGTAATTATATAATTTATGTTTTTAAAAATCTCACAAATATGCTATATATTTGCTACAAGTACATGTATATGTTTATGATATATACATATAGAAAAAGATAGAGAAGGATATACACCAAACTGAAGATGATGGATCCTTCTGAGAAGGAAGCTTAAGACTGCAGTGGTGGCCAAGGGCATTTCAGCCTTCTGATATATTTTAAGTTCTTTGAGAGAAGTATTCATAGATTGCTTGTGCAATTAAAAAGAGCTAGAAGTCAAGACACCTGTACTCTGTGTCAGTTCATACCATAAATTTGGATAAGATATTTCCCTCTGCAGACCTCAGGTTTTCCCATCTATAAACTGAGCAAGTTGGGCTGGATAATCCCGGTGGTCCTTTGCAACTCAGAATGCCTTGAGTCCTCAAGCTATAAACATATTCAAAGGAAGGGGTTCATAATTTTTAGGGCTTAATGTCGTAGGATCTGGTGCTCAGTAGCACTTTGTCTTGGCTGAACATTGAAGGTTGCATAATAATCCTTAGGCAGTTTTAGTACTAATAAACAGAGATCAGATTTTTCCAGTAAACTTTACCAGGTGAGTGGTCTACCTCCTGGATGAATGTCAGAGAGCTGTGGTAGCATGGCAAATAAAATAGAGGCTTTGGTGGGATTCCAACCTAGGTTCAAATTCTGGCTCTTCCACTTACCTACTTTGTGCTATTAGTAAACTACCAACCCTCTCTGTGCCACAATCAATGCTGAGCTGTGACCAAATACAATTAATATTTCTGCTCCAGCCTTGATGCTCTGGTCAGTTATTCATTCAACAAACATTTATTGAGCACCAACTGTGAGCCAGCCCTGGGGATGTGGCCATGAGGAAGACAGACAAGAAATCCCTTCTTACAGATGTGTAAGTATCTCCCTTGCCTCCTGCCCCCTCCCTGTTCTTGGTGCAAGCACTTTCACTCCAAACAGCAGCTGAACATGCCCAAGAACTTGGAAGGGGAAAGGGAAAAGAAAAGGGAAAGAGACTCTGGATAGGGCTCTCTGGGAGATGCTGAAGACCCACCTTGCCTGAGGGGCCACTGCAGGAGCTGTAAGACCATCTATGCATGGATCAGTTGCTCCCCCTTCTCTGAGTCTCAGATTTCTCTTCTGTAACATGAAGATAGACAGTGAAGTCTATCTCCCGGGATTCCTCCGGGCATCAAATAGTTACTGCTGCTGATAAAAATGGCTAATTTTTTGTGGCTCTTTCTAGGTGCCAGGCTCTGAGTAAAGAGTGGCTTGTGCATCACCACATTACCCCTGACAACAATCATGATTTACTCGGGAGGAAACATGAACAGAGAAGTTAAGCAGCTTGTCCAAAATCTCACAGCTGCAGATATGCAAATAAAGAATTGGAATATTATTTTTTAATCTATGTCCGGGTCCATACATAGTAAGCATTTGATAAATGCTTATTGAAAGTTATATGTACTGGTTTGTCTTGTTGTTCTAAAAACGTTGACTTTAAAAACTATACATTGTATACGTTTTCCTATAGATTATGCTTTCTAATCCAGTGCTAGAGAATTCAGTGAATTTGGAAGCAGCCAGAACACTGATTAAAGATGAATCTCTGTATAGAATAACAATTCTAAAACTTTTCAACAGGCCATTACAATGTAAAAAGTGCCTACTTTTTGTTTTGGCAATATTGATATTGCCAATTATATCTTAAACATGTACAGCAAATGAAAAAAAAAAAGAATTGGAATCCAGCTCTGACTTCAGATCCTGCACCGAAACCGTAATACCCTACCATCTCCCATTCAAACAGGTGCCAAACAACTTAGGTTAGGCTGCAATTCATCTGTTAGGATCCTTATTATCCACCCTAATATAATTAGAATTATGAAACTTGGTTATTATGTTAATGAGCATTCACATTCTTCTCTGGCTGCCTCCAATTCTCCTGCTGCCACTGGCAGACAGGCTAACGCAAAGGTATTTAGTTTTCAGAAGAGATAAAGTCCTCATAGTTTGGAGTTCACAGAGGACACAATTCCCTTCTTCATACAGGCCTTTGTTTTTAATTAAGAGCAGTAATCAGATAATCTTGCTTTAATTAGCTCCCCAGAAGCAACCCATTCTTGGAGCCTGTCTTTGATATTTTCTACATCAAGTCTTTCAGCCTAAGATTATCTGCAGACATGCACCAGACATTTGCCATTTGCCAAATATGCCCAAAAGTTTAGCATAAACTCCCACTCCCTTCTTTTTGTAAAGACAACCCCTGCATCAAAGCAAACACGTTTTGAGTCAGGAAGCGGTTGTCTGGGTTTGCTCCGTGAGTCTGTGATTTTTCCAGTCTTATCATATTGGGCCTTCTGTTCACAAAAACTGTGAGCATCTCATCTTAATTATGCATATCTTAATCCATAATTTCTGACTTATGGCCATTAACTCCTAATTACAAGAGGGCCACCCTTGAAAAGGGAAACCAAGTGAGCTCAGAGAAATGGAGCTGAAAAGCAAGAAGGAAGATGGATGATAGAAACTGTGCAACTAAGGGTGAATCCAAAGGCCCATTTATTGGAGGCGGTTGTTGTTGGCAATTCTGTAGATTTGTGAGGCTCCCATATCAGGCCACACCTGAATTCATCCCTTTCTGTGGTAAGGAAATTATAAAATTAAAAATAAAGCTAAAATTTGAATAAAGCTAAAATCTCCAGGTGATAAATCATCTGGCCCAATTTCTTTATAATGACTTTCCATTAAAAAAGCTTAAGTGAATATGTTTATTAAAAATTTTTTGAACCTGTAATTACCCATAAATGGAAAAAAGAGTATGATGTGCCTTAAGTAGAAGGCAACTATAACAACTATTACTATTTTTTAAAATGTTCACCCTGTGCTATTTAAAAATCTGGAAAACCATGCTCTGGAGAGGACTGCATTAGGTCCTCATTGCTTCAACCATTTGGATCAGTAAATAAAATTATATTCCATGTATTGCAGATGAGGAAGTAGAAGCTCAGAGAGGGTAAAGGATCTGCCTAAAGTCACACAGCTAGGAAGTGGCAGAGTTATACCCCAGACTTTCAGGACCATGCTTGTTTTTGCCTATGCCAGAGACAATGAAAGACTTGAACAACAACTTTCAAAGTCTGAGATTCTTCAAGCTATTAGCCATCCAGAGGCAGCAAGGAGATACTCTTACCTGGGGCTGAGGATGCGGCTGCTGGTGGCTGACTGTCGAGAAGGAGTCCTCATAGTATCTGTGGCCAGGGACAGAGTACAGCTCAACCAGGACTGCAGGCTGCCCTCTGGCTGGGAGCTGAGGATGGAGACGTTATCCCTAGAATAAGATTGCAGGACACCATCAGCACAATGACAATCACAGTAACAGCAATAATTAGATATTCACCCATAGCATAAGCCAGGCATTGTGCTAAGTGATATACCTGCATAACCTCACTCGCCATCCCAGAGAGGTAGGAGCCAGTGCTGTCACAGTTACACAGATGGAATTACTGAGATTTGGAGAGGCCAATTTGGGTCTTGGCCAAGGTCACCCAGCTAGTCAATGATGAAATTGGGATGCAAACCCTGTTCCTTTTTATTCCAATGCCCATGCTATTAATCATGGCACTCTTCCTTGGGGAGATACACACTCCACTACAAATGTTGAGGTCTCTCCAATTTAGGAGTAAAGTTTGGCATTGAATTTGATGTGTTCAAGGAATATATCAAGTGTGAAGGTCTTAACTCCTTCCTTACCTTATCTGGATCATCTTTAAAACAGGGACTCTACTTTTATGTCCCCTGATTCTGAAAGCGGCACAGAAAGAGAGGGGGTCGTCACAGGTCCTCAATGAGACCACGTAAGTTGATATACTCATTCAACATTATGTATATGTGTGTGTATATGTATGTGTGTATATTTATTAATATTATTTATATGTGTGTATGTGTATATATATTATAATATATAGTTTTTTAATAGGACGCTCTATTTATGCCAAGCACCAGTTCTTGTCCACATGAACTTAACATTGACCCTGTCCCTCAAGACCCCATCTCTATAAATAACAATAAAATTTTTAAAAATTATTAATATTTTATAGAGGGACAGAGGGTAGGTTTTACTAGAACCTGCTCTCTGTCCCTCTATAAAGCATTAGTAATGGTAGGTTCTAATAAAACCTACCCTCTGTGCCTCTATAAAGCATTAATAATTTTTTCTTTCAAAGAGGGAGCCTTGATTTGCTTCTTGGAGGCCTAAGGAAAGACATCAAGTAGTGAAAGTTGAGCTACATCTTCTTTGAAGGTTAGGGTTTGGCCACGCAGGGACTGAAGAACGGAATTTTGGGTGGAAGGAATCACGTACACATAGGTACGGAGGTCATAAAGGTCGGGGCATAAACAATATGGAAACCAGAAATCACAGTTGGAGGGGAAGGCAAGGGTCTGAATGTGCAGAATACAAACATCAGTGTAAAAAGTCTGTTCTGGGGCAATAGGGAGCCATTGAAGGTGTCTGAGGACAGTAGCATGAGAAGGCATAGGCTTCTTTCTGTCTAAAAGAACTAGGGCAGTTCAATACGATGTTCCTAGTGCTATAGGTTATGACCATGAAGGCATTAGTCTCATGGGCATCACTGATAATTCTCCAAGTGGACATGGATGTTCCCTCTGCAAACTGGACAGAGAGAGCCAGGGGCTCACCCTTGTGAGCTGCTCAGTTCTACCTGGGGTTAACTTACATCTCTTTTCGGCCGCTGCTGCCACAATCCACTGCCGTCTGGACACTAGTAAGAGGCACAAGAAAGAGTGTGTTATCCTCGTGCTGCCAGGGGCTTGGAAGCATGGTTATTGACGTTAGACAGACATGAGTGTGAATCCCACTTCCAACCTTTGCCCCTGTGTGATCTCAGGGAAGTCACTTGCCTTCCCTGAGCTTCCTTTCTTCCTTCCTAAAATGTGGCAAATAATGGGGCTCTGTTGTGGAGCAGAGTAAGTGAGATAACCCTTGTGAAGATCTCAGCATGGTTCCTGGCAAATAGATAGTGCTAATTAAGTGGTAGCAACCATTACCGCTACTCTTGTTTTAGTACAACTAGTACTGCTATTATTAATAGCATTGTTATTGCTAACAAGCAAGGTATTAGCTGTATGTTCTTTGTGAGTGCTAGCAAATCAGACATGGAGCAGGGCAGCTTCCCAGGGCATTGTGGGAAACTCCAATACTAATTACGATGGTAGCTGTTCTTTAGAGAGCATCCCTCCATTCAACAAATATGCTACCCACACAATCTCATCTACCTACCCCATGTGTCTCCATTTTAGAGATTAGGAACCTGACATACTTGTCTAAGTCACACAGCTTTTGATCCCAGGCCTGTTAAGCTCATGCTCCTAATCAGCATGCAATTGTTCAGTGGGTGGGTGCAGACAGCCAAACCGCAAACCTCAGACACCTAGGACATCATTTTAATCTGGATCATCAGGCTGGGGCTTCTCAGTATTCTCTGCTGTAATCTGGACAATTCCTCTTTTAGAAGATCAAGCTGTTTCCTCTAAGAGCTGCACCTGCTGCTCCTTGGCTCCCACCCTCAAAAGCCTGTCACCCTGGGGGCTTCTATTTACATGCATTTGTCCAGGCAGTGACCAACATCCCTTCTGGACCAAGAACAAGTCTTATTCATCCTTCAGCCCCAAAGCTCAGTCAGACCAGAAGTTCTCAGACAATGCTTGGTGAATCCAACAGAAGAAAAGTCAGTAAACAACAGCCATGGGCCAATTCTAGCCTACCATTTATTTTTATAAATAGAGATTTTTGTCTGTGATTGTTTTTGCACCATAATAGTAGTGCAACAAAGACAACATGGCATGAAAAGGCTAAATATTTACTATCTAGCCCTTTTAAAGAAAAAGACTCTGCAGTGGAACAAAAGCAGCTTTTGTGAATGGCCTTGTAGGAGGCAGAATAATGGTCCCCAAAGATGTTCACATTCTAACCCCCAAAACAAGGGAATATGTTTCTGTACAGGGAAAAAGTTTTATTGGAACACAGTCACCCATTCACTTACATTTTGAGTACTTCCTCACCTACTTTGACTAAACACCAATCTTTACTTGAATCCAGCACTCAGGAAAGTCTTTATAGCCCAATAGCTAATCAAAGCACACACTGGTGTTAGTTCTTGTTTACTATTTACCCTGGCTGACTCCATGAGTACTAGCCCCACGGGTGGACTCGGCATTCAGATTCACCCTCTTCCAAAGGGCTCTTCCCCAGCACTAGAGACCCATTCCCTCCTTGATGTCTAATCATGCTGGGCATCTTCTCATCTCCTTACTCTTCCACATGCTCCTGCTCTCTGACCCACTCTGTCCACACAGGGGGCTGATCTGTATGGACAACATCAATGGGTTCCCTATCCCATGGCTTTCTCTTGGACTCAGCCAATAGGGAATGCAACTGACAGTTGACAGGAAGGAGGGAAGACAGGGAAGCTGAAGTTACTTATTGTCCTGGATTTCTGGATTTCTCTCTACTGCCTTTCCTTGTGTTGGCTCCAGCTCTCAACCAAAGGCCAGAGCTCCTCCTATCAGGCTTCTCTCTCACTCTCTTTCTTTCTGGATTCCAGCAATTGCACCCTCTTTTTCTCCCTTCAGACCTTGCAGGAGTTACTGCTCTCAGTTGCTGCTATTCCCTAGGTGCTGCGCCATCTATACCTTGGAGCTTCCTCACACCTTTGTAAATAGTCCTTTTGTTAAGCTCTCTTCATTTAGAGTTTGTCTTTCAGTTTCTGCCAGACTCTATTACAATAGCTAATCTCAATGCTTTTTCTACCTTAACAGGAAGATCTGCATTTACTAGGCCAATAGTTTATATGAGGAAGAAGCAGACAGCAGGCATGACCCAACACTGCACTGCTAACTACTGTTACACCCTTAATCACAGTGTCACAATGTGGGAGAAAAAAAAAACAGTGAAGAATCTAAAGGGACAATCTTATAAGAGCCTAAGATTATCGGCAATCCTTACTAGCTCCTCCTAAGCTTCTGATCTGGAAAAGAACTAGCCACAAGGACAAATAAAAAAGATGGAAGTATAGCTGCTTATTAATCCTACATTTTTATAGTATCTGCACACTGGTTGCTTTTGCCCATGAACCTGTTTCACTAAACTTGCACAGAATATCTAAGGCTGAAGTCAAGACCCACCAGCTGGTCTGTTTGTTCATTCATGATGAAATACTGTCCACACCAAGTGTGATATCTGACCTGGACCCCATGCTTCCTACCATTTGAGATGGTCTCCAAAAAATGAGAGTATGTTTAAAATAAGAAGGCTGAATTAAGAGCTTCTGGGAACTATAGCTCACGTTTATTGTACGAACAAATGCTGAAGGCACCTAACACCTTTATCATGAGATGATCCGCAATGAAGCCTTCGGGACAGGAGATTTAAAAAAAAAAAAAAAAGGCTTTCAGGCAGAAGCAGTGGGGAGCTTTGTACTGTCTGCTCCTGAGAAGTATTAAACCACATGGGCAGAACTCACTACCATATAGACTGCACGTAAGTCACAGGTTATTGGTCCTGGAAAGTACTTGAGTTTGTATACCATGGTGCATGGAGCCCTCGAGTTCTAGGAGACCCCATGTAAAGTGTGGGTACCAAGGGGTCAAGAAGAGAGACCTAGGAGGAAGGCTTAGCCCAAAACCTTCCTCTGTCACTCCAATCAGAGGATGGCTGCACTCCATCCTAAGCTAGAATTTTGTACATGAGTTAGCTTTGGTATAAAAAACGAATTCTACAATAAGGAGGACGTTTGAAACACATTGGCCCTTTTACCATGTGAAGAAAGTGTCTCTGGGCTACAAGCTCCACAAGGCAAGTCCATGTCTGCTTGTTCCCTACTGTACCCCCTGTCCCAACACATAAGGTGTCCATTCATTGTTTTCTGCTGAGTGGGCAGGGGCCCAAAGGGCAGATGACCTGTCCATGGTCCTGATTCATTTGGTGGTACAGCTGTCTGGGACCCTCATCTCCTGACATGCGGTCAGTGGTTTTCTCTCCCCTTGGTGCAAGTGGCTTTTTAAAAAAAGAACTTGGCCAGGCGTGGTGGCTCATGCCTGTAATCCCAGCACTTTGGGAGGCGAGGCGGGCAGATCACGAGGTCAGGAGTTCCAGACCAGCCTAGCCAATATGGTGAAACCCTGTCTCTACTAAAAATACAAAAATTAGTCGGGTGTGGTGGCGTGTGCCTGTAGTCCCAGCTACTCGGGAGGCTGAGGCAGAAGAATTGCTTGAACCTGGGAGGCAGAGGTTGCAGTGAGCCAAGATCATGCCATTGCACTCCAGCCTGGGTGACAGAGTGAGAGGAGAAGAAGATGGAGAAGGAGGAGGAGGAGAAGGAGGAGAAAGGAGGAGGAGGAGGAGGAGGAAGAGAAGGAGAAGGAGGAGAAAGGAGGAAGAGGAGGAGGAGGGGGAAGAGGAGGAGGGGGAAGAGGGGGAGGGGGAAGAGGGGGAGGAGGGGGAGGGGGAGAGAGAAGAAGAACTTGAACTTGTGCCAGGAATTTATAAACAGGGTGTTGATGATGAGCGAGATAATTAATTCAATGTCTTCAGCTGTACTTCTTTAGGGTCAGTCTTTGCCAGACAATTCCAGTCTAAATGCAAATGTTGCCTGGGAAGTAACATGTAAATTCATTGGCCCCATCTCACAGTGACAGATACAAGTTCTCCTTAACGACAGGGCAGTTACTGGGCAGAGAACAGAGACCTTGACAAGGGAAAGGAGGAAGTAGGTTACATTTGACATGACAACAACGCTTGGCCATTAGCAGTTTAGGTTATGGGGTCAGCCTGGACATCAGACCATGGCTTCATCACCTACTGCATGGATTGGGGCAACTTTCTTGACTTCTCAGTTTCTTCATCTGCAAACTGGGAAGAATAATGGTAGGAGCCTCAGAGAGTTGTTTTGAGGATAACATATGCCAAACAGGTAGCACAGTACCTGCACAAAGTAATTTCTCAAGAAAAGGTACCTATTGTTACAATTATCATTATTTCCCGTAATGCTGGAATAGACAAAGTAGTTTGGAGCCCTGACTCTCTGTGAATCCTACTAGCTGGATATATGGGCTAGAAGGAAAGCCAGGTGGTCTATGCAGCATCATTTAAACAGGTGTTATATGGTACTAAGGCCTTGCATTGCAACTTGAACTGCAGCATCAACCTTCTCAGATTAATAGGAATGCTTTAAGCTGTTCTCCCTGGCCTGGAGCACATTCATTACTCATAGGGGACAAACTAGAAAGTAAAAAAGTTGCAGGAAAAGAGCTGTTGGAAGTTCCAATGACTGTCCTACTAGGTAGCAAGAAACTTTACAGTTTGGACAGAGCCTGGGTCCACTCATGAATAAATTAACTCAGAAGCGTGCCCTCAGTAGCAACCAGAATCTTCCGTTAGACCCAGATCTTTCCACTTGTCCTACTGCAGCCTAATTTTAGCCAGGTTATAAAAGGATGTACGTTGGAAAATGTCCAACTTACACTCAACAAAGCAACTGAGGACTCTTTTTTCAGAGCATTCGTCTCAGATTGGGCCAGCTGGTACTTATGCACTTTCAGCCGACCCAAGAGCAAGAGGTCATTCACTGACCTCTCTACATCTCGCCCAAACCCCTTTACCCCCTAGCCAAGGTGACAGACAGAGCAGCCGCAGCCCCTGGGCCATGAATAGACAGGGCTGTGTCAGCCAGCATATTCCTCCCTCCAAGAATAATGAGCATACTTTAGGCCTGGGTGACTGGCTTAAAGCATTTCTCCATTAATCTAAGGAGGTTGATGCCACAGTGCAAGTTACAATGCAGGGCTCTAGTGCAGGAGAGCACACGTTTAAATGCTGCCACATAGGCTACCTGGCTTTCTGAGCACGTAGCCACGTTTCCAGCCTGGAAGGCCTGTTATGCTCAGATCTAATTCCCAACATGGGGAAATGTGACTTTTTGTAATTTGAACAAGTCTCTCAAAGAACCTCACCTGCAGCTGAAGCATCTCTCTCTCTCTCTCTCTCTCTCGTGTGTGTGTGTGTGTGTGTTTGTGTGTGTGTGTGTGTGTGTGTGTTTCTCTCCTGGGTTGGCTTTGAATTTATTATAATTGAGAACTCTGTTTGGAGAAGTACCTCGAACCAGTCCCTCAGGCTCTAATCCAAACCTCTTACCCCAGGGTGATGAGGAAATTAGGAGTGAAGTGTAGCGTGGAGCTGTTAGCAAGTGGAGACTATAGACTGGGGCCTGGGCAGGAGCTGGGGGTTCTGCTATGGACGGTGGATTTACAGCCTAGCAACACAAATACTTCTTTTCATTGTTTATAACCAATTTAATTGCACTGTGATCAGACAACATGCTTTATACAATATTAATTCTTTGAAATGTGTTGAGACTTCATGGGCAATTTTTTCCCCCAGTTTCCCCATTTCTATGATATTACTGAAGTCTACACTGTGTTTCCACTCAAATCCAAGTTCTAAGTCAACATATTAGGATCAAGGCCTGCTGAGAATTAGGAAATGCTCCCTAAGAACCACCCTGGGGTCAGGGCTGGCTTCAGGGGCTTGCGACCCATGCCCAGAAGGGCCTGCATTTTGGTTTAATGCTCTTGTGTTACTGTCTTGAAATCTTAAATAATTTTTTAACAAGGAGACCCATACTTTCTTTTTTCCTTCGTTTTTTTTTTTTTTTTTTTTTTTTTGGCGACAGAGTTTCACTCTGTTGCCCAGGCTATAGTACACTGGCGCCATCTCAGCTCACTGCAACCTCTGCCTCCCTCGTTCAAGCCATCCTCCTACCTCAGCCTCCCAAGTGCACCACCAAGCCCGGCTAATTTTTGTATTTTGGGTAGAGACAGGGTTTCACCATGTTGGCCAGGCGGGGCTCGAACTCCTGACCTCAAGTGATCCACCCGCCTTGGCCTCCCAAAGTGTTGGGATTACAGACATGAGCCACCGCGCCCAGCAAGCCTCACACTTTCACTTCACACTGAACCCTACAAATGACGTGGCCAATCCTGCCTGGGGCACTGGGGCATTTTAAGAAACTGAGGGTGTCAGTGGGTTTCTATGGGTCATCTTCAGAGGAGAAGAAAGGTAGGAGAAAGGGAAAGAGGAAGATGCGATGGAGAAAGAGAAAAGGGGAACAAGAGGGCTGCTGCTCCCTCATCTACCTTCCCGGGGGACACTGGTTTTCTTTCACTTCCTAGAACGTGCCTTGATCTGCCATTACTCATTTTCTTCAGGCCTTCCCACAGCTGGCTCCTTCATTTCATTCGGGTCTTAATTCCAATGCCTTCCTCTCTGGGAGGCTACAACTGCCTACCCTGCTCTTCATCATAGCACTACGTTCTCTGGCCTCGTAACTCCAATTGTATTCTCGTGTTTTATTTATCAATCTGTGCACTCTATTTTTGGACACACTCACACACATACACACACACACACTCCACCATCAGAATGCAGGTTTGATAAAAGCAGGACCACCCCTAGGCTCTTCTCCCTCTCTATTCCTCAGCAATTCAACCAAACTGGGCTTTAGACACAGTTCCAAACATTCATTTCTGCCTGACTTCAGGCAAGTTACTCAACCTCTCTTCATCTGTAAGAGGGAGAATAACGATAACAAGAAGCAAGTGGAATAAAACAAGCACTTAACACAGCATCTCGCACGCAACAGGTGCTCAGTAAAACTTTATCAAATGAATGAATGAATGAATGCAATTGATGATGATTCTCGTTGAGCCCCTACTATGTGCAAGGTAATGTGCTAGGAAGCCATACTTTTTCACTTGCTTCTTATTATTAACCCATCTTAGACTCAAAGAGACGGAGGCTCAGAGAGGTTGAATAACTTGTCCAAGGTCACGCAGAAATTAACCATTAGATCTCTAATTGGCAATCAGACTTGTTGATGTGCAAAGCCTATTCCCTCTCAAATTCTTCCTTGACTTCCCATTGTAATAATCCTGCACATTGCATGGGGCTTTTCCAGGTACAGGCACAAGATGCATTTCTTTACACCTGGTTTTCTGTAGTCGTGTCACACCTCACAGCAACTCTGAAATGCAGGTGATGTCCCTTCCAGCTATGAGACAGGTGTTATATGGAAACTAGAGATCCAGTCAAGGGAAAAACATCAGACGCCCAGCAGGGAGGAAGACTTAAGTCCCTAGAGACAGAAGATCATGAAAAGTGAGAAAGAAAGAATTCAGATTGGATTCCAGGGCATGGAGCTCAGAAAGGGTAGATCAGAACAGAGGAGACAGATAAAGGTGTCTCTTATTAGGATGAGGGTGACAGCAGGGTCCCTTTAAAGCCAGAGGGGATTTCTCCCCTACGCCAAGACTGGAGTGATGTCTGCAACTTTCTGTGACCTCACCACCGGGATCTCATTCTCCCAGTGAGATGTCTGTCCCTTGCTTCTTGTTTTCCTTTTCATTTTATAATGTTTTTATTTTTAATTTTTGTGGGTACATAGTAGGCATATATATTTATGGGGTACATGAGATGTTTTGATACAGGTGTGCAATGCATAACAACCATATCATGGAAAATGGGGTATCCATCCCCTCAAGCAATTATCCTTTGTGTTACAAACAATCCAACTATACTCCTTTAGTTATTTTTTAATGTACAATGAAATTATCATTGACCACAGTCATCCTGCTGTGCTATTAAATACCAGGCCTTATTCATTCATTCTAACTACATTTTTGTACCCATTAGCCATCCCACCTCCTACTGTCTATTCCCATGGGTTAAATTGTTTTGATTTTTATATCCCACAAGTAAGTGAGAATATGCGATGTTTCTCTTTCTGTGTCTGGCTTATTTCACTTAACATAATGACTTCCAGTTCCATTCACATTGCCGCAAATGACCGAATCTCATTCTTTTTTATGGCTGAATAGTACTCTATCGTGTATACGCATCACATTTTCTTTATTCATTCATCTGTTGATGGACACTGTCCCTTGCTTCTTGTTGCACCTTCTTCCAGCCTGTCACCCACCCTTCAAGCATGGACCCTCCGCCTCCTTCCAATTTGGTTATGTTTACTTAACTTTGATTGTTTACTAGAAAAGCAATCTCTTGCTATGCAAGTGAAAATAATTTAAACATTTTGTGTACTGGCCAAAGATGGTTGTAACTACAGCCATTCATTCCTGGTGTAATTCATGCAAAAGCTCTATTGTTTCTATGAATGGAGAAGCCAGCCCAAGCATCAAACAAGTAATATTGACAAAAGGAGTTTGTAATTACACTAAGTTCTGCCATGACACTAATTAATAAAACAGGAGGAGGGGGCAGTGGAGGTGGAATCCTAAATGCAACCATGAGCTGGAAAGCAGCTGCAAGATCAGGATTTGCCCTTTCACCAGCAGTTTGGCAGCTGTGCCAATTAGCAGGGAATAGCGGGAATACTTGGAATGTGCATGGAAGCCACTTTTGCACAAATTGAATAATTTTTTTTAAGACAAAGTCTTTTATTTACAGGCAAAACATGAACTTTTATTTTTTAATTTATTTTCTGAGACAGGGTCTTGCTCTGTCACCCAGGCTGGAGTGCAGTGGCACAATCACAGATCACAGCTCACCACAGCCTCAAACTTCTGGGTTGAAATGATCCTCCTACCTCAGCCTCCTGAGTAGCTGGGACTACAGGCCACCATGTCTGGCTAATTTTTAAAAAGGAGTTTTTGTAGAGATGGAGACTCCTTATGTTTCCCAGGCTGGTCTTGAATTCCTGGTCTCAAGTGATCCTCCCGCCTTAGCTTCCCAAAGTGCTGGGATTACATGTGTGGGCCACCATGCCTGGCCAAGAACATGGAGTTTTAGAGTCCAGTGGCTCTCCATCTTGCTCCTGCTGAGCGCAGACATCGTTACTGGAGAGTCTGAGGTTACAAATCCCTCAGCAGCTATGACCAGCCCAGGACTGCATTAAGGGAGGAGGTTATGCGCATTCTAAAATTAGGTGTATGGAGTACATAACTTACATGAGCAAAATCTCCTAAAGAGAGTACTAGTAGAGCTAGAGATGTGTGTGCATGTTCATTGCACAGATTTCAGAAAATATAAATAAACTTGAAGAAAAAAAAAATTGTCACCCGTAACGCCTTTCCTCAGTGTTAGAATGTTGGTGTATTTCTTCCAGTTTTTTTCCTTGACTATTCATAGTCAGCTCTAATATAGACAATATAGATGTCTGGTTCTTCCTTCTGGCTAAACCAGAGCTGATTTGTAACCCTCTCTGCTTCCTTTGCCTGTCTCGCACCCACAAGTCCCAAAGGTCAGCAGCTACCCCTGCCTCCAGCCCTTAAGAGAGGTGTGAATGGCAAAGGTCTGGGTAGGAACTTCAGCAGACCTGAGTTCTAGCTCAGTGTATGAAGCTAATTTGCTGTGTGACCTTGAACTTCTCTAAAGTCAGGGTCCTCATATGGAAACAAAGAGGGATGCATTCCAAGGACTGATGTTTGACTGTCCTGGCTGCAGAAAAAAACAGCCTTCGCAGAGAGGAAGACTAAGAAAAACAGGCTTTTAATGTGGCCTGCTCAGGTGTGTACAGGGGCAGCTTGCAGGCAGCAGGAGGGAACCACCCTGTAGATTCTTTATTGAAAAGCTGTGTAAGGAAAGTGTCTTCTCTGCTACCCAGGCTTTGCCACAGAGGCTAGAACGGGGGCAGGGATGTGTGGCAAGACAGGCAGCTGTGGTTCCTAGAGAAGCAATAAGCCAAGGGTACAAAGGTAGCTCCTGGGAACAGAATGCTACAGGAGTTGGACAGCCTGGACCCATGTGCCCAGCTGGGATACCTCAAACTCTTTCCAGCTGAGCGGTCCACCTGTGGCCTGCAGTAGCTTGAGATTCAAGCAGAGATGGTGAAAAGTAGCCTATCTTCTGAGAAAGGCAAGAAGCCCTGCCATTGAACTTGGGTGGTCTCGCTAATTACCAGCCCAACTTTGCAACCTTGAATCAGCCATTGCCCTTGTAAAATAATGTCCATTATTCTGTACAAACATAGCTTCCACTTACATAGCACTTACATATCTGTCATGTTCATCTGTGAACTCAATTAACTCTCAACAACAGCCCTAAGAAATAGGCAGTAGATTGAATATATGAAACTTCCAGTCTGTAGGTCAAAAATAGTCCAATCTTGGCAATTGCATGTGATTCATCCTAATATTATTATGCCCATTTTACAGATGAGAGAATTAGGCCAAGATTGGACATGGAACTTGTAGAAGACCATACGCTAGTCCTTGTTCCAGTCACATTGCCTCACCAAAGGCTTGGTAAGCTGGACTGAGAGGTTTTAGCAACAGCAAGGAGAGGTTAAACCAGCAGGGCAACATCCAGTCTCTCCTTACCCAAGTAAACGAGGGGTGCCTCCAGCCCCCGAACATCTTTGGGTTTCCCAGTGAATGTGGCCCCAGCCCGGCTAAAGGGCATAGAGCTCCCCAGGATGCCGCCCACCTGCTGCGCCCAGCCCCGCCGAGCCCCTAGCAAGTTACCTCTCAGTATCACTGTCACTGGATGCCACTTCTTCCAAGGCAGCCTGCAGGTCGGCAATCCGCCGAATGGATGTCTCCAGGTCTGTCTGGAGGGTTTGCCTCACTGCTGCAAGTTCCTCCACGTACTTCTCCTGGGGACAGAAGATGCAAACACACGTTGGCCTTGGGCAAGAAATGCACCACCCATGCATGCACTGGGGAAGAGACACGCCCCAGGCTGAGCCTAGTGTTCACTGAGCACCTATGAAGTGGTAAGTTCTCCGTGAGAGGCTCTCTCTGCGGACAGATTTATGGGATCCTCAACCAGGTGTTCCAAGTTTCATAGAGGAGGGAATAGATACTCCAGGGCATGGCACACAGAGCTTGCTCACCTGTGCAGGGGGTGCTGCTCCCAATGCATCTGACCCCAGGGCCATGCTCTGAATCTGCACCACCACGCACAGTGGATACTCAGCCCATCTTGGATGGAGGAGTAAACGTAAAAACCAAGAAGGGTCATGGAGTCTGGTTTAGGAAGCTGAGCCTCAAGGATAAATCTGGTGCAGGAGGTCATGGGGAGAACATAACAAAGATAGTTTCAAGTCTGTCCCCTAAACACCCCCACCTTGCTGTCCTCACAGCAGCAAAAGCAAAGATGAAAAACCCAGCTGGGCTCCCTCCAGAACAGGCAAGCGCGATGGGCATTTACGGAGCTCTTTCTGTGGCCAGAGCTGTGTTGAGTATTTTGCAGCCAGGATCTCACTCATGCCTCACAGGCCCAGCAGGTGAGTCTTTACTCTTCTCCCATTTCACAGATGAGGAACTGAGGCCTTAAGAAGCAAAGACTTCATGGCGGAGCTGGAACTCAAGCTCGGTGCCTCTGACGCCCCTCTCAGTGCTCATCTTCGTGATCAATACTTTCTGGTACTTTTCTAATTGGATTTTATCTGGACTCTTGGGAAAATCTCTGACTTTAATTTGCAACCTACACATTGCTACCCTTTAACACATAATGATTGTTACCTAAGAGTGATTTTGCCCCCCAGGGGACATTTGGTCATGTCTGGAGACATTTTTGGCAGTCGCAACTTGGGGAAATGCTGCTGGCATCTGGTGGGTAGAGGCCAGAGATGCTGTTCAACATCCTACAAGGCACAGGACAATCCCACAAAGAATTATCCGGCCTGAATGTCCACGGTGCTGAGTCTGAAACCCTGGGTGAGACCCAGCATCTAACCTCCTGGTAATTAATTCATCTTACGGGGGATAAATCAAGACACAGAACACAGCTCTATGCCCGAGGATGTTTGCAGCAGTGCTACTGATGACAAGGAGAGGCTGGGATCTGCCTCATCACCCAGCAATTGGGAATGGTTAGGGAAATCACAGTGTGTCACTTTGATGCTCTTAGGCAGACATCAACATTAGAAATAAGAATTGTGGCAGCGTGGAGTGCTTCTTTGAAATAACATGAAGCAAACGGAATAGATCCGAGCAGTATCATGCTCAAGTCTATGCAAATAACACTCATGGAGAATTGAGAATATTTATGGATGGGGCAAAGCGGGGTTATAGATGGGATTTTTCTTGTAACCGGCTCTAATTATGTAAAGTTTATTTTTGGACTGCTGTGTAAAGGAACATACATACCACCTGAGGACAGTGGGAGGGGAGAAATTTGAGGATGTGGGGTCAAAGCGCAATTCCCAGCTCCCCATGGAACTGAGTAGCTAAGTGAAAATGAATGGCTCACAGCCCCTCTCTTAGCCTGGAGTCTTTTTTTTTTTCTTTTTCTTTTTTTTTTTTTTTTTTTTTTTTTTTTTTTTTTGAGACAAAGTCTTGCTCTGTTGCACAGCCTGGAGTGCAGTGGCATGATCTCAGCTCACTGCAACCTCCACCTCCCGGGTCCAAGCAATTCTCCTGCCTCAGCCTCCCAAGTAGATGGGATTACAGGCACCCACGACCACACTTGGCTAATTTATGTATTTTTTAGCAGAGATGGGATTTCACCACGTTCGCCAGGCTGGTCTCGAATTCCTGACCTCAAGTGATTCACCCACCTTGGCCTCCCAAAGTGCTGGAATTACAGGCGTGAGCCACTGCACCCGGCCTCATTTTTCTTTATTTTGCAGATGAGGAAACTAAAGCCAGCAAGGTCAGTCAGCGAGGTCACTCAGGAAAGGCGCAGAGCTGGGATCTGAACCCTGGGCTTGGTGGCTCCCAGTCCAGTGCTCTTTCTGGGGCTATGACTGCATTCCCCAATGGAAGTCAGCGAGGACCATTACAGGGACACACTCAGCTCTCTGCACATTGGCTTGCCCATTCACATTATTGTAAGTCTGTGCCTTTCCAGTGTTTTCTGATTTTAAAGAGAGAGAGAGAGGCAGCAGGCAAAGACTGAGTAAGCCTAAGGGCCAGGTCAAGCTGATGAGAGGGAGAAGGGGTGGCGGGAAGGACGCCGTGGTGGTGGCATGAGAAGGAGCTGCCAGTCCATCCCAGTTGATTGAAGCCACCAACTGTGAAATCCCCATCTCAGCCTTGACAAGGTGAGAGACAACCCGAGGTTGGGGCCCCCAGGCTGTCAGAGGAAACAAAAGACACTGAGGGACTGTGAAGGAGGGGGTGCTCACCCCAGGACATCAGCATGTCAGCTCATAAATGCACCTAGAAAACAGCTAGGTGCAAAATCCCGGCAGCTTCTGGGAGCATCTGCCCAGGCTCCACTCTTTTTTTTTTTTTTTTTTTTTGAGACGGAGTCTCACTATCTCGGCTTACTGCAAGCTCCGCCTCCCAGGTTCAAGCCATTCTCCTGCCTCAGCCTCCCAAGTAACTGGCACTACAGGCACCTGCCACCACGCTGGCTTTTTTTTTTTTTTTTTTTTTTTTTTGTATTTTTAGTAGAGACAGGGTTTCACCGTGTTAGCCAGGATGGTCTTGATTTCCTGACCTCGTGATCCACCCGCCTCGGCCTCCTAAAGTGCTGGGAGTACAGGCGTGAGCCACCACGCCCGGCCAGCTCCACTCTGTTCTACTGGACCAGGACAACAGTGTCACTGGGCATTAGCCACTTTCTCCCAGATGTGGCACCTGTATCTTTGTAAGACACAGAGGCAGAAAAATCTGTATTTCTGTCTTAGATTCTATCCCAAGTCCACACATCTGGGCCATTGTGGGTTATGTGTTAAGTACAGTGAATCCTAAAAGCATTGGTTCAACGAATGTCTAACCAAATGACCTGTCTGAGGTCACGCCGCCGGGAGACCACAAAGCTGAGATGTGCATCCAGGTCTTGGGTTCTTAAGTGGGAACCCTTTAAGTCACATGTGCTGAGACATGAGAAAAGGGTACAGACATCCCCTCCTCGTTTTGCTTAGGTGAACCTTGCCCATGTCAGTGTCATGCAGGAGCAGCAAGGTGTACAGTCCACATCCTCAGGGAGCTTCCTGGAGGGTAGAGGAGAGAGACAGAAAGAGGCACAGTGTCTCAGGGATGGGTGGGCCTCGGCTGGGACTAAGCAAGTGGGCAGAAGAAATAGGAGTCTAAAATGAGTCAAATCCACAATATCATAAAAGTGAAAGTAGGCTCTGGAGCCGAGCTGCCGGGGTTCAAATCCCAACTCTGCTGCTCACTGGCTGTGTGACCTCCAGCAAGTTACAGAACCTCTCTGACCCTCAGTTGTCTCACTGGGGAAATGGGGCCAGTAGCAGACCCTCCCTCACAGGGCTTTTGCGAGGAGTAAATGAGCTTGGCAGAGTGGAAACTTGACCAACAGTGGCATAGCTATCCTTTAATTCTCATAGGAGAAGGAGTCTCAGGAAGAACAGTGTCATCCCCAGGTCACTGTGGAGATTTGCCAAGGTCACAAACCAAATAAAAACATTGGAATGCAGGACTCTGGCTCTGAAGATTTTTCACTATCCTACATAGAAAAGACATGAAAAAAACAAGGGCTGCATAGAAGGTGAGTTGGCTTAGACACAGCAAGAAGAGGTGAGAACCAGAAAGCCATCATTAGTTAGGCCAGAGTATGTGGACCAAGGACAGGGTTCGTGGATCTGCCACTACCTTCCACCCTCCACCATTGCCCCCTTGCCGCCCTCTGCATCCCATCCTCCATCTGCTAGGGAAGCATCAGACTCAGTGGGCGCACCCTGAGGAGAAAGCTTGGAGAAATTTAGTGTTGGTGTAATCAGCAATCAGCAAATCTTTCCTGCTTCAACTCCAAAACCAAATGGAGTCTGCTGATTGCAGAGACCATTTCATTAGGCTAAACAAACGCAGTGCCCCAAACAGTCTCCCTGGGGCAGATAATACAAGGCCCCAGCCAGAGACCCCTCCGGAGACACGGAAGGGATGCACAAGCAGAAGGGGAAGTGAGCCAGTGCCCCTCTCATGAAACAGGAAGTGGGCGGGAGGCAACGACAGCATCTGACAATCACGCTTGCTCGGGCTTGGCTCAGGGCTGCTCCATGAAAATGGGGTTGTGTGCTGAGGTCGATTGTGAGCTTAGTCTTCTCTGTTATTAGCTCTCTTTAGAGATTTGAAGCATGGAGAGAAATTGGGAGGTGGGGGATAATTAGGATACAAAATGATTTAGATAGTTAGATGCATAGATAGCAGAAATCCACTAAGATATACACCACATTCCCGGGATAATCTAAAACTACAATATAATGGTGTACACACTGTAGACAAACAACATCCATATATCCTGGTATATATTATATATTCATATATTATTCATTCATGCATACACGCATACATTTAATAAACATTTGTTGAGCACCTATGAGGCGCAGCACTGATCTAGGTGCCGGCAATACAAATAAAGTCCTCACTTCCACAGAGCTTATGTTCTTGCAGGGAAATCATCTGTATTACCAGTGTCTGGAACACAGGAGGTACTCAATACATGTTTGGGGATGAAATGAATGGTGCTATTGTATGACTATTAGTGGCGAATGAGGGAAGGATAAGGGATAAATTATACATTCTAATGCATACATAATATACATGATACATATGTAATATATGGAGGATATATATATCGTGTATACAGAGATCAGTACAATAATATGTAGAATGTAGATAATATGCATACTTGCCGACCTCCCCAGCATCACTTGAGAGAACTATGATTTCTTGTTAAACCCCCGGGCTACTCCCTCTGGAGCATATCACAGAGTTGCCCATGTGAGAAGCAGTTCATATGATAATTAATGGCTGCAATTAAAATCATCTCCTCTTGTGATGTTCAATTAGAGGCTAATATTTAAAACTGTTGTTTGTTGTTTGTTTTCTCTGCCCAGAGCATCTCAATCTTCAGAGGACCCTCTCCTCTCTGCAAATGGACAAGACTCTCATTTGTTAATTTCTGCAGCTCTGGAGGTTGCCTCTCAAACCTTCTGAGGTGTCTCCCAAGGCCCCCCAAAGTTAATTTCACCTGTGCCACACAATTTACACTATAGATCAGACTATCTCGAAACACTTTTGAAACTTGACGAAAATTCATCTTGTTGCTTTCTTCTGATTTAGCAAAGACAAGCAGAAAATGTTACAGAGCCTGGTGCTGAAAAAAATTACACACACATATGCTATTATAAATATATATAAACATGTATATATGCAAACGTGTGTGTACAATACATGCATGTGTAGATACACACCCAAATATTTCCAGCATCTGGCACATAGCATACCTAACAAATATTAAGGACGTATTTATTAGAATCTGGTTGCTGATTAGAATTAGCAAACAGCAATCCCTTCTGGCTTCAACTTGAAAATCGAATGGAGTTGAATTTTGCCTGTAACACGTACTTTATCCTATAGATCAGGGTATATCCTGAAACCTGATGAAAATAATCAAGTATTTTCATATCCTTAAATGTTTAACAAACCTTGAACATAATAAATACGTGTTAAATAAGTGAATATATTTAGATACATTTCTTGCATACACAGGCAGTCTGCTAAATGTTCAAAATATTTTATCTCATTTAATCTTTATTGAAACCCTCAGAGTCAAGTACTATAGAAACATAAAAAGTGAGCTGAGATTATTGCAACAAAGTGGTAGCAATGGCTATTATCTCTCTGTGGTAAGATATCAGGCAATTTTTACATTCCTTTGAGCACTCCTCAAGATTTTCTGTAAAGAATAAGAATTATCTTTATCATAGGCAAGTTAAAAAATATATACTTTATTCCTCTCTGATGCTATAATGAACAATCTCCTCATCCACCTGCTCCATGCTGAGAGGTAATCTTCATCACTTTGTCCTGTCCATTTTACAGATGAGCAGGCTGAGGCTCAGAGAGGTTAACTCATTTGCCTAGGGACACACAACCAAGAAAAGATCTAGAGCTAAGCTCAGGTCTCCTGACGGCAGTCCATGGCTCTGTCCAGCTTTGCTTCTAATTGTTCCTGTTTCATCCAATGATGCCAGGTGAGGGAATCTTTCCCAGAAAGAAAGGCTATGAGGAACTGCCATTGCTTCCTTCAAATTGTCCGAGGGTCACTTGCCTGGGAGAAATGAGGCTGACGCTGGAGGGTGTGAAGTGGGGGAATAAAAGCCCTGTAGGCTGGGCGGGGCGGCTCATGCCTCTAATCCCAGCACTTTAGGAGGCCGAGGAGGGTGGATCATTTGAGGTCAGGAGTTTGAGACAAGCCTGACCAACATGGTGAAACCCCAGCTGTATTAAAAATACAAAAAATTTAGCCGAGTGTGGTGGCATGCACCTGTAGTCCCAGCTACTCAGGAGACTGAGGCAGGAGAATTGCTTGAACCTGGGAGGCGGAGGGTGCATTGAGCCGAGATTGCGCCACTGCACTCCAGCCTAGGTGACAGAGCGAGACTCCATCTCAAAAAAAAAATAAAAATAAAAAACGCCCTGTGAATTGTGTTCCAGCAAGAGCTCAAAGGCCACACTGGTAATGGAGTGAGCATCAGCAGGTGGTGTTAAGCTCCACTTTGGGAAAGGAAAGAGTTGGAGTGGCCCTAAGAAAACCCAAATGTATGCCCAGTCTCCAGCAGGAATAACGACTGGGAAGAAGTTGGTCATCATTCTACAGGGTCCTTTCCTCATAATTATCCTGAAGATTCATTGCATTATTCTATTTTTTTCTTTTTCTTTGTTTTGTTTTGTTCTTTGAGAGTGAATCTTGCTCTGTCACCTAGGCTGAAGTGCGGTGGCACGATCTCAGCTCACTGCAACCGCTGCCTCCCAGGTTCAAGCAATTCTCCTGCCTCAGCCCCCCAAACAGCTGGGATTACAGGCACCTGCCATTATGCCTGGCTAATTTTTGTATTTTTAGTAGAGATGAGATTTCACCATGTTGGCCAGGCTTGTCTCTAACTCCTGACCTCAAGTGATCCACCCAGCCCCAGTATTATTCTATTTTTATGATGTGATAGCAGACACAGAGAGACTCATCAAAGGTCCCAAATTCATACAGCTAGAAAGTGACAGATTAAAAGTTGGGGCCTTCACAATTTCTAAAGGGTCAGCAAATACCCAACAATACCTCCTGTCCTTTTCTTCACACATGGCAGGCATGTCTAATCAATCATAGCAGAGACCCAAGCAATCAGGGGCTAGAATCCATTATCTCAACTCACCAAGCCAAGTGTTTCATTCCAGTGCTGTCCTGTGCTTCATCTGCCAGCATCGATCAGAACTCTCAACTCTGCTACACTTTTTTTTTTTTCTTAGAGATGGGGGTCTCACTCTCTTGCCCAGACTGGAGAGTGCAGTGGTACAATCACAGCTCACTGTAACCTTGAACTCCTGGGCTCAAGTGATCCTCCCATCTCAGTCTCCTCAGTAGCTGGGACTACAGGCATGCACCACTATGCCCAGATATTTATTATTATTATTATTATTTGTAGAAACAGGGTCCTGCTATGTTCCCCAGGTTGGTCTCAAACTCCTGGTGTCAAGTGGTCCTCCCTCCTTGGCTTCTCAAAGCTCTGGGATTACAGGCATGAGCCACCGTACCCAGCCTCTGCCACATTTTTAAATGATCCCAATCCTCCTAGAAATGGTATTCAAATCCTCAAAGAAGATATTTATATTAGTTAGTTGGTTCGCAGGTTTATTTCTCCTTAAAGATTGGTGAGTATTGTGTGGATCCGAGTGAAGCTGAAGCTAATCACACTTCCAGAGAGGCCCTGGTGAGTGGGGAGAGGGAGAGATGCAAACTGCTAACATCACAAACAGCAGGAACAGAACTGGCTTTGGAACAAGATGAACCCTGAAGCAGCTACGCAAATCCCAAAGAGTTACTAATCCTTTCTTACCTTCAGTTCCTCATCTGGTAAAATGACAGTACTGTATTATTCCTTGACAAAAGGTGTTACAAGGAACAAATGAAATAATGTAAAATTGTGTACACCTCACCTACCTAAATTGGTAGCACGTACTTGGTCCACAGGTTCCTATTTCCTTCTTTCTAAGTAAAGACACGGGAAATACGAGGGCTGCTGGTGTTTAGTGAGGACAACTTCATTTTTCAGAAAATGATGTCTAAGAATCTATTACTTGTTTTGTTGAAGCTGGAAGGATTTTACAGAATGCTTTGGGAAAGCCAGGAGAGATTAGCAACAGCAGGAAGGCACTGCCAACCTAGGGCTGGACAAAAAAGCCAAGGAGTTGGGCCATCCAATGGGAAGTGAGACCTCAATAGCGCTGCCCAGAGGAAATGGGCTTCATGGAGGAGGAGAGTCCCTGATAAGATCTGGATTAAAAGGAGGTACTGCTGCTTCCATGGATGCCTCAAGGCAGTGCCAAAGAAAGATATCCTGTCTTCTCCCTTTCTTTTGACCTTCAGGTGTCCATCACTGCCTTTCATTGGCAGAACCTACCAGAAGTCAAGGAAACCAGGAAATGTCCTTTTCTGTAATTCTACAGCAGAACAGAGAAGGGGTAGGAGTGGATCTGAAAGTGAACAGGCAATGACTGGCCCAGAGCTCTGAAGGATCCAGGATCATTTTAGGCTTCATTATTTCAGACAGACAACAGGGTTTTCAGTCCGTACAAATTCATCAAACTGTTCACTTACGTGATTTGCACACTTTTCCATGTCCATATTTTGAGGAAAAAGTTGTAAGACATCCAGAATTATGAATTTTTTTTTAATTTTAGAGACAGAGTTTCACCCTGTCACCCAAGCTAGAATGCAGTAGTGTGATCATAGCTCACTGCAGCCTTGAACTCCTGGGTTCAGATGATCCTCCTGCCTCAGCCTACTCAGTAGCTAGGACCACAGGTGCACATCACCACATCCACTTAGGTTTTTTCATTTTTTTAGAGATGGGGTCTCACTATGTTGCCCTGGCTGACCTTGAACTCTGGCCCTCAAGTGATCCTCCCATCTCTGCCTCCCACTGTTGGGATTAGAGGTGTGAACCACTGTGCTCGGCCACCAGAATTATTATTTTCAAGGCTGCAGAATCAAGTGCAGGATTACAGATCCCTATTCTGTACTAGTTATGTATTGCTGTATACTAGGTTACCCGAACACTTAGAGTTTTGAAATATCTAATATCATTTATTATCTCTCATGGTTTCTGTGGGTTGAGAATTCAGGAGTGGCTTATCTGGGTGGTTCTGGCTCAAGGTATTTGGCAGCGTGTATAAAGTCCTCCCAAAGATGTCTATGATCTAATCCGGCAACATGTAAATCCGTTCCCTTGTATGGCAAAAGGCATCTTGCAGATATGAGTATCTTAAGGATCTTGAGGTAGGGGGAGATTGTCCTGGATTCTCCAGGTAGTCCCTAAAATACTCAATCATAAGGGTCTTTGAAGATGGAGGCAAGGGGGTCAGTGGGGGAGAAAGCAGCAATGTGGATGTGGATGGAAGCAGAGATTGGAGTGGTGCATCCAGGAGCCAAGAAATGCTGGCAGACACTAGAAGCTAGAAGAGGCTGGAACAGATTGTCCCCTAGGGCCTCCAGAAGGCACCAATCCTGATGATACCTTAATTTTGAATGCCTTTGGACTCATCTTGGACATCTGATCTCTAGAGCTCTAAAAGAATAAATCTGTGTTGTTTTAAGATACTGTGTTAGTGGTTGCTTGTTGCAGCAGCAGTAGGGAATGAAGACAGGATCTATCGAAATGCCAGCCAGGGCTTTGGTTGTCTGCAGGCTTGACTGCAGCTGGAGGGTCCCCTTCCAAGCAGGCTCACTGATGTGGCTACTGGCTGGAGGCCTCACTTCCTCACTAGCTGTTGGCAGGAAGGCTCAGTTCTCTGCCTCGTGGATCTCCCACTGATGTGGTTTGGATCTGTGTCCCTGCCCAAATCTCATGGTAAATTGTAATCCCCAGTGTTGGAAGAGGGGCCGGCCTGGTGGGAGGTGATTGGATCATGGGGGTGGATTTCCCCTTTGCTGCTCTCATGTTAGCAAATAAGATCTCATAAGATCTGGTAGCACCTCCCCCTTTTCTCTCTTCCTCCTGCTCCAGCCATGTAGGGACCGCCTGCTTCCCCTTCAACTTCTGCCATGATTGTGCTTCCTGAGGCCTCCTTAGCCATGCTTCCTGTACAGCCTCAGAACTATGAGCCAATTACACCTCTTTTCTTTATAAATCACCCAGTCTCAGGTAGTTCATTATAGCAATGCAAGAACGGACTAATACACCCGCTGAGCTGCTTCAGTGTCCTCATGACACAGTGGATGGTTTTCCCATAGCAAGTGATCCAAGAGAGAACACAGCAGAAGCCAAATGTCTTTTTATTATGTATCTTTATGATCATTCTTTAGACACAGGGTCTCACTTTGTAGCCCAGGCTGGAGTGCTGTGGCACCATGATGGCTCACTGCAGCCACAAACTCCTGATCCCACGTGATCCTCCTGCCTCAGCCTCCTGAATACCTGGGACTACAGGCATGTACCATCACACCAGGCTAATTTTTTTATTTTTATTTTTGTAGAGATGGGGTCTTACTGTGTTGTCCAAGCTGGTCTTGACTTCCTGGCCTCAAGTGATCCTGCTGCCACCAAATGTCTTTTATAGCCTAACCTCAGAAAGGACAACCTATTACCAATGACATAATCAATATGTCACACAGAACAACTCTGATGCAGTATGGGAGGTGAAAACACTGGGGTGTGAATGCCAGAGACACAGATCACTGAGAACCATCTGGGAGGCTGGCTGTCACAGTAACATCAAAAGATCTTCACATTTGTCCCATCTCAATTGACTCCCATACCTACAAAGGAAGAACTTCTCATCTCGAGAAACACATCTGTTTATGAGTTGAATCATATCCCCAGAGAAGACAGGTTGAAGTCTTAATCCCCAGGACTTCAGAATGTAACTGTATTTAGAGATAAGGTCTCTACAGAGGTAATCAAGTCAAAATGAAGTCAGCAGGATGGGTCCTAATCCAATATGACCAGTATCCTTCTAAGGAGGGGAAACTTGGACACAGAGATACACTCAGAGGGAAGAGAATGTGAGGACACAGGGAGAATGTCACATAAAGATTGAGGATTAGAGTGATGTATCTAGAAGCCAAGAACATCAAAACTTTCCAGTGAACCACCAGAAGCTAGGAGACAGGCATGGAATAGTTTCTTTCCGAGGGCCTTTGAAGAGAGCATGGTCCTGCTGACACCTTGGTTTTTTGGACTTCCAGCCTCCAGAACTGTAGGACAATACCTTTCTGTTGTCTTAAGCCATGCAGTTGGTGGCACTTTGTTATACCTCCCCTAAAAAACTAATACAACACCACGTGCTCTTTTCTTTCTCTTTTAAACACCGTTGCTTTGCTTTTCTGTTTCTAATAGCATTCACTATAGAGAATGTAGAACATTTAAAAAGTGACAAAAGAAAACTTTGAAAATCATCCTTAAATCTATTACTTGGGGACAACTGCTTTTCATGAATATGTTGGTGTATTTCCATCCTGTGTTGATTTCTGCGTATGAGTATAGATAACATCTATTTGACTCACGCTCAGGTAAAACACTTGTATATTAAAGGCAGAATGGAGTTGGCTCTGCAGCCAAGCAGGGGACTCTATGGAACTGTACACCACCCAGCTTTCCCTGCCAGGATTCTCCCTTATCTTCAGGCAGAAGGGCTTGCTGCTCCAGGCACCTGCTTCTGGTCTTTCCTTTCTCTTCTTATTTTTCAACCTGATGGTTTTAAAATGCCCTCAGCTGTTGCCTGAGGGTCTTTATAGCTTTCTGGAAAGTTAACATTTAGGCAACTTGAGTTGTTTAAAATGTAGATGATAAAGAGTTTGCCTGCAGAATGCCTAAGTCGGCTGCACTACTGTGTGCATTCACACATCCCATGAGCATCTCTGGACACACATGCCAGATACCAGGGGCCAAAACGGAGTCTTGGAGCATGAAGTCACCTGGTAAAGATTGCTCAGTCACGGGGTGGCAGAGAAAAAACTACAACCTGGGAGTTTCCTACCCCTGTCCTCTCTCTCTTATCAAGTGCACCCCTCTCTCCATTTCATCCACTTTAGATGGATCATTTCTGCCTGGACATCATTCCAGCTACTTCAGTAATCATAGCGCCAGGGACTGGAGCTTCAATGGTGAGGAAGGGGCTTTGTACTTGGTTCTTGGAGTCCCTGATGGATGGGGAGGAGTGGATGGCACAGACTCCTCAAGACCTTATCACACAGGGATGGAGAAGGTGGCTAAGGCTCTCTTGGGGCATTGGGATGGAGAAGGGGAAGGGAAAGGGAGGAGGGATCAGGCTTCAAGGCACGCAACTCTACCTTGGGTTTTTCAGTCGCAAGGTTTGCAAATAAAAATTTTAAAAAGAAATCTCTCTAAAGTTCCTTAAAGCTCTTGCTATTCAGAGCTCCTAGCTTTCCCATCCCTAAAAATCCTCTCCAGCCTATGACTTCCGATGCAGCATCCTCAGAAAGGGGCAAAGAATAGCCATCATGGGACCCCAACAACCTTCTCAAAGTTGATACCAACTGAGCAGGGGATTCACAAAACCCCCAGATGCAAACAGACATCCTGACCTGGGGTAAACTCCAAACGCCCCAATCCCAACTTCCCAGAGTCAACCACCCAGTTGCTCTCTGAATAAAAAAGGCATTTCATTTTTCTGCTCAAACACAAATATGACATATCTGTGCCACCCAATTTTCCTGACAGGGGAATAATTATATCAACATAATTAAGTCTCAACTGCAAAAATTATCTGCACCGCATATACTGACACTACACTTCCCACATCATACTGCCATTGTTCCAGCTGGTAATTACTAAGCCACCTTTGACATGTCTTATTTCAATTTAAATGGAAATGCAGCTCATATTTCTTCTCAGCCCACTAGCCCACGTGATTGCAGAAATAGGGAAAATGGACTTTGAAACTTCTCAAGTGGCCACTGGATTTTGTCTCCAAAGAAGTGTAGCGTGGGAACAATTTATAGCTTACCCTGGATCCCTTCTCTAGGCCTCAAGTACCTCATCAATACAATCTCTTGCATCTTTCCTCTGCTCTCTGTTATCTTTTTATAAATTTAGTCTTCATCATCATCTCCTAAAGATTCAGATAGTTCTTTTTTTATGGAGACAGAGTCTTGCTCTGTTGCCCAGGCTGGAGTGCAGTGAAGCAATCTCGGCTCACTGCAACCTCTGCCTCCCAGATTCAAGCAATCCTCAGCCACCCGAGTAGATGGGACAATAGGCGCCCACCACCACAACCTACTAATTTTTGTATTTTCAGTAGAGACAAGGTTTTGCCATGTTGGCAGGGCTGGTCTCGAACTCCTGACCTCAGGTAATCCACCTGCCTCAGCCTCCCAAAGTGCTGGGATTACAGGCATGAGCGACCATGCCTGGCCAGGATTCACATAGTTTTAAACTGGTGTTCCTCTCATCAATCTACACCACTCTCCAACTGTATTCCACAAAGCCTCCAAGGAGGAATCTCTTTAACCTGATCATGTCATTCCTCTGCTGAAAAGTCTTCAGTGTCTTCTCAGTTCCCACAGTCCCAACTTTGTTGTTTCGCATATCAAGTCCTTTAAAGTCTCTGTCCCAACTCGCCCTTTCTTTTTGCTGCCCACACCTTGCACCCCACATCAGTAATTCCCAGAGTATTCCCAAGCTCCCAAACATGCCATGTTCTTTGATGCCTCTGTGCCTTTGAACCTACCATTGCTCCATCTGGAATGCTCTACTCTGCCTTATCCCTTCTCTGACAAGTGAACTTCTACTCATCCATCAAGACCCCATTCCATAATCACCTCCTGTATGATGTGCTCTCTGGCTCCCTCTCATAGAATTAGTTTCTTTCCCTTCTATGCTCCCAGCATTTGTACAAGCCACTAGGAAAGACAGATATCCCATCAGATAGGAATTATTTGCCAATGTCTAATTCCCTACTATATTGATCTCCTTATGAATAAGGTTGTACTCGGCCTTATATCCCAAATACCTCGTGTAGTACTCAGAACTTAGAAGTCACCACATAAATACTTCAACTTTAAACTCTTCCTGCCCTAAATTCATAACTTGGGTAGCATGCAGCAGGTCTTACCAACATGGGCCATCGATTCACACAGACAGGAGCTTGCAACCCAGCTCCACCATTTGCAACGTGACCCCAAGCAAGTCTTGTCACCCACTTGACCCTCAGTTTTCTCATCTGCAAAGTGGAAATAATAACAGCATTGTTGTGCTATAGGACTAGCTGAAGAGTCACTGATGAGAGGAAGTGTTTGACACATTGCATAGACTATAACAAGTGCTTAATAAACATCAGCTCCCTTTCCTATTCTTAGAACTATTGAGTGACAGCTTGTGCAATATGCCAACCTGGGGGGTCTCCTCTGTTTTGATGCTTTCTCACCCTCACCCCATCTTCCCTGTGCCCCTCATTCTCTCCACTCAGGCATGTGCTCTGTACTCTACTAGCCAAACTATTGTAATGCCCCAGCATGGGCCTCAAAGTCCTTCCTTTCTCCTCTCCACAAAAACATGCTCGTCCTATGTCCCACTTCCTCACTGTCAGGTCACAATTCACCATGCCCAAGAATGAGATACAACCACTACTCCCAATGTGACAACCCCCTGGGGCACATTAGGTCTTAACCTGGTGTAGCATCCATGTATGTTCACAGCAGTCCCAGGAGAGACTCTACTTGGGTTACAGACACAGCAACCCAGATACAAATACAAATACAAATACAAATACAAATACAAATACAAATACAAATACAAATACAGGAGTTGGAAAATCGGATCACCCCTTGAATAAAGCCATCCAGGCCACTGATGATTAAAATGACTGTAACCCAACAGCTATGCAGATAAGCATAGCCGGGGAGAAACAGCACGGATATGAGAAGGAGAACCACATCCATTGCAAGACATAGAAATGGATCCCACATCTGTTTGGATTCCCCAGGCACCAATGAGTACATCCTACAGTCGGCCCCTCAACTCTACAATAGATGTCAATTCCTTCCCTATGTTCAATACAGAGCATCGTGCAGCCCAAGTTACATTCAGGTGCTTTGTAAACTGTAAAGAGCTGAATGCATAGGAGATAATTATCTATCATACTGTTTCTTCATTCTTCAGAGACACACTTCTCTTTTCAGGCATATCCCGTCACCTCGTAACAAATGAAACCTCAATCAGCATTTTCCACAAGCCAAAGAAACATCTTAAATGAGCTTGAGTAAGAAGGGGGAAACAATCCCTCTCGGGCAAATCAAGCCTCATCAATAGTCTTGTATTATTAGATATGTTCTTCCAAGAATTGATCAAGGAGGATATGGAATGGAGATATTGGTGCTGGTGATCAATGCCAGATCCTAGCCTTCCCCAGGCTTGGATCAGAGTCAATGCTATCTCCCTCAGAAATAGGGTGAAGGCAAAAGCTACCATCAGAGAAAACGGAGCATGCAACATAAACAGCAAAAGATGCCAATAAACAGCATGTGGCCAGGCATGTTAATGACTAAAATTAAGACAATGATTTCTGGACCTGATTGGTTTCCATCTGCTGTGGCACAAGGATATTAACAGAGTTGTAAACAGCAAGCCCTCATCTCAAAGTAGTGGAAAGTTCCACCTATTGATTGCATAATGGACTTTTTTGGTAGCTACAGCTCTTATTTATTCATGGCCATTTTTTAGTGGAATTGGTTGAAATGTCCACTAACTCTAAATTAAGTGCACTAAGTGGCCTCAAGAGAGAGGTTCTGGGTGGATTTTTATTTCTGACCAAAAGACACTGAGCAGTGTCTTGAGAAAGCAGGGTTTCTTGACCTCAGCATTAGGGATATCTGGGAGCAGATAATTCTTTGTGAGTGCTTACACAGGGCTATGCTGTACATTTCAGAATGCTTAGCATCATCTCTGGCCTCTACCCACCAGATATCAGCAGCACCTCCCACCCAAGTTGTGCCAGCCAAAAATGTCTCCAGATATTTCCTAATGTTCCCTGGGGGGACAAAATCACCCCCAGCTGAGGGTCAAGCTACAGGCATAAGGGTAAGCAGTAGACTTTATTTTTGAAAGAAATGGACTCTGGAGTCAGACAGATGTGAATTTGAATCTAGGACAAACCACTGTTTGCTGTGTGACCTCATCTTAAAAGTGTAAACCTCACCCTTTCATAACTTTGGGGGCCCTGGCATAAAGAGAAACTATGATATAGTACCAGCTGCTCCAAGTGGGGTCTCTGGGCCAGAAGCATCAGTATCACCTGGTTGCTGGTTGGAAATGCAGAATCTCAGGCCCTGCCCCCGATCTGCTGAGTCAGAATCTGCACCTTAACAATATCCCCGGGTGATCTGTGTACAGGTGATATTGGAGAAATGCAGACATTGTGGTTAAGAGCATATGTTTTGGAGTGATCACATATGTTGGTGTCAATCTTTCCTAGCTATCTGGCCTTGGGCAAATCACTTCAACTCTTGTAAGCCTCTTTTGTTAAATGTGTAAAATAGAGATAAAAATATTTCCTTGCTCATAAGGTTGAAAGTGCAGATTTAATTAGATGGTATATCGAAAGCACTTTGCACAGTGCCTGTCACATAGTAGACATACAGTAAATGTTAATCCCCAGGCTGCCCTCTGCCTCGCTTTCAGATGCCTCTCAGACTATATGATATTAGGATGCCGGGGCTCACAGCGGCGGAACATAAAGACGTTGAAGCTACCTCCGTACACTTTTGCGATCTTCCTTTTGACGGAGTCTGAAATTATATCAGCCACTTGGCCACTCATGGTCCATTTATTCATTTATTGACTCATCAGGAAAGAAAAACAACTGCTAAGCGGTGTGCTCTCTTTTACCTCCACATCTCAAGGTTATGGCCAGGTTGTGCACGCCTCTTGGATGAACAGCCTCATCAAATTCACTTCGCAGCTGGGGCCCATTGACTCTTGCCAGGTCCATCAGTTCTGCCTTCCCAGGCACTCAGGATCATCTTTTGCTTCTGATCGAGGGGCTTGACTCACAAGGTCTTCCAGAACTTTGGAAGCCAGGCATTGATTCCAACAGTCTCCCCCATTTTTCTCCAACTCTGGGACATGGCTCTTTGACACTCTCCCAGTGTCAGGGATCGCTTTGGTCACAGCCTCCAAAGTCTCCTTCTTCCCCCGCATTCCCTCTCTGGAGGCCAGACACTGCCCTGGGACAGACAGTGGACTGAACCAATCAAAACTGTGCTTAAAATGGCTCCATATTTGAATGGGACCCTTTGGAACCATAGGAGAGGTCTATGAGTTTCCTGTGCAAATCCAAGTGCTTGGTGGGACCCTTTCAGTTTTATGTTCCAAAACAGGGGTGGCAATTTACAACCCTCAGGTCAAATCTGGCCTCCTGCCTGTTTTCGTAAATCAAGTTTTATTGGAGCACAACTAGGCATTTATGCATTATCTGCGGCTTCTTTCATGCTATAATGACAGACTTCGGAGGTTGAGACAGAGACTCTATGGTTTGCAAAACTGAAAATATTTACTACCTGGTCCTTTGCAGAAAAAGTTGACTGGCCCCTGTTCTAAAATCCTAAAGTTCTAAAATTGTGTAGCATTAGGAGCTAACAATTCTAAGAATGTATAGATTTCAATATTCCATATTTCTATTAGGTTGAGCCAATTACAATCAGCTATATTGAACCAATTTTGACCTATACAAGTGGCAAATTCATATGGTTCAATTTAATAAGATTTTAATATTATGCGTGTCAAATGATTCAAGATTCTATTAATCCTGAGATTTTCTGGCTTGAAGGCTCTAAGGTCTTATATATCAAAGTTCTAGGATGCTATCATTCCAAACGCTGAGATTTGGCGGGTCTAATTGTTGAGTAGCCATATTGATAATTAAGAGATGCTGTTGTATTAGAGGAAGAAAAGGTATGAACATTAATTAGCAGACATAAAAGAGTTTAGTGAGTAAATTAATTTTTCAAAAAATGCAAGTTGATGGTACCTTGTGGAAAAAATGGATGAAATACAGATGTGAGATGATAACGTTTGCCTCCTCACCGTCCTAAGACTAGGATGACCTAAGACACAATTGAGATTTGACCCAAAACAGCTGTGGGACCAAATGAGGCTCAGATGAGTATGTATTACTATTTGTTGCCCCAGAAACAGGTCCCCCTCCTTGTGACAATGATGTGATGATGAGAAAAGTCATGTGTGAGTTCAAAAGGGATTGGAAAGGAAGTGGCATGTGGTCCAGCCCCCTCCACCCTAGGGAGAAGTCTGGGAGGCAATTACAAATAAGATGGGAACACAAAGCATTTGGATTATGCACAAAAGGATTATGCTTGTTTGAGATCATGCCTGCTGTCCAATATGGTAGCCACTAGCCACACATAGCTATTGATCACCTGATGTGTGGCTGGTGTGACCGAGGATCTGAATTTTAAATTTTATTCCACTTCAATTAAATGTAAATATCCCTGTGAGGCTGGTGGCTACCATGTTTGACAACACCATCCTAGGGTATTCATATATGTTATAGAGAGATAGAAAATAATCTAAATATCAGAGAAATTATGGCACTTCACTTGTTCTGTCTGCTGAAATCACCCCATGGGAGAAAACTGGAGGAACTCCAGGCCAAGAGCCACTGGGTTCTGTCCTACGTTCTGTGTTCTATATTTCTATGGTCTGAAGGTTCTAAGAGGTGCTATTGTTCTATGTTCTAAAAATGCAAAGCCCTGAAGGGCAGATGTGCTCAGGAAACCCTTTTGATTGATATTCACAGCCACCACCACCACCCCATTTTTAAGAGTAAGCTCTCACTTTTGCATGTGTGAATGTTTCATGGGTTCACTCGGCAATTAGTAAATATTGGAACACCTACTAAGTGTGTGGTTAGCTTCTGGACCCCACACTGGAAGCACCAAGAAGAAAGTGATGCTTAACAATAGGAAGTAGATAGTGTCCTTCAGAAACAAGATCTAGAAGCAAAAAAACAAATCAGTAATACAGAGGCAGGAACCATAGCTAAATTGTGTAGTGGATTGTGTGGGTGAGATCTGCATGGGAGGAGATCCTATCTCTTTTTTTTTTTTTTTTTTTCCTTTGAGACAGAGTCACTTTGTCACCCAGGCTGGAGTGCAGTGGCACGATCTTGGCTCACTGCAACCTCCACCTCCTAGGTTCAACCAATTCTCATGCCTCAGCCACCGGAGTAGCAGGGATTACAGGCATGCACCACCACACCCAGGTAATTTTTGTATTTTTAGTAGAGAAGGGGTTTCGCCATGTTGGCCAGGCTGGTCTCCAACTCCTGCCCTCAGGTGATCCACCTGCCTCGGCTTCCCAGAGTGCTGGGATTACAGGCGTGAGCCACCGTGCCCAGCCGAGATCTCGTCTCTAACCTCTCTCAGCCTTAGTCTCCTCACCTGCAATTCAGTGCTGATGAAATACCGACATCAGGGCTCCTGCCATGCTGCTGTGCCTAGGAGTCACCTGGGACCTTGTTAAAAAGCCAATTCTGACTCAAAGGTGTGGGGCTGAGCCTGAGACTCTACATTTCTATAGCCAAGGCTGCTGATCTGCGAATATATTTTGAAAAGTAAAGCCATAAGTCACACGAAATTGAAGAGAATTAAATGACATGAGGTATAAAACATGCTCAGGCCTGGCACAAATGATAGGCTGTTATATAAGTAATAATAACAAGTAAATACAAGCTATACATAATGCAACTTAAAATATACCTCCAGCTGACATCCTTAACAGATGCAAACCAAGCAAGCAACTAACCACAGAATCACAAATCGGGGTTCTGGTCACACTTTTCCTATGTATATATATATGCATATATTCATGGAAAAATATATATGTAATGACCTGTGAGTCATATATAAATATAAAATACATATATTTTATTTATATATATATGTATGTATTTTTTTTTTTGAGACAGTCTCACTCTGTCACCCAGGCTGGAATGCAGTGGCATGAATCCCAGTGATCCCAGCACTTTGGGAGATAGAGGCAGGTGGATCACCTGAGGTCATGAGTTCGAGACCAGCCTGGCCAACATGGCAAAACCCCGTCTCTACTAAAAAAATTTTTTTTTTTTGCCCTTTCAGGTTAAGTGAATCTTAACTATGAGTATCAGCACACATAAGTCTGAATTGTCCCTAGGACCCTGTTTGAAAATCATACCAGTTAAAATGCAAACATGATTGTTAGATTTGACATGCAGCCATGTCTTTGGCTTACAGACAACAAGTCTTTAATGTCGACCCAACTACAACAAAAACTACTCTCTCTAAACAACAAAAGTGCATAAACAGAATCTTAATTTGCATACTTGGGATTTCCTAACTGAGGCCGCGCCTTTGTGATGGAAACGAAATAGTCTGAACACAGGAAGGCATCTTGGTGTGGGAAGGCACTGGTAGGAACAGACAACAGAAGGATCATCCTGGGAAACTCAGAGCTGCCAGACTCTCAAATGAGCTACAAAAAGATCTGCATCACTGAACTGTAACCATAGCTAGGGCCAACAGGAAAGCAGACAGCCTTCTTTATTTGGTTTCACTCTCTCATGTTTTTTGGCTGGGGTCAGCGGGTGAGTACTACAAAGAATTACAATTTATTGACCACTTAACATGTGCAAAACATTCTAATCTCCCAACTACCTGATAACCCATTCTACAGATGAAGAAACAAAGACTCAAAGAGGACAGGTGCCTGAAAGAGATCGAGACAAGATTTAAACCCAGCTCTGCTGTCTGCCTCCAACTCCACTTCTTCTTCCAACAGAGCATAGAGCAAGAGTTGGCCAACTACAGCCCGTGGGCCAAATCCAGTCCACCATCTGTTTTTCTAAATAAAGTTTTATTGGAACATAACCACGCTCATCTATTCATTCATTTGCATAATGTCTAGGGCTGCTTTTGTGCTGCGACAGCAGAGTTGAGTAGTTGTGACAGAGACAGTATGGACTACAAAGTCTAAAATATTTACTACCTGTCCCTCTACAGAAAATACTTGCCAGTCCCTGGATCAGAGCATCCAGTTGCTACCTGTGTGCAAACTCAGCAGGCTCTCAGAAAGAAGCAAAAACCGAAAATCATCTTATTTCTTGAGTTCCTTTCCTTTTGTTTGCTGAAAAGTGACATCAGTCTTTTTTCTTCTCCCCACCCACCAAGCAATTAGCTCACAAAGGCAGGAGCCTGAAGGATTCCCCCTGAGTGTTTAAGTCTCTCTCCAGCAGGACGCTTTGTCTCCAAACCACTGCCAAACTTTAATAACAGCATCAACCACATCATCTTCCACCAAAAGCAAACAGGAAAGCTAGTTCTGCCGCCCAGCTGGGTGGATGTCAGCTGCAGACAGCTGCAAATTGCCTGAACAAGGACAGATGTAGCTTGTTTTTGCCTTTCTTTTTCCATTTGAAAACTTTGAGAGGGGGAGATGAGAATGCTGTTAGGGAAATGAATGTGTTGATTCTAATTATCCAAGCGGGCGGGCGGCAGAGGTGACATGCAGCAAGATGGGCTCCGAGTCATTTACCTGGAATGCAGCCAAGACAAGGCTGGAGAAGGCAGAATTCCAATGAAGCTGACACTCAGGACACTGAGCACAAAGAAGGAGGCATCTATGAACTCACAGGTCACAAGGTGGGGTATACTGCATTTGGGGACGTCATTCACAGAATTTTCAAATAGGAAATAATTCAACCACTGGCCTAGACTTATATGCCTGCTCTGAATCACAGGGCTTGCCTACTCTTGAAGGGGCTCTGCAGTGCTCTTTGATTCTAGTCTCACTCTGATAATGATGTGATGATGATGGCGGTGGTCACAGTGATGAGAGTGATAATAATAATTTTCATGATGGTGGTGGTGGTAATGATGGTGATGATAATGATGGTGGTGATCAAGATGATGATTGATGGTGATGGTGATGATGATGCAAATGGTGGTGATGATGACAGTGATGAAGATAATGATGGTAATGGTTGTGGTAACAATGGAGGTGATGCTGATGGTGGGAATGGTGGAAAAGATGATGTGTTGGTGGTGATGGTGGTGGTGATGAAGAAGATGATATGGCAATGATGATGATAATGATGATGATGATGGTTATTATGATGATGATGATAGGCGGGCTTACTTTGTGCCAGGCACTGTAATAAGTATTTAAACACATTATTTTATTAAGTAATCCCCACAATGCTGTGAAGCAGTTGCAATAATTGTCTCCATTTTATGAGTTAACAGGGAAACAGAGAAAGTGAGTGCCTTGACTAAAGTCACACAGTAAGGACATGATGGAACTGAGATTTGCATCTAAGTCTCCTTATTCCCAGTTCTTTGTCCTGTCAAGCTCTTTCTTCTCTCAGCATGTATTTTTTTATGCCTACTCTGTGCTAAGCAATGTTCTAGGGCAAAGGTAAGTGATTTTTTTTTCTGTAAAGGACCAGGTAGTATATATCTTGGACTTTGTAGGCCAAATGGTCTTATCACAAATACTCCTCTCTGCTGTTGTAGCCCCAAAGCAGCCATAGAAAATAGGTAAATGTTTGTGACTATGTCTTAATAAAACTTTATTTATAAAAATCAGGACAGCAGCCAGATCTGACCATAGGTTATCAAGCTGTATTTTATGGTGCTGCCTCAGGGGCCAGGGTGGAAAAGTAGATGAGCCCTAATGGGGAGCTCTGCTTTTACTTACCACAAATCTGTATCAGCTATGGATTTAAAATAAGATTTGGCTACTTAAAAGAAGAAAAAAACGTGGTAATCTCTGGATACCTCCTTGCTAACTCCCAGGTGAGATAAGCAAGGGATATCTCTCTGTCCTTTGAAACCCTCTCTCCAACAGATAAGGTGACACATCTGGAATCCAGTTGTGGGGTAGCTATAGAATCAATCTAGAATGGGATGGAGAAGGGGAGGTCTATGGGAATGTTGTTGCCCACAGAGGTAGTAATTTCCCCAACCCCACAGTTGCATAACAGAGATGGAATTTTTACCAGTCTGAGGTTGGAGAAGATACCAGTTGGAATGAAGAGGCCTGGGCACCTTCAGGTTTGAGATTGTGTGACTCTGTGCATTGCTCTTGGGGTGTAGGAATGTGCTTGTTTCAGAGGAAGCTGCCACCATGACTATCAGCCATTTGAGACACACTCAAAGCTTGCAGCTCTATGACCAACCAGCTCTGGGCTTGCCCAGGGGTCTCAGCAGAAAGAGCTTTAAAAGTCGTCTGGTCCGTTTTACAGAGAGAGAAAGTGAGTCCAGCAAGGGAAAAGATGTGCCCAAGTCCACAGAGTCAGTCAGAGGCAGAAGTGTGGCTTGGACCCAGACTTCCTGGCTTCAAGGCAAGCTCCTCCTACTGTGTGAGCCACTCCCTTTGAGAAGATAGAAAGGGAATTTAGGCTGTCCACTTCCGGCCTCCATTTCCTTTCTTTGATCCACCCTACTTATGGGATGTCCCAGCCCCAGGAGTAACAGAAAATATACAAAAAGGAGGAGGAAAAAGTCAAGCAGGAGGCAGGAACACAAGCAGAGAAGATAAAACCTAGAAGGGGCCTGTGGCAAGGCAGAGAGATCTCTGCAAGAGTCAAGGCCCACAGATGTGGCTTCCACAGTGGGCATCCAAAGGCTTTGCCTTTTTGGAAACCATTTCTCCTCCTTCTGGCACTAACATTTCAATTTTCCTTGGGGGAATCTATTCTTCTACTCTCCATCCATATGGCTAGGGTGGAGCTGACTCTACTCCTGGATTCAGGGCTGGGCATGTACCCCAGAACTGTTCAATCCAGCCTCTACCCTTCAAATACCAGTGCTTGGTTTAGGTGTGGGCATATAACCCAAACCAGGCCAATCAGGGTCAATGAGATTCTACTTCTTGGCCTTTGTTTGAGCCGCTGGGTGGAAGGGGCCCTCTTTCTGTTGAGGTTGATAGCCTTGCTGTTTGTCAGCCTAACTCTGTTGCCACTAGGAAGGGAAAGCCTGTCTGAGAATGGCAATCAACTCCAAGGCAATGGGAAGGGAGGGATTCAGTCGGTGGTGTGCTGGTAAATGTTCAAAACTGACTGTGGGGATGAGTGGAAATCCTTTAACATTTGCCAGTTTCCATAGTGTAAATAATCCCACAATGGCCAATGTCAAGCTACCAATGTGATGTCATGGAGCATGGAATTGGGAAGAGATGGACACAGTCAGCTCTGGCAAACAGATACGGGTTGACCCCAGCACACCGAATTCAGCCTGTTGGCATCATTTGAGTCCCTGAATTTCACTGAGTCTGAAGCCAGAGGTCATGAAACTTTTTCATTACATGAGCCAATAAATTTCCTTTTGCTTAAGCCAATTTAATTTTGTTTCCGTCACTTGCAACTAAAAGAGCCATAACCTAGACAAGTTATATTCATCTTTCCCCACTAAATACACTTTGAATTCCAAACCAGCCAATTCTCCCAAAAAAACCATTTCGCTTCCCAACTGCTTGGTCGATCCTCATATTCTGAGATCCCCTCTCCCTTTCTTATTGTTTAAGCTCTGTCAAAAAAGAACAGTAAAAAGAGAATTACCCTTCAAACCGAATTATACTTTGGAAATGAATCAAAAACATGAAGTGTCTGATTTGGGGCCCCCTGGATTTCCTTGGGACCACTATCTTTTAAAGATGTCAAATCGTAACAATGATCAAGCTTTCTACCATGAAGACTAACCTTCCTAAGCCTCCCTGGCATACAATTAAGTGAAGCATAATCTCATCTAAACAATATAAATTGGATTTATTTGAATAATTTAATATACTCCTGCCATATTCAATCAATATCTCTCCCCTTTCTTTTTTAAGTAATTAACTTTGCAGAGTTAAGTTACTCTAATTTCCAGCAAGTCTGAAGTGACGAAAGTTCAATTGATGAAATCTCAAGGGACAAGATTAGTATCTGCTCCTCTGTTTGCCATCTTGAGCCTCAGCGCATTATTTGTAATTGGTATTAGCAACTTTAAATTCTGATTAATTGCTGGAGAGTCTGTTTTCAATGCAGAAACAAAGCCACAAGTCGGGGAGTAATAGACCCAATTATTCCTAGGTAGGCTTTTGGTAATAGATTTTATTATCAGGATAACTCATCTCAGAGCCAGACGCAAAGAAACTCTTTCGTTAGATGGTAACACCTCTTGAATTGAGACAAGCACATTCACCATGTGAGATAAAGACAGCTTGGGAGAATTCACTTTCAGAAACATGTCTGAGGCTAGCAGCACCTAAATGCCTATTAGGACTAAGTTTCTTTTGTACAGAAACCTTTGTAGGGAGACAAACAGGAAACCACAGTGCCTAGAAGGAGGGGAGTGACAGAAATACCCGCGGGTTCCCCTGTCAGCTCTCTGAGCATGCGGGAGGCCATTAGGAGTAGGGATTAAAAGGAAATCTGTGAACACAGAGTTTATAAGCGTGTTGGGTCATTTTGGATCCCACTGAGATAACGGGGCAGTAATTAGGAGGGCTATCTCCCTGTCAGGAGAGCCATAAAATGTGTTATTTACACCCGGCTCATGGCCCCAAATGCCCTCCATGTGGAATGCCTTTTTAAATACTTCAGTTCCCAGCCAGAATAATTCATCTTTACGCTTTCAAGTTCATAGCCATTTGCAGGGGGAAAACACCAAGGGCTTTTTGAAATGAACCCCTTCACTGTGGGTTTGGTGAATGCCATGGAGTAAGTAGATGGAAGGGGACTTTTGAAAACATGGGGTTTGGGAGTGGAAAAAAATTAAAGCAAATGAAAAAACAAAAACAAAAACAAAAACAAACAAACAAAAAACAGAACCTGACTTTGGGCTTCCTAAGGCCCCTACCTACTATGTTCAGATTCTCAGAAGGCAGGAGAAAATGAACAGGGAGAGAGGAGCAGGTGTGCTTTTGGGGACAGTTATGTGACAGGCAGATCTAGAAGCATGGCATGAATTACTTGTTTTAGTCTTTTCCAGGAGATGTGATTGCATCTATTTTATACATGAGTTAAAAGAGCATGCTCAGAAGGACAGATTTCTAATGGTGAAGTAATCTTGCTTAAAAAGACAGTCAGTGAGCGATGAGACTTGATTAAGAGCCTTTCACTCCTTCTACTCTGCCAACCGCCTTCTAACAGGGTATGGGGACACCACCCCAAGGAGACGCCAGGTCACAGGAGTGCAGGAAGTGGCTCATATTGGCTGGCAAGAGCTGATAGCTAAATTTTAGGGAATTTTGCAAGCCAGTTGTCAAACACAGCTATTATTAAAGATTAAATGATACAAGCTTACAACTAAATATATGAAAAACAAAGGTAATACGTACTCAAAACACATTGCTTTCTAATTATTTTGCTAACGTTTTGCTCTAACTATGCTTTTGAAGGTATTTGTGCTTTTTGTACCTGTATGGTGCAAATGATATATAATGATGCGCTACTGTGCATTGCTTCCCAACTCTGCCTTGGTGACATCATGTAGTTAGGTTGAAATCAGCCCTGGAGGGAGAATTTACACCACAGAAATTGGCAAACACTACAAGCCAGGAATCCACCTGCCCTGGAAAGGCAGTTGTTAAACATTTACCAGCACATCACCGCCCCGATCTTTTTTCCTGGTGGTCTGGTAAAGTCCTCTCAGATCCAAATTCATCTCCTAATCATCTCCTAATCATCAATGGGCTTTTTCCTTCGAGGGAAACTGACCAATATGGAGGGGAACAAGGCCTTCACAAATTGACCAGTACAGAGGGAAACAAGCTATCCTCAAATCTGCTCTACGCCTCCCATTCTTTACACTTTTCCCCCGAAGGTGGAAGATATACCCCAAAGTAACACCAAATAAATAATGCATGAACCATATATAATTGATGCTAGATTTAACAGAAGTAGAGCCATAAGTGGTTGCCTATTAACTATTTATGACTTTGCCCAAGCGGCTGACAAGCCAGGCTCAGTGAGGAGATCACACCCATGGTCCCATGTTTTATTTAAACATGATTAAAAGTACACAGTCTGCAGCAAGGCCTTCAATTCCACTCAGAATTAGATTCTGCTGTGAAGTCGCCTCTGGGTCTCAGGAAGGTTGGGATTGGATTTTGCTGGAACCGCTACCGGTTTTTTTCCTACAAGGGTAGGGAGTCTAATTTCCGCCTCTTTCCATTCTTGACTTTCTCCTTTCCTGACGTTCCCCCTTCTCCAGCTGCCCTGCGACCTTGGGCACAGCACCTCCCTGAGCCTCAGTTTAACCACCTGTAAAATGGGGAGTTATCATAGTTGTTAACTAAAGGGTTATGGTGAGGATTATCTCAGACAGGTTGCTCTTAACAGATGGTGATTTTGCCCCTTAGGGGACATTTGGTAATGTCTGGAGACATTTTTGATTATGGTAAACGGGGCAGAAATGCTATTTGCCTCTAGTAGGTAGAGGACAGGGATGCTACTAAATGTCTTACCATACACAGGACAGTCTTCACAACATAGAATGATCTGATCCTAGATGTCAATAATGCCAAGGTTGAGAACCTCTACATTACAGAATCAGAAGCAATATTAACATATATTATTAATTTTTTAAAATTGTACTTGAACACGTAAACACTGCGTATCTAAAATTCATTGAGTCGGTCAGACCCGCACTCAAATTCTGACTCTGCCATTTACTGGGAATGTGACTTTGGAGAAATTGCTTCACCTGTCTGGATTTTAGTTTCTTTAATGATAAAATAAGGACAATTACCTCCAACGGTGAGGCTCAAAATAGGGGATTCGGATGTGAGGGCGATCTAGCTGTAACATCTGTCACCCTGTTGATCGCCAGGGTTGATCTGGCTGATCTAGCTGGCTAGGCGGGTGTCCCCTTCCCCCCTCACCACTCCATGTTCATCCCTCCCAAAGCTGCATGCTTCAAGAGGATGACTGTCTCTGATAGAGGAGGACCAGTCTTCGGTCAAGGGTATATCTCCAAACCTCCAAACAAGTTCTCAAAACAGAGGATTCATGTAAAGTACTTAACCCAGTACCCACCATACAGTATATGATAAACAAATATTAAATCCTATTAACATCACTGCCATCCACTCACGGGCACTGCATGGATGTGGAGCTGGTAGAATATGATAAAGCTTGAGTGGAAGGAGAAAATCAGAAACTCAAAGGAAGAGTAAGAAAAGGAAGAAAGAAAATAAAGTACCATCTATTAGGTGCTTATTATGGGCTGTCATTTGACACTTTTGTATACATGATCTCATTTAATCCCCATAGCTACCCAATAAAACAGGCCATATTATGCCTATTTTACAGATGAGGAAATTGAGTTGCTTCAATGTTAACTTAGCTGTCTGAGGTATCAGACTCCAAGCGCAATGCTCTTTTCAACCACCGTATAGTGGGTTAAATAGCGTCCCCCAAAAATCCATATCCACCTAAAAACTCAGAATGGGACCTTATTGGGAAATAGGGTCTTTGCAGAAGTAATGAGTTAAGCTGAGGTCATACTAGATTAAGGTGGGCCCTGAATTCAATGACTGGTGTCCTTGAGGACACATGGAGACAGAAAGAGAAGAGGGGAAGGCCACATAAAGACAGAGGCAGAGATAAGCATGATGCAGCCCACAGGCCAAGGAATGCCTGGAGCCACCAGGGGAAGGAAGGATTCTCCCCTAGAGCCTTCAGAGGAGCATGTCTCTCCCAACATCTTCATTTCAGACATCTAGCCTCCAGAACTGTGAGACAATAAGTTCCTGTTGTTTTAAGATATCCAGGTTTTGATTATTTGTTATGGTAGCCTAGAAATTTAACACAGACCCTCCTCCCAACCTGAGTCAAAACAATTGTGTGTGTGTGTGTGTGTGTGTGTGTGTGTGAGAGAGAGAGAGAGAGAGGAGAAAGAGGAGAGAGAGAGAGGAGAAAGAGAAAGAGGAGAGAGAGAGAGAAACAGCATGCCTAAGTCTAGACAAGTGAGAACTAAGGAAGAATAAGGAAGAACAAGGAAAGCAAAAGAAAACAGGTTGAAGAGGGAGGAGGAAGAGATTTTGCAATTGGCATGCAGTAGGGGAGCTGCAATGAGAAAGAAGGAAGAGAAGAAAGGAAAGGGGTGAAGAGTCTGTGTTTATATCCCTGTAACTGGTTTCTCTCTGACTCTCCGGCAACCTGGACATTGCCTGACACACAGCAGGCATTCACTAGACACTTGCTGAATGCAAGTGAGAGATGTCGTGATAAACATGACTGGATCACTGCTCCCCCAAAGCTGCCAGCCAGTATTTGCTTTATCATTCAAGAAACTCCATACAAGTTTCAGATGAATGATGCATCTTCCATACAATCTCCCCTAGGGCTCCTGTTTGTGTGAAACCATTTCTTCCTTTGTCCACACATCCCATCTTGTGTCAGAGTTATTGAGGGACATGTGCATCTCCTCCTCTAGATCTTGAGAAATGCAAGGGCACAGTCCCTAGTCCATCCATGTCTGCATCTCCCACAACATCAGGCACAGGGCTAGGTACATAGTAAGATACAAACAACAGTTGGTTGATTTAAAATTTTCCATTTCTAAGATGTACTTTTTTGAGCCATTCTGTTAAGAGGTAAAACTTCAAAATGCTGAGAAAATTATTCAGCAAGCAATTACTGAGCATCTACCCTATACCTGACTCTGATATGGAGGTTGCAGCCCGAGTCAAGTAAAGTCTTCTCTCAGGGTTTCTCTCTCTAGGAAGACAAGAACATCGGCATTTACAATAACTGGGTGACACATGCATTGATGGGGTGGGCACAGGGGGTACGGGAACACAAAGGAGGTGCTTAACCTGATATTTGAGTTTTGAAATTTGCATAGGCAGGCAGCAGGATGCATGAGGATAAAGGCGGTGAATCAAGGAGTAACATGGCACTGGGGTCTTGTCTTATTTCAATTGTGTTGCTATAAAGGAATACCTGAGGCTGAGTAATTTATAAAGAAAAGAGGTTTACTTGGCTCACGGTTCTGCAGGCTGCACAAGAAGTGTGACACCAGCACCTGCTTCTAGTGAGGGCCTTAGCTGCTTCCACTCATGACACAAAGGGAAGGGGAGCTGATATGTGCAGAGATCATACGGCAAGAGCAGAAGCAAGACAGAGAGGAGGAAGTGGAAGGCTGTTTTCAACAGCCATTTCTCAGGGGAACTCCAGTGAGAACTAACACAGTGAGAACTCACTCGTTACCATGAGGAGGCACCAAGCCATTCATGAGGGATCTGCCCAAACACCTCCTATGAGGTCCCAACAGGTAAAACCCAACAGGTGCAGCCTCTGAAACAGGTGCATCTGGCAGGCCGAAGTCAGACCTTCCCGTCAGCATCTGGACTTCTAGCTTCCTCAGGTACCCCTTGATTACCCAGTTCTGGGGCCAGGGTGGTTCCCCGGGCCCTGTAACTACTGAAAAACAACAGGATATACATCCACAGAGGAGTTGCTTCATCGCTGTAATGACAAAGGGACAGGAATAATCTACAGCCAGAATATTATTTTCTCCATAATGGCTCCTGGAGTCTCCAGGAATAGCACATTTACTAAAATTAATGGCAAAACTGAGGATCAAATTTCAACATGATGCTTGAGGGACAAACATTCAAACTACAGCAGTCCTCAACATCTGTCTTTATGCTTAAGTAGAACAGGTAAGAGGATGAGAGGCAGACAACCAGAGGTGGAAAAATCTAGAGAGGTTAGATTTCTTGTAGGCCATAGGAAGCAGTTTGAACTTTGTTCTGAAGGCAATGGAGACCCATGACCCATGGAAGATCTTTTTGTTGTTTTCTTTCTTTCTTTTTTTTTTTTTTTTAGATGGAGGCTAGCTCTGTCACCCAGGCTGGAGTGCAGGGGTGCAACCATAGTTCACCGTAATCTTGAACTCCTGGGCTCAAGCAATCTTCCACCTCAGCCTCCTGAGTAGCTGGGTCTACAGGTACATGCCAGCAGACGTAGCAAATTCTTCTTTGTTGCTTCCTTCCTTCCTTCCTTAATTCCTTCCTTTCCCTTCTTTCCTCTTTCTTTCTTTCTCTCTCTCTTTCTCTTTCATAGAGATGGGGTCTTGCTATGTTGCCGAGGCTGGTCTTGAACTCCAGGCCTGAAGTGATCCTCCCACTCGTCCTCCCAAAGTGCTAGGATTATAAAGCATGAGCCAACATATCCGGCCCCATAAAAGATTTCTTAGCAGAGAAATAACACAGTAAGCTATGCTCCTTCTTGAAGGATCTCCTGCAGGGCGGACCAAGACTGAAGGGAAAGTGGGGAGACAAGTGAGGAGTCACTATAGAAGCCCAGACTGGAGGGGATGATGCTTAAATAAAGATAGAGTGAGCAAAAATGGGTCAGGAGGGGTGAATTTGAAAAATAATAGGGTAAAATCAGCGGGTCTGACCATTAAGCTATGTGAGCGAGAGGGAGACAGGTTGCTGCAATTTCTAACTCAGGTCACCAGGTGGATGCAGGAAGAGTGAGCAGAAGCACCATGCAAGTTTTTCAAGACCTGGGGAACTTGTGAAAAGGACACCTGGATCAGGGGAAAGTCAAAACCGGAGAATCAGGCCAAGGTGATGAGGGATAAAACCCAACAGGTGCAGCCTCTGAAATAGGTGCACCTGGTAGGCCGAAGTCAGGCCTTCCCGTCAGCATCAGGACTTCCAGCTTCCTCAGGCACCCCTTGATTACCCAGTCTTGGGACCAGGGTGGTTCCCCCGGGCCCTGTAACTACTGAAAAACAACAGGATATATACATCCACAGATGAGTTGCTTCATCGCTCTAATGACAAAGGGACTGGAATGATTTAGAGCCAGAATATTATTTTCTCCATAATGGCTCCTGGAGTCTCCAGGAATAGTACATTTACTAAAATTAATGGGAAAACCTCATTTTTCTTTTTTCTGGGAAGCAAAGTTCCACCGGAGGGGTAATTGATCCTGATCTGGATGTGCCAGAGAGTCAGCTGGGGGTATAAATCATTCACATGCAACAACTCACAGTTCTTTAAACCAACACCAACAGTGACAAATAGTACAGGTTGGGGACGGGCGGAAAGGATTGTGGACAGGAGATCCATCAACATCCTTCCCACTGCTCTCCAGGGCCCAGAGCACCGGATCCTTTTTTTGGTCTCCAGAGCAGAGCCATTTTTCAGCAAGGTTGGGTTGAAAGGGCAGCAGGGTGACCTGGTGAGAGCTTTAGCATTGGACACGTGGGACACCAATCCCAGCTCTGCCCTTTCTGACCCTGCAGCCCTGGACAACCTCACACCCGGGCCCCTCCATGTTCTCCACTTGCTGAGGTTGACATTAAGTGCTAAAGAAGACAACTTCTGCAAACGGCTTGAACATAGAACAACTCAATAAACGTTTGTTGATGGAATGAATAAATGAATGCTTGGACTGTGGAGTTAGGAAATGTATTCTATCCCTCCCAGGGAGGATGTGAATTCTAAAAATGAAGACAGGCCAGGAGCGGTGACATGCTTATAATCCTAGCACTTTGGGAGGCTGGGGCTGGAGGATGGCTTGAGGCCAGCAGTCCAAGACCAGCCTGGTCAAAGTAGTGAGACCCCACTTCTATTTTAAAAAATTGAAAAATTAGCCAGGCACAATGGTATGCACTTGTAGTCTCAGCTACTCTGGAGGCTGAGGCAGGAGGATCGCTTATGCCCAGGAGTTGGAGGCTGCAATGAGCTATGACTGTGCCACTGCACTCCAGCCTGGGTGACTAAGACCCTGTCTCAATTTAAAAAAAAAAAAAAAAAAAAAAAAGGAAGATGGAGAAGGCAATACTTTGCCCAAAGAAATGGACTTGTGGTGGTGACAGTGGGCATGGGAGAGAGATTTGGTGCCAACTGGCCTTCTAAAATCCCTCAAATCACAGTGCATGCCCCCTTGTTTTGCCTGTGAAGGCTCTGAGCTCTCATTACGGAGGAAACTCCATACTTGTACGAAGTACACTAAGAATGGCCTTAGTTGTATTTTCTCATGCAGTTATATATTTCCATCTATGAGCTCCTGGGGGGCAAAGGTGTGTGCTGTTCCTCACTGGGTATCCAGCATAAAGCACAGGGCTTGACCCACAGTGAAAACTATGGATATATATTGCATGAAGGAAAGAAGCAAAGCTCTGGCTGCCTTGCAGGATTTTAGTGTAGTTTAGAGAGAACATATGGCACAAAGAAGCTGCCCCTTATCTTATAGAAATGGGATGAGGGAAGGCAAGTTGGTGGCATAGACATGAACAGATGGGATGATCTGTCTTCAGAAGCCAGGGAGAGTACCAGGATGCCACACCTATAGGAGGGGCCTCAGCAGCAAGACTAGACTTTCAATGACAGTGAGGACTTAACTCTCCCACTGAGCCCTGTTTTGGGCACACTGTGTAACTTCTACACAGCAAGGACCTTATGATTCCTTGCCCTTCCTCACCAGTGCCTATCCCTGTGCCATGCTCATAGCTGGTGTTGAATAGGTATTTGTTGAATGAATAAATGAGTGATACAAGAAAGTATGACTTCCTCCCTTCTCCCAGTGGAAACTTCCCAGAGCTCAAAGGCAAAGGAAATATTTGAGAGCAAATAGGTTGGTGAGTTTTAGGACATCCAGTATTTGGAAGAGGCTGCTGGCCCGACCTTATTCGTGGAGCTTTGTTCTTCCACAGAAGCATTAAGGAAACGACAGGATGTACTGGATAACTTCAGAATGCCAACCAAGCAGAAATGTGCCTTCCTCTTCTGTAGTGGGTTGGAGGGTTGCCTCCCAAAAGACAAGTCCACCTGGGACTTGTGAATGTGATCTCATTTAGAAAAAGGGTTTGTAGGCCAGGCGCGGTGGCTCATGCCTGTTAATTCCAACACTTCGGGAGGCCAAGGTGGGTGGATCACCTGAGGTCAGGGGTTCGAGACTAGCTTGGCCAACATGGTGAAACCCCGCCTCTACTAAAAATACAAAAATTAGCTGGGCATGGTGGCGCGCATCTGTAGTCTCAGCTACTTGGGATGCTGAGGCAGGAGAAGTGATTGAACCCAGGAGGCAGAGGTTGCAGTGAGCTGAGATTGTGCCACTGCACTCCAGCCTGGGAGACAGAGCAAGACTCTGTTTCCAAAAAAAAAAAAAAAAAAAGCAAAAGCGTTTGTAGATATGATTAAGGTGAGGATCTTAAGGTGAGATCAACGTGGATTTAGAGTGAGCCCTGAATCCAATTACAGTTGTCCTTATAAGAAAAAGGCAGAGGGATATTTGGGACACACATACACAGAAAAGAAAGCCATGTGAAGAAAGCCATCACTGAGGCAGCCGCAAACCAAGGAGCACCTGGAGCCATCAGAAGCTGGAAGAGGCAAGGAAGGATGCTCTTCCAGAGCCTTCAGAGGGAGTGTAGCCCTGTTCACACCTTGATTTCAGACTTCAGGCCTCCAGAACTATGAGAGAATGAATTTCTGTTGTTTTAAGCTATGCAGCTTGTGATAATTTGCTATGGCAATCCTAGGAAACGAACACTCCTTTCAACCACACTCACCAAACTAAAGAGAAAAGTTCAGCTTTGATAAACTTATCCAGAATCTTGCCATCAGAAATTGGAGACAGATGCAGGTCTAATTTCAGCATGCATGCAAGCTCTTTAAGGTTTTGTGTTGTGTCCATTTTGATTCATATGTGGGAACTATGCTATAATCTTTTCAGTATTTCAGGGCCTTTCAAGATCAGAATATGGCCCCAGGAATGGGGACAGGGAGAGGAAAGAGAGAAAAGAGGGAAGGAGAGAAGAGACAGAGAAAAAGAGGTCAAGGGACAGAGAGGAAGAAAATCACTATTTGATCTGGACAGAATGCCTGAGTGCCTGGCTAGTTAAAGAAGACATCAGAGGAGAAAGGCTGGGGATGTTCTCTCCTCCCAGCCAGAGCTTGCAGGAGGGGTGCTCAGCTGCATGAGAAATGGGGCTGGTTAATGAGGAAGTTATCCTGTCAACTGGAGGAAAGAGCTTTTCTCTCTCCCAGGGCCATGGGTGTGGAGGAACCGCCAGTCAGGAGGCCTGGACTTTGTCTGGGAACCTCTGTCTCTGTGCGGTGCCTTACTGCCCCCTCACAGAAGAACCAGACAGCCAGCTTGTCAAGGGCAAAGCTGATGGGGATGACACCGGCTGTGAAAGACAGTAGCCCGAGACATATTAATATATTTGCTGCAGGAAGAACAAGTTGGTAAGACCTCTCACAGCACCAGAGCGGATAATGCAGGAAGGAGAAAACAAATGTAATTTAGAGACCTCTGGGCCAAGGCTTGGCATATTGTGGGCTGTCTCTAGAAGGCTGAGTGATGGTAGGCGATAGGGGTGCCAGATACACCCCAGGTCACAGAATCAGAAATCTGGAACCTTAGTGATATCTGGCCCCGTGGAGAAAAAGTGGAACAGTCACTCTTAGATGCTCTGTGACCTGTGCAGAAAACTTCTTAGAACAACACACTGAATGATGGAGAAACCTTCCCATTAGGCAAGAAACAAATTTTAAAATGTTCCTTGGGGCCGGGCGCAGTGGCTCACACTTGTAATCCTAGCACTTTGGGTGGCCGAAGTGGGCAGATTGCCTGAGCTCAAGAGTTTGAGACCAGCCTGGGCCACAAAGTGAAACCCTGTCTCTACTAAAATACAAAAAATTAGACGGACATGGTGGCTCATGCCCGTAGTCCCAGCTACTCAGGAAGCTGAGCCACGAGAATCGCTTGAACCTGGGAGATGGAGATTATAGTGAGCTGAGATCGTGCCACTGCACCCCAGCCTGGCAAACAGTGCAAGACTCTGTCTCCAGGGAAAAAAAAAAAAAAAAGGTTCCTCGGTCCATCCTGGAGACAAAATATGAGTTAGTGACTAAAAGCAGAGACTACATTGTCAGGCAGCCTTGGGTTCAAATTCTTACTCCTGTGTGACCCTGGGCAAGCAAATGGACCATTCGGAGCCTCAATTTGGCAAGTTGATATCTCCACGTGTCAGTTTCCCCACCTTTTTAAGGGACATCAAGATAGCACCTACCTCACAGTTCTGAAATGAGGATTTAGACGAGAAATGTTTCCTTCAGAACCTGGTAGGGAGCAAATACTTCACACATGGTGGCTTGAATCATCATTTGTATCTTTTATTTTTGTTGTGCTATTAACAGCCCAGAAATAGCTCTATGTTTACTAGATGTGGCCTTAGACTAGTCATCTCCCCTTCTGGAAGGCTCGGTTTGTCCTCATCTGTGAAATGGGGGCAATAATTCTGACTTCACAGGGCTGACATGAGGATTATAGAATATTATGGATATTGAGACCTGGTGAAAGATAGGCCGTTAATAAATACCGGTTTTTTCCTCTTTTGTATGAGGCCTTCCTGCCATTGGAGTGGAATGAATGGAGCAGGAAAAGAAAGTCTGGGATCTGATATGTAAATGAACTTGGCAGCCATCCGGCAGCAGTGAATGTCATTGGTCCACTTTGGGCCCACCTCCAGGGTTTGCAGCCAATGACGGTGTTGTCTCAGCCCACTCTCCCCTTCTTGTTTCTCCTGGCTTTCCGCACACCCCTGAGGCCCAGGACCCAAACCTATGAGTCTCCCATTCAGAAGTCTTAAGAAAGGGGGGTCTACCACATTGCAAACCCTCAGTCGCTAAGAGCCCATGATGGGGACAGGACTCACCAGCTCCATGCACCGCCGGCTGGCCTCTGCCTCCCGCTGCACCAGCTCTTCCATGTCGGCCTTCAGCTCTTCCAGGCGCCGCTGGTAGTACTGGCTGCTCTCCCGCTGCTGGGACTCGGAGGTGGCCGCCTGTGAAAGCTCCTCCCCCATCTTGATCAGGCTGTCCCGAAGCCGGATCACCAGGACCTGGGAGGGGCAGAGACACATGCCCACCTTGGAGTTGGAGGCCAGGGGTATGAAACAAGGGAGCCTCAGGAAGATAAATCCTTTGCCGAGTTTCCTGTGTTTTCATAATCAGGATAAGAATACTGATGTCTGCTACAAAAATGAAGAATTAACAACATGCAAAAAATGATGGTCGGGCGCAGTGCTCAAGCCTGTAATCCCAGCACTTTGGGAGGCCGAGGCATGTGGATTACCTGAGGTCAGGAATTAGAGACCAGCCTGGCCAACATGGCGAAATCCCTTCTCTAAGAAATACAAAAATTAGCCGGGCGTGGTGGCGCATGCCTGTAATCCCTGCTACTTGGGAGGCTGAGGCATGAGAATTGCCTGAACCTGGGAGGTGGAGGTTGTAGTGAGCCAAGATCACGCCACTGCACTCCAGCCTGGGTGACAGAGAGAGACCCTGTCTCGAAAAAATAAATAAATAAATAAAATAACTGCTATTCTGAGAGGCAGTGTAGCGTATTTATGAGAACCCTTGCCCCCAAGACCCTCTGGGTTCAAATCCCACCTCTACCTCTCCCTGGCTATGTGACCTTGGGCACGTTATGGAGGCCCTCTGAGAGACAGGGATGATGATAGTACCTGTGTCCCAGGGACGCTGTCAGAATCTAATTTCTTGGTATGCAGAAGGCTTGGGTGCCTGGCACATAGGATGTGCCAGATAAGGGATGGGGGATTATTAATTCTTTTTTTTTTTTAGCAGCTCCTATTTATCTCGAGGGGCTGGTGCAATGAAGAGAGAACTCTGCTGAAGTCAAAAACCTTTCCCCCACATGTGTTTTTGTTTCCTGATTTATAAAATGAGGGTGTTCAGATAATTTCTCATGAGCCTCAGCCCTACTATTTTATGACATTTTTCCTTTCCTGGTGGCAGGGGGGATGGGGAATCCTTGAGGACACAATGAAACAATAGAGAGAAAAGTGCTTTGGCCATCACGAGTGCCACACAAAACAAACCCAAAGACTGTTCTGCAGAATTCATTAGTTGGCCAACAAGCCGGGAACCAATCGATCCTGATGGGCAAATACTCTAGTGTTGACATAAGACGGGACCCACATGAATATTTCAAGCCCCTGCTAAGGACTTTGAGCCCTTTTTCTGCAGCCACAGGCAGTGGGGATAACAGCCTGCAGATCAGACACCAAATAATAACCTAAAAGAAATGCTTTCCTATTCAGTTCACCTCTCAAATGAAGTTCAGCCACAATTCCAAGAACAGCAGGAAGAGTGGAAGGAGTTCTCAAACTGTGTCTTTGAGGTACCCCATCTCTACACCTCAAAGACCCAGGATTCTACTAAATTCAAATCATAGTGGCAGAGGGCAAAATTGAATTTGGAGATAGAATTTTTCCATTTGAAGTTTTCCCACATTCATTTTCTTTTCTCCTCTGCTGTCATTTCACTACGCTAGACACAAGTTTTAAAATGGCATGTGATATAGCCCAACTTTACATATTTAATTATTTAAAATATAGTAGATCAAAGTTTCATGGTGATCTGCAGAGACAGTCAGACCTTGAGGGATCCCTTGAGCAATTTCTGGGAACCACTGAGGGTCAAAGCAAAGAAGAATTTCTCTCTGTTCTTCATCCATAGCAGCCTTATTGGAGACCAGATGCCCCTAGGGAGATCAAGGGGAAATGTTTCAGAATGAGGAATGCAGCCTCCCAACTGTCTAGACGCACTGTCTTACTGTGGTGAAGCCAGCTGGCTGCAGAGAAATTGGAACCTGTAACCAGGAGGAAGTGAAGGTCAGGTGTCCATCTACCTTATCCCACGCACTGCCTGGCTTTATCTTCAGCAAGTCACTTGACCTCTCCGGGGTCATCTTCTCATCAGATAAGGCTTATCCTACCTGCCTCACAGGACTGTATCAAACCTCAAGTGGAGTGGCTTATGTGAAAGGATTTTGACAATGGTGATGTCTTCTGTAAGAGTCCCATGTCACTGGCCTACAGAGCTGAAGAAGTGAACACCTGTGTTCCCAGCTCAAGGGCAATGTGAATGTAATCACTGAACCTCACCCCAGCCCATCCAAGTCTTACCTGTCCTTCAAGGTTCAGCATTAATGCCACCTCCTCCCAGAAGCCCTCCTGATTCCAGAGTCTTGAAAAGATCTCTATCCTCTAAACATCACAGCCCTCTCTCCATATTACAGATATTTATGTACATATCTTACCCACATTGCTTACAAAGACATATGCTTCTGAAAGCAGATCTGTGTCATACATCTGTCTTCTGTGCACCTAAAACAGGGCCTAGCCCACACTGGGTGCAAAATAAATTTCTGTTCAAAATGAGTGTTGGGCATGTAAGTGGTTGAGTAGGTGGACGGAGGTAGGAAGAACTGGATCAATGCATAGAAGAATGGGCAGACAGAGGGGTTGAGGGCTAAAGAAAAAATAATAGAGGAAGAGAGGAAAAAGTAAAGGTGAAAGGAAGAACAAATGGAAGGGAGGATGGATGAATGGACCCATGATGGTGGAAGGAGATGGAGAGACATACGTGAGGATAGATGGGTAAATGGGTAGGTGGCTTGAGGGATGATGCTATGATGGAAGGAGGGAGGGAGCTTGGGTGAGAAGTGGATGAGTAATGTATATCTAGATGAAGGCATGTGAGTAGATAGATGAGTAGTAGAAGGATGGATGAAGCTTACACAAAAGCTCTCCCTGCTCTTGGCCCAGGCACTATTTATGAATCACTACGTACCTCAAATCTCTTAATCTGCACCTTCTGGAACTCTGTCTTGTTCTCTAGGTCACAGATGACCGCCTCCTGCCTGCTGACGATGGCTCGATCCACGGTGGACTGTTCCAGGTACTCGATGCGCATCTGAGCCACCTGCAGCTGTAAGTATGAGAGAAGTCTATTGGACATCTGTTGTCCCTGATACCAGGACAGAGACATGTGCAGGACCCAGCCTGGGAGGGTGGGAGGAGCTATTCACACCACCTCCTTCTCTACTCAGGTGTGCTGCATGTTAAATGTCTGCACAAGCAAGAATGGCCAGGTGTCAATCTTGGGACCTTCACTGGACCCTCACACCAGACCCTGATCCTGGGTCTCAGGTGCTGGGAGGTGATGCTTCTTATGCCTTCACAATTGAAAACAAGACTTTTAATCAGTGCTTCCCTTCTCTCCTTCCCTGCTCTGATCAAGGAGCAAAGCTAGTCTGTGAGCAACAAGCTACAGCATCAAAAGATACAAGCAAGTGTGGGTTTGGGAGCCAGGTTTCTGCCTGGTGTGTGAGTCTGAGAAAGTCAGTTCCTTTCCTTGAGCCTTGGTTTCTTCATTTTTCTTGTGAGGATTAGAGGAGATTAGTGACTGGCACATAATAAGCAGCCAGCAAATGGCCACTGCTGCTGTTCCATTTGTTGTGCGTGTTGTTATCCAGCACCCATAGGAAATTGCTTGAGACCTGGTCACTCCAACAGTCACTTTAAGCAGGTGCATGCCAGGGTTCTAGAAGAGCTTTGAAAATTTCATGGATAATAGCAACCCTCTAGGTAATGATGGAAAGCCAGAGATGTTTGGAGGGACCATGACTTCAAAGGAAGATTTCGCAGAGGATCGTGATCCTGTCTTGCACAGACCATCTCTTGTTCTTGGAGCCATTTCTCAGACGGAGAAAATTCTGCACTGAATGGCTGAATCTCAGTGCATGGGGCACGCTTGGATTCAGCACAAGCACAGGCCAAGAGTAAATGAGTGTGAGTGTGTGTGCATGTGTCTGTCTAAGGACTGGTCTCAATTCACCTCGCACACAACTGGAATTGAGTGAGTATTTGAATGAACTGATGAATAAAAGAATGAAGGAAACAGTTTCCAGGAGCCAAAGTATAAGTAAGTGCCCAGGGAGAATCCCTCTCTTCCTCCCTGTGATGGTTAATACTGAGTGTCAACTTGATTCCATTGAAGGACACAAAGTATTGATCCTGGGTGTATCTGTGAGGTTGTTGCCAAAAGAGATTAACATCTGAGTCAGTGGGCTGGGGAAGGCAGATCCACCCTTAATCTGGTGGGCACCATCTAATCAGCTTCCAGAGAATATAAAGCAGGCAGGAAAACGTGAAAAGGAGAGAGATGGGCCTTAGCCTCCCAGCCTACATCTTTCTCCCGTGCTGGATGCTTCTTGCCCTTGAACATTGAATTCCAAGTTCTTCAGTTTTGGGACTCGGACTGGCTCTCCTTGCTCCTTAGCTTGCAGAAGGCCTATTGTGGGACCTTGTGGTCATGTAAGTTAATACTTAACGTATTTCCCAGCTGGGCCTGGTGGTTCACACCTATAATCCCAGCACTTTGGGAGACTGAGAAGGGCGGATCACCTGAGGTCAGGAGTTAGAGACCAGCCTAACCAACATGGTAGAACCCCGTCTCTACTTAAAAAACAAAAATTAGCCAGGCATGGTGGCGGGTGTCTGTAATCCCAGCTACTTGGGAGGCTGAGGCGGGAGAATCGCTTGAACCTGGCAGGCAGAGGTTGCAGTGAGCCAAGATCGCGCCACTTCACTCCAGTCTGGGTGACAGAGTGAGACTCTTGTCTCAAAAATAAATAAACAAATAAACAAACAATAAACTCATACACACACACACACACACACACACACACACACATCCTATTAGTTCTGTCCCTCTAAGAAAACCCTGACTAATACAACTATAGGATGGCTCTGAGCACATACTTGTTCTTGTAGCTTGTGCTTCTCCTTCTTGGCTTCCTCCAGCTGCAGCTGCAGTTCTTGGATCTGCCCAATGTCAGCAGCAGACTGGTGAGACAAAAAAAAAAATGTATATATATCACCCTGAGTCCACAAGCCTTGCTGGGAAACCACCCCTGAAAATCCCTACTTTCCCCACCCACAGATGTCTACATCTCTCAGAGCTTCTATGATAATAGCTGTTTCCCAAAAATTACCTCTCACATCCTCCTCACCATCTTTCATTTCAATGTTCGCTGAGTCACTCCAATTATATAAGCCCCTGGATTTGGTCCACTGTCCAGCATTTTATTATATACCCTTGAGAACCCAGACAGAAGTGGGCTGGCCATGGCACTAGGACCAGATTCCGAGGGATGAGAGCTACTCGGAGGGTCATTTAACTGAGCTTCTAGACCTGGACCCTGGCCTTAGCAAGCTGTGGAGCCTCTCTGCACCTGAGTCTCTGCATTCGTAAAACGGACTGACAATCTCAGCTCAGCCTTTCCGTATTGGGTTTGTTCAGAGATCAAATTAAGCAGTGGAGAGTAAAGGTTTTTTTTAAAATAGAACCAACTGTTGAGCTTCATTACCTCTGAAGAGAGGAATTCTAGAGGGTAGAAACACCTCTTTACTTTCTATTTCTTGTATCTTTATTATTTAAATTATTTATTATGGGCATATGCATATAGTGCCTTTGTAACTGAACAGATTAACCTCTCTTTGAGGCAAAAATAAGTGTGATTCGCAAGTGGAGACATTGGCATAGGCTATTTTTGTGGTGTTTGTTACCATGTGGATGATATCATCAATTATTTTGTTATTATTATTCCTTGTCCAGCAGAAATCCCTTCAGATCCAACCTCTGTCAGATGCATTTAGAGCGTGGCAGGTATTTTACCCCGGCTCTCCTCTGGATGGTGTATTGCAAGGAGGGAGCTGTTCTCCCCATTATGCAGTCATTATGTGGAGATCTGCTGGGGATTCCACATCATACCCCTCAGCTTCACCCCAAAGCTTCTGTTTCACCCATGCTGCCCTCATGGCTCCCGATCATCTCCCAAGCCCATCCATCCACTCCTCCTCATCTTCACTCCATCTACCAGGCTGGAGTTGTCTTTCCCCTGGACAAAGTCAGCTTTCATTTATTCAACAGTGATTTACTGAGCACCTCCAGGGCAGACACCCTTCTTGGCTCTGAATACAGCACTGGACAAGGCAGAGGAGAGTCCTGCCTTTATGGAGATGACAGTCTGGGGTGGCATGCTGGCTGCTCCTCTCCAACTGCTCTTGCCCCTGAAAAGCTTGCCAATTGATTCCCTTCAACCATAAAATAAAACCCAATCTCATAACAGCCTCTAAGACCCTGATCTGATCCTCTTCTTTTGCTGAGCTTGTCTTGTGCCAGATTGTCCTCACTGGTCTCCTTTCAGTCTCTCCAATGCACCATCACAGGCCCTTTGTATGTGCTATTTCCTCTGCTTGGAAGGCACCCCCAATCCCCAATGTCCCACTCCAATCTAAGTGACTCCTATTCTTTGTTCAGATCTCCATCCAAATGACACCTACTCTGGGAAGCCCTTCCTGACTCCCAACCTAGGTCAGGATTTGCAGAATTGTGTACACTTCCTTTCTGGACTCTTGGCTCAGTTTGCAAGTCTGCCCTCTGCTCTGGGTGACCATATGATAAGGTCTTCCCAGCCCACTAAACTGTGAGGTACATGAAGGTGGGAATGGGATGTGCTTCTGATCACCACAATATACTTAGCATTTTTCACAGTGCCTAACACATGGCAAGGATTCAGTAAATATTGAATAAATAGCTACAGATAGAAAGATAAGAAGAAAGAAAGAAAGAGGGGGAAAGAAGAAAAAGAGAAAGAGAAAGGAAGGAAGGAAGGAAGGAAGAAAGAAAGAAGGAAAGAGAAAAGAGAGGAAAGAAAGAAAGAGAAAGAAAGAAAGAAAGAAAGAAAGAAGGAAGGAAGGAAGGAAGGAAGGAAGGAAGGAAGGAAGGAAGGAAGGAAGGAAAGACAGGAAAAAGAAAAGAAAATGATGGTTGGATAGGTGGATAGGTGAATAAATGGGTAAGCGGTGGTAGGATGGATGAATGGATAAATGAATGGATGGCTGCATGGATGGATAAATGAATGGAAAGATGGATGGATGACTGGATAGATGGATAAATGGTTGGACAGACAGATGGATGGGTGGTTGGGTGGATGGGTGGATGATTGGATGGACGGATGGATGGATGGACAATGGATAGATGGATAGTTAAGTGGGTGAATGAGTAGATGGGTGGAAAAGTGAATGGGTGAATTGATGAGCAGATGAATGATCGATGGGTGGGTGGATGGGCAGACAGATGCATGAATAAGTCCAAATCTTTCATGGTGGACACGTCCTCCAGAGATGCACACACCATCTGAAGGTGACATTGTCCTCCATTAGGACCACAGGAAATGCACAATTCCTAACTATCTCTGTGCACTTATCCCTCCAAGATGTTAAGACCAGGGAGTAGTCCAACCACATCACCTTCTCAACATTCCCCATTCACCCCACCCCAAGTCCCTGAGCTTCTTCCACCAAGGTCTCATTCACTACCTGAGCAATGAGGTCCTTGTGCTTCTGCATCAGCTCATTCAGGTCATCCTGGTCCTCATCGATGCGCTTCAGGAGGTCCGCCTTCTCAAACTGCAGCCTGTACAGCTGCTCATCCACCTGGGGGAGGCAGATCAGTGGTCAAGGCAAGGTGAGAGGGTGAGGGATGGGCAGCAAGGTCCAGAGGAAGAGCAAAGAGGGGCTTGCCTATAGGTGTGTGAGGTGAGTGACCATCAATGTTTAAGAGTGGCTGTGGTTACCAATGCATGTGGTAGGTATAACAGCTTGGTGTGTGTGTGTGTGTGTGTGTGTGTGTGTGTGTGTGTGTGTGTGTGTGTGTGTGTATTAGGCATTACATGTGACTATGAATTCAGGGTGTATGTGTGTATGAATTTATGTCTGTGCAATCCCACTTGGGAATCTATGTGTGCACATTTTAAATGTGCCTAGTACATATATGAAAATGCAAATCCCGGCGCTCTCCCTGAGAACAGGGACTTTGTTCTGTCCACAAACATAACCTCAGCAGCAAGCACCAGGCCAGCCCTATAACAGGTGCTCAATAAATATGTATTGGGTGGATGAATAAACTTGGAGGCACAGGTTACCTATACGGAGGGCATTTATTTTGTATGTGTGCCTGGTGATCGCACGTGAATATGTACATTCATTCCTGTGTATACACGTGTGCGCATGTATGTGTATGTGTGTGTGTGAATGCTTGTAGGCAAGTTCCAACAACATAAGGGACAAAAAGGCCCACAGAGATCTTGAGATAAGCATTTGCCTATAAAACTCGAACTATACCTAAACTTTAGTGTTTTATACATTGAGTATAAATCTAAGCCAACCCTGTACACCCAGATAGGGGACTTGGAAACCTACATCCAATTCTCACCAAAATAATACATCGACAATATATGTCCATGTGTCCCCATTCAGGGGTGAGCACAGGGTAGTTCCATAATAAATGGCTCAAATCTTCTCCTGGTAATAAGCCTAAGCGGGCCAAGAGATGCCCTTGTCTCCACTTACTAGAGGGGACATGCAGTAGCCCCACAATAAGGAACAAGTTCCATCTCATGATGGTGAGCACACAGTAGGACCACAGCAGATGTCTGAGAACCACTTAGAGTGGCAAGCAGGGTGGGCACACAACATACAGTTGTGTTTCCACATTGGGTACTGAGCAAATAACAAGCTCACATCAGATGCACATTCACAGCACTGAGCACCCATTATGTCCACAACAGACTTCCTTGCTTATCGTTGCAGATGGGAACACACAGTTGAGCCTCGCTGATGCCCTTATATCTTTATAATGCTCAGCTGACAGTAGGATGCCTGCACATTCAGAACGCTGAGCACCTAGTAGGTCTACAATAAGTCCCCTTGTCCCTCTTACAGAGCTGAGCACATAAAAGGCCTACAATGGATGTCTGTACCTCCAAGGTGCTACCTGGTAGGTTTACAATAAATGTCCTCATACTTCCTATAGTGCTGAGCGCACACTAGGCCCACACTAGCTCCCAGAGGCCTATGCTGGCCCAGGTCCCTGCAGCTGCAGGAAGGGACAGGTACCAGGCTCTTGTTCCGCGTCATGTTCTCCAGCTCGCTGTGCATGCTCTCCAGGTCCGCTGTGAGCACCTTCTGCGTCTTCAAGGCCTCCTCACACTTGGCTTCACTCTGCTCCAGCTGGACCAGGCAAGAGGTGGAGAAGAGAAGAAAAGAAAATGAGAAGGGAAGAGGGGAAGGGAGGTGGGGAGGGGAGGGAAGGTGGGAGGGGAGGGGAGGTGGGAGGGGAGGGGAGGTGGGAGGGGAGGGGAGGGGAGGTGGGAGGGGAGGGGGGAAGAGAGCGGAGGGGAAGGGAGAGGGGAGGGGAGGCGAGGCGAGGCAAGGCAAGGGGAGGTGAGGGGAGGGTAGGGGAGGCGAGGGGAGGGGAGGGGAGGCGAGGGGAGGGGAGGGGAGGGGAGGCGAGGGGAGGGGAGGGGAGGGGAGGGGAGGCGAGGGGAGGGGAGGGGAGGGGAGGCGAGGGGAGGGGAGGGGAGGGGAGGCGAGGGGAGGGGAGGCGAGGGGAGGGGAGGGGAGGCGAGGGGAGGCGAGGGGAGGGGAGGGGAGGCGAGGGGAGAGGGGAGGCGAGGGGAGAGGAGAGGCCTCCTCATGAGGCTGCCTCCTTCAATGTCCTTCCCCTCTAGCTCAGCCCAGCCCCTCCCAGGCATGGGATTAATATACAGGCGGCCCTCATGTCTTCACAACTATTCATCAACTCACACCTGGGAGAAAGCAAATAAATTTGCATTTGAAGCTGCCAGGTTCTGAGCCCACTCAAAATGTCACCCCTGGTGCATCACCAGGAGTTATTCTTCAGTTCCATTCAGCAAATCCTTGCTGAAGCCCATTCAGTGCCAGGCACTGGACATGCAGGGAACAATCAAGCTGGCCCCTGCCCTCTCAGTGGGAGACAGGCAAGAACAGCTAATGACAACCTCTTTGTGCAGTAGAGGAAAGAGGGTGACACTGGCACAGTGGAAACACAGGATGGGAATTGAGGGAGGCTTCCTGTAGGAGGTGGTTTGACGGCCCATGGGAACCAGCCAAGTGGAAGTTTCTTAACCAGGGTTCAGGGTTAAAAGTGGGTCCACAGACCCCCTTTAAAAGGGTATGCAAAATATTCTGCATGTGAGCATTTAGCATTTTGCTGGGTTCATAGCTTTCACTAGATCCTCGAAGGCTAAGAGACACCGACTTAAATAAAGCTCTTTCTCACACTTTTCTTTCTCTCTTTTCCTCCCAGCTGCACACAGTAGGCCTCCTATCCTAGCAAAGTGGAGTCATCAAGATTCATCCAATTACTTATGTACGTGGCCCCAGGTGACAGACACGCCCCACTGGAGAAACCCATATTCATGCACATACCCTAAATCCATTCTGCAGTTGGCAGCTGCCTCTTCTGAACTCTAACTCAGCTTTTTTTTTTTTTTTTTTGAGATGGAGTCTTGCTCTGTCGCCCACGATGGAGTGCAGTGCCACGATCTCAGCTCACTGCGACCTCCACCTCCCGGGTTCCAGCGATTCTCCTGCCTCAGCCTCTGGAGTAGCTGGGACTACAGGCGCCTGCCACCATGCACGGCTAATTTTTGTTTTTTAGTAGAGACGGGGTTTCATCATATTGGCCAGGCTGGTCTTGAACTCCTGACCTTGTGATCTGCCCGCCTCGGCCTCCCACAGTGCTAGGATTACAGGCGTGAGCCACCATGCCCAGCCTAACTCAGCTCATTTATAATGTTCAGCTCACAGCAGGATGCCTGCACATTCAGAGTGCTGAACATTTAGCAGGTCTACAGTAAGTCCCGTTGGCCCTCTTATCCCCCTTTTCTGTATCTCGGAACAGAAAACACTCTTAGAAATCACCTAAGGTAAACATTCGGGGCTCAGAGAGGGATGGGTCACAACTCACAAAACCCCCTTTTCCAGCCCCTGAGAAAAATGTATTCCTGCAGTTGGGCCCAGCAAAAGAGGGCTGGGGGCCCATTTCAGTCGGCAAATGGGAGGGATTGAGACACACTGAGAAAATTGATGTAGAGCAAAGGAAGGTAATTGGCCTTGTTAGAGCATAATGGACAGAAGAAGTGAGATGTCAGGCCTGGTCTTATTTTCCAGCAGGTAACTCAAGTGCCTCTGCCATGGCTAGGAGGTGGGTGATAGGGCTGCCCTGAAGGCAGGCAGGGCAAAACCAGCCCCTCTTTTGAGAAGTCAGAGGACTCATGAAGGAGAAGCACTTAAGCTAAGACCTAAAAGATGCAAAGGAAGGGCTGGTTGCGGTGGCTCACACCTGTAATCCCAGCACTGTGGGAGGTTGAGACGGGCAGATCACCTGAGGTCAGGAGTTCAAGACCAGCCTGACCAACATGGTGAAACCCCATCTCTATTAAAAATACAAAAAAATTAGCCGGGTATGGTGGTACATACCTGTAATCCCAGCTACTTGGGAGGCTGAGGCAGGAAAATTGCTTGAACCCGGGAGGCAGAGGTTGCAGTGAGCCGAGATCGCACCATTGCACTCCAGCCTGGGTAACAAGACCGAAACTCCGTCTCAGAAAAAAAAAAAAAAAAAAAAAAAGGAAAGAAAGAAACAAGATGCAAAGTAGATGGCCATGTGCAGAGCGCACTGGGCAGCAGCAATAGCAAGTGCAAAGGCCCTGAGGCAGAGACAGGAACTAACGGTGGTGCTGAGGAACAGAAACCTCACTAGTGCGGCAGGGCAGCTGCACAGAGAAGGAGAGGAGGAGGAGATGCTGAAGATGTGGACGCGGGTCACATCTCTGAGGCTTGTGAGCTGGGCTACAAAGCTTAGATTTTATTTCAGTCTGCCAGGAAGCCATGGATGGTTTCTAAGGAGGTAGGTGGCCTAATCTCCCTCTGGCTGCTGTGGGGAGGGTGGGACCAGATTGCAAATAGGGCAGCCAGTGAGGGGATCGCCATGGTCCTGCAGGAAGGAGGCGGTGGAGGTGCTCCAGCCGGGGTGGAAGGGGTGGAAGTGGAAAGAAATGGAAGAATCGGCACAGCAGGGCATGCAAACAACAAAAGGTCTGGGCGGCAGGAGCAGATGGGCCATCAAGGGAGATGATGTCAGATAACTAATGGTGGAAGAGGAGGCCTCACGCAGGGCCCCTCTGCCAGGCCAAGGAGCTGGGCTGGGAGCCAGGAGGCAAGAGAGAGTCATTGTAAATAAAGCAACAGGGCAAAGCAGAACACGATGACACAGTTCCCATCTGCCCAGCCCCTACTTCAGCAGAGGGTTTCAGCAGCATGATCCCGCCAGTCCTCGGAGCCCCTGGAGAAAGGAGACTCTATTTTTATCCCCATTTTATAGATGGCATAATGGTGCATGATCCAGAAATGCTCTTTCCTTTCCCTTCTTTCCTTGGAGCAAGCAGAGAGAGGGACGACTTATCCCCAGAGAGAGATGAACACAGACAGCAGTCAATGGAGACAGCTGCTGGCCTTCTTAGCTCATACTGGGCTGGAGATAGGATTATCTTGGCCCTGATGGTTTTGGCATTAGCAGTCCCACCTGCTACTGTTGCTTGGGGACCATGTTCAAGGCACTGTGCTTTCTCTGCCTTGCTTCATGACAGCCCCACAGCACCTCTAGGAGAAAGGTGCCACCATTAGGACCTTTTGATAAAGGCGGACTCTGAGACACACAGAGGGGAAGTGACTTGTTCACCATCACAGAGCTGGTCTGTGGAGAGCCTGCTTGCTCCAACGCCAGAGCCCAAGCTCTTAACTACTGAGCTTCACTGCCCCTCATAGAAAGCCACTCACTGGGAGGTCTGACCACACAGACGGAATGGATCAAAATAAAGAGAGAGCTCTGTTGCAGAGAAAACAGCTCAGTGGTTTCGTGCTATAACGGAAACCTCTTAGGCAGCATCAGGAGAGCCTGGACTAAGTTGGGAGTCTGTAAAATGACAGAACTCGGAGTTTGAGCAAATGTGGTGGAAATATGCATCATTCCTGGAACCTGCCAGGGATGAACACATTCATTCCGAAGGACAGAGGAAGGAAACCAACGTTACCAACACTAAGTGCCAGATTTCACTGTGTGTGTGGTTCAGAGCTTGGGCACTGGAGCCAGACCTGAGGCAGTCTGCTTCTGCCAGCAGCACCGTCTTGCTATGCCTCAGTTTTCCTCCTCTATAAAATAGGGATGGTTCCATCACAGGATGTCTGCAGGATACATGGATGAAAACATGCAAAGTGCTTACACAGTGTCTGGCAGTGAGAAAACATTACAAAATGGTAACAATTGTCGTTGTGAGCTCCTTTCATCCCTGGGAAGTGGGAATTTTTAACTCCATTTTAGAGAGAAAGAAAATGAAGCGGAAGCCAAAAGAATGGGCCAAGTTTACACAGTCAGGATAAGCAGGGCCTCAGCACTGACCATCTTGAGGAATTTTAGCCTTCCTGTTCCACTGGGATGGGTAGAGGGAGGTCAGTGTCCCAGAGGCACACAAGTCAAGCAGGTCTAGATTTTAAGAGGATCTGGATAGACCAGACCAGGCATTTCCCAGCCCAAGACCTCCACGGGGCAGGCCCCAGGCCGCTGCTGACAAGCTGTCTTCATGCTGAGCTTTAAAAGTTTCAATTTATTGCACTTTAGGGAGCAGAAAGAAATATGGGGCCACCTCTGGCTGATTTTTTATTATGGATGACCCAGCATAAGAAGAATTCACTGCACATTATTTCCATACGGAGGCTGTTTGACTGATGTTTTTATGAAGTCGGTGGCAAGTCATGTTAAGGACAGAGATCAGATCCTTCAGTGGCGCAACACTGGCCAGACTCGCCTTTGAAAATGCCTTCCCCTGAGGAGCTCCAGGAAGAGCCATCAGAGAGCAGTGGGTAGTAAAGGTGGTTGGGTTGACAGGCGACAGGGAAGAATTATTGATGTTCACTCTCCAACCCTTGTGGCCAGTGTGACAATGAGGACCTGAGGTGACAGCTGACACTTCCCACCTTTCGACTCTGAGTAATCATCACGTCCCCATGGACAAGGCCTCTCAGGGGTGGAGAGGTTTAGGGTGAGATGAAGGTCCTGCAATTTCCATCTGTCTCCCGACCTAGTGTGGGCTGGATCCCAATAGACCCTCAACAACACATCTGATTTGATTTTAGTTTAAGTTCATTAGATTTTTGTTTCTCTTCCAATTTTTACTTTTTGTAAAATCAATAGAACAATGGCATGAGTATGTGGGTACAAAGCACCAAAACACTTTCAATAGCTAGAAAAAGCACCTTCCTCCGTGCGTACTAAGTCATTCTATTGTTCTCTAATTAAATCAGCCCGGCTTCCCCAGATCTGCTCGAATTCTGCAAGGCAGGCATCTACGGAGGGCTTCATTGCCTACTATTCCCTTGGGATAGGACCCTTCTTCTACTAAATAGTAAAATGTTCATTCCAAGTCCTCCCCATACTGTAGTTACAGAGGGAAACATGCTTCAGATCTTATGCATAAATTAAGTGCTGCTAAGCTTTGGCCTGGGGATATTTGGTGGGGCCCTGACTCTTCTGTGATTGTGGGTCCTGGAAGCCTGGAGTTCACAGGGGTAAGATGAGATGAGCTCCATCTAGGGTCAAAGAATGGGAGGGAAGGAGAGGTTGCATTCTCTCTATGTTCTCTACCACCGGGGGGATGTTTAACATCACACAGTATCATGTGGTGGTTAGGAGCAGACCCAAAGGTCAGGCAGAATTGGGATTTCAGTCCCAGTACCTCCATCTATGAGCCTGTGACCTTGGGCAGGTTACTGAACTTTGATTTTTCCCATGCGTATTAGTCTGTTCTCACACTACTAATAAAGACATACCTGAGACTGGATAATTTATAAAGGAAAGAGGTATACTGGACTCACAGTTCCACATGACTGGGGAGGCCTCAAAATCACGGCAGAAGGCAAAGGAGAAGCAAAGGCATGTCTTACATGGGTGCAATCAAGAGGGCATGTGCAGGGAAACTCCCCTTTATAAAACCAGATCTCGTGAGACTTATTCACTATCACAAGACCAGCATGGGAAAGACTTGCTCCCCAAGATTCAAACACCTCCCAGCAGTTCCCTCTCATGACACGTGGGAATTATGGGAGCTACTTTTGATTCAAGATGAGATTTGTGTGGGAACATAGCCAAACCATATCATCATCCAAAAAATGGGGGACAAAATGATTTGCGTTCATTGAGTAGGACTGCTGAGTACAGCTGTATCAGTTGTGCACTGTACAAGCCTAGGAGATGCCATGCACAAAGGTTATGAGCATGAGCTGTTACTCTGTGCCAGACACTGCTCTGAACACTTTTCATGTATTAATTCATCTAACTTTCAGAATAGCACTCCGAGGTAGGGTCAACAACCATTCCTGTTGTTATAGTTGAGGAAACTGAGGAATAGAGAGGTTGAGTGACTTACTGATGGTCATTCAAGTACTAAATGGCAGAGCTGGGATATGAACCCAGGTAGTCTGGTCATGAAGTTCCCACTCTGAGCCATTACCTTGCTCTCCCTTGGAAACAATAGTGCCCACTACAGACGCTCTGTACAAAAAATGTGGTATGGTACATGCCCAGCATCCACTTCCCATTCTTTTGAGAGAAGGACCCCATCTTCCCTGTGATAAATATCCATCTCCAAACATCCATGTGCTTTGATGGTGCAGATCCTGCTCCCCAAGCTCAAAGAGGGGCACATGACCCAGCCTACCCAATCAGAGCATCGCCTCCTGTTGGCCACAGTGGTTGGTTCTGTAATAACGACATGGTTGACACCAAGATTTTTGCTGAGACTATGAAAATAAAGTTCACTCTTTCTGAAGCAGGATAAAAGCTTGGAAAGTCTGGGCAAGATCGAAGAGTCTGCCTAAGAATACAAGATGGAACATGCTTAAGATATAAGCTGCTGTTGTATCTTAAAGCTGACCTAAGAGGTGGCAGAGACATAATCTTGATGACATGATTGGGGTACCTAGATCTAGCCAAACCTGAAGGCAGTCCTAGCCTCAGAACTTTTCAGATATTTTGGCCAATAACTTCCCTTTTTCTATGCAAGCCAATTTGAACTGGGTTACCACCCAAAACCCAGATACAAATGAGTGAATTAAAGGAGGTAATGCATACATGATGTTAGCCACAGAATAAACACTCAAAAGACATTGCTATCTGTCAGGCATGGTGGCTTATGCCTGTAATCCTAGCATGTTGTGAGGCCGAGGTGGGAGCATCACTTGAGGCCACGAGTTCCAGACCAGCCTAGGCACCATAGCTAGACCTCATCTCTATAAAGAGCAAAAAATTAGCTGGGCATGGTGGAGCGCCTGTAGTCCCAGCTACCCAGGAGGGTGAGACAGGAAGATTCCTTGAGCCCAGGAATGAAAGGCTGCTGTGAGCTATGATCACACCACTGCACTCCAGCTTGGGCAATCCCATCTCTTAAAAAAGCAAAACCAAACACTTCCATAGTGTTAATTGATGCTAATCTACCAAAAAAGTTGGATCAAAGTGGTTCCACCCAAAACCCTGTGACAGAGTAACAATTATTTACTGTTTACCTGTTCTGTGTATGGATCCTTACCCATAGGAGGATCAATATTTCCCTTTCCCGATTACTCATCGAGGGGGAAAGAGGGAAGGAGATTTCTTCAACACTCACTACATTACGCACTGCGTGGCCACTTAAAATTCATTATCACTATAGCCCACAACAGCCCTGCAAGGAAGCAGTCAGCCTTCATTATTTCACAAATGAGAAAACTGCAGCCCAGGAAGAAGTGATTTGCCCAAGGTCAGACTTGTGTGCTAGTGGTTGAGACTCCAAACCCATGCCCTTCCTGGGCCACCCCAAAGACTCCTCTACACACTAGTCTCTGTTCCTGAGCTAAATCTAGGCATTCTCTCCCCTCACCCACCTCTGTTTCATTCAGTGTGAGGCCAATTGAGATTCCTATCACATATACATCAACTACAAACTGTTGAATAGCATTACTTCTCTATGCGAAGCCATCTGCCTGCTTTAAATACCTAGGTGAAATGTTTGCTAGGATTTGTTAAGCTACTAGATGAGTTGACTAGACATATGGAATGAGGTGTGGAGAGGAAAAATTCCAGTCTTTGGGCAGAATGGTTAGAACCTGGATTTCTGGGTCTGGTTGAACAACTGAGGGGATTTAAAAATAGTGCATCACAAACACCACAGGGAAAGCATTCTGGTTAAGAAATGGTGTCTTTGGAAGGCTATTCTCAACACATCCCAGGCCTTGACATCCCATCAGGGTACTTGAAAGAACCAACCTTCAACATTAAGGCTTTCCCTGAAGGGAATCACCCACAGATCAAACTAGAGACAGCCCTAACATCAAACAAAATTGTTAAATGCAAACATATTAAGAATGTCGGCCGGGAGCGGTGGCTCACACCTGTAATCCCAGCATTTTGGAAGGCCGAGGCATGCAGATCACCTGAGGTCAGGAGTTCAAGACCAACCTGACCAACATGGAGAAACCCCATCTCTACTAAAAATACAAAATCAGCCAGGCGCGGTGGTGCATGCCTGTAATCCCAGCTACTCGGGAGGCTGAGGCAGGAGAATCGCTTGAACCTGGGAGGCAGAGGTTGTGGTGAGCTGAGATGGCGCCATTGCACTCCAGCCTGGGCAACAAGAGTGAAACTCCATCTCAAAAAAAAAAAAAAAAAGAATGTCAGGCCAGGTCCACCAATGGTCTGTGCAGCCCAGAAGTCTGATGACAGTGGCCATGGGGGAGAATATCTTAAGACAGTGTGGTGGCTACTCTTGGTGCCTTTTAACTTAAACTATTTGGGTATATATTGAATATTCCATAATTTTCATGACATTCTGCTCCAGACCATCACTTATCAATGTATCAAAACACTTCCCTGCTGGGCATGGTGGCTTACAGCTGTAATCCCAGATCTTTGGGAGGCCGAGGCAAACGAATCGGTTGAGGCCAAGAGTTTGAGATCAGCCTGGGCAACATGGTAAGACCCACCTCTACAAAAAATACAAAAGTTAGCCGGGCATGGTGGTGCACACCCATTAATCCCAGCTATTCGGGAGGCTGAGATGGGAGAACTGCTTGAACCCAGGAAGCAGAGGCTGCAGTGAGCCAAGATCACGCCACTCACTGCACTCCCGCCTGGGTGACAGAGCAAGATTCTGTCTCAAAAAAAAAAATCTTCCTGAATATTTATTTTTCTATCTTCTTCAAAGTAATAATAAATATTATTATTAGTAGTAGGATAATCACAACTACTTAGTATCAAGTGTTTACCACATTGCCAGAGACAGAATTCTGTCCCCTAGAAATGTGTATGTTGAAGCCACCCCCTAATGTGATGGTATTAGGAGATGAGGCTTTGGGGAGGTAATAAGGTTTAGATCAGGTCATGAGGGTGGGGCCTCCATGATGAGATTCGTGCCCTTAGAAGAAGAAACACCAAAAAGTTCCTTCCTCTCTACCATGTGAGGACACAGAGAGAAGGCATTTGTCTGTCTGTAGGCCAGGAAGAGAGCCCACAGCAGAACCCAGGCATGCTGGTACCCTGATCTCAGACTTCCAGCCTCCAGAACTATAATAAATAAATGTCTGTTACTGAAGCTACCTAGTTTAATTTACGGTATTTTTTTATGGCAGCCTGAGCTGATTAAGACATGTTAATTTATAACATGTAACATTTCTAGGAAGTAGCTGTTTTCAGTTTCAGATGAGGAAACTGAGGCACAGACAGGTTAGTTAACTCATCAATGTCACACAGCTAATAGTGAAGGTGGCAGAATCTGAACCGAGGTCTCTTTTAAGTCCACAGCTTTTTCCTGTAAGTCCTGTGGAATATGTTCACCACCTGCTGAGTAAAGCAGGCCTCCTTTCACTTGTCTTAAGTCTATTTCTTTGAGGGTTCAAGAGTCCTCCTAATTTTTTGTATTTTAGGATCTAAGGACTGCTTGAATCCTCCACCACTGAACAGACTTCAAAAGCTTCTATCCTGACTTCCTCTCTGGTGATGATGAATCTGGATCACACTGATGCTCCAAAGAGAGAAAGAAAAATAGAAAAGCAGGATAAAACATCCAAAAAAGGCCCTCCCCGATCCCCGTCTCATTTACATCCCTCTTTTATTATATTCCAGCACCCCTTTGCTCCCCTAAACAGCACCAGGTCTTGTGCCTCCACGTCTGTCTCCCCACTGGACACTGGGCTCCTGGAGGGTCACCTGGCTCTTGTTCAACTCTGGGTCCTGACATAGTATGAACTCGACACATGTCGTGTACTGAGAGACTGAGGCAGACACGTGAGCTCAGCAGCATCAGTGAACCCGCAGGGTGAGCCAGGACTGCCTGACTCTGTAGCCTGTCTGCACTGCATGCATCCTTGGGAAGAAGCCCGCAACCAGGAGTGCTCCCCCATCCTCCATGCATAGGTCTCTAACCCAGATACCCACAGTGTCCACAGGAAGGACAAGGGGTGGGACCTGTGGGCAGGATCCCCCTCTGTAGGAGGAAATGACCTGGACAGGGAGGGTGACCACAGCCTTATTCACCAGACCCCACATACCCGAGCTGGTACCTTTCTTCAGAGCCAGAAGGAGGGTACTCTGGGAGAAACAAGGGAAGCCCAATTATAACCAAGTACCCCCATTTTTCTAAGACACAGGGTTTTTTTTTTTCTCTTCTTTTCTCCTTTCCCCTTTCCCTCTACTTCCTACTTAGCCCTTTTTGAAATGCAAAATAACCTCTCACCTCCCCCTCACCCAATGTTTCCTATAGAGCAAGTTCATCTATGTGCTCCAAGATGAATTTCTCCTCCAGAGCAGACAATTGATTTGGAAATCAAAGCATGTCCCCAGGAAAGTACCCCCTCCAGGGGGTTGCCTCAGGAGGGCATGCCTAAGGCATGACCACTCGGCCACTTTTACAACTTACTCTTGCCCAGAAAGGTGCCAACTCAACTGCCCACTAGGTAACTACCTGGTAGCAGGGAGACCCCCCTCCCTTGCTCACTCTCCTCCTGACCTTATGGAAGTGTCTGCTTTTTGCTCCAAAGGCAAAGCGGCACATTTAAAGTAGGATGTTTTGTGCCCTTCTCCCAAGCTAGCTTCAGAAATGAACTCACTTTTCCTGTACCAGGCCTGGTTCTTGTTAATTGGACTCTACATGCGGTGGCCAGCAACTAACCCAATTTTCAGTTACACTATTAATGGTCAGGGCAGAGGGCATTTTAATGAGATTTCTCTTTAATAAGTGGATTATTTTGCTAAAAAGAAAACACACCGCGTGTGTGCACACACCCACACGAGCCTGGAAACCACCAGCGTAATTCAAATCCTAGCAGAAACTGATTGAGCACTGAGGGACGGAACCACGAGTAGTGAAAGGAAAATATCTTGAGCCCCCGAATCACTAAGCTAGACAGAAAATTCAAGCTGGGAACTGCTCAGGGCAAATCTGCCCTCATTCTATTCAAAGTCATCCCTCTGCTCACTGAGATAGATGCATATTCTGACTGCCTCCTTTGGAAAGGCTTATCAGAAACTCAAAAGAATGCAACCATTTTTCTCTCACCTACCTGTGACCTGGAAGCCCCCTCCCAGCTTTGAGCCGTCCCTGCCTTTCTGGACAAAACCACTGTACTTCTTACACATATTGATTGATGTCTCATGTCTCCCTAAAATGTATAAAACCAAGCTGTGCCCCGACCACCTTGGGCACTTCGTCAGGACTTCCTGAGGCTGTCACAGGCGCACGTCCTCAACCTTGGAGAAATAAACTTTCTAAATTAACTGAGACCTGCCTCAAATTCTGGGGGTTCACAGAGTCTTGGCCATGGAGGTAGACTTTCCATCATCCTGCACCACTCCCAACTCACCAGAATATCCAGCTAAACAGAACACCCTCTGCCTGACCAACTGATTTAAAATTTGGATTCTAAGATGTTTAACACTGACCCATTAGATTACATCAAAATCAAGAATTTCTCTTCATAAAAAGACACCACCAAGAAAATGTAATGGTCAACCCTAAAGTGAGAGAAAATAATGGCAATAGACATATGTAGCAAAGAGCTTCTATCAAAGTATCCCACAAATCACTAAGAAAAATACAAACAACCCAACAGAAAAATAAGCATATGCCTTGGACAGGTAAAAATAAATATCGAAATGGATGATATACTTTGAAAAGGTGAACATCAGAGAAGTGCAAAATAGAATAAAAAATATTCTCCTTCCCTCGGAATGGCTAAAATGCCAACAACTGATAATAATACCAACTGCCAGCCATGACAGGAAGCCAGTAGGACTTTCATGTTCTGTTGATGGGAATGTAAATGTCTACAGGTACCTTGGAAATTTATTTTGTAGTATCTGCTAAAGACAAAAACCATGTGTACTATGACCCAGAGATACCACACTTCTAGTTATGCACCCTACAGAAATGCATACATTTGCTCCCCTCCCATAAAATAATGTGCAAAAAAATGTTCATACTGGCTCTATTCATAACCAAAACCTAGACAAAACCCACATATCCATAAACAGCAACATGGATAAGATAAATTGTGGTAGTCACATACAACCGCAACAACAATAAACCAATTATTAGGTTGGTGCAAAAGTAACTGCAGTTTTTGCCATTAATTTAATGCCATTACTTTTTGCCATTACTTTAATTGCCTAAAACACACGCAATAATATCAATATAGCTCACATGCATAAATAGAGGGAAAAAAGGCAAGATACAAGGCCAGCACATGTGGATGGTGAGAATTTCTCTAACGAGAAACATGGGAAGACAGAAGACAAAAGGCCTGTGTGGAAGGGGACAGGTTCTCACACTGGCATTTGGTTCATCACCCTTTCTGCTAAAACCACCAGTTGGCTTTTGAGAACTGGCTTTACTGCAAAGGCCAGGTGGAGGGTGGGGCCAGGGTAAGGAGATTTTATCTTCCCCAGGATTACTCAGTGCTTGAGACACTGGTGCTAGGATGACAAGCTCATCCCTTTTGGTCTGGGACTTTCTGGTTTTAAAAGTCCTTTGTCCTGGGAATCTCAGACCTGCATAAATAAAAATGGCTCTGAAATTGGAAAGAAATAGGGGTTCACATTCCAGTTCACCCAAAATTGAGGAACATTCTACAATGCAACTGGCCTGAACTCTCCAAAAAATGTCAGTATCATAAAAAAAGACAGACTGAGGAACTATGACACCATGAAAATAATGGAAGCAGTTTTACTTTCCAAGTTGGATCCTAAATTGGGAGATAAATTGCTATAACGGACACTGGGGGGTAATTGGCAAAATTTAAAAAGACAGCAGATAAAATCAGGGGTCAGATAATAATTATTTTAGGCTTGGCAGGTCAAGAGGCAAAATCAAGTATATATGTGGGTACTTACATAACCACCTTAAATGTAACCATTTAAAAACAAAAAAAAAAATTCTTTGCTCACCAGCTATAATAAAATAAACAAACAAAAACCACAAAGAAACATGCAGTTGGCTGGACTTGGCTTTTGGGCCCTAGTTTGCCAACTCCTGGATTAGAAAATATTTTTAGGCAGGGCGCAGTGGCTCACACCTGTAATCCCAGCACTTTGGGAGGCCGAGGTGGACAGATCACCTGAGGTCGGGAGTTTGAGACCAGCCTGACCAACGTGGAGAAATCCCGTCTCTACTAAAAATACAAAAAATTAGCCGGGCATGGTGACGCATGCCTATAATCCCAGCTACTTGGGAGGCTGAGACAGCGGAATCGCTTGAACCCAGGAGGCAGAGATTGTGGTGAGCTGAGATCATGCCACTGCACTCCAGCCTGGGCGACAAGAGCAAAACTGTGTCTCAAAGAAAAAAAAAAGAAAGAAAAGAAAAAAGAAAAGAAAAGAAAAGAGAAAGAAGGAAAGAAAGAAAGGGAAGAAAGAAGGAAGGAAGGATTTTTATCAATATTAAATTTTGTGATTTTGATTAGGATACAGGGGCACCATGTCTTTAACTTGCTTTTAGATAATTCAGAAAATTTATAGAGAGAACCAGATCGCAAATGTGGAAAAATATTAAAAGTTGATGAATCTGGGTGAAAAACTTAAATAAGCCCTTTGAACTATTCTTGCAACTTCTCTGTAAGTTTTAAATTCTTTCAAAATATATTTTCTTAAATCTCAGTTCCATCCATCTCTGTGACTTTGAGCAATTTGCCTCTACGCAGAGCCTCCTCCTGTATAAAATGGGCATAGGCTGGGCGTGTTGGCTCAAGCCTGTAATCCCAGCACTTTGGGAGGTTGAGGCTGGAGGATCGCTTGAGCCCAGGAGTTTCAGACCAGCCTGGGCAACATGGTGAAACCTCATCTCTACAAAAAAACAAACAAACAACAACAAAAATTAGCTGGACATGATGGTGAAACTTCATCTCTACCAAAAAAAAAAAAAAATTAGCAGGGCATGGTGGCACATGCCAGCTACTTGGGAGGCTGAGGTGGGAGGATTGCTTGAGCCTGAAATGTTGAGGCTGCAGTGAGCCATGATTGAGCCACTGCACTCTAGCCTTGGTGACAGAGCAAGACCCTGTCTCAAAAAAAAAAAAAAAAAAAGAAAAAAGAAAAAAAAAGAAAAGGCATAATACTAGCTGTCTCCTCTCCTCTGGAGTCTGGCCACCACCTGTCCGGTCTCTCCCCACTCATTCACTGAGCACTTGCTGTATACAGTCACACTCCCACACACTGGTTCAAAACAGAAAAGGCTCCTGCCATTGCAGAATTCACTGCACTCAAGTGGGTTTGGGGGATATAATCAGGTCATGACGTTGATATATTTGGCACCATGACTAGCACAGTGTAAAGAATCAATGTTCCCCGTCAATATCGTTGCTGTAGAATAGTTATCACGACCTTGACAGGCCCCTCCATGACTAAATGGTAACAGGTCCTTTTGGGGAGATGTCCCCGCCTTCTTGCCTATAATGAAACCAGCCTCTTCCCACTTCATTCATCATAGCATTGAATGTGTCAACATTTGTGGGGTGAACAGGCCTGTGATAACCATGTTTTTAACCAATTACAATTCTGTCTTTATCTTCTCCGACAGGAGGTTATGTTAACATTGAATAAATTCACTCCAACATAATCGTTTTAAAAAAGGCTCTTCAAATAAAACATCGCAGGAAGCCACCTGTTCCATAGTTCCTGGCTGGGGAAAAATGTTCCCCAGGTGCCCACACACAAAAGACTCCCATCAGGGTCATCTTCCCAGTGCTTACTAACTATTTCCAATGTCTCATGGAAGCATGGATGACACACGGTGATAAATGTCCCAATTAAGGGCACTGAGCATGAATCCAGGGTTATTAGTCTTCTAAGCACTAACAGAGAGCCTCGGGCTATTAACAAACCACTGCTGGGAGCTCACAGTGTATAAGTCGCACAAGGCTTTGTGGCTCCACCTGAGTAAACACCGGAGCTGACCCAGAATTCCCAAGTGGAAGGACCTACAGGAGCACTCAGGGTGTCCAGGGAAGATGTGGCCTGTAGTCCCTGCACTTTGGGACGCCAAGGCGGGTGGATCACTTGAGCCCAGGAGTTCAAGACCAGCCTGGGCGACACAGAGAAACTTTGTCTCTAGCAAAAATACAGAACAATTAGCCAGGTGTGGTGGTGCATGCCTGTATTCTGCTTGAGGTTGAGGCTGTAGTAAACCGCGATTGCACCACTGCACTCCAGCCTGGATGACAGGGCAAGACCTTGCCTCAAAATAAAAAAAAAAATTAAAAAGGATGTAATAGCCCCGAGACAGCAGAGGACCAACAGGAGGCATTGGTGGCATGGCGGGGAGAGGTTAAATTCCCAGGTACCTGAGTCGGATTCCTTCAGTTCAAACCCAGGCTGGGATTTTTATTAATTACCTTTGTGACTTTGGCTAAGTCTTTTACTATGTTTACTCACCCCAGTCCCTGCCTTTAAGGGTTTAGAAAAAAAACGATGGAAACAAAGGAATAATTACAGGGAGTGACAAGTACTAACTCAGGGGCAGGCCCAACAGATTGTGGGGAAGGAGAGGCGGCACCCTCACCCAGCCCATGGAGGACCAAGAGGGCTCCAAGAGAGGACACCCAAAGTCAATTTCACAGAATGCTTAGATGCTTATCAGGCAAAGAGGGATCAGTGAAAGAAGCAAGAACCCAGCCAAGGGCATTGCTTGGGCAAAGGTGAAGAGGTGAGGGCAGGTGCAGAGGACACCAAGCCATCCTAAGCTTCGGGTGAGGGGTGACAGGAGGGTAGGTGCCAAAATATGCATCCGTGTAGGTCAAGGGAAGAAACCTGGACTTTAGGCTGAAGGCAATGTGAAACTACCAATGGATCTTGAACACACAAAGAACCGACTTTGCGTTTAAATTTTAAAATTCTCTCTCCAAAGATCAGACGGTACAAAGATTGCTCAGACAAGACCAGAGGCCAGCCAACTTGAGAGAAATCCAAGTACTAGATATTCAGGTGGACTGTAATACAAGCAGAGAGAGACGGGGGATGCATTTCAGAGCTATTTAGAGGGTACAATGACTTGGTGGCAGCTTTGTTCTCAGAAGGAAGAGGTGAATACAGCCCCCAGCATGAATTAAGTAAACGACTAAAGAGTTCAGTGCAAATCCTTCTCTATCTAACAGAAAGCAAGTAACATATTGCCTCTGTGGAAGAGACAAAGGTCAGAAGCATGAATCAAATAGGGGGAGAGAAAAAGCAACTGCTGCCCTGGAGCAGACATCATCTCCGACTTTCTCCTTGGAGCCAGGTGTTAGCATCTGCTGCTCACAGATGTTATTTGTGCACAGCGATTATCTCAATTATATATCTTGGTTGTTGGAACTGCTTCTGTCTCCAGATTAGTTTGTTTCCAGTGGAAACATTCCATGAGAATTAATTAGAAATCAGCTCTGAAAAAAAACAGGTGTCATTAGATCAACCCCACACCTTGTCTGCCTACCTGTTCCAAGAGGTCTTATAAAATCATGTGCTCAGAAACTAAAATCTTCCAATAGCTGACACCGGTGAATGAAAGGAGAGAGCCAATTGGGGATGTTATGTTATATTTTGAGATCACTGTCTTTTTTTTTTTTTTTTTGAGACAGTTTCGCTCTTGTTGCCCAGGCTGGAGTGTAATGGTGTGATCTTGGCTCACCACAACCTCTGCCTCCCAGGTTCAAGCGATTCTCCTGCCTCAGCCTCCTGAGTAGCTGGGATTACAGGCATGCGCCATCATGCCCAGCTAATTTTTGTATTTTTAGTAGAGAAGGGGTTTCTCCATTTTGGTCAGGCTGGTCTTGAACTCCTGACCTCAGGTGACCCGCCCGCCTTGGCCTCCCAAAGTGCTGGGATTACAGGCATGAGCCACCATGCCTGGCCAGGAGATCACTGTCTTAGGGTTTTCAATTTAATGACTCCTTTCAAATCCATGGTCCAGTGTTCTTTATATCAGCCCAATCAGCTGAGATTATCGTACCCCCTTATTAGGCAAGAAAGACTCTATGCAAGGCAGCTGACTTGCCCAAGATCTGCAGCAAGGTAAGTGTCATTGGCAGGATTTGAATCCTATATATGGCTTTCAGGAGTCTTCTGTATTGTATCAGGAGGGTTTTAAGCCTCAGGTGTTCACTGAGATGTATCCAAAGCTCCCAGTGGAGGGAAACTGGGAGAAAAGAACCAAATGATTATCTTAGGGTTCTAGATGCAGGGGCAATGAACAGAGGGGGTGCCTGCCCATCTGGAGAGAAGATGCTGTAGCTAAGGGAAACTGTTGCTGCTGGTAGAGCCTGATATTCTGCACATCAGGGCTCCTGTGATTTAGCTGGGGACTTGCCTTTTTTTTTTTTTTTTTTTTTTGAGGCCGGGTCTTACTATGTTGCCCAGGCTGGTCTCAAACTCCTGGGCTCAGAGAAAAAGACCTCCCTCTGTCTCCCAAAGTGCTAGGATTACAGGTGTGAGACATTGCACCTGGAATCCTGCCAATTTTTACAAGCCGTTCTGGCCACACCTTCCTCTGCTCAGTAGCTTTCTATGGCTCCCTGTGGCTTTGGGATAAAACTGAAGCTCCTCAGCCAAGCTCACTAAACCATTCATGAACTGGCTCCAGCCTCCATTACCAGCACTATCCTCTCTGCCCTTTTAACCCCTGGATACCTTATACTCCAGCAATACCATGCCGAACTGAATATGCTTTCTGTCTCTGTGTGCCTCTGCCCTTTTACGCACTGGTGTTTCCTCCTAGAATGTCTACATACATGTACCTTATCTAACCAGCAATTCATTTCCATCTTTAAAGAGATAACCAAAGCTACCAGCTCCTCTCTCAAAGCAAAATTAAGGGCCTCCTCTTTAGCTAATCCAAATAGTCCTCCAATAAAGAGTATCGGGGAATCTGCCCCGATATTCACGTAGGTTCTTTTCTATTTTCCTTAAGAGTCAGCCAGCTTGAGAAATAAAGGGACAGAGTACAAAAGAGAGAAATTTTAAAAGCTGGGTGTCCGGGGGAGACATCACACGTCGGTAGGTTCCGTGATGCCCCACAAGCCACAAAAACCAGCAAGTTTTTATTAGGGAGTTTCAAAAGGGGAGGGAGTACGCGAATAGGTGTGGGTCACAGATGTCAAGTACTTTACAAGGTAATAGAATACAACAAGGCAAGTGGAGGCAGGGCAAGATCACAGGACCACAGGACCGAGGCGAAATTAAAATTGCTAATGAAGTTTCAGGCACCATTGTCATTGATAACATCTTATCAGGAGACAGGGTTTTGAGATCAACCGGTCTGACCAAAATTTATTAGGCGGGAATTTCCTCTTCCTAATAAGCCTGGGAGAGCTATGGGAGACTGGAGTCTCTTTCACCCCTGCAGTCTCGACCATAAGAGACAGGCGCACCTAGGGGGGCTGTTTATAAGCCTATACCTCCAGGCACGTATTCTCTTTCCCAGGGATGTTCCATGCTGAGAAAAAGAATTCAGCGATATTTCTCCCATTTGCTTTTGAAAGAAGAGAAATATGGCTCTGTTCCGCCCGGCTCACCGGCAGTCAGAGTTTAAGGTTATCTCTCTTATTCCCTGAACAATTGCTGTTATCCTGTTCTTTTTTCAAGGTGCCCACATTTCATATTGCTCAAGCACACATGCTGTACAATTTGTGCAGTTAATGCAATTATTACAGGGTCCTGAGGCGATATACATCCTCCTCAGCTGACAGGATTAAGAGATTAAAGTAAAGACAGGCATAGGAAATCACAAGGGTACTGACTGGGGAAGTGTTAAGTGTCCATGAAATCTTTACAATTTATGTTTAGAGACTGCAATAAAGACAGGCATAAGAAATTATAAAAGTATTAATTTGGGGAACTAATAAATGTCCATGGAATCTTTACAATCCACGTTCTTCTGCCATGGCTTCAGCTGGTCCCTCCATTTGGGGTCCCTGATTTCCCACAACAAAAGAGTTTATCACTCTGCTTGTTATAGCCTGCTTCTAGGACTAGGAGCCCCTTAAGGGCAGAGACCTTGACATTTCCTCTTTATCCCTGTAGCTTGGCCTCAAATTCATCCCAGAGTGGAGATCATATCCATATTTGCAGAGTGAACACAGTTCTAACATGTGCATTCGAACACATTCCCTCCTACATGTCCTTTATACAACAAAACTTTCGGCCAGGTGTGGTGACTCACACCTGTAATCCCAGCACTTTGGGAGGCTGAGGTGGGTGGATCACTTGAGGCCAGGAGTTAGAGACCAACTCAGTAAAACCTGGCCAAGATGGTGAAACCCCATCTCTACTAAAAATACAAAAATTAGCAGGGCATGGTGGCGGATGCCTGTGATCCCAGCTACTCGGAAGGCTGAGACAGGAGAATCACTTGAACCTGGGAGGCAGAGTTTGCAGTGAGCCAGAGATAGGGCCACTACACTCCAGCCTGGATGACACAGTGACACTGTCTTAAAAAAAAAAACACCTTTCTCTAGGTTTTCTGTCATCACAGTGAGCGAATGTGAAGGTCGCAGAACATGTTCTAATTTCTTTTTTTTTCTTTTCTTTTTGAGACGCAGTCTTGCTCCATCGTCCAGGCTGGAGTGCAGTGGCACAATCTCGGCTCACTGCAAGCTCCACCTCCTAGGTTCATGCCATTCTCCTGCCTCAGCCTTCCTAGTAGCTGGAACTACAGGCTCCTGTCACTGCATCTGGCTAATTTTTTATATTTTTAGTAGAGACAGGGTTTCACCATGTTAGCCAGTTTGGTCTCGATCTCCTGACCTTGTGATCCACCCTCCTCGGCCTCCCAAAGTGCTGGGATTACAGGTGTGAGTCACCGCACCTGGCCTTTTTTTTTTTTTTTTTTTTTGACAGAGTCTTGCTCTGTTGCCCATGCTGGAGTGCAATGGCGCGATCTCAGTTCACCACAACCTCTACCTCCCGGGTTCAAGTGATTCTCCTGCCTCAGCCTCCTGAGTAGCTGGGATTACAGTCATGCACCACCACACCGGGCTAATTTTTGTATTTTTAGTAGAGACAGGGTTTCACCATGTTAACCAGGCTGGTCTCAAACTCCTGACCCCAGGTGATCCACCCGCCTCAGCCTCCCAAAGTGCTGGGATTACAGGTGTGAGCCACTGTGCCCAGCCACCTGCTCAAGTTTCTGAAGGCTTCATTGCCTTTCCCTCCTCAGCCCCTGGGCCATCATGTGATGATGATGATGATGCTTCGCTTTAGAAAAAGGGCTCAGAGAGGTCGGGACACTTGTCAAAAGTCATGAATTAGCAAGTGCTGGATCCAGTTTTCTCTACTCAAAAATTAACTAATTTTAAAATAGGGGGAAATAAGATCTGTCACACTAATATAACCTCAGTGACAGTTTCCTCATCTGCAAAATATACATGCTACCACTGAACTCGAAAGGGTGTTCTGAGGGATAAATAAAGCCTATGGTTCCCCCCAGAACCCCTTCATGTGGTTGTTTAAAAATGCAGATCCTGAATTCCAACCAAAACTTGATTTTTTTAAAATGGGGTGGGGGAGGGGGCAGAATCCAGAAGTCTGTGATTTTAAAATGGTGTTTAACTTCTCTGATGTGCAGCCAAATTTGAGAAACCCCAAGACACTAAGGAAAAGTCTGGTACATAGTAAGTGCCTGACAATAGAAGTTAATAGGACCCGTATTGGTCAAACCAAGTTGTAAGGGTATAGGACATGTATTGCTGTGTGCCCTTAGGTAAATTGCTCAACCTCTCAGAGACTGCCTCTTCATTAGTAAAATGGGTTAAAAATAGGAATATCCACCTCCTAGGGTTATGGCAAGGATTTTCTGAAATAACACACTTAAGTGTTGCTAACCAAACCTCATCTGCACATCCCATCAATTCCAAATCAGCTCCAAGTTTGTCCCTTCTTGCCATCTCTATCAATACTCCCCCAACCCAGGTGACCATTTCCTCTGGCCTAGAAGGGTGCATTAGCCTTCTAAGGATATTCCCTCATACCCTCCACAATCCAATCTCCATGCAGAAGTACAATCCTCTAAAACGTGAATCAGATTCTGTCACGCTTCGCTCACAACCTCCCAATGGCTTCTCACCACCCCCGGGATAAAATCCAAACTTCCAGGCCCCGTATGTTCTGGTCCCTGCCTATTTCTCCTTCTCCCAGGGTATTTTAGCTGACCACCCAAGCTAAACAGGACGCCCCTGCAGTTCTCTATCTTAGCACCCTATTTATTTCCTTTCTCATTCAAATTAAGGTGTGGGATGATTCTATTTATTCGTATCATTGTTTGTCTTCTTTTCCATCAGATGTAAATTCTATGACGGTGGGTACCACCGCTGTCTCACTATCCATGGTGCTTATATCCAGCACACTGCCTGACACACAGTAGGTACTGCATAAATATTGAATGAATGAAATTGTTCAGCACCATGCTCAGCACTTAAGTAGCAGCCAGCAGCAAAGTTAGCTCCCTCTTCCTTCATCCTCCTGTCTGCTTTCCCTACCTATGTCCCTGGAGCCTTCAGGCAAAGGACAAATACTGTACATTGGAGAGGAGATGCAGCAATGCCCAATGTCATCACTGCTTTATTTGATTAGCTCTGACTCTGGCATCTGGGACACGTGCGCTGGGAGCCAAAGCAACTGTACCCTGACCTCTGGTCCACGCGATCCCATCCTTATAACGATTTCCATGACAACAGCAACGAAAAGCCAAAGCTGTGGATTTCCTTTGATAGGAGCCGGATGCAGAGACTAGGAAGAAGGACTTTCAGAAGAATGAGGCTCTTTGATTCAGCTCAAAGCGCCTTCATTAAATACCACTTTTTCCCAAGAACATGCATTTTAACCCTGCAGAGGGAGAATTCTCATGAATACTTAATAAAAAAAAAAGAAAAAGTAACAAAATCTCTGTGTGGTTTCTTTTCAAAAACATCCACCTGTTGGGGGAAGGGAAGCTTGGGTGCTGTGGCACTGGGGACATTTTGATGGAAAATGGGCAGGTATGTGGCCTTCTGCCAAGGGAGTTGCTCAACTCAAAATGCCTGGCCCCTGGCTGGGCAATCACACAGCAACTCTGCCTACCTAGAAGCAAGCCAGGTGCCTCAAGGTTCCGTACCCACCTGGTCAGCCAAGCAGACAGGAAGACGCAATGTGAGTCAAAAGCATCTCTCAATTCTGCACTTAGAATCACAAACTTGGTATTCAAATCCCCGACTCTGCCACTTACCTGCTGTGTTACTTTGGACACACCACTTGCCACCTCTGGACAACATTTTCTCATCTGTAAAATGGGCACAATGCCACCTCCCCTCCCCTAGGGGTATCATGAGGATTAAGCAGGGCAATGCGTTCAAGCACAGGTGATACTGGCTTCCTGACATGGCCATGAAGAGGATAGAATGACCAGCCATCCTGGCTTGCCCAGGACCCAGGACTGGCAGTGCTAAAACTAAGAAAGTCTCAGACAAGTCAGGATGGTGGGTCACCCTAGAAGAGAATGATTTGATAAAGGAGATGGCTAAGAGTCGCAGAATTTTCAAGATGGAAGGGCCCTCCCAGTGTCTTCTGGTTTAACAAGTTTGCTTCTGCCATATTCTTTCCAATAGCACATAAACTCGCTCTATTCATGAGAAAACCATCAAACCCAGATTAGAAGACATGCCATAGGATACCTGTCCAGTGCTCCTCAAAACTGTCAGGGTCATAAAAAGCAAGGTCAGCCTGAGAAACTGTCCCAGACCAGAGGAGACTGGGCAGGTATGACAGCAAAATGCAGAGTGTGGTCCCGGGTTGGATCCCGGGAGAGGAAATGGGAGAGACTGGTGAAATTCAAATCAAGTCTAAATTTAGGTTTTTGTTTTGTTTTGTTTTGGTTGAGGTCTTCTAGTTAAGCGAATAAGCTCTAACTGAAATGTTTTGTTTTACAGATAGAAACTGACACCAGAGACTGGAAGCAGCCGAAGCTGTGGGATCGCTGTTTCCAACCCTTGGCGCTATAGTCTGCTGCCTTTTGCTGTCTTCCTGGGGACCTGTTGGTCATCATGGGCTGTGTCTCCAGAAGGAAGAGAGAAGGGCACTGGGTTTGGAGTCAGGAAACATGGGTCCCAGGCCCAGCTCAGCCTCTGACTGGAGGAAGGGACAGTAACCCTCCAAGAAGGCAGGTGGCGAAGGCATCTGGGCTTAGCAAGAATGACTTATCCGAGGGAAGGTAACATCAATTGCATGGACACAACACTTCCAACAGAGCTCTGAGCCTCCCCAGGTGTCTTCAGCTCCCCATGGGGACCGGTAGCAAATCCTGAGTTCCTGCTACATCATTCAGCTTTGGGACATCTCTCCGCAAGGCTTGCACCACCCTGTGGGATCCATTCACACTTCTCAACACTAGCTGCCCTGGGCCACAGTCTGCCACCGCAACCGCCCACACTCATCACATCTCCTTAGGTCCCCAGTCTCTGCTCCGGCCTCACCTCCCTACCACCCTCAGACCTGCCGCTCCTCCTGTCCTCCTTTGAGTCGGCCCAAGGATGGTAGAGCCTGAAGACCTGGGTTCAAATCCTGGCTCTGCCGCTTTCAAGCTGTGTGACTTTGGGTGGGTCATCGTACCTTTCTGCCACCCGATCACCTGCACTTGTGAAATGAAGTTGATGATCTCACCTCACTCAGCAATCCTGAGAACACCATGCAGCACCATGTGCAGAGATACAGAGGACCCAGTACCTAGTGAGGGCTCCAGCTGGTAGCAGCCAGTGGTCAACATCATGCCTTGATCAATATCATTAGCATACTAATAGGCAGTCAAACTGCCAACGTTTGTATAACTGTTGCTATTGTTAAGCATTGGTTTTGCATGACTGGCACTATTGCACTATTGCTATTTGGCTCATACCTAGTCCTGGCAGTCACCACACACACACACACACACACACACACACACACACACACACTATTGCTATTTGGCTCATACCTAGTCCTGGCAGTCACCACACACACACGCATACACGCATACACACATACACATACACACACACACACACACACACACACACACACACACACAACAGGCACACTGCACTCAGCCATTCTGGCCAGTGCTGATCTGCCCAAGCCTTCCAGACAGAAGAATTCTGCCTCATCTCTGAAAAAGGGAACAGGACTCCTTCTTAGACCCCTCCTCCTCACCTACACTCCACATGACCCTCACAGCCCTGAAATGCCCCCCATCTCCCTGCACATCTGTGAAAGTTGGAGGTTGGCACCATGGTTCCGCTCATACCTGGGAGGGACAGCAATTCTCTGCAGGTCGTAGCATCCTCCCCAGCCTGATTCTCAAGGGGATCCCGTGACACCCACCTGGCTGTGCACTTTCTCCAGCTCCTCCTTGCTGACTGATGTCTTGCCATCCTCCATGGTGCCCAGAAGGAGCTGCACGTCTGACAACAGTGCATGTGTCCTCCTGAGGTCTCTCCGAAGTCGCTTCTCCACATCAAAGTCCCGATGGCCAATCTGAAAGCCAAAGGGAGACCCATGAGCTTAGGTGGCAAAGCAGTGGCCAGGGTCTAAGTTTTCCGGAATCAGGTTCCCTGGTTTAAATCCTGCCTCTGCCACTCACACCGTGTGACCTTGGACAAGACCATTCTCCTCTCCGAGCCTCAGTTTCCTCAACTGAGAAATGGGATTGGCACCAACCACATTGGGCTGCTGTGAAAATTAAATACATGCCTAGCCTAATGCTTGACACAGAATAAATGTACAAGAAATATGAGTTACTATCATTGCTGCTATCATAGCCCGTATGGATCCAAAGCCACTCTGTCATCCCATCTCTTGCACGCAAGTCATCAGTGTGACCTCACCTCATCTTGTAAGAGCCTCATGTGCCAGGTGAATCCCTCTGCTGCTGGCCAGGTTCTGCTGACAGCAGTTAGGACAGTCCTGGGTGGGCAGGGACTGGACAGAGCCTCTGGACTTCTGGAGAGTTATTAATGTTATTGATCTGGGTGTTGTTTTATGAGTTTATGAAAATTCACTGAGCTGTACACGTGGGATACGGAGTACTCTGTATTTGTGTTACACCTCAGTAAATTGTAAATGTGCTCCTTTTGAAGTCAATCCTTTCTGTCCTTTGGTCCTCTTTTCCAGTTGGAGGACAAACAAATGAGATCATTTTCTGCAGAGGAACCTTACCCAGAGGTGAGTACATTCCTTCCCCCAGAATCTTGAATTTGCCAGGGACAGCTGTCAAGGGAGTCCCAAAGAAGCCGCATCCTGGACTGGGCACCAGGAGTGTGACCTTAGACTCCTTGACAGCCTTCAGTGGCCAAAAAGTACAGGTTAAGCCAAAACAGAAGAGGTGCAGAATTACACCAGGGCCCTACATGAAATTTCGACAGCTGGTCACCTCTCTAGAAATAGTGCTGACTTAAAAGACAACGTGTTAACATCTCTGAAAGAAACTAACAACTCCCTTCTTGGACTCTTCAGGAGACCAGACGATACAATACGGGCCTGTCCATCAGATGGGGAGTTTCAAGGAAAACAGGGTGCAGATGCCTCAACACTGGGATGTGGTTTTTACACACCTGGAAATCTGTGTCTCCACATGAAATGCTAACCATTTCCTGGGATGCTCAGAATGTCCTGGAATATTCTAGAAAAAACATGGGGTTGAGAATGAGCAGATCTAGGCTTTAAACCCTGGCTCACCATTTGCTGATGATGGAGCAGTGGCTGAGTCACGCCACATCTCTGAACCTGAGTTTTCTCATCCACAAAAAGAGAGGTTAAAAAAAACACCCTATCCTTCGTGTTGAGATAAGACAAGGATCAGATGTGATAATGGATTCCAAAGCACTTTGTAAGCTGTTGAGTGCTTTGCAAATATAAAGGATTATGAGTATTGTCTGAAGACCTCGAATGTGTTCCTCTAGATTTTGTATTTCTATTTCTCTACTGCTGGTTTTGAGTTCTTTGAAAAACGAGTTGGTTCTCAGAATACGGTCTTTATATCTGAAATGTATTGTTTTGGTAGGTTCAAAATGCTGTTCTATTATACACACACACACACACACACACACACACACATACACACACACAATCTCACCTGCTGAACTGAGTTAAGGGCTGGGCATTGTGCCAGGCTCTTTGTCACGTTATTGCATTTAACTCCTGTGACAATCTCCTTAAATAGACCTTATTATTATTGCCTTTACAAATGTAGTAATAGCTTACATTTATAGACAGTTTTAAGTGTCATATACTATTCTAAACACTTTATAGCTATTGATGCATTTAGTCATCATGATGAATCAATGAGGTGTATAGTATTATGATTCCCATTTTACAGATAATGAAACTGAAGTATGCAAAGATGAAGTAATTTGCCTCAGATCACACAGCTAGTAAGTGGCAGAGTTGGAATATGAATCCAGCTTTTCTGGCTGGAAAGTGGTAATTTTAGTAAAATATAACATTAGATAGGTGTGTTTTAGTCTTTAATTCTGAAAAAATATATATTATGGGGGCACAGAAGAGCATTACCCAGCTCAGGCTGGGATGGAATTGGGAAGTAGGAGGTAGCTACTCCTAGCTAGGGGAGGTGGAGGAAGAGCATTTTAGGTAGAAAGCACTTAATGAGCAAAGGCGGAGAGGCAAGAAATAATCTGGGCTATGCATTTCGGGGTGGTTGCCATGAGGGTATAAAACCCCGAGTTGAGGGGCAGGTTACAAAGTGAAAGAGGTTATCCAGGGCTCTTACATGGAGGAACAACTGATATGAAAGAGCAAATGATCTGCCCAATGTCATATTGCTACTAAGTGGCTGTGCAGAGATCTGAATCCAGACAGCTCAGCATTAGGATGTAAGTCTGTAACTACTGCACCACAGTGCCTAGTGGAGCTGCTTCATAAACTCAGATTTACTTACTCTAGAACCCAGACTCATGAGTATGCTTAGGCAGTGGGCTTTGCACATTTCTTATATTTGTGTCTGTTTTTGTTTTGCATATATCCTAAAGTGCCTTTAATTCTCCTGTGGGGCGAGTTAGCATCAGGGACATTCCCTGATGTTGACACTGACCATGCAGTAGAGATGGCTCAGATTCTACGATCTTCACTGCCTGAAAGGCCCTGAAAATGCTGGCACTAACTCCTTTCCAGAGGAAGCACTGCAAACAGAATTCACAAGAAAATCTCAGACCAGTCATCCTCCCATTTATAACAAATTGCTACAGAGAGGAGGGCAAAAAATATCACTCATTAGGTTAATGGGAAATAAATGTCATTCTGCGAGTTTCCCTTTTAAAGCACAAAGATTCAAACTTTGATAAAGATGGTGAATAATTAACTAATAAATCTACATGATGTTTAGTGTTGTTGTGAGTAACTATATTCCAACCTTAGTTGGTTCACCATTTATCATAAAGGCAAATTGTTTGGGGAGCTTGTCAAATGTCCATTGTCAAAGGAATCTCCAAACACTATTAAAATATGGTCTAGAAGTGCCGTTAGGGATAACCAAACCACTTTACAGATGGGGAAATTGAGGCTTGGAGACAGAATGCGTGTTGCTGAGGGCTTCACAAATTAATGGCAGAACTGGCTGCCTGAGAACACTATGAAAAAAAGATGGTGCACAAAAATATGGTTCTAGCTAAGTGGACCTTATCGCTTTTAAGCAGAATCATAATAGGTTTTTAAAATGACAGATATTCAAATAATATAGACCTCATTTAGAATCCGCCTAGGGTACTAACTTGCTATGCAATCCTGGGCAAGTTGCTTTACTTTACTTTTCCGAGCCTCACTTCTTTCATTTATATGAAGGAAATAATAATATCTATCCCACAGCATTACTGTGAAAATTAATGTTAGTAAAAAATTATGATTAAGCATATATCTGGAAATGTATGAGTAACCACCAAAAGAACAGAAATAGAGTTTATAGCTTCTGAATCAATAGGTCAAAAGAGAACATAGAAAACATCAATCTATCCAAAAGTAGGAAAGCAATAGAGGGAGAGCAATGTAAAGGGACAAGAAACTAACAAAACACAAAATAGTTTCAAATATATCAGTCATTATAACAAATGTAAATAAATTAAATTTTTATATGAAAAGCTAGAGACTAAAATATTGCATTAAAATTATCCAGCTGTTTAAAGAAAACACATGAACATGCATACACACACACACACACACACACACACACACACACACCCCTACAAAGCTTTAAAATGAAATAGAAAAAGTCTTGCAGGTAAACTGACTAAAATAAATCAAGCGAAATAAAATAAGGCAAAACTTATTCATGGAGAAAGAAAGACACCAAGTAAGAATCGAAGCAATGATCTTCAAGAAAATAAAGCAATACAAAACTTAGATGCACCTAAATATATAACCATAAAATACATAAAGAGAAACTATGACAGAACTGTTAACAAACTTTGGTATAACCATTCTCATGGTAAGGATATAACAGGACTCTCTTAGAAACAGATTAAGAACTCAAAACCAAAGTTAACAGGAGGTAGTTTTAAAAAATACATAATCATGTATTTTAAAACTTTTCCTTTATGGTTTATGCTTTTATATTCGTATGTAATGTTGAAATAAAAATTTAACAAGGTTGATTCATTTGCCATGTATTGAACCCTGTGCCTCATAAACAGTTACATTATTTTCTACTCAGTAGTTTATTTTTGTTTCTTTGTTTGTTTTGTTTTTTGTTTTTGAGACAAGGTCTCGCTCTGTCACCCAGGCTGGAGTGCAGTGGCGCAATCTCGGCTCACTACAACCTCTGCCTCCTGGGTTCTAGTGATTCTCATGCCTCAGCCCCCTGAGCAGCTGGGATTACAGGTGCCCGCCACAACACCCGGCCAATTTTTATATTTTTAGCAGAGACAGGGTTTCACCATGTTGGTCAGGCTGGTCTCGAACTCCTGACCTCAAATGATCTGCCCACCTTGGCCTCCCAAAGTGCTGGGATTACAGGCGTGAGCCACTGTGCCCAGCCACACACAATCCTTTATTAAACTCTACCAATAACTAGAGCAACAAAGAGATCTCAACAATTTCAAAGAAAAGATGTTATGCATTCTACCATGTTATCTGTCCTAAATGCCATTAAATTAAAAATTAACAATAGAAAGTTACTCCAAATCATCCTAAATGTTAATAAACTTGAAACTCAAGTTCTAGATAACTTACAGGTTAAAAGAAAAAAAGAACAAAAGATACAACAAGACACTTAGTAGATGGCACTAAAACAGCAATTCCAGGTAAATGTATTATCTTAAATGTATTATCTTAAAGAAAACAGTTTAAGTGGGATAAAAAATATTGAAGGTGAGTTAAACATTTTAATACTAAAACTGAAGACCAAGAACAAAAATCTAAACCAATGGAAAAAAGAAGGAAAAAGAAACAAACATAAGGTCAGACACTATTAAATACACAACAAAGAAACAATAAAACAAAAGCAGGTTATTTGAAGGGATTACAGACAAAACTCTAACAAGACTAATCATCATCAACCACAAAATAACTCAAAAGTAAACATTATTATGATTAAAAAGAAAATAATCTGATACAGTAGAATTTTTTAAATAACGAGAAAATACCATGAATATTTTTTATGTCAACCTATTTGAAAAATTAGATGAAATAATAAATGTCTAGAAACATTAGTTACCAAAGTTCACTCAATAAGGAAAAGAATAATACCTGAATTTGTGTTCAATTATGATTACAGCATTTTGACACAGTAATCAAATAGGGTTACAAGCAAATTGTATCTAATCTGCAAGAACTGCATGATCCAAATTTTACAAAAAATTGTCTCAGAAATAGTTGTGAATTCATTTTATGAGATTAGTACAACACTTGACAAAGACAGTCTAAGAGAAAAAAATTATAAAACAATCTTACTTATGTGCCTGGTTTCAAAAATCCTAAATAAACTGTTAGCAATCCGAAAGAGCTGTGTATTGAAAACATATGACTAAGAAAGGTTTATCTGGGAAATATATCAGGATACCTTAAGTATCTAAAATATACTACATTGATAGATTGAGACAAGTCATCAGATTATCAACAATTGCAGAAAAAACATATAATATTCAATAATAAAACATCTTTTTTTAAGATATTAGAAAATTACAAATACAAGACTGATTTAACCTTATTAAAGTTACAGTCACGTGCCACATTACATTTCCATCAATGATGGATTGTATATACAACGGTGGTCCCATAAGCTTATAATACCATACTTTTGCTGTACCTTTTCTATGTTGAGATATGTTTAGGTACACAAATACTTACCACTGTGTCACAATTGCCTCCCAAATTCAGTACAGTAACATGCTGTACAGGTCTGTAGCCCAGGAGCAATAGACTATATCAGATAGCTTAGGCATGTAGAAGGCTATCCCGTTTAGGTTTGTGTGAGTGCACTCTAGGATGTTCCCACAATGATGAAATTGTCTAATGATGCATCTCTCAGAAAGTATCCCTGTCACTAAGCAATCCATCACTGTAATTATCAAAGACACTGCAAATATGTGTATCACAAAACTTTACAAGCACTCCTATTAAGGTCAGGAACAAGAAAAGGATGTCAAATATCTTTCTCTACCATTCAATCTTATACTGGAGGCAAATGAAATAAGGTAAGAAAAAGAAACAAGAAGTAGAAAGTATAACATTTTTTTTTTTAAATTTGTTGAGATCTTTGTTGCCCCAATCCATGGTCAAGAGTCAAAACTGGCCGGGCGCGGTGTTTCATGCCTGTAATCCCAGCACTTTGGGAGGCCGAGGTGGGTGGATCACGAGGTCAGGAGACAGAGACCATCCTGGCTAACACAGTGAAACCCCATCTCTATGAAAAATACAAAAAAATTAGCCAGGCATGGTGGCAGGCGCCTGTAGTCCCAGTTACTCGGGAGGCTGAGGCAGGAGAATAGCGTGAACCCAGGAGGTGGAGCTTGCAGTGAGCTGAGATCGCGCCGCTGCACTTCATCCTGGGCGACAGAGCGAGACTCCATCTCAAAAAAAAAAAAAAAAAAAAAAAAAAAAGAGTCAAAACTATTCTTATTTTCAAATGATAAGATTGTCAAGGCAGAAAATACAAAAAAGCCTACAGATGAAGTATGAAAGATAATAAACGTTCAGGAAGTTTGCTAGATACAAGATTAATGCATGATAATCAATGGTATTCCCATATGCCACAATAACTAGTTGAAATATAGATAGAATACAGAAAAATATTCTATTCATAATAGCCATAGAAACTACAAGTTTCTTGAAAATAAATCTAACAAAAAAGTCCAAGATCTGTATAGAAAAATATAATAAAACATTACTGAAAGCCACAAATAAATGGAGAGGGCATATGCAATAATATAATAGTTCAATATAAAAAAAGTCAATTGTTCCCAACTAACTTGTAAATCAATGCAATTCCAATAAAAATTACATCAGGTTTTGTTGTAGAACCTAAATAAGAAGATTAAAGGGTCAATAAAACAGGCAATTTTAAAAACAGTCAAGGTAAGCTGTCCTACGAGTTATCAAAACCCAGCCATGAAGACCATATGGTGGAGAAATAGACAAAAAAAAACCCAATGAGCCACAATGAGGAGTTCATAAACACACCCAGGCATACATGGTAATTGCAGGAAAAAAATTATGAACTAAAACATAGTTTATCCATATTGAGGAAGATAGATTCCTACCTCACACTATGCACCCCAATAAAATCTAGATGGATTAGAGACCTAAAAATGTCAAAAGCAATACTTTAGAACTTTTAAGACACATGATGACATTTTTGTGAACTCAAAGAACAGTATCTTAAGATATAAAAGCGCAAACCATAAAACATGCTTGATTAACACGACTGTATTAAAAATATTTTTTATTAAGCTAAGGACATTATAAACAAAGTGAAACAATTATCCATAGTGTAGGAGATATTTGCAAAATACGTAACCAAAAATGGATTCGCATCTTGTATAAAGATCATGAATGATCAATAGAGAAAAAGGAGACAAACTTCTATGAATAGGCAATTCACATAAGAAAAAGCCACAATCGGCCAGGCACGATGGCTCACGCCTGTAATCCCAGCACTTTGGGAGGCCAAGGCGGGTGGATCACGAGGTCACGAGATCGAAACCATCCTGGCTAACACGGTGAAACTGTGTCTCTACTAAAAATACACACAAAAAAATTAGCCAGGCGTGGTGGCGGGCGCCTGTAGTCCCAGCTACTCAGGAGGCTGAGGCAGGAAAATGGCATGAACCCAGGAAGCGGAGCTTGCAGTGAGCCCAGATCACACCACTGCACTCCAGCCTGGGAGGCAGAGCGAGACTCCGTCTCAAAAAAAGAAAAGAAAAGAAAAAGCCACAATCAACATGTGAAAAATGCACAGCATCCCTGTGGAGGGCCACGCAATACCATTTAGCACCCGATGCCTGGAAAAAATGTTTAAAAATGTCTGACAGTGCCACATGTTGGTGGGGACATGAAGAAGTAAAATTTCAGACACGGCTAGTGACGATGGAAACTGCTGCAATCACTTTGGGGAATAATCTGAGCGATATTTAATAATTCCCAAATTGTACATTCCCAGGAGCCAGCAATTCTTCTTCCAGCTACATACCCTGGAGAGACACTCGCCCGTGTGCACAGTGAGGCAGATACGAGACTATGCACTGCAGTTTGGGGTTTTAGGGTGGAAGTAACTAACTACCCACCAATAGAAGTAGGAGATTTTAAAAAAATGAATGCTGTGTAGAAATGAAATGAATTAATTAGAACTGCATGTATCATTATAGACTAATCTCAAAAACATAACATAGAGGGGGACAAAGTAAAGTGCAGAATCATATTGCTGCATGTGGCTGAAGTTGAAATATACATTCAGGGGAATTATACACCTCAAACCCCGGGGAATGGTTTCATCTGGGGAGGGAGGAAAGAAAGAGAAAAGCAGAGCCAGGATTGAGATTAGGAAGCGACATAAAGAGGCCACCAACCGTTCTTAAAACGTTTTGTTTCCTTAAAAACATCTGAATAAGAAATGGCAAAATGTTAATTTATGTGAACCCTGAGTGCTTGGTTCATAAACACCGATTACATTATTTGTTCTGCTTTTCCATGGGTTTGGCAAAGGTCATAACAAAAACATTTAAAATCATCAAAAGTGCTAATTTATTAAAAGGATCCAACTTGGTGACTAACACAAAGATGGCTTTTTATTCATTTAAACTTACCTTCTCTTTACATGTAAAATTTATTTTTGCAATTTGTATAAAAACCTTGCTTTACTAGATTATCTATTCTGTTTTCTCAGACTATGCTGAATAGAATGCAACCTTCTCGCAGTGATTCCCCTCTATCATTCTAGAATCTGGTACTGGGCTGTGCTCTCTTGCCCTGATGCTGAAGGAAAGTCACCTCAATGGCTCTGAATTCAATGGTCTCAATTGTTTGGCTGGAAAATTAGAAAACCCAGAGAAGAAGGAAGATTATATTGACTCCCTCAGCTTCCAACTCTTACTCTTGCCGCGTGTGTCCCTGCTGTGGAATTCACTCATTAAATCAATTTGTTTTTTAATACATAATAAGCATTTATTTTGTCCAAGGCATGGCTGCCCAAGATGATCACCTGAAGTGCACCCACATTGTTTTGTGAATAAAGTTAATGAATTTAGGGAAGGATATTGATAACAAGACCATTACTAATTAATAGACATCGAACCCATGTTAAGCAAATACATTAAAATACACTCCTTTGATACTTTAAAATAAATCATAGAAGCCACAGGCATTTCTCTCCCGTGTTGGGATTTCATGCAGCAGCAGCACAGGAAGGGAATAGAGTATCTAGGAGGTGGAAGAGTCATTCCTTGCAACTCTGAAATCGGAAGCTGCCTCTGAGCTCTGCTGGCTACATTAGTACAGCAACAGTTCTCAGTAGTGAGGGAAGTTGATTTTTTTTCCCCAAAGGACATTGGGCAATGTCTGTAGAAATTTTTGGTCGTCACAACTGAGGTGTGGGCTACTGCAATGTGGTGGGTAGAGGTCAGGGATGCTGCGTGATATCCCGCAATGTACAGGACAGCCCTCTACCACAAGGAATGATCCAGCTCCAAATGTTCATAGTGATGCAGTTGAGGACCCTGGTGTACACTGATGGACAGTCGAGAACCCTGGTGTACAGTGATAGCCACAACCCCATAAGGCTCCACTCTCCAGAAGCTCAGAGCTGTTAACTAGCTCACTCAAAGCCGTGCAGACAGAAGTGGTCCCTCTGGAGCTTAAAGCTACATTTGCCTGGCTCCAAGGCTGACTGCTTCTAGCAAAAGTCATGTTCTCAGGAGGGCAGTCATGTGTGCAGTGGCCATTCACATACATCCCCTTAAAGGAAGGACTGTCTGGTGGACTCTGATCCCAACAGCTGCTGAAGGCAAAGACAGCCTCATCCATTGCTCCTGGCTGGCCCCACTCTCTTTATTCCCCATGGGTTCTTACAAAAACCCTGCTGTTTGCAGGCACCTGAAGGTCTCCTTTGAAGAGCCAGTGAATATGGTGGGAACAGAGCTGATGGAGGAGAGGGTATCCCTCAGGCTGTTCTCTCCATGAGCCCATCTCTCAAATAGGTCCCTGAGATACTCCTCTGAATGTCTGCCAATGTCTCCCCCTTACCTGGTCACAGAGGGTTCCGATCAAGCCTTCCAAATCTTGCTTCTCATGGAGGACCATCTGCTTCTCTTCATACTCTTGCTCCAGCTGCATTTCCAGCTGATGAAGCTGTGGATACACAGGGAAGAAACATCACAGGGTAAATGAACTCCATCCAGACACATCCTACAAGGCAAGGACCCTCAGAAGGCGGAGGAATGTAGAGCTTGTGGCTTTGTTCCATGAGGCTGCCCTAGTGATTGGGTGGTAGTGTCTCTGTGGGAGAATTTAAGAGCCTAAAAGCTTGGGAGCTGGACAACAGTAGGGAGGGCTGGTCAATGATGGGGAACCCCTTGCCCTTGACTGTGAAACCCCCTCCCCCAGGTCCCCAGTAGAAGAGATGCCTCTCTCCTGCAGCCATGGCCACTGCTGAATATTTGCAAACCTTTGCACTTTGATTTTTAAAGGCTCTGAACAATATTATAACCAACATATCAAAAATGCATCCCCTCCATTATTAAATACACAATGATGCAGTAAAAAAGTTGCATTTGAGATTTTTTGGTGTTATAAACTATATGTGTCCCTCCACAATTCATATGGTGAAACCCTAACCCTCAGTGCAGTGGTATCTGGAGGTGGGGCCTTAGGGAAGTAATTAGGTTTAAATGAGGCCATGAAGGTAGAGCTTTCATGGTGGGGTGAGTGCCTGAAGACACCAGAAAGCTGTCTTCCACTCTCTTTCTCCACCACATGAGCGTACAAACAGGAGGTGGTGGTCTGCAAGCCAGGAAGACAGCCCTCGCCAGACACTGAATCTGCCAGCACCTTGATCTCAGATTTCCCAGCCTCCAGAACTGTGATAAATAAATGTTATCATTTAAGCCACCTAGACAATAATATTCTGCTACAGCAGCCTGAACTCAGACATCTGACTATGAGCGACTCATTTAATTTGCAACTGGCTCTGATTTCTCAGCAATTACCCAGCAAACACAGACATTCCCCACTAGAGCAAACACCCTACTGTGGCTGTGCTTTGCAGACCACCCCCACCAGCCTCTCTTGTATATATTATCCATCCTCCATTTCCACCTCATGCCATCAGAGATCCTATTTCACGGGTGGGCAAACTAAGACCCAGGGAAAATCCGAAGTGCATACTCTGCAATTAGTTGCTGTTTAGAGGAGTTAGTGTCCTCTCTCCTGACCCCAGCTCTTTCTGCCACCCCAGACAGCCCCAGCATTCCCACCCAGGTCACTAACTATTGATTTCCTGCCAACGTGAGAGATAGACTGAACAGAGCAGTCACCAGAATGAGAAGTCAATATCAGTATTTGTTATAAGGAGAAAAACACCGTTCTCTGACTTCACTCTCTCCTTTTATAAATCTATCCAGAGAAAAGCCTCAGGAGAGTCTGGGTCACATCTCCAACTCACTGGAGCCCTGGCTCAGGGCACACACCATACTTTGAGGCATTCTTAGAATAAACCAGAAATGTGTGCAATCTTCACCTGAAGGAATATGGGCAGGGACTGAGAGATTCCATCTCCTGACCCATGGAGGGGGAAAAAGTACTGAGTGATGGTCACTTCTATAGAAAGCAAGTTCGTTTCAGAAATTTCGTTTAGGATGGAGAGAAATACAAGGCGCTCTCTTTATATCTGTTTTTAGAATAAAGACTGGAAAAGCTAAAACCCATCTTGAAAAACACACAAAATAACAAAACTATATATCAAGCAAGGCAAAATTGAGTGTATTCTGTACATAGGTATGATTCAGGGGACGAGAAGGGAGGGAAGGTCTTATAGAGTACATGTGAGAACCTGTTAAACGAGGCTTAACCCGAAGCTTTCCAGCAATTCCACTTTGAAGATCCTACATTCAAATCCATCAATACAGCTCTAAGAATGTTTATCTCGGCACTGGTTATAAGGGCAGAAAACTAGAAACAACCTAATGTCCAGTGATAGGGGATTTACTGTATAAGTTAGAGGATAAGCTTTGGGTGAAAAACTGTTAAGCCATTAAACATATAAGTTAGATCTGTATTTACAGACATGAAAAGAGGCCATGACAAACTGCAGAGACAACAGGCTTCAGAACCACATGGCCTCATTTAGTGAAAATGATATCTCTGCAAATCTGCATGTGTGTACAGAGAGTGAAAGAGAGCTATAAAAGAACACTTAAAATAGTAATAATGATGGCTTCTAGGTGATAACATGTCAAGGGGTTATTGCTTTCTTACACACTGTTCGGAATGGCTACAAAGACTTTGGATAAAATGTTAAGAAATGATTTGACTTGTAAAGAAAATAGTAAGAAAGAATTGGTTCTATTATTGAAATTTACAAGTCCTTGGCATCAGTCACATGGCATTACGGGGACTTAGTAGAAATCTCTGAGCCATTATGCTGGACAGTTCCAGAGGCTTCTGGAAGTTCCAAGATCATATTTAAGATGGGCATTTCCGCTCCTACACCTTTGAAGTCACTTCGAAGCTAAGGTCTCAGATGATTGCAGAAAGAGCTTGTCCCCAGATCCCAGACCCTGTCCTACTCCTCGCTCTAAGGAAGAGGGAATCCATGCCAGACCTGCCAGGATCCAAGGGCACAGCTGTGTTCACTGCTCACGTACCCGCTTCTGGCAGGACTGACGGACATCCTCCAGTTCCTCCTCCTGGTCCTCACGGTCCTTCTGGTGCATCTGCTTCATCCGCTCGATCTCCAGCTCAAACCGCTGGCGGAGCTGCGGGGGCAGCAAGGACAGCACGTGAGGGTGACCCACTCTAACTCTCCAAGCCCTCCATGTCATCCTTGGCATTCCAATTGCATTTCTCATTTTTGGAATACATAAATGAGAGTCAAGTTATTGCCCTAGGCATCCTGGAAGATCACAAATGGTGGGTAAATAGATTAAATATTGCCTCTATCCATTCTTGTGCTTATAACAGACATCACTCATCAATCACACTTTCCCACTGAGTTTAGAAGCAGCCTCAGAATCCTTCTCAACACTCTTTTTTTTTTTTTTTTTGAGATGGAGTTTCCCTCTTGTTGCCTAGGCTGGAGTGCCACGGCGCAATCTCGGCTCACCACAACCTCCACCTCCTGGCTTTAAGCGATTCTCCTGCTCAGCCTCCCAAGTAGCTGGGATTACAGGCATGTGCCACCACACCTGGCTAATTTTTGTATTTTAGTAGAAACGGAGTTTCTCCATGTTGATCAAGATGATCTCAAACTCCTGACCTCAGGTGATCCACCCGCCTCAGCCTCCCAAAGTGCTGGGATTATAGGTGTGAGCCACCGGGCCCGGCCCCCTTCTCAACACTCTTAAGATGAAACATATTTCTCATTCCTGGAGCAGGCAACAGCGATGGTTTTCTGGGTGAGTGGATAGGTAGATGAATGGTAGGACAAAAGTGTATGAAGACATGAAAGCCTGGAAAAGAAGATGATTTGCCCAAAATGTTATCTGAGACAATTCACTTTACCTCTAGGTCAGTCCCCTTTCTCTGTAGAAAACAACCGTCTTAGAATGCTACTATGAGAATTAAATGATGATATAAAGCACCTAGCACAGTATCTGATACATAAATATTACTTTCTCTTTCCCCATTATTTCGAAAACAGAAAAGACTATCCCCTCCCTCCCTGGCAACCTGACATAATTAAGAGCTGTGATCCCATGAATGAGCTGGGTCTTTCAAACAAGAACCTCCAAAACACATGCAACAGGCATAGAGCCGTGCATAATGTTGGAACTGTGTGAAGTCGTATAAAGGGTTCTAGAGTGGAAGGCAAAAAAGTCATGAGTTCTAGGTCTAGTTCAAGACTTCACTTTCCTGATCTGCATGATTTACAGATTGGCCCAAGCCCTGGCTTCTCAAATTTTGTGGCACGTTAGAATTACAAACGCATTTTTAAAACATACAAATTGCAGGGCTTCACCCTAGACCTACTGGATTAGAATCCCCAGGGTACAGGGCCCAAGAAAGCTTTGAAGCTTTCCTTTATCTGTCTATACTCTTTAATGTTACTGGATCATGAAAAAGCATTTGGAACTCAATAGCGTAGATGGGTGATATGGTTAGGCTCTGTGTCCCCACCCAAATCTCATTTTGAATTTTAATTCCCATAATTCCCACAGGTCAAGGGAAGGACCTGGTGGGAGGTGATTGGATCACAGGGGGTGGTTTCCCTTGTGCTTTTCTCATGATAGTGAATGAGTTTTCTTAAGATATGATGGTTTTATACGTGACTGCTCCTGCTTCACACACTCTCTCTTGCCAGCCACCATGTAAGACTTGCCTGCTTCCCCTTCCACCGTGACTGTAAGTTTCCTGAGGCCTCCCCAGCCATGTGGAACTGTGAGTCAATTAAACCTCTTTTTTGCATAAATTACCCAGTCTCAGGCAGTTCTTCACAGCAGTGTGAAAACAGACTAATACAATGGGTTACATTGTAGAAATGATAACTTTCTGATCATTTACTCTACTGTCCCAGCACCTCTCATCAAGCTTTTGGAACTTAACAAGTGCTGTCCCCAACATGGACAGAAAAAAACAATCTGGGTCTTTTAAAATGTTGATAATATTCCCTGCTATGCCGTGGTGAGGAGCAAAAGGATAGTGTACGTCAGAGGCCCTGTTACAGTTTCTGGCATAAAGTAGGCTCACTTTAAATGTCAACTTCTTGCCTTTTTTTCCTTTAAAATGACAGGGGTTGTGGGAAGATAATCCAAAACCAAGGAGCCTGAGCAAGTAACTATAATATTTCTTTTTCATTTTTTCTAGCCTCTTGGACATTCTTGACATCTGCAATACCATTTATGTCAAACTTATACGAGTTAACATAAAATTCCCTGGAAAAAGTGTTGTATTATAATCAATAAATATCCACTGGATGTCTACAAGGGCACAATGCAGCCTGAGGTTATGGGTGAAGCTGAAGACGGATGAAAGTGTTGAGTCAGCCTCATCTCCTGGGTGAACTGAGCATGGAAATTCAGGCAGCTGCATTAAGTTTTGGGTCCCTGAGGCCATGGTAATACATTTTTGCTTCCGAGCACTAAGTGGTCCCCCAGTGGTATCTTAAAGAGTTAACACAGTTTTCAAGAGGGCTTGTTTTATTCTTGGCTCTGTGAAGATCCTGCTCATTTAAGGAACACAAGGAACACTGGGGTGCTACATGGCACTGCACCGTCATCCATGCCCTTTAAAGACCTACACAGATATTCCACCTTCTTCACAAACCTTCACTGATTCATAGCTGTGGTTGGCAGGAAGCTAGGGGAGAGATAAGGCTCCATATTTGATTGTACAGATAAGGAGACTGATGTCTGGAGAAAACAGGGGCTTGCCTAAGGTCATACAGGCAACAAGCTGCCTCAAAGACCCCGTATTACAGCTCCTTGAATATCCTACGACTATCCTGTCTGTCTTCAGGCTTTTGCACAGGCTGGTCCCCTGCCTAGAACTCTCTCATTCAGCCAATTCTGATTCATCCTCCAGCTTCCCTCTTCAGTAAATATCACTTCCTCCAGGAAGTTTTCCCCGATCTCTCCCCCAACCCTGCTGTCACGACCAGATCTTCAAGTTCAACATTCCCCTAACACTAAGCATGACTATAAACTTTGGGAGGGCAGAGATTGTGTCTGTCTTATTTGCAATTGCACCCTCAGCATCCACAGAGTGCATGATGCAGAGGAGGTACTTAATAAATACAGGCTGACTGAGTAAAAGACTTGTCTTCCTTATCGCTCCTTAGTGAGCATCCAAGACTTCCTGGATCTTGTTCCCCAACACCCACCACCCACATGTCTTGATACTCACCAGGCTCCATCTTGTTGGAGCAGTGGTTAGCAAGAAGCAAGAGCTGACCCCTGGTTCCCCCATCCCCTGTCCCACCCATCCCCACTTCAGTTCAACAGAGCTGCTCAGAGTTCATCTGCTTTACACATTCATGACACCTGGTCACATTTTCTCGCATAACGGTGGCCTCAGCATTTTTTTTAAAAAAAACACTTTAAAATAATTGCCTTTTACAAAATCCCACAAGAGAAATTCGTTTAGAGCCAAGCATCAGAAGAAGTCTTACTTCCCCTAGAAATTTTTTTTTTTTTTTTATCTCAGGCATGTAACTCACATTTCCTTTTTCTTTCTGGCCACCAGGAATTTTAGAGCTAAAATTATTATGTGTGTAAGACCATATGTTATGCTTTATCTGCCTATTAATTCACTGCCCCCACCCTCCTCCTTAGTGTCTATTTTATTTTGTACTTTTGTGGTTTGGATTGTTTTATTTACAATTTTTGTGTTCTATTATACATGTATCTTGTAAGCTGCCTCAAATTATTTATAGAATGAGGTAAATAAGTAAGTACATAAATAAGCAAGCAGACAAATAAAGTATTCATCTGGTACTTTGCAGAGGGTACTGGTACAAGAGTATTTGATATTTTTGTCTTATTCCCTTTGTTATTTTATTTTCCCCAAAGAGTAGCACTTCAATCTGCCCCGAAGCTGTGCACAATGCCTAGCACATAGCAGACATTCGAGGCAGTGTGGGGTCAGATGACACAGGTTCCAAATCCCATCCCTGATACTTTCTCCATGTCTCTGAGTCTCAACTTCTACATCCGTAAAGTGGGGATAATACTAAGATCTCCCTACATAAGGTTCATGTGGAGATTCGTGAGATGTGTGGGGAGAGCTTAGGGCTGAGGTTAGTATACAGACAGTACTCAATGAATGTTAGATATTTGGTCAACAGCTATTTATTGAGCATCAGCTATGTACCTGGCCTCATTCTAGGCTCTAGGATTGCACTAAGAAGCAAGAGAAAGAGAAAAACAATCTGACTTCATGAAGCTTATATGTTAATGAGAGAGAAAGGCATAAAGCAAACTTTTAAAAAATACTATCTAATACGATGGCAGGTACCAGAGAGTAAAGCAACCCAGCTAAGGAGATGGGAAATGAATGCAACCTAGTGGGAGCTATTTGCAAGATGATTAAGGCAGGCTTCTCTGAGGAGGTGACACTGAACCTTGCAGGGGAGAGCTGGATCAGGAAGGATCTGAATGTCAGACTTAGGAGCTTAAAGGTTCCCTGGGATAATAGGGAGCCATTGAAGGATGAGGAGCAGCCAAGTGAGGCACCCACATTGTATTTTAATAACATCACTCTGCATTGGAGACATGGGACAGGGTGTTGCCCTGAGACAGGGCTTTCCTACCTGCTCCAGCTGCTTGATGGTGTTTTCCTGCTGGCTCTGGATTTTCTGTTGCTCAAGGGCGCTGGATTCCAACTTCCAGAGCCTCTCCTTCAAGCCAGCAACGCAATTTTCCCCCAGAGAGGGTGACCCCAGCAGCTCCCGTTTATGGTCCTGTAGCATCTCCACCTGCTGCTTCAGCTGTGAGGCTTCCTGCTCCTTTTGCTACAGAGACAAAGAGGACAGAGATCTGGAGTCACATGAGTATGCCTCCCTCCTCCCCCAGGGATACCTCTACAACCAACTGGGGCTGGAGTGGCGTTTTCCACTTTCCAATGCCTGCCATTTCCACCTGGACCCCACCGTCCCTCACAGCGCCCCCTGTGGGACACCAGCAAGGGCTGCTCTTGGTATAGCTCCTACAGGCATGGAGTTGGGGGTGGGAGGTAGGATTGGAATAAATTGTCCCTAGAGTTCGATCTCAGAGCACCTACAGGAAGGGTTGACCCCATTTGTAAGGGAAGTGGAGGCACACAGCTAAAGCTTCCCTGTGTGCCGTCTGAGGCTGGGATTGAGATGTTGGAGCAGGGAGGCAAAGTGCTCAGAAATGACTCTTCCAGGTTACAAAGTCAGCTCCAGGATCAAATAACTTTGGGCCAGATCGTGAAGGAGTTGAACGCCAGGCTAAAGCGCTCAGAGGTTCTCCTGCGAGTAGTAGAGAACCACAAAAGGATGAGGAGCAGCTGAGTGAGGCACCCGTGTTGTATTTTAGTAAAATCTCTCTGCATTGGAGCCTGCTTGGACCAGGACATTGCTCCTGGACAAGGTTATAGCTAACTCATTCTCTGCTGAGCCTGTTATACCTCCCAGGTAAGCACCTCGGAACCTGTGCAGGTAACTGAAGCAAGATCAAGACATCAATCTTGCTCAAAGTCTGATTATCAATTTACCAGCCACCATTTGCTATTTTATTAAGACACACTGGGATTCAGCTGCTTGACAGACCAGGATACCCTTGTGAAGTTTTCTCTCTGTCACCATTTGCAGCAGGTGCACGATGCAGTTTCCCGAGATTTAGCCACCAAGAGCCAAGATAGCTCTGTGTCCCCCATCCCTTACCTTCAGCTGCTGCTGAAGCTGGCCTAGCTCCCACCGGACACTGGTGTTCTCCTGGGTCACTTTCTCACGGAGACCCTTCTCAAACACTGACTCACCTAGGGCCTGGGCCAGCTGCAGGTCAAACCTGTGCAAAGCAGAGCACGTGTCAGGGCCCCGTAGGCAGGTGGGCAGGGGAGTGATTGAGGCAGGGGCAGGGAGGGGCTGCAGAGAGGCCGCTAGTTTCCCAAGAACCATTAGAAAGAGAGCAAAAGGAAGAAGAGAGATAGAGAAAGTATGAGAAGTTGGAAGTTTTTCTCAATGCTTTTACGTAAGGCTGTGGATGTAGGGTGGGAATCTGAAAAACCACAGAGCAATTTTTAGGGTTGAGGTAGACTTGCCACAGAACTATTCGATATACTTATAATTCTAGATTTCTCCCTCACCATAGTCATTCTGCCTGAATTTCCACTGTTAGACTGAGACTTCTGCTGCCCCCATCATCTCCCTACTAAAATGCTAATCTAAATGCTAACCCTAAAATCTAATAAAAATATATGGACAGGAATAAAAATAGAATAAAACTATATACAGATATAGAATAAAGGATATATTTTAAAGGTGGCCAGGCATGGTGGCTCACGCCTGTAATCCCAACACTTTGAGAGGCCGAGGAAGGAGGATCACTTGGGGCCAGGAGTTAAAGACCAGCCTGGTCAACAAAGTGAGACCCCATCTCTATTTTTAAAATTTTTAAACTTTAAAAATTTAAAATTTAAAATTACCTGGGCATCGTGGCATGCACTTGTAATCCCAGCTACTCTGGAGGCTGAGGTGGGAGGATCCCTTGAGCCCAGGAGGCCAAGGCTGCAGTGAGCCATGATTGTGCCACTGCACTCCAGTCTGGGTGACAGAGCAAGACCTTGTCTCAAAAAAAAAAAAAAAAAAAAAAAACCAACCCAAAAACCTGATCTATCTGGTCTGCCAGCATATGTCAAGGCCCCTTAAATCTACCAGGCCCCATTTGACTTCCAATATTTCCTGACCAATGAACAAACGAATGGATGTAAGTAGAATGAGGATATTCTACATTTCATATTTTAACATATTGTCTGGCTTATACTCTCATATGCCATACTAAAGCATGCTGATTATCAATAAAATGATGGACATTTATACATTCTTGTCCTCATTTGTTTCTCAAGCAGAAAACACAAAGACTAGTCAGTCCTACTGAAAGTCATCCAGGGAATTAATGCCTTGTTAGGGGCCCTCCTGCCCTTCTGTGATGACCACTGGGTGAGAAGCCCCTCCTGGATGTTATGTCACTCTGTTCAGTTGTCTCAGCCTCCTGGCAGTATCACAGGTGAGGAAACCGATAGAGAAGGCTTTGCCAAGCCTCAGTAAGGTGTGACTTTCAGTCACTTCCCCTTGGCCCAAACAGGAAGTCCCATTGTTCCAGAGATCTTGATATGGCAGAAGTGGGCATGGGGTTTGGCCTTTGGTGGCAAGAAAGTCTCGCTTATTATAAGACTATCCAGTGTTCCTTAATACTAGACTATCATTCAAAGTCTCAGACTTCTGAGAGACCCAATCATAATGGAGCCCTCCTGTTGGAACAGCTCAGGAGCTTTCTGATTGGCTGTTGGTGACATCATTCAAGGGGCACTATTTGCTGCCTCTGAATGGAAGCATTGTGATGAGGGTGATGATCCAGCAGTCCCAGTGTGTCAGGTCCTGGGCTGGGATCCATGTCGTCCTTACAACAGTTCAGCAAGAAACATGTTATTCGATCCATTCACTGAGGAGGAAACTGAAATCACTCGGAGAGGAGGAGTGATTCAGCCCCAAATTCCAAAGTGGTAGAAATGGACTTGGGCTTCCCTAATGTCTTAGCTAGTCCCCCATCTACCTGTCCATTCCTGGGACAGGTGAGGTAAGACAGTAGGGACCAGACAGTAACTGATGGTGCAGAGGAGTCCTTGACTTAACAGGCCACTTGATGCCAAAGAATAGCTACTACAAACACCAGCTCCTAGCAAACAGCCCACACTGACCAGCCAATTGCCTGAGGCCAGATAGGTTTGCACACAACCTTCAATCTGTTAAGAAAGGGCCTTGGGTCCAGCCACCCTTGAGTGTGGGAATCAGTGAGTCTAGCACAGGGCTTACCCGGAATTTCATCAGCCCTCAGAACCAAGCTTTGTGACCCATAGGGTAATCATGCCACAAACAATCCAACCAAAATGAAACCATCCCAGGCCACTCTGAACTTAGAAGCCAAAGCGGGAAACAGAGAACTCTACCAATGTGGAGGCATCACTCTATCCTGGGCCCAGCAAACTCAGGAGGCAGCTGCATCTACATTTCGATTAAGCATCGAGAGATGCAAGGAAGTATTACTGACTTCTAAATTTTCCCTTCACCATAGTCATTCTGCCTGAACTTCCACAGTTAGACTGAGACATAAAATGCTAATCTACCTGGAAAGGTAATGCCTGCTATCTGCAATTGGCATCAAAACATAAATTAGCTTCTGCCTAGAGATGGTAACAGAGCAGAGGGCATCACAAGAAAGCTAAGTTTTGAGAGGAGGGCATGCAAATATGAAGAAATAGGAACTTTGCTTGGGGGGTATCCTGGGGAGATTCATAAGTGCCTGGAATGAGGGATTCTGTCCAAAGGGAAAAGGAAAGACCAGACAGATGGAATTTTCTGGCTGCACAAACTCCAGAGGCTGGCCCCTTACTCATCAGAGAGTTGAAACCCTCAGTTAGGCCTCTCAGAACAGGAGTAGAACCCATAGTTGGGGGCCAAGAGGGTCACAGCTGGGAGAAACTTGGGGAATGATGGAGTCCCAACCTCTTGTTTCACAGACAGGGGTATATGTCAGAGCCATTCTTCCAGATCAGATGACCTGTTAAACTGAGACTTCTGCACCATCTGAACCATCAGTCACTCTCTGGCCCAGAGAGGTGGTGTTATTTGCCAAGGACACACAGCAGGTGGCCAAGATGGAGCCAAGCCATTTTCCCCACTGCAGGGGTAAGGTTCAGCCAGAGCACCCACAGGGAGGTGGAAAGGGGAACAGAGTGAGATATCAATAAACAAAAAATAAATCTTTCTTATTTTGGGGATGCAGAGCACGCTAACAATCCCCCAAAGACCTTTGTCAGATGAAGAAGCCAGCTCAGGAAAGCTGTAGGATAAATAAGATAAATAATATTTAATGCAGATCAAGTTCAAAATCTATGCCACCTCCATGGAAATATAATTCTCCTTCCTACTTCTTGGAAAGGAGGCAGTTTCCACAAATTCACATCTTGGCTCACACAGGAACATTTTTCTGTATTTTATCATGGGCCTTCTAAAAGAGGCTGCTTCCCACCTATTTGCCTAGTATGACATCTCCATTAGGACTTGGCTGGCTCAAAACAGGACCCCTGTATACCTTTCCCCTCACCGAGTGAGCTGGAGAACTTTAGACACAGCCAAGGCGTCCAAGCATCACAGGTTCTGAGGTTTTGCATGAAGAAGCCTATGAGTGTGCGAATCTGGGTACAAATCCAGGCTCCACCATCGCCTCACTGTAACAGCAACCCAAAGGGAATGCAAATATGGGAACCACACCGTGCAGATTCAAGATTAGCATCTTGCTGGTGCACAAGGCCCAGTCTCTGCCAGAATGGCTCACGTGATCTGAGAGTCCAAGTCCTAAATGAGAAGGCCATATTTTGGCCTCCTCCTTATTCTCTAGCCCAATTTTCACCAACAGGAAGAGGAACCAGGATCAGTCCACTTAGATGTACTGACTGCATCATTTAGTCCTCAGCACAAGGGGGCGATCTTATCACCAACCTACGGATAAGGAATCTGGCTGGGAAGGACTGAATGACCTGCTCAAGGTCACACATCTAGAAAGAGGCACCTTTAGGACTTGAATGAGATGACTTTTATATCAATGCCTGGGCTCCTAATCGCCATGCTGTCTTGACCGTCTGCAACAAACCCTTCACTCGACAAATGGGGATGTTAAGGCCCAGAAAGGCAAAGAAAGTTCCCCAAGGTCACAAGATCAATTGGCCACATAGTTGAGGCTGGCTAAGAGAAAAGAATAATTTCTTGCTGGATTCTTGGGAGAACCATACAGGAATAAGGTGTGACGGGACAGGGAGGAAGATTAGAGCAAAACAAGGGAGTTGAAGTGAGGGAGTTAGGAGAACCTGGATACCCCAGAAAACGCCAGCTCCAATGTAGCCCACCCTGGCAGCCCAGGTGATGGTGAGAGATGCAACTCACTTCTTCTGCTTCTTCTCCAGCTCATGGTTTCGACTTTGTTGGTTCTCTAGCAGGACGCAGGTATCCTCAAGGTCACAGGTAAGATGGTGGCACTTCCTCTTCAGTTGGTGAGCCATCTTCTTGGCCCCGTCATAAGCACTTTGCAACTCCCCAAGCTGTAAGAGTAATAGAATGAATTACCCGGCTCTGTGGGCATGGAACGAGCTTTTTACTTTGTATTTCAAGGAGTTGCTATTTCCAAGGTGTGTAATGAGAAAACAGCAGATGCTGGAATGGGGAGACCCTGTCTTGACTACCTTCCTCCAGGGTCACCTCCAGGAAGCTACTTTTCTGAGCCTCAGTTTGCTCAGAGGTAAAGTGGGGATAATTCCATCAATCTCTTAAGGTTGATTTTACTTTTGCTCAATAAACCTCCAGCCAATGCACCCACAGACTTTACCTACCCTGCCTCAACTTGATGACCCCTGAGCCACCGGATAACTCATATCCCCACCAGCCGACATGATCAGAAGGGATATGTGAGGATTAGCCACAGAGCAGCCAAAATGACATACCTAGAAAATCTGACCCGGAATCCCAAGTGACAAGCCTTAAAGGTTAAAGCAGCAAATGGCACTTTGCATGGACTGAATTAATACCAGAATGCACACGGCCTTAAACAAACAAAAGTCAAGACTCTTGCATCTTCCTCCAGGAAACACTCTCCCAAATGTCCTAGTTTAGATCTGGGAAAGAGCACGCAACTCAGCACACTGGCTTTGAAGAAATGGCCTCATTAAAAAATTGCTTTAAATAAGCAAAACTCTGAGTTAATGAAGCCTGTAATTCTAAATTCAGTATTTGAAGGCAAATGGGATGTTCTCTTATATTCTGCTGCTCAGAAAAGGTTGCTGTTTTATTACTTTTTAATGTAGCATAAATATCCCCCTTCATCAGGGAAACTGACTCAACTTTATAATTTGTTATTAAAGAACTGGGCTGCTTTCCTGCAGTTGTCCATCTGTGTTTATCTATGGTTCAAGATGTCTCTTGAGGACCACGATGCAATGTTCACCTTGAAAGCGACCACTAAAATCATCACCATCAGCATAGAGGATATCAAGAGTCACTTCCATTGTTTATAAAATCCCATGTGATCTCACCCAGGCCCACCTCTGCAAGGCAATCACATGATACTTTTTGCTCACGTTGAGAATAGAATAGATACACAAATATAACCTCCACCCTATGGCTCCGATATCGAATGGGAGAGACTATGAAGTGAGTAGGTAATTACAATACAACATGATGAGGCCTATGTTTTGGAAGACAACTCAGGGACTCCCAACCCAATCTGCGTCAGCAAAGACTTTCTGGAGAGAGTGACATTTAAGCTAAGATCTTAAGAATAGTTGGAGATATCTAGGCAGGAGAGAAAAAGAAAGATTGCTCGGGGAAGAAGAAATAGCACATGCAAAGTCCCAGAGGTGAGAAAGAATCAGGCATTTTTGGAAGGAGAAGAAAAAAAACTGAGTGTGGCTGGAATCAGTGGTGTGCCAGAGTCAGCTGGTACCGACTTGAAAGAGATGCACAGAGCTAATTCTGTGCATCCCTTTCAAATTCCATGTTAGTGACATCACAATGGTAGTTTGAAATTGGCCATGGTGGGAGTATTTACACCAGGGAAATTGGCAAGTGCTACAAATCAGGGCTTTTTGTTTTTTTCCAGGGAGCCATTTACTAGCACACCATTTGTTAGAGTGTGAACTGGTTAGAATGTAGACGAGGGATAGTTGGAGGCCACAGAAGACAAGCAGAGAGACCAAACTATCTGTACATTCATCTAGAAAGGCTAGATAAAAATATATTATATATAGATAAGATTGCATTAGATTTGTAATGTTACCTTCAAGAAAGAAGGAAATTTCAGGATATCAGAAATGCAGAGGACACAAAGCCCTAACAGTAATGGTACATACTAATATTATGGCGGCCAGGATGAGGGGGAAGAGCAGTTGATAGATCCAGAAGTGTCCTTTAGGATAGAGGTTTGTGTTTCAATGCCCAGACAGAGACAGGAGACAAGGCTCTGGGCTCATGGAAGGTGAAGAGTTGGAATGAAGACCGTTGCATTGACAAACCCCTCAAAGAACTGCATGCACCTCAGTGAGAAGAGAAAATAAAAGCTCCACCTGCTGGCCTGGAAGGTGGTAAGAAAGCTTGCTTTCACCCTGGATCTAGGTGGGGCAAGAAGTACTCTCGTAAGAATTTTAAACCCCAGGTCTAAGCCTCATGTGGGTTTAGAGATCCAATTGACAATTTTTACATGCCGCAAAACATCTGAGACCAAGAATTTAGCATTATCTCAAGGACTGCTGCCAAAGAAAGTGAAAAAGGGTTTCTTCTAGCAGAACACACCCACGACCCTGTTATCAAAGGGCTCCCATCAAAGTCAACAGAATGTTAAAAAAATTAAATCTCCTGCTGAAGGTGAACTCACAATAAAAAATAGCTAAATACACACACAAAAATTCACTGGGAGCGGAAAAAAAAAAAAACATTCCACAATGCAGAACACCTGTGACTACTGGGGGAGGAGCACAGAAACCTGTTGAAGATGAGCTCAAAAACGAAATTTACAAAACACACAAGGAAAAAAATCCAACATGAGAGTCAGCATACTTTATGATCACAGAACAATCTGAAAGAGACCCTGAAACATTCCTTGGCTGCAGTGTGGCAGGTGGTTGAGAGGAGAGGCCAGAGGCAAGGAGCACAGCTAGGAGGCTATTGCTTTGGTCTGGATGAGAGATGAAGGTAGCAGATTAGAACAGAGGCAACAGGGAAATGTGAAGGTTTTGAGACCGCTGATAATTATGTAATAGATAAGAAACATGAGTTAAAGTGACTTCCACAAGGTTCACGTAGAAATGGAACTGGAACTCAGATATCCTGAGTTAATATCCATGTTCTTTACACCACAGAGCAGTCTCTGGATAGAAGATCCACATGTACAGACAATATTTTTCATGTCTCACAGTGACCAGCATTTGTAATAATAGTGGAGATGGAAAAACCTTAAGGGGTTTGTGTCCTCTTCCTCCCTCTTCAGGCTCAGCTAATACCTCGATCACCCACAGTGGAGGTGAGAGCCTGCCCACTCTCTAACACTTCTGTGGCCCAGACTATCCCCACATCTTACCTTTTGCTCCAGCTCTTTCCTGGCTGTCAGCTCCGAGTCCAGCCTCTCCTCGCATTGCTGCAGACGCTTTCTGAGGAACTCGTTCTCCATCTGAGCACAGTCGAAGCGCATCTGCCACTCGTCTGCTGTTTAACGGAGTCAGGGAGACCAGGATAAGAGGCCAAATGAGTGTAAGGCAAGAGTGTGAGTGGCTCTCCTCCACTTTCTTGGCTCTTGGCATGCAATTTCACAATATTCACAGAGCCCTTGAGCCTCAACCTTGGACCAAGAAACTATGCTTTAACTCTGAGTTTTAAATAACGCTTCCTCCAGGCAGCCTGTCCTGACCACCTCCAACTGTCTAAAGTTCTTGAGTGCTCACTCTTCTAAGATTGGTTGCCTTATACTGTTTAGTTGTCTCTATAAGTGTATTCATATCTTCCCTTTTCCAAGGAAATTTCATAATCCTTAAGGGCAAGGGAGCTGTTTCAGTCATCTGTGAGTCCTTCACACCCTCTGGAAGAGTTCCCTACAAGCAGATTCCCCTACATGTTGATACAAGCTCATGGATTGCTTAATGAACCTAATACAATAATCAGATAAAAAGAGTCATCCTACTGGCCAACTTTATTGGGTTGTACAGAGTATATAATCATTGGCTGTTGGTGCAATTAACAAATGAGTAAATTAGCAATAATTCAAGACTCTACTAAACTGTTCAGAAGATGTCTCCACAAGATAAGATGGATACCAAATCCCTTGATTTGGTAAACATCTCAAAAAAATTATTGGCTGGTTTGATTAAAACTGTTTGACTGATTAGAATGGAATATTTTAGGCTAAGATGTCTTATCTTTTGACTATCTGAATAATAGAATAATGCCCATTAAGTTAATGAAGTTGTGGAAAACATTCCACAAGTGGATGACCAAAGATAGAGACCACCCACTTATTCATCTATCATCCATCCATCCATCCTTCCATCCATCCATTCACACACTCATTGAGCACACTACTTTGTACAAGATAATGAAATGAATAAGAAGCCATATCCACCCACCTTCCAGAATAATCAAGCAAGGGAAACAAGTAAAAAGACAGCTGAAGCCTAGTATGATCAGGGCTTTCATAAAGAAGCTTATAGAAATCCAGAAGAGAACCAAAATTAATAAGACAACAAACTTGTTTTGTTCATCATTGTGTTCCTAGAATATGCTATAATGCCTAGCATATAGTAAATGCTCAATAACTTCCACTGGAAAGGTGGATAGTTGAATGGATAGGACGTTTGACTAGATGATAGGGTGGAGGATTAATGGATAAATAGTTGGTTGGATAGGTGGAATAATGGATGGATGGATGGATGGATGGATGTTAGTGTAGACAGAGAAGTGGGTGCATGGGTGGATGAATGCATGGATTGATATATAAATAAGTGGTAGGGTATATGGATAGGTGGGTGAGTAGATGGGCAGATGGATAAATGGATGGATGGGTGGATGGGTGGATGGGTGGATGGGTGGATGGGTGGATGGATGGATAGATGGATGGATGGTAGGATTAAGTTCTTGAAAGAGGTGACCTCAATAGAGATTTCTACATCATTAACCAAATAACGGATGGTATAATAATAAAGAGTTAAAGCTTGTTCAAGCTTCCACCAAGGTAAAAACATCATGATGGGAAAAGCACACTATCTCTCCACCAGGAAAAGCCTCACAATCACAAGCAGCATGGACTGCAAAAGTAAGAAGCAGCAGCAGAAAGCATTTCTGCAGCTTCCCATGTACTCTGTGCTATGATGTGCTATAGAGCAAGTGGCATGAGTGGGCAACACGAACAAGAGGGGAAACTGTTCTCCTTCAAGGCTCATCTCTACCTTCAACCTCCCTGCCCATGAGTGCCACCCTTAATCAACATGTTTTCCTGAGTTTACCTGATATCCCCATTTATATCGTGAATATCTTGAGAGCAGGGCCCAATTAAAATCCCTCTGTAACCCCCACAGTGTCCAGCTCCACGCTGAGTGCATATCACAAAAGGTTCTCTTTAAATATTTAGCCATGCATAAAGGAAAACATATTTTTTTAAATAATTCATACTCCATCTTGAACCATAGAGGTGGTTGTGGTACCACTGCGATGATATGATTAAAATGTTTTACTGCTTCTTTCAAATTTCCTATATTTTAGACATTTTCTATAATGAGTATGTATTACTTTCATAATGAAAAACAAAATATTTGTGGGTTGGCTTCTTGGAATGAGCATCCAGAGCTGAGAGCCTATATAGCATTGTGACTAATGTGCCCATGAGCTAAGCACATGTCCCCCTCTCATTAACACCCCAATCTTAACAGAGGAAAACAAACTGGGAAGCATTATTTAGACATGAATTTCACGCAGATGGAACTGACACTGGCGCCCCTCTGGGGATTTTATAGAAATTACCTCCAAGGCCAGAGACTGTCCCACACTACTGATTTTATACCAACATGTTCCCCTCTCTCTATGTGTACCCTACCTTGTTGGGTCTCGCTTATAAGAGAGCCTCAAACTCATCTGTATTAACCTCCCTGCTAAATGCCTGCCACGGGGGTAGCCAGGATAACAAGAACAAGAATGAAACAGAAAATAAATACTCATTGTCTCTTTTCCACAGACCCCTGATCTCCATTCCCCTGGACATCTCAAGGGCACAAATTCTCTGGACACACGGAGGGAATAATGCTGACATTTTATAGAAGCTGACCCACTGGATATCCTTCTCACCCAACTCCATTAGGCTGGGGAGAGTAAGAGGCACGGTGACAAGGTGGCAAAGATGTCACCATGCCATCCAATCACGAGGTCTCCAGGAAACTGTATAAGAAGGACACCTCCAGAAACTCCTGGCACTACTGAACAAATGTATAATATCCCTGGGTAAAACCAAGAGTCCTCTCGCCTTCTCGCCATTTGGTAACTGTTGTGCGCCTGACACAGCTTTACCCTCTTTGAATGGGGAGAGCAGTAGTTTCTGTTCCACAGGTTGCTATAAGGATGAACTGTGATCTCATCATTCCTCATAATAATGGTAAAGTAGCTATTAGCTATTCATCACTCTATTCTATACATGTGGCTAAACATTTTCTATCAATTATCCAAGACAATCTCCATTTGAAAGAGGAAGAAACTGAGGCACAGCAATTTCTTTGCCCCAAAATCCAAATCCAGAAATACAACTTCATAGGTTCCAACTTTTAACCACTAGACAGCCTTCCTCAAAATTTACGTTTTCTTTTTGCTTTTATTTTTTTGAGACAGGGTCTTGCTCTGTAGCCCAGGCTGAAATGCAGCCTAGGTCTCCCAGGCTTAAGTGATCCTCCTACCTCAGCCTCCCAAGTAGCTGGGACTTCAGGTGCATGCCACCACACCAGGCTAATTTTTTAAATTTTTTGTAGAAATGGGGTCTCACTATGTTGCCCAGGCTGGTCTTGAACTCCTGAGCTCAAGCACTCCTCCCACTTCAGCTTCCCAAAGTGCTAGGATTATAGGTGTGAGCCACCACGCCAGGCCTCTCAAAATTTATTTTTAAAATATTCACATAAACATAAAAGTACCTTGCCCATAAAGCCACTATTTAAAAATCATTCTTTGCATTAAAACTAAATAGCACATATCATACAGATAATTTGTTACCTGGGATATTGTTGGATTATCTGATTAATATCTGCTTATTCCATTAGACTGTAAGCTCCAAGAGAGTACGCTGTGCCTGTTTGCTCTGCCAAAGTCGCAGCCCCTCATGCAATATCTAGCACCTAAAAAGTGCTCTATGAGTGACTGAATAAATGGGAAAGACAACTTTGTCCATCACCTTCCAGCCCCAAGGGTCCCAGGCTGCTCACCTCCTCCAGTGGGATTCCTTTCCAAGTCATTCAACTGAATTTTCTGCTGGGCTTCTTCCAACTGTTTATTCACATCTCCCAGTTTTTTCTGGACTTGTTCATGCTTGCTCTAGAAGAAAGGGCTCAAGGTCTAAACTAGAGCTGGACAGAAGACATGGGCTGGTCATCTTACCCATGAAGTGCTTCCAAGGCTCGGATTGGCCACCCTCTGCACAGCCCTGAGCCATGCAGAATCCAGGACCATGGGCTAGCCACCTTCGGCATATTTCTCACCCAAATCACCTCCAAGGCCAAAGACTGTCCACCTTCTGCACAATCCTCTCCTATTCGCCTCTCTAGCCAGGGACTATCCACCCATAACACCCCCAAGGCCAAGCCTTAGGAGACCTAAGTGTCCCCCAGGACCTTGAGCCCAGCAGTCAGTCAACCTGTGCATCTTGCTTAAGCTTACTGATCTCCAATGAGAGGGTCGGGGAGCAGACCCAACCATTTTTAGCCACCGTGTTCAGCCACCCCTGGCCACCCCTGACCACTCACCTTGAGCTCCTGGACCTCCCGGAAGGCCTGTAGCCGCTCTGCCCGCTCACTCTCCAGCACCTGGCAGGCCACATCACCTTTGAAGCGCTCATCGGCAAGGTCAGAGGTCAAGTCAGCAATCTGAGATGGGGAATGGGGTGATCAAGGAACGGTCACTCGATGGAGCCACCAACCCTTCTCTCCCCATGCACAGGATCGCCTTTGGACAAATCACTATCATGGGAAAGCAACCCTTGAGTATAATCAACTCGTTAAGAGGATGGACTTCAGAATTTTATTGGTCTTGATGTGGTTCAACACTCACTAGCTGTGTGATTTTACACCAAGCAGGATGCCTTGCTGGTTCTCAGTTTTCTCAGCTTTAAAGGGGGGAAAACAACATACATCATTATTTTTGAGGATTCAAGGAGATAATCCATTGAAAGCTTAGCACGGTGCCTGGCACGTAGTAAGTGCTCAGTTTTAAAAATGGCCATTTTAGTGGAATCTCTTCGTAACCAGCTTTTAGCAAATCATCTCACTGGATGTACCAACACTGTCCCTCAGTAAGACACACTGATGGATGCCCACTGCACCAGAATGCTCTCCACCAGACCACCTCTCTACAATGGCCCCATGGCCTATCTGCCTCTAGCAGGTGACAGGCATGCACATCCAGTATCACATGTGTGTGCTCCCAAACTGTTTTTGCCTATTGCATTTTTACCATAGCTATCTATTCAGTTAGCTACTACATAAACTTATAAAATATGGCTGGACAGAGTTTCCATGAAAACTAGGTTGAATGCCTTGGAAGGAATTAATAAAGGTAAGCTGCTTTTTAAAATGCTGCCAAATAGGTGTTGTTGCAACAACTAAAAAGAAACTTGAAGTAAAAAATTAGGTTTTTGTATTCAAATTACTTTGCCATTTGCTCTGTTTTAAAGAAGCCAAAATTGGAAATCATACGGTTGTATATTAGGAGCGTGGTTTAAGAAAGAAAGAAATGGATGGGTCCTGCCTCAGAAATGCAGTGATTTAAATTACACATGTAATTAATTTTAAAATAGGAATTTTTAAATGAATTCCCACCTGCACTGGTTTTTTTTTCTGATTAACTGACCAGCCACCGATGCCAAATGAGCAGGGCTTCTGTGGCATTATCGTTCCAAAATGAAGCGTTCAGGGTTTGAGGATATGGCAGAGTACGTAACGGGAGAAATATATTAGTGGAGTGTTTATGGCTAAGAGGCAGAGAAACAACCCTATGTAGGAGAAGGGCAGCTCATAAAACTGAGGCTACCTCTTATGGAAGGCAGCAGAATTGTAAAAAAAAAAAAAGAAAGAGGTAGGGTGCAAGGTTCGAGTCCAGACTCAACAACTAACACCTTGGACATTCCCTCCTGCTCTGGAGCCTTGGTCACCTGAGCTGTAAAATGCATTGAATTGGGTGCGGTCACATGTCCTCCTGCTGTAAATTTTGCATGTGAAGATGTTAGAATGCCTCACTCTTTCATCGGACCCTCTGCATCATGACTGATATTTAGAGGCGACTCTGCATTATCTTTACTGAGAAGGTAAATGGTTCTTACAATGAGCAACGTAGCTGCCCTTCCCGAGCTAGCCTCTCTCGGTACTGTCAGCTTAGGCAGGCTCAAAATTTATTCAGCTGTCCCATGAAGAAGGAAGACGCAGATCTATGTTCTGACATAAAAAAAATATATCCCCAAGATATATTGCCAAAGGGGAAAAAAAGGCAAATTTCCAGAATAGAATGTTTGGTGTAATCCCATTTTTGTTTGCACAGAACAAAGCACTCCCAAACTGTTAATTGAGATTTTTTTTTTTTTCCTGGAAGGATGGGCTCACAGGGAACTCCAATTTTCTTGTGATGCATTTCTGTACTGTTGATTTTTTAACTGATTTTGTAATCAGAAAACAAAACATCTTTCAAAAAGAGTGAACAAAATCTGAGGCTGCTCTGTGCATTCCATGCTCCCCATCTGTTTCACTTCTCCAGCCCATCTGCCTCCCACCCTGTTGACCGCATCACCGACTGCTGAGACCAAAATGCACATTTCAATAGACGCAGAGGAGAAAGAAGGCTTGGGGGAAGCACTGCAAAGTCACATCACATGTAAAAGGCAGAACTGAGATTTGAACTCAGACCAGTCAGGTCCAAGTCAGGACCTCCAGTTAATTAATGAGGGACTCTCCTAGGGTGTTCCTGGTTGTCTCCAGCATGGGAGCTTTCTCTTGCTGTTCCTTACACCGTGCACCAGGGAAGTACTTATGTGGCAATGACCTCAGATGGTTGTTAAAATGCAAATTCTAGGGCAGAGCATGATAGCTCATGTTTGTAATCCCAGTGCTTTGACAGGCTGAGGTAGGAGGATCACTTGAGGCCAGGAGTTCAAGACCAGCCTGGGCAACATAGCAAGACCCTGGCTTTAAAAAGTTTTTAAAAATAAACCAGCCGAGATGGTGTGTGCCTATAGTCCCAGCTGCTCTGGAAGCTGAGGCAGGAGGATCACTTGATCCCAGGGGTTTAGGCTGCAGCAGCTATGATCACACCACTGCACTCCAGCCTGAGTGACAGAGTGAGACCCTGACTCTTAAAAAAATAAAAGAAAATGCAAATTATAGGACTCTCAGACCCCCAAACCAGGATCTCTAAAGCATAATTCAGGAATCTACATTTCAACCTGCTCCAGGGTGATTTTTATGAACAAAAAAATTTAGGAATTACTGCCATAGAAACTGCCAGGGTCTCCTCCTAATTTTGGCCTCACACTTGGATTTGAAGGGGTTAGATTTGCTTAAGGCTGTGCAAAATCATTCTTGCTGCAAGAGTGCTGATTTGCACTGGCCACACAATACAGGGAGGTGCAAGCCAGGAATGCCCCAGGTCACACCCCAAACACCATCCTTGAAATTAGCATTAATTCCAAGCACCAGGACTGTGTTCTCTCCACCTTAGCCAATTAGTGTGAAATTTAATTTATGCTAACCGGCCTGAGCAAGGGGACCACACAATTAATTTGATGCATTAATTTTGAGTTTCACAGAACCCAAAGTCTGGAGCCCAAAGGACAATTAGTCTTTTCAAATTGGGGGAAATGACACATGTTTTTCTCAGAGACAAGGTGCCCCTGACCTTCCCCTGTCCCCATAAATCCCTATCCCTTCCCACACCATGGGGCACAGGGGCTTTGGATGGAGGTGAGGAGCAGGCACCATGCTCAGAGCTGTCAGGCGATTGCAAATTGAAAACCAATTTAATGAAGGGGGGAGTCTGGTTTGCAAACCCAGAAGAGTCCTTGCAGATTACTCAAGAACCAATTAACCAGAAATTATCTTGAAAACCTCTCCGGATCTACCACTTGGCCAAACCAACAGAAATATTCTTTCTATTGAGGGACAATTACTCCAAGGGCCTGCCAGAGAGAAGGGGACAGGAATTAATAAATTTGTTGTATATTTTGTATGGAGTGGAACAGAAAAAAAAATATCCTGTGCACTGGCCTCATTTGCAGCTTGGGCGAGCAGTGAGTAACTGGGATTTCACGGATGTTAAATGCTGGAGGACACACCTGGGGTCCTTGGGACCGTCACTGTTGCTTGTTCTTCACGGATCCAACAAGCACTATGTGAGCACTTACTGTGTGCCAGGTCCTGTTCTGAAGGACCCCACTGGCCAGTCAGAGAGACAAACAAACCACAGGGGCACACACGGGTCTTGGCTTGATCCTGTCCTCAGCTCTTATATTCATAGACTGTCAAGCCCAAAAACCATCTGACCTGCAGACAGCAGGAAACAGCAACTTTTTGCTCTCCTCCCATACTTTGCAATTTGCACAGAAAGATCTGTTCATTATAACCCCTTGGGTGAGAAACAGCTCACACTCTTGAAATGCTGAGGATAGGTATGCCCTAAGCATTTGGCATATGTCATTTGCCTTAAGCCCTTCAAATACCTTATGAGAAGGGCATTTTTGTTATTCCCCTTTTACAGAACAGGAAACTGGGGAGTTGAGAGAGGGAGTGATTTGCTTAGGATCATAGCTGGTAAGTAGCAGAGGTAGCCCAGCTTGGGCTGCCTGATTCCCAGCACCTGGCTCACAACAACCCCACTATTTTCTGTCCCACATCTACCATCTGACCCTTTCTTTGACCTCCCTCACCCCTCTGGCATCTGGAGGTTAGTAAAGCAATTATCCACCTAGAACAAACCAGGCAGCCATAGCCCAGAGAGCTGAGATTAAGTAGCCAGTGGGTACAGATCAAAGACCAAGTAAGATCTGGACCTCAACCACCCTTGCTGGACACTTTGGCCAAAGAGAGCCTAGGTGGATGCCCAGTGGAAGGGAAGCCCCCACTCCCACCCCCTTCAACCTGAGTGAAGAAAAGACAAAATGAGGCAGTAGATACAGGGCCAGCCCAACTGCAGTACCAGCTGGCTTGTGGGATGTTCGTCAAGGAGATTAAGCCATGGCTTCAGTCTCATGGTACTGCCCCCAGAGCTGCCTCAGTCAGCAGGGGAAATTCAAAATAAATCTGCAGCTTAGTGGCAGGCTCCCGGGTTCCCCAGAGATGCCTGTTGGACACCAGTTCCAGCCCTCTGCTGTGCATCCCAGCTGGGTTCACCACTCGCTACTAAGTAACATATAATAACCATAATAATAACCATCGCCACCACAGATAGTGCTTACCACATGCACAGGTTTGCCCACAGAATGCTCAAAATGCTGAGAAGTGGGTACTGATGTTGTCTCGAGGTGGCAGATGGGGAAACTGAGGCACCAAGGTGCAAACGCTCACCGAAGGACACCAGCCAGGTGGTGGCTACTTAACCACTCTGCCAAACTGACTCTTGAGGACTCAATGAATACGGGTTGACTGAACTAACAAGTGCATGACAGCAATTCATACATGGGAAGGCTCTATAGGCTCTGGATGTCAGTGGGAATGGGTCAATCTTGTAAGAATGCCAGGAGAAAGGTTATGCCTCTGAGCTGGGCATAGGAGGGTGACACACCACCCACTGGCCTTGGGGGTCCCTCTAGAATGAAGGGACAGTTATGGCCTTTCAGGGGCTTTATAAGGGGGTTTCAAGGGCCATTAGGGCCCCCCAAGTGTTTCAGCACAAAGAGGAAATAATCCTAAGATCATGACACCCACATACCTCTTTTTGAAAATGTCCTTTGGTCCTGCCCTCCCCTTCAGGATGAAGTCCAAACCTCGAATGTGATTCTCCTGACCCCCTGCGATCCAGTCCGGCTTCATGCCTCATCTCTAACCCATAGGCAACCCCTCAACCCCCCAAACACAAACACATCCCCATACAAGACACTCCAACCACCAGAATTGCACCTGCCAGACCAGGTTCTGCTCTCCGCCTCTGCTCTTGCTGTGCCCTGTACCTGGAATGTCCCCTCACCTTGTCACCTGGCCAGCTCCTGCTTATCCTTCATGACTTCTCCCCCGTGAAGCCCTCCCTGACCCCATTTCCCACCTGAGTAGATGCTTCTCCTCAATCACAGTCTGTTTGGAGTTGACCAGCCCTGGGTTCAAATCACAGTTCTGCCATTCACCAGCTGAGTGATGTAGGACAAATCACTTCAGCTCTCTGGGCTTCCCTTGCCTCATCTGTGAGATGGGGATACTAACACCTTCTTCACAGTTTCAGTTAAAGGTAAAATTAGATAATGCAGGTAAATGCTCACAATGCTGAGAGGACTTATCGCAGCAGCTGGCACAGAACATCACTCATTAAATGTAATTTTTCTAATTAAATTCAGTATGACTCCATTCACTGAATTTGCATTGAATGCTTTGTACTAGACACAGAAGGGTATAAAACTGTCTACGATATGTCATTTTCTTTGAGGAATTCACTCTACTGGGGGGAGGGTAAACATTTAAAAAATATATTTATTGGTAATAGTGGTGATGTGGCTTGCTAGATAGCACGCAGTGTTATAACTGTTTTACATGCACCTTCTCCCCACAGGCTTATCAAGATGAAGTAATGATTACCATTGCCATTTTACTGATGATGAAACAAAGGCTAAGAGACTTGAAGAATTTGCCCACAATCTTGTAGCAATGAAGGTACAGAGTCAGCCATCTGGAACTCAAGCTGGCTCGACCCTCTGCCCCTCCAAACTGGACATACAAGGTCAGGTCACTGCATTCATTCCTTACCTTGTACAGTGCCCAGATTATTCATCTGTGTTACAAGGCAGGTAGAGAAGAGATTATGGACTCGGTTTTGTATGGGCAAACTGAGGCACACAGTCAGAAAGAATACACCAGCTGTTCTTTAGCTGAGAGGCCTTAGTTTCTTCCACCAGGACCATCTATGAATATGACCACCATGTCTCTTCCACTGTCCACCAGGAGATACTCCCTAGCATGTCCCAACAGTGAAGGCTCAACAGATCCTAATAGCCTAAGACAGATAAGAAACCAGGCTGTCTAATTTCCCCCGGGGATTAGGGAGCTACCAGTCCAGTTCCTCACAGAAGCATGATGCTGTGGCAGGACTATGGAGCGAGGAGTCAGGAGACCTGGGATGTGGTCTGGGCTCAGTTACCAGTGACCATGTGACCCCAACAAGTCACTTTCCTACCTCCTGCTAGAGACAAGCTGGAAGCCACACTCATGACCCATGATCAAACTCCCTCAGCACTTTGCAAATAGACTTTCTGACCTACATACATCTGCAGTCCCCGTCAGTGGATTGTCTCCACAATTTCTTACCAAAAGCGAAACCTCTCAGGCTAATGAGGCCAGAAATGAGGAGTGCATGGGCCTGTCTTTTGCCATAAATAAGGTCTTGGGGGGAAAATCCAGAACCTATTCCAGAGAGGGGTGGAAAAACACCCCACCTCATTTTATATCCCATGTGGTCCCAAAACCTTACAGGTGCTTCCAACAAGAAGGCCAGCACTGCCTTCTTATGAAAATAAAAAAACCCCAGTTTGCATCAAGGCACATTTTGCATGCTTGAAGAGTATTTATAGCCAGATTCTTAGAGGCTCCTCATCTCCTCTTCTGCTCCTTCACAAATGAAGCACTTAAATCATTTTGCAATAGTGATGTCTTTTTAATAAGCCTAGTCAAATGGAGTTTTCACTGACGAGACACGACACGTTTTAGCAATGTTTATATTACTGTTTCTCCCCCTCCAGAGACAAAGGGGTGGCATGCAGAGGCCACGAACCGCAGCAGGGGTGTCATCATGATGCATGGTCCTGGAAGGGTGTCTGATCCCTGTCTGTTAACAGAAATTCCCTTCCAAGGAAGCAGATGCACATGGAAGAAGATATCTTCTAGCTGTTCTCTGGCCTAATGTGTCTCAAAGTGTGGTCCCAGGACAGGCACCTTTAGCACTCTAGCATGTTAGAAATACAGCCTCCCCAAGGCCACGCCAAGCCTACTGATTCAGAATCTCTAAGGCTGGAGTCTAGCAATCTGTATTCGGAGAAGTCTTACAGGGCATTCTGACACATTTGCAAGTGTGAGAACCACTGCTCTAAAGCAACCTCACCCTCTGAATCAGGATTGCCTAGGGGCTGGAGGGCTCCCTACCCCCCATACCAAGAACCTCCTCTTGGGTCAGACCCTCAGGAGGTGGACTGGGGAAGATACAGAGCTAACTGTTCCCCAGGTGACTGGAATGCTCTTTAAAGTGTAATTACAGGTCTGGTGCAATGGTTCACGCCAGCACTCTGGGAGGCCAAGGCAGGAGGATCGCTTGAGCCCAGGAATTGGAGACCAACCTGGGCAACAAAGTGAGACCCCCATCTCTACCAAAATTGAAAAAAAACAGCCAGGCATGGTGATGCACGCCTGTGGTCCTGGCTACATGGGAGGCTGAAGTAGGAGGTTCGCTTTAGCCCAGGAGGTTGAGGCTGCAGTGAGCTGTGTTTACTCTACTGCATTCCAGCCTGGGCAAAAGAGGGAGATTCTGTCTCAAAAAATAAAAATAAAAATTAATTAACTAATTAAAAAAGAGTAATGACCTCATGAATATAAGGCACACTATTTGGGTGGTAGTTGCACTAAAAGCCCAGACTTCATCACTATGCAATACATCCATGTAAAAAAACTGCCATTGTACGCTCTAAAACTATTTAAAAATTTTTTAATGTAAAAGTGACCGACATAAACCAGTAGTAGCACTGGAAGTTGGGGAAGATGAAGTGGGAAGGAAGAGAAAGATTTGAGGAAGATAAAGTCATCATAATACTCAGTCATCAAACGTGCTTCCTGGATAAAGCACTGCTTTGATTTCAATTGATTCATTTTTGAAAGAAATGACATCATGCTCTTGGCTTACAGTTCAGGATGATGCTCCAAAAGTGCTCCTACCCATCCCTTCTCAATTGCTGTGTGAATATTGCTGAAGTCATACTTTGCTAAATGCCTTAGTGCCCCTTTTATGAGAATCCATGGAATAAATTTCCCTAACACCTCAATAGCCAGAAAAGTTACTCTTATCTCATGTAACAGGTGTTTCTTTTTTTTTTTTCAATCTACATGCAATATGTCTATGAAATAGCTTGTTTCCCTCTTAGCTTTCGCTGCTAGGAAGTTCAGTGTTGGATTTTTCTGCCCAACTTTAATGGTTCTATTTGACCATTCTTTATCTATCCTGTGCCAGGGACTGGGATTATTTGACGAACAGGGATGAAAACAGGGATTTCAGTCTAGCTGGGACACAGATAAAGGAGGTCACTAGGAAAGAGTCAATTAATCCTGTGAGGGGAAACAACAAGGCTAGTGGTAGCACAGAGTAGGGCCCTAACCCACCCTTAGAGTGTTGAAGAGGGCTTCTTAGAGGAAGTGCCACCTAAAATGAGTGACAAGGGATGAAGAGGTATTAACCAGGTGAAGAGGATGAAGGGAGTGTTTCAGGCAGAGTGAACAGCACATGTGAAGGCTATGAAGTGAGAGGGCATCCAAGGCCAAAGGTAGATTTCCATTTTCTACCTCTTCCCCTGGCTTCCATACACTCATCAACTCTTATTTCCCTTTGCTCTGGCTTTCTTCACTTTTAAATTTTATCTTAATTTTTCAAGGCCCCATACATCTTGTTGTAACCATGATATAAGCAAAGAGTTAAAGAGGCTGAGTAGAATATTCTGTAGGTGTTGGCATTTGTTTGCTTGGTTCAGGGTGCAGAAGCCTGAGCCCCCACCCTTCCTTCTCCAAGTGTCCTGTAAACTGCAGCTCTGGATGCTGAAGATGTTCATCTCATCCCCGCACATCTCCCCCAACAGCCGATGCATGGCAAATCCAACCTGACAGTTCGTGATTAATGACTGCTTCAAATGTCAGCTCGGTGGGAAGGAATTTCTACAGGGAAGTCCCTGATATTCCCAACCAGCCCACAGCTCTCCAATTTTTCACTTCTGCTGTTCTACTCATTGTTGCTGCCAGCAAGAGAGGTCAGACAGCTTGCTCTCGCAAGACATGAATGAGACATCAGGCACGTGTGTGTCATTTCTTCTCCCCCTTACAGTCTTTTGCATAGGAGGAGCATAGGCTCAAGGTGTATCTCAGCCCAGCCTCTCTTAACTCTTGTGTGGATGTGGTCCTTCCTGCAAGGAGCAAGGCTTCTGCCTTCTCCGTGGCCAACTCCACGGTTGACACTTTAATGTGGGGAGAATGGACACAATCTTACAGGGAAGATGAGAAGAAGCAGAAAAGAGATGGCCTCCTCTCAAACTTCATTCCACATCCCCACATGAGCCATCTCAGGCTCAACTTGGGTTATCAACATGGGAAGAAGAGTAGGTTCTGTTGGCTTAATCATAAATCCATTTACAGTTACCATTGTCCATTAACCAAGCCAAACAACATTATAAGCAAGTAATAACACCAGGTGCTCTCGGGTGTAGAAATCTTTAAATTTTGTCCTGGACTGACAAATATTATCTCACATTGTCCCAGGACCTCGGCACCTGCCATATCTACTCTTTCCACCAGATCTGCATATAGATTACAGCAAATCATTCAGATCTAGAGTCCAACATCCCCTTCCATGGAATTCTTCCTTGACCACTTAGGCAAATAGAGCCCATGCTTAACCTCCATCACTGTCACCTCCTTCTGCTTCATATCCGTAGCACTTCATGTGTGACAAGCTTGCTTGTGGTCTGTCTCCCTCTATCGGCCTGGAGACCTTGTGTAAGGACAGGGACTTTCCCTCCTTCCTAGCTCTATCAAGGTGTCCAGTCAAATGTCTAACACATGGGAGATGTTCATATACATTTGTTGAGTGGGTGAAAAAATGGGTTTCATTTGGTCTTTAACAGAATCCTTGGAGGTACCCAGAGCTTCATGGACAAACAGAGCTGAGACTAGAATGAAGCATGTAAAACACTTACCTAGGGTGCAACATGTAAGGAGGTGTCAAAAAAAAACTCTCAGAAATCAAGATAAATAAGATTTTAATTCAATATTTTAAAAATCTCAATTAGTCAAAAAATCCACGATAAAGAAAATATCAACATTTTATATAAAGATTGGTTCACACTGTTTAGAATGTTTACTTGCCTCACCCTAATCTTGGCCTACAAATTTTGCATTTACTTAAAATTTTGATGTTTTGTTCATCAGGGATTATTTTTTGCATTACTTTACAATTTTAAAATATTATTTACTTTGCTGAGTGTTTTGGTGACCCCTTACATTTTATTCCCTAGTCAAGTGCCTCCCTTTCCCCAGTCCTGAAAGTCTACATAGAACAGCAGGTTTTCGTCGAAAAGCTCCTCTTTGGTCTAGCCGTGGCTTGCTGACCACATGCAACATAATAGCATATGATATGATTTGGTCCTATGTCCCTGACCAAACCTCATATCAAATTGTAATCCCTAGTGTTGGAGGAAGGGCCTGGTGGGAGATGACTGGATCATGGGGACAGATTTCCCCCTTGCTGTTCTAGTGATAGTGAGTGCGTTCCCACAAGATCTGGTTGTTTAAAAGTGTATAGCACCTCCCCCTTCTCACTCTTCCTCCTGCTCCAGCCATGTAGGATGTGCCTGCTTCCCCTTAACAATCCACCATGATGTAAGTTTCCTAAGGGCTCCCCAGCCATGCTTCCTGTACAGCCTGTGGAACCCTGAGCGAATCAAACCTCTTTTCTTTATAAATTACCCAGTTCAGGTATTTCTTTAGAGCAGTGCAAGAATGGACTAGCACAGCATATGACTTTGTCTAGAAGTCTATCTGTAATTTGCAGTGACCTTCTTGGAGTGGGAACTGTCTGATTCATGTAGTCACCCCCAGCCCATGAAATCAATACCCATGCCCATGAAGTCACCCCAGCCCATGAAATCAAAGAGAGAAGGCATAGGGAATACGGTCACACATTCAACCAACATAACCTTCTCCAGTCACATGACCGTACCCCAGGTAACCCCTACTCTGAATTTGGTGTTATGATTCCCATAAATATAATGACACCATAAGTATACAAGGATATACCCCTAATCAAGTACTCTTCTGTAACTGAATTATTTTCCTTTGGCATTATGTTTGCAAGAGCAATACATGCATGTTGATACACATTTTCTAGTTTAAGGATCAGGAAACTATTTCTGTAAAGATCCAGAGAGTAAATGTTTTAGCTTTCGCAGGCCACATGGCAAGGCTGAGTAGTTTCAGGTTGCAACTACTCAGCCCTGCCATTGTAACATGAAAGCAGTCATAGACTACACATAAAGGAATGAGCGTGGCTGTGTTCCAATAAAACTTTATTTACAAAAAGCAGGTGGTGCACTGAATTTAGCCTGTGAGCCACAGTTTTCCCTGTCTCTTCATTCATTTTCACTCTTGGGAGCTCGTTTTTAATATCACAAAACATATTCACCTACTGTTCTGTTAATAAGCTCCCATTTGAATGTTTACTTTCCTGTGTTTACATTCCTTCAACAGGACAAAGGCTGTTGCTATGAACTTCTTGTATTTTCATATATTCGTGGATAAGATTCTCTAGCATAAATACCTAGAGGTGGAATGGCCAGCCACAGGGCATGGACAGGTTCAACTTTCACAGATAATGCCAAATTGTTCAAGAGTGATGAGATCAATTTATGATCCCAGCAGCAGTAAATAAGAATTCCCACTGCCACACAACCTTGCCAACACTTGGCTACATCACACTCTTCAATTTTTCCAATCTGATGTGTGAAACAGTACCTATTAAGGTGTTAATTTGCACTTCCTAATTGCTAATTAGGTTGAGTGTCTTTTCATGAGTTTATTGGCCATTTGAATTTTTGAACACTTAAACTCTTGAAACAAGCGTCCCTTCCTTGGGAACTGCCCATTCATATTATTGGCTCATATTTGTTTTTCCGTTCTTATTGGAGTGTTTGCCTTCTTCCATTTGATTTGAGAAAGCTCTTTACATGTTCTGGATACTCTTTTCCAGTTTGCAAATTTCTATTCCAAGTAAGTAATATACATCTTCATTTTATGCCCTGATAAACAAAAGTTCATTATTTTAATATAGTCAAATTTATCATTTTTCCCTATGATTTGTGCTTTTGTGACTTATTTAAGAAATTCTCCCCTTTGGAACCAGGTGACATGGGTTTGAATCTCAGTTACACTTGCCGGTTGTGCAGCCTCGAGGAAGATACTTAATATCCCAGGGCCTCAATTTCCTCCACTGTAAAATGGGTTCAATAACAGCATGTGCCTCACAGGTAATTCTGGGGTGCTTGTAAAGCAATTAGCATGCTTTCAGGCATATCATTGTTCTCCCCATTAAACAGATCTCACATACATAAAGACCCCCCACAAGGACCCAAGAGGAGGGATGGGGATACCTTGCTTTCTAGCAGATCTGTGTTCTGCCGGAGTTCATTCCGCAACTTCTCTGATTTTTCTAGCTTCCGTCTTAGCGTTGTAAGCTCCTCCTACAAAAACAAACACATGAACAGAAACCATTCCAGGCCAGAGATTAAGTTCCACCTGTGTTAGGAGTGAGCAAACGGCACAAAGTTTCCGTTAGGAGGAATAAACCTTAGCAATCTATTGCACAGAATGGTGACTATAACAAATAATGGTGCACTGTATATTTCAAAATTGCTTGTAAAAAGTAGGTTTTGGCTGGGCACAGTGGCTCACACCTGTAATCCCAGCACTTTGGGAGGCTGAGGCGGGCGGATCACCTGAGGTCAGGAGTTCGAGACCAGCCTGACCAACATGGAGAAACCCCATCTCTACTAAAAATACAAAATTAGCTAGGCTTGGTGGTGCATGCCTGAGATCCCAGCTACTTGGGAGGCTTGAGGCAGGAGAATCACTTGAACCCCGGAGATGGAGGATGCAGTGAGCCGAGATAGCACCACTGCACTCCAGCCTGGGCAACAAGAGCGAGACTCCATCTCAAAAACAAAAAGTAGATTTTAAGTGCTTTCACCACAAAAAAAATGATAAATGAAGTGATGGATTTGTTAATTAGCTTTGCTTAATCATTTCATATTGTAAACATATATCAAAACATCACATTATACCCCATAAATATGTACGATTACTCTTTGTAAATTAAAGATGAATTTTTTTTTTTAAAGAGCGGTTGGGGAATGGAGTGAGTAATTCAGCCAGCATCCATGAAGATACCCAGGTGCTAGGTTCCAACAAGAGACTTTTTGTTTCACCACTTCCAAATTTCAATGTCTCTGTTCATGCAAGTCTGTTCCAGCCCTGCCCAGTCTAGGGGCTGAACACAAATCATCAGAATGAGTCCCTTGCTTTGCCTGAGACTGGGTATACACAAGTATGGACACGGTGCTCAGCACTTCATCCTCCAGGGATTGCCTTTCTGCCAGTGGCTCAGCACTGTGCCTATGACAGCACCATTCAGAAGCTGCTTCACCGCCCACCCACAGCAGGCGGGTGGAATGAACTAAGGAGCAGACACACAAAGGAGGGCTATGCAGCCATAAAGACAGAACAAGGAGGAGCTCCACAAGAATGGAAACGGCAAGATTTTCAGAATACATTTTAAGTAGAAAATACAAGTCGAAGAAGAGTATATGTAGTATTCTACTTTTTATGTAAGAAATATAAGAACTAAATATGTGTGTATAGTTACTAATTTTTGCAAAATAATAACAACAAAAAGCATGAACCAGAAACCAATTGAAACAGTTATAAAAGATAGGTGGTGACAGGGAAGAATGAAAGAAAAAGAGTGTTGTCTGAGAGGTAAAATAAATAAATAAATAAATAAATAAATAAAGGACTCAAAGACTCTGCCCATTGAGCTTCTCTGGGTTAAGTAGTGAGTGTTCATGAACCCCCAGGGTGGTAATAGCATCTCTAAACACCCACAGCCTAGAGAGGAGCTGGGCATGGGATGGAGGATTGTCTGTGTTGTTGGAGGCAGAGGAACATCTGGAAGGGGCATCAAGGCTGTTGGGCTGAGCATTCCTAGATCAAGAACATTCAGGAATAGGGGCACAGGGTGCTAGATGCAAACAGGAGGAGCAGGGTGTGGGGAGTAGCCACCCAGCACCCTGCCTGCCACATAGACTGACCTCCTTGGCTCGGAGCTGCTCAGTTCCAATGGTGGCACTAAGTAGAGGCTGGAGGGAACCAAGCAGCTGCCACCATGGCCAGTCCTTGACTGCGAGGAACACAGCCACATTCTTCTGGATGCACTGTGCAGCCAGTCGGCGAATCTGCAGGGAAGGAGAACACAGACTGGAGGGTCCTTTCCAACCCAGGTGAGGATAAAGGAAGGAGAGGAGGCAGAGGGTAGCAAAGGGGCTGGAGGAAGTGGGGTTATTTCCCGGTGGAAGGGACTGGATACCTTAAAACACATACACACACACACACACACACACACACACACACACACACACACGGGCTTCCTTTCTTGTAGTCTTTTTGATATGTCAGGCTCTCTGCATCAAACATTATGCCATAATTTAGTCTTGCATGGCCAAATAATAATAGGAGAAAGAGTAAAAGAAACTATACAATAGGTTACATCTTACATGAGGATTAGGTTTAAAGGTCATCATGCAAGGCAAAAACTGCCACTGAAAAATCTCTAAAACTGCCCACAAATAACAATGTCCACGATTATGTTATTAGCTTATATTGAAGGGAGATCATTTTCACAGTGTATTTAAACAGTAATTTCATGCTTCTCAAACTTGAATGTGCATCAGAATCCCCTGGAGGGCTTGTTAAACCCCAGATGGCTAGACACCACCCCCAAAGGTGCTGATTCAGCCACTCTGGGATGGAGCCTGCAAATGTGCATTTCTAACAAATCCCCAGGTGATGCTGATGCTGCTGGTCTGGGACCACAGTTTGAGAAGCATTGACCCGCTTCATTCTTATCACTGGGGGGGGGACCAGAACAGCACTGACTGGCAGACAGGCCAAGAGATGCTTTTCCCTCATCACCATCACAGCAGCTGATTCTTGTGCAGCAGACATTGAGGCTCGTAAGTGCTAGGCACTGCCCTGAGCATCTCACACACCTCAACTTGGTCTTCAGTATAGTCCTAGGAAGATCATGTTATTTTATGTATTTACGGATGGGGAAAGTGAGGTTCAGAGAGGTAAAGTCACATGCCCAGTGTCACCCAGCTTCTCAGTGCCAGAGCAGGCTTGAACCCTTGCAGTCTGGCTGCAGAGCCCAGGGTCTGAAACTCTATTCCACATCATTCCAAGGTATGAGCTACATGAGCACAGAAGGCCAGTGGGGTTGCCCACAATATGTTCATTATTCACGGTCTCATCATTTTTCTCTTTCTGCCAAGTACATATACTTGAGTTTACAAGTTCACATAAACTGGAGGCACATACAACAAGACTCCATTCTAGTAGTAGCAGTAATTAAGAATAACAATTCTAAGGTAATAGCAGCTAGAGTTTATTGAGCAATTACTATGTGCCATGTACTGTATTAAGTGCACATCATTTCATCTCACCTTCACCCAGCTACTAAGAGGTAGAGGTGGAATTCGAACATATATAATACTTGTTCCCAGAGCCACGTGGTTTTCTCTCTATTGTGCAGCTACAGAGAGGAAATTCAGTCTCCAGAGATCTCTGAAGATGGTGACCCTAAATGGGTCAGTGCTTCAAGCTTGACTTGGCCTTTGGTCCCCAAAACCTCAGTGGCTGGGCCCTGGTCATGCCCTGTCTGCTGACCTGTGAAAGTGAATTTCTCCAGAAACAAGACAGGTTGAAGTCATGAATCAGCCCAGGAGGGCTTGGACAACCTCATGGCTACCTAGCGCAAGGCCGACCTCATGGATAATTTGATGTCAATGTCCCAGAAACAGTCATAACATCTTGCAAAGCCTCACTTAAAGTCTCACTGCTCAGGTTGGATCCTTGGACCCGGTGCACCGGTATCATCCTGAAAGACAGGCAGACCCTATGCCCGCTCCAGACCCGTTGGATCAGACTCCTCATGGGAACGGCATGCAGTACCTTCAGCTTCTTGAATTCCTGGCGAGACAGAAAGCCCTTGCAAGCCGCCTGGAAGAGAACGATGCTCTGAGATACCAGCTTCTCTCGCTGCTTCTCAAGCCTGGAGATCACACCTGCCTTGAGAAAAACCTGGGGAGAGGGAAGGTTTCAGGTGAGTCCTCTGCTGAAGAAGGCTGTCTACAATGGGGGGGTGCTTGCAAATCAGACCCCACTTCTCTTGCACCCACCTGCAATATTTGTTGGCAGTTGCCCTTTAAGTGGGAGGTGGGGGAGTCTAAATTATCAAAGCATTTTGTCTGCTGATGGCTCCTCTCTCCCTTCCCCTAGGCCCTGGATACTCAGTGTGGCCCACGCACCAGTGGCATTGGCACCACCTGGGTGCTTGTTGGAAATGCAAAATCTCGCACTCCATTCCAGACCTGCTAAATCAGAACCTGCACTTTAACACAATCCCCCGGGGATTCCTGTGCACGTTCCTTTGAGAAGCACAGCTAGCATGGACTTGCCTAAACTGTTCTGTGCACGGTCACCACCTGGAAAGTGCAGTACATGCAGATTCCCAGGCCCCAGGAAAGGCTGGGTTGTGGGTTTAGGGCCAGGCCTGGGAATGTGAATATTTTGGGTAAGCACCCACAGCAATCTGAGTGAAGCAGTGGCTTAGAAACAACTCACTCCAGCCGGGCGTGGTGGCTCATGCCTGTAATCCCAGCACTTTGGGAGGCTGAGGTGGGCGGATCACCTGAGGTCAGGAGTTCGAGACCAGCCTGACCAACACGGAGAAACTCCGTCTCTACTAAAAATACAAAATTAGCCAAGCGTGGTGGCGAATGCCTGTAATCCCAGCTACTCGGGAGGCTGAGGCAGGAGAATCGCTTGAACCCGGGAGGCAGAAGTTGTGGTGAGCCAAGATAGTGCCATTGCACTCCAGCCCAGACAAAACTCCATCTCAAAAAAAAGAAAGGAAAGAAAAAAGAAACACCTCAGTCCAGCCTTGTAAGGAGGGGCAGAGACAGTGGGGGAAGGGATGGCAGTCCTCTTGGTCTGGAGAGGATGGGGCTGGGCTGGTGCCACCCACAGAGGTGCTGAGGGATCTAGCAGAAAACAGCTCTCGGTACACGATTTCCAGACCGTAACTCATCAATAATGGATGATGGCCTCTGCAGCACTCTGATCAATGCCTCCTCGGCACCCCACAAAGCCACCTTCTAGTAGACTGCAGGGAACAGGAATGAGGGAAGCTAGGACCCCAGGACTGACTGTCAGCAAAAGATTAAGGCAGAGAGTCCTGGAGGTTTGAGTTAAATGCTTTTCTGCGAGAACCTGAAGCTTCTGGGCCAGGCCTGCTCCTGCCAATGCGCAAGGGTAGCTCTGGTTTGCTTTGGTCATTTTCTCAACTTCCCAGAGGCAGAGGAAAAATGCTCTTATGGTGGGATTTCAGTCAGTGACAGGGGAAGAAGTCATTTTTCTGATGCCCTTATGCTGCTTATTTCTAAAAAGAGTCCCATGTGTTTCTTTGTCACATGTGGTTTATAATCCCAGAGGCGGTTATCTGGAGACACTGGATAACTCTGTATTCATTGATGACATTATCAATTAATGGATAACATTTAGGGGGCACTTACTGTGTTTTGGAACTGGACTAAACAACCACTCGACATGCAGGGAAAACACTTTACATGTCTAATCCTATATGGTAGTTACGATGATTCTCACATTTTATGGAGGAAAAAACTAAGGCTTAAAAAAAAAAGGCATTGGCCCACGATCCTTTACAAGCAAGTGGCAACACCAGGATTTATTTTCCTCTATCTGACTTCAGACAAGGGTACAATTATCACTGAATAGCATGAACATTACATGCATCTACATTTTCCAAAGTGCTTTCTCCTAGGTCTCTTTTTAATACTCAAACAGCTCTATGAGGAATGTACTGGCTCAGGCAGGTTATGAAATTGACTCAAGTTTGCAGAATCAGTTGCCAACAAAGCTGAGACCTGAGCCCAGAACTTCAGGTTTATTTCCTGCACCCATTCTCAATGTCCGTCAACATGAAGCTGCCTTTTCTTATCCATTATGATACAAGCACTTGAAGTGCGAGGTTCAACTGCAATTTGATTCCAGGTGGAACAAAGGGTCTCGATCGATTCTCCATTACCCTAAACCCTATTTTTCGTAATGGAGACCACTCATCTCCGACCATCCTGCACTATGCCTTTTCTCAATGGGAAAATAAAAATTAGCATGCCCAGTTGGTACTAACTCTGTTTCCTAACCCTCCATGGCTTTGCAGAACACTTCCTATCAGACAGGGCCACCAAGACCATTAGTCTCATTGAAATAAAGACACAATTGGCTCATTACCTATCAGATTGCTTCAATAATGACTGTATTAATTTCACAAGCTAGTGAGTCCCAAAAGCTGCTATAAAAAAAAAATCAATGATCAAAGTTATGACAGCACCAGATCGTATATTACAATAGATGGCGGGTGCTGCCAAAACCACTATTGATTATGAAGCTTTCATTAAAAAGATAATTGGAAACAACCATACACAGAATGGGAATAAGCCTTTGCAGAATCTTATCTCAATTTCTCTCTGGTTTTTTGTTTTTTGTTTTTTGTTTTTTTTGCCTTTTAAGAGCATATTGCCGACCAGAAGGCCGACTGCACGTGGAATCACACCTTTCCCACAAATGCCATGGCCCTCAGCACAAGCCTTGATAAGGCGCCAGAGGCTGAAAAATCACGAAGAAAAATCTAAATTATTTGCTTTTCATGGGTCCAGCAGCTTATCGGATGCAAACAGAGTGTAACATCCCCAAAGCCCCACTTTTAAGGAATCCACGGGGGACAAAACCACGCAAACTGTTTTTCCTCTAACAATGCTGAAGGCCCAGGTTTTAAAAAAATCTGATATGGAAACAGCTTCCATATCTGGTACCGCCAAGGAATTAGCTCCTCTCCTCTTAGTCACTTTACAGATTAGAGGAGTTTAATTCTTTAAACATTAAAATGTTATCCTGCTTGATAAGCCTCTTGCCTCACTGACAAATGTATTCAGCAAGTAGTGACAGCCACCCCCTGTTAAATGACACTTTATGGATCCCCACAGCCATCTTGGGAGGTAGAAAGTAATGGCCCCATTTTACAGATAACTGAGGCTCAGGGAAGTTAAACCAGTCACTGAAGATTCACACAGTTAGGAAGTGGTGGAGCCTGGGTGTGGACTGGGTCAGCCGATTCTCTTGTCCCCTGAGCTTCATAGCCTTCTCCATTATTACATGCCAATCCTGCAATGCGTAAGATGCTGCATCTGCCCTTAAAGGTCTCAGTATCCCCCAGCCTGGCCTCCAAAAGGACACATTGACCTTGATTTGCTTTTGACAGTTTCTCAGTCAATACCAAGTATTATTCAATAATAGTCATATTTTATTATCTGAATGTTTAGGTGTACAGACTTCTTACTCCTGCCACTGTAAACTGCATGTAATGACTGTTTTCTTTCTTCTTCTGCAAGAGCTGCCAGGATCATAGGCACTGATTTTCATATTTATGACATAACTGAGTCATTATCTAGACCAGTGGTTCTCAGACTTGAGAGTGCATTGGAATCACCTAGAGGGCTTGTTATACAGATTGCCAGCCCTGCCCCCCTCCAGAGTTTCTGATTTACTAGGTCTGGGGTGTTTCTAGCAAGCTGTTGGGCGATGCTGATGCTGCTGGTTCAGGGCCCATACTTTGAGAACTGCTGGTCTAGAAGGATGAAGTTCCTGGAGCTGAAGAACAATTCCACAGATTCAGGACCGTAAAGATCCATCTGTAAAGAATATGTCATGTACAGTCATGCACCGCCTAATGACATTTCCGTCAACAATAGACGCATACACAACAGCGAGCCCATAACATTATAATACCATATTTTTACTCTACTTTTTCTGTGTTTAAATACTCAGATCCTTACTCTACTTTTTCTATGTTTAAATACTCAGGTCATTACCATTGTATTACAACTGCCTACAGTATTCAGTGCAGTCACATGCTGTACAGGTTTGTAGCTTAGGAGCAATAGGCTGTGCCATCTAACCCAGGTGCGTGGTAGGCTATCCCATCTGTGTTTGTGTGAGTACACTCTGTGATGTTCCCACAGTGAAGAAATTGCCTAACCACTCATTTCTCAGAATGTATCCCCATTGTTAAGCCACACGTGACTGCATTTCCATTCATAAACAATAGGACCCAGAGTGTACGGAAAAGACCCTGGCATTTGGACCAATGCAGGTTTGCGTGGAGTCTGAACCCTTGGCTACAGATAGGATCTTGAAAAGAGGCTTATTTCCCAGGGGCACAGCTTCCTCATCTGTAAAGCAGGAACACACTTGATATCTCACAGAAGACTGTGAGTGAGGAACAAAGAAGAACAAAACGTGAAGTTGCCTCACATAGTGCGTGGGAGTCCAGTAACTGACAGGTTTACTCTCTCTATTGAAAAAGGCTTCAAAGACTTGGGATGCTGCAACTCCTATCAGGATAAAGTATCTTGAGATCACAGCGGAATAACAGGTTCCGCCATATACCTTAGCAGGACCAAGAGGCCAGTGGGGAGACACTAGTGTGTTTAGGGTGGGCTGAGGGGTGGTAGCCAGTGTAGATGACTGTGAGCTCCCTGAGTAAAGGACCACTCTCACGGATGCATATGATAGGGAGGGCTCCATGAAGTACAAATAGCCAATAATGCCACCCTGGTGGGCTCCTGGAGAGCAGAACCCTCCCACCACCTCACATAGCTCCTGGAGGTGGAAGGCCATTGACAAAGTTTTCTTAGATGGCATTCATCAACCAGTAAGTAACTAGGTGGGGAAATGTGTGGAGTAGTCTTTCTTTTGGTCTGTTCCTCTCCAGTTTTCCTTCCCTCCCTCCCTCCTTCCTTCCTTCCTTCCTTCTTTTTTTTTTTTTTTTTTTTTTTTGAGACACAGTATTGTTCTATTGCCCAGGCTGGAGTACAGTGGCACGATCTCAGCTCACCGCAACCTTCGCCTCCCGGGTTCAAGCGATTCTCCTGCCTCGGCCTCCCAAGTAGCTGGGATTACAGGCGCACACCACCACGCCCAGATAATTTTTAAATTTTTTGTAGAGATGGGGGTTTCACCATGTTGGCCAGGCTGGTCTCGAACTCCTGACCTCAGGTGATCTGCCCGCCTTGGCCTCCCAAAGTGCTGGAATTACAGGCATGAGCCAACACGCCCGGCCTCTAGTTTGTATTTCTAAACTGTGTCCCTTTCCCCTGCCCCCACTCCTTGGTCCTTGAGTTTACAATCTCCGTGCCCCACTTCCCAAACTATAATCCATGGAACACTAGCTCCAGAAGATGGTACTAGGTATTCCACACAAACAAAAGGCTGGGGGTTCCACAGTCAAATAGTTTGAGAAACCCTAAATACCATGTATCCCACCTTGAAAACTTCAGCATATATAAGCATATCGGGGAAGTGTGAAATTCTGTTCTAAACATCTGAGCATATTTGGAAGAGCTTTGGGCTCAACACCAGTTTGGGAAAAGCTATTTCTGTCAACCTGAATAATCACGGGCTTTCCTCTCAAGCCCCTTCTTTCTTTTCCCTTACTGCTGCTCATCAGCTATGACTATAGCTGTGTTAGAGCTGGTTGCAAAGCAGAAGTTAAAAGGCTGTGAGTGAAGATGAGCAGTTCTTCTCAGGTTTTATGGCAGCTCTTTCTGAGACTCAGAAGGTCATCTTGAGGACCAGAATGCTAATTCCTCCAAACCACTTGGGGTCCCCAGGAGTGAAGCCTCCAAGAAATGATATTTCCCAGTGTGATTTCAACTCATATTATGACATTGTCTCTCCAGGACCTTGTAAGATAGGCAGGGCAGAAAATCATTAGCTCTACCTTCAGTTTGGGAAAAAGGAGACGTACAGAGATAATAGACAATTGAGGTAGGACAAGAATCAGGTCATCTCTGGGTCCCTGATGTGATGGGCGAATGTTGTAAGAAAGCAGCTCTACTCACTTGGCTGTGCCCCACAGCCACCGCCTTCTTTTCCAGATCCAGGGTCTCCAGGAGCTCCTCCACGGCCTGGGGAAAAAATTAGAGAGAAGTTAGACAGCATAGAAGGTAGGAGGATCCTAAAGGGGAAAGTCAAGCTGGCTCGATGGCTGATGCGCCAGGACGGAGGATGACCCCACATGTCTGTGAGCTTTGGCTAACAGAGCCCCACCTCACACAGGAAGGTGCAGGTGCTGAGCACCTACTGTGTGCCATCCACTCTGCCTTCATACACACACCAATTTGTTTCATCCTCCTATTTTACAGAGCAGAAAACCAAAGATACGAAATGAAATAAAGGATGCAGCTGTTAGGGAAATCAGTACAGAGGTTCCTCGAATAATTAAACATAGAATTACCAGATGATCTGGCCATCCCACTTGTGTGTATATACATAAATGAACTGAAATCAGAGTCTTGGCCGGGCGCGGTGGCTCACGGCTGTTATCTCAGCACTTTGGGAGGCTGAGGTGGGCGGATCACGAGGTCAGGAGATCGAGACCATCCTGGCTAACATGGTGAAGCCCCGTCTCTACTGAAAATACAAAAAATTATAGTCGGGCATGGTGGCGGGCGCCTGTAGTCCCAGCTACTCGGGAGGCTGAGGCAGGAGAATGGCATGAACCTGGGAGGCGGAGCTTGCAGTGAGCCGAGACTGCACCACTGCACTCCAGCCTGGGCAACAGAGCGAGACTCCGTCTCAAAAAAAAGAAAGAAAGAAAGAAAGAAATCAGGGTCTTGAAGAGATATTTATATATTTGTGTTCATAGCAGCATTATACTCAATACCCAAAATGTGGAAGCAACCCAAATGTCCATTGATGGATGAATGGATAAACACTATGTGGTCTATCCATACAATGGAATATTATTCAGCCTTAAAAAGGAAGGAAATTCTGACACATGCTACAACATGGATGAACCTCAAGGACATTATTCCAAGCCAAATAAGTCAGTCACAAAAGGACAAGTACTGCATGATTTCACTTATAAAGGAGGTACTTAGAGTAACCAAATTCATGGAGAATAAAGAATTATGGTGGCTAGGGGTTGGAGACAGGGGGAAATGAAGGCTTATTGTTTAACGGGTATAACGTTTCAGTTTTGCAAGAGGAAGAGCGTTGTGCAGATGGATGTTGTGATAGTTGCACCACACTGAGAATATACTGTCACTGAACTGTATGCTTAAAATGGTTAAGATTAACTTTTATGTTATATATATTTTAATACACACACACAACAAAAACTAAATGAAGGGGCTTTTTTTCAAGATTACAAGTTTGCACACAGGGCAGAGACAGATTCCCATTAAGTTCTTTCTGGCCACAGCTATGTCTTGAACAGTACTGCGTGCCTAGTAATTCACTAAGTCCTCCTGTGATAGCCTCCCCGCTCTATGCTTCTCTCATTGCTCTTGCTGGTGACTGCCTCACTCCCACAAATATTTGCTAAATAAATGACATGGTCAATAACCTCACCTGCCTGATCTACATTATGGCAGAGGAGCCTGTGTTTTCTGTACGCACTATAGTACTATTCTTTTTTTTTTTTTTTTTTTTTTTTTTTGAGACGGAGTCTCGCTCTGTCACCAGGCTGGGATTCTCCTGCCCCAGCCTCCCAAGTAGCTGGGACTACAGGCATGTGCCACCACGCCCGGCTAATTTTTGTATTTTTCACAGAGACGAGGTTTCACCATGTTAGCCAGGATGGTCTCCATCTCTTGACCTCATGATCCACCTGCTTCAGCCTCCCATAGTGCTGGGATTACAGGTGTGAGCCACTGTGCCCAGCCTATAGTACTGTTCTATACACACAGTAGGAGCCCAATAGATATGATGACTGAATGAATAAACACCCAAACCAGAGAGATTCCATAGGGAGGAAAAGCAGCCCCATGCAGGAGAAACAATTTTACTCAAAGAGATTTCTGGATACAGCATGGACTAATCGCCATTTAATGGAATCTTCCCCTTGTCAAATAGTGGTGCAGGCTTTGAAACAATCAGCCAGAGATTTGGACTCTCAGATAAACCCAGGTTGTGCCTGGTTGCTTAGTGACTGCCAATTCCCCTCCCACCCACCCTCATACTACCCCCTCATTGGTCTTTCACTCACTGAAAATCAGAAAGTCTATTTTAAGAATAAACTGTCAGAAAAGTAATTGCAATGCTCAGGAAGCAAAAGGTATTATGAGGCTGGAGTAATTTAGTAAATGAGTTTCAATTCCATGGGTCAAAGACATCACAGAAAACTTCCTAAGATATCAAAAAAAAAATCCTTATTAATAGTCTAGTCCCAGACTGCAATCAGGAAGGAAGCTCCATCTTCCAACCTCCTGGAAGAACATTCCATGACACTCTTCCAAAATGTCGGTGGTTTCACTTATCACATTTTAGCCAAACATGTTCCAAGGGAGCTGTAGGTGGTAGAAATGAATAAAACCAATATATCCAAAATATAATGCCTTTTTTCTCTACATAAGAAGAAAAAAAAACAATAAAAAATTGACTGAAGATAAGATGGATGAATTTTTAAAAGGAAATATATGACCAATGAAATTTTTCTAAGTGTACCTTGGAGGTAAAGTCTATGGCAGATGTTTTGGGGGAAAAAAAATCATGATCCAGAGTTAGATCCATCTGGGTTCAGATCTTGGTTTTATCACTCCATAAACTGTGTGGCCTTGGGGAAGTGCTTTACTCCGAGCCTCAGACTCCATTCAGAAAGATGGGGACAATAACGGCACCTGTTTCAGAAAATTCTGAGGCTGTGCTTGTGCAGGGCTACATAGCACCTGGCATATAGTAAGCACTCAATAAATGTTAGGAGTTATTTCATCCTTATAGTCACCTCTGTTTTGGTCAAAACCTTGGAACAGTGCTGCAAAACATGAATGAAGGCCCCCATTTCTCAGATACACTTCAAACCCTGCCAAAGCACATGCTCAACCCACCATAACTGAGACTCCTTTTCCAGCTCTTTGCTTTCTGAGAACTCTTTAGATGTCTATGTAGCTGAGAACATTAGCCCTAACACAGATATTCTGTTCTGTTGATCTCATTTTACATACAACAAAGCTTGGATTCAAACAGTGGCATGAGTGGGTAAGTGCAGGTATTAAATTATACAACTGACCCTCTTCCCCACCTGCAAAGTGGTGAGAATATTCCCTGCCTGGACCATACAGCAATTCAGAGAATTAATTGAAACTATATGAAAAGGACTTTATAAATTACTTTGCACTTAAATGCTGTTATTTTTATCCCCATTTAACGTTACAATTAGATTGAACCATACGAAACTGTCATTGGTTTAGGTCAAATATCAATCACTTCATTTAGTTCAACATAACATAATCATTGTCCAACAACCAGTTGGTGGAAAAAGACACAGCAAGGATCCAAGTGACTGTTAAGAAATTCCTCCTTGTCCTGTGTCTTTATGGAATCACCTCTTCCATGTACTGGAATTGCCCAGGTAATTGAAACTTATCCTTTGCAGCATAAAATGCTGCTTTTTCGTGAGTCAAATGTGGCCATTTTTCTCCAAGAAAACACAGTTTTCAGTCTGTTTTTGAGTCTGAGCCCTGCTCCAACTGCTTTACACATAACTTGTTTTGTTTCCAACTTTCTGCAGCAGGTACTAATTCATGCCCATTTTACAGAGGAAGAAAGTGAGGCCCAGTGCAATTAAATGACTTGGCAAAGCTCACGTGTTTAGGAAGTGATGGTAGGGGGTTTGAACCCAAGGAATCAGCTCCTGATCTTTTCTCCACCCTCCAACGCTGGGATCAGTTCCACCACTCACTAGCTGTGTGACCCTGAGCAAGCCTCTCCTCCTCTCTGGTCTTCAGTTTGCTTTCTACAACATGGTGTAATCACGCCTGTCCCACAAGGATGTAGTGGAGATTTAATAAGGTCATATAAGTAGCATATAAGGGAGATATTTCCAGAATGGTGGAGGAAGGAGCTTAATAAATCCTCTCCCCTCCCCCCAAAACAAGATAAATATGGATAAAATTTCCAACAACCACAGGTTCAATACTCTGGAAATTGGACAATGGGATACAACAAAATGAGAAGCATTTATTCAAGAAAACCTATTGGATCTCAGGTAGAAACAGTGAGAGTTTGTGGCAATATTGATTACAGGTTCTCCCACTCACCACCCACCCCAGCTCTGTCTCTCTCTCTCTGCAGTAGTTCTTCCAGGGTGAGGCAGCTGTGAAAAACAACAGCTTTGCTTCCAGAAGGGGCTCACCTATATGGAGCAAAGCATGGAAAAAACCCACACCTGGGAGCATTGTCAGAAACAGTAGCAATTTTGGCAGGAAACAAATGAGGAAGGCCAATGGCACAGCTAAGCCTAAGGTTGTTGTCCTGATTGAGGCAAGCACTGGACCTTAAACATGCCAGAAATTTAACAGGAGACACAGGAAATAGGACAGCCACAGTGGGCTTGATAAGTTCCCACATATTCCTGGCTCCAGGCTAAACACAAGAATAAGAGAGACTGGAAAAGGCCCTCACTATCTACATATCCCTATTTATTTGAACATGAAGCCATGTGTACAGGCAGAAACTATGTGAAAGGGCCAAACAGAACGTAGAGGTTGAAGCATAACTGGGAACTGCCTGAATGCTGAGTACATTTCCCAACCCCCACACAGATCCAACAGGAAAATGGAAAAGCCTCAAATATTCAAGATGTTTGATAACAACCTCTGCTGACTCTAAGCTATGCAGACATAGGCGCAACTCCTGGGAAGTCAGATTTAAAATAAAAACACAAATTTTTAAAAATTGGGCAGAGATATCAGTGGTCCCACACCATGAGGAGACAGATCCTGTAATTTTAGTCAAAACAAGTTATAATACTAAATGATTAAGAAAAGATCAGAATGAAGACTTGCTATAATGTATCATCTAAGATGTCCAGTCTTCAGCAAAAATGACAGGATGTGCAATAAACGTAAAATTATGATCCAAACTAAGGGTGAGGGGAAACAGTAGAAAGTATCTTTGTGGGTTCAGAATTTGGACTTAACAGCCAAACACTTCAAAACAGCTATTATAAGTATGTTCAAAGAACTAAAAGAAACAATGCTTAATGAATTAAAGGACAGTGTAATAATAATGACTCCTTAAATAAAAAATGTCAATAACAAGATAGAAATTATTTTTAAAAGATCCAAATGGAACTTCTTCATTTGAAAAGTAAATTAACTGAAATGATAAATTCACCAAAGGGACTCAACAACAGATCTGAGATGTCAAATGAAAGAGTCAGCAAACTTGAAAATAGATCAATAGAAACTATCCAATTTGAAGAACGGAGAGAAATAGGAAGGAGGAAAAATAAATAGAGCCTCAGAGATATGTATGGCAAATCAAGCGTGCCAATATATGCACAACAGGAGTCTCAGAAGAAGAGGAGAAAGACAAAGATTTTAAAAAGTATGAAAAATGATGGCTAGAAACTTCCCAAATTTGACACCCCCCCCCAAAAAAAAAGTCTATGCATCCTAGCGGGTCATTGAATTCCAAATAGAATAAACACAAAGAAGCCACCCCAAGATTTATTATAAACTATTGAAAATCTTGAAAGCAGAAAGAGAGGAATAACTTATTGTGTAAAGGGAAGCATCAAAACAATTAGTGGCTGACTTATCTTCAGAGACAATGAAGTCCAGAATGCAGTGAGATTACATGTTAGAAGTGCTGAAAGGAAAAAACAAACATGTCAATCAGGAATTCCGTATCTGGCAAAATTATTCTTCAAAAATGAAGGTGAAGTAAGGACCTTCTCAGGTAAACAAAGGCTGAGAAAACTTATTGCTATGAGACCTGCCTTACTGTTTCACTTACATTAAAGGAAGTCCTTCAGGATGCAAGGTATCATATCACACGTAATTCAAATACTTAAGGACTAAAGAGCATGGGAAAACAAAAACACATAGGAAAATGTAAAAATCTTCATTTTTTTCCTTTGCTTCCCTTAACTTACCTAAAAGACATAAGATTAAATAAAAGAAAATCATAAAGCTTTATTGTTGATTTTTTAACATATATAGATGTGATCTGCAGTTATCCCTCAGTATCCATGGAGAATTGGTTCCAGGACCGCCAAAGGATACAAAAATCTGCAGATGCATGAGTCCTTTATATAAAATGGCACAGTATTTACAAATAACCTACTCATATCCTTCTGTATACTTTATCTCTAGATTACTTATAATACCTAATAGAATGTAAAATGCCATACAGATAGTTATTATATTGTGTTGTTTAGGGAACCGTGACAAGAAAATAAGTCTGTATATGTTCAGTTCAGACACAACCATCCTTTTTTTTCCAAATATTTTCAGTCAGTTGTTGGTTCAGTTCATGGATATAGAACCCACAGATACATATGGAGGGTGGACTGTGTATTACAGTAGTATCACTAAGGTAGGAGGAAGACGTGAGCTATATTGGAGCAAAGGTTCTATATTTTCCCAGAATTAAGTTAGTATTAATCTGAAGTGGAGCATCTTGAATTACAATACATATTGTAAACCGTAGAACAATCACTAGAAGGGGTGTTCAAATGGCCCCTTGGAAAATACCTAGTTTACACAAAAGAAGGAAGTGAAGGAGGATAGGACTAAAAGAAGGCGTGAAGCCCATACAGAAAATAGCAAAATGGCTATAATGTAAATCACATTACAGATCAATATATTGAACACCTTAATAAAAAGGCAGAGATTGTCAATCTGGATTTTGTAAAAAGATTCAACTATATACCATCTGTAAGAGATGCAGTTAGATACAAAGATAGGTTGGAAGGGGGAAAATGAAATAAGATCTATCATGTAAACACTAAACATAAGATAGCTGGAGTGGCTATACTAATATCAGACAAATTTTGTTTTAAATTTTGTTTAAAATTGAAAACAAAAATCATTACTAGAAACAAAGGGAGACATTTTATAGCAACAAAGGGTTAATCCATCCAGAAGATACGGCATTATAAATATGTCTGTACCTAACCACAGAGCCCCAAAACATGTGAAGCAAAAATGCATAGAATGACAGGATAAATAGAAAATTTAACATTAATAGTTGGAGAGCGTAATACCTGACTCTCAATAATTTACAGAACAATTAAACATAAACGATAGCAACATGCCAGGCACAGTGGCTCACGCCTGTTATCCCAGGACTTTGGGACACTGAGGCCAGAGGATTGCTGGAGCCCAGGAGGTCGAGACCAGACTAGGCAACACAGTAAGACCCTATCTCTAAAAAACAAAATCAGCCAGGTGTGGTGGCATATGCCTGTAGTCTGAGCAACGCAGGGGGCTGAAATAGGAGGATCGCTTGAGCCCAGGAAGTCAAGGCTGCAGTGAGCCATAATCGTGCCACTGCACTCCAGCCAGGGCAACAGAGCAAGAGCCTGCCCTGTCTCAAAAAAAAAAAAAATAGCAATGATATATAAGACTTGAACAATACTATCAACCAAATTGCCCCAACTAACATCTATAGACTACTCAACAACCACAGAATACATGTTTTTTATAAGCACACTTTGAACACTCTCCTAGATATATAATATTAGGCCACAAAATAAGTCTCAATAAAACAAACAAAAATAAATTTAAAAGTACTGAAATCATATAACATATGTTCTCAAACTAAAATGGAATTAAATTAGAAACCAACAAGAAAAAAGGTGAGAAAGTTCCAAATATGTAGAAATTAATACACTTCTTAATAAACAACGGGCCAAAGAAGAAATCACACTAGGAATTAGAAAATATCTTGAACTAAATGAAAATTTTTGTGTGATGCAGCCAAAGTAGTACTTTGAGGAAAATGTATGCTTTAACCATGTATATTGGAAGAGGAGAAGGATTTTGAACCAATAATTTGAGCAAGATTCCTTTTTAAGAAACCAGGAAAAGTAGAGAAAACTCAAATCAAGTGAAAGGAAGGAAGTAACATAGAGTGGAAATCAATAGAAGACAATAGAACCAAAGAAAACAGAAAAACAACAGAGAAAAAAAATCAGTGAAATCAAAAGTTTGTCCTTTGAAAAGACAAAACTGATGAAGTTTATTTACACTGACCAAGGAATAAAGAGGCAGAAAGAAAGAGATGCTACTAATTAGTACAGTCAGACCAATAGAATGAATTTAGATTACGAAAATAAACTCTTTATTTATGGCCAATAAATGTTTGACAAAGGTTCCAACACAATTCGCTGGGAGAAATGATAATAGTCTTTCCAACAAATGGTACTGGGACAATTGAATATCCATATGCAGAAAGATGAATATAGGCATGTATGTTACACCATACACAAAATTAACACACAATAGATCAAATGTCTACACGGAGGAGCTAAAACTACAAATCTTGTAGCGGAAAATGGGAGAATATCTCTGTAACCGAGGGGTAGGTAAAGCGTTCTTAGATATGAAAAAAGCACCAGTCACTTAAAAAATTAGTAAACTGAACTTCATAAAAATCTCTGTGCATCATTATGAAAATGAAAAGACAAGCCACAGGCTGGAAGAAAATATTTTCAAAGATACATCTGATAAATAATTATGTCTAGAACAAATAAAGAACTAGTACAACTCTATAAGATAAACAGCCTAATTAAAATGGGCAAAAAAAATAGAGTTTCACAAAAAAAGAGATAAAATGGCTACTAGGCACATGCAAAAAAAAAAGTCAACATCATTAGGGAAAATGCAAATTAAAACCACAATGAGATGCCGCTTTGCACACAACAGAATGGCTTGAATCAAAAAGGCAAACAATTCCAAGTATTGATAAGGATAGAAAATGAAACCCTCACACATTGCCAGTGAGGATGAACAATGGTAGAGCCACTTTGAAAAATAACTTGACAGTTTCTTTAAAAGTTATATTTAAAAGTTACACATAAATTTACCATATAAACTAGCAATTCTCCTCCAAGAATGCACCCAAAAAAAGTAGAAACATGTTTCTGTGCAAAGACTGATATGCAAATGTTCACAACATCCTTTTTCATAATAGTCAGAAAATCAAAAACTATCCAAATGTAGTTTAGAGATGATCAGTTGATTAAATATCTACTACTATTAATCAAAAAATATTTTATCTTAACAATTATTTGAGGTTTTTAAGGCAAATATTAAAGCCTTCATTGTATAGAAGGGGCATTAAAATCCATAGAAATAGTAAAATTACTATTTTTACAACAAAATCATAATTGATTACATTTATTATTTACTCTGTGTATATGAAAGTCACCATGTCAATACGTTAAATTGCTCAATCCTCCTATCAACAGTATTAGAAACTATTAGTATGCCATTTTAAGATAATAAAACTAAGTCAAAGAAAGGCTGAGTGACTTGTCAAATGTCACACAGCCAGTGAGCAGATTAGACACAGTATGTGCTCAGAAAGCCTGACTCCAGAATCTGTATCCTTAACCTGTTAAGCTATCCCACTTCGAATTCACAACTAGTAAGATTCATTCAGTGAAGCATCCCAGGCATTGAGCATAGATGGGTCATCGTCTTCACTGTAAGTCAACATTACACCTCAGCAAACATGGCTCTTGGCAAACCTGAGATCTCTCCACCTTAAGTAGGAAAATTCCGATAGCCTGTGTCAAATTGAGCCCAGATTTTGGGGTCTAACTGATTTCAGTCACATCCAACCCACAGCCCCCACTTACAGAGTTCCATTGTTTCCTAGAATTTTGCAAAGAGCTTTCTCTCCAATGTTCAAGAAGAGTGTACCCGAAAAGCATATGGGCTGACATCTCACATTTGGCTGTATATGCCAGACAGGCAGAGAGACTCCAGAAATAATGAAGAGCCATAGCTGCAAAGTGCTTCCCCAACTCACTCCTCAATGAACAGTTTGATATGAAGAATCTGTGTCTATGGAATAGGATACTCATCCTGTGAACCATTTGGCTGCCGTCCATATAGCACCTGCCCCCATGAAGCCCACACCATGGTCCAATGGCTTCCATATGTTGAGTTCCTATAATGTACCAGACACTTTGCTATGCCATACTATATGTTGCCTATGGTCATACAGCTATCAAGTATCAAGGGCGTGGATTCATAGAGAGAGATATGGAAGAAGACACAATTTGAACTCAAGTCTATCTGACTCTAAATCACATACTTTAACCACTGAGCCTCTCACACAAGTGGCCAAATCATTCCATAAGGGTGCTAACTGTGTCTGTTTTTTAACTATTTATGCTCAAGCCTATAAACGAAATGCCTGGAAAAAGGCAGAAACTATCCAAAAACCAAATGCACATGCACACACCAATTACATTGGGTTGATTAAAATTGAGTGGAAAACATGTAAAATAATTAAAACAATAGACCCAGCTCACAGTGCACAGTGGTTCACACTTGTAATCCCATCACTTTGGTAGACCAAGGTGGTTGGATCATCTGAGGTCAGGAGTTCAAGACCAGCCTGGCCAACATGGCGAAACCAGGTCTCTACAAAAGTACTAAAATTAGCCTGGCGTGGTGGCGCATGCCTGTAGTCCCAGCTACTCAGGAGGCTGAGGCAGGAGAATCACTTGAACCCAGGAGGCAGAGGTTGCAGTGAGCCGAGATAGCACCACTGCACTCCAGCCTGGGCAACAGAGCGAGACTCTGTCTCAAAAAACAAACAAAACAATAGACCCAAACTGGAGGGAGACAGCAAGGTGAACAAGAAAGGGATGATGAATAAATTTCAGGAGCGAAGGTGGTGGGAGCCCATGAATAATTATTCAGCACCTAGAGAGCAGACAGCTCCCTCCCTGGCCATGGGCTCATAAGGGTTTCTTCCCAGCAGATAAAGACTCTTGAGATGAATTCACAGGAAACTGGGAGTGTCTGCCAGGGTGGGAGACAGAATAACAGTGGCTGCCTTTGAGAAGACGGATTGACAGCCCTTAATTATGTTCTTCAGATCAAGTCCTCAGGGACAGAGATTTTGCCGGCTAAAATCAATCAACACTGTAGACACTTTGCGGGGAGGAGGGCAGGCCCAAGGGTTTCCTCACATCGATCAGATAGACTTGGCAACTCCTGCTTCAGCAGCAGAAAAATGGAAGGGACCAGAATCTGGGACGTAGCCAAGGTGAGCTGAAAGAGTGCCTTCACTGACCTGCCTGAGATTCCACCCTTGTATTCACTCTATGTAGGCTTTGGTGTAGGTTAAAGCATCATCTAACCAGAGGAGGTAGCCTGGGAGACAGGAATGGAACTGAAGATGATTACAGGGAGAAGACAGGGTCATTTGGGAGGCTTCAGTATGTGCCTGGGTGTCTAGAGGAGACAGGGGCCTCTGGAATAGCCAGAGGTCAGCAAGAGGACACTGCTTCCTAGAGAGGACCATGGAATGGGCAGCATGGACTTCGCTTCCTTCATAATTTTGCTGAAGCCAGTTCAAGTCACAAAGATCAGGTCTGCTATGCCACGCCCCTGCTGAAACCCTTCAGAGGAGCATCACTGAACACCTGATAAAGCCCAGACTCTCTAACTTGGCTAACAAGAACCCAGAATTTGCTTCTGTCAAACTCCTCAGCCCCTTTACTTGGCACTTGGCATCTTTTATGCTCCAGCACCACGAAACTATCTATGCACCTCCATGACTCCAGATCTTTGCAATCCTGTACCCAACATGAGAATGTCCTGTAACCTTTCTCCTACTCAGTTCCTCCAGAGTGTTTCACAAACCTCATCTCAAGCATCACCTACTTCTGAAATGTCTTCCCTGAGTGCCCCACTCTCACCTCCCTTGGAAACATCAAATGTTTTAGTGGCATCTCCTGGGGTGTCCCAAAGCCAGCTCTGTATGGAAGTTGCTGGTGCCTAGCACAGGATCTGGTGAAAAGCAGGCACTTGGTTAAAGTTGGATGAAATTAATGATAATTATTTAAAGTTAATATCCATGAATGGCATGTCCTGTAACGAACTGCACTAAATACTTTGCCTGCCCTCAGAGGGCTTCTATTCAACTCCTGTGTGAACATGAAAAGATGCTCAACACCCCTAATCATGAGGAAAATGCAAATCAAAACCACATTGAGACACTATCTCACACCCATTAGCATGGCAACTATCAAAAAAACAAAACAAGAAATAACACATTGGCAGGAATGTGGAGAACTTGCCATCCATGTGCAGTATTGGTGGAAATGCAAAATGGTACAGCTGCTATAAAAAACTGTATGGCAGCTCATCAAAAAATTTAAAATAGAATTACCATATGATCCAGCTATTCCACTTCTGGGTATATACCCCAAAAAACTGAAAGCAGGGTCTCACCAGGGCCTACTGGAGGGTAAAGAGTGGGAGGAGGGTGAGGACTGAAAAACTACCTATTGCGTACCATGCTTATTACCTGGGTGATGAACTTATCTGTACACCAAACCCTTGTAACATGAAATTTACCTAGATAATAAACATGCATGTGTACCTCCCCTGAACCTAAAACAAGAGTTCAAAAAAAAAAAAAAGAAAGAAAGTAGGGTCTTCAAGAGATATTTGTACATTCAACCCAGCAACCCCATTACTGGGCATATAGCTGAAGGAATAGAAATCCTTCTATTATAAAGACACATGCACATGTATGCTCACTGCAGCACCATTTGCAATAGTAAAGACATAGAATCACCCTAAATGCCCATCAGTGATAGACTGGATAAAGAAAATGTGGTACATAGACACTATGGAATACTATGCAGTCACAAAAAAAGAATGAGGGCCGGGCGCAGTGGCTCACACCTGTAATGCCAGCACTTTGGGAGGCCGAGGTGGGCGGATCACGAGGTCAGATCGAGATCATCCTGGCTAACATGGTGAAACCCCGTCTCTACTAAAAATACAAAAAATTAGCCAGGCGTGGTGGCGGGCGCCTGAAGTTCCAGCTACTCAGGAGGCTGTGGCAGAAGAATGGTGTGAACCCGGGAGGCAGAGCTTGCGGTGAGCCAAGATCGTGCCACCGCATTCTAGCCTGGGCAACAAAGCAAGACTCCATCTCAAAAAAAAAAAAAAAAGAATGAGATAACGTCCTTTGCAGAAACATGAATGGAGCTGGAGGCCATTATCCTTAGCAAACTAATGCAGGAACAGAAAACCAAATACCACATGTTCTCACTTATAAGTGGGAGCTAAATGATGAAAGCAAATGGACACATAGAGGGGAACAACACACACTGGAGCCTGTTGGAGGGGAAGGATGGGAGGAGGGAGAGAATCAGGAAAAATAACTAATGGGCTAATGGGTACTAGGCTTAATACCTGGGTGATGAAATGATCTGTACAACAAACCCCCATGACACAAGTTTGTTACAACAAACCTGCATGTGTACCCCCGAACTTAAAATAAAAGTTGAAAAGGAAACATGGAATCAACCCAAACATCCACTGACAGTCGAATGGACAGGTAAAATAAGGTATACATCCACAATGGAATATTTTTCAGCCTCAGGAAGGAAATTCTGACACCTGCCACAACATGAATGAACCTTGAGGACATTATGCAAAGTGAAATTAACCAGTCATGAAAGGACATATGTGGCATGATTCTACTTCTATGATGGACTTAGAATAGTCAGATTTATAGAGACAGAAAGTGGAATGATGATGGCCAGAGCCTGAGGGGAGGAGGAATCGGGAATTATTGTTTAATGGGTACCAACTTTCAATTTTGCAAGACGAAAAAGTTATGGAGATGAATGGTGCTTATTGTTGCTCAAAAATATGAATGTACTTAATACCACTGATCAACACACTTAAAAATGGTTATGGCAGTAAAGTTTATGCTATGTGTATTTTACCATAATTTTTTTTTAAGCCCTATGTCAGGAATCTGAGAGCCTGAGTTCAAATCCCAGCTCTACTACTACCTGGCTGGGTGGTCATGGCCTCAGCTGCCTACGCTGTGAAATGAGGATGATTCCCAGAGTGGGAATTATATTTTGAATACTGTCTTAGCTCATGGTTCTGTAACCTTTTCATAGTATGTCTGATATTTTATAATGAGAGTTTATGCATCTGTGATAAAAGACATATGCTATTTTTGTTTCAGGAACACAATATATCCATCAGGTACCCACCAAATGAGAGTACTTCATTGGGAAACAGTCTTGGCATGAAACACCAACATTCAGACCCCACATGTTAGACCCACAGGGGACTTCACCAAGACCCATTTTACACCCTGACAATGAATCCCCTCTGCTGCCGTCTAGTGTCTAATGACAATATTGACCTTTTCTAGCTGTCAACCTTGTCTTATTAAATCCTGAGGTCTTAACTGCTTTGCACACAGAAACTGATAGTTTGCCCACCCAAGCACGTGTTCATGTATAATTCATGGCATATCATGTGGCCTGGCAAATGAATATTTATCAGTTTTTTCATAAGAGGCAGGATGATGTTTCTTTTCGTTGCTACCAAAATTCTATGCTGCAGCAAATAAAATTTGTGAGCAAATAAAAAAAGAATAAGAAGAAGCAAAAATTCCCAACCAAGTCCATTCTCCTTGTAATTTTCCATTTTCTGAGGCCTCTAGCGTGTATGGAGGTGGTTTTGGTTTGGCTACAACAGAGAACTGCTGACTCATTCAGAGTAGAAACACTTCCATATGCTACACCCTTTGCCTCCACAAAAAAACTCCCCCACACCTGACTCCTGCACCATTTTCAACCACAGAGGAGCCCAAGACCCTCTCAGTGGCTCCATTCAGCCCCTCTGAATGAAGTCAAATTTTCAGAGACCAAGAATAAGGAACCCCATGAACGAAGACTGCTACAGAGTGGTTGATGGCACCAAGTCAGGCAGAATTTCATGGCTTCCAAAATGGGCCACTACCCAGAGAAGGGACAGCCCTGTGCCACAGACATCTGGGGGTGATGTCCCCTCCATAGTGAGTTAGGAGGGCCCTGCAGAAGGCATTGCCTTGTCTACTGAAAGTGGCCTGTGCCCTGGTACCCACTGCAAAGAAGAACTAAGAAGACACCTAAGAATTGTGACTTTACATCTAGTCTTCTGACTCATTCATTGAGGACTGCAGTGCTGATGATCTCAGGCACACGCAGGCACATGCAGTTGCAACAGGATTGTGAACACATGGTCTGTGAGGCTTGTGTGTCATCGCCCTGGATTTGAAAGAGGATGATGATATTGATGGTGCTGCTGCTGATGTTGATGATGGTGGTTAATGTATATTGAGCCCTTACTATGTCCCAGGACCTGTGTAAGGTACATGAACTATACTATTACATGTCATCCTCAGAACACTCCATCGAGTTTCATGGAGTACTCTTTCATCTTGCTATTCAGATCCCAGCTCAGCTATCATCCTCCATCACATCCTCTTGTTTAATTAGTTTTTGTAGCACTTATCCTGAAATTATGTGGATCCCCTATGTATTTTCTGCATTGTGGTCCTTCCCACTTTACACATGAGGAAACTGAGGCAGAAAGATGACATAACCAGTTTACATTCACACAGCCCCAGCTGGGAATCAAATTCAAGTCAGTTTGAAGTACCTCCCTTTATGAACTATGCTCTTTAAACTATCCTCCCCTGGAATTGAGAAACTTGAGTCCAAGGAGCAAACCCACAAATGCCTGGCTGTGTGGCCTCAGGAGTGCCACTTCATCTTAAGAAACGTGGTGTTCTCTTTTGTAAATGGAGTGTAATAGCTCTTCTTTTGCAGGGCTGTTATGAAGATGAAATAGGGCTTTGCAAATTCTAACAAGCTCTCTAATCATCGATAAGCCTGTGGCCATTCTCAAGAGAAACATTTATTGAAAGTTTGGCACTGGAAGTAGAGATGAGATTCCATGAGTTTACGGTGTAGTTGGAGAAAGAAGACACACAGGGACAACAATACAAAGTTAGGTCTGGGTATTCATTCATTCATTCATTCATTCATTAACTCAACAAAAACATTATTGAGCTCTTGCTGTAAGCCAGAAAACACAGAGGAGATTCACATTATTTCAGATAAGTGCTACATAAACATCAAAACAAGAGGATGTGATGAAGAATGGTATCTGAGCTGGGATCTGAATAGCAAGATGACACCAGCCACGCAAAGATTCGGGGAACGAGTGCTCCAGGCAGAGAAAACAGCTCGTGCAAAGGCCCTAAGGAGTGATGTTCATCAGAATTCTCAAACATGGGGCCCTGATGTAAATATTTCCTAAACATTTTGGACCCTGAAGCCCTCTTTTCATAGACCACCCCAGGGTGCTGGTGCTGAATGGAACACACTTTGCAAATGATGACCTTTCACCTTGCTAGGGTCCCTTTTAGCTGGGATGCTCTCTTCTCATGACTCTATTCTTATTCTTTTCCTAAAGTTCCTTATCTAGGGGTCAGAAGGGTCATTCTGGGCTGAGTCGGGTCCCAAGTGACATTGTTGTGGGGGTTTGGTCTAGAGCAAGAATTTGAGTGAAACCTCATGCTGCCCTCAGCACTGCCCCCATGGTCCTGCTTTCAGATTCCAGCTGGTCCAGATGCCCCCTGGGGCAATCCCTTATGGAACATGAGCCCACTGGACCTTAGTCAAAGTCATATTGCCCAGGCTGGTCTTGTACTCCTGGACTCAAGTGATCCACCCACCTGGGTATCCCAAAGCACTGAGATTACAGGCATGAGCCACTCACCGTGCCCAGCCTTGGAACATGTCCAATAACCAACATATCCATATCTAGGGCCTTCACCCCTCTCGCATGTGCTCCACCTACCTTCCTTTCATCTATTCCCTCGGAGGTCGACATGAGCTTCTTCAGGAGTGGAGCGTCCAGCACCTGGAATTGCCGGCGGAAGCGAGTGAGCCCCATGTGGTCAGCATAGCCTAGGGAGGTAGGAGCAGGCAGGAGAAGAGCACAGAGTCCAGATGAGAAGACCCAGCCCAGTTCCCTAAACCCCTAGACAGGAGTGCAGGGTCCTGCTTCCTAGCCTGGCTACTAACTTGCTGCATGGACTCATCTCTTGGGACCTTAGTTTCTCCATTTGTTAATTTAAGAGACTATATTTGATTGGCACTTCCCAGAGGTGTTCCTGAGAACACGAACCCTATAAAATGCTCCACTGAAAGTTTGAAAAAGCTGCACACTCATCCGCCTCTTGGAAGGTCCATGAGCCATGTCAGCATCCAAGTCAAAGGCTCTGAGAACTCATGCAGGGGAGATGCCTGATAAGCCTTGAGTTTCCCAACGTTAGCCCAGAGGTTCCCAAACCCGTTTGACAAAGGAAAGTGTTTTGTCTAACACATATTACCACCCCATACACTGTATGTGAAGCATGCTGCATTGGGCAGTATCTAAGGGCATTTGTAAGTCTACCATGCAGGGTGGACGCAACTGCATCCTTCTATGTGGGGAACTGGGAAGAGAAGGGGCACCTGAAAAGCTGTTGGGAGAAAATGACATTAGATTCAGTTTTTGAAGAAGCCATAGGGTTTTCCAAAATAACTTGGTATGGAAGAGAAGTCTAGGCAGAGGGGGCTGTACAGACAAGACCTAGAACAGGGAAGTATAAGATACATTCCAAGGCTGGGCACGGTGTCTACAAAAAATACAAAAATTTGCCAGTCGTGGTGGTGCGTTCCTGTAGTCGCAGCTACTCTGGAGGTGGGAGAATTACTTGAGCCCAGGAGGCAGAGGTTGCAGCAAGCCACGATCGTGCCACTGCACTCCAGCCTGGGTGACAGAGCGAGACACTGTCCCAAAAAAGAAAAAAAATTATTTTATAGTCCACAGTAACAGCCAGCATTTACTGAGAGCTTATGTGTGCAAATCACTAGGGTAACAACTTCCTCGTGTTATAGACACTCATGGGCCTATGTTATCATCCTCATTTTACAAAAGGGGAAATTGAGCCCCAGAGAGATGAATTCACCTAGTTACACAACACAAAATAGTAACTGTCTCAGCTGGGACTCAAACCCAGGCAGCGGAGAGTAGCCAAAGACGAGCAGAGACCAGGTCCCAAAGGAAATTGAGCGCAAATTCCAGGTCTCGAGGTTTAGACTCTTCCCTGGGTACAAGAAGAGCCTCAACTGCTTAAAAAAGACCCCCCAAGTGACTGGATCAGAAAAGGTATGGTAAAATCTCACTCCACTTTTGAGACTTCACAATAAGCCAGATGCATCAACTAGGAAGAACAGCAATTGTTTGTGTGGCTAATCCTGGAAGACTTCCTGGGGAAGAGGAGGGTCTCAGACCAGCTTTGAAGGATGCAGACAGCACAGAGATGGGGGACCTGGGAGGTTACCAGCCTCCTTTAGGGCACACCTATCTGCATTCATGTCCCGTCTCTGTGCTTATGAGCCCCATGACTGGGACAACTGATTCACCTTTCTGAGATTCAATTTCTTCACTTGTCAGATGAGATAACAAGATCTATCTTCACATGGTCACTATGAGGATTAAATGCGATGACAATTATAGTAAAAGTGGCTAATGGGTATTATGTGTTCTTCCACAACCTGCCACTTTTCTAAGCTTTATTGTCTTATTGACGCACCCAGCCCCATAGCAGCCTTCAGCGATATGAGCTATTATAGGAGAGGACAGGGAGATAAGCTCTAGGGAATTTCCTGGGGTCACACGGCTGGTGAGAGGTGGTGGCCAGAATCAAGGCCAAACCATTTCCCTCCAGAGTTGGAGCTGTGCCTACCAGGCTGCACGATAGGTAATGTTGAATGAATGTTTACTACATACCTTTAGCACAGCAAAAATGATCTCATTTAGTATAGGTGACAACACAGTGTCTAGTACGTAGTAGGTACTCAATAGCATGCATGAGTATGCATCACACATGCATGTGTATATATGCATATATATATTATATATGCACAGATTCCAAATAATAAATATTTGACGTATCTGTGTATGCATACAAATCTATCTCATGTGAGTGTGAAAGAGACAAACATGACTTACAATAGAAATAAAAAGAGGAAATGAACCAGGTCTAGGAGACAGAAATTGGACATTTCTACCATGAGATATCAACCCTTCGCTTAGTTGGAAAGCTCATCATGGCTGAGCTAGGCTGTGCTGAGAACAGAGATGGTGTCGTGAGGTCACGTGAACACAGGAACGGGACACCCTGACCCTGCGTGCGCACAGGCATTCTAACAGTCTGACCCAGGCCCATGGTGCCTGCAAAGGCCCAGCACTTCCTGCCAAGCAGCCAAATAGAATCGATTAAGTGTGGGGGACCAGCCACTGGCTGTGACCATCCCCCTCTTCTCTTGTGACATTATCTGTCTCCCTCCTCTGCGGCTGTGCGGGTGGGAGGGAAAATCATTGATATGCTCAGCGGAGTGAGGGTCTCATCTTTGCTTCTAGCTGCTCCCAGTCAAATACTCTGTGCCCAGGGGTCCCTTATTAACCCAGCAGGGGGAGATGGGAGAAGCGACCATACACTAGGGCACTAGTGACCACGGAGACTTTAACCAAATGAGGTGCTCACCTGAGACTTCTGCCTGTCCCAGCCACCCTGTCCTCTGCAGAGAGCATGGCCTTGTCTGAGCCATTTCTAACTGTCAGAGAGGGGAGTCAGTGTGGTGGCCTTTGGAGACTGAGAGGCAGAAAAGAATAGCAAGGACTGAGATCAAACTCAACTCCTAAGATTAGCTAATGTGGGGACATCAGGTGCACATTTTCTTACTAAAATACAGACCCAAAAACTTCAATCCCTTGATTAGAATCCCCCCATCCCCCTGCCAGCCCATCATCTCCCCAGGTGGACCTGGTGATAACCCAACAGAGGCATTCCCAGCCTGCGCTGGTGGATGCCTCAGCCTCTTCTCCCACAACTCCTCACTCATTCTGAATCCACTTCCCTGAAAACCTGCCCGTTTTATGCCTCCATCCTTCATACTTGCTGATCCCTCTGCCTAATGTTCCCTCCCTTTGCCAGAGGTGACAGTTTCTTATGCTTCAAGGCCTGACTATGGTATTACATCACTGTGAGCTTTCCCCAAACTCCCAGTGAGAGTAGGAAGCTCCCTCCTTTAGGCCTCAGGGCCTCCCGTATCCCTGGGTGCTATGAGCCCTCATCAAGTCATATCATCATCTCCTGGGATCACAGCAACCTCCCAAACCAAACTGAGCATCGTGAACATCAAAATATCACTCATCACAGGAATTCCACCCTCTGTTGCAAGACAATGCTCCTTAGAAATTCATGGCTAAAAGGAAGACACAGCCCTAGTTTTCTAGGAGTGTACAGGCAATTCTAGAAATAATATGGGCTTTTTCAACAGGTGCAGCCAACCAACATAGCACATGTATACCTATGTAACAAACCTGCACGTGCTGTACATGTATCCCATTTTGTGTGTGTGTGTGTGTGTGTGTGTGTATGTGTGTGTGTTTTCAGAAGAAATAAAGAAAAAAAAAAACAGTGGGCTTCAGACTCAAAGAGAGCTGGGTCCTGATCCAGGCTCTGCCACGTCCAGGCAATGTGACCATGAGCAAGTACTTCCACCTCTCTGAGCATCAGTGGCCTCATCTCAGAAGACTGCTGGGAAGAGTAACCAGGATGCTGGGTGTGAAGCTCCTAGCACATGGCAGGGGCTCCCATCCCTTGGCTGCCACTGGTGGGTGGACATGTCCCAGGAGTCAGAGACAAGGTGCTGTGTCCTAGCTGTCTCTTACCTGTCCTATGCAGACGCAGAGCCTCCAGGATGTGGAACCCAGCAAGCTGGACCCTCAGTGCTGGGATATCCAGGGCCAGAGGTCCACCTGCCCCAGGCTTGTCTCTACCAGGCTGCGGTGGTGGTGGAGATTCCTGCCCACTCCTGCTTTCCACCACAGGGTTTGGTACCAGGCAGTGGATAAAGTGCAGCCGGGACCTTTTGATCATGCTGGTCAGCGCATCCTAGACCAAATAGAGGGAGGTCAGGGCCAGTTGTCTCACAGAGACACAGAAAGGGGACTGGACCCTCTCCAAATATTCATTAAGCCCAACCTGAGCATCTTTGGGGCCCCTATGTCCCACACCAAGGAGCTCCCACCTACAGCCTGATTTGTGCTCATGAGAAATAATGGTTCTTGTTGAAACAGATGGAGAAACTGAGGCATGGAGAGAGCAAGTGAGTGGCCCCAGGTCATACAGACCAGTGGCAGAACAGCTGGGACTAGAACTCAGGACTCGGACTAAGGGCATTTCCACTATAACGCACTAGGAGGTCCATTTTATTTTTCTTTCTTTCTTTATTTTTTTTTTTTTGAGACAGAGTCTCACTCCGTTGCCAGGCTGGAGTGCAGTGGCACGATCTCAGCTCGCTGCAACCTCCTCCTCCCAGGTTCAAGCAATTCTCCTGCCTCAGCCTCCCAAGTAGCGGGACTACAGACATGCATCACCACGCCCAGCCAATTTTTTGTATTTTTAGTAAAGACAGGGTTTCACCATGTTGGCCAGGCTGGTCTCGAACTCGTGACCTCGTGATCTGCCCGCCTTGGCCTCCCAAAGTGCTGGAATTACAGGCGTGAGCCTCTGCGCCCGGCCACTATAAGGTTTATTTAAAGGTGTCCTTCCCTTGTCTCAGCCCATTCTCATTTCTGCTCAGCCTGGCCATTGACCAATCTCATGTTCTCATTTATTCACGGATTCACATTCCAGGTCTAGGTACCACATTTACATCCAGCTGGGTCCTGCCGCCTTGCCCCAGGGGAACCTAGTGGTGAGCAAGGCAGACAGGGCTAGTCTGGCTCTCATATGTGTCACTGGAGTCAAGAGGGCATTCATAGCTTCTGGGAACTCCCCCAGGCCTCTCAACTCAACACCAAGCAGCACAGGCTTAGGCCTCAGATTTGGATCAGTCACTTCCTGGGGGTGTGACCAGGGCCAAGTTTCATTGCTGCTGGGAGCCCCCATTTCCTCCTCTGTGGAGCGTGGGGTGACACTCGCCCCTCTGGCCTTGCTGGGGAGGTTAGAGATGATGTAGGCACATGACTCAGCCCAGAGGAGATGAGGATGGAGGCAGTGAAGGCCAGGACACCATGAGACAGGGTGCCCACTCACCATCTGCAGCTTGATCTGGGAGCACGGGGCTTTCCTCCTCACCGCGGCAAGGCTGCTGGCAAAGGTCCTCCTCACCATGCGGCTCCTCTGCAGGGCCTGCTGGGAGGTGCCCTCCAGGCCTGCCACAGCCCGGCACACAGGAGGCAGCTTGGCCCGGGCCTGGAATAGACTCCGCAGCTCCTCTCTGGTGGGGAGGAGGGAAAAGAGAGAGGAGCTTTAGGAGGTTCTTGGGAAAGCCTTGGCCTGGGTGGTGGCAAAGGGAACAAGCCTTCTTGCTTCCTGCTCCTCGGCTTCCTAAAGCCTCCTCTACAGTCATGTGTCCCAGCTGCTCCCCTTCATTCACAGCCCCTCCTGCCAGGTGAGGCTTTGCTTCATGGCAAATGCCAGCTCCTTCCTGATGCCCGTCTTCTACCTTCAAATGCTCCCTCCCTGCCTAGGCTTAGAGCATCTGTCCTATGGATATTCTTGTCACTTACATACCTACAGCAATGCTACGACACCTGTACTCTCTTAGAGGTCAAAGTCCTCTCTGCTATTCCTAGACCAGGCCTAGCACACAGTAGGCACGTGCCATGTGTTTCATGCAAGAAGGAATGACTCAGGCTGGGCACACAGTTTCTGGAGCTGCAAGATAATGTCAAATAAATACCCAGCCTGATACCTGAGCAGACAGTGCCTTCTCTCAGCATCCCTGTCATGGACAGATTCTGAGGTTAGTGGCCAGGATGCTAGCTTTTCGTTTTTGTTGTTGTTGTTGTTGGTTTTTTTGAGATGGAGTCTTGCTCTGTCGCCAGGCTGGAGTGCAGCGGTGCAATCTCGGCTTACTGCAACCTCCGCCTCCCGGGTTCAAGCGATTCTCCTGCTTCAGCCTCCCGAGTAGCTGGGACTATAGGCACACGCCACCAGGCCCAGCTAATTTTTGTGTTTTTAGTAGAGACAGGGTTTCACCATGTTGGCCAGGATGGTCTCGATCTCTTGACCTCGTGATCTGCCCACCTTGGCCTCCCAAAGTGCCAGGATTACAGGCGTGAGCCACCGCGCCCGGCCAAGGGTGCCAGCTTTTCAAGTGTCTGTTCCAGTAAAGCAGAGTGGCCTACCCTCTTCCATGAGCCAACTACGAACCGGGCTCTCTAATAGGTCATCTGCTACTTTACGTCACCAAAGCCTTCTTAGATCAGACATGGGAGCTTTGGAACCTCATTCCCATTTCTCAGATTATGAAACTGAGGTCCAGGTCATGTAGCTTAAAAGAGGGAAAAACGGAATCTGAACATCTTCCTGTCCCCAAAGCTGGGCTACAGCCGCTGAGTCTTGTAGCATCGTCCTGCTCTTATTTATGGTACAGGAAGCAGAAACAACCGAGATGAGGGAGAGCGACTGCCCACGGTCACTCAGGTGACAAAGGGCAGGGCTGAGACTCAACCTGTGCCACCTGGGTCATCATTCAGTCCTCTGTGTGCTCGCAACTCCTGTTGCCCCAGCCCTGGCCTGAATCTCTCTCCAGGAGCTGGATGTTCACGAGCCCCACTCCTGGATGTGGGTTTCCAATCAGCTCTGACATAATGTTCTGGGAATTCTCCAAGCATCTCTTAGACTCAAGTTGGGTCCTGGCTGTGCCACTGTTCTGCTGTGTGAGCAAAGGCAAGCCACTTCACTGCTCGGGGCCTCAATTTTTCTCATGTGTAAAATGGGACTAAGGATCTTGTGTTGTGATAAGGATTCAGAAGATACTCATAAAGCGTTTATGCTGATCCAAGGCACATAGGGAGTAGTGAGTAAGTGGTTCTTTCTCATCCTGGTGCCCATCTGAGACACCAGCACCTCCCTGGTCGTCTCAGTTTCTCTTCTTGTCTCTAAGCTCTACCCCTGAGGAATTCCAGCATTGAACTTGGGAGTGTGCATGCACACACACACACACAGCATTTTCCAATAAGCCTCTGAACTAAAAGCAGAGAATGCTGCCGGCCTCACGCCAGCACTCTGGGCTGAGCAGCCAGGGAACATGGTGAGCTTTTTTTTAACGCTACAAAACGTATCATTTCAGTTTTATGAACCCCTAGTTCTTGAATGTCCATAAAAGTTGTTCCAGTCACATCATCTCTCAGATACTTAATGAAAGGCAAAGTGCCAAAATAAGAAGTCACAGCTTTTTAGCTTTTGTTCCACCTCCCCAGGAGGCCAGCTTTTCTCCTCAGCTGGATTCACTCTGGCCCCAGGGAGACACTGCACTGCTCCAATTCAAGTTATGGTTCTTTGCTCCATTATGGAGGGATGGGATTCCTGGGCTGGCCCTCCCACACTGTGTTGTAGTGACTGCCTAGTTTAGGTGGGAAGGAAAACACAGTGCCTCCAATGCTCCATCCCCGTCCCCAACCCTGACCCAACTCACCTTTTTGACTGGTGCAGGACCTGGGGTGCATCCAGGGCCGAGAGGTTGGGCTTGGCTCTGTGGAGCCAGCCCGTGAGGTCGTACCGCACAGGGTCCCATCCCAACTGGTGGAAAATCTCACACTGGAGGGGCTGCTCACAGGTCCGCAGGGCAGAGGACCCTGGAAACAGACATGGTGGCATGAGTGCTGGAGCCTGTTGAGGACACTCTGCAATCAGCTGGCATCCCTTAAACGCACAGTATCCATCTTAACGTGTTTCCAGATAGCTAACGCTCATGGTCGAAGGCACCCACATTTCTCCTGCTGTAGTGAATTTGTGTACATTATTTCCAAAGTGGATTTTATTCTTTCTTGCTTTCTTAAATCTAGGACACCTGTTTTTCCCAAACATCATCCGTACACTCGATCTCCTCGAGTTTTTCTATATATATAACCACGTATCACCTGGACTGTGATTTACTTGATGTTTTCTTTAAATCGACTTACATTTTCACAAGTACAGTACATTCATTTTAAAAGAAGCATCATATTGCCGATTTGATGTGCAAGATATGTTTATTTTCTGATATGCATGGAAATTATGATGAAATATTTTTAAAATATTTAGTTTTATGCCGCGTAAAATCATTTTGAATACCATCAACCAAATAAATACAGGGAATACTTTTGGGAGATACAGGCACATCGGTTCCAAGAGACAGGGTGGGAGAAAAAAATGGGCCTGATCTTGGGGGCTAGAGAAATCCTAGGTTCTTTACCATTTATTACTGTGTGAAAGGTGCCAAGCCCCGTAAGTCTCTGAGCATCAGTTTCCTCGTCTGTAAAATGTGGATTAAATAAAGCATACCTCCCAGAGTGGCTTATGGCTTAAAGGAGATAATGTATGTAAAATATTTTAGTATAGTGTCCGGGCACATAATGGTCACTCAGTCAGCAGTAATGGTTGTCACTGCCCTTGACTGCACTTAAACCTTTGCTGATGTTCCCGAATCACAAAGTGTTGTTTATGTTCACATCCCCAGTGCCCAGCATCATGCTTGGCACATGCAGAGTCCAGAAGTGCTTGCAAAATGAATGCATGGATTAATTAATTAATGGATTGCTGTTCATTTATAATATTACTCTAACTATTGTGATGCTCACAGGTTGCAGTCACAGGTTTGGGATAGCTGTCTCCATACTGAATGGCCCCAGATGAATTTTTTTTTTTTTTTTTTTTTTGAGACGGAGTTTCACTCTTGTCACCCAGGCTGGAGTGCAATGGAGCGATCTCGGCACACTGCAACCTCCACCTCCCAGGTTCAAGTGATTCTCCTGCCTCAGCCTCCTCAGTAGCTGGGATTACAGGCATGAGCCAACATGCCTGGCTAATTTTGTATTTTTAGTAGGGATGGGGTTTCACCATGTTGGCCAGGCTGGTCTCGAACTCCTGACCTCAAGTGATCTGCCTGCCTTGGCCTCTCAAAGTGCTGGGATTACAGGCGTGAGCCACCGCACCTGGCCCCCAGATGGATTCCTATTAAGAGTGGTCAGATTATCATGACTCTTGGATCTATTCGGAACGATCTTACTTTGCTTTCCCATCCTGCTATTGCCAACGTACTTGCATGCACTAGGGTCCTGAGTCTTCCCCTCAAATCCTAATTTGCTGCCTCTAAACTCCAGTAAGCTAGGAAACAAAGGACCTGCATTTCTTGGAACTCTCTGCAAAATACAGCAGTGTGAGAGTCTGCGGCTTTCGTGAGCCTTTGTAGGAGTAAAGGGCGTGGCATCTGCCACCTGTGTGGCTGCTTAGAGGTACTGTGTGCTCACTTCCCAGATTGCCCCTGTCCAGGATAACGGAAGTTACCAGCACAGAACCCTTCTAGCAAAGTGAAGTTTCCCTGTTTCAAGAGTGTCCTGTGACGCTTTCAGAGCTGTGCAGTCCCTGCCCTCAAGAAAGTCCCCTTCCAATGGGAGAGTAAAGCACCCACAGGGAGTAAGGTGACAAAGCACACACCAGGCTTTGGCGCAAATGTCCGTGCTGCATTTACAATGCTACAGGTATCTGTTTACCTGGCTGCCTCCTTCCACTGTCCTAGAAGCAACTGGAGAGCAGGGACTGGTTGACTCATTGTTAGGCTCAGCAGCCAGTACAGGGCTGAGCTCTGAATGAGGATCGTGACCGAGTAGGGGACAGGGAAGAAAGAAGAAAGGATGTTGATGTTTGCTAAGCCCCGGCTCCTAGCACTCTCTGCTGGACATGCTAGCATGAGTGATTTCACTCTGGCTGGTAATGTTAGCATCTCTGGGCTAGTTTCTAGAAGATGACACTGAAGTTCAGAGACATGAGGCAATTTGGCTAATGGGGCACAGCAGGATGAGGCCACAGGTCTGCTGGTCCAAAAGCCTGCCTCTGTCCAGGATGGTGTCCAGCACACGGAAATGCCACATTTCTCAGGCAATGTCCTGGAAAACAGTACCCAGCTTCCAGGCCTGCTTGTTCCCCTCATTCACTCCTTTATCCTGAAGTTGACTTTTATTCCACAATTTTGTCCATGAAAGCATTTCCCATGAAGTCTTTGGCTTTCAGGAGCCCCATGGATACTTCTGGAAGATGGAGCCTTATCCAGCATATCTCTCTCACAGCTTCAGACTCTGTCACCTCCCCCAGCAGCCTGAACCCCCCAGAGAGGGCCCCCTCAGCCTCTGCAGGTCACACTCGGAGGTTGATGAGGGCCTGTCACCTGACTGTCCACTGTGCCTGGGCTCCATGAGAGTTGATCCCAGTCCCTGCTGGCCCTTGTGGGAACACTCAGCAAATGTACCTGAGGTAAGGAAATGAGGTCATGAACAGCGAGCCCTGGGTTAGCCGGAATGCCCCAAGTGTTCTGGATGATTGAATGTTCTCATTAACTCAGAGCCAACCAGAAAGCAATAGAGGAAGAGAACTATTTTTTCTTTTTAACCAAAATGTCATAATTAATGTGTCTTCTCAGGGGGTTTAAGGCAAAGGATATGGACAGAGTCTCTCCCTTGGGTACTGAGGGCTTTATAGCACACTGCTAGGGATATCTGGGACTGACACCATAGACCTCATGGATAAAAGGGGAGGGGCCACAAATCTAGCCAAATCCCCTTCTGCCCACTCCAGCCTCACCCTACCATATGCCTTCTGCTTCCAACCCTACTTTCCGTCTCTTTTACCTACAAGGCAGGATCCAGAAAACATTCCCTTTGATAATACATTTCCTTGATTCTAGATCACTGAGTTTTCACATATTCATCAGTTTTGTAAAAAGTATTCACTGTGCACCTCATCCCGCCAGCTGTGCCAGGCGTCATCCCCACAGAGGTGACCAGCCTCGCCCCTGTCACCATGCAGCTGGCCTTCCCCAAGGGGAAATGACTGATGAGCAAGTGTGGGACATGCCCTGGTGACCAATGCAGTGGGGAAGAGAAAAACCAGGGAGGGAGCCAGGATCGCAGGCAGGGAGGGGTCACCGCTTTTTACAAAGAGGTCAGGGAAAGTCCATGAGCAGCACTGGGCTGGAATGTGGCGGAAGGGCCCTCCAGGCAGAAGGAGCTGCTGAAGCCAGGGCCCAGAGGTGGGAATGTGCATGCTATGTTTGAAGAGCAGCAAAGAGAGCTGTGTGATGGTGACAGGAGAGAGGAGAGGAACATGCACATATGGCCTTGTTATGATCAGGGCCCTGGGGAGACAGTGAACAGGAGCAACTGTCCTCGGGGAGCGCCCAGGGTTGTGGGGAGAATGGCAACAAGCAGGCAAGCAAGCAGAGAAACAACCACAACTTCACAGAGCTGGCAAGGGCCCTGAAGGAAGAAACAGGGAGTTGTGATGGGGTAGCGAGGCTGCCAGGGGGACAGCTTCAGACAGGGCAGGGAAGGTATCTAAAGGGTGACCTCTGAGCAGAGAGCTGAAGGAGGGGGAGGTGGAAATGCTCCGTGCAAACAGCACCTCCATCCTCGCCACAGCCCACGGGTTTCACCAGGACTGCCATCCTACAGAACCAGGAGGGGACTTTCCAGGAGTCGCCAACAGTGCAGTTGAGCGGTGAGCAGAAGCCAGCTCAGGGCTCTGGGGCCCAAAGCCTGGGCTTCCCCAGCTCTTTCTCTTGGCTTCTTTTGGATCTGAGTGAGATGCCTCCCCTGCTCCCCAAAATCTCCACTCTTGAGCCCGTATCATACATAGAGACAGGGGTCCCTTTGACAGCCCGGAAAGTCACAAGTCCGACTGGCCTTTGCAGTAAGGCAACCCAGGTTCAGCGCTAGCCCTGTGCTCGGCGCCTATAGGGCCCTGGGAAGCCACTGGACCTCAGCAAGGACTCAGTCACCTCCCTGTAGCTGGGGTGCAGTAAAGCCCACAGGCCTGGCTCCAACCAAGGGCTCCACAACTAGCAGTTTCTGCCACTCATTCATTCTCCTTCCCCAGCTAGCAAAGGGGCAGACACATCTCACACCCCAGCCTGTGTGGAGGGGATTCCATCATTGCCAGGATTAAGTAAATGCCAGGACTCCTGCAGGGTGAGCACGGCCAGGGCCGCAGCACAACTTCCTGGGCCCTAGGCACGTTTGCTTTCATGGGCACCTTCCTCCATGAAAATATATATACACACACACATATACACACATGCACACACATATATACAAACACACTCATACATATATACACACACATATACACACGTGCACACATATACAAACACACTCATACATATATACACACATGCACACACATATATACACACTCATACACATATACACAAACACTCATACATATATACACACACGCACACACGTATACACACTAATACATATATACATACATATACACACATGCACACACATGTATACACTCATACATACACACACAGGTGCACACACACATATACACACAGGCACATGCACTACATACATACCCTCACATATACAAACAACTAGACATACACACACATGCACACACACAGGCACACACAGATATACACATACACATATAGACACAGATATATATATATATATACACAAACATGTTCACACACATACACATATATTTACACACAGACATACACACATACACACACACATACAGTTATACAATGGAGATATGTTCTAAGAACTGCATCGTTAGGTGATTCGGTCCTTGTGGGAATACCATAGGGCATGCTAACCCCAACCTAGATGGTAGAGCCTACCACACACATAGGCTGTATGGTACAGCCCATGGCTCCAAACTACAAACCTGTACAGCATGTGACCACACTGAATACTGTAAGCCACCATAACACAATGGTAAGTACTCGTGTATCTAAACATAGAAAAGGTGCAGTAAAAATACGGTATTATCATCTTATGGAATCACCATTTGTATACACAGTCCGTTGCCTGAAACACTGCTATGTGGTGCATGACTGTGTGTGTGTAATCCTAGCACTTTGGGAGGCCGAGGCGGGTGGATCACTTGAGGTCAGTAGTTCCAGACCAGCCTGGCCAACAAGGTGACACCCCATCTCTATTAAAAATACAAAAAATTAGCCAGGCATGGTGGCAGGTGCCTGTAATCCCAGCTACTTGGGAAGCTGAGGCAGGAGAATTGCTTGAACCCGGGAGGCGGAGGTTGCAGTGAGCTGAGATCGCGCCACTGCACTCTAGCCTGGGCCACAAGAGTGAAACTCCATCTCTCTCTCTGTATGTATGTATATATATATTTATATTTACATATATTTATATATATATTTGTGTGTGTGTATAATTTAATATATAGGCATATATTAAAGAATTGCCCTTGGCCTAAAAGTTCTTTTTCTTTCCAGAAATTAAAACATTTTCTGGGAGAGAACAACACACACTGGGCACATCGTAGGGTGAGGAGGGAGAGCATCTTGAAGAAGAGCTACTGGATGCTGGGCTTAATACCTGAGTGATGGGACAATCTGTGCAGTAAATCACCATGGCACACATTTACCTATATAACAAACCTCCACATCCTGCACATGTACCCCTGACCTTAAAATTTAAAAAAATGAAAAACAACATTTTCATGGGCCCCCAGAACACCGGGCACTGTGCCTCCATGATGGGCAGAGAAGTCAGCTCTGCGCCAGTCACTGGCAGAGCCGAGCTCTCTGGGAATAATTTAGGAATTTGCACTGTGAGCTTGCTCCAGAGAGAGCTGCAGGAGGCATCAGATGCTGTTGCTGCTTCACTGGTTAGACAATCCTGTCCTGATATGGGCACAGGAATCTACCATGAATGTCTCGGACAGAGGTCTCTGCTGGTCACCATAAGCTGGAAGCTTCTGCCGGCGCTCACTCACTGGATGGTTGGCTCTTCTCCCAATTTCTTATAAACTGTTCCAGTTGGACAATCACCCGAAACATTCCATCAAGATGCATCTGTCTATGTCTCCAATGACTTCAACGAGGCCAAATCCAATGGTCATTCCCCAGCACACACCTCACTTGACCTTTCAGCCGCATTTGATAAGGTCAATCCCTCCTGTGGCTTCCAGGGAGTCATATTCTCCTGGCTTTCCCTCCTGCCTCCCTGGCCACACCTCAGTCTCCTGTGCTGGTTTTTTGCCTTGTCCCTGACACCTTGACATAGGAATGTCCCAGAACCTAGTCCTTGGACATCTTCTCTACCAAGCCTCATTCTCTCAGTGACCTCAACCAGAGTCACAGTCCTCAGTCTTCTCCTTTCGGATGCACCTGCCTTACTGTCTCTTCTCTGCTGGAAGATGCATCTCCTGGGCTAGGACAGTGGCTGCCACATATTAGGTGCTCCATCCATATTTTCTGAAGGGACCAAGGAATGAATGAATGCGAGCACATATCCTGGCCTCAAAGAGGGTTGGGACTGATAAGATCACTAAGTGCATTTGCCTTATTATTATTATTATTATTATTATTATTATTATTATTATTATTATTTTGAGATGGAATTTCACTCTTGTTGTCCAGGCTGGAGTGCCCTGGTGCGATCTTGGCTCATTGCAAACTCTACCTCCTGGGTTCAAGCAATTCTCCTGCCTCAGCCTCCCGAGTAGCTGGGACTACAGGCATGCGCCATCACACCCAGCTAATTTTTTGTATTTTTAGTAGAGATGGGGTTTCACCACGTTGGCCATGCTGGTCTCAAACTCCTGACCTCAAGTGATCCACCCACCTCGGCCTCCCAAAGTGCTGTGATTACAGGCGTGAGCCACTGCGCCCGGCCACTACATTTGCCTTCTTAAGTGCCTAGTGTTGTAGGGATCTGAGTCTCAGATCCAGACAAACCATGTTTTGAATCTGTCTTTTGACCCTTCTCTCCTCTGGGTGACCTTGCACAAGGACTTCTGGAACTCAGTTTTTGAATAAGAATATGTATCTCCAAGTGTGGGACAGAATCCTACCAGGAGCTATCCATAAAGCTGCGTATGCTGCTCTGAGTGCAGTACATGCAACACTCCCCAACCCCAGAATCATGTTCTCCATCACCATCAGCATCCTCATCCTCATCAATAAACCTGCAACACCTTGACCCCGGTGACAAAGCTCTGCATGCACATAATATTACCCAATCATCGTAGCAGAAATTCTAGAGAAAAAAGGGCCAGGGGTGACTTCTTTCCCAATTTTAAAAGCACATCAACTAAGACTACGAGAGGTTTGCCCCACATCATGCAGGGGAAAGCAGAAATAACTGGACTTCAACTTGGAGCCCATGGATACCAAATCTCATGATCACTTTGTTCTGGTTTCACGCCTTCATCTCCCCTCTTGCTCCCCCTTCCACCAATCCAACTCCCACCAAGTGCTATGGACTTTACCTGCTAAACACTTCCAGAGGTTTCTACCTCCTGGGGCAGGCCAGCTCCTCTCTCACCCTGACCACCTGCCTTCCTACCATATCTTCACACTACAACCTCAGGGAACTTTCCAGAACATGAAGCTCATCATGCCTCCCACTGCCTGGAATCCTTCATGGCTTCTCGTTGCTCTAGGGTTAAGACCTTTGCATGACCAGCAACAGCCTCTGCAGTCTGAGCCCAGAAGCCATCTCCAAACTTGTCCTGCATCGTGTTCCTGGCTCTCTGTTAGATGCATCTGCACGCATCTCCCACTGGCTACCAGAAAAATGAGAAACGCCCTGATGCGCCCCATTAGAGTGCAGTTGCAGGCTCACTGTGCACGCATGTGCTTGGCTGTGAGCTTGTGCCTTCCCCATGAGGACTGGCCCACGCCAGGCTGGTTAACTAACACATGGAACAGTACCCAGCACATAGTGGCTGCTCAATGCGTTCACTGAATACTTGAATGAATGAAAGCATACACAGGCTCATGCACATTCACCTCTGCACGTTGGAGCCTCTGTGCAGGCCTTGTCAGGGCTTTCCCTGCAGCAGAGAAGAACAGATTCTAATACCCAGGCTGGACTCAGGCCCCATCCCCAGCCCCCTGCTTCCTTACCTTCAGTCCCAGCTCCTTTCTTCTCGAAAGCAGCACACAGACGCTCGAGCACCACACTGTCACTGGAGCCCTCTACATGGACTTCCTCATCTAAGACCCAGAAAAGGCCTCTGGCATCCTGGGCACCTCCTCCAGCTGGTAAGCGGACCTGCTGGGAGAACCAGGATTCACTGAAGGGCCCTGATACCCATCAGAAGCCTGTCTTGGGCTTCTCTTCCCACCGATAGGGAATGAGAGCATCCAAGTCCCAAGTGTCAGGACTCAGAACGTGCCTACCCAAAACCATGCTCCCAATCACCCCAGACTCTCAGTGTTGAAGCTATAGCAACCTCTCATTTGCAAACTGTCTGAATCCTGCCTCTGTGCTCACCTCCTGTGTGGCCTTGGGCAACTTACTACACTTCTCTGAGCCTTGTTTCCTCCTGTGTAATGGAGACTGAAAATACCTTCCTTGGAGGGCCATGGTGGGGATTTAACAAGGGGAACCCTCTGGAAATTACACATTTCTAGATACATACAGGCAGCTGGTCTATTTGTGCACAAACGAGAAAGGATTAATTCTGTCTGTATCGTTTCCTCTAAGAAGTCCTTGTATTTTTTAAACTAAAATCTTGGGGAGGAGAAAAAAAGCACTCAAAGAACATTTCAGAGAAGAAGGTGAACACGAGTCAATAGCACTGACGTAGAATTTGAAATCTAGCCACAAGCTTCAGAGACCATCTACTCAACCCTGTAATTTTGCATATGGGAAACTGAGAGAGGCCTGGGGAGTTTAAAGGGCCTCTCTGAGGGCCCATAAGGAGTTGGCACAACCAAAAAAAGGCCACCAACTTGTTATAGAGGAAATGCAACATGCACAGTAACCAACTGTCCTACTTTGCCCGGGACATGAAACTTTCAGTGCTAAAGCTGGGAAAGTCCTATGCAAACCAGGACAGTTGGTCACCCTGAGGAATCCACACCCCTCAGAGGCCTGGAGAGGGGAAGGGGCACATCCAGGGTCTCCCGGATGGACAGTCAAAGATGCAGAGCTGGAACTGGATCCCAGGCATCCTTCACCTTGGCCTTCTTTATTGGGGCTGAAACTGATAGCCAGCCCACGCTCAGAAGGTCCTCAGAAAATAGTTGTTAAGGGTGGGTGTGGTGGTGCATGCCTGTAATCCCAGCTACTCAGGAGGCTGAGGCACGAGAATCGCTTGAATCCGGGAGGCAGAAGTTGCAATGAGCCAAGATCGTGCCACTGCACTCCAGCCTGGGTGACAGAGTGAGACTCTGTCTCAAAAAAAAAAGAAAAAAAAAAAGAAGAAGAAGGTAGCTATTTGCAGCCACAGGCCCTGGAGACTACCCCGCCCTTCCCAGCCAACACTGCTAAATCAGCCCTTCAGGCCCACCCTTTCCTAGGAGAGGCACAGGTGAGGAAGCACAGTGTGGAAGGAAATGAACTAGACAGATGCCAACCAGAAGAACACACTGACAACAGTCAGCTGGGCTTACACAGGAGAGGGCTTTGCAATGATGGGTACAGCCCACTGTGTGCCAAGAGAAAGCCTGCAAGCCATCTCTGGTCAGCAGGAGACAAGGAAGGAAGAAAAGGGGAGGGGCAGCCTGCAGTGTCAGATGGCAGGAGAGATGCCACCGGCAGGGCACCTCCTGTGTGCCAAGCATCACGCCAGGTGCCTTATGTGCAATATCTCATTGATATTCACAGCAACCCAGAAAAAGTAGCATCCCCATTCTGGAAATGAGGAAACTGAGGCTCAGAGAGGTGAAGTAACATGCCCAAGGTCACCAAGACTGGACCCAAGCATGGCAGGTTTCATGGCCCAAGCACTTTTGTAATAAAATGTGAAGAGGAAGACAAAAAAATCAAGTGAAATTGTCAAGGGCAGTTCTGAGTCGAGCAGAGGTGCAGATCTGGGGTAGCAAAGTGAGTTCTAGGGGTGGAGAGAGTGAGGTAAAGACTCAGTTTCCCTCAAACTAACGCCTGTCTGCCCCCAGATGAGTTCAGGGCCCTGAACCCAACATGGTCCCCTGTTCTCCAGTGCCCAAGGTCCCCAGTCTCTGCTGGGCACAGCACCTTCATTCAAACATCTGACCTTTCCAGGCCAGAGTGGCTGGTGGCCTCTGGCCATGAGCCCTGAACTCACTTTGGCTCAGGCCTCAGGCTCCCAGGCACGAGTCTATTCTAAGACATAGACTCAGACATAAAGGACAGCAGCAGTTCTCAACCTGATGATGCTTAAATTTCCACTGTTCAGGCCATACCCTCAGAACAATTTACACAGAATCTGGGGTTGGGTCCCAGGCATCCACGTTGCCAATGATCCCGGGGTGACTCTAGGTGCACACGGCATTGACAACTAGTAGACTGAAGACTCAAATCCACCAGCATTTCAATATGGCCAACTGGCATCTGAGAGCCTGGATTGGCTGGGCCCTGTGTTACCTGAGAGGGATTTTGATCCACAACAGCCACGGTGGTCCCTGGGGAGGGGTCCGGGAGGTCAAACTGCACAGGAACACCTTCCTGGAAAATAACAGGATTTAAAAGTTAGCACTTTTAGCGAGCTGAAGGGGGAAGAAAACTTCTGAAGAAGGAAAAAGCGGAGAGGATTTCCATCACCTCTTGGCCCTTTAAAAAAATCGTTTTTTTAAATTTTGGCAAAAGATACATAGCAGAAAATTTACCATTTTAGTCATTTTAAGTATACATTTCAGTGGTATAAGGTACATTCATGTTGTTGTGCACCCATCACCACCAACCATCTCCAGAACTTTCTTCATCTTTCAAAACGGAATCTCTGTACCCATGAGACTTAACTCCCTATTTCCTTCTCCCCCAGCATCCTACTTTCTGTGCCTCTGATCTCAACTTTTCTAAGTAGCTTATGTAAGTGAAACCATACAGTATTTGTCCTTTTGTGTCTGACTTATGTAACTTAGCATAATGTCCTCAGGGTTCATCCAGCATGTACCATTTTATCAGAATGTCCTTCCTTTTGAAGGCTGAATAATACTTCCTAGTAAGTGCGTATCTCGTAATATGCGTATCTCATTTTGCTTGTCCATCGCCTGTCAATTGCAATCTATATATGAGTTGCTTCTGCCTTTCAGCTATTGTGAATAATGTTGCAATCTGGTGCACAAATACCCGTTTGAGTCCCTAATTTCAATTCTTTTCAGTACATACCCAGACATGGAATTGCTGAATCACATGGGAATTCTATTTTTTTAGGTTTTGAGGTCCACCATTCTGTTTTCCACAGCGGCTGCACTATTTTACATTCCCACCAATACTGCACAAGGGTTCAAGTTTCTCCACATCACCCCAACACTTGTTATTTTCTGATTTTTTTTAATAGTAGCCATTGTAGTGTGTGGGAGGTGGTGTCTCAATGTGGTTTGGATTTGCATTTCTCTTACGATTTGTGATGGTGAGCTTCTTTTTGTGTGCTTTTGTAAATCTCTGGAGAAATGTCTGTTTAATTAATTTTTCCAGTTGCTAATGGGGTTGTTTGTTTATTCATCACCTTTTAGCCTTTGTGTAGGAAGAAAGATTGTAAATCCACACTCCAATGACATTCTGCTCATCATGCAGCGTGTCAGCCGTCATGCTGAGAGCTTTATCAGAAACTGATAACTCGGTCCAAACTTTTAAAATATTTACTGAGAACCTAATGAGTGCTAGGCTGAGTGTTCGGTGCTGGAAGTAACAAATGTAAACTATGGGGAATAATAGTTGCCACAATCATGTCACCAGAAGCCGGATGCTGTGGCTCATGCCTGTAATCCAAGCACTTTGGGAGGCCGAGGCAGGCGGATCACCTGAGGTCAGGAATTAGAGACTAGGCTGGCTAACATGGTGAAACCCCATCGCTACTAAAAATACAAAAATTAGCCAGGCGTGGTGGCAGGTGCCTGTAATCCCAGCTACTTGGGAGGCTGAGGCAAGAGAATCGCTTGAACCCGGGAGGCAGAGGTTGCAGTGAGCTGAGATCACTCCATTGCACTCCAGCCTGGGCGACAAGAGCGAACCTCCATCTAAAAAACAAAAAATTTTAAAAAATCACTAGAAATGTCCAGGAAATGCTGTGGACAAGGATGTTCACTGCAGTATTGTTTATAAAGCCTTGAACTTAGAAACTACCCTGATGTCTATAGGAGAGGGAATACAATCAGATCTAACCACTGCAAGCAGGTTTACTAAGATTTGTAAGTGGAGGGAGGTTATGTGAATAATGTAATACTGTGAGGAAAATGACAGACAACAAACTCATATATACAGGAAGATCCAAAATCCACGGACAACATAATAAAGGGAAAATGGTAACAACAACAAACAACAAACAAAAAAGAAACAGAATAGTAACAATGGTTGCCTCTGGATAGAAGCGCCAAAGGAGATTGTATCTTTAGTTTCTTTATACTCATATGAACTTTCCAGCGTTTTAATTAAAAATGTATTACATTGATAATCAGAAATAAGTGAAATATTATGGGAAAAATAAAATAGCTGTTACACTCTTTATTCTTGTTCATTAAATGTTCAAAACGGCCCCTTTGGGGAGTCTGGTAACAATGATCTAAAACAACCCTGGTTCTCTGCACTTCCCTGTATCTATACTCTCTGCAGAGTGACACTGCAGTGCCTCCATCAAGAAGTGGAGCCTGTTTTCCTACCCCTTGAATCCATGCTCAGCCTTAGACCTGTTGTGACTCACCGAACACAGTGGAAGTGATTCTGTGCAGGCCTCAAGTCCAGGCCTCAAGGTCCCCTGCACGCTTCTGTTTGCTCTCTTGGAACCCTGCCCAGCACTACAAGGACAGCCCAAGCTAGCCTGCTGGAGGATGGGACATTTGTGGAACAGGGACAAGGTTACCCCAGACAAGGCCTGCCTAGATCCGTTCATGGCCAGCTGATCCCACGCATGAGCGAGCCCTGCCAAGATCATCAGAGCCATCTACCCCAACCTACACCTGAATCTGAACACAAGCTCAAGAACCATCCTGGACCAAGAGAGCTGCCCAGGCCATCCAGACACTTGTGAGCAACAACCGAAGATTTTTTTCTAAGCCACTACACTTGGGGGTAGTTTATTACGCAGCATTATTATGGCAAATCATAACTGATACAAAAGTATTATTATCTCTGTTTTCCACGTAAAAAAAAAAATTGAGGGTCAGAGAGGGTGAGTGCCTTTCCTAAGGCCACACAGCCAATAAGCGACAGAGTTAGGATCAGACCTCAGGTTTCATCAGCATCATCTGTTTGAGATTCATTTATGTTGGTGCTTTATTTTTATTACCAACCAAAAAAATGACTGGAACTTCAATACCTATTATTCTATATTATTCAACTGGTGAACAATATGGCCATTTCTAATATTCTGCCAGTGGTACTTATTGGAATAAAAGTGGTCACACCTTCAGGGAAGAAGGTGGGAGTCATATGGGGAACTGAAAATACTCTCATTTTCACGTGGGTGATAGAGACACACGTATGTTCATTTGGGTAAATTCACTGAGCTATATGCTTCTGGTTTATGCACTTTTCTTTGTAAATTTTATTTATTTTATTTTATTTTATATTATTATTATTATTTTTTGAGATGGAGTCTCTCTTTGTCACCCAGGCTGGAGTGCAGTGGCGCAATCTCAGCTCACCACGACCTCCACCTCCCGGGTTCAAGCGATTCTCCTGCCTCAGCCTCTCGAGTAGCTGGGATTATGGGCGTGCGCCACTGAGTCTGGCTAATTTTTGTATTTTTAGTAGAGATGGGGTTTGCCACGTTGGTCAGGCTGGTCTTGAACTCCTGACCTCAGGTGATCCGCCCGCCTCGGGCTCCCAAAGTGCTGGGATTAAGGCATGAGCCACCGTGCCTGGCCTTATATTTCAACTTAACCTCTTTTTTTTTTTTTTTATGAAAAAAGAAGGGCTGGCAGGATCATGCCTGTACATGCTTCCTGGTTCACACACAGAGTTTCTCTCAGGTGCCTCCTAGAAGAGGAATTGCTGGGTTTTGTGATGCATGTACCTTCAACTTTGTGAGACTCACCGTGCTGTGCTGCAGAGGGGTGTGGAGCCCACTGCTGCCACCCACCCACAGGACTCAAAGGGCATTCCCCCCCTGGGCAGATGCAGACTGACTCTTGGAGGAGCCTTCTGCTTAAGTGAAGTGGGAGAGAATGAAGCAGTCATCCCAAAGAAAGGACAGCCGTGGAAGCAAGGACTGGGGAAGCCCGAGTTCCTTGGTGCTTCTGGGCTGCGGGGTTCAGAAGGTGGCAGGGGGAGGCTGGGCTGTGGAGGGAGCAACAGAGGTCTGGGGAGCCAGGCCTGGGGAAAGGGCTTTGTTCTCTGGTGAACCAAACAGGGTGAAGCTGCAGGCTCCTGGGGAATGGGAATCCCACCCCTTCCCATCTGACCTTACACCATCCACGGAGCTCTGGTGAAAGCCCTGCTCCAGCCCAGGCATACCTCTTGATATCGCTGTAGCGTGGAGACAAAGGTCCGCTGGTAGAACAGCAGCTGCAGGCGCTCATGGGCGTAGTTGTGGCACAGCTCCTCAAAGGTGGCCGCCCGGTCCTTGCCCTGGTGCCGGGGGTTCTGGAAGCCTGGAGAGTCCACCACCATGATGGAGGCCATGGAGAGATGGTGGGAGGAAAAGGATCTAGGGAGAGAAGAGAGAGGTGGAATGTCTGAGATGGCATGGAATCTAGGAGCACACTGATCCAAGCCTCCAGCAGAACTGGTTTCAAAACCAAGCTCACCTCTTACAGGCTGTGTGACCTCAGGCAAGCTACTTAACCTCTCTGAGCAGGGGTTTCCCCAACTGTTAAATGAGGATGGGGGTGAGTAGGCTTATCCCAGGGATAGCTATAAGGACTAAAGGAATTAAACTGCCTCCCACTGGCCCAAAGTAAAAAAAAAAAAAAATGACTAGCTTAAGGTCACCCAGAAGTTGGCTACCATATGAAGCCTAGGCCCTCCTTTTCTTTCTTCAGAGGCCTATTAAAATCAAAAAACTATTTTATTTAATACATCAGTTTACAAAATTCTTTCAAGCTATCACCTCCTTGTATTCTCCTGATGAATCTGTAGGGGTGGACACAACAGGGATTATTCACATCAAAATTTAGGACTTAAGAGATTTTGGAGCCAGTCACATGTGGGCTTCAATCCTTGCTCTGTGACAGAGGGGATGTGTGTCTTGGGAGAGTTGCCCAACCTCTCTGAGCCTCCACCGTCTTAGCCACCGTCTCAGTTAATGATGGTGACTAGCTCAGAGGGCTGTTGTGAGGGTTGGGTGTGATAAGCTTCCATGGCTGTGAAAGCAAAGTTTGCCATGTGGTTAGTGCTCAGTAAATGCCACCTGCTCTCATCACCACGAGTATGATCAGCTAGGAGCTTTGGAGGCCCTTAGTTGAACCTTGGTTCTTCTGTTGTTTGCCAAGGTTTTCCAACTATAAAATGGGGATAATAAGAGCAGCCACCACACAGACATGCATGAAGATGAAGTCGGTTTATTCTTGGCAAGACAGACACCTACTAGGTGCTTATAAATGCTGTAGTAGGTACTTTGATCATCCATGCGGCATTTCACAGATGTGGCCTCTGAGAACCCAAACCTTGAAGCAGCTGCCCTTCACTGGTGAAGGCAGTTTCCTCCGCCAGCAGTTCATTTCCCATTCCCAGTACTCCCTCTCTAAGCACGCATGATCCCCTTGGTTTCTAGATAATATGTCTGTGGGCTCAGATGGTAATTACTTCAGCAGCGTCAGAGGGAGTTGATTCTGTGTCCACGACAACTTGGAGAAACCCGGCTGCTCTGTTGCTACGCGCCAGCCTCATCCCTTTAACAGGATTTCAGAAGCCTAATTATGCTTTCTGCTTTCACAGAGGAGGAAGGCAAGCCTTTGCCTAGGCTCTGAATTAGCTCTGCTGAAAAAACTGCTAAAAGGGTTTCCAAGCATGGGCTCAGTGCATTGTGCGTAACGATGGAAAACAGAGGCTCCTGGTGCCTGCAGCCCCGCAGACACACATCAGAGGCACACCCCAGCCCACTCCAAATTTCTACCATGTTGCTCCCATCCCCAGCAAGACAATTTTGAAAAATAAATGGATGAGAGCAATGTATTGGGCTATTCAGGGGAACTGAAGGTATGACATGAGAAGGTGGCATTGTGTTTGCATCTCGGTTCTACCCCTTCAAGCTTTAGTCTCCTCCTCTGTACAATGGGCCCATGTGAGTATTCAATGATGCAAAGCAGGTTACACAATTAGTGCAATCCCTGGCCCTCAGTAGCCACTCAAAAGTACTTAGATTTTATTATTGGCATTTTTACAATCACTGTTAGGAAGAATTTGTTTCATTTTGTTTTGTTTTGAGAGAGTCTCGCTCTGTCACCCAGGCTAGAGTGTGGTGGCGCGATCTCGGCTCACTGAAACCTCTGCTTCCCAGGTTCAAGCAATTCTCCCTGCCTCAGCCTCCCGAGTAGCTGGGATTACAGGCGCCCACCACCACGCCCAGCTAATTTTTGTAATTTTTAGTAGAGACAGGTTTTCGTCATGTTGGCCAGGCTGGTCTTGAATTCCTGATCTCAGGTGATCCTCCTACTTCAGCCTCCCAAAGTACTGGGATTACAGGCATGAGCCACCACGCTTGGCCAGGAAGAGTTATTTAAATTCATTATTTCTTTTAATCCTCACAACAGTCCTTGGGAAGAGAGCTATTGTACAGACGAGGAAAGGGAGATCAGAGAAGTGAACTGATTTGCCGACCTCACAGCCAGTGGGTGGCCAAGGTAGAAGTTAAACCCAGCACTGTCCACCTTAGAAACCCTCTCGCCAGCTCAAAAACTGCCACTTTGTTCAACTGCCCGGTATGTGAATTCATCTGTGCACCTGCAAGAGGCCAACTGTGTGCCTAGGAAAAGGCCCCGTTACCTGTTGATGAGTGAGACCACAGCCGCAAAGAGTTCCTGGTACAGGCCCGAGGCCATCCCCTCCACACAGTCCACTCCTGTCATCTTGAGCCCTGGGAAAGAGGACAGAATCAGCATTCTTGGTTAGGGATCTTGCCTGGGGCCAAGGACATCACTGCAGAGCAGTAGGGACCACTCAATTTAGAAAATCCTTCTTTTCTTGCCACATCCCTCCACTGCTAAAATTATTTCCCCAGGTTCTTAGGACAAAGTCTAAGTGTCCTTTCAGGGCCTACAGCGTCCTATGTAACCTGCCCTACCTTCACCCCAGAGTGATCTGCTCATCACTCAGGGTTCAGCCCAAATGACACCTCCTCAGGAAAGCCTTCCTTGACTACCACCATCACCACCACTAGGCCAATTCCCAGCTCTGTGTTGCTTCTAATAGCACTTCCCATAGCATCATCTTTCTAGTATAGTTATTTTATTAACCTGTGTCTCCTTCATGAGGCTGGGCGTGCCCTGAAGATAGGCGCTGTCCCTGGGTTTGCTGACCTTTAAATTGCCAGTGTCTGGCACATAGCAGACACTCAGTAAATGTTTATGATTCCCTTTTTCTGGAGAGAAATTTGACAATTTTGTATTAGAAGCCATAAAATGTTCGTATACTGGGACCTAATAATTTCACTCCTAGGCTTTTATTCTAATGAAATATTGAGAGAAATAAAGCTTTCTGGGGACACAGGTTCTTCCAATTGTTGATTAAATTGGCAAAAATCACTTTTTGAAATGACTTGAGTGACCAACAATAGAAAATGGGTTAGGTAATTTGTAGTCTACCCATACAAAGGAATGCTTAAAGTCAGGTATGAAGAATACTGAATGAGATTGGAAAAGTGCCTACCTAGAACGTTAGGAGGAATATAAAGGCTCAAAAACTATAATTACAGTTGTGGACTTGATTTTGCTCGAATACACACACACACGCATGTATATGCATCCCATTAAAATCACCAGCCTTGATTAGGGTGCATTGAACAAAGCAGAGTGAGGAGTGTAGGGGATCAGATCACAAATTCCGTCCCTTAAGTTTCAGTTCTATCTAAAAAATTGAAAACACAGTTTCCAAATCAGTGCGCACTAGTGCCTGGAGGAGTAATTCTGCTTGTACATTCCAGGCAGCCCACTGCAGCCCCGAAAGCATTTCCCACCCCTCCTCTGAATCCACCCCCAACCTGGGCTGTTGCTAGGCAACCCACAGCCTCCCAGCATCTCTCCTAAGCCCGAAGGTCCCCTGCCTGCTTAATGTCTACTCTTGAGACCTCAGCCTGAGAGGTTAACTCAGACTCACAAAGTGGTGACTGCATCTGTCTGTGCCTGTGTGTGATGCACCCATCCTTAAGTATGTGTGTGGTGTTTGTGCCTGTGCATATGTGTGCACGTGTGTGCTTGTGTCTATGCGTGTGTGTGTAGTTGTATGGTATGTGCATGTGTTATATATATATCTGTGCACATGTTTACACATACATGTGCCACGCATATCTGTGTGTGTGCTGTGTATGCTTGCAGTATATGTGTGCCAGTGTCTGTGCATGTGTGTGATTCCGTGGTATCTGTGCACATGTGTGCATACACAAGTTGTGCTGTGCATATGTGTGGTGTGTTCATGTGTGATGCACACATGGTGTGCACACCATGTGTGCATAAGCATGTGTGTGTATGCTTCTGGGAATGTGTGTGCATGTCGAAGAGGAGAGGTAATCTTCAAGAAAACCACAGTTCACACCAGAGCACAGACCTGAAAGGAGACATAGAGGGCCAATGGGGTCCAAGTGACATCAGTCCTCACGCCGAAGTCCCTGGAAGGTGGAAGCAGCTCCAAAGGTGCAAAGGAGCTCCAAGAGATGGGCCCCAAAATCACAGCTCACAACACTCCTACTCATTAACCCCAAACTCTGCTGTCTCAAGGACAGCTGCTCTTAGAGAGCTCCCAAAGATGCACAGAGGCTGCAGACTTGGGACCCAGCAGATCACATCCTTGCAAGTACAGTACAAAGTCCTCCTGTTTTTCCCCCACGGCAGTTCAAAGCATCCTCATTCTTCCAGCTGCTGGGGCCAAAATCCTAGCAGCCACTGCTGGTCTCTGTCTTTCTCTTAGGGCCCATGCTATCACCTCAGCTTGTAAACTAGCCCCTGAATCTGTCCACCTCGCCCCGTCTCCACTAGCACTTCCGACCACCACCTATCACCTGGTGATTTTTATAGGTTCCCAGTGGGTCTCCTGTCTCCCACTCACTCCCCAACCTTCATCCAGGCTGAGCTTCTTAAAGCCAAATCATGCCATCCCCCTGCCTAAGCCACTCCACGGCTTCCCAAGGGCCTGAGAATGAAAACCCTCGTTTATAAACCCTTAGTGAGCGGACCACACCTTGCTCTCCACCCTCATCTTCTCCCATCCCTCCACCTCGCAGCAGCCACTCGGGATTTCCATCCCTCAAACAGAAAGACTAGTCTTTCCCCTACTTAGTAGGTGCTCAACAAACACGAAATCCGATGGAAATGCATTGGTCCATCGGCCCTGCCCACGGCATCCCCTCCCCACAGCGCGGGGCTCCCTGCCAGGTTTCAGCAGCCTTCATGGCCACTGAATGGAGATAGTTATTTGAGCATTAGCATTGACCGGTCCCTTTCCACCCACGATGGCTTCCCCTGCATCTAACACACGCCTTCATAGCATAGGCCCTTAACAAATCTTTGATAAAAAAGTTAAAGAATGCTGGTGTATCCCCAGGAGCTGGCCCAGAGGGGGGCCCAGCTCACCCAAAGAGGCAGCAGCCATGTACCTGAGCTGGTTTCCTCATCCTCGAGGCCCCATCGGCTTGGCCCAAACGTCATTTGCTGGATGATCTGTCGAAGGTGGTGCTTGAAGGTGGCCGTGTTCAGCTCCTCATACTCGCAGCCCAGGGCCTCAGCTGCGTAGTTTGCCCACTCAAACCTCATGAACTGCTTCCGACCCACTGCAAAGGGGACAAAACAGAGGCGTGGCAGTGAGGCCTTGGGCATGGGGTGAATGAACACCCGAGAGGACCTCGGAGAATCTCAGCACCCTCCCAATCTCCAGGCCAGCCTCCTCAGCCGGGAGCTTGGACAACTGCCCAGGCCTGGGCCCCTAGGCAATGGCCCTGGAGGAGTCGGATTTCCCAAGAGACTTGCTTATCCGACTTCCTCGCCATTTGCATTGCTTACTTTTTCAAAGCGATTAAAAATATCATGGGGAAGCACTCTAACTGTGAAATTGGGGGATGGTTGGTAAAATTATGATTGATTCACCCACCCACATATCCATTTACCTACCCATCCAGGCATGCACTATCCCCTGCAAGCCACCTACCTATCCTTTCAACTCCTCATCCAATTAAGGAAGGAGACCACTACTACTCCTGCTGCCCTCCTCCCCCAACCTTGCCTAGTTCACAAGACAGTAGGAAAGAGAAAGCAAAAAGTTGGAAACAAACAGAAGTAAGATAAATAGCCAGACAACCTTGGCACCACCACCCGGCCCTAGGAGTTAAAAAAGTAATAATAATAACATCAACCCCTGACCTAAACTACTTGTGTTATCTGTAAATTCCACACATTGTATGGGAAAGCATTGCAAAACTTTCTATTCTGTTAGCTGATGCATGTAGTCCCCCCAGTCACGTTTCCCAGCTTGCTCGATTTATCACGACCTCTTCATGCGGACCCCTTAAAGTTGTAAGCCTTTAAAAAGGCCAAGAATTTCTTTTTCAGGGAGTTCGGCTCTTAAGACGCAAGTCTGCCGGCACTCCCGGCCAAATAAACCTCTTCCTTCTTTAATCCGGTGTCTGAGGAGTTTTGTCTGTGACTCGTCCTGCTACACAATCACACATCCAACCATCCAACTAGCCATCTGCTTACTGTGTACATGTTGACTGAGCTCCCCTCATGTGACAGGCACTGTGTCTGCCACCAAAATCAATGAGCAAGACAGACAAGGTGCCTGTCCTCATGGAGCTTATAGTCCATTGAGGGAGTGTGACAACAGACAAGTAAACAAATAGATAAGATCATTTCCAGCCATAAAATTATAAAGTTCCCTCTGCCCTCTGCCAAACAGAAACTAAAGCAGGGTGCTGAGATCAAGAGAGACCAAAGGAGTTGTTTGGTGTCTATGGTGGTCAAAGTGGGTTCTATCTGAAGACGTGATGTATTAACTGAGCTATGAAAGGTGAGAAGGAGGTACTACATAAAGAACCAGCGAAGTGCTTCAGAGGTTGAAGGAGGCAGTGCAAAGGCCCTGGGGTAGAAATGAGCATGGTGTGTTAAAGGAATGCCAAGCAAACCAGTGTGGCTGGAATGTAACGGGGTGGGGAGAGGAACCAGACGGGATTAAAGAATCAATGGAGAGCCACTCTTTGGACCATTATAAAGCCATTTAAAATTAGCAGTGAAGACTGTGCATACCATGGACAATGCTTACACCTGAATGCTAAGTGAAAAGCAGATTAGAAAATGATATCATAGTGATATCAACTGTGCAAATCATTCTAAACTGCTGTAAAAAGTAATAAAAGGGAAATATGGCTAAATATTAACCATCACAGCTAGGTAAAGGGATTTTTTATTTTCCAAATTTTCTACCATGGTTGAGCACTACTTTTTTAATCCATAGAAAAATAAATGACTTCTTTTTTTTGTTTGTTTTGTTTTGTTCTGTTTTGTTTTTGAGATGGAGTCTCACTCTCGCCCAGGCTGGAGTGCAGTGGCACAATCTCAGCTCACTGCAAGCTCCGCCTCCTGGGTTCACACCATTCTCCTGCCTCAGCCTCCCGTGTAGCTGGAACTACAGGCACCCACCACCACGCCCAGCTAATTTTTTGTATTTTTAGTAGAGACAGGGTCTCACTGTGTTAGCCAGGATGGTCTCCATCTCCCGACCTCATGATCTGCCCACCTCAGCCTCCCAAAGTGCTGGGATTACAGGCGTGAGCCCCCACTCCCGGCCAATAAATGACTTCTTAAAACAAATAATAGTGTCGTCCTTAAAACATTTTCACTAACAAATACATGAAAAAATGTTCAACATCTCTAATCATCAGGGAAATGCAAATCAAAACCACAATGAAGTATCGTCTCACTCCAGTAGGATGGGGTGACAAAAAGCAAAAGTGCTGGCAAGGATGCAAAAAAAAAAAAAGGAACTCTTAGACATTGTTGGTGGGAATGTAAACTAGTGCAGCAACTATGGAGAGCAGTAGGAACTTTCCTCAAAAAACTATAGATAGAACTACTGTATGATCCAGCAATCCCACTACTGGGCATTTATCCCAAGGAAATCAGTGCATCAAAGAGACATCTGTACCCCATGTTTACTGTAGCATGATTCACCGTAGCCAGGAGAGGGAATCAACCTAGGTGTCCAAAACAGACAAATGGGTAAAGAAAATGTGGTATATATACACAATGGAATACTATTCAGACATAAAAAAGCATGAAGTCTTGTCATTCATGGCAACATGGGTGGAACTGGAGGACGTTAAGTGAAATAGCCAGGCACAGAAAGACAAATATCACATGTTCTTATTCATATGTGGAAGCTAAAAAAAAAGATTTCATAAAAGTAGAAAGCAGAATAGAGCATACTAGAGGCTGGGAAGGGTTTGTGGGGAGGTAAGTGGGCGGATAGGGAGAGAGTTGTTAAAGGACACAAAATCACAGCTAGATAGGAGAAATACGTTCTAGTGTTCTATAGCATTGTAGGATGACTGTAGTTAACTGTAATATATTATATAGTTTCAAATAGCTAGAAGGAGGATATTGAATGTTCCTAACACAAATAAATGATAATTGTTCAAGATGATGGATACACTAATTACCCTGATAACTGTACATGTTTAGAAACACCACTATGTACCCCATAAATATGTACACTTATTATATGTCAACTTAAAAAATAAAACTAAAAAAAGTTCTCTCTTTCATCTCTTATTTTCCTATAAATGTGTTTCCTTCTTTGAAATAAGAATCACAGCCACCAACAGGGATTTTTCAATCAATCAGAAAGAGATTGTGAGGGCCCAATTCTTCAAGTAGACAGCTTGAAGAACCAATCTGGCTTATGGCAAAACTAGAAATTTGGAAAAGGACTTTATCTAGGACTTTGACCCTACCCAAGGAAGAGGTCTGGCCCCAATCACTAAGGGCATTACAAATAGATATTGCTTACTGACATCCTCCTAATGTGCCAATTACTCTGCACTGGTCACAAGAGCATCACTGTATTAACCTCATTTTACAGACTATGCTCGTTTTATAGATGATGAAACTGAGACTCAGGTAACATGGCTAATTTTTAAAAATCCTGTCACTTTAAAAAATGATGGAGATGATGATGGTGATGATGATGGTGATGACAGTGATGATGATAGTGATGATGATGGTGATGATGGTGTGATCTAATTCACTTACCTGATTTTATTCAACATTGCGTCTTTGTTCAGCTCATGACTTTTACAGTTGAAAAGCCTGGGTTATTGTTCCAGGAGTGACACATGGAAAAAGCTCAGTACTTATTAGTTGTAGTTATTTGTTATTATTGTTATTATTAAATCTTCACAAGAGTCCTAAAAAGCTCTATTATTAATCCCATTTTATAGATTAAAAATCTAATTGAGAGAAGTCACCAGAAAACAGGCTGATACTAAGTGGAAGAACTACATTTTCACCAAAATCAGTCCTTCAAATATCATCTTTTTTGCCATATCTTTGTGACTCTACTTTTAAATGGACTCACTTTTCATCTTCACTTAAATACACTGTAAACAGAAATATTATCACACTATGTTAAATGAGAATTCATTATCACCTGCCACAAATAGAAAGTAGAAACAAATATTACACAAGCACAATAATGTCATTAGATTCTAATTAAATACTGTTACCTGTGAGCCTGAAATCTGCTCTCTCTTTGTTAAGAAGCAAATATTAGAGAGAGGCATTAAAGGCTATTAGCACTGAATGAGACTTTCTTCTTCCTGTGCTGGGGATTGAGAGTGAACTAAATAGGAGATGTCTTTCTAGGTAGGTGAGGTCCTGTCCCCTCCTCTTGCTCTACTCCATGCCTGCTCTCTAAACACTTGCAACTGTTTCTGGCCTCAACGAGCTGGGAGAAGTCATAAAGGAAATTGGCAATTGATATTTCTGAAAAGAAGAGTGGTTAATGGATGCTGGCTGGACTCTCTAAATCCTGCCTGACCTAGGGGGGATATTTGCAGGTGCAGCTGAGATGCATGCTGCTGGTGCAATCCAGGTGGGCACACAGGGAGCTTTGCCAGGAAAAGCATCTTCTACTATCAGCTCCCCGAAGGCTGGCCGGTGCACAAAATCCAATCCCATGGATTCTTCTATCTTTGCTTGGACATGGGTAGTGACCAAAGTCTCTTCCCAGGGGAGGTCAAGAACCCTGAGTTGGCACCTGAGGCAGGGAGAAAAGGAACTGGGCAATAACATGGGTGTTGGCCCAAACTGGATCTGGGTCCAATTCCTGTTTCTGCTATTCCCAGTTTGTCGCACAAAGCCAGGTACACGGCCTTTTTGAGACTCAGTTTGTCTGTGAAACGGAATCTTAAAACCCCCAACACCTCTTCATAGGGTTGCAAGAAGGAGATGAGATGGTTACATGTGAGATACCCAGCAGAGTGCCTGGCCCAGAAAAGGTGCTCAAAAAATTGCAATTCCCTTCTCCACCTGCAAAACCAAGGAGGGTACCCTTCAGCCCAGAAGGGATTATCCTGTCCTGCTGGCTGCAGAGACTTCCCCTGCAGGTTCTTGTCTATTCACTGCTTTTTAAAGAGGCCATGTGGAATGGATAATGGATTGGTGCACTTGGGATGTGGGTCACACCCCAGAGCTTCTGAGTCAGCTGAGGTCACTTCTTCTCAAGCCATCGAGTGTTGAGCATAGCCTATGTGCCAGGCACTGAGCTAAAGGCTTTCCATGCCTCATCTCACCAAAACCCTCTGAGGCAGTGCACAAATGCAGAACAGACCCAGTAAAGTCAAAATTCTTGTGCAAAGAGGTACAAGATGTGATTTCTGCCCGGCTGTGGCTGATCTCAGGCTCCATGCTCAAGGAACCATCCATGTAGACCATCAGCTCTTTGCAAAGCCACAGCAAGGGAAGATGGGATACAAGATAAAACCAAAGTGAGAGAGGCAGAGAGACACAAAGAGGGAGAGGCAGAGAGAGAGAAACAGAGAGAAAGGACAGAAATTATTCCTCAAAGGGAACTCCCCATTGGGGGAAGTGGATTTTCCCCTGCCCCCAGCCCACTCCAGAGGGGATCACACACTCTATCCAGGTACTTTTCTCTCCACCCACCAGGAGGCAAGGAGATTAGGAGACAAGGAAATCCCAAAGCTAAGTGCAGAGATCATTTCTGGTCTGTGCTTTTGGTTGTCAGCCATTTTTCGGGTTGCTAGGGAGAAACAGGTCCCCATGGCAGATGGGCCCACAGTTCCTGCCTTCCTACCCCATTTCCCTTCCTCACTGCCCTCCTGGAGAATGGGTGTGAAGCAGGGCAGAGTGGCCGGCCACACAGGTGGGGATCAGAGTTCCCCAAAGGTGCACCTTGTAGTGGTTGTTCTATGGAATGGTCATCAGTATCACTGGGAAATAAATGAATATTGTATCATATCAATTTGGTCATTGCTTGGTTAAATAAGTTTCTTAACTGCAGGACTTCTCAGAGCCTTTAAAGTATATCTTATGAATCTGTAAGAAGGAGAAATTCTGTTCAGACTTAGTTGGCCTCAGAATGCATTTACAGAATCTCTTGCGGATCTAATGATCCATGAGACAGTGGTTTTGGAAAGAGTGATTTAGCTGAAAGAGTAGTTACCTAACCAGGTGACCCCAGGCAAACTGCCTCACCTGAGCCATTTGTCAGGTCACTCCTTTGGTAAGAGGCAGGCTGGGATTTGAATTGAGAGAACAAACAAAAGAGAAATGAGAGAAAAAGAAGAAAGAGGAAAGGGAAGGGGAAGGGAAGGGGAAAGAGAAAGGGAAAGGAAAGGGAAAGAAAAGAGGGAGGGAGGAAGGAAGGAAGGGAGGGAGGGAGGGAGGGAGAAGGAAGGAGAGAGAGAGAAAGAAAGAAAGAGAGAAAAGAAAAAGAAAAGAAAAGAAGGAGGGAAAGAAAGAGAGAGAAAGAGACAGAAAGAGAGACAAAGAGAAGAAAAAGAAAAAGAAGAAAGAAAGAGAGAGAAAGAGAGAAAGAACGAAAGAAAGAAAGAAAGAAAGAAAAAGGGAGGAAGGGAGGAAAAGGAACAAGGGAAAGTAATGAAACTGCCGTTTCTGAGTTGCTCAAATCCACCTGCAAAGGCAGGTTTTTCCCTTTATGTCGATACAAAATGAGAGCGAGAGAGAGAAATAACATAGCTGTTTTTCCCCACCCACTATGAGTTCAATTGCTATCAATTACTGTGGCCTCCTGCATTTATTAATAACCAAGTTATTTCTCCTTCCAACAATAGCTGTGCTGTTGCTGAATTACTCAACATTATGTGACTTCTTTATAATCTTGCTGCATCTGGTTCACTTTTCCTCACACAGAGGTTTACAATTCGGAGGCCTGTGAGGAAGGAGGCTGCCTGTAGAGAAGAGATAAGTCTAAAAGGCTGTAGCTGCTACAGGAAAAGGCAATGTTCTGGAGACAGACTGCCTCAGTTCAAATCCCACCTCCACTGCTTACAGCCGCGTGATGTTGGCAAAGTCATGTCAACACTTTGAGCCTCAGTCTCCTCCTCTGTAAAATGGGAATGACGAACAGAATTCACTCCATGGAGTGCTTGTGAAGAACGAATGAGGTTATATCATTCTAAGCAAACTATCGCAAGGACAGAAAACCAAACACCACATGTTCTCACTCATAGGTGGGAGATGAACAATGAGAACACATTGACACAGGGCGGGGAACACAACACATTGGGGCCTGTCTGGGGGTGGGGGGCTGGGGGAGGGATAGCAGTAGGAGAAACCTAATGTAAATGACAAGTCGATGTGTGCAGCAAACCAATGTGGAACATGTATACCTATGTAACAAACCTGCACATTGGGCACCTGTACCCTAGAACTTAAAGTATAATAATAAATAAAAGAAGAATGAATGAGGTTATACGGGCAGGATGCATAACAGGCAACCTGCTCAGTAAATGTCAACTCTATTATGATCCCACTCAGAGATTTCCTCCCTTAAAAATGACAAATGGGTCAGAAAGAGAAACCCCGGGAGAAAATCCAATTCAGGCAGCTGTGGCTTTCTGCCCAGGGACAACCAGAAAAGTTCTATTTTTGAGAACATGGAAAATGTAACCTTCTCATTCTTAGAGGCTAGAACTTCAAATCCATTCCTGTTTCTTAGGGCTCCTTCCAGGTCCTGCTGCCCTCAGGTGCCATGCAGCCCCACAAACCTGGACATATTGTTCCACCTGACTGGGTTTGGAGAAAGTTGTCCAAAGGCCTGGCCGATGTGCCATCTATAAATTGATGCTGAGTTATGCATAATCCAACATGAATCATTGCCCGAACCTTAACAACTGAGAACACAGCACACAAACCATTCCCAGTGTTCTGGGGACTATGAGCAGGTGTTTGGGGGAAAAGAAGGCTTTATGGACAAATCAGTTGGAGCAACATCAAACTAAACTCAGCAAAACAGGTTTCCCTCTTGCAGGACTTGTCAGAACCTTGAATATGCCAACATGTATGCGGAATTTACAAGAGGAAGGGAGCCTGTTGAGGGGGTGGGGTGTCTCTCAAACTAATTTGATCAAGAAGCTGGAGGAGAAAGATGGATAAGGAGGCATCTTTGAGGTGGTGGGAATTGTGGAAAGAACTGGAAGCTGATTGTCCAAAGATAATTTCAACCTGGCTGCAAGATCTCAAGTAGGAGATATCAGCTCTCTGAGCCTCAGTTGCCTTATCTGTAAAATGGGGTAGCTCCTCTCCCATCTGGTTGTTTTAAGAATGAAATAAGACATTGAATGTGTCAAGCTACCTAGGAGTGTGTCCCAGAGCAGGTGACCCAACCTGAGGAGCAGAGTTGTCAGGGAGACCTTGGCTGGAAGATGTCACATGGGGCACCTGCAGGGGCAAAGGCTCAAAGAATGGACCAGCTGCAAGTCTATGCACGACTTGCCTGAGATCACTCAGCTAGCAAGGTAGAGTCCAGGACCAAGCCCAGATCTAGATGGTCCCCTCTAATGCTCTTTCCACATTCACATGCCCCTCGCCAAGGCAGGCTGAGCAGGGGCCATTCAATCTATCAAACTGTCCCCTTTAAAGCTATTTCCTGGGTCCAAGGGAAGCCCAAGAGTAGCTGGCATTTTCTGAGTACTCACCATGCGTCTGAGCCTGTGCTAAGCACATAATCTCATCAATGCAACAACCATACAAAAAGGCATGATTATGAATTCCATTTATTGGTATGAACCCTGCAATTCAGTGATGTAAAGAATAAGGGTGTAGGATTTAAAGACAGAACCTCTTGGTCCCAGATTGGGCTCTTCCCCTCCCTATGTCCATGACCTTAGGTAACTTACTTTACTTCTCTGAGCCTTCACTTACTCATCCATAAAATGGGTATAATCTACCACAGAGTTATGAGGATTAAATGGAATAATCCATACAAAGCACTTAAATCATGTCTGGCAGAAGATGAATTCTGAGTAAATATTAACAATTCATTCCATCATCATCGCCACTGTCATTGTTATTGCTAGTATTGTTATGCTTTGTCTCTGAATGATGAGTCCAGAACTCATACATATTGGAGTTCTCACTGAGCCATCACTATCTCCCTTCCAAAAAGGGGTGAATAGGGTATCTGGTAATCAAGGAAAAAGGGACCCTGGAGAGCACCTAGTCCACCCCATTTGGCAAGTTCTTTCTCCCCTCTGAGCCTCAGTTTCTTCATCTGTAAAATAAGATAATAGCATCTACTCCATGAGATTGTTGAAGTAGCCAAAGCTCTTAGAATAGTGTCTGGATCCAAGCTACCTGGGAGGCTGAGACAGGAGAATCACCTGTACCTGGGAGGCAGAGGTTGCAGAGGGCCGAGATCGTGCCATTGCACTTCAGCCTGGCAACAAGAGTGAAACTCTGTCTCAAAAAAAAAAAAAAAAAAAAAAAAAAAAAAAAAAAAAAAAAAAGAACGGTGCCTGGGAGCATGGCAAGCACTGATTAAATGTGAGCTACTGTTATTATTTAGGAGAGACAGAGACCCAAAAGAAGGGTAGGAACTTTCACAGAGCCACTCAACAAGTGAGTGGCTCAACCAGTCTGAAATCAGGGTCCCGCAGGTGTCCTAATCTCCTCACTCCACCTTCCCAAGGTGTGGGACTACCAGTGAGCTCCGTCTTCCAGCATCGCCACTTCTGAGCATGTATTTTTAAAAAATATTTAATTGTTTACATCCCAAGCAGCATTCCAGCTTTATGAATAAATTCTACATGCTCAGAAAATGCAGAATAAATCCCTGCCTGCAGCCCAGAATAGACCTGGTTGCAGTAGCTGTCAGGTTGAGAGCCAAGTCACCAGCTGGGGCAGGGAGGAGGATGCAGGGTCTGCAGCCGTGGGAAGGCATTTGGGCAGAATGGGGCAGAGGAGGTGACAGGCCTCGAGGGTACTGGGTCCAAGGATGGATCAATGAAATCTCCAGGATGCTAGGCCACATGGCAATCCTGTCTCCATTAGAGCCCTTAGGTTCACAGCACCAGTGCAGGGGCCCTTAGGCTGATGCTTTATGAACAGGAAGACAGAGGCCCTAGGCCTTGCATTGAGAAGGAGGACCCTGAACCTGCTCCATGCTGAATCAAGCCACTGTGTCTTTGCCATTCAGGTTCCTCTGCCTAGAGCACGCTCCTTAATTTATTCTGTTTTCAAGATTCAGTTCAAGGGTCTCTGCCTCTAGAAACCCTTGAGTGGAGCTGACCACCCTCAACTTTGGTTGTCTCCTGCCCAGAATTCTTGCCCCCAGCATCATCCACCATCCAAGATAGCCTGGGTTTATCTTTCTTAATTCCACTGAAATTTCATCTTGGAAGGTGAGGGCTTATCATCCAATAGGCACAGAGGAGAAGAAAAGAAGGGAGAGGGACAGGGTGCGGTGGCTCATGCCTGTAATCCCAGCTACTTGGGAGGCTGAGGCAGGAGAATCGCTTGAACCCAGGAGGTGGAGGTTGCGGTGAGCTGAGACTGCACCATTGCACTCCAGCCTGGGCAACAAGAGCGAAACTCCGTCTCAAAAAAAAAAAAAAAAAGGAAGAAGAAGAGGAAGAAGAGGAGGAGAAGGAAGAAGGAGGAGGAGGAGGGAGAGGGAAGGGAGAAGTGGAGGAAAGAGGAGAATAGAAGAGGGAAGAGGGGAGGGGAGAGAAAGAAGGAAGGGAAGAGAAAAGAGAGAAGGAGATGAGAAAGAAGGAAAGGAGGAGGGAAGAGAAGGATGAAGAGAGGTGGGAGGAAAGGAGAGAAGGAAGAGAAAGAGGAGAAAGGAGGGAAGGAGGGACAGAGTCAAACAAGATCAACAGAACACTGGCTCAGGAGTCAGGTGACCATGATTCGAGTCCCCTGTAGCCTCATTGGGTGACCCTGAGAAAGTCTCTTCCCTTCTCTGAGCCTTGGTCCCTGCCCTGTTCAAAGAGCGGCTTAGGCTGACTGCAGTCCAAGTCCCTTTCCAGCCCTTGGACTCTCCACCCATCAGGGATGCTCTTAGGGCCAAGTGGGCAAGTGACTCCTTGGCTCTTTCAACCATGCAGAGAGATCTCTATGGGAACTGGCAGAGCCCTGGCAAGTTGAGGCCATGGGAGGCTGAACTTGCTTGTCCAAGGCCCTCTGCACAGAGAAGCCACCCAGGCCCAGCCCTGCAGCTCTCCCGCTTCTCCTGACTCCACCACTCTTCACACCCTTTAATTCAGAGCTTGAAGAATTGAAGAAAGCTGTCCCAGCCAGCTGGGTCCCAGATACCAACTCTAATCAGCACCCTCAGGAAAAATGTAGGGGAAGTAAATGTACTCTGGGCTTGGAGCACCTCATTACAGGGTGAAGCTCACCTCATTAAGGGGTGGAAGCAGCTGGGATGGAGGTGGAGAAGGAAGGGAGAAGCCTCTCAGAATTGGAGGAGAGCCAAGCAGAGTTATGAGCTGCAGTCAGAAGCCACCAGATGGGCACCTGGTCGGGCTCTTCTGAGCCCCGCATTCTTCACCTAAGAAAATAGATGTGAGCCCAGAGATGCAGACAGGCCAGGCCTGTCTTGGAGGAGAGGACAGAGGTAGCATCCTTAAAGTGGAAAGAGCAAGTCCCTTTAAAAATGCCAAGCCTTCCTTGGACCCCCAATGACACAGTGCATGGCAGACAGAGAGTCCAGCTTTGTGCCACTTGGGACTGTGTGACCCTGAATTAGTGGCTGCACCTCTCTGAGCCTCAGCTTCCCCACCTACAGATGGAAATGATAACCTCATAGTATTTACCCCATAGATTTGTGAGGGCTAAATGAGTCAACCTGTCCGTGTTAACATCCAGGGAGGTGAATTGGGTGGGTTCATTGAAATGTTGAACACTGGACACACCCTTGACCTAACAGTTCCCCTGCCAGGAAACCATGCCTCCAAAATGCGCACAACTGTCTGTACACAAGGATGTTCAGTGTGCTGTTATTTATAATACCAAAATGGCAAGAAACAACCTGAATGCTCATGAACAGAACTGTCATATACACAGAGGTCCATTCATTCTGGACAGTCCCCTGCAGCTGACGAAGAGAATCAGGAATATCACTATGAAGCAATGTGGAAAGAGGCCCAAGGCAAGATATGACATGTGAAAAAAGCAAAGGGCATAGAACAAAGGTGGTGTGAACCCACTGGCATAAAAAGCAATAACCAACCACTTAATCCACATATGTGTTAAATGCATAGATGTAGTTAAATGCTCAGTTTTGAGGCCTGAAGATACGGCTGCTTGGATTACAGTAATGCACCGCTGTCGATGTCCTGGTTTCAATATGTACTGCGGCTATGCATGACGCCCTCACTGGGGGCTGCTGGGAAAGGTTTCATGGAATGTTATGTGTGATTTTTACAATTTCCTGGGATTGCATAATTATTTCAAATCAAAAGTTTAAGAAAAAAGCCTGGCGCGGTGGCTCATGCCTGTAATCCCAGCATTTTGGGAGACCGAAGTGGGAGGATTACCTGAGGTCAGGAGTTCAAGACCAACCTGACCAACATGGTGAAACCACATCTCTACTAAAACTACAAAAAAAAAAAAAAATAGCCGGGCACAGTGGCGGCCACCTGTAATCCCAGCCACTCGGGAGGCTGAGGCAGGAGAATCCCTTGAACCCGGGAGGCAGAGGTTGCAGTGAGCCGAGATCACACCACTGCACTCCAGCCTGGGCAACACAGCGAGACTCAGTCTCACAAAAGAAAAAAAAAAGTTTAAGAAAAAAACAAAACTAGCCAGTTTAGGGTAGTGAAATTATCCTGTATGATACTAACAACGGATATATGACATTATATAATTGTCAAAACCCATCAAGGAACACAACAGAAAGAGTATAGATGGACCTTTGCTGCTAATAGAGTATCAGTATTGGTTCATCACAAGATATCAGTAATAGGGAGAGCTGTGGGGACAGGGAGAAGCGGTATGTAGGAATTTTGTACTTTCTGTTCAATTGTTCTGTAAATCTAAAATGCTTTCAGAATTAAAGTCGGCCAAGCACGGTGGGTCACACCTGTAATCCCAGCACTTTGGGAGACTGAGGCGGGATGATCACTGGAGGCCAGGAATTTGAGACCAACCTGAGCAACATAGTAAAACCCTGTTTCTACAAATAAATAAATAAAAATTAGCTGGGATGGTGGCGCACACCTGTAATCCCAGCTACTCAGGAGGCTGAGGTAGGAGAATCGCTTGAAACTGGGAGGCAGAGGTCGCAGTGAGCCGAGATCACGTCACTGCACTCCACCCTGGGTGACACAGAGAGACACCATCTCAAAAAAAAAAAAAAAAAATTATAGCCTATTAAAAAAAAAAAAAAGCCTGAAGGAGGACAGGCACAGTGGCTCACACCTGTAATCCCAGCACTTTGGGAGGCTGAGGCAGGCGGATCACGAGGTCAGGAGCTCGAGACCATCCTGGCTAACACAGTGAAACCCCATCTCTACTAAAAATACAAAAAAAACATCTGGGCATGGTGGTGGGCGCCTGTAGTCCCAGCTACTTGGGAGGCTGAGGCAGGAGAATGGCATGAACCCGGGAGGCGGAGCTTGCAGTGAGCCGAGATGGTGCCACTGCATTCCAGCCTGGGCAACAGAGCAAGACTCTGTCTCAAAAAAAAAAAAAAAAAGCCTGAAGGAAGGGTATACCCCAAACTGTTCACAGTGGTCACCTTTCATAGCAATGGGATTTGGCACTGGGGTGTGAGGAAAGACCTTTTTTTTTTTTTTAAACTTTCTATTCTTCTGGACTATTTCCATTTTTTATAGACATACAACATTGACGTATTCCTCATATGATTGCTTTAAAATAAGACTGGTAAAACACTTCCCAAAGCTCTTGAATATATGGTCATTGTGTTATGTTAACAGTCCCTCTGTTACTATCACTGACCATCTACACTCAGGTCTTACCACAGCTTGAAGAGCATCCAGCCACTTCTTCCTACCCCTGGATGGACCGTCCTTGCTACTGGTGTCGGGGTATCCCAGTTCTGTGTGGGACTGGGCCCTTGTCATTATTGATATTGTCTCTCCTCCCCATGAGCACCTCCTGGCTCCCTGAGTTACAGCCCCATCCATTCCAGCACTGATAACTTTATGATGGTAGCAGGCGGGGAGTGAGGTGCCAGCTAGATAGCAGCCTCCCTTCATAACCCCATCATGGGGCACCTCGCTGGGATATATTTGGTTCTGACTGCGTCGTATATTAAGTAATGGGTCAGCAGCAAGTAGACTGGCAAATTTCGTGAGAGACAAATAAACTAAATAACCCATGGGCCTTCAGAGAAAAAGGAAACCAAGCAAAGCCCCCATCAAGACAAGCATTGCTCATCCTTGTCACTATTTTGAGTTCCGAACATTACTGTCATTTCTGTCAAGTGGTGAGGGACAGGAGGCAGGTGGACCAATAGTCTGATTCTCCAGGGAGATGCACATCAACTCTTACAGCTACAGGACCACAGGGATCAGAGAAGGTTAAAGACCAGCCCAGGCTGGTGGCTCACTCCTGTAATCCCAGCGCTTTGGGAGGCTGAGGTGGGTGGATCATGAGGTCAGGAGTTCAAGACCAGACTGGCCAAGAGATGGTGAAACCCCATCTCTACTAAAAATACAAAAATTAGCTGGGTGTGGTGGCAGGTACCTGTAATCCCAGCTACTCGGGAGGCTAAGGCAGAGAATTTCTTGAACCCAGGAGGCGGAGGTTGCTGTAAGCCAAGATTGCACCACTGCACTCCAGCCTGGGTGACAGAGCAAGACTCTGTCTCAAAAAAAACCGCCCAGGTCAGCCTCTTCTAAAAGTTGCTGGGGAAAACTCTCCTGGGCCCTGGACTGATTTTTCGTTAATAACAATAATGCCAATGATAGCAATGACACAGCTTTAAATACTCAAGTTCAATAATGTCAGCCTCACAAGAACCCTAGGAGGCAGGCACTCTGATTATCCCCACTTTACAGATGAGGACATTGAGTCTCACAGGTCAAAGGAGTCACCTGGACCATGCAGGAGAAACAGGGTTGAACACTGGTCAGCCTGGTTCCAGACCCCATGCCTTTAGCCCCGAGTCTGAGCTCTCCTCAATTCTGCTTAGAGGGACAACCTTCCAAATTGGGGACTGGATGGAGATTAGATGGAGCTGAGGAGGCGCTCTCAGGAGAGAGGGTGGAGATCCTAGCACCCAGAATGTACCCACCAGCTTGGCCAGCTGGGTGGCCTTGTAGTGGAGAAGAGCAAGAACTTTGGAGGCAGACAGGTACTGAGTTCTGACCTTGGCCCCATCACATGCTGCTGTTTGACTTTGACAAAGATTGCAAGATCCTGAGACTCAGCATCTTGGACCACAAAAATGGTGACTCCTTCCCTACCTGTCAGGGTTGCTGTGAGAATTAAAAGTGAGAATTTATGCAAAGTGATCCCCAGCCTGGGGCTGAGGTGGAGAACAGGGAAAACTTGGAGAGGATTTTAACAGAGGTCATTCCTGGGAAGAGGATTGTGTCTGATTTTAATCTCATACAAGAAAAGAGGCCCCAAGACAGAGAAATCGTATCTTGCTGCAAAGAGGACATAGAGTTCATCCTTGATTTACTCTTCTGTAGGAAGAAGGTCTTTTGGGGGTCTCAGAGAATGGTCGGGGGCACTGGTAATAAAACAGAGAGCAAAAGTCTCAGGAGCCATTCCATCCCCACCACAGTAGGGACCGGGATGCATTGGCTATGGAAACTTTGCAACATTATGATTTTTAAAATCTAACTCTTACTTACATGCCTGGCACTGTACCCCAAAGCTCTTGGCAAACAGCATCTCAGTTCATCTGCAAAACAGACCTGTGAGGCTCAGAAAACTGAGCCTCAGTTTTCTGAGCCTCAGAAAGCTTAAGTTACTTGCTCAAGGCCACTATGGCAAGATATGGCCACGCCAATAGCTCCCATCCTATACGTCCTAGAATCTTGCTGCTCCTTCATCTAGGGGTGGAATTTGGTTTCGCTCATCCTTGAAATTGTGACACGATTCTTACCAACAGAACATGGCAGAAGTGTTGCCACTCAGAAAAGGTGATGCACCTTCCATCTTGCTTCCTGGAAACTTGCACTTGGAGTCCTGAAGCCACCATGCCATAAGGAAGCCCAACTAGCCCACAGGGAGAGACCTGAGACCACATGAAGCCTGGGAAATGGGCTATTCCAGCCTTCCTACGCTTCATCAGCCACCAGTTGACTGCAGCCACATGAGAGACCCCAAGCCAAAACCTCCCAGTTGAGCCCTTCCAAAGTACAGATACACAGAAGCCTTGGGAAATAATAAAGTGATTGTTCAAGCCATGGGCTTTGGGGCTGATTCCTTCAGCAGCACTGTAACAGAACAGCCACAAAGCCAGCCAGTGCTGGAATTCTTACTTCAATCTGAGTCCAGATCTGTGTCACTCTAGACTGTGCTCTAACCACTGCCCTACACTACCCTTGGCCTCTCGGGCCTTCTGCTAAGCTGTGTAAAGAGCACTGAGCTGAGAGTCTAGAACTGGATTCTGGTTCTGAACTTGCTGTTCTCTAGCACAGAAGTTTCATTTTATGACTTTAGGTGAGGAGCCACACCTCTGAGAGGTGCAAGTTCTTCACTCACCAAATGGGTTTAACAACCCTCACCAAGCCCATCTCAGAGGCAGGCTTTAATGCCAACAGAAAGAAATGACAACCAAAATGCTTTGCAAAGAAAAGAGAGTTACTGCTTACTGAATACCTCGTATGTGCCAAGTACTAAACATTTATTATCTGACTGTACAATGATTGTAGAAGGTAGGTGGAGTTATTATCAGACAAGAAAACTGAGGTCCAACGAGATGAAAAGTCACTGACACAGGGTGAATCACACTGCCAGGAGATCAGGGAGCCTGGACTCAAATGCTTCTCTGTCCAGTTCTGGGAAGCCAGCTCTCCCCTCCTCCCTACTCTCTCTTTACCAAGTTTAGCTCCAGAGAGCATCCATTGCCTGCCATTCGAAATACACAAGCACCAGCTAATGGTTCCACAGGCCACTTTTTGCCAAAGGAGAGAAGCATGAGCTTGGATGAATTGTTGTCTAATGGACCTGGAGTGATGGCTTGAGCCATGAGCCTTGGCGAACAGCAAATCAACCACGATGTCAAATCACCTGGTGTTTTCTGCCTGCCATGTGGTGCCAGCCCTCAGAGCCCCCTCCCGCTGCCTTCCCCAGGAACCCATCAGTGATGGCAAGCCAGAGAGACAGAAAGGAAGTGTGGATACTATGCAGGCAGAGGGAGGGATGCAGTCTCATTGCCACCACAAGAGCAGGCTTCTAAGATCCAAAGGCCAGCTGTGCCCAGCCTCTCGAGACAAATCTGTAATAAACTGACTAAGCCCAGGAGCCACCTGTCCTGTGATGGGAGGTGTCCTAGAGTCAGGGCAAGAGGGGATGCCCACAGTAGCCGAGTGGTTGTCGTTCAGTGCCCTTGTCTGTCTGTCCTCCTGCATGGTCCCTCTCCTTCACCTGCCAATGTGATTAAGTGCACAACCCCTTCACATCCCTCATCGCACCTCCATTCCAGGGCAACCTCTCCCTCCTTTGAGAGTTGCCAAGAAGTCACATGGCTCAGTAAATACCTATTGAGCACATACTATGTACCAGGCCCTGTGCTAGGCCCTGGGGATGCAACGATGAGCAGAATCAGACAAGACCTCTGTACTCACAGAGCTACAGCCCAGCATGGGAGACAGACATTAATCCAATAATCAATCGTCCCACATGAAAAATAAATAAAGGTGGCCAGGGAATGCCTGGAGCATACAGAGCAGGAAAACCAGACCTTGCTCAGGGCCAGGGAAGGCTTGTGGGGGCAGTGACTTTCGAATCAAGAGCTGAGGGGTTGACAAAGGGAAGTAGGGACAGCGGGAGAGGACAAGACTGCCATACCACAGCTCTTGCAGGGAATAGCAAGAGAGTCAAACTGGAAACATCCTCTGCAGCTGAGCCACAGCATCATGGGTGCAAACTGAGGCTGGAGAGGTGGGCAGGGACCAGACCAGCTGGAATTGCCCTCATACAGGGTCATCGGTAGCTCTACTGAAGTAACCCAACCAAACGTGTGAACTTGGGAGTTCCTGCTGGCTGCGGCATGAGAACAGATCGGGGTAGAAAGGATGGGGAAGAAGGGAAGCCAGGAGACTAGCTGGGAAGCCATTCCAGGCTTCCAGGACAGAGATTATGTCCAATTGGGTGACGTGATCATAAGACGAGGATCCCTGGAGAGAGCTCTAGGGCTCCCAGCTGAGGCTCCAAGAATAAATCCACAGCGATCTTGCCCTGGTCCAACCTGAGAGTCCCCAAACAGGGAACATTTGTCCTTTGACCATCCTTTTTGCATGCTGCAGTGGAAGGAAGAGGCCTTGGAGCCAGACAGACCTGAGTCCCAGTCCAAGCTCGGGTGCAGCCTCATTGTGTGCCCTGGGCAAGTGGTTTCTCCTGGAGGAGCTTCAGTTTCCTCATCTGCAGAATGCAGATGAGTTTATCTGGAGGAGCGAATGGGATGCCATGTGCTAAATCACAACGTGGGGCTGGCATGGGAAGGGTGCCTTAACATGGGGCTGCCCAGTTCCATCCCCACTGAGAGCTGGGCACAGGGAGGGCACGCTCAGAACCTGTACATGAGGAGTGAGGGAAAGGGGAGGCCATACTTGACCTCCAGACACCAGAGGAGCTGAGAGATGAGCATCTCCTTGCCCATCACAGCCATGGGCCCTTCGCTGAGCCCTCCTCAGCAGGCAAGCCCACCACACCTTTTGCGCAGCATGGACATCCTAGGTGAACCAGACAATTAGGGGTCTATGGGTGATGCCCACGGTCTTCCATCATATCCGATCTCACAGTCCTGACAGTGCCCCATCTGCCAAGGCTGTCAGGCAACATCTAATGCAAGTTCAGGAGCCTTCTCGCTGCCGGGACCTTGCCAGACAGAGCAGGGCCACCCCCTGACATCCAGGCTGAGCAAAGTACAGTTGCCCTGGACAACCAAGAAGTTTATATGGAGGGTGTCCACCTGAGCCCACCTGGCTTGTGCCAAAAGCTACCTTCCACACACAGGAGAATTGCTTAGACTTCAGGAGTGCTCTCTCACACACACACACAGAAGAAAACCTCAACTATGCTAATGTAACTAAGAAGGGTCCTGGTCCCTGTGTAAAGCCTGAGAGCCTTAGGTTCAAGCAGCTTTGTGCTCCATCACTTCCCAGCTGTGTGCCCTTGCGCACGTCACACCACCTCTCTGAGCCACAACTGCACCACACTCACCTTAAGGCATTATCTTGAATATTTCCTCAGGTCCGGTGATCTAGCAAGTAACTCAGCACAGAGACTGCTTGGGAATCATTGCTCCCCTATTCCGTGGAAGCTTGGAGATCTTTGTGGCTGCCTTAGCTTGCCTCTGAGCAACCTGGGCAGGCATGGGGACAGAGGAATGGTGTGGGCTGGGTTTTGTGTGAAAAGGGCCACTCTGGTGGCCAGGTGGAGAGACTGTATAAGGTTAAAAATCAAAATAAAGGTGAAACAAAACCCAAAATGGGATTTGTAGCTGCAGAGAAAGTGGATTTACCACGGTGAGTTTCTGGGCATGGTTGTAGCTACCTGCCAGTGTTGGCGTGTTTTTGTTTTTCTTTTTTCAAACTCACGAATACAGAAGATTCCCTCTGTGGTTTAGTCTCTATAAAATATGTGTGTGTGTGTGTGTGTGTGTGTGTGTGTGTGTGTGTGTGTTCACTGGGTCAAGAGGTAAAATGTTTCTTACCGTAAGTTGAGGTCAAAATAGTGTAAACCCCAACAAGTTCAGAGTAATTGGCTAGAAGTTTAAGAGAGGACTGGGGACACAGACCCAGAGGACTGGTTTATGTCTACCATGGGATCTGCAGGACAAACAAAACAGACACATTTCCAGAACCACAAAGCCCTGAACTAATGGCTTCCTATGAACATCGTTGCGTTTCATCACTCCTCACCCTATAGAGAAGGTATCATAGCTGTCCCCATTTTATAGATGAGAGAACTGAGGCTTAGATACGGGAAGTGACCTGTTCAAGATTACACATCCATTAAAAGGCAGAGCTGAAACTTGGCTGGAGGTGGCTGACTGCAAAGTCTAGTCTTCTTGGCATACACATACATACTTGACCCATCACAGAACCGCTCTGCCTCTGGGCTCTCCTTTACAAAATGGGCCTAATTTTACCTGTTGTGCAAGCCAGTTTGGGGCATACATTCTACTAGAATTTTCTGAGCAGTTACTATGACCCAGCTCTCAGGAAGAATAAAAGAAAAAAAAAACTGGTCCATGGGTAAACAAAATGTGGTATATCCATATGATGGAATATAATTCAGCCATAATAAAAAGGACTAAAATACTGATCCATCCTACAAAATAGATGACTCTTGCAAACACTACACCACATGAAAGCAGCTAGTCACAGCCAGGCGTGGTGGCTCACGCCTGTAATCCCAGCACTTTGGGAGGCTGAGGCAGGCGGATCACGAGGTCAGGAGATCAAGACCATCCTGGCTAATACAGTGAAACCCCGTCTCTACTAAAAATACAAAAAAAAATAGCCGGGTGTGGTGGCACATGCCTGTAGTCCCAGCTACTCGGGAGGCTGAGGCAGGAGAATGGCATGAGCCTGGGACACAGAGCTTGCAGTGAGCAGAGATCGCGCCACTGCACTCCAGCCTGGGCGACAGAGCAAGACTCTGTCTCAAAAAAAAAAAAAGAAAGAAAAAAGAAAGCAGCCAGTCATAAAAGACAACAAAGATATGCACATATTACATGATTGCATTCATGTCAAACATCCATAACAAGGAAATCTACAGACAGAAAGTAGATTCATGGTTGTTTATGGCTGGGGGAAAGCATTGCTTAGGGATGGGTGTTTAGAGGGCAATAGCTAAAGGCTATAGGGGTTTTTTTTTTTTTTTTTTTTTTTTGAGACAGAGTCTTGCTCTGTCGCCCAGGCTGGAGTGCAGCAGCGCGATCTCAGCTCACCGCAAGCTCTGCCTCCCGGGTTCACGCCATTCTCCTGCCTCAGCCTCCTGAGTAGCTGGGACCATAGGTGTCTGCCACCATGCCCGGCTAATTTTTTGTATTTTTTTTTAGTAGAGATGAGGTTTCCTGTATCAGCCAGGATGGTCTCGATCTCCTGACCTTGTGATCTGCCCGCCTCAGCCTCCCAAAGCGCTGGGATTACAGGCGTGAGCCACCGTGCCTGGCCCAGCTATAGGATTTCTTTTTAAGATGTGACAGAAGAGCTGGAGATTGAGTTAATTGCCAATAATTTGATCAATCATGCCTGCATAGAGAAACCTCCATGGAAACCCCTAAAGGATGGGGTTCAGAGAGCTTCCAACACATCAAAGTGCTGGGAGGCTGTCGGCTGTCATGCCTAGAGAGGACAGGAGTCTCTGCCCTCTCCCCATCCCTTGCCCTGTTCCTGAGTTGTATCCTTTATAATAGAGCAGTGGTTGTAAGTAAAGTGTGTTCTTGAATCCTGTGAGTCATTCTAGTGAATTATTAGACAAGAGAAGGGGGTCATGAGAACTCACTATGTAAAAGCCACTTGGCTAGAAGTATGGGAGGTCGGGTACTTGCAGCTGGCATCTGAAGTGGAGACAGTCTTGTAGGATTGAATCCTTAACCTGCAGGGTCTGTGTTAACTCTGCTAACTCAGGATAGTCTCAGAATTGAGGTGAATTGTAGGCCTGCCATAGGCAGGAACACAGGGTACTTGGGAGGTGGGAGGTAGGAGGTGTGGTCCCAGAGGCTGGTCTCAGGGCTCAGAGCTCAGGCAGACCTAAGTCCAAATCCCATCTCTAGCTTTAGCTCTATGTCCTGAGGAATATGCGTGAAACTCTCTGCTGCGCATCAGTTTCTTCCCTATAAAATGGGCATCGTAACAGTCCTCACCCCTCCCAGGCTGTTCTAAGGAGGTGGTGACATCATCGGGTCTATAAACACTCAGCACAATGGCCCCAGGAAAATGAGAATGGCCCAAACCCCACTCTGGAAGGTACTGGCTGTGTGATACCAGATCAGTGGCATACCTTCTCTGAGCCTCTGTTTGCTTGTCTATAAAATGAGACGGATGAAAATGAACCCTTATGAAACACCCCGCCAGGAGCCAAGTCCTGTGTACCACAGTTTTTGCCACTGACTCCTTCAGTTCTCACGAGAAGCCTACAAAGTGGGTACCATCATTAGCCCCATTTTACAGAGGAAGAGACTGAGGCTCAGAGAGGCTGAGCCAGGATTCATATCCAGCAGGCTGACTCCTGACTCTTGCCCATTAAGTTAGCACATACATCTAATCCAATCCAAGGGCATAATAGAGGTATAAGTGCTTTTGAAACTGTCAAACACCAGGCCAATATTAGTGGTGATTGTCATTGCTATAACAGTTCAAAAACCCTGTGTCCAGTTATAAGGCCCAAATTCTCCCCAAAGGGAACTATTATTGATTTTTAAAAACAGGATTGGGGCTCTCAGAATTAGTTAGGAAGCCAGGCACACTGAGAAGGGAGTATCATTTTAATGAAAAAAAAACCTGATTAATGAAAATGATTCTTAATATATTTCAAAATGATCTGTTATGACACAAAGCAAAGACATTTATGTACGACTTTGAAATTCTTAATAGCTGATTTTAGAGCAACCTATTATGAAATCTTTCAAAGCAGAATATATAAGTAAGTAAATCATCGGGCAGGCCTCCCAGGCAGACTGACGGCAGCTCTTCTTAAAATAATTTATAACGTGGGATAGGGGGAGGACTGGCAGAAATTATTGCCATCATCAAGTATTAGTAAAATATTTATAAAAGTGACTTTCTCTTATCATCAGATGCACTGATGTGATGGGTCAGGTCCTTGAGCCCACATCAGGGGGCGGGGGCCCCCCCACTCTGCCCCAGGAGGAGAAACTCAGGAATAAAATTGAGCTCCTACACTTCCCTGGTGACAGGCTAATAAGCCAGGGGGCTCCCCCTTAGTCTCTGGATAAATATCTCAACTTCCTTGTCTCTTGGATAGGACAACCAGGAGGCATATTCCTCAGAGTCTCCCAGGGGTCCCCAGCTGGACTGAGCCTCAGTTTCCCAGGGGTAAGCCACTCCTTCATGCACCTTATACTACCTGCCTTCCCTCTCCTGTGTCATTTTCCCATTTCCCTGCCACAGCCTTCTGGGGTCCTTCCCCAAATATGCAACATGTTCCCACATCTCTGTCTAAGGGTCTGTTTCTGACTCAGGTTGGCCTCAGTGACCAGGACGTTGAGTGAGAGACATTACAGTTCCCTGAACAAAGTAGTGGTGATGCCCAAACAGCCAAGCGCTGAGCATGGCCCACGGCTGATTTTTTTTCCAATCATTTTGGGGGTACAGGTGGTTTTTGGTCAAGTTCTTTAGTGGTGATTGATCAGATTTTAGTATACCCAACCCCCCTAGCGGTGTACACTGTACCAAATATGTAGTGTTTTATCCTTCACCCCCTCTTAACCTCCCCCTCCTGAGTCCCCAAAGTCTATTATATCATTCTTATGCCTTTGCATCCTCATAGCTTAGCTCCCACTTGTAAGTGAGAATGTATGATATTTGGTGTTCCATTCTCAAGTTACTTAGAATAATGGCCTCCAGCTCCATCCAAGTTGCTGCAAAAGACATTATTTCATCTCATCTTTATGGCTGAGTAGTATTCCATGGTGTGTGTGTATATATATATATCTCACATTTTCTTTATCCACTCATTGGTGGATGGGCACTTAGATTGGTTCCATATCTTTGCCATTGTGAATGTCCATGGATGATTTTTGGAAAAACAAGTGGCATTTGGTATTTTCATATTTGCCCCAGCCCAGCATGTCTGTCCTTGGCTTGGATCAACTGTTGAATCCCCATCTTACTTACTCCTGACTCAGTATGACTTCTACAAATTTCCAAAATCAAAACAATGGGTTAATGTATGTGGCTCAAATGGATGAGAATCAAAGGAATAGGCCACAGGGCCCGGGAATGTGGGGATGACGGAAAGGATGCACCAGCACCTTCTCGAAGATTCTACTGCCCCCGCCAAGGTAACAGCCCAGAATGTCAGCCAGAATCCATGCACAGTCCCAGGACAGACCTCAATTCACACACATGTTCATTCAATAAGCAACTTCCAGTTCTATGCTCTGGGCCCAAAGGAAGCCACCAGCCACTGATAAGAGCTAGACAAAGTCACAATCATAATACAATGCACCAAAGGCCCCATGAAGGCAGAAACCCTTGCTCTTCATCCCCACTCTCTCCCCAGAACCTTCTATATTGCCAAAAAAGGGAGCAGCTTTTGAGGTGAGGAGGTGAGGAGCTTTGAATGCCAAGCCAAGGAATTTTATTTGACTTGGAGGCAAGGGAGAGCCTCCAGAGGATTCTAAGCGGAGAATGACATTACGGGTCTATGTTGTAGAAAGGAACCTGATGGTCATGATGAGAATGGGTAGGAGGAGGAATGCAGGTATCAGCAAGGAGGCTACTGCACCTATCCAAGCACACACACACACACACACACACACACACAAACGTAAACACCGCATAAGGTGATAACAGTAAGGATAGAGAAACTAGGACAGAAATGATGTCACAGAGACTATCTCTGGAACATAGTGAATGATTGGATACGGAGAGGGTAAGAACTAGGGGGATGGCAGGAACCACTTGGAAGACCAGGTCAAAATGGGGAAAATCGCAAGCAGACACTTAAGGATGGGGACAAGGATACAAGATCAGTTTCAGGGCATGTGGCAGGGAACATCTCCAGGATGTCTAACTAGAAACACAGCACCTTGGCTGGGCACAGTGGCTCATGCCTGTAATCCCACCACTTTGGGAGGTCAAGGCAGGAAGATTGCTTGAGCCTAGGAGTTTGAGACCAGCCTGGGCAAAAAGTGAGACCCCTATCTACAAAAAAATAAAAAAATATATATTAACCAGGCATGGGGGTGCACAGCTGTAGTCCCAGCTACTCAGGAGGCTGAGGCGGGAGGATTGCTTGAGCCAAGGAGGTGGAAGCTGCAGTGAGCTATGATCGCACCACTACTGCCCTGAACAACAATGCAAGACCCTATCTCAATGAAAATTTTAAAAAGAAAAAGAAAAAAACACAGCACCTTTACTGCAGAGACCCAACCTTCCCTTGCATATTCTAGAGCTGCCCTACTGTACTGCCAGTACAGTAGCCACTGGCTACCTATGACTACTTAAATTTAAATTAAGTAGAATTAAATACAATTAAAAATTCAATTCCTCAGTCGCACTACTATATATAAGTGTTCAGTAGCAGCCTGTGGCTAGTGGTTACTGCACTGAACCGCAGTAATCTCCATCATTGCAGAAAGTTCTTGTGGACAGAGCTGGTCTAGAAGGTTTGCTTGAAAAGCCAGCCCTGTGTCCTCCTCACGACGCCTAGTTTCAGCAGCCTCCCCAAGGGAAGTCCCAGAGACATAGAAGGTGACAGATTGACCCTGTTCCCACCGCTCCGAGAGAAGGGCCTTGTCAGGCACCTGCCAAAGGAGACAGCTGCCCTCCCAGGTGAGCCCGGCAGGAAGGACGTACCTTTGCAGGCCCCCGCCGCACCCAGGTGGTAGATGGCTGCCAGGACCCGCCAAACAGCCCGCTGCTCGCTCTCTGAGATGCCGAGCATCTCCATGGCACCCTGGAGCTGGGCAAAGGCAGCTGCCGCCTTCTGTTTATCTTCAGGCTGCGGGCAAAGGGAGAGAGGAAGAAAACAAGGCCATCGCGATGGAGAAAACACAAGCTCACAACTTGAAGCTGAGCTCCGTCTCGAAGGAATGCGGGGGTCATTTTATTGCCACAATAAATTACCCACAATTAAGCTGAGGAGTACTGACAGACAAACTCAGGCGACTGGGAAAGTTATCCAAATCATTTTTCTCTGACTTTGAAATGCAGTGTGGCTTTTATTCCTTCATGTGTGCACGCATTACAGATTTATGGAAGCTCTGCTCTATGCGGGGCTCTGGTCTGGGGATGCAAAGATGAGCAAAGCCCAGACCTTGACTTTGAGGCCCTCTCAAGGTAGAACTGGAAAGAGACATAAAAGCAACTAAGTATGAAAAGGGCTAAGTGGTAGGTAGGCTATGGGTACAGGTTGATACATAGGCCATATAGGGTCTATAGGTAGGGCCTAGAGGTAGGCTCTGTAGGGTAAGTTGTGCTATAGGTCTATGCAGAGAATCATGGGACATCAGAGGAAGAAGGGGTAATTAATCCCACCCAAGACAGCCAAAGGGAATAGCATAGAGCAGATCAAATTGTGATAGCAGTTTGAAAGATAAATAGGCAGAGTTGGCCAATTTAATATAATAGAAGTCCCAACAGGCAAAGGGAACCACATGAGCAAAGGGGATTTGGGGAGACAATAGGTGGTCGACGGAAGCAGTTATTTTTGTTTTGTTTATTTTTGAGACAGAGTCTCGCTCTGTTGCCCAGGCTGGAGTGCAACGGCACAATCTCAGCTCACTGCAACCTCCGCGCCCCCGGGCTCAAGCGATTCTCTCACCTCAGCCTCCTGAGTAGCTGGGCTTACAGGCACCCGCCACCACACCCAGCTAATTTTCATAGTTTTAGTAGAGAAGGGTTTCACCACGTTGGCCAGGCTGGTCTTGAACTCCTGACCTCAAGTGATCTGCCCACCTCAGCCTCCCAAAGTGCTGGGATTACAGGCGTGAGCCACCACGCCGTCTGGAAGCAGTTATTTTTGGAGGTGGGTCAGATAGAGATGGGGAGAAGATAAAGCTGGAGAAGCCAGCATGGGCCACCCTTGAAGGCCTCAACCATGATACTAAAGGGCGTGGGCTTTAAACTCCAGTCATGATTGGTAAATACTGATACGTGCCCCCACGATATTCCTGAGCTCATAACAGACATCATTAATCAATCAAGATCCTACAGCAAGCCAGTGAGTCCAGATTCCTTTCAGGATACTGCTTCTTGTAGCCACCACCAACTGAGCTTTCCCACTAAAGGAAATGGCACTTGTTTTCTGTCTTCCGTGCAGCAATAGAAAACTGCTAATTTTTTTTTTTTTTTTTTTTTAGACAGGGTCTCACTCTACGGCCCAGACTGGAGTGTAGTGGTGTGATTATAGCCCACTGCAGTCTCAAACTCCTGGGCTCAAACGATCCTTCCACCTCAGCTTCCCAAGTGGCTGGGACTACAGGTGCACACTGCCATGCCCAGATGATTTTATTTTATTATTATCATTTTTTTTACAGATGGGGTCTCGCTATGTTGCCCAGGCTAGTCTTGAACTCCTGGACTCAAGCAATCCTCCCACCATGGCCTCTGAAAGTGCTGGGATTACAGGCGTGAGCCACTGCACCCAGCCTGCCAAAGATTTTAACAGAAGGAAACAGAAAATGACATGATCAGATGTTTATGGATTATAGGATTTTTTTTTAAGATTTATGATTCCAATTATGTTTGATTGAATATTAAAATTAGTCTGAAGCTACTATGCACACACCATCTGGCCAAGGACACTCAGCCCAGAAGCCTGCTGGGTGGAAAGGAAGTGAGCCGGGAATGGGAATTCTTTTGTCAATAATCCACCAGCCGATAATGAGAAACTGATTTGCACTTGGCCTGCTTAGAGAACTTGGGTGATGAACTGTAAGCTGTTAAAGCCAGCAAGTCTTTGAATTTTGCAGCAACCAGTGCCCAGAGAGCGGGTAACACTTGCTCAAGGTCACACAGCAAATTAGTATCAGATACAAGACTAGAAGCAGGCTTTTCTGATTCTTGAACTGATTCCCAGTCCAAGATACTTGTCCCCTCCACTCAAGCCACTTCCTCTAACTGGGAAACTTGCAAGAATCATCAACCAATTGGGACGACGTCAAAGCATACAGTGACATTAAGAGATTTGCTTGGGAAACATTTCAGTTAATAGCAAAAGCATGTTCCATTGATCCATCATATTTCTGGGCCGCCACAGGATCACAAAATCCCTAGCAACCAGGAGCTCAACCTAGCAACTGCAGCTGGAGCAAACAGAGGGACGGAAGGCATCTTAGCAACATACTCTGTTATTTATGAGATCTCAAAGTAGCAGAAAAAGGGCGCCAAAAGGACAGTGCCCACACATTTATTATGGCTCCCACTGTGGCCTATGAGCATTTGACTTTAAATTACAGAAGGATTCCACCATCTACCAGGTAGCTTGTGTGAAGAGAAGAATGAGAAAACTTCCACTAAAGCTCATTTGCTCCTTTCTCTTCCTTGTCCCCTCCCAATGTCTTTTTTCTGAACAGAAGACATGGATCAATAAATATATATGTTTCTGATTCAAAATGATTAGGATCATGAAAACAGTCATAGTTTCTTAAATTTCCAGAGAGCCAATTGTTCTTCAAACACCTCTGCAGAGTGCCCTGACAAAAGAAACTCTTTGGATCAAAATCATGAAAACAGAAAGAAGTCAAGTGAACAGAATAAGTCAACTGACAACCCAAATGTCTATCAGCAGGAGAATGGAGCCACAAAGAGTGGTATACCCAGAGCACAGCGATGGAGCACTACACAGCAATGAAAAAGAACAAGCCACTGAGACACGCAGCCACATATAGGCATCTCACAGACCCAGTGTGGAGTCAAAGAAGCCAGGCACAAAAGCCTGCATCCCATGTGCTTCTGTTTATGCAAAGTTCAAGAATGGGAGAAACTAACATGGTAAGAGAAGTTGAGACAATTAGTCTGGAGTGAGATGGGTACCTCTGATGGAGATTGCCTGGGAGGGGGCTCAAAGGAGCCTTTCATGGAAGGAGGAATGTTCTGTATCTTGATCTGGCAGATAGTTGCTGATGTGTGTTTAATAATATTAACATTGGCTGGGTGCAGTGGCTCACGCCTGTAATCCCAGCACTTTGGGAGGCCGAGATGGATGGATCATGAGGTCAGGAGATCGTGACCATCCTGGCTAACACGGTGAAACCCCATCTCTACTAAAAATACAAAAACTTAGCCGGGCGAAGTGGCGGGCACCTGTAGTCCCAGCTACTCGGGAGGCTGAGGCAGGAGAATGGCGTGAACCTGGGAGGCAGAGCTTGCAGTGAGACAAGATTGCACCACCTCACTCCAGCCTGGGTGACAGAGTGAGACTCCATCTCAAAAAAATAAATAAATAATAAACAATAATAATAACATGGCCAGCTGTGGTGGCTCATGCCTGTAATCCCAGCACTTTGGGAGGCTGAGGTGGGAGGAGTTGACTAGCCTGAGCAAGAGTGAGACCCTGTCTCTACAATAAAATTAAAAATCTGCCAGGCATGGTGGCATGAGCCTGTAGTCCCAGCTACTTAGGAAGCTGAGGCGGGACGATTGCTTGAGCCTACGAAATCAAGGTTGCAGTGAACCACGATCACACCACTGCACTCCAGCCTGGGTGAAAGAGAGAGAAAGGCCAGGTGCGGTGGCTCACACCTGTAATCCCAGCATTTTGGGAGGCTGAGGTGGGTGGATCACGAGGTCAGGAGATCGAGACCATCCTGGTTAACCAGTGAAACCCCGTCTCTACCAAAAATACAAAAAATTAGCCTGGCGTGGTGGCGGGTGCCCATAGTCCCAGCTACTCAGGAGGCTGAGGCGGGAGAATGGCGTGAACCCAGGAGGCGGAGTTTGCAGTGAGCCGAGATCGCGCCACAGCACTCCAGCCTGGGCGACAGAGCAAGACTCCGTCTCAAAAAAAAAAGAGAGAGACAAAGAATATGGGAGAGAGAATATAAACATCGAGTTGTACACTTAAAATTAGTATACGTTATACACTTTTATGTTTTACCTCAATTTTTAAAAATCAATGGATAAAATTCAAATTGTAAGATGCCCAGGGTTTGTCTGAGGTAAAGTCTCAAGGTCAATCAAAGTCTTCAGGTAATTTGGTAAAAGAAAATAAAATCCAAAATATTCTCTCTCCATTAAACCAGGCTGGGCTTAGAGCGCCCAGGAGATTCCTACAATCCAGAGAGAGGCCAGGTTTGGATTTGGAGTCAGAGCTGGACGCCCTCTAGACTCTGCACTCCCAACCATGTGACTTTGCAAAAGTCCCTTGCCCCGTGCATGGAGGCTCAGTTTGCACTTCTTCAAAGAAGAAATAAGGCCAGGTGTGGTGGCTCATGCCTGTCATCCTAGTGCTTTGAGAGGCCAGGGTGGAAGGATCGCTTATGTCTAGGAGTTCGAGACCAGCCTGGGCAACATAGCAAGACCTCTCGTATCTATAAAAAATATATAAAAATTATCCAGGCATGGTGATATGTCCTTGTAGCCCCAGCTACTTGGGAGGCTGAGCCAGGAGAATTACTTGAGCCAAGGAGTTCACGGCTGCAGTGAGCTATGATCCCACTACTGCACTCCATCCTGGATGACAGAATAAGACCCTGTCTCAAACAAAATACATAAATAAAATGGAAATCATATCTTAGCATCCTCCCAGGGCTGCTATGAGGACTAAATGAGTTTATGTGTGTAAAGCACCCAGCACAGAGGCCAGCACACAGTGGTACTCAATAAACGGTGGTTTCCACTTACTGCTGCCTCTCTCCTTCCATGCCTTCACCCAGGCTGTTCCACCTTCCAGAGACACCGTTCCCCATTGCTGCCCAAGTTGATGCCCCATACTCTATAACAAGTTAATCGGGTATGACCCTGCCCTCAAGGGGCTCCCAGTCCACTGAAGGGGACAGGTGTGCAAAGAGATGACACACAGAGCACACACCATGGGCTGGGAGACATTGGGCAGGGGTAAAGGAACTGAATGGAAGGATGTTTCTACAACCAACCTGCCCAAGGATTCCCACCCCTCTGCCTCCCGGAACGGGAGCTAACTTGGGGAGGAAAATGCTGGACACTGATTCAATGCATCTCACGCCTGTAATCCCAGCACTTTGGGAGGCCGAGGCAGAGAGATCACGAGGTCGAGATTGAAACCATCCTGGCAAAAATGGTGAAACCCCGTCTCTACTAAAAATAAAAAAATTAGCTGGGCATGGTGGCGCGCACCTATAGTCCCAGCTCCTAGGGAGGCTAAGGCAGGCGAATGGCTTGAACCCAGGAGGTGGAGGTTGCAGTGAGCCGAGACCGCGCCATTGCACTCCAGCCTGGGCACAGAGCCAGACTCTGTCTCAAAAAAAAAAAAAAAAGAAAAGAAAAAAAAAAGAAACATCACATAGGTGCCCGCACAGGCCAGTGAACCTCATGGAGACTGCAGGGAGGGCAGGACAGGTGTCAGTCCACAGCCAGGAGCTGCCCTACCCGTCGCTCAGCATCTCACCAATCCACTTCTTATCTCAGCATCAAGAGTCCATTTAAGTGGAGAGGAGAGAAAGTGTTCACTGAGCACGTATTCTGTTGTACTGGGTGCTTTTTCCCCACGAGGCAGGCATAGGTCTCTCCAACCAACAGAGGAGGCAATGGAGACTCAGAGAGGTGAAGTTACTTGCCCAAGGCCACCCATTTGGGGAAGGGCACGGTCAGTAAGTGTCACTGAGCCCCCAATCCTTGGTGTCATCCAAGGGTGTTGCTTTACCCATCCCACAGGTGAAAAACTGAGGCTGGGAGAAGTGACCCAAGAGTGAACGTGGACCAGACCTTAGAGCACATTGTCTTCAGCCACGATCTGAATCGTGATCTGAGATGACAGTGGGAAGAACGAAAGTACCAAATTTAAAGTCAGGCCAACCTGGATCCCAGTCCCGACTCCACCACTTAAAAGCTGTGTGCCTTTGGGCAAGTAGCTTCACCTCTCTGAGCCTGGCTACTTCTTCTGAAAAACAGATATGATCATAATTCCTTATTTAAAGAACCGTTGGGAGAATTAAGTAAAAGCAAGCTCCTGGCAGAGCCCCTGGCACGAGTGAGTGATCCCTCATCCTTCCATTTGGGCACCATTCCCTAACAGTTGACAACTGGGTCATAAAAAATAAATGTGCCTCGGGCCAAGGCCTGGAATGTGACAGCCAGAAGCAAACTGCTGGGTGGCAAGGATTATTATTATTATTACCACTGCTGCTGGGCACATTTAAAAAAAAAATTAGGCTAGGTTGCAAAAAAGAAATTATAGAGAAGACGAAAATAATATGAAAGCTTTGTGATTTCAGATGTATCCTGGTGCTTGGCAGATCTCAAGTAAGTTCCATTTACAAGCTGCAATGTGGCAGGCAGCAAGGGCACAGTGTGAGGACTAAGAGGAGAAACTGGCAGTCACCGGGTACACACAGCCTCTGAGGACCCGGCCAGCGCCACACTGGGGATCTCCACACTTTTACCCTGGGGTCCTTGCTTTGGCTGGCCATTCATGTTTACCTTTGCATCAGGTGCTCAGTGTAGCCAGAACACTGGCCTCCCTGCACCTGTCTAATTCATTCTCAGTCCAGCTCCAGCTCATGGTTGCCTCCGCCAGGCAGCTCTCCCTGATATGCCTCTCCTCCTCCCAGCTTGGCCTCAGCCTACATACACCTCCACTCAGGCACATATCTCTCCAGCTTGGAATGATCTGTTGATGTAGACATGGCAGCCCATCACCACCTCCCAAAAGTGAGTCACTTGATGGGTGAGACCCAGTTGAGTTATTTCTGTGTGCCAATACCTGGCATCTAATAAGATCAATAAATATCCATTGACAATGAGCTTCTAGCGACCATCCCCAAATAAGAGCCACTGATGGTGGGGTTGAGTGAGTTCACCCACTGAGCTGGGTCCACAGTACTACTCAGCCCAGATTTGAGGACCCCAGGCTGCCCACAATGACTGAGGGATGGGACCCCCAGGCTTTCTAATCCCCTTCTCTGGGTCCTCAGAGATTCCCAGCAACTGCCCCAGCTCCCAGGACCCAAGGAGTGGGTCCAAAGGCAGACATGAGATCCCCAAAGACCTAGTGAAATGATACTGGGGAGAAAATAAAGTTTAATTAACCGATCTCTGCTGACCACAGTAGCAAACGATTCGAAAATTGAAAAGATGTGATTTTAGTTAAGTGGTGGTGAGTTGGGCATGCTCGTTCATTTATTTACTCAACATACCTTTACTGAGCACTTGCTGTATGCCTGGCTGAGTGCTAGGCCTTGTCTATTCAGGAGTGATCAAGACAAGTAAGACTCCCACCCTCATGGAACTTAGGGCCGAGGGGAGACAAATCATAAACAAACAGTGTGATCAGAGATGGGAGACTGTTAGCAAGGAGACAACAGGAAAGACGATAACTGGAGACATCTCCTTAGACGGAGGTTTGGGAGTCGGAGATGGTAATACAAGCCAGACGCCCACCTTATCACTAAGAACCACAAAAAGGTTTAAAACCATGTAAATGTATGTAACTAACCTGCGCGTTGTGCACATGTACCCTAAAACTTAAAGTATAATTAAAAAATAAAAATAAATAAAACCATGTAAATGGACATTAGGGAAACAGCAGTTCGGTGAACCACGTCCCCTCCATGAATGTCTGGTCATTAAAAATAATATTTGTGAAAGTTTGTTGTTTTTTTTTGAGACGGAGTCTCACGCTGTCGCCCAGGCTGGAGTGCAGTGGCGCAATCTCGGCTCACTGCAACCTCCGCCTCCTGGATTCAGGCGATTCTCCTGCCTCAGCCTCCTGAGTAGCTGAGATTACAGGCACCCGCCACCACGTCCGGCTAATTTTTGTATTTTTAGTAGAGACAGGGTTTCACCATAATGGTCTGCCTGGTCTCAAACTCCTGACCTCAGGTGATCCGCCTGCCTTGGCCTCCCAAAGTGCTGGGATTACAGGCATGAGCCACCATGCCCGGCCAGAAAGTTTTAATGATATACAGTTTGTTATGAATTATGTAAAATATTTGCAGGAAAAATACTGGAAGAACACCTGCAGGTATAGGACCAGTGGGTTTCTCAGGGTGGTGAGGTGAATGGCGCTTGTTTTCTGGTTTGCTCGAGTGTGTGTGTGTATTCTGGTTTTTGGTTTTGCCCTTGTGTTTTTTCTGATTTCTCCATAGGAAGTATGTAGTAATTTCGTTATTTTTTTTTTCTTGAGACAGTCTCGCTCTGTCACTTAGGCTGGGGTGCAGTGGTGTGATCTCAGCTCACTGCAGCCTCTGCCTCCCAGGTCCCAGTGATTCTCCTGCCTCAGCCTCCCAAGTAGATGGGATTACAGGCACGTGCCACCACACCTGGCTAATTTTTGTATTTTTAGTAGAGATGGGGTTTCACCATGTTGGCCAGGCTGGTCTCGAACTCCTGACCTCAGGTGATCCGCCCGCCTCAGCCTCCCAACGTGCTGGGATTACAGGTGTGAGCCACTGAGCCCAGCCATAATTTAGTTTTTTGTTTTTTTTTTAAACAGATGCTTCATTAAAAATATGAATTAGAAGAGAATAGAGATAAATTCAGTAAGAGGGAAAACAAGACGTGCTGCCAAGGAACATGGAATGGGAACTGAGTGGCTAGGTAGCGTGTCTTGCTGTTGGGGAGCAGGCTAAGCCCTCCCAACTTGCCCAATGCTGCCATCCTTGATGATGGAGGAGGAGGAGGAGGAGGAAGAGGAGGAGGAGGAGGAGGAGGAGGAAGAAGAAGGAGGAGGAAGAAGAAGGAGGAGGAGGAGGAGAAAGAGAAGAAAAAGAAAGAAGGAAGAAAGAAGAAGAAGAAGGGCTGACATTGGAAGTGTCAGGCACTGCCGAAGTACTTCATTGGCTTTATCTCATTTCATTTGAGGTCAAGGTGGACTCTTGCTCTCCTAGTTTTCGAAAAGGAAAAAATCGAGGCCCAAGGAGATGAGGTCACTTGCTTAAGGCCACCCAGCTTAACCGCTGGTACTGGGATTCGAACATCACTACGTCAGACTCCACTGTCGCCAGTGAGTTTTCAGTGGAGATGGAACCAGCTGTTACAGATGAAACAGAAGCAGAATTAATCATAGTACGGGGGCTGGCTAGGAGGAGAAGGAAGGAGGAGGGCTCAGCCAGGGATGAAGTTGGGTTGAAGTTGGGTTGTAGAGTTGCCAAAGAAAATGCAAGCCATCCAGTCAAATCTGAATTTCAGATAAACAATGGATAATTTTTTTCATAAATATGTCCCCCACAATATTTGGTACAGCAAGAATGCTGGCCTCACTGCATCTGACTACTTTCACTCTCACTCCAGGACCAGCTTGTGGTCCACTCCTCCAGGCAGCCTGCCCTGATAGGCTCCCAACCCTTCAGGCTTCCCTGTGCAATATTTGGGACATGCTTATACTAAAACATTATTCAATGTTTATCTGAAATTCACATTTAACTGGGCATCCTGTATGATTTGCTAAGCCTGACAGCCTTGGGGACTTAGCAACTCCCATTATTGGGGGACATATCCTGATCACCAGATTCCCTTAATGAAGCTGTACCTGGCCTGCCCGACCCCAGTAACTAGCCCAGGCTTGTATCAAAGACCAATGAATTTTCAGACTTTATTTTTCTTCTGAAAGAACAGAGAAAACATTCTCTTGATACCTGCCAGGTAGCAGAGAGAGAACAAAGAAACACCCTACCAGTTCCTGCAAATCAATTGGTCTAAAAAATGCCCCACAGAAATAAAGAGGAAAAAAAGCAAACCACTTCAAATGCTTCTTTGACACAAATTCACGCTGTGACCAATGGCTTTATGCAGACTGTTAACAAACAGGTCAGGTTGGGGGAAAGCTCAGAGGACCCCAGCTTGGGTCCTTTTCCTTCTCAAAAACAGTAGGAAAATAAACAACTACTCTTCTGCTGATTCATACGGATATTTTGGGCCAAAGCTCATTAAATGAATGAGAAAAATCAGTGCTGAGGTAATTTCTCATCTCTTGCCTTCAAGGTGGAGGTCTGGGCTCCTCATGACCCCAGATCACGGGGTAAAGGGTATGAAAAAAGAACACACTGCTGAGTCCCCCAAGTAAAGAAGCTGCCCCCCTAGTATTTGGTTTAGCAAGAATGCCAGCCTCGTTGCATCTGTTCATTTCATTCTCATTCCAGCTTGTTTCATGCATGAGTTTTGAGAATGAAAGAAATTTCATTCTCATTCTCATGGCCAGCTCTTGGTCACCTCTTCCAAGCAGCCTCTCTGATATGCCCCCAACTCTCCAGGCTTGCCCATACAATATTTGGGACATACTTATAAGGTGACAAGTAGATTAGCCCCCAGAGTTCAAAGACGGGGCAGACACATCACCTCACCCAGTGCAGAAACAGACTCTACAACAGTGGTTCTCAAAGCGGGGTCCCTGGACCAGCAGCATCAGCATTGCTGTGAACTTGTGAGAAAGGCACATTCTCAGGCCTCACCCAGAGCTACTGAATTAGAAACTCTGCAGATAATACTCAGCACTGTGTAAGACAGACTGTGTGTGTGTGTGTGTGTGTGTGTGTGTGTGTGTGTGCGCGCGCCTGCACGCACACAGGCTTAGCAATTTTTTTTTCTTTTTTCTTTTTTTTTCTGAGACAGAGTCTCGCTCTGTCTCCCACGCTGGAGTGCAGTGGCACAATCTCTGCTCATTGCAACCTCCACCTCCTGGATTCAAGCAATTCTCCTGACTCAGCCTCCCAAGCAGCTGGAACTACAGGCATGTGCCACCACGCTCAGCTAATTTTTAGTATTTTTAGTAGAGATGGGGTTTCACCATGTTGGCCAGGCTGGTCTCAAACTCCTCACCTCAGGTGATCTGCCCACCTCGGCCTCCCAAAGTGCTGGGATTACAGGCGTGAGCCACCGCACTGGCTGAATTTCTTTAATGACCAATGATGTTGAGCATATTTTCATGTGCTTAGTTGCCATCCATTTACATTTTTTTTGTATGTTCCATATTTTGCCCATCTTTTTTGTTGGGTTGAGTTTTGAGAATTACTTTTATATTCTAGATAAAAATCCTTTATCAGATAAGTGATTTGCAAATATTTTCTCCCAGTCGGTGGCTTGCTTCTTCATACTAATAGTGACTTTAAGAGAGCAGATGCTGTTCCTTTTGATAAAGTTAATTTGTTCTCTTATGGACTGGGATTTTGATGTCTCATTTAAGAAATCTTTGCCCAGCTCAGGGTTACAGAGATTTTTCTCACCTTTCTTCTAGAAATTTTGTGGTTTGAAGTTTTGCAATTAGATCTGTGACTCATTTTTTGTTAATTTTAGTATATCATGTGAAATATGGATTTTTTTTTTTTTTGCACCAGGATATCCAATTATTCCAGCACTATTTGTTTCCCAGACATGTATATTTGAAAAGAGGCTTTGGAGTGGAAATTATCTACTTCCCTCCATCTGGTGAACTCCTATTCATCCTTCAAAACCCAGGCCAAATGTTCCCTTGGCTAAGAAGTCTTCCCTGGCAAAGTCCAAGTAGCTCTATCAGCTATCTTGTGGTGCCCGCAGCATTTCATGCAACCTCTGACATATTCTTATCTCACATGATTGCATTAATTTCCAAGTCTGTGTCTCCTGCTAAAGTGAAAATCCATGGATGAGGATCATACTCCTAGCACTCAGCAGGAACATACACCTAACACAACACAGGCCCAGCATAGGTGGTGATGAAGGTATTTGCGAGAGAAGGGAGAAAACAATGGTTAAAATAATTGAATAATAAAATATCAAACCAGTGAACCATTTGCTTTTTTAAGCAATGAAATACCTAACTCTCAGCCCCACTCATAGACTATATTCATCAGGAAACCATCGCTGAGTGCCCCTACCCAAGTTAACCACCACTAGTACTGACAAAGAGCACCCTATTGATTGATTTAGGCCAAGCCCTGTTCTAAGCACGTTATACACATCATGTCATTTCACCCTCACAACAACCCTATGAGGCAGATACTGCTACTATCATTACTGTACTGAAGAAGAGACAGACCTACCAGGAGGTTAAGGTCCATGCCTGAGGTTCACCTACGTAACAAGTGTCAGAGCTGGGGCTTGAACTAGACTGATTCCAGGGCCCTAATCCTACCTCTACGTATACTATGTCTGGTTTCCTTTATTTGTCTGAGTCTTCTTTACCCAATAAGCCGAGACCCTACAAAGGCAGTGCCAACTCTTCCACATGACCAACCCTTGCCAACTATGAACCCCAGTACCAAAAGAGACAAGTTGCACGGCGACTCATCACCCTCCCATCTAGCCCCAGACACAGACTCACATCCCACCCGTGAGGGACCTCCTCCTTACCTTGGACCACACGCCCATGCCAAAGGAGCTGCTATCTGCCATCTGGTGCAGGTTCAGCTCCGTCCTGGAAGCACAGAAGGAACCAGGAGTCAGGGGGGCTGTCCACACCAGCCCTGGCAGGGCAGGTGGTCGTCACAGTGTGAGGCTCCACACAACTGCCCGGACACCCCAGGGGCTGTCCCTGTCCCTGGCCTTGGCCCCACTAACTCTGCCCTGGGATATCTTCAATCTCCCAAATATTCCTCACGCACAGCCCTCACTTGGCCCTTCCTAAAGGCCAGGAAATCCCAGGAGAAAGGGTTGTAGAGGAAAATCAGGAGAGCAGGGACTAACCCCAGATCTTCTAATCAGCTGAGCGACCTCACTCAAGGATAATATTAAAACAGTCAACATGAACGAGCCCTTACTGCATGCTAAGTCCTAAGATGACTCATGACAGCCCCACTCCATGGGTACAAATATTATTTCCATTTTACAGTTGACAAAACAGAGGCACTGAGAGTGGGTACCTGCCCCAAGACTTCACAGCTAGCAAGCATGCAACCAGAAGCTGAGCTGAGGTCTGTTGGCCCCTCGAGCCCAGACTCCGCGCTATCCTGCCACGTGCACCTCTCCCGGCCTCAGTCTGCACTTTATGAAGCAACACAATGTTTAAGGCTCCTTCCCGTGTTCAACCTGCAGGTTCCTCGAGAGTGAGACCAGCAGATGGGCCACCCACTTTTGCAGGCTTGAGGAATGCAAGCCAAAGGCGGGGTGGGCACAGCTATGCCCCCTGCCCCTTCGAATCACACTCTCTACTCACAAAAGCATTGTAGAGCCCAGCCTAGGATCCCCAATCCCACGTTGGTTCAAATTGGTTCCTGGAAAGTGGGGATTACTCATCAGTCTCCAGCCAGCTTGTCTGGTTCTGAGGCCTTCAGTGTCCTCTCCCTGGATTCTCTACAGACCCCACACCCCTCTCTGCCTCGTGACTTTGAAGGAGTCTTACCAGCTAGGCTTCAAGTCCAACCCCAGTGCTGCCATGTGGCAGACAAGGTAATTCTCTTCTCTGCAACTCACTTTTTCTTATCTGTAAAATGGGCCCCCTACTCTACTTGCCTCCCAGGATTAAATGAGATATTATACATAAACTCACACTGCCAGGCTGGCATGGAGTAAGTGCTCTGTTTTCCTCACACTCTCTTCCATTCACTGGAAATTAAATCTGACAAATAATTAAGAAGCATCTACCTGGTGCCAAGCCCTGGGCTAGGTACTGGGAAAGCAGAAAGAACAATGACAGGGCCCCAATTCAAAGATCTCCCAGTCCATCTGGTGAGGAAGGGAGACTGCGCTGGCAGGTTTTTGAACCAGAAGCACATACCAGGCACCAAAACAGTATAAAGGAGAAACTGAGGAGCAAGAATCAGGCAGTGCTCCTCTAAAAAAGGGATCTGGAGTAGGGTTTTGAAGGATGAATAGGAGTTTCCCACATGAGTGCATGGGAGAAAGGACATTTGTGCAAGTGAGAACCCGTTTTTGACCTTTGGAAGCTTCCATATGGGTGACGGACCAAGTTGGCAGCAGCAGAGGTAGAGAAAGGGAAGTAATTGGGGGATCACCAATGAGGCTTCAGAATGACAATGACTCCCTGAGGGGGCTGAGTTGCTCCAAGCACTTTACTCACTCTCTTAGGGTCCCTGAAACTCATCTGGGCCACCTCTTCCTCTCAGAGGCAGCTTTGGCCCAGCTCCTAAGGATGCCAAACTCAATAAGGATGCCACCAGCATGGAGGGCCCCTGGCCTAGGCCTGGCTTGGAATGAACGTCTGGCATCCTCTGCTAGCCACAGTTGAGCCTCATCCTTCCTGGGCCCACCCCAGGGTAAGCCTCCAAATCCCCCTCTCCAGGAGGCAATGCTTCTATCCCCAGAGCCAAGCCCCACCCATGGGGTACAGAAGAGAGAGCCCCAGTGTGGAACTCCAGGGCTGGAACAAGGGTGATGTGTGTGTCTGAGAGATGTTCTGAGAGGTGAGAAAATGGAGGTCCCAAGAGGTGAGGCCACGGGGCTGAAAGTGGGATTCCTATGTTCAGGGCCCACCTACCTACTCCTTCCCACATTACACCATTACTATGCACCGCACATGGCCCCTGCTGCCTTGACATGCGATCTCATTTAAATGCCTACGGGGTTGGCACTAGTAGGAACCCATTTTACAGGAGGAGAAACCAAGGCTCAGAGAAGCCCATGTGGGGCAAAGCCCAGATCAAACCCATGTCTCTCTGAATCCAAAGTCATTTCTTTGGATGACCTGGTCAGGGCCTGGTCAGGGCCTGTCAGGGGTATCAAGGCAGATCAAATCCTCCAAAAACAAGAACACACACACACAAAGCATTTGCTATGTCCGGGCACTATTTTAAGAAGTATTGTCTGCCTGATCATATTTTAATCCTCACCACAACACTGGGATACAGTCACATCTATTTTTGTAGATAAGGAAAGTCAGGCTCAGAGAGGTGAAGTCATTAGCTCAAGGTCACACAGCCAACAAGTGGAGAAGCCAACATACAAATCCACACAGCCTTGTCCTCGAGTCTGTGGTACCTGTCACTCTGCTATACCACCCCACTCCAAGTTCTTCTACAGATTCTCAAGATCTTCTAGAAGTTTCCCTGCTGCTCAGTTACAATCACTCTAAAAACTGGGAGTTCCCTCTCTACTCTGCCTTCTCTCTGCAGGTTACAGCTGTCCCTCCAGCCTTAGCCAGGACACTCCAGACAGGTTGAGGCTGTCCTTCAGATGGGGAGGGAAGGTTGGGGAACAAACAATGGTGAGGTTAGAGCACAGTAACCACAAATTATCACCCCTCATGTGGGAAAACCCACTTTTTCCTCTCCCCGACACTTCACTAGGACCATGCCCATCCATCCAACAGAGGAGGAAACCAAGGCTCTGGGAGAGGAAGCCACATGAGCCACATGCCTAAGGATGCCCTGTAGATTTGGGGAAGGGCAGAGATGGCTTTTTAGGCCACCTCCTCCAGGAGGCCCTCCAAGATGAGGCTTGCCTGACTACCCAGCTCACTGCTCCACTCAGCTCCAGGTCCATCCTGAGGAACCTCATGTAGGCATACCCTACCATACACCCAAAGCTCCCACAAAAGTTTAGAAACTTCTGGAAGACATGGGGGTCTGCTGTCCCTCTCCCTCTTCCCATACCGCTGCCAGGGCCAGTACTGACATGCCACTATCACAGCAGACAGCCTTGACTCCCAGCATTTATAAAGAGCTGAATGTAAATTATCTCTCTTAATCCTATAAGGTCTATGCAAGGTGTTGTTTCCACATTACAAAGGAAGAAACCGAGGCTCAGGGTGGATGACATGTGACCTATAAAGAGCTGAATGTAAATTATCTCTCTTAATCCTATAAGGTCTATGCAAGGTGTTGTTTCCACATTACAAAGGAAGAAACCGCGGCTCAGGGTGGATGACATGTGACCAAAGTCACCCAGCCCATGAGCTGCGTGTACCCAGACAGCTGGAATCGGACGCCATGTTCCTAATCCCTGGGTCCCACGGCCTCTCAGTGCTGGGCAGAAGCTAAGGCTGGGCCCCCAAAGAACATGTGCCCTTTGTCGCACTGCCCTCAGCTGTCTCTTCCTGCCCCAAGTGCTCACCTGAGATCCAAGTCCAATCCAGCCAGCATCTGGGAGAAAACCAGGAAGTTACTTTCCCCTTCCGGCTGCCGTGCCACGCGGCTCTTCTCCAAAAGCATTGTCTGCAGGGAGAGAAGAGGGGCACCCAGTCAGTGCTTTGGGTACATCTGCACATGCCTGAAGTGCAGCTACCCAGAAGCCCCATTGGGGTGCCCCACTCTGATCCACTCTTTTTTTTTTTTTTTTGAGACGGAGTCTCGCTCTGTTGCCCAGGCTGGAGTGCGGTGGCGTGATCTCGGCTCACTGCAAGCTCCGCCTCCCAGCTTCACGCTATTCTCCTGCCTCAGCCTCCCGAGTAGCTGGGACCACAGGCGCCCACCACCACGCCCGGCTAATTTTTTTGTTTTTTTAGTAGAGACGGGGTTTCACCGCATTAGCCAGGATAGTGTCAATCTCCTGACCTCATGATCCACCCGTCTCAGCCTCCCAAAGTGCTGGGATTACAGGCGTGAGCCACCACGCCCAGCCTCTGATCCACTCTTCGAGACAACATCTCAGGTCCAAATTAATTTTGCTGGCAACCTCCACGTCAGAACTTCTCAATCCTTTGTCTCACTAATTCAGAGTCCACCTAGGAAATTAACTAATGCAATAGATTCATTTCAATTAAGGTATCAAAGGTAATAACAATCAAATGAGGCCACCTTCCAACATATTCCCTTTTTAATAGAAGCCTTTAATACCTTAACCCAAATAGTGATTAAGGGTAGGATTTCAGGGCCAGGACAGAAAAGGGACTTATTTGGCATGAAGGGGTTTTCCTTGAGTCTGGATATTATACCAGCTCCATGTTACAAACAACCCTTCTAATAACCTAATCCTATTTTCTGTTCAAACAGGATGTTTGAGGGAGACGGGGAGGAGTATGGGTGATTTTGGAGATAGGAACAAACAGGCCATGTGTTCGTCACACGCGGACTGCTGCAGAAGGCTGGCAAGCGTCTGTTTAATTTCAACTTGCGCTTTTAAGACCCGGCTAATGACAGCCTGAATTCTCTATTTGCTCATGAATATTTCATCCGCCTGAAAGTCTGAAGCACAGACGGGCTGGCTTGCTCCAGAAGGGGACGTTCCAGGGCACCTAGCGAGGTGGGGAGCAACTGGCCCCAGCTAGGGGATCCATGACCATTTCATTATTTTATTATTATTATTACTATTTTCTTTCTTTCTTTTTTTTTTTTTTTTTTTTTTTTTTTTTTTTTTTTGAGATGGAGTTTCGCTCTTGCTGCCCAGGCTGGAGTGCAGTGGCACAATCTCGGCTCACTACAACCTCCGCCTCCTGGGTTCAAGGGATTCTCCTGCCTCAGCCTCCCGAGTAGCTGAGATTACAGGCACCTGCCACCACACTTGGCTAATTTTTGCATCTTAGTAGAGACGGGGTTTTACCATGTTGGTCAGGCTGGTCTCAAACCCCAGACCTCAGGTGATCCACCCACCTCAGCCTCCCAAAGTGCTGGGATTACAGGCCTGAGCCACCGCCATGACCATTTCAGACACATCCTAGAGTCCCAGCTGGAGGCGTGGGCTCTGCTGAGTCCCGGGGTTAGAGACACAGCAGCCCCAAGGGCCCCCTTGCACATCCCCCGAGAGGCCTCACCTGGAGCTGAGCAGCTGTGATGCGGCCTGTAGCGTTGAAGTCCAGCGACATCACCATGGAGAACCGGGTGGCACTGCGGCTGTGGGCCATGGACACAGAGCCGAAGGCCCGGAGGACAGTGAAGGTGGCTCGGATCTTCTCCACTGTTGGGGGCAGCATGGGGCCACATGTCACTGATGGCCCAGGTGCTGCCACTGCCACCTCACACAGGTCCACCTTTTCCACGGCCCCTGCTTGGGCCAGTCCCCATCCTGGCCTCAGCCCCCGGTGGGCTTCCTGTGAGCTTCCTGCCACCCACTCCCTGCCCAACCCAACTATAAACCACATACATTTCACTGAGCACCGATTGCTGGGCTGAACCTGTACTACCAGCTCTAGTGTAGGGGAAACAAGACTCAATCTAGAAGGGCCAGGGCTAGGCACAATCTGGGTAACAGAGGCTGCCCTAGGGCTTCCCAGACCTAATGGAGCCTAGGAAGAGGTGAGGATAACATTCTAGGGCCTGCACTCACAGCTTAGAGGCAGGCTTGCAAAATCCTATAATCTCCCCACTACTATTCATTGCATACCTACAATGCAACAAGCACTGTGCTAAGCACCTCGATACAGCCTGACCTGACTTCCACCCTCAGACACATGCGATTCACAGCACAACTACATTGTGAGAGACTGTGCCTCTTCCCACTGTATCTCTAGCTTTTAGCATGAGCCAGATGTAGAGTAGGTGTTCAGCAAAACACTGGAATAACCCCAGTGGAGAAGCAGTATAGCCCAGCAGTTAAAAGAGATTGAGGATCTGCCCTTTCCTGGTTACCTGATTTGGGGCAAATTAATTAACTAGTTAATTCATTAATAATTAACTAATTAAATCTAGTCCTCATGTGGCTGTCATGAGGACCAAAAGATTTAATAATGTCACATGCTTAGAAAATATTCCAAAAGTGGAACTGTTATTATAGTTATTATTATTAGAAACACAATATTCCCTGCATCATATATTCTCAGTGGGGAGGATATTGCCCCTGAGAAGAGCAAAAACTGATTCTTAGAAGTGGTGGTAAAAAAAATTTTACTCTTTTTATGTATAAAGCACAAATACACATAAAGGAATATATAGCTTATCTGTGGTATTAACATTTCATCATAGGGGAAATGATTAAGGGGAATAAATGTCTTAAAAGGCTTTTCAGAGTGTGCAATAATGAAAAAAAGCTGAGAACACTGCCACAATGGTTAGAGTTCTACAGCCAGTAGGCCTGGGTTTGAATCTCAGCGCTAGGAGTATTTGCTGTGTGACATCAGGCAAGCTAGTTAACGTCTCTGAATCTCAATGCCTTCAATCTATAAAATATAAAATAATAATACCTACCTTATAGGGCTGTTTTAGATTAAAAAAAAAAAAGTTCAGGTTGGGCACAGTGACTCACACCTATAATCCCAGCACTTTTGAAGGCCAAGGTGGGTGGATCACTTGAGCCCAGGAGTTCTAAACCAGCCTGGACAACATGGTGAAGCCCCATCTCTACAAAAAAATACAAAAAATAAAAATAAAATAGCCAAGGGTGGTGGCGTGTACCTGTAGTCCCAGCTACTCAGGAGGCTGAGGTGGGAGGATCACTTAAGCCTTGGAGGTCAAGGCTGCAGTAAGCTGGGATCACACCACTGCACTCCAGCCTGGGTGAGAGAGTGAGACCCCGTCTCAATAATAATAATAATAATAAAGTTAGTATCCTTAGAATAGGGCCTGGTACATTAGGCTTCAGCAAGCATTTACTCTGATGGTTATTAATATTGTAGTTGTTATTATTAATTGGTACTCTTTTTTAAGGCCCAGATCAAATATCACATCCTAAAAAAAGCCCTCCTGCAGCCCTCCTCTGCGCTCCCTGAGTTTCTTCCCTAGCCTGCCCTGCCAGCACTTTTTGAAGAACATTCAAGTTTTGAACGTAGGTACAGTTCAATTTCCTCTCTGGCTATTAGCTTCTCATGAGTGTAGACTCTGCCCTTGAAGCTTCACTCTTCGAGTCCTCTGTTCAGTTCCGCAAGTTGTGCACTGCCCAAAGACACCACATCCCAGGGGTGCATCATTCACATCACACTCTCCTAGATTTGTGTACGTCTATTAGGACGATTTCCCAGCAGATGGCAGTCAAGTATCCGGTTCTAACAATGTCCATGTATGATGATTGTTCTGCAAACGGCCGTCAATGTCTTGAGGAAGGAGTACCTTATTCTAATTTCAACAAATGCATCCCAATGACCTAGGGATAGCCCTGCCCAGTAGCAAGCATGGGGTCTGCACATATCTGGTGCTCAGTGAATGCTAGCTGAATGAATATAAGAAAGCAGCTCAGCATCCCCTTCCAACTCTCCCCGTGCTGACCCCAACTCTCCATGTCACCTAGAGACCACCATACCTGAGACCCTGCCATCCACACTGCCTGCCATCCCCACCAGGTGTTCCAGGACCTGCTCACAGCAGGTGGTCTTCCCAGCGCCACTCCAGCCCAGGGCCACAATGCTCTGGTCTCTCCGCTGGTTCAGCAGCGCCCAGTATGCCCGCTGTGCCATGGAGCCAATGTGGGCAGGCAGGCCATCCCGGCGGCCCTTGGGCACCTGCAGGAAGATCACAGGTATCAGCCATCCCATCCAGCCACTGCCTAGGGAGCATTCTAAGACAGCGCCCCGCCCCAGGCCTAGGGTCCAGATCTGTGTCCCTGCCTCCAGATCTGCCTCCAGATCCCTGACTCCCTTCCTACTCGACTAGGAGGAGCCAAGCCTGTATGTCTAGTCCTGCCCCTGGCTCCCTGTGAGTCCTTGGACAACCCATGCCTGTTTTCTGAACCTAGTTCTCCTCTTTAGTTAGAGGCTTGAATGAGAGCTGCATTCATCCATGAGATTCATCTCACTGGTTACTCAAAGCATCGAATGGTATCTGCCTGAAGCGAGGCAGCTGGATCGATAGCATAATTATCCATTACGATTAGTGATGTCTGCTATGGACACAGGGAATGGCACATGGGGGAGTTAGTGGTATGTGTGCTATATATTTGCCATAACAGATTTAGGTGATAACTAAAACCGTATCTGCTTCATCCATTCATTCATACTTCATTCAGTAAAATAATCCATTGAGTGTCTACTATGCAGCAGGCACTCGGGCACAGCATAACACAAAATGGATAAAGGAAATTCCAGCCAATCGCAAAGAGATACCATTAAATGCCTATTACAATGGCTGAAAAAAACATTTAACAGTCACTACCAAGTTTTGGTGAAGATGAGGAGCAACTGGAATTCTCATACAATGCCAATGGGAATGCTGAATGATACAGCCTCTATGGAAAACAGCCTGGCAGTTTCTTCTACAGTGAGATACACACTCATTACCCCTCTCCACAACCCCACAACCCCTCTCTAGGTGTTTACCCTAAAGAAATCAAAATGTATGTTCACAAAAAACCCCTCTATGTCATTGGTTATATTGACTATATATTCAAAATCACCAAAAACTAAAAACAACACAAATGTCCTTCAACTAGTGAACTAGGATAATCACCCAACCTGTTGTTTTTTTGTTTTTGTTTTTGTTTTTTGTTTTGAGACAGAGTTTTGCTCTTGTTGCCCAGGCTGGAGTACAATGGCACGATCTCAGCTCACTGCAACCTCCACCTCCCAGGTTCAAGCGAATCTCCCGCCTCAGCCTTCTGAGTAGCTGGGATTAAGGCGTGCACCACCATGCCTGGCTAATTTTTGTATTTTTAGTAGAAATGGGGTTTCACCATGTTAGCCAGGCTTGTCTCAAACTCCTGACCTCAAGTGATCCGCCAGCCTCGGCCTCCCAAATTGCTATCCTGGTTTTGGCATTGAAAGTCTCATGTCCCAGAAAACGTTTTAGTCCCAGGAAAACCAGGACAAGAGGTCACCCTATGAACAAATAAGCACAGTAGTGCATCAATGAAATAAAATAAAGGAACAAACTGTAGATAAATAAAACCACATGGGTGAATCTCCAATGCATTGTGCTGCCTGGAAGAAGCCAATTCAAAAGGTTACATACCATACAATGCCATTTATATGGGTTTTTTAAGGTAAAACTATAGGGACAAAAAAACAGATCAGTGGCTACCAGGGGTAGAACTTGGGGCTGAGTTGACCACAGGGGGCCCAGAGAACTTTTGGGGGTGACGGGAACTGTCATGTAATTGATTGTCAAAGCAGTTATACAACTATACACCTTTGTCAAAAATGCTCAGAACTGTACACTAAAAAGGTGCATTGGACTATAATGTAAGCCTGATTTTTTTTTTTTTTAAGTCCCTGCTTGGTGGAGCTTGCCTTCTGGTGGGAAGACAGAGATGATCGATGAAAGAAATTAATTCAATTACAGTGAACGGGAGGCGTTTGAAAGCCACAAGCCTGGATGAGATCACCAAGGAAGAGTGTGAGAACAGAGCATCCTGACAGGGACAGGTCAGGGAGACCACAAGGAAGACTGACTGGGCGGCCAGTGGGCGGGAATGAAAACCAGGAAAGCGGAGTCTTAGAGCCGAGGAAGGGTGTGTTTCCAGGAAGAGGGAGGGAAATGCTGCTGAGTTCAGTAAGAGACCAGAGACTTGACATTGGATTTGGCAGCGAGGGAAGAGGGCAGGAGGTTACTGTGAGGTCAGCAGGAGGGCACCAAAAGGAAAAGAGGAATGGGCCCTGCTGCAGGAGGATGTCTGAAGCCCAAGATGCTGAGGGTGTCCACTGGGTCCGGCAAGGCCCCATCTGCCCTCCCTAGCGCAGTCCTTTGGCCGAACTAGGGGCACAAACCCTGGTGTGATGGCCCTCCCCTCAGCCTAGATGTCTAGCTTGGGGCTGGGGCTGTCTCCAATCCACTGTTGGCTCTTCCTGCTCCAAGCCCCTGAGGAACAGTCATGAGTCCCTATCCTGATGCCAGATGTAGGGCTCAGCAGGAACCTAATGCAGGCAAAGGAGGGATATGCCCCCACACTGGCTGGACACAGCCTTAGGGCTTAAGGCAGTCAGAGGGTCCTGGGGTCTCAGTCCTAGAGCCATCCCCCAGTCTGGGAAAACTAAAGTTCAATGAACGGGCAGTCCTGTCCATCAGCCTGCTCAGGCCCACTGCCTAGGGGGAGAAGGAAGAATTCTGCACATCCAGGTTCCTGAAGGCCCTCCTATATGCATGCATGCACACATGCCTTTGCATCTGTGTACATGTGCCCTTGCACGCATGCACAGAAGTGTGCTTGTAGGCACATGCACGCAACAGTTGCGGCGGGCTCTGCACACAGAGATGGGATCCACCTCTACCCACGGGGTCGCACCCATGCTCAAACTCACCCTCTTATTCACCTAGACCTCCATGTCCCCAGGCACACACCCAGACCCCAGCTGCCTGGTGGGGCTAGCCCCATAGTGAGAGAGTCCCCCGGTGTGTCCAGACCCCACCCAGCCCATCCTCGAGGTGGTCTCAGCCTCACCGCAGGCCTGTGCTCCCACCTGGTGGCCATTTGGGGAATCAGAGGTTGATCCGGCCTAAGGACAGGAGGTGGCTGTGGGTTTGAGTGTGGGAGGCTGGAAGACTTGAGGGAAGGGTGCGGACCAGTGCCGCACCCCACCCCAGGGTTAGGAAGGGAAGTAGGGGGATCTACCTTCAGAGTGCGTACCAATGCCTGCATCTTTTGGCGCTTTTGCCTAAGTTCTGATGCCTCAATCCAGGATGGCCAATGAGGACCTGATTGCTATCTGGGTCTATAAAAATGTCCCTTCCAGGGATTTCCAGGGAGCCGGAGGAGTCCCTCGGCAATGTGGACAGCTCAGAGGCCTTGGGCTGCAGCAACAGAAGCCTAAGCACTCACCACAAGGACGGGAGAGGGCACGTGCCAAGCTCTGGCCCACCCAGAGCTTCTGAGGTCCTCCCAGGCCCTTGACCATGGACAGCGGTGGTGGGAGAGCCCCTGGGAGTGACTGAAGGTGTGGTGTGGGTCACTCTGGAGGAGAAAAATCTTGGAGAGAGGGGTACAGGCCCACTATATCCCCTTTAATGGATTTAGCATTGCCTCAGGGACTAGGGATGGATTTGTCCCACAGGGCCCCAAAGGGCAAGATGTGTTTTCACCCCCAGTTGGCAGAGGAGAACATGGAAACCAGAAGAGGTATCATGATCTTTCCTAGACACCAGGTGTCCTAGGGGCTTCTGACTTCCCAGTGAGTCTCCAGAAGAGCACACAGGTAAGATGTCTCACCTCCGACAGGCCTCCCTGCCTCCACTGAGCCTCTTCCCATCTGTCCTCCACCCAGCAGCCAAAGGCATCCTTTTACAACCTAAGTCACAGCATGTCATTGCTCTGCTAAAAACCCCAGTAGGGACTCTCTCTAAGCCTACTCTGGCTCAGGAGGCTGCCCAGTTCATAAAAAATAGATACAAATCGGCCAGGCGCAGTGGCTCATGCCTGTAATCCCAGCACTTTGGGAGGCCGAGGCGGGCGGATCACGAGCTCAGGAGATCGAGCCCATCCTGGCTAACACGGTGAAACCCCATCTCTACTAAAAATACAAAAAATTAGCTGGGCGTGGTGGCGGGTGCCTGTAGTCCCAGCTACTCGGGGGGCTGAGGCAGGAGAATGGCGTGAACCCGGGAGGCGGCGCTTGCAGTGAGCCGAGATCGTGCCACTGCACTCCAGCCTGGGCGACACAGAGAGACTCCGTCTCAAAAGTAAATAAATAAATAAATACCCATAGTAGCTGCCATCCCACTCAGAGTGAAAGCCAGAATCATCACCCTGAGAACTGACACGGCTCTGTCCTGGTTTTTCCCAACCTCTCCCACCTCTTCCTCCACTCATCTGCTCGGGCCACTCTTATCTTTATTGTTGATGGACTGTCTTTTCTTCCTAGAACAGCAACTCCACAAGGGGAGGGTTGCTCGCCTGGCACCTTCCCTGATGTTCTTTGTGCGTGGCCCGGTAGGAGACCCTCAATCAATAGCTCAATCACTATGGGTTGAAGGAATGAAGGGGCCCACGCTTCAATGACTCGGCTGAGGTGCCTCGTGCGTCCACAAGGTGGCGCTTAGAGATTTCCTTTGCTCTTGCCCATCTCAACAAAAATTGGCCGTTTCTACACTTCCGAGGAAAAAAACTAAAGTACAACTGAAGCTTCTGTTTCCCCGTTGATGTGGGTGCTCAGGACTCCTGAGAGTTCAGCATGGGATGAAGAGCACACAGGAGCCCTGTATCCTGGGTTTTCTCCCAGCAACTCTGCTCGCTAGACCTGAGAGTTTAGCCTGCGCCTGGCCCAGCCGGCTCTTCTCATCTGTAAAATGGGCTAATCACAGTACCTGTGTTTTCAGGTGGATATGTGAGACTCAACTGAGTTAATACAAGAAGGTGCATACAGCAGTGTCTGGTAGAGTTCACACTCATTCAGTATTTTCTTTCGTTACTCTTGTGATATTTAATGCTGCTGTTTCTGTCCTAATGGTGACTGATCTTTCCCTCCAGGGAATGGGGGAATCTCATGGTCCATGCCACAGGATGCCACAATGCCGCGAGAAGGATGCTGCTTGCAGACAGGTCGACTGGGGGCTCTGATGGTTCTACTGTCACCTCAGATGCAGAGGGATCCCCCCAGGCCCCCCTGCCCTCAGCCCCTCAGCCCTGCCCACAATGGTCCCACCTCACCTTCCCTGCAGAAGGCACCGAGGGCCCCCGGGGCTGGAGGACAATCAGATCAGGCCCTGTGCAGGTGTGCAGCAGCTGAGCTTTGTAGCGCTGCAGAAGCGTGTTCAGGACACTGGATTCGTTGACACTGATGAGAGAGGCCAGGTCCTCGACCTGGTCCAGCTCAGGAGGGTTGGCCTGTGAAACCATCACACAGAGTCTCCTCTGGCCTTCTGGCCTTCTGGCCCCCTGCCCCCACCCCACCCCCCCGCAACCAAACACACACTAAGCCCTCCTCTTGAGAGCTATGTGCCAAAGACCAGAACAGAGCACAGGGACTCTGGATGGAAAGCAATGAAGCCCTACAAATAAAATAGGGCCATCCCTTCTCCTTGCCCTCTGTGCAACCTATGAGGCACCCCCTCTTCGCTGTGGTCCTGCACTCCATGCACCATGAGGGGAGACGCTCCCAAGGCAGACTTGACAAAATTCAAAACACTTTCTGGATCTCAAACACCACAAAAAGACAGGTGATGCTCCAGTGTGTGCGAGCATCCGCTGCCATTTCCTCCTCTTCTGGGTCTTACGAGGAAGCTCTCAATATGCTCCATGATACCCAGGAGTGGAGGCCAATGGCCAAACCACCTCACTGGTCTCATAGCCCATCATGCATTGATTCCTAGGAAACCACCCAAACCCTTAGAAGCAAGGGTTATGTGAAGCTGCTTCTTAAAACATCTGTTCTAAGAGGCGTCCTATTATTCTCTCCAGCTTCAGTGAGTTTTCTGAACCTGGTAGTCTCAGGTTTGGGCCAAGCTTGAGCCCTCTCATGGATCAGCCTTTCTTGCAAGGCCACTGAGCCTCTGTAAATGCCCAACGCGGGAGAGAAAGCCTGAGGTGGGCAGAGGAGGAGCAGAAAGGAATGCAGATGAGCAAGGAGGAAAACTCCTAAGATAGCAGGCTGTGAGGGGCGGGGGGAAAGGGCATGACAGAACCTTTCTTTTCTATCACTACACTGGGACTTGTCCTCAAAAGGATTTATGGTGCACAACAAAAATGTATTCAAAGCAATTTAAAGAGCAAAGCTGAAAGAAAGTTTGATGCCAAAATATAGGCCATTAGAACCTATGCTATGGTTAATGGCAAGCAGCAAATTTGGCTCTGAGTTCCCTGGCGGCCAGAGTGAAAACAGAAACATGCTGTGTAGTATGATTTGCAATATCCAATATCTATAAATTAAAAGCAGTCATTTTCTTGGGTCCATCAGAAGAACTCCCAGGGCCAAGACCTGACAAACATGTTCTTTGATGTGTCCTCATTAAGGGAAACCACAGGAAAGGGTGAATGACCCCCTAATAGTACCCCTCCAGTAGAGCAATGAGTTCAGTGGGGTTCTTCACTATAACTCCCTCCAGGGCATCAAGCCAAAATGGTATTGGTAGTCAGGAACAAGGAAATCTCTTGCAGGACTGGGGAAGGAGGGTATGGAGCTGGGGTGAAGTGGGACAGGGGACTCATGCTGGGGGACGGCGGGACAGGGGACTCACCCGATGGACATGCTCCTCATCCACCTCAGTGATGGTTTTGTCAGCATCAATCCAAAGTCTCACCCTTCCTGCTGGCAGGTCTGCTGTTCCCTCATCTGGCTTTAGCACCGTAGCTGGTTGGACATCCCAGAGAGAGAAGGGGAACGGGGAGGAGATGGGAGGGGAAGAGGGGAAAGAGGCGAGGGCAGGAGATAAGAGAGGCTCTAAGCCGGGCCAGCAAGCTTGGGAGAAGGCTTGGGACAGGTCTCCATTTGGGGTCTATTCACTTGGAGCTGAGTTGTGACCCCAAATCCTTTAAGGTCAGGCTAAGTCTGACTCACCTTAGGCTTTTACCAGCTGTCACAGTGCCAGGCACAGAGCAGGCACCCAGACAGTTGGGTACACTGGCCTATCTCACACACAGACTGCCATTTCCCCCTCCAGTGCCCATGGCAGACATCACTAATCAACCACTCTTCCCAGCCATGTTCAGACTGAGACTCAGCATCACTTCTCAGTAGAGTGCAGTGATCAGCCACAACCAATCGACAAAAGTAGGCTCATGAGATCAAATCTATTGGCCCACTTGTACCAGACTCTGGCTTCCTCGAAGAACGCCGTAGGAAGAAAGCATGCTTGTTGCATTAGTGAGTTACAGTAGGTAAATAACTCATTATCAAGACACAAATGCCTTTGAAAGACAGTCTCCACTGCTCCTCTTCCCTCCTGACCACCAAAGTATAATCAGGACCTGGAACATATGGCTGGCAGCAGTAGGGGGCACAGGAGAAGACTCAGACCCTCCAAAGGTGCTAACACCCCTACTTACCAAGAGTAAATCCATCCTTCTGAGCCAGCCAGACTTTCTCTGCCTCATACCATCTGTCCTCAGGAGCCTGAGAACCAACATCACGTAAATTAAACCAGCAAATGGCACCGCTGCCCATCTTCTACCTTACACGGGGGTTTCTCACAGTGTGCTCTGGAGCCATCTAAACCAGAATCTCCTGGGGGAGAACAGGAGAGGGAGTGTGCTTATTTAAATGCAGATTCCCGTTGCGGACCCGGGAGGTGGAGCCGAGATCACACCACTGCACCATCTAGCCTGGGTGACAGAGCAAGACTCCGTCTCAAAAAAAAAAAAAATACTACATAAATGCAGATTCCTGGGCCCCACTCCTGGCCTTTGAAATGAGAGACTCCATGGCTGGCCCCAGGAATCTGCATTTTTAACAATCTACTCGTTATGCCATCCCGTTTGAAAGCTGTCGTGTGACATCATAAGCAAGCTCTACCATGTCAGCCGTGAGGAGACACCTCACACTTTGGGGACCTTCCCTCACTCTGTGGGGAATTCCCACCCCAGGGCAGGTGCAATGGAAACTTCAAGACTTCTGCTCATGGAGGAAGTGCTCGTCCCCTCCTCTGGGTGCCTTGCAGTTCCAGCCACCCCTCTCCAATTCCCTGCCCACCCCCCGTCCACCCCTTGTCCATCCCTGGGGCAGATCTTTCCCATCCCTGCATCTCTGGAGAGGCCTGTCTGCCGCTTCCCGCTCCCAGGGCCGCAGCCCCCTCACCTGGTCTGAGTCTCTGCTCTGGCCTCCTTTGCCCTCCTCCTGCGGGGCTGGCCCGTCTTGGTTCTCCTTCCGTATCCGAGGCCTTTCTGCATCCTTCTCCAGAGCAGGCTGGCTGGGTCCTTCCAGCTCTGTCTCCAGGGCACCAGCCCCATCACCTGCTCTTGAGCAGGGCTCCTCTGCTTCCTGCCCACGGCTTCCTGGCCAGCCTCCCTTCCCAGGAGCTGCTGGCGACTCCACCATTGTGCTCACCTCCTTTGGGGCTTCACAGCCCTTCTCTGTCTGACTCCGAGCTTCACCTGCGTTCCCGGACTTACCCTGGGGTTGCCCCATCTTTTCCTTCTTATCCCAGGACTCACCTGCCTTCCCAGTCGTGCTCCGAAGCTCACCTGCTTTCTCCCCCATTCTCAGATCGTCCCCCAACTCGCCCTGCACTTGGCTTGTCTTCTCCATCTGGGTCTGAGGCTCACCTGTCTTCTCTGCCTTACTTAAGAGCACCCCTTCTTTGTCCTTCTTATTCTGGGGACCGTCCCACTTACTCCTTCTTCCCAGGAAACCTCCCCACTTTCTCCCAGGGATTTGGGGCCTTACGTGCTTCCCTTCACTCCCTACGTCCTTAGAGACATTCCCCTTTTCCACCGTGTTTGTGGGCTCTGCTCCCTCCTTCTCTGCTTTCCCTGGTCGCACCCCCTCGCCGGGCCCTTGGGCTTGGGGCCTGGTCCCCTGCCTGTCTTTGCCCTGGGGCTCAGCCTCTTTCAGCTCTGTGGTCTTGGGGGTCCCAAGCCCCTTCCCCACTATGCTTTGACCCTCCTCGCCTTTTTTCAGTGCCACAGTTCCTTGGCCTGGGTCCCCAAGACCCCCAGTCCGGGTCTTCTCAGCTTTCGGGGCCAAGATCTCGGTGCTGGCCTGGGAGCCACAAGGAGTCCTAGAGGTCTCCCCTTTCTTTTCCTTTCCAGTATCTGTGGCGGGGGGAGAGGTCTTGCAAGGGGGGGCGTCATGGGGATGAGTCTTCTCTGGCTTGGCTGAGTCCGGGTCCAGCTTGGCCACCATCAACAACACATCACCCCTCCTCACGCCCCTCTTGAAGGGGACAGTCTTTTTGGTTGGTGTCGCACTGGAGCCCAGCTCCTGGGCCTTCTCACCATTGATGCTTGTCATCTGCTCAGGGTCGGGGCTGCGGGACCCCTCGCTCTCCTTGCCCAGAATGTCTGAGCTCCCAGGAGAGCTTGACTGGTCGTCCTGAGAGATCTGCTGGCTTCCAGATCTGGTGCCACTGCTGGACTTGCTGTTGGGTTGGCTGATGGAAATTTCTGGGATCTGGGAGAAAGAACACAACCATGCCTACATAGCTGCTTGCTGACCTGACAGCTTTGTCATTCACTCGTGTTCGTTCATTCATTTCATTGTTCACTTCTCCATTCATCCTTCCACAGATGCTCGAGCACCTCCAAATCCAACAGGCATGGCCAAGCCTAGCACCCTTGACCTTGGCCTAGCCCCTCAAAGTTGAGTGATGGAGTGGAAGGAGTGGACTTTGGAGCCCAACAGAACCAAGTTCAACTCCTGACTCTGACACTCTATAGCTGTGTGACCTTAGCTAAATGACTTCTCCTCTCTGAGTCTGTTTTTTAATCAATAAAATGAGAATGATAAAAGCCTACCTTGCAGGGTAGGTGTGAGAATGTGTGACAATATGTAGAAACTGAGCCCAGCGCATAGTGTGTCCTCAACAACAGTAGCTGCTGCTACTACTGTTGTTATTTCTGCCTGGATTTTTCCTAGGCGAGTAGGGGATCCAGGAAAGGACTCAGGGCCTGTCACTAGAGGACCTGTTCTCACCTTGGCTCTAACACTCTCCAGCTAGGCTTCCTTCTATGTCTATCTGGGCTACCATCTCTTCTCTCTGGGCTTCGGGTTTCCCCAGTACAGGCAGATACCACCTGACCATCCAGATCTTTTATAGGATGAGATGTAGAAATGCACTTTGGAGATCAGAGAGAGAAGAATAAACCGAGCTGCTGCTACTTCCACTGCCCTGATCCCCATATCACACTTCCCATACCAGCTGAGGGCCCTGGTTTCTGCCCCTGGGGTCCCCCACTCTTGCCTGACCCAGACATTTGTGACTGCATAACACCCAAGGGGTTTCCACTGCCTGCTCCCTTCCCAGGCCTTGTTACTGCCTTGTGATTTTAGCCTTGTGCAGAGCTTCATCCTCAAACCAGCCTGGCTATGGCCTGAAGAGCTCACAGGTCCAGCTGTGCCTCCATCTCTGCAGAAAAAGACCTCAACCTCATAAGCAAGTTCTACCCTGATGTCTCGCTTCACCACCAGCCCTAGCCTGGGTTCTTCCATCTTGGACAATGCCAGCACAGCCTCACAGACACCCATGCCTGGGAATCTGGGATTCTCCCCCTCCTCTTGCATTCAAACCAGTCCCAGGGGCATGTTGATTCCACCCTGCCAAGCTTCACATCTATGTCTCTTTTTCCAAACTCATGTCCGCTATCCCTCACTTGGGCCATTGCCACAGCCCGTGAACTGCTGTCCCTTCAATTTGCTGCCAGCCATTTTATACCAGATCAAAAGATTTGGGTAGCTGCCCACAGCCTAAAGGAAAATCATTTGGCACCACCATTGGTCTTTCAAATTCCTCAACAAGGAACCCCAGCCTCCAATCTGACCATATTGTCCCTACTTGTTCCCATGCATGAACTGTACTGGTCACCTTCTCCTACCTGACCAGTCCCTGCTTCCAGGCTGTTGCCCATGCTGAGCTTGCTGCCTGGCGTGCCCTTTCCCCTCTTCACTTGTCCATGGTCTACTCATCTTCTATACCCAGCTCAAATATCTCTTCTATCTCCTCTCTACAAATCTTTGCCTGAAGACCTCAATCAGAAATTGTTCCAAGCTTGCACAAAGTTCCAGAGCACTATGCTAGTACACCAGTCACAGCGTGGCCACCTTCTGCGTTCCATTCTGGCTTTTGTGTCTCTCTCCTGTTTTAGGTGACCAATGCCACAGCAAAGTCTCTGTTTTCATCTTTGTAATAATCACAATAATAATAGTATCTATCATTTATATCTTCCTTGCAATGAGCCCTATATCACCATCATGCAATCTCCTATTTAATCCTCCGAAGGAACAACTGGAGTAGATTCTGAACTTCTCCCCATTCTACAAGCAAAGAACTAGATGTAAAGATGTAAGGTGACCCAGCTACAAAGGTGAAATGTAAAGCCAGTTCTCTCTGACTCCAAAGCCAGTGCCTTGAACTGCGGCATATTAGATGCCCTTCCTTTTCTCTCTAGGGCTCTCTGGAATCTCCTGGGGCACTTTTAAAAACCTTAACTCCTTGGCCTTATTCCCAGAGACTCTGATTGAGTCTGCCTGGGTTGTGACTGCCCGGGTGATTACGAGGTTCAGCTGGTGCTCAGCATCATGGCTCTGGGGCCCAAGGCCGAGTAGCTTCTCCTGACCTTCTGGGGGAAGGCAGGACATAGCCTTGGAAGGGGGATTGACTGCACTTGGCAAATCTCACCACTGTCTACACCATATTGAAAAGTAAGTCAGTGCCTTATTTTTAACCAACCACCACAGAGGAGACAGTAACATGGGGTGGGCCAAACAAGATAACCAGTGCCAGCCTCCTCCCACCCCACCCTCATATGCCCATGGATTCTCTTCCTTTGGACCTTCAAAGTCATCAAAGCCTTTGGTCCCCCCACCCTGCCACCCTTTTTAGCATATAGAGGGAAACAGCACCTCTAGAATAACTGGGGCCAATAGAAACTAATAGCACATTTTTACAGATGAGTAAACTGAGGCCAAGAAAGGGGAAGGGGTTTAGCCAGGACCACAAAAAGCGGCAGGGCCAGAGCTAGAATCTAGGTCTCCTTGACATTCAATACGGGTTACTTTCCACTCCAGTGTTATTCCAGCCTCTCCCTGTTCCTCACTGACTGGGTAGCCCTAGGAGAACCAGGTCACTTCCCCAAGCCTTGTTTTCCATTCCTGCAAAATGGGATGGATTCTAATGGCTTCTTGCAAGGATTAGATGAGGATCAAATGAAACAGTTGTGCTGGGACAAGGCAAGAGAGTACGGAGTTATTTATTGATTGGGACAAGAAAATTAAATTGGCAGGAACCAGCCAGAGCTTGCTGCCTTGTGGAAACATGTCCTGAGGCTCCCTTGCTCCAGCCCCAGGAATATCTTGGCCCATGGTCCAGCCACCTGCTGTGGGCTGAGGCTCAGAGCCATCCTGCATCTTGGCTCTGAGTCTCCATCCAGGCACAGCAGTGACAGTTTGTCCCCATCCATGGCTTAACTCTGCCTCTTTACTTGCTCACAGTGACACCAGCGCTGCTGGTGTCAATCTCATGGAACCCTTTCCCCCAGGTCTCTGTGGCACCACCCCGGCCACCTCACTCACCAGACTGGTCCTTTTCCAGGCATCTTGTGAGAGCAGAGAACACACAGGCTCTCCCCCTCGCTCTGCCTCTATCTGGTCTGATGACCTTGGGAAAATCACTTGACCTCTTTTGGCCTCAGTCTCCACCTGTGATAAATGGGTAGAATCCCATCCACCTGCATTGCTGCACGGGGTATTAAATGAGCCCATGAGCAGCAAAGCAGCATTGTCTGGAGATAAACAGCACACAGTAACATTTCATCATAACCTAACAACAGCCTGCCGGGGTCAACTTTGGCCCCCACTTATGCCTTAGGTCAGGCAAGAGTGGGAACAGAGCCTGTCCTCCCTGTCAACCTCCCCAACAAAGACTTGGCCGAGGTATTTCAGCAGCTGCTACTGTTCAGTTGCTGGAAGACCTCTCTAATGCATCAAAGTCGTTCATCAGACAGGTGCAGGCACATGTGGGACTAGCCGGGCAAACCAAAGCTGAAGGGGAGGGGAAGGAAGAGTCAGGATGGGTCACTGGGCTCAAGCCAGCACCAGGCCCTGAGGCCACCAGACCTCTCAGCCCAAGCATTGCAGCATTCACCTTGTCTGAAGGGGGCGCTGGAGACACAAAGAGATGCCCTTTCTACCTAACACAGGGATACTCCCAAGATGCATTGCATTCCAAGCCTGCCTCCCTCATGGTCCACCTTGTCATCCTGCCCAGGTTCCATGGCTAAAGAGGACAAGAGAGAAATAGCACTGGCCACCACCAGCGACAAGTTTACAAATCCTTAAAGTGTAAGGGCCACATTGCATTCAACTATTGCTTCAATGCAGCAGCGCTATTCAGAATAGCTAAGGATTTTTAGTGGACATCAACCAATCAGGACGGACACCAGCTGGAGGAAGGTACTGAGGTTCCTACCTGTGCCAAGCATTAACCCTGTAATTATTGGATTGTAGCCATTCCAAGGGACTCAGGAGAGGGACCTGGGTAAACATGGCAGCTGAGGGCACTTGGGGGGCCAAGGGTTACAACCATTTACCACCTGGTATGAAGGATTCAATATTTTAACAATCAATGCAACTACACCAGTTAGTACCAACTCAATAGCTTTCTGCTTAAAGTGAACCAACTATACATCTTAGCCAGTATCTAGGTTTCCTTTTCTATAAAAATAGTGTTCAAGTAATCCCCACCAACCATGCATCAATGAATATCATTTATTCATTCACTAAACAAACTGTTAAGCACTCACTACTGACCAAGTACTATGAGGGCTGCTTAAGATACAGAATTGAATGAGAGAAATCATTGTTGCTCTTAAGGAATTTCTAGTCAAATAAGTCATATAATCAAATAAGTACTATGCCAACCAACCACAGTTAAGACAGGCATAGAAGGTGCAGCAGGATTCAGAGGAAGGCAGGCAATGGAAGAACTTTCCAGAGATGTGCTGTTTGAGCTGGGTTTTGAAGGGTACATAAGAGCTCAATAGATCAAGTTGAATAAAGGACATTCCTCAAAACCAGGACAGCAGGAGCAAAGGCAGGATGACAAATGACTCAGAGGAAGCTCACAAGACAGAATGATGGGTATGGAAACGCATACGGTCCTCCTTCTTAGGAACCACTTACCTCTCGTTCTGGAGAGGCGACAGCTAACTGCTTCCTCTGTCTCGCTTCCTTGGCCTCTTTTTCAGTCCCCCGGACCAGTTGCTTAATGAAGCCCCCTGGGATGACAGAGAAAAGAGGAGGGGGCGAGGATGGTGGAGGGCTCTTGTCCTCTTCCCGAATCTGTTTTGCAGAAGCAAGGAAAGAGAGAGCTCAGTGAGTCAACCAGCAGGAGCAAGCTGCCCTTCAAAGTTTGTGATGGAGCCTGGGAGGGGGCGGAGGAGACATACATGACCAAGCCCATGTATGAGAAGCCACAGCCAAGCAGGTGAGGCCCAGCACGACTCAGGGGGGTCCCTGAGACAGCGCATGAAAATGGAACACAGGGGCAGCCAGGAATTATGCGGGTCAATGTGATTTCTGCCTGGATCCACTCTCCTTGTGATATGAACAGTCACTTGTATGGTCAAGGCTGCTGGTTCCCTTCCTTGCCATGGGACATGCCCATTTCTAGAAGGACCTGCTCTGAAAGGAGGTTTCCCAGTTTCCAGAAGGGGATGGATCACAGGGAATCATCCACGCTCTCCTGGTCCCCCTCAGCTTATAGTTAATATAATAGATGAACCAATTAATCACTTACTATGCACCAGGAACATGGTAAGATAGGGAAGGGCTTACAGCCATGACTTATATAAGGACCTGACCTTGTGGCTCCAACCCATTCAACTGACACAGTGCTGTGGCTTCCTGACAGTCCTTAAACCAGGACTTGGTCAGCCAGGAGCTCTCTAACACTGGGTCCTAGAACAGGCAGGTTGGACCCTGATATTTTACCCCCCAGAAATACGGCCTAGGCCAGCACTGGCTGGACTTGTGGTGCAGCTGAGACCCCGCTGTTGGCTACAGCGACTTGGAGGCTGAGGCATGAGACCGGCTGTGGCCGACTGAAGTGTGTCTTTAGCCTGCATCAGTGACAGCCCATGAGAAGAAAAAAAAGTCACCAGTGCTTTATACGGAAGAGCTCCATACTGGTCTAAAATAGCCTCCTTATCAAGAACCTCTGTGCATGTATGGTAAAGACTTGCTGTGTGTAGCCCAACTGATAAGGGAGGAATTCAAAGGAGATAGCAAAGGCCAGGAGACAAGGCCATGGGATAAAGCTGGTGAATGCAGACCTCTGCCCAGGGACAGAGAAGCAGGGGCAGCACTGCAGGGCCCACATCAACATCATTTCCCTTCTTTCCTTCCTGATGTGGGACTGAAAGACACTTCATAAGTGAGAGACAGTCTTTTTTTTTTTTTTCTTTTTTGAGACGGAGTCTCGCACTGTCGCTCGGGCTGGAGTGCAATGGCGCGATCTTGGCTCACTGCAACCTCTGTCTCCTGCCTCAGCCTCCTGAGTAGCTGGGATGACAGGCACACACCACCACACCCAGTTAATTTTTTGTATTTTTAGTAGAGACGTGGTTTCACTATGTTGGCCAGACTGGTCTCGAACTCCTGACCTCATGATTCACCTGCTTCGGCCTCCCAAAGTACTGGGATTACAGGCGTGAGCCACCACGCCTGGCCAAGAGACAGTCTTAAGGCACCCTCTGCAGCTTCCAATGCCATTTTAGCTGCTACCCCCAGATCAGGCTGGGAGGGGCAGGGGCAGGGGCAGGCAGGAGGCAGCCAGAAAGAAGTTTCTCACCCTCCCACCTCCAACTCATCAAATCACATGCACAAGGTGGAGTGAGGGTGCAGGAAGTAACAGGCATCTTAGAAAGAGGCAGCCCTTCGTAGCGTATCATGAAAAATACTAAAGGGGAGAAAGGAATATCTGGGGAGGAGAGCCCGTTTCCGGTTCTCTATGGTGCCCGAAGGCAGGGACCACAGAAACCCACCCCTGTGGCATAAACCTGGCAGCTGACAGCCCTGCCTCTGTCCCCCATGTGCCCCTCCTCCCACCCAAACTCCAGTGCTCATCAGAGCTGCCATGAGGATCCAGCTGGGACAGCTGGTCTACCACCCCCCACCACCACCACCACCACCTGTGGAACAGGAAACAACCAGGCAGCCCTCGGGGGGGCGTCAAGGGTATGGCCATCAGTGTCCAGCTGGGTTGGAAAGGCCAAGGCTAACCGAGCTGGCTGGGAGAAGGTTGAAGGTGGGATTGCACATGCTACTAGGAGGGCTGGATGTCAGACTCCCCACTCAAGGTGGGAAAGGTCGGACTTGTCTCCCGAGGGTCGAGTCAGTCCCTGCAGATGGCTGCAGCCCCAGCCATGAGTGTCACTTTCCTTCTGCTCCCACAGGGCGAGGCGTGATGAGATGGCCATGCTGAGGCAGTGCCAGGGCCGTGAGATGATGAGATGAGATGGAGCTTCCTGCCAGACAGCACGGAATGAGGCTTTACAGACACACGCAGCACATGAGATGGACACAGAACTGACACACAGGGACACAGTGGGGAGAGAAGAGAGAGACAGGTTAGCTCATGGGCACAGCCCTACTCCCACCCCCACCAACGCCATAAACCAAGACCACATGGGGGAATGGGCACAGTCAGGTACAGACACTGTCAGCTACCTCTGCAAGGAGGATGGTCAGGCAGGACCCTGCAGGCCGCGGAGTGAACAGTGCCCTGAAATATTCTTCCTCTTGGCCCCACACGTTTATACAACCAGAAAAATATATCATAAGGTACAGCTCAGTGGCTCTTACAGAAAGAACACACCAATATAACTAGCACCCTGATCAAGATTTAAAAGTTATAATTTTATTTATAAGAAGTTCAAGAACAGGCAAATCTAATCTATGGTAAAGGAAGTCAGAGGAGCCATTCGCTTTTGGTTGGGAAGAAGCATGAGGGAACCTTCTGGTGCTTAGGAAAAGCCTTGTAGCTTGATCAAAAAGTAAACAGAGACCTAGAACTTCCCTCATGCTCCCTTCTGGTCAATATTTCCTGAAGGGAAACCACTATTATTTGTTTTTGTGTTTTTTTTTTTTTTTTTTTTTTTGAGATGGAGTCTTGCTCTGATGCCCAGGCTGGAATGCAGTAGTGTAATCTCAGCTCACTGCAACCTCCACCTCCCCAGTTCCAGCAATTCTGCCTCAGCCACCCGAGTAGCTGGGATTACAGGTGTATGCCACCACACCCGGCTAATTTTTTATATTTTGGGTAGAGAAGGGTTTTCATCATATTGGCCAGGCTGGACTCGAACTCCTGACCTCATGATCCGCCTGCTTCAGCCTCCCAAAGTGCTGGAATTACAGGCATGAGCCACCACGCCCAGCCAGGAAACCACTATTCTGACTTCTAACACCATGAATCATGGGTTTTCTTTGTGAAGGGAATACTTGGTTCCATAGTTGGAAGATGAGGTAAGGGCAGGAAACTGTAGCTCTCAATCTGTCCCACGCTTGGAGAAATCATTTGTCATCATATTGAGAGCCTTAGAAAATTTTGATAACTTTTGACCCAGAAAGCCCTTTTCTGGGAAACAAGTTTGAGGAAGTAATCCTAAACCAGAAAATTTCATCACCATGTTGACTGTAGCATTGAAAGAGCAGACATGAAGTCCGATAACTAGAGAATGTCAAATAAATTAGAGTACCTCCAATTCGCAGTAACAGTATGAAACCATCAAAAAAAGAGTGTTTAGCAAGCATTGTTTTTACTTGCCATATCTCCATACAATTACTATATTTCCTTGTTTATTTACACCTGTTACTTCCCAGCCAAAGTTGTAACTTTATTTTTATTATACTTTAAGTTCTGGGATATATGTGTAGAACATGCAGGTTTGTTACATAGGTATACACGTGCCATGGTGGTTTGCTGCACCCATCAACCCATCATCTACATTAGGTATTTCTCCTAATGCTCTCCCTCCCCTAGTCCCCCACCCCTCGACAGGCCCCAGTGTGTGATGTTCCCCTCCCTGTGTCCATGTGTTCTCATTGTTCAACTCCTATTTGAGTGAGAACGTGCAGTGTTTGGTTTTGTTTCTGTGTTAGTTTACTGAGAATGATGGTTTCCAGCTTCATCCATGTCCCTGCAAAGGACATGAACTCATTCTCTCTTACGGCTGCATAGTATTACATGTGCCACATTTTCTTTATCTAGTCTATCACTGATGGACATTGGGGTTCGTTCCAAGTCTTTGCTATTGTGAATAGTGCCACAATAAACATACATGTGTATATGTCTTTATAGTAGTATGATTTATAATCCTTTGGGTATTTGTTTTTAAAGTTATATTGGGGTATTATTTGTATGTCATAACATTCAGCTAAGTTTCAACTTGATTTTTAATAAATTTACAGAGCTGTGCAATTGTCACCACAATCTAACTTTAGAAATTCTCATCACCCCAGCCAGGCGCGGTGGCTCACGCCTGTAATCCCAGTACTTTGGGAGGCCAAGGCAGGCAGATCACAAAGTCAGGATATCGAGACCATCCTGGCTAACAAGGTGAAACTCCGTCTCTACTAAAAATACAAAAAATTAGCCGGGCATGGTGGCGGGTGCCTATAGTCCCAGCTACTCAGGAGGCTGAGGCAGAATGGTGTGAACCTGGGAGGAGGAGTTTGCAGTGAGCAGAAATCATGCCACTGCACTCCAGTCTGGGCAACAGAGTGAGACTCTGTCTCCAAAAAAAAAAAAAATTCTCATCACCCCCAAAAAAACTCTTCTTTTCATGCCCATTTACTGTCACTAGTTGTTCCCTCTCTCAGCCCCAGGCAACCACAAATCTACTCTCTATCCCTATAAATTTGCCCTTTTTGGACATTCGCTATAACGGAATCATAAAGTATTTGGTCATTTACCCCTGGCCGCTTTCACTTTGCATGTTTTTGACATTCATCCACGCTCCTGTGTGCGTCGGCCCCTCATTACTTTGTTGCTCAATTGCATTCCTGTTGCATGGATAGACATGTTTTTGCTTTTTTTTTTTCTTCTTAATCCATGCAACAGGTGATGAGCAGCTAGACTGTTTCCACTTTAGGGGCACTACGAATAATGTCGCTACAAAGTCACATAGGTTCTTCTGAGTGAAACTGCTGGGTAGTATAATAATTTTATGTTTAATTCAAAAAAAAAAAAAAAACTTTCCTGCCAGTTGTGGTGGCTCACATCTGTAATCCCAACCTTTTGGGAGGCCGAGGTGCGTGGATCCCGAGGTCAGGAGTTCGAGACCAGGCTGGCCAACATGGGGAAACCCTGTCTCTACTAAAAATACAAATATTAGCCTGGTGTGGTGGCAGGCACCTGTAATCCCAGCTATTCGGGATGCTGATGTGGGAGAATTGCTTGAATCCGGGAGGCGGAGGTTGCAGTAAGCCAAGATGGTGCCACTGCACTCCAGCCTAGGCAATGGAGTGAGACTTGGTCTCAAAAACAAACAAACGAACAAACAAAACAACAAAGAAACTTTCCAACTGTTTTCCAAAGTGACTATATCTTTTTCCACATCCCCACCCCTGCAGTGTGTGAGAGTTGTTTGGGAAACATTTGCAGAATCATTGAAAGGTGCTTGTCTCAGCTTGTAAAGTAAGATTGAGTACAATGTTGCACACACCAGAGCTGTCCAAAATGAACAAAACACTTCCTGTAGAAAATCAAGTGGGAGGAAATATACCAAGGTCTTAGTAGAAGCGGTCTTGAGTGGAGGAAGGTGTCTCTTCTGCCTTTGGCTTTTCTCACTTCTAGCTCTGGTTGGCCGGGCCCTCTGAGCAATGTGCTTCACTGACCCCTCCTGAGAGACACCCACCCTCCATCCCAGCTGCCAGAGTAACCACTGACCAGCAGTTTTATTTTTTTGTTGGCTTTTTTTTTTTTGATATGCAGTCTTGCTCTGTTGCCCAGGCTGGAGTATAATGGCACGGTCTCGGCTCACTGCAACCTCCACCTCCTGAGTTCAAGCAATTCTCCTGCCTCAGCCTCCTGAGTAGCTGGGACTACAGGCACGTGCCACCACGCCCGCTAATTTTTTGTAGAGATGGGGTTTCGTCATGTTGGCCAGGCTAGTCTCGAACTCCTGACCTTGTGATCCGACCCTCGGCTCCCAAAGTGCTGGGATAACAGGCGTGAGCCACTGCACCTGGCCTGACCAGGACTTCAAGGCCTTGTAAGCCTGGAAGTAGCTGCCCTTCAGTGACTTAACTAGAAGGTGGCTATTATAAATAAAACTGCTATGAATTTTTATGCAAAAGTATTGAATGGACATGCATTTTCATTCCCTGCCTGATACCTAGAGTAGAATAGTATGCCATATAAGAGGCGTATGTAAAGCTTTTGTAAGTACTAGTGTTCTATAGCACTATATGACTATAGTTAACAATAATATTATATATTTTCTTTTCTTTTGAGACAGTCCTGCTCTGTTGCCCAAGTCGGAGAGCAGTGGCACGATCTCGGCTCACTGCAACCTCCATCTCCTGGGTTCAAGTGATTCTCCTGTCTCAGCCTCCTGAGTAGCTGGGATTACAGGCACATGCCACCATGCCTGGCTAATTTTTGTATTTTCAGTAGAGACGGGGTTTTGCCATATTGACCAGGCTGGTCTCAAACTCCTGGCCTAAAGTGATCCACCTGCCTCGGCCTCCCAAAGTGCTGGGATTACAGGCGTGAGCCACTGCATCCAGCCAACAATATATAGTTTCAAATAGAAGGACATGGAATGTTCCCAAAACAGAGAAATGGTACATTTTTGAGATGAAAAGATGAAGGCTGCTTAGGCAGTTTCACATCCTGGAAGCTGGTGAGCCCAAGAGTTGGCTGGTCCCTGCTGCTGTGCTGAAGCCCCCACTATTCATCTTCTGAGAGTCCATTGTGAACATCTCTTTCCAAGTCTGCATTCAGCAAAGCCTAATTCATAACTTAACGGCAGCCATGGGAGTGTTTACACCACGGAAATTGGCAAATGCTACAAATCAGGTCTTTTATTCTGGGAGCTGGCCATTCCACGCCTATCAGCATGTCACTAGCTGAGACCTCAGCATGCCTACGCAGCCCTGCAGGAGTGAAATCCCAGGATCCAAAAATCCAAGGAGCATTTCGGCTCTAATGAGGTCACATGCCCAATGGGAGGCCACAAATACACGTCCAAGTGCCAACAGCGAAGTCTTTACCTTAAGAAAAAGTTTCCCACAGTGTGGGCTTTTGCATTAGTCTGCTTTGTGTTGCTATAAAGGAATATCTAGGGCTGAGTAAGTTATAAAGAAAAAAGTTTGGCCAGGCACAGTGCCTCATGCCTGTAATCCCAGCACTTTGGGAGGCTGAGGCAGGCGGATCACGAGGTCAGATCAAGACCATCCTGGCTAACACGGTGAAACCCCATCTCTACTAAAAATACAAAAAATTAGCTAGGCGTGGTGGCAGGCCCCTGTAGTCCCAGCTACTGGGGAGGCTGAGGCAAAAGTATGGCGTGAACCCAGGAGGCAGAGCTTGCAGTGAGCTGACATCGTGCCACTGCACTCCAGCCTGGGCAACGGGGGTGGGGGGAAAGAAAAAAAAAAGAAAGAAAGAAAAAAGTTCAACTGGCTCACAGCTCTGCAGGCTGTACAAGAAGCACTGCACCTGCACCTGCATCTGCTGAGGCCTCAGGGAGCTTCCAATAACCGCAGGAGAAGGGGAGCTGGCATCACGTGATGAGAGAGGGAGCGAGAGACAGAGAGAGGGAGGAGGGAAGTACCAGACTGGTTTTGAACAAGCAGCTGTCCCGTGAACAAATAGAGCAAGAACTCGCTGATTAACCCAGGGTGGGCACCAAGACATTCAGGAGGCATCTGCCCCCATGACCCAAACACCTCCCACTAGGTCCCACCTCCAACACTGCGGATGACACGTCAACATGAGATTTGGAGGGAACAGACATTCAAATTGTATCAGATCTCCAGCTTACAAAGGCACAGGAAAGTGGCTGGGCGCGGTGGCTCACGCCTGTAACTCCAACACTTTGGGAGGCCGAGGCAGGCGGATCACCTGAGGTCAGGAGTTCAAGACCAGACTGACCAACATGGAGAAAGCTCGTCTCTACTAAAAATACAAAATTAGATGGGCGTGCCAGCGCATGCCTGTAATCTCAGCTACTGGAGAGGCTGAGGCAGGAGAATCGCTTGAACCTGGGAGGCGGAGGTTGCGGTGAGCCGAGATCGAGCCATTGCACTCCAGCCTGGGTAACAAGAGTGAAACTCTGTCTCAAAAAAAAAATAAAATAAAATTTAATTTAAAAAGACACAAGAAGCTGGGAGGGTGGACAAAAGGGGAGAGGGGATGGGGGAAAGAAGAGAAGGAAAGACACCCTCCCCTCCCGTCGTCCCCTTGGGAGACACTGGCGAGGCCCCCGAGTGACTCACAGACTCCATGCCTAAGGAGCAAAGCCCGAATTATAAATAGGCCTGACGTCAGGTGGCTGCCTTGGCCGCCACTACCCGCCTTCCTCTCCAGCCCAGGCCTGGCCACGTCAGCAGCCGCTTCCCAAGAATCACCCTCAGCTTCGGGCTCCAGGGGGAATCCTGGCTGTCGTAGGGGCTGTCCTTAGCCCTGAGGCTGCCAGCCTTCCCAGAGGGCCTTAGCAGAAAGGGACAATGCGAGGGAACCCCATGTGGGGCCTCACCCCTCATGTCCTGCCCCCTCAGAGGTCCTGCGCCAGCTCCACTGACCCAGGGCCAGGAGCCAATCCCGCCGGGGAGGTTTTGTCAAGACTTAATTTAAGCAAGTGTTCTTATCGCCATACTCCGGTCCGGGCCCAAAACATACACCTGCCTCGTCAGCTGCTGTTTTAAGCCCATGAGGTGGCCATAGACATTTGGAATTCACGGTATAAAATCGCGAGTCTCCCCTTAAAGGGGAGAGAGGCTGGGGAGAGAAAACGCAACCCCAAAGCCAGGAGATGACTTGAAACTGTTTTCCGCGTACACATACTGGATCTGAGTAGTGGTTCCATGGGACCCTCAAGGCTTTCCCCCACTACCCCACAATGTCCAGTTGTAACATAGCACCTGTCTCATAGAATACATTCCCAAGTCTTTGTAGCGCCCCCGCCATAACCACCTGTCCTAGCGACCCTCCCTTTCTATCCTCCCTGTCAATTACACTGACCTCCAGGATACGCCCTTCCAAGCACATTCTCACCTCAAGAACTTTGCACATGCTGTTCTCTCTGCCTCAAATGCTTTTCCTGCTGCATGGCTCACATCGTCACCTAAAGTCTTCTCAATGTGCCTGTGCTCACTCCCTATTTAAATTGCAGCTTAACTCCCAATCCCACCCTACTCCTCCTCCAGAGCAGCCCCTATGAAGGCCAGAATTCTCAACGCGTTCTCTTCACTTACTGTAGTCCTTAGTGCCTAGCACATACTTAGCTTTCAATCAACATTTGTTAGTTCAGGCACAGCAGATCACACCTGAAACACCAGCACTTCCAGAAGCCAAGACAGGAGCATCACTTAAAAGCCAATAGTTCCAAAAGAGCCTGGGCAACATAAAGACCCTGTGTCTGGAATTGGCGGGTTCTTGGTCTCGCTAACTTCAAGAATAAAGCCGTGGACCCTCGCAGTGAGTGTTAACAGTTCTTAAAGACGGTATATCCAGAGTTTGTTCCTTCTGACTTTCGGACGGGTCTGGAGTTTCTTCCTTCTCATGGGTTCGCGGTCTCACTGACTTCAGGAGTAAAGCTGCAGGCCTTCGCGGTGAATGTTACAGCTCTTAAAGGCACCGCGTCTGGAGTTGGTCGTTCCTCCTGATGGGTTCGTGGTCTCGCCTGCTGCAGGAGTGAAGCTACAGACTTTTGCGGTGAGTGTTACAGCTCACACACGCAGCGTAGACCCAACAATCGACCAGCAGCAAGAATTATTGCAAAGAGCGAAAACACAACCACCCCACAACGCGGAAGGAGACCCGGGCGGGTTACCAGTGCTGGTGCTGGCAGCCTGCTTTCATTCCCTTATCTGACCCCACCCACATCCTGCCGATTGGACCATTTTACAGAGAGCTGATTGGTCCGTTTTACAAAGAGCTGACTGGTCCGTTTTACAGAGAGCTGACTGGTCTGTTTTGACAGGGTGCTGATTGGTGCGTTTACAAATCCTTAGCTAGACACAGAGTGCCAGACTGCTGATTGGTGCGTTTACAGTCCTTTAGCTAGACATGAAAGTTCTCCAATCCAGCAACCCCCGCCCCCCCCACACCCGCCCCTGCCGACCGGGAGGCCAGCTGGGGTCGCCTTGTGGATCTTGCGCTGGGGCCACGGGCTGAGCTTCCCGCACTGATCAGCGCTTGGGCAGTCCATGGGACGCGGTGCCGTGGAGGCTCTGGCCGCGCGCGATCCTAACCAGTGGTGGGGGGCTCGGGTATGGCAGGCTGCAGGTCCTGAGCCCTGCCCCGCGGGGAGGCGGCTGAGGCACGGTGAGAATTCGAGCGCAGCGCGGGCGGGCCAGCAGTGCTGGGGGACCCAGCGCACCCTCCGCAGCTGCTGGCCTGGGTGCTAAGCGCCTCACTGTCCGGGGCTAGCGGCGCGAGCCGGCCGCTCCGAGTACGGAGCCTCCGACCACCCGGAACTCGCACTGGCCCCGGTTCCCGCCTGCGTCCCTCCCTCCACACCTCCCGGCAAGCAGAGGGAGCCGGCTCCGGCCTCGGCCAGCCTAGAGAGGGGCTCCTCAAGCATGGCCAGAGTGGACGCCGAGGCGGAGGAGGCACCGAGAGCGAGCAAGGGCTGCTAGCATGTTGTCACCTCTCAACCCCATGTCTAAAAAAATTTTTTTTTAATTAGCCAGGTGTAGTGGCAGCTGCATAGCTGTGGCTTGCAGCTATGCAGGAGGCTGAGGCAGAAGGATCACTTGAGCCCAGGAGTTCAAGGCTACAGTGAGCTGTGATCACGCCACTGCTCTCCAGTCCAAGTGGCAGTAATAGACTCTGTCTCTTAAAAAATTAATTAAAGGCCGGGCGCGGTGGCTCACGCCTGTAATCCCAGCACTTTGTGAGGCCGAGGCGGGCGGATCACGAGGTCAGGAGATCGAGACCATCCCGGCTAAAACGGTGAAACCCCGTCTCTACTAAAAATACAAAAAATTAGCCGGGCGTAGTGGCGGGCGCCTGTAGTCCCAGCTACTTGGGAGGCTGAGGCAGGAGAATGGCGTGAACCCGGGAGGCGGAGCTTGCAGTGAGCCGAGATCCCGCCACTGCACTCCAGCCTGGGCGACAGAGCGAGACTCCGTCTCAAAAAAAAAAAAAAAAATTAATTAAAATAAAAGTTAAATATTTGTCAAATGAATAAGTAGGTGAATGAATGAACAGTTAGAAATGAGCCTGAGAAGGGACAGAGCAGCAAGTCTGTGGGCAGAGATTTCTGATGTCCCCCTGTGCTGTCTGCATCCACACATAATGGGAAAGCATGTTTATCATGGCCTGAGTTCACATCCTTTGACACCCCAGGGAGCTCTCTGAGCCTCAGTTTTCCTAGCCGTGCAGTGAGAGGACACCCACATAACAAGCATGTGCTGGATCCCTGGTAACCTCTCTCAATCAGATTTTCACTTTCCCTTTACTCCACGGTTAAAACCGGACTGAAGACCCCAGCCCAGCACCCAGCACAAGACAATTCACAGAACATTTAGGGAGAACCAACCGTGTGCCAAGCACCGATATAGATCCTTACTCCTAAACTCCCCCATGACCCTTATATTCCTACTGGACCTGGAATTTCATTATATTAAAATCCATGATCACATTTCATTCCCACAATAGGACCACATGGTTGGCATCACTCCCACAGAACAGACAGACTCAGAGAGGTCGAGACACTTGTCTGAGGTCCCCCAGCAAGAAAGCCAAGGTGAGACTTACCCCAAGGTGTGCCTGACTCCTCCCACACATGCTCAGCTTCCCATCAAAGCTCCACATCAGTGATGATAAGAGAGGACCAATCTGTGGGTGCCAGGCCAAGCCTCAGACGTGCCCTATGTCGTGGTGGCAAGCTGTGGAAGCCTAGGAAGCTGGCTCAAGTAGGTACATTCAGGGGTAGGGCAGAGTGTGCAGGGGGCACTGGTATTTACTTAGCATCTGTTTGGTGTTAGTCACAGCACAGGGCGTGTGGTAGTTGGGATCAGAAAGGTTAACAAATTGGATCAAGGTCACACAGGAGGAGGTAAAGATAACCTAAGTGCCTAAATCCCTGTATTTTTTCTGTTCCACTCTGAGATTTCTGTCCTTCCTCCCTAGCAGGAGGGGACACGACAAAATCAGGGCTATGGATAATGGTACCACTAGGATTTCTGCATTACTCAATACTGAGGACTTAAGTAGATCACATCATTTACTCTTTCCATCCGAAGAGGTGGATTCTCTGAGTAACTCTTATCTCAGGACACTCAGGCAGAGGGAGGGGATGTGTCTTGCACCCAGCCAGGAGGTGGTGGGGCTGATTCGTGGACCAGATGGTCTGACTTTAGAGGCTGAGCTCACAGCCACTTTAGCACACTGGCCTCCCAGCATGGACTGCCACGTGTGCCTGGCACACAGCAGCTTCTCAATAAAAGCTGTTTCCTTCCCCTTCCTGGCTCTGACTCCGCCATCCTTCACGTGCCTGTGGGGACACCTTCCTCCATGACACCATGCCTGAGGGTGCCAGCCAATGTCACCCTGCAGGATTCTATGACAGCCTCCTGCAGCCTCCACCCAAACACCCGCTGTCACCTGCCCTCCCCTCCACTGGCCACAAGGCTTAGGTCACTATTTGGTTCTTTATTAATTGGATCTTCATTTAGAATTCTGTCTTGCCCATAGTCTGGTTGGTGAGTGTAAGCATGTAATTCCTCAGCTGTTCCACAAGGTTCCTGGAGGCAGGCAGAGGGGTTGGCCAGTGAGAACACCAGCATGGAGCTTAGATGCTCAGCAGGAATGATCTGACTGCCTGACACCTGGTTTCTGTGATGGTCATATCGGAGGCCAGACAGCGAGGGAAAAAAAGGATGCTGGAGAACTGAAGACACCATCTTCAGATTCCCCCTCCATCTCTTCTACTTTGCTCTATGTCTGGCTGCTGACCCTGTGGACTCTTCCAATGGACTCCCTCACTTTCCATCTTCCAGGTGGGTTAAGCTAATGGGAATCATCCACTAGTAGGAGATCAGAGGGCATCTGTGTCTTCACTCACTCTCCCTCCTGGATGACCATGGTTGCCTTCCTCCCTCTCCCAAAGGCGCCTTCAGGCTGTTCTCTCCACTCTCTCCCCTCTCCTGTTGCGGCAGCAGCTCCCTCCTCTGACAGTTCAGGCCCAGAAAAGTAACAGCTTCACTGTTGCTATCCTCAAAGTGCTGCAGCATCCCTTAAAGGAGGCGGCAGCAAATATTTTCTGTAAAGCGCCAGATAGGAAATCTTCTGAGCTTTGAGGCCTGTAGGTTCTCTGTTACAATGACTCAGCTCCACCCTTGCGGCTCACAAGCAGCCATACTTAGTACGTAAATGAATGGGCATGGCTGTTTCAATTTGACTTTATTTTTAAAACCAGGCAGAGAGTTGGATCTGGCCGTGGGCTGTCATTTGCTGACTGTTAACCTTAATGCTACCATTGCATCCTGCCCCTACTTTGGTAAACAGTTTTTTTCCTAAACTCCTCAAATGGCCCCACTGGAGTGAGCCCTCTGCACCCTACTATAGCCCTGACTTTACAGCTGCCTCACCCCAAGAAGGAAAAGAACGTCCCAGGAGAGGATTGAGTAATGGGGAACAAGACGACCGCCCTGACATCCACGTGGCATGCCCTCTCCAAGGGCCACCTTCAGGCCACACTGCTGTGTGCCCCAGGAGCTGACCACTAGGCATTGTGCTCCCTACCCCCAGGCTCTCTTGCTCTCTGGCTTCCCCTCGTTTGGCCAATGGAAGGCTCTGGGAGGACCTGCATATGAGAGGAACTAGTGGTCAAGGTATTTAGTTCCCACTCTACCCACCTCTCTCTGTATCAGGCCCTAATTTTAGAAATGCTGTGTTTCTCCATCTACAACCACAACACCCTTCAAGTGGTCCCTGTCCACCAACTCCAGCTATCTCTGTGTTCCTAAATCACCCCTCCTCTCCCTTGTCCCATACAGCCCCAAGGCTAGTAAGGTATTCCCACCACTGCTTATCTCTGAGGGCTTCAACATGCTTTGTTGGTTCCCCTAACCCTGCACACATTTCTTGGGAGAGTTCTTTCATTAAAAAGGCTCTCCAGGATACCAGTTGAGGGTGCTGTTTTCTAGTGGGCCCTTGACTGATACAGTCAGTAGGGAAGTAGGTTTTAATTCACATATCAATCCTGATAGACGGATAGTGGCTGCCTCGTGGGTTACATGGGAAGGACTGTGAGCTTTTATCTGGGCTGAGTGGAAGAAGGGTGCTCTGATTGTTTATTAATGTCTGCCCTGGGCGTGGAAAGAGGGAATGGGGCATAAGTGCTATCTATTGCCATCCACAGGCTAAATGGACAAAAGAGACTCATGATTCCATACAAAGTCCAGCCTACTTCACCCAAGCCTGGAGTTTGATGGCCAAAGAGCCAGGCAATAATGAAAAGGGACTTTGCCCAGCACACAGATCCTCTCCCTAATCAGGGCAAGGGTGGCTCACAGCCAGCTATAGCCAGGGATTCAGACCGTGCTCACAACAATACACATGAAGGTGAGAAAGGGAGAGGGATGAGTGAGAAGCAAGGGCAGGAAGGTTGATGGAGGGAAAATGAAATGTTGAAGAGGGAGGGAGGAAGGAAGAGAAAAGCAGATGGGGTGGTGAGATGAAGAAGAATGGCGGGCAGGGAGCAGCAGGTGTGAAGGCTGCCAGAAATGCCCCTCAGCATCAGAACCTGGGGCCTTTACACATGGAGAAACCCCAGAGACCCAGCTCACTTCACAAGGAATTTCCAGGATAGACAGTCAATGAGTTCCCTCTTGGTCATGTCCATTGACAGGGAGGTCACTAATACATAGGACATTTGGAGTCTGCTCTAATTGTGTTTCTTCCTTGGAACCAGAGCTCCGAAAGGCCCTCAGAAGCCACAAAACCTACTTCTCCTATATCCTGGCATCCATAGACCAGGGAAGGGAAGTGACTTTCTCGAGGTCCTACAGCGACAATAGCAGAACTAAGGTCCTCATGTCCCAATGAGTAAAGTCTGATGCTTTTTCTTCCTTCTCAGAGAGCTACCTCCCCAGGACAGTCACACAGTGGCCTCAGTTCCACTCTCTGGAACAACAGACAACGAGGTTAACCCCTTTTCCAACTGAAATGATGGAATCCGCCCCCAGTTTTCTCATCTGTCACCTTCAGCCTTTTCTCAGGGGACATGGCTCCTAGTTTCTTCAGAACAATGCTCAGTCTCCTGGGACTTCTCTAACCTGCCTTCTGCCGCAGAAGTGGACATTTCACTCTGCAAAGGGTTGATGAGGGTACACACAGCAGGCTTCCTGCATTTCCATGGGTCCACAGCAGCCCTGGAAGTCTTAGATCTAAGAGTGGGCCTCACTATGCCTGTTGTCAAACCTCTCAGGTCACCAACTCCTCTGTCTGTCAAATGGGGATGCAGTTTTTCTCACCCACTTCACGGAGCGGTTTGAGTACTAGATGCTCCGTAGGCCTGTGAGCCATTTCTGACGTTATTACCATGTCCTTGGCAGCAGCTATGTCCCCGGTTGACTCAGATTCAGTCCCAGGCAGATTAAAATCTTCAAATGCTTTGCATATCAGTGGCTGACCAGCCAGTAGCCTCACCCCACCCTGCCAGCCTCCATTGCTAAATCATGCAGTGGGTGTTTCTATGAGAAATTAGAAAAAAAAAATCTCAGCTCCTCCAGCCCATTGGCTCTCCCCTCTCTGTATCATGGTTGCTCCACTGACCTAGGCTGGCCACACACTCCTGGCCACCCGGTGAGTCATCAGGCCACTCCTACAGGCTGATGAGATGCTGGACCTCACAGATGGGCCTCGTGGCTGAGTGCCAGGATGGCCAATAATGTTTCTTTCACCTGCCAGCACCAACTGATCTGTAGTTGGGGGCTGCCCAGAGTGTTGTATTGAGAAACATTCTGAGCTGTGCCTGGGCTGAACAAGACAGCATGCTGTGATTGACTAGCAATGTCTGGCACGGGTATAGGAATGGCTAGGGATGGAACCTGTGCCAAGTATTTGCCATTTCCAACCTAGTGTTTCCCGGCCACCATGAAGCAAGAAGCTGGTTAGACTTTTGGTAACAGGTTCCCCTGACTGATTTTAGGGATTGAGTGCTCCATCAAAGGGCTAATTTTCTTTTTTTATTTTCTTTCTTTCTTTTTTTGAAGCGGAGTCTCACTCTGTTGCCCAGGCTGGAGTACAGTGGTGCCATCTCGGCTCACTGCAAGGTCCACCTCCTGGGTTCACGCCATTCTCCTGCCTCAGCCTCCCGAGTAGCTGGGACTACAGGTGTCCATCACCACGCCTGGCTAATTTTTTTGCATTTTTAGTAGAGACGGGGTTTCACCGTGTTAGCCAGGATGGTCTCGATCTCCTGACCTCGTGATCCGCCTGCCTTGGCCTCCCAAAGTGCTGGGATTACAGGCATGAGCCACTGCGCCCAGCCTCAAAGGGCTAATTTTCTATCCACTACTGTGTTGCTACCTAGAGCTGTACTAATACAGTAGCCACTAGCCACAGGTGGCTTGTTAAATTTAGATGAATTCTAACTAAATTAAATCAAAAATTTAGCGTCTCAGTTGTATGAGCCACGTGGTTCATGGCTACCATGTTGGACAGCACAGATACAGAGGATTCCTATCATCGCAGAAAGTTGTGTGGGACAGAACTCACCAAGTGGTGATTGTGCCTGCCAATGGACATTTTTGGAAACATCCTAGAGACATTTTGGGTTGTCACAACTGGAGAGGAGGTGCTACCTGCATCTACTGGGTCAAGGACAGGGATGCTGCTACACATTTTTCCAAGCACATGACAGGTCCACAACAAAGAGATATGCAACCCAAATGTCAATAGTGTCTACGCTGACACTGGTCTAGAACCCTGGTCTGGAAGAATCATGACAAATGGGAAGGAGCATCAAGAGAAGAAGAGGGCAATATCATCTTTGCTTTGAATAATAACTAGGTGTAACAGGGAAAGAACTGAAAAAATGAGTCATCCACTGTTGGCAGAAAAACAAGCAGAAAAGCAAGTCACTAAACCTCTCTGATGCTGAGTTTCCTCTTCTATAAAACTGGGACTATATCACTACCTGCCTTGATCATCAGTGGATTAAATGAGGTAATGAATGTGAAAAAGCTTTCTTATCTGTCTCTGTGAAACAATGCCACACAATTTATTATCTCAACGGATGTTGTTTATTACATTATGCTGAACAGTCCAGTCTCTGGCAGGAAGGTATTCAGTCCTGCTTTTATTTCACCCTGGATAACCTGGGGTCACTCCAGGCTCCAAATCTCACTTCCTGGCCTGTAAAATGGGGCTAATAACTCACGCCCAAGCTCACTGGAATATTAAGCGTGAATGAGACATTTAATCCCATCAAGCAACCATCTCTACCTCAACGCAACAGTTAATCCAGCTGCCCTCCATGAAATTGAAACTCAAACCCCAGCTGGTACCCAAGAAACAGCTGAAAATGCATTCCATCTTTTATGGGCAGAGAAAAATTCACTTGAAACCCTGAACCTTGAAATTCTTGCTACCCTACACATGAGCACTGGCCAAGGGGTAAACTCACTTTGCCGATTCTTGAGGATCTTTCCTCTGTTGCCAGAAACTACAATTCTTAAAAGTAAATCAGCATCAGGGAGAAACACAGTAAAAAAGAAGCAGATAGGGAAAATTATGAAACTGGATGAGTCAGGCTGTGGGAGAGGAGAGATTCATATGAAGCTAATGGTGTCTCTGGATCCTTCAGACTGAATGAGATGTGTGTGCGTGTGTGTGTGTGTGTGTGTGTGTGTGTGTCAGAGAGAGAGAAATCTACCTTGATGTCCAAGGCCCTTGTTTGTGTCATAAAGTTCATTTTCTGCCAGGCGCAGTGGTTCCACGCCTGTAATCCCAACACTTTGGGAGGCTGAGGTGGGTGGATCACTTGAGCTCCCAAGTTTGAGACCAGACTGGGCAACATGGTGAAACCCCATCTCTACAAAAAGTATAAAAATTAGCCGGGCGTGGTGGTGCACTCCTGTAGTCCCAGCTACTCAGGAGGTTGAGATGGGAGGATGGCTTAAACCTCGGAGGCAGAGGTTGCAGTGAGCCGAGATTGGGCCACTGCACACCAGCCTGGGTGATAGAGCCAGCCCTTGTTTCAAAATAAAAATAAAATAAGACGCAATTTATTTTTGCTGCCCCCATTCAAATGAGAGCTGAGGTTTATCCTTTCCTTAAGATCTTGGTGCGGGGGGATAATATATATGGTGGATTTGACTATTATTTCTAACATAAGGGGCTCGTGGTTGCTCCCTGAACACCAGCCGTGACAGCAGGGGCTGATCTTGGCCCAATGCTCTTGCTGCAGGGCTGTGTGTCCTTGAACAAGTGGCTTTCCCTCTCTGTGCCTCAGCTGCACCATCTCTCAACAGGAGGGGTTGGATTTGGCAGCACTCTGGAGGGGAGGGGGATCCTCCCTGGTCTCAAACCCACCTCCTCCATTTTTCAGAAAATTTAATTTCATTTTGTTTATTTTTATTTTTATTTTTATTTTTGAGACGGAGTCTCTCTCTGTCCCCAGGCTGGAGTGCAATGGCGTGATCTCGGCTCACTGCAAGCTCCACCTCCCAGGTTCATGCCATTCTCCTGCCTCAGCCTCCCAAGTAGCTGGGACTACAGGCACCCACCACCACGCCCGGCTAATTTTTTTTTGTGTTTTTAGTAGAGACGGGGTTTCACCGTGTTAGCCAGGATGGTCTCGATCTCCTGACCTCGTGATCTGCCCACCTCGGCCTCCCAAAGTGCTGGGATTAAAGGCGTGAGCCCCCGCGCCCGGCCACTTTGTTTAAATATTAAAGATATGCCACACACCACAGCAGCTGACCATGTGCTTCAAATGGGCCATTCAGACAGTTGTTTGTATCTAGCAGGACCCAGTGAAGGGCCATCTCCCCATAGCCTTGTAGGCTCACAGCCCCAGGTCCCTATCTTTTGGCAGCTGGAAGTGGTTCTGCTCAGTTTGGGGGCCCTCCATTCCCACCTCAAAATGCCATAGAAAGTCTTGATCTTACCCCTGGAGGAACACCTGCCCAATAAAATCTTTGCGATAGTTAGACCCTAATAAAGTGCTGTGCACGTTTTCCATGTTTGTGAAACATGGAAATTCCATGAGTTTTGACAGGGCAGGTGCTGAGCAACAGCCTTCTGTGGTTTTGTTAGCTCAAGTGAAAGGAAAAGCTCTTCTCCAATTTGGGTGGGCACCAGAACCACCTGTGAGGTTTAAAATCTGTGGATTTCTGGGCCCCTTCCCCCAAGACTGTTCAAAAGGTCTAGGATGAACCCAGGAATCTGCATTTTAAAACAGCCCCCCGCCTCCTGCCCCACATGAGTCTGATGGGTAGGTCGTCAACGACCGTCACTTCAAGAAAAACCTTCCTGGATGCTGAATCCTAGGAAAGATCCCAGAGGTGGTCTAGCCCAACCCCCTCAGGTTTTAGAAGGAGAAACTAAGTTCCGACTGGGGAGAGTACTCATCCAAGGTTACAGAGCCCACACCAGGATATTCAAGGTGACCAGGCCTGGAGGCAGGTGACATCAAATATTTGTTGATTGGTAACATGCAGCCCTTCAAAAGCCAGGAGACCAGGAGACTCCCTCTCCTCCTCCTCTTCCTCCTTCTCCTCCCTCCTCCACCCACTTGGCCTTTTCTTTTGGCCTTTTCCTTTGCTATTATTCTTCTCCTCCTTCTTCTCTTTCTCCTCCTGCTTTTTTCCTCCTCCTCCTTCTCTTCTTCTCCTTCTCCTCCTCCTCTTCCTTCTTTTCTCTCTCTCCTCTCCACTATTATTTTCTAGAACTCATCCATAGCCTAAGAGTATATAGACCCCTCTCTTTTCTGCTCCCAAGGTACACACTGGACATGGTACCCAGGCATAGGAGAATACAACTTAGGTCAGCAATGGATACAGCACCCAAGGCCACCATTATCCTTGTTGGAGTCTAGAAGCCCTAGTGGGACACTCAGCCTCCATGAGCTGGTGCACTGAATGAGGCAGCATCTTTTTGGACAGCCACAAAGTGAAAGTAACAGCCTCGTCGTATTCCAGGCCCTACAGGATAGAAGCCCAGATCCCCACACTTGCGGGTTGAGGCCAGACTGGACAGCTTGGAGCCGACTGGGAGCCGACTGGGCTCCCCATTCCGGGCCTCCCCACTCCTGGCCTCCTCCATGGAAAAGCTGCAGGAAGGCAGCAGCCCAGAGGCCTGTAGCTGGTGAGGTCTTCTCCTCTCCTGGGAGAGAGCTCCATGTCAAAGCATAGCCCCCTTCTGCCCCACTATGGGGCCACTGGGACCTGTGAATCTTCTTCATTCAGAGAAATGCCTGCTATCCGGGGTGCCAGATAAGACACCTTCCCTCAGACAGAGCTCAAGGAAGGTGGCATGAAATTGAAACCTTCAGCCATGAACTTCCATTGCCCTTCCCCCAACACTCATACATGCTTAATTTGCAGTTTAAAAAAGAACATTAAAATTAACATTTCGACTCAACAGCGTTGTTAACACGAAAGGGGAAGCCTGGCTCTTCCCCGACCATAACTGAACACCAGTGAAGCAGAAATTACTGGTAGTTGAGGAAAAATATAAACCCTGACGTCTGCGGGCAAAGATTCACAGTGGAGATTAACTCATGATTCTAAACACATTTTTAAAAATTATTAGCGAACAGCTGGGGCCTGAGGAGAGTGATTCTTACGAATGTCCATTTGCCCCAGCATTTTGTTCTCAAATCCTTCCACCGAAACACTCTTGTTTTCAAAGTGAGCAGCACGGGCAACAGGCAAAGGAATCAGGCCTCGGAAGCTCTCAACACCAGAAAGGCCTAAAATAGACCAAAAGACCGGAGGCCTGCCACCGCAGCCCCCAGCAGCGCATTCCGGAAAATTAAAACTCGCCGATCCGCTCGCAAGGTGCCCGTCTAAAACCCAGCCCAATAGTACCTTCTGCAAAGAGGACACAGATCACAGGAACCACGACTGTCTAAGACGTCTCCCCGGGTGGCCGCGAAGGGACCCCACCGAGCCGGGAAAGCAGGAGCGAAGGAGCACCCTCTCCACACACACCGACACACATCCCTTCCCCTTACTGCCCCTCCCCGACCCGTCCTCCCCCCACCCTCCTTCTGGGCCAATGTGATAGCAGCAGCTGAGTCGACCAGTCATTTCTAAAATTAGCTTGTGAGCTCCAGGTCTGGCCAGGAGACGGCAGCCCGGGGTGGCCGTTGACCAGGCAGCAGAGACCATGGACATATTTGGTGGCCCCTGAGCAGGGAAGGGGACAGCTCTGGACACAAGCACATGCTCTCTCGTCATCCCTGTCCCAGGGCAGGGCCACACACCCACACTCCCGCCTCTGCCCACACAGATAACCAGAGGTTGCAGGAACTGTTTGAGGAGGAGAGCTGGCCGGTTCTACATTCCAGGCAGACTCTGGAAGAAAATAACTTGAATGAATGCTGGTGCGTCGTGGTAAACAACCAGTGCATGTAAACATACCTTATGCTTAGGTAGTGGTTATCGCATGCCACACACCGAGGGCTTTCATGAACTCACTTAATGTTCCCTATGAGGTAGGGTTTTTCCCCAGCCCCACTTTACAAGTGGGGAAATTGAGACACAAAAAGTTAACCAACTTGCCCAAGGCCATGGAGAGCCAGAATTCAAACCCAGGCTGTGCGGGCCGTAGAGGAAACAGACACAACAGCAAACTAGGGGCTATAAAAAAGTGCTTTGGGCCTGGCACGGTGGCTCACGTCTGTAATCCCGGCACTTTGGGAAGCCGAGGTGGGCATATCACGAGGTCAGGAGATTGAGACCATCCTGGCTAACACAGTGAAACCCCGTCTCTACTAAAAATACAAAAACAAAATTAGCCGGGCGTGGTGGTGGGCGCCTGTAGTCCCAGCTACAGGCGGAGCTTGCAGTAAGCCGAGATCGCGCCACTGCACTCCAGCCTGGGTGACAGAGAGAGACTCCATCTCAAAAAAAAAAAAAAAAATCAGCTGGGTGGGGTAGTGGTTGTCTGTGATCCCAGCTACTTGGGAGGCTGAGGCAGGAGAATTGCTTGAACCCAGGAGGCGGAGGTTGCAATGAGCTAAGGTCACGCCACTGCACTCTAGCCTAGGCGATAAGAGACTCTATCTCAAAAAAACAACAACAAAAAAAGTGCTTTGTCCACTGCCTAAAAGGAGCAAAGTACAGACTTCAATAAATTGGATAAACCATGCAGGTCCATGCAGCTAGCAAAGGGTAGAGTCATGACTCAAATCCAAGTCTTTCTGGTTCCAAAGACCGCAATCAGCCCAGCATGATACTGCTCCTGTGAGAATTGTTTCAATAATTGCTATGTGGTGCTGCTCCTCTTTCCCCAGAGCTCATCGAGCAATATTTTCCCAAAGTACTCACTTCTGCCGAGGTCTTGAAAATTAGCATTCAATCAGAAGTTCATTGAAACACTAAGGGAAGGCTGCTTAGAAAATGGCAGTCTAGGCCGGGTATGGTGGCTCACACCTGTAATCCCAGCACTTTGGGAGGCTAAGGCGGGTGGATCATTTGAGGTCAGGAGTTTGAGACCAGCCTAGCCAACATGGTGAAACCCCACCTCTACTAAAAATACGAAAATTAGCTGGGCGTGGTGGCGGGCACCTGTAATCCCAGCAACTCGGGAGGCTGAGGCAGGAGAATAGCTGGAACCCAGGAGTCAGAGGTTGCAGTGAGCAGAGATGGCGCCATTGCACTCCAGCCTGGGCGACAAGAGCAAAACTACATTTTGAAAAAAAAAAGAAAAGAAAAGAAAGAAAAAGAAAATACAATATACATAATATACATGAGGTTGAGGAGGGGTCCCTGCGGCCCCCAGTGGAGAGTGGCATGGGACATTTAGGCCACACCAGGGGAAGAGTTTGGAGACAGGTCCCGGTGAGCTGTTTTCTCCAGGTTGTGCTAGATCATTTGACATTGAAACAAGAACCTCCCTTCTCCCGCCCCTTGCATCACAAGTCCTGAACCATTGGCTCCTGGGCTTTTCTGTCCTTGCTGTCTTTCCGACGCTGTTGGTCTGAAGTGGTAGAGTTGACATGCAGAAATGATTCTCTGGGCCCAGGGCTGGGACTCTCTATAGGCCATGACCTGCAGTGATGGTTCCGTTGACTTGAAGGGACCTCCGTTCCCCAAGGAGTCAACATGGCATGTGTTTGCTCCATTCACCTTGTTGGTACCTGTGGTGGGTGGATTTTTGCTACACAAGATGACCAAGTATTACCTTGAGCACACGGTGATTTAGGGCAGCCCTTATAAGCAAGATTTTGTCACCCAGCTGAGCATTTACTGTCCAGTCTCCAGGCTTCATTCCCCAGGCTGGGGGAAAAGACGAGAAGGTGGAGGCTTTCTTATCAAGGCATCCAGAGAACCGGCTGCTTTGGGCTCATCTGATCCAGTTGGCGTGGTGTCATGGAAAGAGTGGATCGTGGTGCTATTCTGTTGGGTGTCAGGACAGTTCAAGTGGCTGTGGGTTTGTCTGGGCAAAGACCAAGGGAATCATCACTTTACATACCTGCTGTGGGGTTGTTGTTCCTTTCCCCTGGAGATTTGGCCTCTCCTTAGGCTAAGGAGTTCTGGATCCACAAAACAGCCAAGGGATTGTGACATTTTATATGGACAATTGACTTCTATCTCTTGATCATCCCTAATTTTTTTTTTTGAGATGAAGTCTTGCTCTAGTCCTCCAGGCTGGAGTGCAATGGCACAATCTCTGCTCACTGCAACCTCTGCCTCCCAGGTTCAAGCGATTCTCCTGCCTCAGCCTCCTCAGTAGCTGGGATTACAGGCACCTGCCACCATGCCTGGCTAATTTTTGTATTTTTAGTAGAGACAGGGTTTCACCACGTTAGCCAGGCTGGTCTCAAACTCCTGACCTCAGGTGATCTGCCCACCTCAGCCTCCCAAAGTGCTGGGATTACAGGCGTGAGCCACTGCACCCGGCCCCTAATTTTTTTCTTTAAATGTTCTTAGAGTCTGGGTCTCACTCTGTCACCCAGGCTGGAATACAGTGGCCTGATCACGGTTCACTGAAGCCTCAAACTCCTTACCTCAAGTGATCCTTCCACCTTGGCCTCTCAAGTAGCTGGGACTGCAGACATACACCACACCACCCAGCTAATTTTTCTAAATTTTTGGTAGAGATGGGGTCTGGCTATGTTGCCCAGGCTGGTCTTGAACTCCTGGCCTCAAGTGATCCTCTCACCTCAGCATCCCAAAGCATTGGGATTACAGGCATGAGCCACCACACCCAGCCCATCCTTAATGTTTTTAATGGTACAAATGGAGTGGACCCTTTTTGGTGGCCCATCTATTCTGCCCTTAGAATGCTACATTCTGTTAATCGTCTCCATACGTCTTGTGAGCTGCTTCCACCTTGCCACTCACTAGGATGAGTGCTGCCACCTGATCTCTATCATTCCGGGGTCCTGTCATCTCCATTGCTATCGGGGAGCCGTGTGGGTATACAAGTCCCCCTTCGTTCGTGGTTTCACTTTACAAGGTTCCAGTTACCTGCAGTCAACCACCATCCAACAATCGGTGAGTATAGTACATTAAGGTGTTAGAGAGAGACAGCACATTCATGTAACTTTTATTATAGTACAGGTATATTGTTATAATTGTTGACTTTATTATTATTTTTATTAATCTCTTACTGTGCCTAATTTATAAATAAAACTTTATCATAGGTATGAATATATAGGATAAAACATAGTGTATAGGGAGGTTCAGTACTATCCACAGTTTCAGACATCCACTGGGAGGCTTGGAAGGTATTCCCTTCATATAAGGGGGAACTACTGTGTGTGTGTGTGTGTAAGAGAGAGAGACAGAGCAGAGACAGAGACAGGCATAGACAGAGAGAGAGAGAGAGAGAAGCTGTCCTGTGTGCCCATGGGTAGGATATGACTGTACAGTGAGCATGGAAGTTTGTGAGTATATGTGCATGGATGTGCATGGATGTGTGTGTTAATAAACTGGAGAACAGGCCTATGCGTGTTCGTATGTACAACAATCATGAAAATCCATCCCTGTGACCACTGCAGGGGCCTCACTTGTGTGCCACCATCCCTGTAGCAATGAAGAGAAACTGTCTCTGTGTCTCTTGAGGCTGGTTTACAGTAAACGCATGGAAACTGGACTGGAGCGAGTGTCTGAAGACCTAGTCCTGCACTGTGCTTTCCCTAGATGTCTGTCTGTCTGTCTACCTGTCTATCCTCCAGCGGTCTCTAGCCTCCTGGTTCATTCCTGGCATTGAGTAGCTGCTCATGGACTCTCTGGTGAACAAAGTAATGAGTGAACAAAGGGCTGCAACTGGGAGTGTGGAGGAGGAAGAGATGCAGAGAAAGTCCCACTGAAGGGGCTGTTACAGTGACTGTTACAGTCCACGAGGCCCATAGTACGTGCTCAGTGGATGTTTGTTGAATGACTGAATGGCTGCGTTTAGGTCTGTAAAAGGCTTTCCTACCACTGGTGCTGTCTGCGGGGGAGAGCCACTACTAAAATTCTTAGCAATGTGGGTGCCCTCTCTCCCAGTGGCCTTCGTGTGTCCTGGGTCCCCAGTGGGTGGTCTGGCCTTATTTAATATATCCCCTCAAGTATGCTGACGTCTCTGAGCTCTTTGATCTCTTCCTTCACCGTCTACTGCAGGAATCCTGCATCTCAACCTCCCTTAGCACAGGCTGAGCTGAATGGGAAGCTCACCAGCACGGCGTTTCAGGTCCCTGACCCAACTGTGTCTTCTGGATCTGCAGCTCTGCTGTCTAGAAAACTATATCAGATACATGGACATCAAGAAAGGGGTGACGCAGGCTGGGCGCGGTGGCTCAGGCCTGTAATCCCAGCACTTTGGGAGGCCAAGGTGGGTGGATCACGAGGTCAGGAGATCAATACCATCCTGGCTAACATGGTGAAAACCCGTCTCTACTAAAAATACAAAAAATTAGCTGGGTGAGGTGGCGGGTGCCAGTAGTCCCAGCTACTTGGGAGGCTGAGGCAGGAGAATGGCATGAACCCAGGAGGCGGAGCTTGCAGTGAGCCGAGATCGCGCCACTGCACTCCAGCCTGGGCGACAGAGCGAGACTCCACCTCAAAAAAAAATAAAAATAAAAATAAAGAAAGAAAAGAAAAGAAAAAAAGAAAGCGGTGATGCAGGTGTCAGAAGAAGCAACAGGAAGGACCAAGTCCCCTCCCGCAATTTTAACTGAAACATCCACTCCTTCGCTTTTGATGCTGGGGCTGGCGTGACTTCAACAGTCAATGTGGTAAGCTCATTTCCTGGAATGGCAATGAATCTGGGCACAGCAACTACAGGGTAGATTCATGTTTTACGTGCTCTCTGAGGAGTTAGAGCCCTGGTCCCTACACCTGGCATCAGCCTTCAACCTCAATCCTATCTGCCACACACCGAGAATCTCCTATCATCTAAACCAGTGGTTCTCAAATGGGGTGGTGCGGCGGTTGGTGGGGGAGAGTAATTTTTGCCCTGAAGGTACCTTTCTTTGGCAATGTCTGAAGACATTTGGGGTTGTGAAGATTTGGAGGGGGGAATGCTACTGGCGTCTAGCAGATAGAGGCTGGGGTGCTGCTACTTATTCCATGATGCAAAGGAAAACCACCTTCTCTCCAACAAAGAACCTGGCCTCAACTGTCAGTGGTGTTGTGGTCAAACCCTCTTGACACAGTTATAACCCCAGGCTCCTGAGGAGGGAGAGGGCATCTTGTCATAGCCCACCAGTACTATCAAGAAGTCTATACCATACACATTGAGGGCAGGATGTGGGAGGAAGTATGTGTGTATTCGTCTGGGGGTCACAGCAGTAAAGACACCCTCAAATTGGTTAATCTGAGCAGAGTTTAATAAAGACAGTATTTGCAGCCGGGCACGGTGGCTCACACCTGTAATCCCAGCACTTTGGGAGGCTGAGGCGAGCAGATCAGGAGGTCAGGAGATCGAGACCATCCTGGCTAACACGGTGAAACCCCGTCTCTACTAAAAATACAAAAAATTAGCCAAGCATGGTGGCGGGCGCCTGTAGTCCCAGCTACTCAGGAGGCTGAGGCAGGAGAACGGCATAAACCTGGGAGGCGGAGCTTGCAGTGAGCTGAGATCGTGCCACTGCACTCCAGCCTGGGCGACAGAGTAAGACTCCATCTCAAAAAAAAAAGACACTATTTGCGTTTAGGAAAACCAACAAGGAGTGTAGAGGCCTCAGGGGCTAGCAGTGGCAGAAAGTCTTTTCCACTTCTTGGCCTGAAGGAAGAAGGAGTATGTGGCCAGGAAAGCTGCAGAGAGGGGCTGCCTGATGAGCTGCGGCTGACAGCTGCAGGAACAGCTGGCTCAAGGTTACTTGGAGGGAGGAGCCTGGGGACTGTGACTGCAATTTCCTTCACCTCTTGCCCTCTGTTATCCTGAGAGGCCTCCTTTTTCTGAACCCCAGCAAAAGTCAGACACTAAGGGAGCCTGCTGTTCTAGTCCACATGGGCAAGACTCCTGGGACAAAACATTTAAGCATATTACATGGGTACCACAAGTCCACTGTGGACAAGCTAAAAGAAAATAAATCCCTTGGCCGGGTACAGTGGCTCACGCCTGTAATCCCCACACTTTGGGAGGCCAAGGTGGGAGGATCACCTGAGGTCGGGAGTTCGAGACCAGCTGACCAAGAGGGCGAAACACCGTCTCTACTAAAAATACATAATTAGATGGGCGTGGTGGTGCATGCCTGTAATCCCAGCTATTTGGGAGGCTGAGGCAGGAGAATCACTTGAACCTGGGAGGCGGAGGTTGCAGTGAGCCGAGATCACGCCAACGCACTCCAGCCTGAGTAACAAAATCAAAACTCCGTCTCAAAAAAAAAAAAAAAAAAAAGAAACAAAGAAAAGAAAAGAAAATTATCTGACTTTAATTTTAAACTCTTGTCTTTCTGAAGTGGAAATTAGTAACCTGCAGTTCCCTGGTTACTGATAACATCGTGCATCTTTTTGGGTTTTTGGGCCACTTTTGGATTCTTTTCTATGAACTGTCACTTTGTGTCTTTGGCCCATTTTTTCACCGGATGAACTGATTTCTTATTGATTGATGGGAGTTGTTTATATGTTATACCTGCTAGTCCTTGCGTCATACATATCCCAAATATCTTCGCTCAGTTACATGGCTTGTCTTTCATTCTGTGTGTCTTTCAGTGAAGAAAAGTTAAATACTTATCCTTCCTTGCATTTTTGGGGAGGAAGGGTTTTCCTTTCTAATTTTCCATTTTTATTTTCTGTTTTGTTTGTTTGTTTATGACAAGATCTCACTCTGTCACCCAGGCTGGAGTGCAGTAGTGCAATCATAGCTCACTGCAGCCTTGAATTCCTGGGCTCATGTGATCCTCCTACCTCAGCCTCCGGAATAGCTGGGACTACAGGCACACACTACCATGCCCAGCTAATTTAAAAAACTTTTTGCAGAGATGAGGTCTCGCGATGTTGCACAGGCTGGTCTAGAACTGCTGGCCTCAAGTGATCCTCCCACCTCAGTCCCCTAAAGCAGTGGGATTGATTATAGGTGTGAGCCGCTGTACCCAGCCTTAATTTTCAACTTTTCTTGATACTAGTTTGGTAGTTATTCACTCTTTCTATTTTTTCAGTGGTTGCCATAGAATGTTTAATACGCATTTTGAACTTCAAGTCCAAAATGTATCCATATTTTACCCAGTTGACATTTTTTAAAGTTAGGCAGCCTGAATCATAATGAATAAGAAAACGCTTCCTCCTTTTTGCAGTTACCTTATTATGACTCATGTTCATTACTGGTTCCCTCTGCCATGTTGATCTTTGGTGAGGGGGCTAAGAGCTTAAACCTCCAATTCTGAAACCTGATGATGAACCTTGGAACTGCCTCCAAGTGCAACGTTCAGAGCAACTCTGAAAGGCAGTAAGAATCAAATACCAGGGACTTGCGTCCGTGACTTCATCTTCCGGGCCTGGTGAAGAATGAGCTCAAGACAATAAGAATCTGAAAGGTGCAACCCCTAGAAACACTAAAGGAAATTTTAAGAGACCAGCTGACAAAGAGGTAATACTAACGGCACCTCTACCAGGTGGAAAGGAATTTTTTTTTTTTTTGAGATGGAGTCTCGCTCTGTGGCCCAGGCTGGAGTGCAGTGGCGCGATCTCGGCTCACTGCAAGCTCCGCCTCCTGGGTTTACCCCATTCTCCTGCCTCAGCCTCCCGAGTAGCTGGGACTACAGGCACCTGCCACCGCGCCGGGCTGATTTTTGTATTTTTAGTAGAGACAGGGTTTCACCATGTTAGCCAGGATGGTCTCGATCTCCTGACCTCATGATCCGCCCGTCTTGGCCTCCCAAAGTGCTGGGATTACAGGCATGAGCCACTGCGCCCGGCCAGAAAGGACACCTTGAATCTGCTTCTCCCTGAAGCAGACAGACTATCCAAAGGCAGCGGCATCAAAAATTCCAAGCGTGGCCGGGCACAGTGGCTCACGCCTGTAATCCCAGCACTTTGAGAGGCTGAGGTTGGCGAATCACTTGAGGTCAGGCGTTCAAGACCAGCCTGGCCAACATGGTGAAACCCTTCCTCTACCAAAAATACTTAAAAAAAATTTAGCCAGGCATGGGTGGCACGCAACTGTAGTCCCAGCTACTTGGGAGGCTGAGGCAGGAGAATCGCTTTAACCTGGGAGATGGAGGCTGCAGTGGGCCGAGATCACACTACTGCACTCCAGCCTGGGTGACAGAGTGAGACTCCATCTCAAAAACCAAAACCAACCAAACAAAAAAACCCAAGCGCAAAGCTAAGTTTGAACCCCTGGCACACCCACACCACATGTGGTTTGAGTTGTGATTGGTGTAAATCTATACATTTAAACACATTTCAGTTACATAGATCTTAAGCGTAGATCTTTCCTTACCTAGTAGCTGCACCTTGACTGACCCACTGGGTAGGTTTTGAGGGCATGAGGAAGGGCGGCACCCCCATTCCCTCCTGCCTTCTGCAGGAAGCACCGGCTTTGCCTATCACTTCTGAAAATGAGAGACAAGAGGTACCCTTCAATGCCTGGGCTGCAGACTTCATGGCATTCCCCAACCTGGTATAGTGAGCTGTAGTTTAAAATATGCTGTGGTGGATCTACAAACAGTTCAAAATATTCATAGAAATAAAAAGTCAATCTGCATTGTGAGAATACTGTATGTTGCACACCGTTCTGAGCGCTTGGTATGTTTCTACTTACAACCTCCTCAGAAAACCTGTAATGGATGTGGGGTGTGTGTTATCATCATGCCCGTTGTATAGATGAAACGGTGCAGGTCCCTGGGGGTTCCTGGGAGCTACTTTTCAGGACACCCTGGGAGCAAGTTGAGGAGCTTGGTATAGCTCCTAGACAAACTGACTCCACTTCCTTCTGCCACATATTACCCCCAGGCAGAGATTGGGTTTATACGCTATCAAATAGGGACTGTGTCTACACCCAGAAGGGTAAATGATAAACCGGGTGTTTTACCCAGACACTATGGTTAAAATATAAAAATGTATTAAATAAAATCCAGTCATTTCGGATATCCATAAGCTATGCAAAATGCTTCCTTGCTGTGCTTCTCTGCCTTCGTTTCCCATTTCCCTTCTCAAATTACAGACCCATTAATATGAGCCTCTAATCTCATTCCAGTTAAAATGGCTTTTATTGGCCCAGTGTGGTGGCTCACGCCTGTAACCCCAGCACTTTGGAAGGCTGAGGCAGGTGGATCACTTGAGGCCAGGAGTTGGAGACCAGCCTGACCAACATGGTGAAACCCTGTCTCTACAAAAAATACAAAAATTAGCAGGACTTGGTGGCAAGTTGTGTGCTTGGTGGCACACAACTGTAATCCCAGCTACTAGGGAGGCTGAGACACAACAATTGCTTGAATGTGGGAGGTGGAGGTTGCAGCGAGTTGAGATTGCGCCACTACACTCCAGCCTGAGCGACAGAGCAAGACTCTGTCTCCAAAGATAAAATAAGAAATAAAATAAAATGCCTTTTATTGAAAAGACAGGCAATAATGAATGCTAGTGAGGATGCAGAGAAAAGAGAATCTTCATATACTGTTGGTAGGAATGTGTATTAGTATAACCAGTATGGAGAACAGTTTGGAGAACAATATAGAAGTGCCTGCAATACTAAAAATAGAACTGCCGTATGATCCAGAATCCCACTGTGAGATATATATCCCGAAGAAAGGATATCAGTATATTGAAGACATTCCATGTTTATTGCGGCACTATTCACAATAGCCAAGGTTTGGAATTAATCTAAGCTTCCACCAACAGATGAATGGATTAAAAAAAAAATGTGGTACATACACAGGGTGGAGTACTATTCAGCCATAAAAAAAGAATGAGACCCTCTCGGCTGGGCGCGGTGGCTCACGCCTGTAATCCCAGCACTTTGGGAGGCCGAGGTGGGCAGATCACGAGGTCAGGAGATCGAGACCATCCTGGCTAACATGGTGAAACCCCGTCTCTACTAAAAATACAAAAAATTAGCCAGGCCTGGTGGTGGGCGCCTGTAGTCCCGGCTACTCAGGAGGCTGAGGCAGGAGAATGGCATGAACCCGGGAAGCAGAGCTTGCAGTGAGCCAAGATCACACCACTGCACTCCAGCCTGGGTGACAGAGCGAGACTCCGTCTCAAAAAAAAAAAAAAAAAAGAATGAGAACCTGTCATTGGCAACAACATGGAAGGAAATGTAAGACATTATGTTGAGTGAAATAAGCCAGGCACAGACAGACAAGCTTTGCTTGTTCACACTCATTTGTGGGAGCTAAAAATTAAAACAATTGATCTCATGGAGAGATAGAGTTGAATGATGGTTACCAGAGGCTAGGAAGGGTAGTATGGGGATGGAGGGCGGGAAGTGGGGATGGTTAGTGGGTGCGAAAACATAGTTTAATAAATAAGATCTAGTATTTGATAGCACCATAAAGTGACTATAGACAACAATAATTTATTGTACATGTTAAAATAACTAAGAGTATAATGGGGATGTTTGTAACACAAAGAAAGGATAAACGTTTGAGGTGATGGATACCCCACTTTCCCTGATGGGATGTTACATATTGAACGCCTGTATCAAACTGTCTTGTGTACCCCTGAATATATACACCTATTATGTACCCACAAAAATTAAACATTAAAAAAACAAAAAAAATGAGCCATTAAATTTCCCTTCATGGATTTCATTAATTATGTGCACGTCCAAAACTGTGTATGTGAGCACAAAGTAAAAGCTGAAGGTTTTATTTGGTGAATCTGATCTCTGGAAATAGCCTGAGTAATTTGGGCTGAGAAACTTTCCTTTTTTTTTTTTAAGACAGGGTCTCACTCGGTTGCCCAGGCTGAAGTGCAGTGGCCCAATCACAGCTCACTGCAGCCTCCACCTCCAGGGCTCAAGCAATCCTCTCGCTTCAGCCTCCCGAGTAGCTAGGACCATAGGCATGTGCCACCATGCTTGGCTAGTTTTTTATAGTTTTGTAGAGACAGGGTCTCGCTATGTTGCTCAGGCTGGTCTCAAACTCCTGGGCTCAAGTGATCGTCCTGCCTCAACCTCCCAAAGCACTGGGATTACAAGCATAAGCCACTGCGCCTGGCCTGAAAAACTCTTTTTTAGAACTCCAATATCCAAACTGGTAAAAGTGCCTAGGGAAAGAAAGCCTTGCAGTTGTTAGATGGCTCTCCTCAAATTCAGTACATAGTTGAGGGGCTCCTGCATCCAGGAACTCACAGTTTAAAGGGGGGACATTAACATCATTACTCATAATGCAAGGTAGGAGGAACCTAGGACTTGGAAGGCATTTCCTTTTTGCAGCCTCAACACGTCACTTACCTCAAGTCAGAGACGGAGGATGTTTTTGGCTTGGATGACCTTTCAGGATCCTCTAATTTGATCCTTGTAACATAGGAGTGAAAAAACTGAGGGCCAAAGAGGTTGTCCAAAGTGATGATGCTGGGAATTGAGATCCTGATGCTATTTCCCCTCCTTCTGGCTCCTGAGGGGGTGACTTGATTTCTGCAGCTCTTGAGAGGGGTTGGAGTGCTTGTTTGAACCCCCATATCCAGCTTCCCTCGGTTACGTAACACATTAGACCAAGGGTTCCATGATGGTTGTCACCTCCTGCCCATGGACCTGGCTACACACTCCATAGCTCGGTCCCCTGTCAACTATTTTGCAAAATGGTTTTCAAATTGGCAAGCACAAATACACCCCAGGGTTACTCAGTGGCTACATGGACCAATCGTGACTTCCTTCTTTCCTGAACTAGCAAGAGAGAGGGTATTCCCCACCCCCGCCAGCTTAAAGACAGGAGATACCCAGCCTGCCCTTGACCCGCGGACCTACAGGAAGACAGTCATGCCCAGGCAGCTGTGGCTTGGGGACTGTCACCTTGGATTTCTGGTTTACAGTGACAGGCACCATGCCGGTAGGGGTGGGAGATGGGGAGCATCTCAGCACATTTCTGTGGGAGCAGGGATAGGGAGCAAGAGGTCTTGTCTTCTGGGAGGGAATCCAAAGCTCCCCCGTAGTGGGCTGGGGAGCATGGAATAGCTTCTAGATGAGCCAGACCTACTGGATTTCCTCACTGCCTAGGCTCTCCAGGCTCTTCATTTGCAACGTGTTATTCTGGGGCACAAGCGCTGGTGTCCCAAACCCTGAAACTGTGAAATTGGCTGTGCTCCAGCGACCCACCAAATCAGCAGAAATGCTTTCGGCAGTCCCCTTCTTCCTCTATTTAAAATCAGCCTCTGCGTGAATTCCCCCCAGAGTCGGGATTCTTTCCAATCAGTCACTTTCTGATATCTTAACAGCTTGGTAAAGAAATGCAGCTTTTAATTGAGGGGAAAGACAGCACACGGAAGTCGATATCTTTGTACAGATCCTTTTTATTCAGATTTATATAGGCAATTTACCAACACAGAAAACCAGTCTAGCAGCTCCAAAGTAACTGTAAAAACGGTGGTGCTGACGGTGGTGTGCCCCACACAGGGCAGGTGACCTCAGACGTGGAGCAGCATCTCCCGTGGGATACTATTTCAGACGTGCACTAGTGAGTGTATACTGAGAAGGGATTATAAACCTTCCCTGGCACAACAGATACAAAAAGAGATAGAACCAATGATATTTTGTCTAGGTACAATATCTAGATTTACAGTATCTAGTTTACTGGCTTCACTTCGTATAGCAATGCACAATAGAAAACGGATTTCTTTCTTCAAGGGTATTCAAGAATATAGTAAATATGTTACTATATTGATGGCTATGAAAACAGACAGAGACAAATGAGTGAGGAGGCACGTTCTCTCACAGAGACAGGACTTCATTCTATTTCACATAAATCATTAAGGGTCCATTCAAATATAAGACCTCTCACAAAGTTTCAGTCATGTATGAGGGCGCTTACCTTTAAGACCCCATTTCAAAACCATTTTGAAATAGTGAAGGGGGGAAAAAGTCACACTCAAATGTGCTACTCTTAAAAGCAGTGTTTCTAAGCACAGCTTGCCTTTTTCAAAGAGTGAAGGTGGCCTTTCTGTTTAGTGGTTAGGTAATTGGGTGCAATAATCAAATCTTAAGGCAATGGCAAGGCTGATGGTGGGGATTTGGCACAATAAGGGGAAGGAATGATGCTGTCCAGTTGTACCTTAAATCCTAAAGGATTACTAATGACATGGGAGGGATAGCTACCTGCCCCACACACAGGGGCTCCTGGACAATACCGTGGCTTTAGAAACAAACCTAGGTTCTGAGGGAATGACACTGCAAAGTCTTACAGAAATCCTTTTATGAGATAGCCAGTCCAGAATAAAGCCTTTGCGGTACTTGTCAACAAGCAAGAAGCCTTCTGAAGAGGTAGATGAAAGCAGTATTTCACAGCAGGTGTGCTGCCCGACGTGACGAAAGACATGCATGCGCCTCTCAGCACAGACCAGAAGATCAACTGTTGTTGAAAACAGTCCATGGTGGTGAGAAGAGATGTCGGCCACATTACTAGGTGCATTATTTCAATTTTATTGTATTAAGAACAGGAAGGACTGCCATTTCTTTAAATAACAAACTATACAAATAAAAAGGAGCAGAAATAATATGGAATGTTTTTGACGAAAACAAACTTATGGATTCAATAAATAATATAAAATGCCTTTGTGCTAAAATAGAACTCTTGTTTCTTATATATATATAGTTCAGTGATCTTTATGCTATCCAGAAAAAGCCAGATCTATTATAATTAAACATAGAAAAATACCATTTAACAATAAAACTAAAAAAATGGCCAGTGTTGAGCTTATAAACCACATATAATATATACATCATTTAATATAATCAACTAAGAAAGTAAATTTCAAGTTCTTTGTAATACAAATACACAATTGAAAATATTTCTCCATTCCCTACCCTTACATCAAAGACATCTGATATTTAGGACAAAATTAAAAATGGAAGCATAGTTACCAGTTTTCAGAGATGATTCTGAGATTGTTAGATACTGGAGCGCTAACTCTACTATACAAAGCTGAGTTATTTAACTCTAAATTGAAGGATTTTTTCCCCTATATGTGTTTGATGAAATGCGTATACTCTTAACCCATTTTCTGTAGTTTGTGTTTTTAATAAAGGCAATTTAAAATTTGGGAGCCTGCGTTTCTCAATCAGTGCTAACACAGCCAGGTCAGAAAGACAGCCCCTTTGGGCCAGCTGTGGGGGCCTGCAGGAGTGGTTATCTCTGTGATTCGGCTGAAATAAAACAACTATCTTAGTCCTTAAGGACAAAGAAAATATAAAGTTCATTGTGACTTGAGGAAGCCAAGGAGTACCATTTTAGAGTTCAAATTTCATTTGTTTCATAATAAACTTTGTTAAAATGTGACCTGGATTAAAAAAAAATCATATTAACATGAATTTAAGTAATTCAAGTCTCTCCAGTAAACTTTACATAGGAGGGAAAAATCATGTTAAATCTTTAGGAAAAAATTTAAACGGTTAATTACTTAAAAAAATTTTTTTTGTAGAGATGGGGTCTTGCTGTGTTGCCCAGGCTGGTAACTCACCGTGGAAGTGAGCAGGGTAGAACAGAAGAGGCCTGTTACTCTTGACAGTTTTACCAGGACTTCAGTGGATTTGTAACAGTGTCCCCAACTGACCAATGGGGCAATGCATTCACAGTGATCCAGACACTGCCTCTCCACCTCGGGGGCTGCAAAGTGCACACACACACACACACACACACACACACACACACACACACACACGGGGTGTTTTGGAGATGGCCTGGTAATGCTTTAGCTCTGGGTCCCCTGTGCCTCCATGGGAGGGTGCCAGAGGGTAGGCAGAGGCAAAAGAACTTCTTCAGAAAGTCCTGATAGGCAGCAAATGGCTTCTGAATGAGTTCAGCAGCTCCACATTCAAAAACAAAGTGACCAAGTCTCAGAATAATTATCATAAGGAAAACTCTCCTGTTACAGGGGGGAAAAAAGAAACTTCACCTATTTTAACTCAGTTATTTCCTTGGTGCTTTATGGTGTAATGATTTTTACCAGTAACTTCTTTCTTCCTTCGCCCGATTTCTACCACTATTCTCTTTGTGACACCCAGCCCAGCCCCCACCTGTCACAGATCCCAGTGAAGCCCAAATCATCTCCCAACAAGTCAACCCCTCACTCAGGGTGGGAGGTGTTAATTCATCAAGCATCTCTGAATGACACAGAAACATTTCCCTGAACGTAACTGAGACAACACTGCATATGATTAAATCATACAAGATAACTCTTATCTTACACCAGCACATTTCAAAGCATTTCTATAGGTTTACATCATGCTAAAGAGGCCAGACTTTGAGAACGTTGTTTTCTTCTTGATATGTTAAAATTCTGAAACATTAGAAAAATCAATTCCACTGAAAAGTAAAATGTGTTGAATTGGCCCAGCTACAAATTCCGAGTGAAATTTTAAAAAGCAGAGAAAAACCACACTTTGATCTTTTTAATCTAGTTAAATCCCTGTCGTCAATTGGTAAACATTACTTTGTAGATGACCAGTGTGGCCTTCAAACAGTCGTTTCTAATATCTGTATATGGCATATGTCAGACCAGAAATCAAGCTACATCTTGTTTGCAACAAACAGACCATTGTTTGTTGCTGCTGCTGTCTTCAGCAAAATGCTTCCTTTCCTCAGTGCATCTCACTGGATATTTAGCCCCCCTCCTTTTTTTTTTTGAGACAGAGTCTCGCTCTGTCGCCCAGGCTGGAGTGCAGTGGCGCAATCTCGGCTCACTGCAAGCTCTGCCTCCCGGGTTCATGCCATTCTCCTGCCTCAGCCTCCCAAGTAGCTGGGACTACAGGCGCCCGCCACCACGCCCGGCTAATTTTTATTTGTATTTTTAGTAGAGACGGGGTTTCACTCTGCTAACCAGGATGGTCTCAATCTCCTGACCTCGTGAACCGCCCCTCTCGGCCTCCCAAAGTGCTGGGATTATAGGCGTGAGCCATCGTGCCCGGCCAGCCCCTTCTTTTTAAACATAGGACCTGAAATTGTCACGTCAGTGAATGGACCAATCAGAGGCATGAGCACTTTGCATGAATGGTGACATAATAAGCTGACTTCTAGAAGTTTTGTTGAAAAATCATACTTAAATATGACAAAGAAGGAAAACCAATGAGCCCCCATGACATGAGGGGATGAATGAACCAAAGAGAATGTTTTAGGTTAAAAATAATAAACCTGAATTCACAAAGGTTTTTAATTTATTCCATATATATCTTACATAGCAGCTTAAAGTAATCTATTATTTTTAGGCTTTATTGATTCTTTTGAATCATGAAATCAAGACTTATTACCGCATGATTTTGTAAAAATATCAACCTCAATTATTTTTCTCATCAATGTTAAAATATCCCAACCACAGGAATCTAAAATAATGAAAAAAAATAGGCTGAATTTTGACCTTTTTAATAGTTGGAGTGTAATAAGGGTGAACATCTAGGAATTATGTAATACTTGGAAAACCTTCTAAAACATCCAAGTACTATGGCTGGGCATGGTGGCTTACATCTCTAATTCCAGCATTTTGGGAGGCCAAGGAAGGAGGATCACTTGAGCCTAAGAGTTCAAGACCCCATCTCTACCCAAAAAATAAATTAGCCAGGAAAGGTGGCATGCACCTGTAGTCCTAGCTACTCAGGAGGCTGACGTGGGAGGATTGCTTGAACCTAGGAATTCAAGGCTGCAGTGAGCCATGATCATCCCACTGTTCTCCAGCCTGGGTGACAGAGCGAGGCCCTATCCCAAAAAATTAAAAAATTAAAAAAAAACAACAGCCAAGTATACCATGATGTTTAATCCAACTGACTTTTCCTCTGGCCATGCAGGCAACCGGGTGCAGACACAGCGGTATCCTGTGTCTGGTCGCAGAAACACCTCCATCACAACATTTTGGCAGAAGGCACTCAAACCAGACCCCAACACAACTGGTGACCGCCCTCAGAAACAGCTCAATCTAGTCTTACAAAGCACTTTTAATAAATGACATCTAGATGTACTTCTCAACCATATCATTACAAATCAAATGTGAGTTGGGGAAGTGTAAAAGTTTACACTTTTGTTTGAAGCAAAAGGACTTTCAGAGCATTTTCCAATTCATATATCTTTTCTAAAAGGGAGTGGAGCCTTATGTTCTATTCTTAGAGCAGAAATTCTAGTTTTTGAAAGAGATGCGGATCAGCTCAATTTTAGAACAAGTATGGGAAAGTTGAATAATCTTTCTGAACACGTTTGTGCAGCTCACGCCCTAGGTACGAGATATTAGACGCTAAGCCCAGACCCTGGTGGAGTCAACAGCAGGCCCTTTATCCTGGAGATCTAGAACAGGCATGAGGCCCAGCGCATCCTCAACTGCACATGCTGAGAACCTATGAGCTTGAGATGCAGACGGGAACGGCATCAGTCACAGCTATAATTAACCAGGGCTGGGAAGACATTCACTCTTTAAGAACAATGGCTTTTCTGCTTCTGGAGTGTGTGTGTGTGTGTGTGTGTGTGTGTGTGTGTGTTTCAACAGAATTTGAATACTATTCTTCCTTTTTAAATAAGGAGAATGCATGTAAGTAGTACATCCCTCCTCCCACACTGGAAATAACAGATAGTAGAAAATGTATGTTAATTTAAACCCCAACTAGTAGTTGAGATAGACAAAAAAAAAAACCCACATTTTTTTTTTTGCAAAGTAACTCTTATGAAATAATGGACCCTTTTGGTAATTATCTTCCAAACTCTCAAAATAACTGCATTAAAAAGTACTTACTTTGCCCATGAACACAGCAAACAAATACAAAAACAAAGATTTGGAACTGCTAAAAATATCAAGGACAGGATGCAGACAATTACGATGTCAAGTTATTTATACTGTTAGTAGTTAATGTAAAGACATACACTAAAACTACTCCAAGAATGGGACAAATACGTGGATTTGTAAAATTTTTTTTTTAAGACTGATGACATGGGGGATTTCGCTGGTTCTCATAACCCAGCATCTATTTGGGGGTATCAGTGGGGCCTGGAGGCAGTGGGAGAAAACAAACTTCACAGGGCAGATGCTGCTGGGACCAGGAAAAAGGCTTCATGCCCTAAGGTCCTCACTGTCGTACAGCCCAGTGCAAAGTATCATTCATTCATGACAGATGCATGACGACATGAAAGTCAATATACACAGTTAACCCATTTTGACACATTCATTCCTCAGCATTTTTTCAATACAATTCATCTGAAATTATACTAAGACATAAAACAGACCTGCTTTTGTACATCCATTACTGATATGTCTCCCAGGGTCAGGCAGAAGGAACCAGAATGACTGTCACACAACTGCTAATTGTCGAGACCTGAGACGGACTCACCCATGAGTGCTCCTGCATGCCAGGTACTGCTTGTCGACTCGTGCACACTGGACTCAAAGACTTTTGAAAACTGCTCTTGCCCCTGAAACCTAAAACTCCACGGCCTGTCCTTCAGAATCACTGTAAATCTTTCCAATGATGGACGGATGAATGCCTTCAATGATTAGTTAATCCCATACACTTGGATAGTACGTGTCCGTCATTCCCACCTGGCTGAGGGGGCCCCGGAACAGACTGGTCAGAGGCAGGGCAGTCATGTGGGTGCGGCTCCCAGAGGAGGGCCCAAGTGCAGAAATATCTTCAACTTTTAATATCATCAGAAAATATCTTCAACTTTTAACCCCAGGACAAGAAGTCAGTTGCGAAGTGCACAAAAGAAACACACTGTGGCTCTCCCATCCCCCAGCAGTATGGAGCAAAGACATAGAAAATCAGCAGTGACTAGACAGAATATGTGGCAATGCTTAGGGCAATCTGTTACCCAACACTGAACATCTTTAAATTCCATTCTGGGGAGTCTAAGATGTGTTTGATATCAGACATAAAAATTTACGTGATAAGTAGGAGTCACTTCAAGTTCTAGGTTCATAGGTACCAAAGTGTGTAGCAAAGAAAAAGAACTTTTATTTCTTCAGTAGTTTCTAATGCAGACAAATGTGACAAGGCAGGGAGCTGAGCTGACCCCAAGCCGAAGGGTCCCGACTCCTCTCGGGAGCCTGGAGGAGTCCCGGTAGCGAATAGATCAGATGCCTCATCCTCGTTCACCCCAAAAGGCTGAGACCCTGGTGTGTCCTCCTCGAGGACCCTCCCTGTTTCTGGGTGCTAGAGGCCGTTGCTGTTTCTGTGACAGAGGGATGGCTTTGGGAGCTCCACAGTACCTGACCGAGGTTTGTTGAGGAACTTCGGGGCACGACGCAATAGCCGCTGGGCCTCCTTGAAGGTTTCGTTCAACTCTTTCTTCCACTGCACAAACTCTGGATCACTCTGAGGGGGAATACAAAGGCAGCCGTTGTGACAGGCTCACCCATTTTGCCAACAGCGGAGGCTGCCCCTATTGATTACCAGCGTCCCTGGAACCCCTGAAGGAAGCACACCCTACGTGTCCACCCCCAGTGGCATTACTAGCTGATGGGTCACGCTGCCACCTTCTCCAGAATCTCTTGAAAAGAGCAGGGAAAGGCCACATTAAAACCCTTCAGATGATTCCAGTACAATCCCACTCTGAGAATCACTGCCTTTAATTTGTTTAGAGATTACTTTTGATTTCTAAAACAACTGAAATCTATAATAATATAGGGGAAGGAGTTTTGACAAATTAAAAAATGTTTTAAATATATATTCATGTATGTAATGTAGTACTGATGTTAGTAAAAATGATTTTTTTGCATCTAATACGTGTTTATTTCTCTAAATATGCTCTCTTAAAACACACACACTAGTGAACCAGTCACAAAGTGTCCAGGAATGAAATTTGTGTTACAATGTAACTTTGAGGAAAAGATGGCATTTTCGTTTAGAGAAGATGGCATTTCAGTTTGCCGTCTTATATTTATCTAAATATATAAACCTTAACATCGAACATGCCGAAAAATCTTCAAAGTTATAGAACAAATAAAATTCCAGCCCTATTAAATACTGAGCAGATTTTCCAGATAGAGTAATGACATTATTTCACCTGCATCCTCCTGCCATTTTCTAATATTTGCCTTTTTAAAAAATCACGATGAATTTGCTGAAAACCTTGTACCTTGGGGCTTTCTTACTAAGTTTGTAAGTGATAAAACATGGCATAAGAAAATGTTTTATAGACAGGCAGTCAACTTTGCTGAATATTTAATTATTCTAACATTCACCTAAGAAAAAATAAAAACTCACCTCACATTGCAAGACAAATTGTTTCCCTCCTTTTATTCTGAACAAAATGCATTTTTTGTCTTTAATTTGAGTTTCTTCCACAGAGAGAATCTGTTCCATTGTCAGTAAATTTTGCTAACCATAAAAACAGAAATTTAAAATTCAAATTATTTTGTGATTTCTTAAGTAGTAATACCAAAAACTACCAAGTTAGAACAAGTAAAAAAAGAAAACACATTCGGTTTTCTTTCTTTGATGGTATTCTAGAAGTAAGGGGAAAATGGCTATAAAGGAACACAAACAAAAGTTCAAATTATAATGTTTCAAGGAAAACTGCAGAGAAAGCAATGTTTTGCTAGGGAAAAACGGCAAAGCTGTTCCCTCAACACAGAACTGATTTTGAATGATGATGAATCGCAAGCCTACTTGCTGTATGGCACACTCATATACATTCTGTCAATAACATTGTGAGGAAGCAACAGAGCCACATATGATTTATGTGAGCCAAAGGTGTGTGGTTCAGTTTTAAGGCAGCAACTCAGTAAATGTTTACTGATGTCAGCTTGTAAGCTAACAATATTTTGATAGTATCCCAATGATGTCATAAATAGAGGTGGTTTCATTAAAAGATTAAAAGGTCTATAGGCTGGGCGCGGTGGCTCATGCCTGTAATCCCAGCACTTTGGGAGGCCGAGGCGGGTGCATCACGAGGTCAAGAGCTCGAGACCAACCTGGCCAAGATGGTGAAACCCCGTCTCTACTAAAAATACAAAAATTAGCCGGGCGTGGTAGCGGGCTCCTGTAGTCCCAGCTACTCGGGAGGCTGAGGCAGGAGAATCGCTTGAACGCAGGAGGTGGAGGTTGCAGTGAGCCAAGATCGCGCCACTGCACTCCAGCCTGGGCGACAGAGCAAGACTCTGTCTCAAAAAAAAAAAAAAAAAAAAAAAAAAAGTCTATAGTATTATTCCTTAAAGTGAATGCTATAGTGTCATGAGTTCCTTAGCGTCTTACGGTTTTTGTTTTAAATAAATACTTCAGGAATCCTGAATGAGAAATGGCACTCTGATAAACACTCAGGTTTTCTTTTTCCTTACTTAGACTTACAAATCTGCTCATGCATATTATGTAGCTTCTTAAATAGAACACTAAATGTTGAACCTTTTAAAACCAAGCTCATTTATTGCATCCAATGTTAAACAAAGGTAAAAGTTTTGTTTTTTTAAGTTTTCAAACAGCCTGAAAAGTGGGGTGATTTCCTTTTAACATGCCAGTGGGTAGCATAATAAATGTATAATCTGCCCAGGTCCGCTCATTACCTGGAAATACAGTGAGCTTTGGGGAGCTACTCTGATGCTTCCCAGCCCTGAGTTACACTTCAGGTCCCCAAAAGGATCTTATTAATTGGAACTTAGATCCTAGATTCTAATTTTTCAAAAATAACTTCGATGGCAGGAGTGATGGTTGGGAAGATCTTCTTTCTTTTCAAAGAAATGGAGTGATATGCAATTGTAATCATTCATAATTGAATGAAAACTTTGCTAACAGTAAACTAAAAATACAGTCCAAAGTCAAATACATGAGATTTAGGTGCCCTGTTTTCCACACTTCTGATCTCTGGAGAACAGATGGGTGGTATTCCAACATATCCAACACATAAACAATGTTTTGAGTGTTTGGGACCATCGTCCTGCTTACGATGACTCACCAGGCCCCCCCCCCACCCCACCAAGAAAAGAAAAGATGCCTTCCACCAGGGTTGGCTCCTTCCTTGTTGACAAGCCCTGGGCTCTTCACCCAGTAGGCACTTAATAAATGCTGCCTGATTTGCTGAAAGGTAGTGCGGATCAGAAATTTCTTTTTATCTTGTTCACAAACATTAGCTCTCGAAAGGATCTTAGAGGGCAGCTACATCTTGCTGTCTGTTGTATGATCCACCTACAAATTCTCAACAAGGTGGAGACACAAGGAAGCATCTTTTGGTGACCTCATCTCTGTGCCAAGTGTCATGGCCTGGGACATTTTATTTGACCCAACTAGGAGAGGCCGTACAATGGAGAGACTGAGGGCACAGGATGACCTGGTCTGAGTCACCCTTCCACCTCCTAACTGTCCAGTTGTGTTTTTGGGTGGCAGACTTTCCTCTTCTAAGCCTGCTTTCCTCTTTATAAAATGAGAGTTGGACCCTCAAAGGTTCCCAAACACATGGAGTTTTTTTTTTTTTTAACAGCACTTGACCTCAGATAAACATGCAAAAATTACAGTACAGTCATCCCTTAGTATCCACAGGGGACTGGTTCCAGGAACCCCTGAGTAGCATAATAAATGTATAATCTGCCCAGGTCCAAATTATACAAAATCCACAGATGCTCAAGTTGCTGATATAAAATGGTATCGTATTTGCATATAACCTTCACACATCCTCCTGTATACTCTAAATCACCTCTAACGTAAATGCTATGTAAACAGTCGTTAGACTGTGTTGTTTTTTTTCTGTATTAGTTTTTATTGTTTTGTTGTTATTTTAAATTTCTTTTTCCCGCATATTTTCTCTCCTTGGTTGTTTGAATCCCAGGATGGGGATCTGTGGATATGGAGGGCTGACTGCAGTTGTTATGATTTCTATTTCCCTCATTTCACAGATGAGAAAACGGAGGCTGAGAGAGTCAATGTGACGTGTTCAAAGTCCCAGAGACACTCAGCAGTGGAGCTGAACACCTCTGTCTGACTTCAAAGTCCAGCTTGTCTTTTCTTTTTAGATCTGTCTAACTGCTCTCCAGCCTTCTTCAAATCCATCTGATGATGTGGTGCTTCTGACCTCACTAAAAAGCATGTTCTATTTTCAGGTATTACCAAGTTGTTCCTTGACTTGGAAGTTTAAAAACAAGTTAAAGTTTGCACATTACAATCTCATGTAGAGCAGTAAAATAGAATCACAGAGTTTCGGAGGATAGTGTATAAAACATGTCAGCAACATGAAATAACCATATGCCATTGTACGTACTGGGAAACATGCTCGGTGAGGCTGCCTTAGACTTACCCGGGACTCTCCCTCTCCTCTCCATTCAAGTCTATTTGGAAAGAGGTAAAAATAGCGACGCTGCCACTGAGTCAGAAATGGGTTTCCCAGTTTCAGCATGTACCCGTGCATAATACAGTCCTTCCCCAGAGCGTAATCTGAGGAATACAAAATCACTAGGAGTTAAATAGGCTCTGAAACAAAATGTCTTAGCAGCATTATTCTCTGAAAAAAGAACAGACATGCTTTTTGGAAAAAGCAGGTTTCTATAAATAGAACGCATTACAGAAGTCACGATTTTAGTTTTAAGTGCATGTGTACTGGGGATCTAAAGATCAGAGGGTTCTGCAGCTCTCTCTGCTCACACAGTAAATGATTGCTTCTCAATATGCTGATAAATCCATGATGTTCATTTATTGCTCTGGGAGGGCAAAAGTTAGTTTCCAAACTCTTTTCATTATGTGTAATGAGAACCGGAGAATAGACGGTATTTAAAGTCAAGCTATCCCCAAAGTACCTTCGCCTTTACGTGGGGTTGGGATTCCCCCTTTAATCTCCCTTTTATCTTAAAAATAATAATAGTGGGAATTTTCTTGTCTAAGTAATTTAAGGTAACATAAGGATCAAAAATGGTTCCTTCCTCAGCTTAATGTTAGGTTTATTCCTCAAATATATGGTTATGTATAGAGATAATTCACAGACATTGTTGAGTCCTGATTACATTTTTACAGTGAAGGACTGTGTCCTTAAAAAAAGAAAAGGTTAATTTTAAAGTCTGTATTAAAGGCTTTGGTGATTGTCCTAAAGTCATTCAGTCACACACTCATTTCTTCAACAAGTGGCACGTGAATGCCCAGGTGCTGGGCATGTTCCAGATATTCTGGGTTCAGCAGAGAACAAGAGACAAAAACCCCTGCTTCAGAGAGCTTACAATCTAGTGAGTGTTTCAGACCATAAGTAAACACGTAAAACCCATGTCAAGTCATCTGGAGACAAGCAGGTAAAGAACAAAGGAGAGGGAGGGCCAGGGAGGGTCAGTGGTGATGGGGAAGGATGGAGTCGTCCTTTTCACTGAGAAGTGCTTGCATTTCCGAAATCTGTTTAAAATACGAGCACAGTCATCCCTTGGTAGCCACAAGGGGTAGGTTCCAGGACCCCAGCAGACACCGAAATCAGTAGATGTTCAAGTCATCAATATAAAATGGCATGGTGTTTGCATAGAACCTACATATATCCTCCTACAAACTTTAAATCACCTCTAGTTTACCTATAATACCTAATACAGTGTAAATGCTACATAAATAGTTGTTACACTGTGTAGCAGTGGTCCCGAACCTTCTTGGCACCGGGGACCAGTTTAGTGGAAGACAATTTTTCCACAGACGGGGATGGGGGAATGGTTTTGGGTTCAAACTGTGCTACTTCAGATCAAGCATTCGATTCTCATAAGGAGCACGTAACCTAGATCCCTCACGTGCGCAGTTCATGATAGGGTTTGCAATCCTACGAGAATCTCAGGCCACTGCTGATCTGACAGGAGGCGGAGCTCAGGTGGTGATGCTCACTCGCCCAGCACTGATCTCCTGCTGTGCAGCCCGGTTCCTAACTGGCCTCCCCACTGGGGGTTGGGAACCCCTGCTGTATGGCTTTTATTTGCATTATTTTTTATTGTTGTATTGTTATTCTTATTGGTTTTCTCCAGATATTTTTGATCATGGTTGGTCGAATCCACAGATGCAGAACCTGAGATGTGGAGGACCAACTTTATTATAATTTTTTTTTTTCAGGAATCTAAGCCTAGACTATATTTTTCTATAAAGGTGACCTCTGAGATTGTCAGCCAAGACCTACTTATGCACGAATTACTTACTAACACAGGAAGATAAATTCATTGATTTGCTAAACTTTCTAATTACAGCTCTAACTAGAAGGATACACTTGAACATGCTTATGAAGATCTATATATAGTTGTGGATCCAATTAATCAGGATTCTAGTGACACCATGACCCCCCCTTGAGCAAGTCGACATTGATTCAATTTCCTGTGTAAAATCTGCTGTGGCAAACACACCCCAGTGTGATCACAATGGACCGGTTCTCTAAAGAAGAGCTTATGGCCGGGCGCAGTGGCTCACGCCTGTAATCCCAGCACTTTGGGAGGCCAAGGCAGGCGGATCATGAGGTCAGGAGTTCAAGACCAGCCTGGCCAACATAGTGAAATCCCATCTCTACTAAAAATACAAAAAAAAATAGCCAGGCGTGGTGGTGGGCGCCTGTAATCCCAGCTGCTTGGGAGGCTGAGGCAGGAGAATCACTTGAACCTGGGAGGCGGAGGTTGCAGTGAGCCGAGATCGCGCCACTGCACTCCAACCTGGGTGACAGTGTGAGACTCCATCTAGAAAAAAAAAGAAGAGCTTACAAATAAAGGCTATGTGTCCCTGCAGAATTGAGGTAAACAGAGTTAAAAGAATGCAGGATTCCCTTGGTGTATTCTGGCAACGTTTATATAAAGAGTAAGTCATCCAGAATTGAAGACACTTTAAATGCCACAGGAAAATCATCAGATAAGACCAAGGAATCCTATACCAAGATGCTGCTACCAAAGTAACCTATTAATAGAGTGAAAGAGTTTCTGGCCATTCTTGTTACATAAGGTTAACCTTGCAAGGGTCTTTGCTCAGAGGGAAGATGAAATTACATCTTAACATAATCATCGACTACAATAAATTTAATTATCCACAATTCATGAAATCTTAGAAAAATCAAGAGTAACCATATTCAGTGAAATGAGAATGACTGATTTATTTAAAACTTATGTTTCCTACTTGATGTTATGTTTAGTAGGGCATTGAATTATTTACATAAAAATACAGTTTGGCAATTTTTTTTTTTTTGAGACAGCTTCTCGCTGTGTCACCCAGGCTAGAGTGCAGTGGCACAATCTCAGCTCACTGCAGACGACCTCCTGGTCTCAAGTGATCTTCCTGTCTCGGCCCCCCAGTCCCTGGGACTACAGGTGCATGCCACCACACCTGGCTAATTCTTATTTTTTGTAGAGATGGGGTTTCACCATGTTGCCCAGGCTGGTCTTGGACTTCTGGACTCAAGTGATCCTCCTGCCTCGGCCTCCCGAGGTGCTGGGATTACAGACATGAGCCACTGCACCTGGCCTGATTTGGCAATTTTTAAAATGCTGTTTGTAATATAAATGTCTTTATATATTTAACTCTTTTGTCTATGGCCATACAACCCTTAACACACCCGATGTCATCTGATCTTGGAAGCTAAGCAGGGTTGGGCCTGGTTAGTACTTGAATGGGAGACATTTACCTCTCTTGACAAGTGACATGTCGTGCTAAGTTCCTCGCCAGGACCAGCTACATACTTCTCGGGCCCCAGTGCAAAATGAAAAGGCAGGCCCCTTGTTCAAAAATGACTAAGAGTCTCAAGGTGATGACAACAGAGGACTAAACTGAGTCAGGTGCCCAGATGACCGCACAGGGCACACACCAATGACACCAACCCCACTCCAGACACTGTCATACTCAATCTGGAAGGAAAAAACGTCCAAACCAGTCCCCAAGCACTCCAAGATAAAAGGGCATACTAAAGAAACCCGGCCACCTGTCTCCATAGACTTATTTGTGTGCTGCCTGAAGACTTTGAAATATTAGACTGAGCTCTTCCAAGCCAGAGCAAACTAAAGCGATTTATGGCATTGCTTTCTTCTCGACTGCAAAATACCTTACGACCCAAATACTTTTTCAGCTTTACAAGAAATTTTGAAAATTTACTGCATTAGAAATGTTTTGAGACACGTGAGCTATTTTACCTTCTTCGTGGCCAAGTTGCTTATTTTTAGCTCTCTTCCTGGCCTCGATTTTATCTGTGTCTGCATTTACTGCTTCATAAACTGTTTCCGTTACTTCTTGCTGCCAGCGTTCAGAGATGACCAAAGGGAAGTTCTTGTAGAGTTCTTGGTCGCAATCAAGTAGCTGATTATTTTAAGAAATCAAGATATTTATGATTTAACATACTTACAAAGGTAAGAGTCCGCGGCGCCACATCCATGGTGACTCTATCATAACTCTATATAGGAAGATGACTAGATGGCAGCAGTAATCATTTCGAGGCAGGTTCTTAGTTATCATAAATCTCTGCTAATGACAACTCAAGCAATCATCATCCACAAACAGAACTGATGAGCACTTCACTTTCAGTCCTGGATCAGCTACAATCAACCCAATCTTGTATACTATCTTCATGACATGTTTTGCCAACGAAAACTCACATATACAGAATTTTACTTGAAGTACTGAGATTCTGACAACAAAGTAAAATTTCAATTATGGTAAGGATATTTTGTTTATATAGGTAGGAAAACTGTTTCTATAGTTTCAGAAACAGTTATAAGGGAGAAGCCAAGAGGGCTTTTGAACCTACCCTCAATTAATCTGAAAAGTTAGAAAAACAAAAGGTAAATGAAGCTGAGCTTCCTATTAATTCCATGAACCTTCCAACTATTTACAGTTTGACATCATAATCATATGTATAAGAAATCTCAAGACATATGGGGAGTTCAGGCAATGGAGCCTTTAAGAGCTGCTGGAACAAAAATTATACTTAATGGTAGCATTTTTCTTCTAAACGATTATTCAAAATTCTTCTTTCTGCCCTCTAGGTAAGGCTGCATTTTGAATATGAGCAAAGAAAATGGTTTTCTGCATGTGAACTACATTTTTATAGCAGAAATACTAGCAAGCCTGCTGGTAAATACATGCTTGTCTTAGAAGCACAGACCTCCTTAGAAACTTGATTTGCTTACTCCTTGAAAGATAAGCAGGGGTAGGTATCATAACAGGCAAAATACTGAGAAGGGCAAGAAAGACCAAGGAGGCTAAGGCACTTGCACACACTCCCTTAGCAAATCAACAGAACACCAGAAGAAGCTGCATCCCACATGCCAATATGGGGCCTACTCCATCCAGTCTCATTGATCTATTATAATAATCTGTTGATTCTGAGGTCGCTTTGACCTGTAGAGTTTTTCCTCTTTCTGTTTTCTTCAGACATTCTATCTAAGCCCATAGCTGAGCCCCTCAGTTGCTCTGAATGGGACTGGAGGTGCGTGTGTGAGTGTGTGTGTGAGTGATGGGGTGTTGAAAACCTCAAGGTCCGATGAGCACCTGAGATCAGGCACACAGGGACAGGCTCTGAACGGTCTGGCAAAGAGTCAAAGCATGCTCCTTGCCCAGGCAGTTATTCTGAAATGGCCAACTCTGTTTAATAGACACTGTTCTACCGCCTATAATTTCAGAAAGACTTGATCTTTATGACTGAGCCCACCTTGCTGAAAATGAATTTTTTTAAAAAAGAACTTATGTTTACATGAGGTGAGTTTTCCCCCACCCTTTTAAAGAAAATGTATTATTTAGGCTGTTTTTAAAAGACAGTTTCTTAAAATGCAGTCCCCTGCCCTCCCTGCTGGACTCAGCTCTCACGGGAGCAGGACCTGGGCTTCTTGTTTACAGCTGAATCCCTACCAGACAGGACTTCTTGTTCTAAGTGTGCTCTTTCTCAGCTCTTGCTCAGGAAGAACCAAAACATAATAATAGAAGCTACTAGTTTGTCAAGCATTGACTATATGCCTGTAGCCTTCAGCAGGCCACCTCATTTATCCTCAGAGAAAGCTTGGCAATGAAACCACCCACTTTACAGGTGAGAAAGCCAAGACTCGAGAGGTTGCAGAATGGCCCACATTCACTCAGCTCAGTGGCAGATCCCAGCCCAGTCTGTCTGACTCCAAAGCCTAGATCTTGGTTTACAACATTTTTAAGTATGATCATCTCTTTTTAACATTAAAAAATGTTTGTGGGCACCCACGTAATAGTGTTTTATTTTTAGTACTCTGACGGACAGATAGTGGTATACAGCAGGTGAAAAAATTCTATTGTGACAGCAGTAAATTTTTTAAATACCTTTGTAAATGGATTGTTCCCCAAAGCACTGCTGTATACTCATATACCTGACAGGTATCAATGGTTCCGGCTACAGACGATGCCTGGTTGTGCACAGGTCTAGGCATCGGTCTCAATGCTGACCCCAGCCACTGCTCCAGACCACAGAAGGGTGTCCCTCAGTTGGTCAGCAATCCTCACAGCCCTGTGACCTGGGCCCTCTGCACTTTGCCTTCACCTAACCTCCAACACCAGAAAAGCTGGTCCCATGAACACCCCAATCACCATCATGGCCCAGCCCCTCATCTCCTGGGGCCCCTAGCTCTGACCAGCTGCCACTGGGTTCCCCAGGTGCACTTGGCGTGTACATGCTGCTCTCCTTCCCCACAATCCTCCCATCTTCCTCCAGCCATTTACTGGCTTTTCTGTCCCACAGTCTAGCTGGTCCCAGTCCTACGTGTCTCCAGTTATAGCTCCTGCTAGGCCCTTGCATTTTACTTGTCACTCTTTTATTTACACCTCACAGGTGTGTGTTTTAATAGTGCTGCAGCCTTCTGGAGAAGGAAGCTACTTGGTGGGGAAGGCAACGCGGGTTTGTGTCAGAAGGGTGTAAATGGGGGCAGCTGAGAAGAAACAGGGAAGGCCCGGGGGCAGGGGGTAGAGCCTGGGGCAAGCTGCCAGCATGGGGGTAGGTGAGAGCTTGATGTAGTGATACACTTTGACCCAGCATCTTAAACAGAATGATCTTCTCTCATGACTCACCATCTCTAATTATGTCTTGTCTCTACTTGGGGGAATAACGATATGAACAAAAGTTCGAAAAATGCAGAGGATTGTATTAAAAAAAACAGTGATTATTTCACCTTTGATTGACAAATGCAAAATGATTCATGCTGTTTGCTCTTTCATCCTAACACGGGGAGATCTAAAAACTTAGAAGAATTGAGACAGCTGGCTCTTTTGCACTAGGGAAGTATGTTTGATATCACACAGCTGTTTTTCCTGCTTCAGGTATAATTCAAGTTTTATTTCAATCACAAATATTCCAAATCAATAATATTTTACCATGTAGTTCCTCAAAAATAAAATTATTAGTCTGAAGAAAGCTTTCAAAGCCTTTAATTTAGATCCTTAACTTACACATTCTTCAAATATGTTGATACTCATTTGTAAGTTAAATACTATAAACAGCCCAATATTAAAACAACCACTAAGTTTGATTTCCAACAGAAATCATCCCATCCAAAAATAAAAATAAAGAAATAAATGATCACATGTGTACCTTAATCCCTTTGGTATCCTCTTCATCAAATGAGCCAATATCAAAGGCATCAGCAGCATTGACTTCTCCCCGGGGAGGAATCAAGGGTGGTGGGTACTGGAAGATCCAAACAAGCATGGTACAGTTTTCAGATGATCGTATGGCCCTGTCCCAACCTAACATTCTACAAAGACAGCACAGTGCGAGATATCCGCATGCTCCACTGCGCAGCATGTCATTCAAACTTGTAACAAATCACATTTCATATTTTGTAGAAAAGCCACTGCACTCAATAGCCCCAAAGGAAGGCCCTATATTTTAGACAAATTAAAGAAAAATAGGATTCATGTCCAAAGCCTTCAATAATTTTCAAATATAACAAAATCTCAGGACTGCATATCCGTCCAGCTCAGCTTAAGAAAGCACATTCTCTGAGAGGACGCAACACCACCTTTGGGTTGCCGGAGCCACAACAGACAATGGGGCCTGGAGGGAGCAGGGCACATCTGCAAACGCTCCAAGGTATGTGTTAACTGACCCAGAGGTCGGACTCTAATTCAGTAGGACTGACAGATCAGTCTTTCTTTACTACAGAAAATCGTCATTTCTCTGCAGCTTGAGTTCACGCAAAGCAAGTTTAAAGCTGATAATCAACATTTTTCTAAAAATTGAATTTGGGGTGTTTCCTGTATCAACGCAAATATAATGAAGCTTAAAATAAGGAAAGGAAATCATGCTGATATAAAATCATGCTAATTCTTAAATTATGTAGTATTGGGCTAGAAAATATACATACGTTTATGGCAGAAGTTTCACGTACATTTTATAGAGATCTATGTAAAAATACAGTCACATTGAGATAAGAATTCAAGAAGAAGAGCAAAAACTAAAAAAGGCTCAATTATATGTGCATTTGAATTAACTAGATAATAGCTCCATTTTACCTTTTATTAGTTGATATAGGAGATATTTTCAAAATGTTTCTATTAGAGAAATGAAGAGTGAGAGGATGCCCCAAAGGGAACTGGCTACATGGTAACTCTCGGGTAACAAGAGAGTGTGGACACAGGATGCTGGGGGAGGTGGGTGGTGGGGATGCTGGGGAGACACAGCCAGGAAGCCAGCAGTGCATAGAGAGACAGAGACAGAAACTGAGACAGAGATGAGCGGGTAAGGGCGGGGCGGCAGTACCGTAAGTAGAGTCAAGAGGGAGTGAGTACCTTTTGTAAGTAGACATGCTGCCAGTCAACACCTTTGAAAAAGCTGTGCTCTTTTACTTCCTGTGAGCTGGAGGAGAAAGAGTCATAACAGTGCTGAGTATGCATTTGGAAACGTAATAAATATTGTGCAAAACTGTCTCCTGTTAACAATACAGGGGAGCAAGTATTTCCACTTTTTCCTTTAAGAAAGCAAACAAATATGCTTCCTTCAAAACAACAGGAGGAATGCTACGATGTTTAGAATACTGCATGCAGCGCCTGGGAATATTATCCCATATGATCATTTATTTGGGATAGTTATTACAGTTTAAGATAACCTAGAAATTTTCACAGATATATATATACACACGCACACACACACACACACAATAATTCTATAGTCAGGAGAACATAACTGAAAATAAGAATTAAATTGGATATCTACACATTAAAGAAATTTACAGCAAATATTTACACATCGCAATAGATAATGTAATAGGAAAATGACAGGAATGTGAAGCACCACATTTACTCAGAAGCAAACAAGAGATCTAATAATATAATGTATACCAAAACCCTTTATAAATTGAAGAAACCCATCCTGGCTAACACGGTGAAATCCCATCTCTACTAAAAATACAAAAAAATTAGCCGGGTGTGGTGGCTCACGCCTGTAATCCCAGCACTTTGGGAGGCTGAGGCGGGCAGATCACGAGGTCAGGAGATCAAGACCATCCTGGCTAACACGGTGAAACCCCTTCTCTACCGAAAATACAAAAAATTAGCCGGGCATGGTGACGGGCGCCTGTAATCCCAGCTACTCGGAAGGCTGAAGCAGGAGAACGGCGTGAACCCGGGAGGTGGAGCTTGCAGTGAACCGAGATTGCGCCACTGGACTCCAGCCTGGGCGACAGAGCGAGACTCCATCTCAAAAAAAAAATAAAAATAAAAATAAAAAATAAATTGAAGAAACAAGTTTTCTTGAAGGTCATGATTAAAACTTGGAGTACCCAGAGCAAAAGTTGGTCAGGCATGGTGGCTCATACCTGTAATCTTAGCACTTTGGGAGGCCAAGGTGGGTGGATTGTCTGAGTTCAGGAGATCGAGACCAGTCTGGGCAACACAATGAAACCCTGTCTCGACTAAAATACAAAAAATTAGCTGGGCATGGTGGCAGGCGCCTGTAGTCTCAGCTACTCGGGAGGCTGAGGCAGGAGATTTGCTTGAACCCGGGAGGTGGAGGTTGCAGTGAGCCGAGATTGTGCCATTGCACTCCAGCCTGAGTGACAGAGTGAGAATCTGTTGCCAGGAAAAAAAAAAAAAAAATTGCACACTCCAAGGAAAAGCCCGCATGGGGGAGGAGCACTCCCAGCACATGCCACTGACTTTCTATCTCTCCACATCCTGTCACACAGCTCAGGGCTGCTTCTTGGGGTCCTCCTGTAGTCAGTCCCTGGGGCATCTCGCCCAGCCCAGAGCTTGAGTGCCCTTATAGGACTCCTAAATCTGTAGCCCAAGCACCAACCTGTGCCCTGTGTTCCAGGACACTCCTACTCCCCAGCCCACTCAGAGGATGCAGGCAGGGCTAACACAGCCCTCTCCGCACTGCTCCTGCACAGGCCCAGCCAGGATGGTCCTGGATGCCTGTCTTCCCTCAGGCTTCACAGCCACCCCTTGGCCAGACCCAGACCTGACTACTTCCTACCACCTCCCATCCTCACGAGACTCTCGCTTAGGGGTGGTGTTTCTTTTTTTTTGTCACCCAGGCTGGAGTGCAGTGGCGCCATCTCGGCTCACTGCAACCTCCGCCTCCTGGGTTCAAGCGATTCTCCTGCCTCAGCCTCTGAGTAGCTGGGAATACAGGTGCGTGCCACCACACCCGGCTAATTATTATTATTATTATTGTATATTTAGTAGAGATGGGGTTTCACCATGTTGGTCAGGCTGGTCGCAAACTCCTGACCTTGTGATCCACCCACCTCGGCCTCCCAAAGTACTGGGATTACAGGCGTGAGCCACTGCGCCTGGCCGGGGTGGTGATTCCTGCTCAGGATGCTACTGGCATTTGTGGGCAGGGAAGGGATGATAGACGTACTGCCAGAAACACCGAGGCACCAGGGTCCTGGTACCTCTTGCCTGAACTACTCTAATGTCTCCTCCTCTGACCTCTAGTCCTGCCCACCTGCAGCCCCATCCCACTTCATACAGCGCCCAAGTCATCTTCTTCAATGAACTCACCACTCCTCTGCTCAAAACTCTCCAGTCTTGCTTCGCATTTATAACCAAACCCAGTGCCCAGGAGACCTGGCTTTGCTGGATCACGGGAGCACTGATTCTACCTGGAAGTCCTCCCTCGCTGACTCCTCCAGCTGGAGTGTTCCTCCCCAGGCCTCTTCATAAGGTGGCACCTCGTCCTCCACACAGGTACTTCTCACTATCTGGACCTGTCTTACTTGATAATTCTACACCATGGCTTTCCCATAGCATGAGCTTCAGGAAGGCAGGGGCCATGCCTACCATGTGCACTGCCTCAGCCACTTCACGGGGTAGCATCAGTGTGTGCCCAGTAAACAGACATTGAATGAAAGAATGGGATCCAAGTCAGAGCATATCCTTGTGCATTTTTACTGGAAACACTTCGGTGATTTTCTTATTGGGTTCCATTTTGTACCCATCATTGTCAACACATTAAATGTGATAAGCTAAATAAGAAGTTTACTTGCATATATCCAAGCAATTAGAAATGCCCCAGAAAAAAGGTTTCTTGTTCAAGCCAGTGATTGCATGAAAGCATGCAACTTCACACAGTCTCAATAACCACTAAAATGGCAGGAAAGGAACACAGAGATATAAACCCACCACAGGAGACAGGCATGGTAGCCCATGCCTGTAATCCTAGGTCTTTGGGGGCTAAGAGGAGAAGATCACTTGAGGCCAGGAGTTCAAGACCTGTCTGGGCAGCATAGCAAGACCCCTTCTCTATAAAAAAAAAAAAAGTTAGCCAGGCATGGTAATGTGGGCCTGTGGTCTCAGCTACTTGGGAGGCTGGGGCCAAAGAATTACTTGGGCCGGGAGTTTGGAGCTGGAGTGAGCTATGATCATGCCATTGCACTCCAGTCTGGGTGACAGAGTGAGATACTATCACTTTTAAAAAACAAAAATAGGCCAGACATGGTGGCTCACGCCTGTAATCCCAGCACTTTGGGAGGCCAAGGCACATAGATCACTTGAGATCAGGAGTTCGAGACCAGCCTGGCCAACATGGGGAAACCCCATCTCTACTAAACATTAGCTGGGCGTGGTGGTGCACACCTGTAGCCCCAGCTACTCGGGAAGCTGAGGCAGGAGAATCACTTGAACCTGGGAGACAGAGTTTGCAGTGAGCCAAGATTGTGCCACTGCACTCCAACCTGGGTAACAGAGCGAGACTCAATCTCAAAAAAATAAAAAATAAAAAGTAAAAATAAATATTAAAAAAATAAATCCACCACGAGAGAGAGAGGGCCATCAGCAGACAAGAGGGGGTGCTGACACAGGGGCAGTGACTGACAGCAAAGCAGGGCAGAGCTACTGCCCTGGGGACGGAGCCAGCATGCTGAGCTCCAGCTCACCACAGTGTGTGTGGCTGGGGGATGAGACACAGGCCTGGGCATTGAGCTGCACACTTGCACACAAATGCACACCCATACCCGCCGTACTTCTTCCCTGACACCCAACTCCAGAACACCTGCAGCAAGGTGTTTAACATGGGGTAAAACCCCTGAAAGGTTCTACTTTTAAGAAATTAAACCTGCTAAAGATTTTTAGAAAGAAATCAACGAAAGGGTTGAAAATTTGTGCTATCGGCAAGTAAAACAAAGAATTAAAGCAAAGATGCAGGTAATATACAAGATCAGAAGTGCAGAGGCCCAAATCTAGAAAGGAATCCCAGCATCCAGCTAATAAGAGTTCTATGAGAAACAGAGGAGGATAAATGTCAAATAAATAAAGGGTGGTCTCCAAGCTGAAGAACACGAGTCTCCGAGCACAAGGGATGCTACCTGTCTGCCATCGCGAGTGGTAACCTAGCTCCATGACCTGCATTGACTGCTTGCTTGTACACAATAAAGTAAGAGTTTCAAAGCTCTGGGGGAAAATTATTACTTCCTTAGAATTCTATATCTAGCCTAAATATAGCAGGAGGCAGGGAATCAAGTGAATGGCAGATTCAGTCCAGAAGACTGGAAAGGGAAGTGTTGGGTGAGATGATGCCAATCAGCAGAAATAGAGCACCTCTTTTTCATTGCAGCTGCAGGCTGAGTCCTTCCCGAAAGAAACATCATGGAAAAACAAAGTCCACAACTATCATATTCTTTTTTGAGAGAGAGAGAGAGAGATCATACTATATATGTATATATATGACTAACTTAAGGTTTATTACCAGGCTAAGTAAAAGCCTTGTAATGAACAACATTTTTGATTCCTTAACAGTGTAAATACCCCTTCTTCATTTGCAACTTTTGAAATTAACCTATATGCAAAGCACAAAGATTGATTATGATTGATTATGATCACAGAATAGAAAGCAGTATCATCTTGATAATGTAAAAATAAAAATTAACATGAAAGAACATGAGACAGAAGTCAATGAAAGATAGGAATGTCAAAATCCTCAACTCAGATACTGTTTATAGTTGGAAAAAGGCAAGACCGGGTTAAGCATGGAATTTAAAGCTACAGAGGAAAGCAAAAGAGGAGCTCAAAATAGCGTTTCAACTTTTGAGAGGTGGAGGAAGGGAAGGCTACAGAGACAGTAATGAGTGAGCTAAATCTTCATCTATTATAGCAGGAATAGGTAATTTTGCAAATTGATAAGGACATACTCATATATATGTACATTATTTAGCTATCTACATAAAATGCTTATATGTATAATATGCACACTAAAAATACATACACATATGTATGATATACATATAGGTAATATACAGTTAAAAGTTATTTCTTATGCCAAGCAAGCCTGGGGGAGAAGAGATACAGGAAAAAGGTCTGTCTGAAGTCCCTCTCTATAAGCTTTCCAGATATTACTGTTCAGAGTGTTTTGGGGCAGGAGAATAGTGAGCATGTGTTAGATCGCAGTTACTCAGTTATGCATGAGAGAAATATGTGAGAAACTGATCAGAATGTTAAACTGCCACAATCACAAATACAACCATCACTAAAAAACAAATGGACTACAAAATATCAGAATTCACTTCTGTCATCTACAAGGTCAATCTTTAAAAGTTAAAAAGTGGGCTGGCCGCAGTGGCTCACGCCTATAATCCCAGCACTTTGAGAGGCCAAGGCAGGTGGATCACCTGAGGTCAGGAGTTTGAGACCAGCCTGGCCAACATAGGAAAACCCCGTCTCTACTAAAAATGCAAAAATTAGCCAGGCGTGGTAGCACACCCCAGTGGTCCTAGCTACTCAGGAGGCTGAGGCAGGAGAATTGCTTGAACCCTAGGAGGTGGAGGTTGCAGTGAGCTGAGATCACGCCACTGCACTACAGCCTGGGTGACAGGGCAAGACTCCATCTCAAAAATAAATAAAGTAAAAAAGTGAGTGACTTCTTCAACTTCTTAATTATAAAACACATAGGACAATATTTGTATATTTCCCATGTGATTTATTTTTTTCCCCTTTCAAGTCAAAATGGAAGATTTTAATGACTAGGGATGACTTTTGATAGACAGTATTTAAAATCACTATTTTGCTCTTCTGGTAAAGATACCGAAAGGCAGGAACAATGGCCTACCCGCCTCCGTGACAGCCCAGCCGCTTGCTAACGTCTCGCTGAAGCAAGCCCTCCAAAAGGGACTTCAGTTCAGGAGAGAAGGTGTCTGGAAGTTCCACATTCTGGGGAAAAGACGAGTAAGATTTCAAAAATCCGTTCATGAAACAGCATCCTAACACTCAACCAGACTTAAAGACTATTACTGGGATAAGCATAGTATTAAAAATTGCAGCCTCATTATGAATTAATATTTACTCTATAGAAACATGAAAAGATAACTAATCAGTTGCAAAATCAATGAGGCTGGGGGCAGATCAGAAGAACCGGAAGGCATTCTCATTCGTTGGCATCTCAGTAATTTCTCCTTTTCTTTGATTTCTTTACTTCTGTTCTCGATTTTCTTTAGCTTCCTCATACTGTTCGTTAGTAAATCCTGATTTTTGCCTTGGCATCTATTTCCATTAATGTTTCCCCTAGAAATTCTTTTAGAAATTGTATCTGCATTTATTTGTTTCAAGAAAGCAAATTTTTATTATGTCTATACATAATTTTATATTTCCTATAACATTTTATGTAATAGCATTTTTTTATTATTGACGGAATGAAGCATGACAATTACCATACAGACAAGAATACAGTTTTGAATCCCCTTACCACGGTGAGTGTCATTCGGTCAATTTCATGCTTGTCTTTGGTTTTATGTTGTCTGAAAGGGCTGTGACTGTAGAAATAAAGAATTGTTCTATCAAAATATGGCATCAGGTGATATAGAACATATCACTGACTAATATTTGGGTAAAGTATGATGTCCTATCACTATTCATTCAAAACTGGAGAAATGCAAAAGCCGTAAACATTTATCATTTCCATGGAAGAACTGGTGAATAAATGCTAGGTCCTGAAATAGCAAGACTTGTATCTTACTTGAACTGCCTGAATCTCACTTCAGTGAACTTGTGGCCCTAAAATACGCTGTTCCAATGGAAACATCATTAGAAAAGAATATATAACTAGCCAACAGGTAATCATGAGAATAAAAGTCATTTATATAACATTTGTCATATGAGAGTTCGAGCTAAACAATAACTTTCATGTACATTTTTCAGAAAAATGGATATTGGTCCCTCAAACAGCCCAAGGAACAGCAGTTGAACCAAAACATGAAGGAGATGAAATGATTCACCCCTAGAAACCAGTCATTTTAAGTAATACATCCCTTTGATGAAAACAGAAACTAACCGTGCACCAGCAGATTCTCCACAGCTCTGAGCGCTTCCTGTTTTCCCTGTGCAGAACCCGACTCCAGAGTCAGAAAAGCTGGGTTCAAGTTGTGACTTGTTGGTTTAGTGACTGTCAGCCACATAGAAACCTTCAGTATCAATTCTTCATCTGTAAAGCGGGGATCAAGCCGCATACTTCACAGAAGCAGTGAAGGGAAAAACTAAAGTGACATCTATGCAAGTAGCCAAGACAATGGCAGTACACGGTAGGTACCTAATACAGTAACCACTGGTGAAATTAATAAAGATAACTCTTACTTTATGAAATGAATGTCTACTTGGTGAACTATGTAAAACAGATTATTCTCACTCTCATGTTTTAAAAACTTTGGAGAAGCTGGCTTTCAAAGGAAATCTTATCATTAAAAGACACTATTAAATATGCAAACTAAATTACCATGGTTTATTTTTCATTTTGAAAATTAAAGGGACACATATGATTGACTTTTCTTATAACAAGATGTGCCTACAAAGTAGTCATCTTATAAATTTATTTATAAGGCATATATGACATAATCTGAGGCAGGCAGGATATTATGCAAAATATTTTAATATTAACTCCATAAAATGGATTAGAATGTTGAACACATAAATCAGAGATTCTAAAAAAGAATTAAAATGCCACTTATCTTGCACTGCTACTTACTGCTACTGAGCTGGTCATCCTACTGAATTAATTAGGTTATACATTGAACTATCTTTTGAGATTATTACATTTCAGGCCATTTATTGTCTGAAACACTTTAATTTTCTTTTTGTACAAGAGAGGGCACTCTAGTCCTTTATTTCCTTCCATATCATGCAGTGAAACACAAACTAATTGCCATCTCTTAAAAGCATTAATTTGGGAAAAAAAAAAAAGATCAAAACAAGGTAAATTAGCACCCAGCAAGCATTTGTTAACTTTTAAAACAGATTTTGATTGGAAATATTCTTTTTGCCTTATTTCCAAGGAAAAAATGTACAATTACCACATTTAAAAAGCAGATATAAAAGCAAACAATATCTGTTATTTATAATTTTTAAAAACATACTTGTATCATTCTTTTATACAAAATGCACAGAAATATTAACATGTTTGAGGTTGCAGAGAAAAGGAATGAAAGTTTATCAAATCTTATGAAAACCTTAGTCTCCCTGCTTGACACTTAGCTGTTTCCACCCGACGATGTTCCTTAATGTATAAAAAGGGATTAAGTGAAGATCTCCTGGTGTTTTGACAAATCCCTCGGACCTGGCTCCTGCGTGCAAAGCCAGAGGACCCCACTCCTGCATCTGGTCCCGATGTACTTGCAGCCTGCTGTGTTCTGACACAAGCGCTCTGTGCTAAATTTAAAAAGTCTTTCATGAGACCACAGGGAGGCTTGCGAGGGGACTTGGAGTTAAAGTTAGTGGTGCCAAAACCATTTCCAGCACATGGGCCCCATTGCTACAAATTCCATTTATAAATATAGCGATTCCATGTCCGGCTCAATGAGAAATTATCAGAAAATGCTCTTCAGCTATTCAAGTCTATGCTGCCATGTTCAGACAGTTTGGTCTTTCAAGTTGAAATCTTGATGCACATCTGTTTCCAATATATTCTTGATTATTCTTTGTGAACAAAGCCAAAGACTTGGTTTCTATTTTGAAAAACGTTAAAGAAAACCTATGATAGTAATAATCTCCATTCTGAGTGAGGCACGTGGTGTGCACAGATCCTGTGTGATCGCAGCTGCTCCCTGATGCAGCCGCTTTAAATAGGAGACAGTAACAGGCCTGTCAACAGCTTACAAGGCACGGCCAAGCTCTTCCCATGCAACATGCTGGCTGCATCAGGGAGCGTTGTGGGAAAAGAATTCACATGTCCTGTGGTCAAGTGCAGCTTTCTGAACTACAGATAGAATGGAACAGCTGCACGTTTCCCCTAAATGAGTTGGAAAATTGTTCAGGACATTATAAATGATGGGAAAACACACATCCTGCCCAAGTTAGCTCTACATCATTTTCATGGGCAAACAATGGGTTCAAAAAATTATGTGATTAAAAACTCTCACATCAAAAGTTAATTTCAAAATACCCAAAAGAGGCCGGGCGCGGTGGGTCACGCCTGTAATCCCACACTTTGGGAGGCCGAGGCAGGTGGATCACAAGGTCAGGAGATCAAGACCATCCCGGCTAACAAGGTGAAACCCGTCTCTACTAAAAATACAAAAATTAGCCGGGAGTGGTGGCGGGAGCCTGTAGTCCCAGCTACTCGGGAGGCTGAGGCAGGAGAATGGTGTGAACCTGTGAGGCAGAGCTTGCAGTGAGCCAAGATCACACTACTGCACTCCAGCCTGGGCAATAGAGCGAGACGCCGTCTCAAATAAAATAAAATAAAATACCCAAAAGATGGCATGTTATATTAAATGTGCATTTCAAACCTAAGCCAGTAGTTGCCAAAATATTTATAAACTTTCCTTTTTCCCCTCCTGGAACAAACTCAATAGCGCCAGCAGCACTCAGTTCTCCCTAGGCCACTGCCCAGGCTCTCCCTCATGTCTGACAACTCCACGGGGAGACAATCAACGGTGACAAGCTTAAGATCGAGGCCACTGTCACATCAATTGATTTCCTTAACAGACATCTTAAATCTAGGTGAAGATCATGATGGCAGCTCCACAGATTTGCAACATGGATGCATCTTCCTACACAGACGCTCTTAAGTATCTGACAAAGTCATCTGAAATAGAAGTAGTGACCAGCACTCAAAGATAGCACATATGAGCGGCTCAGTCAATCACTGTGAGTCCAGGGATGCAAAACACCTTCTGAAGCCTTGACATCTTTCTCCCATCCAGACTCCTTCTCCAAGTGCCTTGCAGTATTCTTGTAGGGGATAAAGACAAAATGAAGTGTGCAGAAAGGTGTTTCAGCAGAAGCAAGGGGGCACGCTGGTCACAGCAAGGAGGATTAAAACAGAAAACAGAGCGGCCGGGCGCGGGGGCTCACGCCTGTAATCCCAGCACTTTGGGAGGCCGAGGCGGGCAGATCACGGGATCAGGAGATCGGGACCATCCTGGCTAACACAGTGATGCCCCGTCTCTACTAAAAATACAAAAAATTAGCTGGGCGTGGTGGCGGGCGCCTGTAGTCCCAGCTACTTGGAAGGCTGAGGCAGGAGAATGGCGTGAATCCGTGAGGCAGAGGTTGCAGTGAGCCGAGATTGCACCACTGCACTCCAGCCTGGGCGACAGAGCGAGACTTCGTCTCAAAAAAAAAAAAAAAAAGAAAAGAAAAGAAAAGAAAAGAAAATAGAAAGACCCTTCCTTGGTGGCCATTGATTCCACCTCACTGCACAGCTGTGGGAGGAGGGAGGGGCATTTGCTCTGGGGCAGTGGTCCTCACCCTCGGCACTGTTGACATTTAGGGCTAAAGGATTCTTTGTTGGGGTGTTGCGGGAGCTGTCCTGTGCCTCATAGGATGTTGAGCAGCATCCTTGGCCTCTACTTAGGGGATGCCAGTAGCAGCCACTTCCCAAGTTATGATGACCAAGAATGCCTCCAGCCATTGCCCAGTGTCCCCCAGGGTTGAGGACAGGCGCCCCAGGAGTGTCAGGATGCAGAGGGGACTGTGCCCAAGCCTGTGCCTCAGAGACCCTGCCTAGTCAATCTCCTCCTCCACTCAGTTGATTTCTTAGGCCCCGTGTGCCTGAGAAAAGACAGCTGCCAGGGGCTCCCTTCTATACAACACAGGAAAAATGCACAGGAGGCTGACAGGCATATTTTTGAGGTTCTCCCACATGCAACTTTGTGAGGAAGTAGAACAGGTGGCATTATCCCCTTGTTCACAGCTGAGGCAGTGAGGGCTCCTGCACACAGTCCCACCTCCTGCCCGCCTCGCCACAGGGTTTTGCTCCTGAAAGGCCCTCCGTACACTTCAGTTTCATGTGAACCACTGAAATTTTACAGACGCTGATTTTAGTAATGACATCGTTATTCTCCCAATCATCTTGAATCTAAATTGCAGCATGTTTAACTTCTATCCTTCCATATCCAACCATCTATAAAAAAACAAAAACAAAACACACTCCACGAAAACACTGAAGCGTTACAGAAGCTAACTCTGCAATGCCGCCATGTCATTTGCTCCTGTCAGGTTCCAGGGCTGCTGCGCAAACTCACTGCCTTTTGCTCACATTCTTCTGCCTGCCTCCTGTCTCGGTTCCTCCATTGCTCCAGGCTGCTTCCAGAATCATCTTACTGAAAAGCCACCCAACCCTGCCACTGCTCCGCTGAAAAGCTTTCAGCCTCGGGGCCTGGAGGATAAAGGTCAAACTTCCCAGCACTGCATCCGAGGTCCTCCCAGTGCTGACCCAACCATCTGAGACTTCTCCCTCAGCACTCCTTCCCTCTTAAGAAACATAGAAAGCTGGTATTTCCCCTGCTCCCAGGCTTTGTATTGTCATCCTACCTATCTTCAAAGCCTACCCGACAGACCATCTCCCACATGATGTCAACCCTACACTTCCAGGTTAGAATTGGTTCTGCCATGTCTGTGCTCGCAGCACATCGCTACTGTCAAAGTTAGCACAGCTCAGCCAGCTCCTGATCCGGTGTGTATATCAATAGCTACTCTCCTAGACTGCCTATCCCTCAAAGATTTTGTGTGGCTCCCTTCCTGGCTGGCTGGTTGGCTTCCTTCCTTCCTTCCTTCTTTCTCTCCCTTCCTTCCTTCCCTTTTCTCCCTTTCTTCCCTCTTCTTCCTTCCTCCTTCCTTCCCTCCCTTCCTCCTTCCCTTTCTTTCTCCCTCCCTCTCTTCCTCTCTCCCTTCTTCCTTCCTTCCTTCCTCCCTCTCCTTCCTCCTTTCTTCCTTCCCTCCTCCCTCCCTCTCCTTCCTCCCTTCCTCCCTCCCTCTCCTTTTTTCCTTCCTTACTCCTTTCCTTCCCCCACAGCATCAAGCAGTCTCTTGTACATTGCAGGTACGCAGTAAATGCTTATCACATTTAATTTAAATCACTTAAGTCAAAAATGTTTCCTGCTCTTTGGCTCCAGTGCTATATCCTATCTGTGAGTGACTTCTGAACAAACAATAGAAGGAATGGCATGAGATAATAAATCCTAGTGGGGGAGATTCATCTAATCCTATCTATCAAGCACTGGAAAGATTCCTTCCATTTCAGGCTCAATCGATGGTCACCAGACAGTGACAAGGAGCCTGCTATCCATGAGGCAGAACCCTCCTTCACTGGGTAGCTCAAATGACTGGACATTCTTGTATTAAACTGAAATCTTTTTTCTCCTCAAAATGCATCCCTCTGGAGTTACACAGCATGCATATGATCCCTTCAACAAGACGGCCTTCCAGCAGCTGGAGCCAACCATGCGCTCCCCTAAGTTCTGCACTCAGCTCTTTCAGTCTTCCCACGGAGGCCATCATTTCTAGCTATTTCACCACTCTCCACTTATCTCATCCATCCCTCCCAGCCTCACGGCCATCCTCAGGATGTCTTCCTGTCTGTCAAGACTCTTTTCGGCAGGAGCCCCACTGAACATAATGCTTCCATCAAGGCCAATCAAGGACTTCACAAAGGAATTAATATCTTCCAGTTCAGTATGCCAAAGCTGAATTACAGCCAAATAAGACTGAATTCATTTTATTAGCCACAAACCACACTGTTGGAGCAGACAGAGTTATTGAACAAAACCCTCTAGTCTTTTAAAAAATGAAGCAGTGTTACAGCAAATCCTCCCCAGCCTATATGCATGGCCATTTTAACAGCTAGAGTAACAAAACAAAGAAGTACACAAAGCCCTAAATACAAGGCTTCTGGGATTGTCAGATTTTACTGCTGATTTTTACATTCAACAGTTCAGCTGTTGCACAGTTTTCTTTTTATCATCTCCAAATTCTGTAGGTAGGGACTGTCTGTCTCCAACCACATCTCCAGCAGAGATCCAAAATAAAGATCTCCTGGGTGTCTTCATGCACTCCATATGCATAGAAGCGACTCCACTGGGGAGAACAGCATCTCATAGGGGAAATGGCTTTCTCTGGTTTGCTTAGATAAACTCTCTAATTAGGTCAGCTAGTCTGATGACATGAATTAAAGCCATCCAGGCTCCACAAATACAATAATTCAATTAAGGAATAACAGAACCCGACTTTCTAAGCAATAATACAATTTTAGATCACAAGTGAATGCAAAGTAGAGAGCAACTGGATTATCAGAGTCCTGACGAAACAGAGGGTGCTCAGAACCTAGTTTTGGGGGAATGTAGAATTCAGCCTCTCTCCAGAATGTGCTAAATGTAGTAAGATGCAGTGGTGCTCAGTTAGGCTCTCCGATGGAAAGGTGCAACATTTAGCAAACTATCGGGACTGTGTTCATATGAAAATATTAAAAGGAAAATCTTAACTAGGAAATTTTAATGTAAAATGATTTATGAGTCTGAATAATAAAAAAATTTAACTGAAGTTTTCCATTAAAATTGGCTAAAAGTCTTAGAATTAATGGCAACATTAACATAATTGTTAAGTGTTTAATATGAGAACATATTTTGAGAGTACTTTCCTCTCATAATCTTTTCTACTCTATTTCATCATCTTTGGTAGTTCAGAACAAGGGCCAAGTATACTACTAGCTTTAAAAGACAAATTAATTTCAGCATTTTCCCCAACAAACGCAAGCTTTTTAAAATGGGTTTACCGGCTAGGTGTGGTGGCTTAGGCGTTTAATCCCAGCACTTTGGGAGGCTGAGGTGGGAGGATGGCTTGAGGCCAGGAGTTCGAGACCAGCCTGGGCAACATGGCAAGACCTCACCTCTAAAAACATTAAAAAATTAGCTGGGTGTAGGCCGGACGCGGTGGCTCATACCTGTAATCCCAGCACTTTGGGAGGCCAAGGCAGGCGGATCACCCAGTCAGGAGATCGAGACCATCCTGGCTAACATCATGAAACCCCGTCTCTACTGAAAAAATACAAAAAATTAGCCTGGCGTGGTGGCAGGCGCCTGTAGTCCCAGCTACGCAGGAGGCTGAGGCAGGAGAATGGCGTGAACCCGGGAGGCGGAGCTTGCAGTGAGCAGAGATGTGCCACTGCACTCCAGCCTGGGAGACAGAGCGAGACGTCTCAAAAAAAAAAAAAAAAAAAATTAGCCGGGTGTGATGGTGTGTGCCTGTAGTCCCAGCTACTCAGGAGACTGAGGTTGAGGTGGAAGGATTGCTTGAGCCCAGGAGGTCGAGGCTACAGTGAGCCTGTGTGTGTGATGTCTGTGTGACTACACTGCAGCCAGGCAACAGAGAGAGAACTTGTCTAAAAACAAAACAAAATAAAATAAAATAGGTTTACTTTGGGTTTTCATCCTTTTTTTGTAACTCTCAAAATCTGTAAACCCTCAAGATGATGAATAATTAATTTCTAGGGAAAAAATCATTCTACCTTTTTAAATTACCTACATTTCAAAACAATACTTATTCCTACAATGTGGCTTATCAAAGAAAAAAATTCGAAGCAGTCTAATTTTAGGTTTAAAAGAATTCTGATTCCTACATGGTACAGAATAAAAATACGAAGCCATAAGCTTTTATCTAGCAGCTTATTGGGAAGCAGCTTTCACTCTTCTAAGACAGAGTCTTCCAGATTAGCACATGGCTTAAAGATCACTGTGTGATTTAAAATAACATTAGCGTCTAGTCATTTCTACATATTCTCAGTTTTCATCCAAGCTCCTGCTGCCATGAGGACAGCACTAGAAGGATGCATTTCAACTCACCCTCTCAGAAGTTTGAAAAGCATGCAGCCCAGGGAGAACCAGTCGGCACTGCTGTCATAGGCCGTCCCCTTCTGCAGCACCTCGGGAGCCATGTACCCATGGGTGCCACTAGGGAGAAGAAAGTATACACAGTTATCAGAGCATGCCCACTTTAGAAAACACTAACAGCGCCCCAAGGTCCGGGTGTCCTTCATTAGATGGCAGCGACTGTAAACAAAGGAGAGGGGACAGTTGTGCTTCACCGCAAACGTGATGCACTGAACATCCAATGGGAAAACGATCTTTTCTGCCTTCACTCATGTATGAATTAACATAAATAAGCGTATGAAATAAATATGTAAAATGCAAGTTCGGGATCTCATTAGTCCTTCTCTACTCCAGCTATGAAGAGCAAAGGTTCTCCTGCCGTTTCAGGAGCTCTCATGTGGAGGTGCATGGGGTCAGGGGAGGCAGGGAAAGGGAGGAGTGAACGGATGATGAACAGGCGACCACGCTGCGGCGCTGTGGACCTTGAAGGCATGGAGACGTCCACCCCTGTGTGGTGCCACCAATTGTGCTGAGGACCTGAGCTCACAGGGGCATCGGCTTGGTCATGGTCACCAACAGACCCCAGGGGGATGGGAAAGAAGGAGGAACATGAGCCCAGTTGTACATAAGATGGAGAAATCACGTGTCAGGTTTCAAAAGCTGCAGAAGGTCAAAAGGACTCAGCACTAAGCAAATGTGAAGATGATTTTCAGGAAGTTGAGAAAAATCACTTAGGAGGACAACCATTTTATATATAATCTGCACCATCTGCAATTCGAAAGCCCTTCCCACTCTAGCACTCTCCACCCCTCCTTGAAGGGCTGAGCTTGCCCGGCTGCAGCAGGAAGCATGCGAGGCAGCCGGTGGGGAACTTTCCAAGATGCAGCCTGACAGGGCTCTGGCAAAAGGTTGTATGCCCTACAACCTTTTCATCCACGATTAATTTTCTTCATCAGTAAAATGGGTAATCAGATGACATCTCTACCTCTCAGGGTTGCTGTGAGCACTGCACAAACGTCATGGGGCCACATACAGCAGCCACTGGATTCGTGTTGGGGATTTGCATCTCTGTGCTTATCTTAGTGTAAGAATTTTTAGGCCGTGTGCACTGACTCATGCCTGTAATCCCAGCAGTTTGGGAGGCCAAGGCAGGCAGATCACCTGAGGTCAGGAGTTTGAGACCAGCCTGACCAACGTGGAGAAACCCCGTCTCTACTAAAAATACAAAATTAGCCAGGCGTGGTGGCGCATGCCTGTAATCCCAGTTACTCGGGAGGCTGAGGCAGGAGAATCACTTGAACTTGGGAGGCAGAGGCAGAGGCAGAGGTTATGGTGAGCTGAGATGGTGCCATTGCACTCCAGCCTGGGCGACAAGAGTGAAACTCCATCTCAAAAAAAAAAAAAAAAAAAAAAGAATTTTTAACTTGCTTATGCTCAGCAACAGTGAGAATCTACTCAGAATAAATGATCCTGGATCACTAATAAGCCTGGGTCATCATGGGTCTGGTACTCTCTGTCTAAGAGGTGTATTTGAGAGTTTTATCCAACAGTGAAAATGGGCGTTGGTCCATCAGGGCAAATCCAGCATTCTGGAAAGCTCAATCAGCCCGAACCTAAAGTTTGACAGGGTAAGGTCATCAGGCCACGCTGTGAGAGCGTTGGAGATTTCTATGAGGGACATCCAAGCCATTTTCCGGGAAGGTTTAATTTCAGGGTTGCCTGGAAAGTCCTTTTCCGTGACTTTGTAACCTGTACTTATCAGGATCAAGTCACAGTTCTGGAATGGAAAGATATCTACAATAGATATCTACAGGATAAATAAGATAAATGAATGCAGACCAGCCCCCCATGCTTTTACCACATACAAGGAAAACTCAACCTTGGACTGCCTGCTGCTGAGGTTTTCTGATTCTGCCTAAGGCAGCTGCTAATGCTTCCTGACGCATTCTGCTAAAGATCTGTACTACTATTAATACTGAACGAACACTTGGACGTTTTAAGACACTGTGACATGAGACACAGCTTTGTGTTCTTAGATAAAATAAGCTAGTACTCAAATTAGTCACTGACAATCTGCTCAGCTCCAAAAGTTTTCCTGCGATTTTTTCATGGCTACTTCACAGTTAACTTCTAGTTTACAATAATTTGCGATTCTTTCGTTAAATGGACTAAGTCTAAGCTCAAATCAAAAACCTCAACTACAATACTACTTTGGAGATGGGCCAGCCGCTGGAAGAAATCTAAGAATCACATCTACAGCTTTGAAAAGATCTGAGAAACCAAGTTCAGGGTGAAATTGTGGCTAAAAATCTTCCGTCTTGTACTAAATAGATCATGCCAAAGCCTCAGGGAGTTCATCCACACAGCGTAAAGAGTACAGGCTTTGGAATCAGACAGAACTGGATTATAATTCTAGCCCCATGGCATACCAGCCATGTGACCTGGTTCAAGTTACTTACTTTCTCTGAACCTCAATTTCCATACCACAAAAATTGGATAGTGACACCTATAAATACATGGGCTTTCCGTGAAGATGACATATGCAAGCCTGGAACAGCTGGATATTCAGTGAGTGACACAGTGAATGCTGCTGGTACCGCCACTACTCCATATGCTGGTCACTTAGGGGACACAGTTCTCAGGGCTGCTCGTTCGAGGAGGTCTGAGGTCAGCTCTGTCTTACCGTGGCATCGCCAGCAGCTGGCACACAGCAAATGTTAAATAAAGACTTGCTGAATTATTTAGTTAACTTAATCCTCACAACTATCACAGGAGATAAATATCATTGTCCTCTCCTCCTCACAGAAGGGACAATGAGGCTGACACAACTAGGAAGAAGAACCCAAACCCAGATCTGTTGGCTCCAGAGCCTTTATTCCTAGCCACAAAATGCCTCCTTTATTTAAAAATACAGGATTTTGACAGGACACAGTGACTCACACCTGTAATCCCAGCACTTTGGGAGGCCAAAGTGGGAGGGTTGCTTGAGTCCGGGAGTTAGAGACCAGATTGGGTAACATTGGGAGACCCCGTCTTTAAAAAATATTTCTTTTTACATTAGCTGAATGTTGGGGCACATGACTGTGGTCCCAGCTACCTGGGAAGCTGAGGTGGGAGGATCACTTGGGCCCGGGAGGGGGAGGCTGCAGTGAGCCGTGATCACACCACTGTACTCCAGCCTTGGAGACAGAGCAAGACCCTGTCTCAAAAAAATAAAAAATATAAAATTTTGTTGTATGTTTACCTTTTTAAAGTAGTAGCCTCCTGATCATTATTTAAACATGGAAACCAACCTTCTCAGTCCTACCTCTTTACAGATGCTGTTCAAATATTGTACTATCCAGAGCAGGCAAAAGAACAGCCCACCGTTCAGAGCTGACATGTGAATTATAGCAAAAAGTGGACTAGGTCCTGCTAGGAAATAAATAACCCCATATCTGAAAGTTAATTCCTCTGGAAGATTATTTCTTATGAACTCTTGGATTCATATTTAGTTATGACTATACTAAACTGAAAAAATTAGCATACCAAATAACTGTGGCATTAAAAATTCAAATGACTCTCTTAAAAGAATCTGATGAACTCCCTGAGAGACGCTTATACGACCACAGGTTCTGGCCTAATAATTGTAAAGTGCTAGCAAAATGCTAATGCTTTTATCACCATATCCCAGATTCTGTAGAAAAAGAGAAATATGTTTACAGAAACGGTGCTATTCACTATTAACATTTGATCAGAGCTTTAAAAGGCAATTTTGATTTAATGCAGTCCTTCATAAAGTATTGCAGTTCAGAACCACTTTACTTCTAGTTACACAAAGAGAAGGATCTGTGGTTTATTTTCTGCACAGATGCATGAAATGAGACCACTGGGAGTTTTTTTTCAAGACCAGTCAACACAGAGATGAATGTTAGCTTAAGATGTCAATAAAATGTAATTTTAAAAGATTCAGTGCTAAGGAGGAGACATCTAAAAAGACAAAATAAAGCAAAAGTTGTCTGCTTTTCCACAAACTGTACATGTGTTCATACTTTCCACCCAGATCATCACCTACCAAAGAAACAGAAATGAAAACCAGTGCACGTTCCATGGTGTTTCTGCAGAGCCCCGGGGGAACTGCCCTAGTCCTGCTGTCTTTTTAACAACCCCGAGTACAGAGAGAAGTCCTCAGGTCAGGGCCAACTTGCACTGATCAAGCAGGGCCACACCCAGAAGCAGTCTGGTGTCCCCGAGGTGTCAGGTGCTGGCTGAGAGCTGTGGCCTCAAGAGTTCCCTCTGGGTGATCACGTAGAGGACCTGGTGCAAGACCCAAGTCTAACAATATGGCCTGCAGTGAAAGCCTAAACTGCAAGCAGATGATTTGTTTCTTTAATTAAAAAAGAAAGAAAGAAATATTCCTAATTTCTCTTCAGGGAAAAAAAAAAGAAGAAAAGCCTTTTTGAAAAAGAAGGAAAAGTAGATGAAGACAGAAACTTGGCCCCGAGGACCTCCCTTGACCACATCCACGCAGCTGCCCCGGTGCCTTTCTAGGCACAGTCTCTTTCACTTATCCTTAGGACAACTTTGAGGGGTTTATTACTACCATTACTAACAGACTAAGTAACTGACTGACTTTTAGGGTCACACAGGTAGCATGGATTCTGATTTTTTGCTGAGGTCCTGACTGTTTCTGAGAGGCCACCCTGGTCCCTGAGCAGGTTCAACTCCACTGTGGGTTAATTCCTGCTCTCCGCAGACAGTGAGGAAGGCATCCTGTTCTTATCTCCTTTCCCACGACCTGTGATGTTGGATCTTCCTGACATATTGAAAATCACCACTGGTAAGAGAAATGGGGTGACAAATGGCCACGCCTTTGAAAGGGCAGGAGAGAAATGGTGGTGAACTGAAGTTGACGCACTACTTACACACTCGCATGAGGCTTCTTTTTGGAAAAATCGCAGGCAAGACCAAGATCTGATATTCTTGCGTGTCCATGTTCATCCAAGAGAATATTTGCTGGCTAAACAGAAAGAGAATAATCTTTAATAAGAGTGCCCCAAATGCCATGCAGGCTTTGAGAACTTTGAGTGCAGACACCTGATATCTCACTATTTTATCATAGTTTGTTCCTAAACACAAATTATAGCTTTAGCCCATCACATCAAAGTGGGGCATGATACTGAGAATAATATCTTTCATGTTAACTTCAGCAGCAAAGTGGTAATGACAGAGGCGAAGGATTCTACTCATTAGAAAATGAAACATGGGGCAGGTAACACAGGAATGTTGGGAACAGTTCATCAGCATTAAAAGCATTTCCTTTTCACTGTACCAAGGACTGTTGCGCAGCCACAACAGCATGCCTCTCAAGGGCAGGAGGTGAGTCCACCAGCTTCTGGGCTTCTGAGAACCACAAGGATTTCTAAGAGTAAAGCCATGAAGCACAGGACAGACAGGAAGTTTCTAAGAATGTATCAACACTGACCTAAGCAATCAAAATATTCCATAGTGCCACACTAATCCCAATAAGTGTCATTTCTGCTTATTAGTACATCATTAACATAGGGCCCTACCAAATGACCAAATATAATTTTGACCACAACTCTGATGAAATGTATCCATGAAGATTAGATTTAGTCATCATAATCATGAAAAACAAACCTAGTCTCTCGGATATACATTGAATTATAGTCATCTTAATATTTTTCTGCTGGCGATCAACTATTGTTTTGCTTGAAATAAAAATAAATGGCATGCTATTAGAAAACTGAAGCATGAATAATCATGAGTGACTAGAATTAAGTTTGAATAGAAATTAAATAATACCACTGCCTTCCAAATAGCTTAGAAAATAAAAATAAAGCATAAAGATGATTAGAAACCAGTTACTGATTTAAATTAGAATGTATTACAATAGCGCTTCATGGGCCGTCAGCATGTGTTTTGTTCTTTTGCAAAGCTCGCATAAGGAAATAAAATGTCAAGGGCCAACTATTGTCTAGTTATTTCTAATTCAATAAAAATACATTTTTCTTCTTTATGCTTATAGGAAAACTAAGAGAATAATAATAATTCTGTAACCTTACAGAAAGGTTTAAAATTCACAAAGTATTTTGTAAAAAAAAAAAAAAATTCTTGGAAATAAAATACAATTTTTATAATATCTTAGAAAGTAATCTTCAAAAGCCAATCACAGCATCTCAGCTCCCTAGAGGAAGGAACATAATCTGTACATTTCAGTTGGCCACTGTGGGTTCATTCAAGAAGGCATCTGAAATGAGAGGCAAACACATTCTCCTGGAATCTTCTCGCCTATTGGCAAATTGTCAGTCCCATCATTTTTCTTATTACAATTTACGCATTTCTATGTTTGCGCAATCATTAATTCATCAAGGTCCCTTTTTCTCCATGCCTGCCTGCAGGCTGTTGGCCATACAACTAGGTGAGTGTCACCATGGACACCCTGAGCCAGCTTCTACCTCCTTCCCACATGTAAAACCCAGGACCAAGCACCGCGTTCTGGAATGGAAAAACTCAGAATACTCCTATATCATTGCTTTCAAGGTGAGTGAGCTCTCACAGAGGACAAGAACAGAAACTCGGGCACAGCAGTTGGAGGTTACACAGTGCAAGGATCTAAAACTCTATCAGTGATTTTTAAGGCAATCTCAAAACAATGTAAAGCTGTGAGGGTGGCCTTTGAGAGAAATTCCGCAGGCTGGTTGGCATCCACTATTCACTGATAGACCTTGCCTTGGAGGAGTTATGACTCGGCCATTCTATGTCTTAGCTCACCAGCTTCTAAGCCCCATAAAATATATGTTCTTTGCTTATCCATCATTGTACATTTCCAGCCCTTTACAGAGCCACGACCAAATCAGTTGCTTAGTGAACATTAGCTGAATTATAATTAACTATGAAATGGGTGACACCAAAAGGGCTCCTAAACTGCTTTTTTTTTTTTTTTTTTTTTGAGACAGAGTCTTGCTCTGTTGTCCAGGCTGGAGTGCAGTGGTGCAATCTCAGCTCACTGCAAGCTCTGCCTCCCAGGTTCACTCCGTTCTCCTTCCTCAGCCTCCTGAGTAGCTGGGACTACAGGCACCTGCCACCACGCCCGGCTAATTTTTTGTATTTTTAGTAGAGACGGGGTTTCACTGTGTTAGCCAGGATGGCCTTGATCTCCTGACCTTGTGATCCGCCCTCCTTGGCCTCCCAAAGTGCTGGGATTACAGGCATGAGCCACCGCACCTGGCCTAAATTGCTTTTCATTAACTAATCAACTAAATATTTGGCTTAGTATACGTGCTGCAGCAGGCACTGTAGTAGGCACCAGGGTTATAATAATGACAGGGACAGACATGCGCTCCGTCCCCGCAGAGTCTGGTCTAGAGGAGATAAAATGTCATATAGCTAATGACTTCATCAGGGCTGAGATGAGGGCTATGAGGAAAATGACAGGACTCTATGAAATAGAAGGGGACTTCTAGAGGACCATTCACACAATACCTACTATGCAGAATGAGTCTGTCAATCGTCCTCACCTTCAAATCTCTGTAGACAACAAACCGATTGTGCATGTGTTCCAGACCCAGAATGATTTCAGTGGCATAAAACCGCATCTCCTTCTCAGAGAACACACCGTGTTGTGAAAGGTGGTAGTGCAAATCGCCCCCTGGAATCAGATTCAGAATTTAATTCAAAGCATGTTAATTTAAAGGAAACAAATATCATTGTCATCCTAAATAGTCAGGACTCAGCAGAAAAAGGGAAACTATGCTTCTGCTTGGTCTATATACCTATGTTTCATTCCTGTAGTTTAGCAACAGCTTAAATGTTATAGAGAAAACTTAAACATTGAGAAGATTTAAATACAATGACAGGAAGGACAAGACAGCAAAACCAAGCCACCATTCTCAGGCTGACAGCTCAGCTTCTAGTTCTGCTCTCACAAGGTGGGACTAGCTAACCTGCTTTGATTACCTAAATCCTAGTAAGTGAATCAACCCATGGAGTGATCCAACAGACAGCTTAGCAACTGGCTCTATGGATAGACAAAAAAAAACAAAAAAACAAACAAAAAAAAAAACTAGGCTGGGCACAGTGGCTCATGCCTATAATCCCAGCACTTTGGGAGGCTGAGGTGGGTGGATCACTTGAGGTCAGGAGTTCGAGACCAGCCTGGTCAACATGGTGAAACTCCGTCTCTATTAAAAATACAAAAATTAGCCAGGCGTGGTGGCACATGCCTGTAATCCCAGCTACTCGGGAGTCTGATGCAGGAGAATCTCTTGAACCTGAAAGGTGGAGATTGCAGTGAGCCAAGATCACGCCACTGCACTCCAGCCTGGGCAACAGAGACTCCGTCTCAAAAGACAACAACAACAAACTGATCATACAGACAGATATTTGACAAAGCACATACAGTAAAATTTTCACTGATAAAAAATCCAGGTGGTGGGTGTCCCCAGGAAAATTCTTTCAATGTTGCTATCTGCTTGAAATTTTTCATAATAAAACGCTGGAGAAAGGAAATTATCAGATGGCCTCAAATTACACAGACAGAGAATGCTGTCAACAGGGTAAGGGAATGATTTTATAAAATACAAGGGAAAAGCCTCTATTGATTTATAAAAATGAATGTGTGTCCAACTTTATTACCCTTGCTTTCGCAAGCATATTTCTCTCTCCATACACATATTCCTGTAAAACCACCACCACATCAAGATGGAAAAGATGCCCAGCATCCCAAAAGCTCCCCTACCACTATGCCCTTTCAGTCAAGACCTTACCCCCAAGCCCCACTCACACAAAGGCCACTTTTAAGGCCTCTCTCCCCATCCATTAGTTTTGCCTGTTTTGGCAGTCACATAAGCAGGGTTACCTAGGGTAGATGCTGCTGTGTTTGGTGTTTGGCTTCTTTTGCTCATTATTACGCTGTGAAATTCCTTCCTGTTTCGGGGTAGATCTGTTTTTTGTTTTTTTTTTTTGAGACGGAGTCTCGCTCTGTCACCCAGACTGGAGTGCAGTGGCGTAATCTTGGCTCACTGCAAGCTCCGCCTCCTGAGTTCACACCATTCTCCTGCCTCAGCCTCCCGAGTAGCTGGGACTATAGGCGCCCACCACCACCCCCGGCTAATTTTTTTGTATTTTTAGTAGGGACGGGGTTTCACAGTGTTAGCCAGGATGGTCTCGATCTCCTGACCTCATTGATCCGCCCGCCTCGGTCTCCCAAAGTGCTGGGATTACAGGCGTGAGCCACCGTGCCCGGCTAGATCTGGTTTTAAATCAAACACTCAGAACATGATAAAACTTCAAGTGAACTTAAAAAAAAAAAAAAAAAACTAGGCATGTGAGTTGTGAATTGTATGCTTTATTTCAGTTCTTGTTACTAAAAATACTTTAGATATATACCATGACACCTTCTAGTATCAGAAAGCTCCTTTTCTAGCTGAACGTTTTCCAGCATTTTCAAAGTCATCATCCACAGTTTAAAAGATCAATGTACAGTAGTGCAGATTTAGAAGGTGCAGAAGATTGGGCTAAAATCTGTACTTGGCCCAAAGTCAGTCCTTCAAAGTTGGTTTTTAAATACATTTCTATCTTTGGCCTATATTCTTATGAGGTATTTCATTCCTAAAAGTTGAGGGCCAGGAAATAAGCTAATTAAAGATCTAGGCCAGCTGCATTCCAGAAAATCAAGTTTCACTGTAAGTATTTCATGATAATCTTTTCTAGAATCTTTTCTTGGGAAGAGACTGGGAGGCCCAGAAGGACGTTGCAGTCAACATTGAAAAATGAATTTTCAGTGAAGATTAAAGGGTAAAAGGTTTCCTCAAACTTCAGGGGGAACCTAATTACCTGAAAGACCCACATTGCCAGTCTGCCTAGATTAATGCATGCTAAGATTTAACATCATGGCAAAGTCTTTCAAGGCATTCAGATTTTCCAAGTTTTGCTTACCGTTCATCAGATCCAGGATGAAGCAGAGTTTATCTGGGGTATGGAAGGCATAGGTCATACATACAATGAAAGGACAGTCCTAGAGTGAAACAATAAAAGTTTATAAGAAGAGCAAAAGCTGCCTAGAAAGCACATCTACCACCAAACACCATGCTACATATTTTTAAAATTACTTTATTTTTTAATTGACACATTGCAATTGTACATATTTATGGTGTACAGTTTGATGTTTTGACACATATCTATGTTGTATAATGATCTAATCAGGGTAGTTAGTGTATCCATCACTTCACACATTATCACTTCTTTGTGGTGAGAACCTTCAAAAGTCTCTCTTCTTGCTATTTTTTAATATACAATATATGCTGTGGGTTTTTATCCAAGCTGCCACCCCATGCATTGAGCACCAACACCTATATGGTAATTTTTAAAGTCACAGTAAAATGGAGCTGGTTACATAATAAAATGCATAGAGACACAACATTAATAATTGGAGCAGATGACCTTGAAGGTCCTTTCTTGCTTGGATTCAATCATGTCTCTATCCTAATTATATCCTCTTCAAAAGGCTAGATACAGAAACATATCACCATCTTGCCAGGCTTTTTGCTGGTCAACATTTTGTTTCTGGCTATTCAAATACCCATTTCAATCTCTGCTTCTGAAGTTAATGGAATCACAGCACGGGTCAGGGAGGGAGGAATGTTATTTGTGGCGTTGTTTTGAAACACTGAGAATAAAAATGGAATTAAATTAGCTTTTGAAAGTGGAAAACTATTATCATGACCAAGGACTCAATAACTCAATTGTAAAGATTTCAGTGTTCCCCTAATTAAGCTATAGATGCCATGCAATCTTAATTGAAATGAAAATTGACAAGTTGGATTCTAAAATATATGTAAATGTAAACAGTCAAGGAAAGTTCCAATATTCTTGAATACAAACAAAGCTGGAAAACTTACAGGACCAGATATCAAGACTTATTAGAAAGCAACAGTAATTCAGACAGTGTGGTATTAGCCCAAGGACAGACAAGTAGACCAATGAAATGGAAAAGGGAATCCAAAATAGGCCCACACATAAATGGTCACTTGATTTGTTATTAAGGTGACACAACAGGGCCTGGGGAAAGGAAGGTCTATTCAATCAGTGGTGCTGGAGCAACTGAATATCTGTACAATAAAATATGAACCTTGACCCCTGCCTCACACCATACGCTACAGCCATTTCCAGCTGATGTAGATTTAAGTGTAAAAGATAAAACAATAAAGCTTCCAGAAGAAAACAAAAGAGAATATCTTCATGATCTTAGGGTAAGTAAAGATTTCTTAGGCCACAAAAGGCAGTAACAATAAAAATGTTAATTAGACTAAAATAAAATTAAGAACTTCTATTCATCAGAGGATACCATTAACAGAGTAAAAAGACAAGCCACAGGATGGGAGAAGATATATGCAACCCATAAATACACAAAGGACTCATATCTATAATATACAAAGAACTTTAAAAAATCAACTTAAAAAAGTCAACCAACCCCCAGAAAAATGGGGAAAAAAAATAGGCAATTCACGTAAGAGGATACCACATAGCCCCCAAACTAATGAACAGATGCTCAACCTCGATGTCTCCAAGGTAACGCAAATTAAAACTACAATATGCCATCACTAAACCCACGAGAACAGCTAAAAAGAAAAACACTGACGATACTGAGTGCTGGGAAGATATACAGTGAATAGAACTTTCATATATGGCCACTGGAAGTGTACAACGAATGGTGCAGCCACTTTAGCAACCCATTTGGTGATATCTACCAAGGCTGAGTGTCACTTGCAAGCTTTCTGACATAGTGATTTCACTCCCAGGTAGACATCTAATAGCAATCTGTACTTATGTGCACCAAGATACCTGGACAAGAATATTCAAAACAGCATCATTCAAAATAGCACAAGCCAGGAAATAACCCCAATGTCTACCAACAGTAGAATGGATAGTATGGTATATTTATACACTAGAATGCCATATAGATCATGGATCAGCAAATGTTTTCTGCAAAGGGCTAAAAAGTAAATATTTTAGGCCTTGCAGGCCGCATATAATCTCTGTCATCTATTATTCTTTGCTTATTTTCTTTACAATCCTTTAAAAATGTAAAAACCATTCTTAGGTAATGGGCTCTATAAAATAAGGCCAACAAGCTAGACTTGGCCTGAGCCACACCTGGCTTTCTGACCTCTGCTGCACAGCTACAGGAGGGAGTTACAGCCGTGGGCAACACCACAGATGAATCTTGTAAGCAACATGGAGTGAGAGAAGCCAAACACAGAAGGGCACATTTATAAAGTTCAAACACAATTTGCAAAGCTAAAATATGCTGTTAGAAATCTGGGTAGTAGTTAAGTTGGGTGCAGGGTTAGTGACTGGGAGAGGCACAAAGAGATTTCTAGAATACTGGTAACTTTCCGTCTCTTGATCTGGGTGCCGGAGATGCGTGTATTCCCTTATGAAAATTCATCAGTGCTATGCTAGATCTATTAGCTCTATTTAGATCTATTTTATCTATGAAATCCACTTAGATTCTTTACATAAAGTGTATACTTGTCACTAAACTGATTCAGTTTTTAAAATGGCCTAGATTGTCTATATCTTGTTTCTTAACGAACACAAAAAATTATTAAATTCCAAAGAAAATGTTCAAATTTCAACATAATCTGTAAACAGAATTTGCATTGTTAAAGCTAACAGCTCAAGACCACATCCCTAGGAGGCTCAGCCCCCCTTAAAATGACTGCCTCAGAGAAATCAAGGCTTCCCAAAGAATTTTTATTTGTTCCAGCAAACACTCAAAGATAGAGCCCCTATCTCCGAGCCTCCATGGGAGGGTAGGAGTCTAACTTGGATAAGTCCCAGTTAGCAAACCCAGATGGGTCCCATATGGACCATGCCCCTTCCTGCATTGTAAAATTCTTCACTTCCTTGACTCTGCTCCAGCCCGCATTGCACTCCACAGGCCACTGTCCCTTTAAAACATCCGGTCACCTCTGCACAAGTCAGAATGGAGCTCCATTATTTCTCTTACTGTCTAGTCATTACCAAATAAATGCTGTTTTAATTACCAAATAAATGCTTTAACTAAAGTCCAACTATATTTATCTTTGACTCGATGTAAAATAAACACGCAGGTGAAGGAATCAGATGTGGTTATCTCTACAGAAATCAGTTACTGCAACCCTCACCTCTCGGGGTGCTGAACAGACACTATAATGGGTTTCATGTGGAGTCCAGGACACAACCGAATACTGACCAATATGAAAAAATAAGTGGCAATTTAATGAAGGGTGGGATACAGTTCCAAGGATAATTATGGATAAGACGGCCTGCCTTGATTACAAGTCAGAATAAAAGTGGATTTTTAGAAGTAGACCATTAAGTAAAACTCTTGAGCAAGGAACTGTCTACTTTGATTTCCTACTAAAAGTCAACAAAATAGCTTACATTTTGCAGGAACTCGCCATAAAAAAACTGTGATAAAACAGGACCATGAAGTCGTTGTTGAAGAAAATCCTCCACACTGCAGCCGGAGCAATCTTTGTGAACTGCAAGGCTGATTATGGTCTCTCTCTAGTTAAAACACTTGGTTTCTAACTGCAGTCAGATCATTTAGGCTCCTCAAGATCGGCCGGCGATGCCCTTCACGGTCTGGCCTGGCCTTCATGTCTCTCTCCAGCTTTGTCTTGCACGACTCCCCCCACCACCGCAGACCCTGGCCCCTCATCTGATTCCCCCAACCTCACGTGCCTGGGCTCAGAGGAGCCACGTGCACTGGCTCCTCTCCAGGTAACCCCCAACTTCAGAAAGGCATTCGCTGACCCCATCTCCACCCTGCGAAAGGCCTTCCGAGCACTGTGTGCCTGTCTTCCATAGCTCTTGCCACAGGTCCCAGTTGTCCATACATTTCCGTCATCATTTGAATAATACATCTTTTCCCTTTCCATGCAGCTGTATGAGAACTAAGAACTGGGACCACAGTCCCAGCTTGCCGCAGAGTGCCTGGTTCAACCTAAATCCTCAACTGTGGTTCAGGGAATAAATGAGTCACGCTTCTGAGGAACTTAAATGACTGACTGGATGAATTGCTGACTGCTCTTCACAGCTGTGGACACGCTTATGCTGGTTCTCCAACATGCATATTTCCTTTTTTGCCATCTGAGAATTACAGAAGAAAACCGGGAACAGTACTTCCTACTGTCTTTTGGGGAGATGGGTAGGAATACTCAAGTTGAGATTAAAAAAAAAAAAAAACCTTCCAGTAAAAAGAAAACTGTGGTGAGTGAATGCATTTCAGTTACATGTCCACAATACGGGAAAGCCTGCCGATACAGTCTGATCAAAAGCTTCACTTAATGAGGGTATTTTCAACTAAGTTTTATTAAAAACTATAGAAAGTATCCCCTGATTAGCAAAAACAATTCCAAATAACTTTACTATAATTATTTTTGTTAAATTATGCATTTATAAATTTTAAAAATACCATACAGTTTTGATATCTAAATAAAATACAAATAATTCTTTTAAATTAGTTCAAAGTGATAGCCCAAAATAACCCTAATTTTTTAATTTACTCTTTTAGGGTTACACCAGTGAGAAACTACACAACCACTTAACCACATCTCCTCTCACCTGAGTCAAATCAATATAAAAATATTACATGAAAACTATACTTATGTTTTTCCAACATTAAAACGTTTATTTTCTATAGGCTTTCTTGAGAATAAATATCCAAGGCTTTGAGATAACTCACTGAAAATTAATATTTTAATAACCACTTAAAATCTTCATCCAGTACTCACATCCACGTTTGAAATTTAGGATACAGACATTTCCAATAGAAATTAAAAGCCAATGCCATTCACACTGACTCCAACAGAGTATGCAGGATGCTTGGTTTCCATTCTCATCAGTTAAAAACTTGGTCACACACACAAAGCAACTCTTATTTGAAATGCTTAATGCCCATACAGTGGGAGGTCAAGGCACATAATTAGAAATTATTTATGGCTATGGGGTTTCCATTTGTTGTAACTTAGCTACATTATGCTATTCTTTTGCTTCAATAGCAAATACCTCTTCCAGAAACACTTTAATGACAGAATAATATAAACCATAATACAATAAATACAGGTGACAAACGAAAAAACATACAGCCTATAAAGTGATGATAAAAGGAGCACTGGCCAAAAAGTCTAGAGATTTGGGGAAGGAAATTAACCTCTCTAGGTCTCAGGTTACTTGCTCAGCAGTTGAAAGGGATTCTTTCATTACCCACTAAAATTTGGTTTTTTCAGATCCTTTTGGTGAAGACCTTACTTAAAATCCAGCCATGGGATCTAGAAGTCTCGCACATTTCTCACTGAATATAAACCTTCCTGGCTGGAGTATCTACGGTTTCATTCACATGTGGGGTACACAGTTAGTTAGTGTCTGGCCCCTCCACGCTCACCCCATGCCTCTCCCTCTCTGTCCTGACTCCCTAACCCACTCTGAACACCAGGTCACAGCCATACCAGTGCACACACGCTGTAACAGGGTACTGAGAGGACGGGTTTTTTGGATGTGTCTTCACATACACTGGCATCTGTACAGACACATAAAAGCTGAGGTTTTGATCTTGGGTAATACCATTAACAGAAAAAGAAATTGGAATGGGCAGCTATTTAGTAAGTAAAGAAGATGTAGGGTAAAAGTGGGGTCACACATGTTGAGCTAAAAATGATAGCTTAATATACAAAGAAAGTGTCCAATAAGTAGAAATATGGTGCTAGAAATGGAAAGGCTGATAAACAGAGTAGCAGGTAGTGAGAGGCAGGTAAGATCACCTTCCAGTGAAACGCTGACTAGGGACAATCTCAAAAGGACAATTCGGATGTGAGTAATCCAAGTCGCTTCTCTCGATTCGCTTCTGAAGGACAGAAGCCACTTTTCTCTTACTTTTCCCCTCTAGGTTAGTCCTTCTTGCCAGTCGTTTAGTCAGGTCTTGACTATATTCCAGTGATTTTTCTGGCTATCATTATTTTCTGCCATCTCTACTACCATATTCTGCAAAGAAGGAAGTCAAGGACAAATAAATAGGCACTAAACGGAGAAGCCATGGGTGTGCATAATGGAGGTGGCTGGTGTTCTTCTAACTTGCAAAATCAAATAAAGAGATACTATCAGATTCTAACCCACCCAAGAACTCACTGGCCTTGCAATCAGCTAGAAGGAAAAATAATAAATCATCCTGCTATGAAACAAACAAAACATTTTTAAAAGAAATGCTGGAAATTGAATACTTACTCCTGTGCTGACAAGAGACAACATGATTCTTTCATTTAAGGCTAATGTTTCTCCTTGTTTCATTTTGATCCTCTTCTTATCTAAGCATTTCATTGCATACCTAGAAACATAAATTTATTGAAAAATCTATGCCGTAAATATATCTAGACTAATTTAAACAATATATGTCACTCTGGGGCAAGTTTCTGAACATTTAGGCCATGTTTAAAAGAAGCAGAGTAATACCCAAGCGCCATGCAAGAAGTATTTTTATTTTGCATGTATTGTGAAAACAAAATCAAGCAATACTTAAAAGATATTTGTATCATTAAATGGATAGAAGTCCCAGTTAAATAAATGATAAAGTAGATGGACATAAATAATTTTATTATGACTAATAAGGGCATATGTATATATTTAGCAGCTAGGAATTGTGAATTCAGCAATGGTCAATTGTTTGTTTTTTGTTTTTTGTTTTTTTTTGAGACAGAGTCTCACTCTGTTGCCCAGGCTGGAGTGCAGTGGCACGATCCAGCTCACTTCAAGCTCCACCTTCCGGGTTCACACCATTCTCCTGTCTCAGCCTTCCAAGTAGCTGGGACTACAGGCGCCCGCCACCATGACCGGCTAATTTTTTTGTATTTTTAGTAGAGATGGGGTTTCACCGTGTTAGCCAGGATGGTCTCGATCTCCTGACCTCATGATCCGCCCACCTCAGCCTCCCAAAGGGCTGGGATTACAGGCATGAGCCACCGTGCCCGGCCAGCAGTGGTCAATTTTTATAAGAGTTTATAGAGGTTAAGAATCTAAAACAGTGATGATCAACAAAATGGAAAGGGAAGGCATGAATTCAAAACAGCATGTCCTAAAATGCTATTTTATTGATTTATTTTTAATTTTGATATTTAAGTTATGACGTTTTAAATAATACAAAGAATCAATAAGATTTTTCTACTATCATTGAGGCAAGTCAATTGAGAAGAACCAATTGGCAACTTAAGATTTTTGAAAACCTGGAACAAACTCATATTTAGAAAATGCAGACAAGTTATATGGCATATTCTATAGAAAACAGGAAGCTTTTTCGGTAGGACAACAGAAGGCTAAAAGGGAATTCTTGCAAGTGTTTTCACACGTTTCACAGGCTGAAAGTTCTTGTGTATAACTCTAAATTCCCAGATGATGGACTACTTCCTTCAGCCCGGATCTGCAGCATGGACACTGTCTCAGTGTAGCAGACACAGAAAATCTACCTTTTTCTTGTTGATCATAACTTATCATGTTTAAGTTATATAAAAACAAGATAAATGTTCAAATTTGGTGTTTTTATCCACTTTTCTACGAGTTCTTACAACAAATCAATTGGCAAGACATTAATTTGCTTACATGTGGGATCAAATGTTAGAAACACATGAAGTGATATGTTCTTCAAATATCTTATTTTTATTTAAAAGAATTTTCAAAATGTTTTACACTACCTCTATCACCACTCTCTTCCATGTGGAGTTGATTTCTTTTCTTTTTTTTTCCTTTTCTTTTTTTTTTTTTTTTTTTTTTTTAAGATATGGGGTCTCATTCTGTTGCCCAGGCTGGAGTCCAGTGGGATGATTGTACCTCATTACAGCCTCAAACTCCTGGTCTCAAGCAATCCTCCCACCTCAGCCTCCAGAGTAGCTGGAGCATAGCTGGGACTACAGGCACCTGTCACCAGGCCCATCTAATTTAAAAAATATTATTTTTAGAGATGAGAGTCTCATTATGTTGTCCAGGCTGGTCTCGAACTCCTGTCCTCAAGCAATCCTCCTATTTCAGCCTCCTGAGTAGATGGGATTACAGGCATGAGCCACTGCACTTGGTGGTTTTTAATAAAACCTTTAGATTGCAGACCAAAGGAGATAGCACACAGGCCTCGGGCCTCTGGGAAGCAAGTGCATTCTTGGGCCTCTGTTTAGAAGGTATCAAAGAGCTACCTAACAGGCTCCTAGGGGTGCACCTTGTGGTTCACTGATGGGCTCGCAGAGCCAGTGTGCATGCAACTGGCAGCCTGGTGACAGGAACAGACATGAGTGAGGGTTCGTGGGCCTTAAGACTTGACCCCTTTCTAGCTATATGGCTCCTGAGAAGTATCTACACTTGATCTATAGAATAGAAGAATATTTACTACCCACTGGCTATTTTTGAGAGTTATGTGAAATAGTAAATGTGTACAAAGAGATAAGTTGATATTATTTCCTTTTTTTTTTTTTGAGACTGAGTCTCGCTCTGTCACTCAGGCTGAAGTGCAATGGTGCAATCTTGGTTCACTGCAACTTCCACCTCCCGGGTTCAAGCAATTCTCCTGCCTCAGCCTCTCGAGTAGCTGGGACTAGAGGCGCCCATGACAACTCCCAGCTAATTTTTTGTATTTTTAGTAGTGACAGGGTTTCACTGTGTTAGCCAGGACAGTCTCGATCTCCTGACCTCGTGATCGGCCCACCTCAGCCTCCCAAAGTGCTGGGATTACAAGTGTGAGCCACCGCGCCCGGCCGATATTATTTACTTCTATAACATCAAGTGTCTGACTAGATATTCTAAATACAATTATGAAGCAAAACTAGCAGAAATTAATGAACGGTGCCAAGCAACAAGTAGAGTATATCACTTAGGATGAAAAAGTGCACTGTGCAAGTACAGAATAAGAAAGAACTTTTCCATGAGAAAGTGACCAGGGTTGCAGAGGACTGTGTTTCAGTGAAAGTGACCAGGGTTGCAGAGGACTGTGTTTCAGTGAAACTGACCAGGGTTGCAGAGGACTGTGTTTCAGTATACTCTAATTTCCTTGTACTTAACACACAACAAGCAGCCTTCCGAAAGCCTGACAAAGTCTAATCTCATTTAATTCTCATAACAAGGCACTTTTATTACTCCTACTTTATAGACCAGGAGATGGAGGCATTGAGAGGTCCCAAACTTTGTCCAAGGCAGAAAGTGTGGAGGGTGAACCTGACGTAGCAGGTGTGATACCAGGACCCTTACTCCAGATCCCTAGGCTACATTGCTTGGGCACCACCCCAGACTTCAAACTCCTGAGTGCCGGGCATCAGGCTCGCCCTGCCCAGGCCCCCAGAGTAGAAAGACAACCAATGGGTACAAATTAACAAAGGTAAATTTCAGTCCTCAAAAAACATATCATCCATTGGACCTGTCTGAGAACGGAAAGGACTTCTTGGCAAAGCCATCAGCTCCCAATCCCAGGAAGTGCCTGAGCAGAGGCTGACCGGAGGCAGGCACTGAATTAGGGGGCCTCAAACACCCCTTCTCCCACGGACTCAATTACTTTATAACCAAGCCTCACACACTATACTACTCCACCAAGCCCACTGCTCTAACATGCCTGGCACTTAACCAAACTTGTAGTTCTGGATCTATCAAATCATATTTTTCCACTATCTTTTGCTTTCAGAAATATGTCTTAAGCCACTTCTGTTAAAAAAAAAAATGTTCCCCCACACTTAAGAATTCCACCATTCACTCTCCAGAAGACCCTTCTACCCAGCTCAGATGCAGTTAGTTTCTGAATGCTGACCTCCCAGGAAAAACGTTAACCAAGGTGAGTGATGGAGCCCATGATCGGTGATCATTGTCCACAGGGCTTCCTCCTCTCCAGCACCCCAGCTACTGATCTAGCGAACCAGCATCTGAAATGCCACAACGGCTTATGCTTCACTTCATCGTCGGTGAGTCTTTATTTAAAAGAGAATGTCTCTCTTTTGCAAAGCAAACAATTCTTTGTCATGTGATCTGATGGGGAGGCTGAACGTAACATGCCACAGTTGTCAAGGATCCCTTCTAGTTCACCTCTGGCTCCCTGGCTCCCACCCACAACCCGCACCATCTTGGGCACAGGATACAAGGTTATTGTTGAACTTCCCATTTGGCCCTAAGAGGTGGAGGTTCCAGCTTATTGCTCTCATTCCCCATGCTTAACAAAATACAGCTTTTTTTTTTTCCAAGACAGAGTTTTGCTCTGTTGCCCAGGCTAGAGTGCAGTGGCAAACTCCGCTCACTGCAAGCTCTGCCTCCCGGGTTCACGCCATTCTCCTGCCTCAGCCTCCTGAGTAGCTGGGACTATAGGCGCCCGCCACTGCGCCCGGCTAATTTTTTGTATTTTTAGTAGAAACGGGGTTTCACCCTGTTAGCCAGGATGGTCTTGATCTCCTGACCTCGTGATCCACCCGCCTCTGCCTCCAAAAGTGCTGGGGTTACAGGCGTGAGCCACCACGCCCGGCCTACAGCTTATTTCTTTTGGAGGTAAAGTACTTCAAAAGAAATGTCATAGGTTTCCACATTTCTTTATAGGAATTTTCTTTTCATGCAAATATTAAAATTTTAATAGTGCCAGTAAAACATAAGAGCATTGAAAGCTTACATTTTTCCAGTGTCTGCTTTCCTGCAACCATAAACTTCCCCGAATCCTCCTCGTCCAATAATCCTATGCACACTGAACTCATTCATGGTCAACTGGGAAATCCAAACACAAAATGAAAACATAAGATTACACAAAGCTATGGTGTTTTAAAGATTTTTTCATGCAAAACATAGACAGTAATTAAAATAGCAATCTGACTTAGGGATCTACCCTTTTCATGACTGAGTCTTTAAGCTGAAGGATGAGATGCCCCAGGGGTGGCAAGACTTTTGACAGCCTCCCTCAGCTCCACCTCCAGGATAAACGAGGCACCAAATGGAGGCACAAGGGAAGATGATGGAGTGGAACCAAGCCGAACTGTTTCTCCACTCTCACAAATCCCAGATTACAATATGTATACCTTGAGGACAAGTGAATGTGAAATGTCTAATCAAAATGAAAAGCAGCCTTAGCTACTCCGAAGCCTAATGTTTGGGAACAATCCAATGCTTCCGAGAACTGTCAGAGTTGAAAAATGAGAGTCCATGTCAGGGGCATCTATGTGTTCATGATACAAGGCCATATGATCAGGAAACCCAACAGATGCAGGCCATGTGAATTTGTTATTGGTAACATCAGTGAATAGAGAGGACTCATGCTGGCCATGTGAGCGTGAAACAAGGCTAAATGTGAGTGAAGTATATACAGAGGCTGTATTCATAAGCACTTTCCTTCAGTCAATAATATCTCAGTAATGCCCCACTTCATCATTAGATTTAATAATGTTAAGTGGCACAAAGACAGATAGTGAATCTGACATTTCACGTAAGAGGCCGTAAGACAATAGCAAGTACCTACTACTTTACATATCCTGGCAAATTAAGGGTGGGATTCTTTAAGGGCTCCCCCAAACAACCTTAAAACATCCTATAGAAACCTGCGTTTGGGCCACAGACTTCACGTTTGATTCTCAGAGTCCACAAGGACACAGGGTCTCCCGAGGCAGAAGCGTATGAAAGACCCAGAGCAGATATAAGGGGTTTTTAGAGTATCTGGTATTGCCTCTTGCTTCTAAATCCTTCCAGGAAATATGATGGGAAAAGGAGGTTAGAAATTGAAAAAAAAAAAAATAGATCATTTCTTGGCCTTTTAGTGAAGATCAAGTATTTTTAAAAAAAACAAAACTCCTGCTGGGCGCGGTGGCTCACGCCTGTAATCCCAGCACTTCGGGAGGCCGAGGCGGGCTGATCATGAGGTCAGGAGATAGAGACCACCCTGGCAAACACGGTGAAACCCCATCTCTACTAAAAAATACAAAAAATTAGCCGGGCATGGTGGCGGGTGCCTGTAGTCCCAACTACTTAAGAGGCTGAGGCAGGAGAATGGTGTGAACCCGGGAGGCGGAGGTTGCAGTGAGCAGAGATCGCGCCACTACATTCCAGCCTGGGCGACAGAGCGAGACTCGTCTCAAAAAAAAAAAAAGCCCCTCTTCCAACAATACCATTCAAGTAAAAAATCTCAAAAAAAAAAAAAAAAAAAAATTCCGGTTGATTGTTTTGCCCAATTGCAAGCCTATGAGAAGGGAGATTATAAAACAGAATGTAAGAAAGACTGTGCAAAGAAATGTGTGCATTTTCAAACTGCAATAAGGATGATGCAATAAGAATGACTGAAATTGAAAACTTAAAGTAGATGAAACACTAAGGAGATGACGTGTTAGAACGTGGCCTGTATTGGAAGATTGCTTTTATCACTCTCAAAATGATAAAAAAGAAGATGAAGCCTTGGTCTGATAAAAGATGTCATCATTTTCATTATGATACTCAATTTGTATTATTATATCTAATAATAAGAAAAAGAAAAGGAACTCTACCAGAATGGCAGAAGGCAAGGACATGAAGGAGTTATATTAAGTAAAAGATTTGTATTTTTACTACTATTTTTGTTAAAGAGTCAATTACCTCTTAAAATATCTTACATAAACAAGCACATTCTCATATGAATATGAAAAAGGATTAAAGCTTCTATTGTTTATAAGGAAGCATGGGAGGGTGAATGCTTAGTACTTAAAGCTGTAAGACAGACATCTGTTTGGGCAGTGGACCCTCTGGGAGTACGTTCCAGAATCAAGTATTTTCTCATGAGGTTAAGCCAGAGGAAGTTTTTATTTAAAAAATGAAAAAAGAAAAAGATGATACTCACATGGATATTTAATTCAACGTTTTTCCACTGACAAAATCTAGTGAACTTGTCACTAAAAGAGAATAAAATAATTACTAAAAAGTTAAATATCAAATTAACTGGATTTACAAAACAACACCGTAAGACAGACTAGAACGGCATTACTTGGGTTGCTTGTCAAATAAAGTTAAGTTTTCTGAAACCCTTTTTCACAGAGCATTCACCCGTATTCATGGCTTTATTTCATGATTCAAATGAAAGATTTCATGTTTCTTCTTTAATTGTCATAAGCTATGGTACCACTTTTATCTGAATCAGCAGAGTCCAATACGGAGATGATATGAACCACATATATAATGTAATTTTAATAATATACTTTATGTAACCCAATATATTAAAAATTCAACATGAAATCAATATGAATTAATGAGATATTCTACATTCTTGTTACTATATTAAGTCTTTGAAATCTGAAGTGCATTCTGCACTTAAAAGCACATTTTAATTTAGACTCATCACATTTGAAGTGTTCAATAGCTGTATCTGGCTACTGGCTACCATATTGGACAGCCATGGCTTTTAAAGCACAGCTCTAAGACAAAAAATTAATGTTTACAAATAATTCTAAGAGTAGCCATGTGCCAGGCCTGCTCATGTATTCCTCCTACAGACTCTACAGCCAGGTACTATTATGATCCCCATTTTATAGCTGAGGAGACCAAGGCATCAAAATGTTCAGAGGCTTGGCCAAGGTCACACAGTGACAGAGTGGGAGAGTGGAATTTGAACCCAGACCAATAGACACAGGTGGTATAGAAGAGAAACCCTCAGACTAGAATCCTAAGAGGCAATAGGTTCACCACACTGACATGCTCCCACAATTCACTCAACTGCTTGATGAGTGTTTTCTTTATCCATGAGGAAAAAGATATATCCTGTATCTATTTAACAAAGACATTTTGATTACGTTTTTTATTAATGAGCAATATATCTGTAAGGTGGGTCTTTTGTTTTTGTTTTTGTTGCTTTGAGACGGAGTCTCACTCTGTCGCCCAGGCTGAAGTGCAGTGGCGCCATCTCGGCTTACTGCAAGCTCCGCCTCCCGGGTTCACGCCATTCTTCTGCCTCAGCCTCCGGAGTAGCTGGGACTACAGGCGCCCGCCACCACGTGGACTAATTTTTTGTATTTTTAGTAGAGAGGGGGTTTCACCGTGGTCTCAATCTCCTGACCTTGTGATCCGCCCGCCTCAGCCTCCCAAAGTGCTGGGATTACAAGCCTGAGCCACCACGCCTGGCCTGTTTTTTGTTTTTGTTTTGAGATGGAGTCTTGCTATGTCCCCAGACTGTAGTGCAGCGGCGCGATCTCAGCTCACTGCAAACTCCGCCTCCCGGGTTCATGCCATTCTCCTGCCTCGGCCTCCCGAGTAGCTGGGACTACAGGGGCCCGCCACCACGCCAGGCTAATTTTTTTTTTTTTTTTTTTTTTTGTATTTTTAGTAGAGATGGGGTTTCACCATGTTAGCCAGGATGGTCTCGATCCGCCCGCCTCGGCCTCCCATAGTGCTGGGATTACAGGCGTGAGCCACCCTCCCGGCCAGGTGTTTGTTTTTTAAACTATTTTCAAAAGAAATGCATTCTAGATTGAATACTTCGTAGAGAACATTCTGGTGATGGTTCGATCTCATTTTGCCCCTGGCATGATTCCTTACACAGACACAGGATTCAGGGAGAGAGGGAGGAAGGGAGGAAGGGAGGAAGGGAGTTATAGGTAATATTAGCATCATACTGGAATGCCTTAAAGACATCCAAATATCACAGTTCCCTAGGGGCTTCATTTAATGAGCTTTACAATTTTTTTTTTTCTTTTGGAGACAGGGTCTCACTCTGTGTCCCAGGCCGGAGTGCAGTGGTGCAATCCTAGGTCGATACAACCCTCAATTCCTAGGCTCAAGTGATCCTCCCACCTCAGCCCCCCAAGTGGCTAGGACTACAGGCACACACCACCGCACTAAGCTATTAGTTTTTAATTTTTATTTTTGAAGATAGTGGGTGTTGCTATGTTGTACAGGCTGGTGTCGAAGCCCTAGCCTGAAGCGATCCTGCTGACTCAGCCTCCCAAAGTGCTGGGATTACAGGGGCGAGCCACCACACCCGACCAATAGACCTTTTAAAAAATAAGGATCTTTAACATATTTCTGAGGCTAACAATCAAATTAAAAATCAAAAGCAGAGGAATAGTTGCAATTACAATAGCATCTTTTTTTCAATGAATCTAAAATGACTCACAAAGAGTGTTTCACTGATCCTCCTAACATGTCTAATGAAGTTGGTCAATTAAAATTATGTTTTGAGACTTTCTAAGAGTTATTTCAACCTATTTTTTAAAAGTATGGTGCATGCAAAAGGCAAAACCACATTTGGGTGCACTCCCATTTATAAATCTATGACTGGTCTTTGAAATGCACTTGGTTTGTGAGGCTAGCTCTTACTGTCTTTTCTCACAGATTCTGGAGTCCAGAGCTGGTGACAGGGGATGGAAATCTGACACATTTTACAACTAGCTGAGGAGGGTTAACAAACAAGGAAGAGAGAAGTGCCTACATATTTTGCCCACTAAGAATGGATTTGCTGTAACAAGTTCCTCTTTAGGAAGTACAGATGGCCCTGAGTATCTAGGCTCAGTCCTGTCTCCACGGGGGTTATTTGAGTGCTATTCCCAATCAATGCCTGGTTACTGAGTGGGACACTTTTGACAGGAGGGGAACTGTGACAAAGGAAAGAGCCCAGACAATGATAGGGCTTCAGGTAGCTAGAGCCCTTGCAAATGACTTCAAAGGATCTTGGAGAGAAGATCAGAGGTTAAAGACATGGAAACGCCTGGGATGCAGTAAGGGTGGAGTAGGAGAAGTGTTTTTAACTCTGATTCCTGACTCAGTCGTTGTCCTGCTGAGCAACTGAAGTTCACTGCCTGAATGAGGCGCATAGCTCTCAACTAGAAGAGGGAAAGCCTCCACTGCCCTCTCCAATTCTGCCTCACCTGGAACTCAGCCCCACAGCCCTGCTTGGACCTCAGGGAAGGTGGGAAGACATCGCACATGTCCCTGCATTGCTGATGGCTCCCTCTTTACCATCAGACTCAGGGTGGTCATGGAAAAATCACCTTTTCCATGGGGCCCTTCGTGTGCCCAGTCCCTATGAGGTCAAAGGCTACATGACCATATTGATGGAGTCCCTGTGCTTTTCAAAATCAAAGCTCCAAACTTATCACCTGACATGAATTCTTTTTTCTAATTTGATGGAAATTAACAAATCAACTTTAAAAATAATTTATTTACAGAAAATTGTAATGGCTGCAGAAAATCCCATGTGCCTGCTTGCCTAAAATGCAAACGGCATCGTTTGCATTTACTGTGAGGCTATGAAATGACTGTCTCAATGAGCGAAAATCACTATATCTGTGAGCCTGGTTTCAAGTGAAAGGATGCATGGCAAAGTTATAAAATATCCATGGGAGAACCTCTTCCCCACTTTCAATTACCTTCCCCTCTCTCCCTTCTCCCTTAAGGATCACACAAAAGTTAGGTTTACCCAAGAGTTGGGAAAGGTCAGATTTTAGGACCAACAGCCATGGAGATGGCCCAGGACTTGGCTGCAACTCAGCCCTGAGCCAGCAGCCCACCCTCTCCCTTTGATGCTGGCGCTTTTTGGCAAAGTTCCTGCTATTACTCAGAAAAGTACAATCGTCTGTAAGAATATTAGTTTCCCAACATATTGACTCTGCTCCAGGATAAAATTACCTCTTGAACTCCAATAGAATTGCAACACAACTTTCTTTTTAATTGCTTTAGTTCTGTGAATATGTGGTGAAGAAAACTACAGTAAAGTAGCATTTGTTCTTAAAGTGCAATTACTGAGCAGCTGCAGAAAGCTCTAGCATGAGATATTATCATCACGTATATTGTCTAGAAATTAGCCAAGCTGATAAAGTCAGTGTCAATGCAGATTCTGTTTTAGAGGGTCCAATTTCAGTGGTGCATTGTCACAGAGACATACTCAAAAAACTGAAGAATTGACCAGTAGATCTATAGTTTGAGTAACCAAGGGACATATTTATTAGGTATTTAATGATGTACACGATCATAAACAGACATTGACCTATGTCCTTAAATTCTACTCCTACATGAAGAATCAAGTACAGGCTTGTCCTGCTTTGGGAGACATGTTTCCAAAATCCAAGCAAATGAATCAGATAAATTATAGTCAAGTTTGCATTATTAGCAAAGGTCTCTCAATAAGATACTTTTTAAAATTGAGGTTCCTCAGTGTATATTTTAGACTCTATTGAAGCTGAGAAATTGAAGGTCAAAGAGATGTTAAGATAGACAAACCCTAAAATTATAATGTAAAGTACTGAGGAAACAGTTTAACACAAAGCCTGGCACATCGTACATGGTCAGTGAATACTTGCTAAATGATTAACACACATTTTAAGGTCAGCATTTACGGCATAAGATGAGGTACACGTACATGATAAAAAATTGTGTATATATATGCATAAAGTTTCATACCTTTCCATAAATTTTTGAAAAATGTCACCTCGAAGGCTTTCACAAATTTCTTCTATGTATGGCTGGAAGAGATGGAAAAGAAATTCCACGGTGAATGAATCGGAATGTATCAAAAAAACACAAACCAATGAGACTCAGGTTAAGCGAAGTTCCCAATTATGCACTCCCCATAGCATTGTGTCTGGTACCTGCCCTTCTCCGTGCTTGTCTAATATTCACTAATGCATTCATCAATATTTATCTACACCACTTGATTCTATGAAGACACAGACAAGTCTGCCCTGTTTGCCACTATATTCCTACTACCTAATATGACTCCTGGCAAGTCACAGACACTTCTTACAGGAGCAGGGCTCGCTTCATGGAAGTGTGACTCAGAAAAGCCTGGTGCTGGGTTTAAAGCTCTGTTGTTGCCATTTTGAAATTCTTAATCATTTTTGTATGAGGAGCCCTGCGTTTTCACGTTGCACTGGGCCCCACAAGTTATGTGGCACAACTTGTAAGCTAATAAAAGCATCTGTAATCTGCACTGAGTTTTAAAAACTCAAAGCTAATAGGTCCATGAAGTGAAATTTTTTTTAATTAGCTATTTTATTTATTGATTTTCTATCTCTTAGAGTCATAGAGAAAACCACAGGGGAGAGTTGATCCAATCCCACTCCTCATCTTACAGGTAAGGCTACCAAACTGCAGGCAGGTGCACTCCCAAGGTCTCTGAGAAGGTCCATGGCTAAACTGGGGTTAAGGCGAGGGCTCCTGGTTCACATGCACAGTGCTCTTCCCCTCATGGAGAACAACTACCATCTACTTCAACTTCATGCCACTTTACCCATTACTGAATAAACAGCATCAGCTTTCCTTTTCCATGTTATGAACTTTTAAAATCAAGAACTATAAAAATATAAAGAGACAATATTTCACAGTTCAGCCCAGAGTCAATTAGATAGTTTTGGGAAACATTTTGGCACCCTCAGCTCATTGAATGATCCAAATTTAACCTTTTTTTTATGTCTTCATAGATCATCCTGAAAGTTTACAAAACAAAATAAAAGAAAAACTACATCATGGAACAGTACAAACCAAGTGATGAGAATAGGAAGTCTGCAGAAGCCACAGGAACCAAACATGGGCTGGGAGGCAGCTGCAGTCCTTCTGGGAGCCTTGCTTCCTGCAAGCAGAAAGGACGCTAGCCTGGCGGGCAACGCGGGATAGGGGGCGGTGGTGGGGGGTGAGCCAGTCTACCCCAACTTGCAGAACTATCCCTGTCCTGGGGAAGGCACTGGAGCTAGTTGCGAAAACCATATGGACTTTGTCCCCTTTGTGGTGAAAGAGGAAGCTAAATTATCTCTCTCTGAAGTTCCTTCCAGCTCTGAAATCCTGATTCCAGGAAACACACAACATCTATCTTAGCCAAGTCCTCGACAAGTCTCAAGAGGTTCAAAAGAGTCAAGAGACGAAATAGATTCAAATGTCCAAAGATCTAAGAAAAGGCTACATTTATAGATCACAGATTTTTCTATTTATAAAAGCTATTATGTCAATTAATATTTTTCTTTCATATTTTATCAAACATCCCTACTTTCTGCTAATAAAGTAAAAGATGAGTGTCACTGGGAATTCCTAAGACTACGTAGAATCTACCATGCTGCCACTTTTCAACAGAAAGAACCGCAACAGGCTTGCTAAGGAGTATGAAAGCCAGAGTTCAACAGTGAGATGAGGAGCAGACTACTTTCCCTCTCTGATCCTCAGTTCCCTTAATCTGTAAAAGAGAACAGTCGTATCTAAATTGTAAGGCTGTCGTGAGAATTCGGTAAGATTCAGAATACTGAGAGCCGAGCTCAGGGCACAGTGCATTTTAGAAGCACTCAAGCACAAGCTAGGGCCCCTCCCAAGCCCGCCACCAATGGACCTATGCACTTACTTACCTCTAAAGGCAATCTTACAACAAAAAGAATTTAATAAAAAGCATTCGTATTTACTTTAAAAACAGTTTTGTTTTACTATGAACTTCAACTGACTTTACTGGTTAATGTACCTCTGTAAACAGGACATTCAGACATATACCTTTTACTTATACTTTAGTCATTATGCTCTGATGGTACATAATACATAGAATTGCATTAATATACTCCTTATTTTAATAAACTTTATAAGATTTTCTTCACCTCTGAAATAAGAATAATACCCATTCTATATCTGTTTAGCCAGAAAATTTTGACTATTTTTTTAATGAACAAAACAAATCAATAAAGTGTTTTTTAAAAGATATATGAAAGAAATTGCTTCTAAATGAATGTTTTTTGAAGGTATGAAAGAATCCTAGTGGTCTTTGTATCTCAACTGGAACAATTTTTTTTCAATGTTATTTATGTTATAGTGGAAGCTAAAATCAGATTTGTAAAACCCATGTATTATGAGGTATGGTTTAGCAATGTTAAATGTAATTGACCATAAGGCTGTCTACGTACCATGGCAAAGTCAGATGAAAACTGAAATTCTGACACTCAAATATCATGGAGACAACAAAAAGCAGATATTGACACTGTACTTTCTGACTGTAAGATGTGTGATAATAGCTAACATTTGTGGAGCACAGTGATAGGCGGGCCTCGTACAAAGCAACCCGTGTGCACCCTTCTCACTGAATCAAGACCTCCCTTTCAGGGAGAGCGCAGTGTCATTTCCACTTTACAGATGAGAAAACTGAAGTTAGGAAGGTGGAGGAGCTTACCCAAGGTCCTCCAGCTACGGCCCTGGGACTCAAAGCCAGGTCAGGTCAATGAATTTCATAACCCAAGCTTATAACCCACTACTATCCAGACAGGTATTACATTTTATGAAAGTCCATCTAATTATTGTCACAGAAAGGTAACACCCAATTTGTTACTATCTAAATATGCTCTAAGAGCCAAATCGGTATTTGCTCTGCTGAATAATCAAATTCATTTTGCATAAACACCATCATAAGATGCCAAAGTTGGCCGGGCATGGTGGCTCATGCCTGTAATCCCAGCACTTTGGGAGGCCGAGGCGGGCGGATCACAAGATCAGGAGATCAAGACCATCCTGGCTAACACAATGAAACCCCGTCTCTACTAAAAATACAAAAATTAGCTGGGCATGCTGGCGGGCACCTGTGGTCCCAGCTACTTGGGAGGCTGAGGCAGGAGAATGGCGTGAACCTGGGAGGCGGAGGTTGCAATGAGCAGAGATAGCACCACTGCACTCCAGCCTGGGCGACAGAGCGAGACTCTGTCTCAAAAAAAAAAAAAAAAAAAAAATGCCAAAGTCAACTTACCTCCCTTTAAATGCCCAACTTATCCAGGAAAAAGATGAGTTGATTATTTTCACTTATTAAAACCATTATATTACTCAATGACATTCTTTCCTATTTCTTGTAATTTATAGAAACATGAAAAGCACTTTGTTCATTGGAGAATCTGACTGTCCTTGTAAACCACTGCCACCTCTATAAAAAACACAGGATGGAAAAGGCTTTTGGGAGGAAGTGAAACCACCTCATCTAAGGAATGCCAAATACATAGGCCTATTAGTTGGGAATCTGATTTTCCAAGTCTTGTCATTTAAACCTGTATGACGGTATTGTGTTCAAGATATGAACAGCCAAGGTAAAATACAATTTCCCATGACTCAAAGATCACTCAAACATTTGCTCCTGAATCTTGAAAATAAATTGTATTTCCCCTAGAGGATAATCACAGCAAGTATCAACAGCCTGGCACTACAAAATAAATCTTGTAGAGTCATTGCTCATCACAGGTGCTGGAATGTCAAATGGGCAAAAACTTGCTTCTCTGATGTCTTATCTTGACTGATTTCTAGAACATAATGTTACGACAAAGCTCTAATGACCTTTTTCAGAAAAGGCTTTAGGAAGCACGTTGGTAGAAGGACACTTTGCAATGGGAAGATAAGCGATAATAAACTCAAATAGTCCCAGACAAAGCTCCAGAATAGAACACAGTCTTTACAAAGCAAGTCCTCTAGTGTAATTGCACATGCAAAAAGAATGTCACCAAGGCCAAGTGTTAAGCAAATATTATCTATTTATTTTGGAATAATTTTATCTTACCTGAAAAAGAGTTGATGTCACTTGTTTCTTGGATAAATGACTTTGTACGTGTTCTACAGCTTGCTTTGAGAAAGGCTATCAAAGTCAAAAATAATATTTTTAAATAATAAAATGTAACCAATCTGTGTATGTTATATAATATCACAACAGATAAATTTAACACAGCAATTACTAAACAGTAACCTACGGTAATTATATTAACAAACATTCTTTAAAAATCTGTTGAGTATTTATAGGCAATCGCAGCAAATGCTTGTTCCTCTGGGCATCCAGTTCTTAGATACATGCCCAGAAGAATGACCATGCAGGGGCTGACATTATGCAATTCCAGAAGGGTTCAAGATCACTCTGATAATAAAGTGTAAAGAATCCTATTATCAGGTCAAGTGCACTGGTTCATGCCTGTAATCCCAGCACTTTGGGAGGTTGAGGCAGGAGGATCACTTGAGCCCAGAAGTTCGCGATCAGCCTGGGCAACACAGTGGAACCTCATTTCCATAAAGATAAAAATAAAAATAAAAATGAGCCAGGCATGGTGGTGTGCGCCTGTAGTCCTAACTACTCTGGAGGCTGAGATGGGAGGATTGTTTGGGCCCTAAATGCATACATTCATCAACAAACTGATAATGGGGTTGTAAAAAGATAAAATTTCCATCAAATAAGAGAAAATACACAAAAATACCCCTAAGAATTAATGTCAGGATTACAAAGTCAAGCCATAGTGGTAAAAGGCTCTAGTTAAGGAAAGTCTTACTGTAACCACAGCGAGGGGAACTAGGGGGAAAAAAATGGAGCTCCCACTGATAAAAATTAAAATGGTATCCTCCCCTCTCCAAACTTCAAATTGTGTCTTCTTTAATAATGTACAATAAGAAGAAAGGCTTAAAAGTACCATCATACGAATAAACACCCTCTAAACTGCTGAACTACATAAAAACTAAGTTTACGGAGGCTTTCCCATTGAACATCTGGCATTCTTCAAGGGTTCAGTCCTTCCCTACTGAGGCAGCAAGGCATGGAGTAGCAACAATTAGTCCTAGGCCCAGAAATTCCTTCATCAAGCCAGGTGGGTCCAAGGAACAGAGCAGTGCATGCCGCAAGAAAGAGACGTCCTCTTTAGCCACAGTTATGCAAATGTCAGCAAGAACTGTACATAAACAATGAATACAGAAGCACCAAAATACACCAATACCATGACCAGTGCTGTCCAATAGGACTTGCTGTGACAATGGGAGGGTTGTGTATCTGTGCCATCCAATACAAAAGCCACTAGCCCCATGTAACCACTGAGTACTGGAAATGTGGCTCATGAGGAACTGAGGTATTAAATTTTTACTCCCATTTGACTTTAGTTAATTTAAAGTTAAATGTAAATTGCCACATGCAGCTAGTGGCTGCTGCGTTGATACAGCAGGCCAGGACTGTCAGGCCACCTTTTGGAAAACATTCCTAATATAGAGATATTACATGGTAAATGTTCTTCCAGTTACTCCTGATAGAATAATTTCCTAATAACCTAGTTTATCCTAATGACCAAGTTAGATTGTTTATCTGATTTACAAGGAAAAAAAAATATTACAACTGCTATTGAACTATTAATGGACAAAATTAACACAATGATTATAAGCCACTTTATTCATTCAAAGAGACCATTTAAAATTTATATTTATCAATAGCTGATTAGCTTAATTGTTAAAGTATAGCTCATTTTAAAATAATAAAGCTTAATTTCCTTTAGAATGTCTTGAATTGAGACTTTTTCTTCAGTTGATCTAAATTAGCAATTTTATTTCATTGATGTTTGCAGTGAAAGTATCAGCTTTTGGAAATAAACTAAGCTTACACGAAGCAACACACATCGTGGTAATATTACCAGGAAACAACAAAGCAGAAGAAATAGGATCCATCCCGGGCGTGCATTTTTCAATTTTAAACACCTTTCTACTGTTTAACTTTCATTCTGGAAACGCTGAACATGGTCCCTTATTCATCAGTACTAAAGTAACAGAGTAAGAAGAAATACTTACATGTGAACAGGAAAGAAGTTCCTTCATGATGTAGGCATCATAAATTTGTCGACTTCTGCAAAGGCGGTCTTCCTCATTATCAAGTTTTTCATATTCCTTTATCTAGGTTTTTTAAAGTTATCATTGTTAGGTTGTATCTTCCTGGAAACTTGCCTTATTAAAATATATTACTGGCCCAGGCAGAAACCACTTGCACATGAGATAAAGCAAATTACTGAACCGGCTATTCCACAGGAAACAGCTACTTCTAATGTTGTAATAATGAAGTTGGAATAATTTAAATTCAACTAGAAACATACAAGTGGATTTTTTCCCTATGATGACTCTCATCACTTAAATGTAGAAACATAATATTAGGAAACACACACTGCCATGGTTACAATTATCTTACAATACACGAGCCATAGACCATGCATCCTTGCCAATTCTCCTCTTCAAAGCACAAATCATTTCAATTTGGCTGTAATTCAGTTCTAGGAGTTAGGATAGGGAATGTTCTCACTCAACTGCAGTGTTCCAAAACTACAAGGAGGAAAAAAATATACTGCCAGAATTCCTGCAAAGAGATTTTTCAAAAATCAACTAAAGCAAATAAGTATTATAGAAAGGAATTAACCCACAGATGAAAGCATTGGCTTTTCAGGTTGGAACCTCAGCTGCACTATAAAAGTATTAACAGACAGGTGACTGGTGACTTCAAATCGTGTATTTTGCTGTATTCAGCAAAGGTAACCTGGTTGGTGTTAAAAATGACTAAATAATGAAACTGTGCTTTAGAAATATTTGCCTTATGTGGAAATGGCTCCCAATGCTCTAACCTGATAACAGAAGGTCCTGGACCTCAGAATTGTTCCCAATTTATTTACAGAAATACTTTTAATCCAAAAGACAAGAAGAGAATGAAAACATACATGAAATATGAAGCTCGGAGGGAAACTGTCACAAAGATCTTCACTATAATGACTGATTAGTACATATGACTTCCTTTCACAAACTAAATAGAAATAAAGGTTACCTTTTACCTTATAGTACGGCTTTCACAGCTTTGAAATCAAAACCAGCAAATCCTATTTATTAGACTCCTAATAAAGATAAGGGCACAGTCATGCAGGTGAGGGAAAAAGGGTACGTGAAACACTGAGGTCCCATGAGTCATATGAGGGCTAGCAGGTTCACACGCTGAGAAATTCCCAGGAACATCTTAATTGTCCTGAAAGATCATCAGTGTTACACTGTGATGGCTGAAATTCACATGGAGTCTTCTTGAAGAAGACAATAAAACCTGACATAAAGGCAGGCAGACTGGGGAAGGCTGATACTCTATCCAACAGGAAAATCTTTATGAAGAATCAGTCCAGTAATGTCAACATAGCCAAAAGACCAGGGCTTAACCATTCTAAGTCAATTCAGGAGAACAAGTCTAACATGTCCAAGCACCATACCAGATGTGAATATGGTAGCTGCAAAGTAACAGAAGCCAGATACCAAAATCCGAAGGAGAGTCGGAAAATAAATCAAAGATTTTTGGCTTGGCTGATTCCTTTTGTTGTATTTTGCTTTAGGCAAATCCAAAGGTTAATGCCAGAATGCTAGGATAAAATGGTAGACTATCACTAAACCAAAGGCAAAAGTTTCTGCCTCTACATAAGAACAGCCTCAAGGGATAATAAGACTTCATGGAATGATGATCCTTGAAAACAAGTGTAATGAAATTTAAGTCTATGTTCCAAGAAACCTGCAAAGCAAATTGACACCTGGTTAAACAAATGCTCATTCTGTGGAAGCTCCTTCCCATGAACAGTCAAATCCCATCATTTCTGGGTAAATCATGCTCTGAACCACAACACTGTCTTGACTAAGAGCCTTGTGCCTTCTAAGCTCCAACTTGACAACAGAAAAGGTAACTCTTGGTATGCAAAATAAGAGCCTAAAGCATCTGTGGCTGTAATTTGGTATTCACTTTCTATAATCAGTAAGACCACTGATTAAAGACCATGCAGTCGACTACCAATAGCTCTAAACAAACATCCTATTGCAGCATATACATAGCAAATGCCATCTCTGACCCCGGAAGTTTGGTTGTCCAGGTAACCTGGGCAGGGAAAGGTCTGAGTTCAAGGTGAAAAGTCTTCCCTACTGCAGGATAGAAACACTATCATCAATAATAAATATTCACAGACCTGTAGTCCCTTTCTGCTTTGGTGGTTACACAGCTCCCAGGTGAACTGGAAGCCTAAATAACCTGAGCCCTAAGAGCAAGCACTTTTGGTCCACAGGTGTCATAGTCTCTGCTTCTGCGCCCACCCTTTGTTCCACCACCATTGTAGTGAGATGGTCTAGTGAAGTCATCTCTGTCTGGCCCAATCCAAGGCTCTCTCTTTTGTCCTTCACCTTATTGACTTCTCAGCAGCATTCAAATCAGTTGTCCACTGATGCCTTCTTTGAAATATTCTTCTCTGACTTCTGTGACCTATCCTCTCCAGGCTTCTCTTTCTTGGTCTCCTTTGGTAGTTCCTCTCCTCTGCTTGACTTCCAAATCCTGAACTGCCTCAGAGCATGGTGCTGGGGGCACCCCTTCTTCACCAGCTAAGTTCTCCCTAGGTAAAGCTATGTAGTCCCACAGTTTCAAATATCAATTATATTCTGATGACTAAGTCTGGATCTCTAGGACTCCTGAGCTCCAGATTCTAAATATCTAACTATCTATTTGACATTTTCAGTTGAATATCTAGAAAGCATCTCAAATTTAACACATCTAAATGAAACCCTTAACTTCCACATCCTCTGTACTCCAGCCAAACGGGCTCCTCTCCCAGTCTTCTTTATCAAAAAAATGAGTAAAATCATCCTCCCAGTTGCTTAAGCCAAAAAATGAATAATCATAGTGATTCCACTCTTTCGCCACGCCCCTGCCACCACCACCCCCTACATCCAATTCATCAGCAAATCACGTTTGCTTTATATTCAAAATATAACACAAACTCAGGCTCTGCTTCTGGTCAGAACCAATTAATTCCTAACAGAACAATCCTCCTGAGATAACAACTAAAATTCTGGACACATAGACAATAAGCACTGAAGAGTGACCAAAGGAACACAGAGAATGGAAAAGGGCATCCAACAGAAACTGTAAGAAAATAAAGAGCCACAGAAGGAAAGCTCCAAAATTCTATGTATAAATCCAGTCAAAATCCCTGGTGGGCCCCATAATGACACATGAGCATGACAGACCCTAAGCAGCCTAGCTGAGCCTTAAAGAACTGAACAAGATTCATCTTCCACCACTGCAGAGAGGACAGGGCTCAGAGTTTGAGTAAGCCAAGTTAACTGTATTCTTCAACGAACAGATGAAAAAATCCATACACCTTGGAGGAGCATAACAGAGTTTAGAGTATCCACAATGTATCAATCACATGTTCAAGATACAAGCTAAAATTATTCTACAGATGAAGAAACAGAAAATGTGACCCATATGCAAGAGGACAAACCATCAATGAAAACCAATCCAAGATAGCCCAAATGTTAGAATTATCAGACAAGGATTTTAAAGCAGCTATTATAACTGGACATAACAGAAAGGATGTTAACAGAAAATATTCATGTAACGAATAAAAAGATAGGAAATAGCAGCAGAAAATAACTATGAAAAGAACCAGATAAAAATGTCAGAAGTAAAAAATAGAGTATCTGAAAAAAACATTCAATGGAATGGCAGATTAGAGATGCCAAAAGAAAATGCCAATAAATTTGAAGACAAATCCACAGGAAGTATCCAATCTAAAGAAAAGAAAGAAAAAATATTGGGGGAAAACTCAGACAGGGCATCCAGGATATATAGGACAGATAATATCCAAATATCAAATATATATATAATCAGTCTTAAAAGGAGAGGAAAGAAAGATTGAGGTAGAAAAATAATCCTTTAAGAAGTAATGGCCCCTAATTTTCCCAGATTTGGTAAAAAATATATATATAAATTTACAGATTCAAGAAACTCAGCAAACTCCACAAAGGATAAATACAATATCTAAAATTACTTCACTAAAAAGCAGAGGCTGTCAGAATGAGGGAAAAAAATAATCAAGACACTTTTATATCTGTCTAAAAGAAACACACTTTATATATAAAAACAAATTGATAGTAGAACGATGGGAAAAGATACCTCATGAAAATAGTAAGCATAAGACTGAAGTGTCTACATCTGTATTAATATCCAGTGAAGTCAATTTCAAGACAAAGAATATTACCAGAGATAGACACATTTCATATGGAAAGACACAACAATCAAAAATGTTTCTGTACTCAATAGCAGAGCTTCAAAAATTATGGAGAAAATGGACAAAATAAAAGAAGAAACAGACATTCTACAATCATAGTTGAAAATTTTAACACCCTTTTCTCAGCAATTGATAGAACAACTAGATATAAAATCAAAAGAGATGTAGAAGGTATCATATCAACTACCTTGACCTAACTGATACTTATAAAACATGACACCTAATACTCCTCTGTTTTAATTTTTCCACGGGCATTAGAATAAAATGTAAATGTGTTACTCTGGCCCCAAACACTCTGCCTCTCTCTTCAACCTGATCTTATCTCACACTACCTGCCCCTCTCTTCATGCAGTACAACCAGACCACACTAGTCCTGTTTCAGTTCCCCAAACATGCCCAGTTCTTTCCTACCATGTTAGGGGCTCTGTCTTGGCCACAACTTTAGCCTAAAATGCTCTCCCCCTCACCAAGCTTCCATCTTCAAAAGACCAGCCTCTTTAACATTCAAACCTGGGTTTAGATGTCATCTCCTCAGACAGTCTTTGACCCATCAATCTAAAGTGGTCACCAAGTCACAATACAACATGCTGAGTTTTGAGTAGGTTTTGAGTCATTACATAGCAGTTTTTACTTCCAGGTACATTTCCTGTTTATTATTTGTTTCTTGTCTGTTTCTCTCAACCAGAATACAAGCTCAAAGAGATAAGTTCTTTGTATCTGTTCATCTGAACAGTGTCTGGCATAATGTTGGTGTTTAATAAATATTGGTTATGCCAGGAGTAGTAGTAGCTCATGCCTATAATCCCAGCACTTTGGGAGGCTATGGGGGGAGGATCACTTAAGGCCAGAAATTCAAGACCAGCCTGGGCAACACAGTGAGACCTCATCTCTACAAAAATTTTTAAAATTAAAAAAAAAGTATCTGGGTGTGGTGGTACACCCTGTTATCTAAGCTACTCAGGAGGCTGAGGCAGGAGGATCACTTGAGCCCAGGAGTTCAAGACTAGAGGGAGCCATGATTGCACCACTGCACCCCAGCCTGGGTGACAGAGTGAGACCCTGTCTCAAAATTTAAAAAATAATAAATAAATATTGGTTGAATCAGTGAAAAAATCTATATAGTAACTTTACCTTGGAATAATATTTATTTTCTCTTTCCCATTATTTATTTTTAAATCTAGGCATAATGTACATATTTCTATAAGCTGCCTCAAAATCTAACTGGAATAAGAAGTATATAAATCAACACACAGAGCAGTAGCTGTGGGGCATCACTGTTCTATGTGTGTTGTGTATACACACAACCACCCTACAAGACAGGTACTATAATCATTCCAGTTCTTAGCTAAGGAAACCCAGGTAGAGAAAAGCTTTCCCAAGTTTACACAACTAGTAAGCAGTAGAGTTGAAATCCAGGCAGTCAGAGTTCAGCACTAGAACTTTCAACCACTATGCTGCACGTAACGGAACAGCATATTATAGACACTATGGTTTAGAAAGCAATTGTTCATCTGGTGTCCTATTTGAAACTCACAGTTAGCCTGTGAAGTAAGCAGAAGACGATCACTAGCCTCACTTTATAGATGAGGTAACTGAAGTTCAGATATGAAGCCCTCATACTATGACAGCCTCAAGTACAGGGACAGTGTCTGCATTTGTAAGCTCAGGGTCTGACATAAGGTAGATACTTCAGGGTTTGCTGAATGACTTGCCCCATATCCCACAGCAAGTAAGAGGCACCGTTGCACCTAGATCCTAGCTAGGTCTTCTGCTGATGAGTCAAATAATGGTCCAGATGAAAATGCTGACCACACACACACAAGCAGCAGGCACATGGTAGGCATGACATGAGCATTAGACAACAAACAGTGTAAGAATCAGAGGAGTCAGCCATCACAGAAGACGGAAATAGCTGCACAAACAGACTTGCTAGAAAATGTAGAAATTTTCCATATTGAGCTAGACCTTAGAGAAAGCTAGGCTTTCAACAAGCGAAGCAGCAGCATTCTAGGCTGGGGAAAGGACACAGTAAAGTAACAAAAAGAATGGGCTTGGATTTGGGGAATGCTGGTTAGTCAGGTTTGGCCAACGTAGACATTCTATGTAAGAAGGTAGTGAAAACTAACAGGGAGAGGTAGGTAATAAGTAATGTAAAGATACTTTGAATGCCAGGATACGCAGTTAGAACTTTAACATGGGAAATGGGTAACTGTTTGGGGACACAGGAAAGTGGAAATACAATGTACAAAATGTACATTTCAAGATACCTGACAAGAGTTTTCTAGAGATTGGGGTCACAAATCAACAAGCAGAAATTAAAGAAAAATTACTAAACTGACAAAAATGAGGGGTCAGAGAAGAATTACTAATAACTTCAAAGTGTAAAGGCTGCATTGACTTAGAGAAATGCACTTGAGCCCCAAGAGTGGAGGATATCTTCAGCCAAAGAATACAGAGCAGGTTGCTGAGGAGTTTTGCAGCATCCTCCAAGGGGATCATCTGATGAGCCAGACCCACCATGTGCCAAGCCAGAAGAGAGGTGAGAAGAGCTGGGGAGGATGCCAGCTAAGAGAAACACCAATGCTTCAAGTTCAAATGGAAATGCATGAGCAGCAATCACCACCATATCTGCAATAAGTACTTAGGAAATAACCACAAGTAGATTGCCCATCTGTTTCAACCCAGCAAAAATTATCTGCTAAAGGAGATTTCTCTGTGTTTGACAAGGTGACTTAGTAAATGCTGAAACTGGAGAGTTGAAGTTTTTAGAAACACAAGAAAGAAATTTTTTATGACAGATCAAGCTGGGATACGTATCCAGGTAAAATGCCTGATTATGATTCAGACTGAAATAATAAGGTCACTGAGTAAAATCCTTTTGGATTTAGCTTACGTTTTTACATTATGGTAAACGTACATCATAATTTGACCCTTCTTCCTAAAAATACATTAACATAATTTTCTAAGTTTTCATGTGTATGTATATTTTTATGTATATTTTCATATATAAATGAGAAAGAAAAGAATATTCCTCCAATTTTCAAATTTTTACAATGATGACTAATATCAGGCAGGTCCAGTCATGCTATGCTTTCTTTTGACCATTTAATGTTTTAGGATAAAGATATATCACACTAATAATAATGGTATATATCATTTCTTAAATATATTTTCATTAAAAATAGTTTCTAATTTCTATTTTACTTTCCTCTTTGACTTATAAATTGTTTAGAAGTATATTCATTTTCAGGCAGTTAAGGATTCTTTAGTTTAACTCTGTTATTAAATTTGAGCTTAATTCTATTGTCAGAGAACATGCTCTAAGCAATTTCAATCATGAAATTTGTAGAAGCTTCCTTTAGGACTCAGCACATGATCTATTTTGATGCTCCATGTGTACGTTAAAGAATGTGGGCTGGGCGCCGGTGGCTCACGCCTGTAATCCCAGCACTTTGGGAGGCTGAGGCGGGCCGATTACGAGGTCAGGAGTTCGAGACCAGGCTGGCCAACATGGTGAAACCCCGTCTCTACTAAAAATACAAAAATTAGCTGAGCGTGGTGGCGGGTGCCTGTAGTCCCAGCTACTTGGGAGGCTGAGGCAGGAGAATTGGTTGAACCCGGGAGACAGGTTGCAGTGAGCCGAGATCATGTCACTGCATTGCCTGGGCAACAGAGCAAGATTCCATCTCAAAAAAAAAGAATGTGAATTCTATTTTTGCTAGGTGCAGCATTTTACATATGTCAATTAGGTCAAATTTACTCATCATTTTATTAGGATCTTCTATATCCTTACTAATTTTTTGTCTGTCTGTTCTATAAGCTCTAGAAGGTTATGTGTTAATATCTCCCAACAGGATTATAGATTTGTCATTTTATATCTGCCAATTTTTGCTTTATATTCTTTGAAGTTATTTGTAACCTACAGATTTCAGTTTGTGATATCTTTTTGTTGGATTGGCCCTGTTATCATTAAGAAACATATCTTTATTTAAAAGCAGCATTATTGCATAGTTTGCCTGATACTAGTGTAGTTATGCCGGCTTTGCTTTGGTTAGTGTTCGTATTATATCACCTCTTCCATCCATGTGTTTATATCTCTTGTAAGCAGTATATTGGGGGAGGGTTGGTTCTTTATCCAGTCTGAAAAACCTAATCTTTTACTTGGAGTATTTAATCCTTTACATGAAATGTAATTACTTAAATAGATTTGTAGCTACTTACTCTTTGTTTGCAATTTGACCCACCTATTTTATGTCCTACTTATATTCCTTTTTTTGCCTTTCTGTTGATTAGCAAATGTTGTTTTAATTTTTCCCTCTTTTAACTTGTTAGATATACAGTCATGTGGAGCTTAATGACAGGGATATGTTCTAAGAAATGTGTCAATAGGCAATTTCATAATTGTGTGAACATCACAGAGCATGCTTACAAGAGCCTACATCGTATACCTACTACACCCCTACGCCGTATGATGTAGCCTATTGCTCCTAGGATTCAAACCTGTGCAGCATGTGACTATACTGAATACTGCAGGCAACTGTAACACAATGGTAAGTATATTCAAACTTACCATTTGAATATACTTACCTTTTGAATATACGTACCTTTTACTGAAAAGGTACAGTAAAAATATAGTATTAAAATCTTCTGGGATCACTGTCATATACGTGGTCTTTTGTTGGCCTAATATCATTATGCAGTGCATGACTATATACACTATTCTTTTATAAATTATCTTAGAAATTAAAATAAACATCCCTGACTGATTACAATCCAATGGAAATTATTACTTATACTAAAATTATTACTTACACTAACCCCCAATAATCCTAGAAACTTAAAATATTTTAACTTCATTAACCTCCCCTGCATTTTGTGCTACTGTCATGCAATTTAGTTCTAGATTATTTTAAGCTCGAGAAACACGACATTATTGTTTTATACAGTCAACATTCATTTATATTTTACATACATATTCACCCTTCATGCTCTCCATTTCTCCCTGCATCTCCATCTGGATCATTTTCCTGCAAGCTCCGCCTCCCGGGTTCACGCCATTCTCCTGCCTCAGCCTCCTGAGTAGCTGGGACTACAGGCACCTGCCACCACACCCGGCTGTTTTGTATTTTTAGTAGAGACAGAGTTTCACTGTGTTAGCCAGGATGGTCTCGGTCTCCTGACCTCGTGATCCGCCTGCCTTGGCCTCCCAAAGTGCTGAGATTACAGGCGTGAGCCACCATGCCTGGCCAGATCATTTTCCTTCTGACTAAAGTACCTCCCTTTAGTATTTCTTGTCATGCAGGTCCACTATTGACAAATCCCTCAGTTTTTGTTTGTCTAACTATATCCTTATATCACTTCATTTTTTAATGAGAATTTTTTATTTCAATTATCCACAAAACAATATTATAATACTTTATAAAAATATTAAGTTTAGGCTGCCATTATTCATTTTAAAAAGTGTGCTAGAAGGCTGTTTTTGCTAACTTCCTTTTTTGGTAAAGGTTAACTTCCACATTAAGACACTGAAGACGAAAAGCTGTTGGAAAAACTCTTCAAATGTACAAAGTTGTTTATTTTTCTTGGCAATTTAAAAATACAGAACAATTTAAAATGAATACACATTAAGTTAGTGTTTTATCCCTACTATACAATTGTTATTATATAAGGAACTGCTCCATTCAGTTAAAACCTAATGAATACCATCAACTTTTCCTGGCTTACTTTCCTGATCAGATTTAGTACATAACATAATTTTGTTACCCTTTTGAATATACTTAGAAAAATTACAATATCATAGTTCACATAAAGCCCTTTAAGAATCTCATGTCACAAGTTGTTGACAAGAGGAAATAATGACGTCACTCTTCTTAGGAAGACCCTCTTGGTAGAGAGTCAATACTAAGCAGGTTATGTAAACAGAAAAAACAACCACAGTTTTTAGTACGAGAACCATTGCCAACTTGCATGAAGTCCATCTGTCACATTTTAAAATGGTTTGAATTTGAACGTATATGCCATGGCACAGAATTTCAAATCTAATGATTAAATCAGGTAAATAATGATAGTTAAGAATTATATCCTGAAAATAGAGGAACCTAGTATAAGGTTTAATTTAAGGTGTGACTGTAAGAGAGTATTTTATAACATACACACTAGACCTTCATTTTATTTATTAGATTTAATTTTTCCTTTGCTAGACACTTATACCACTAATGCTGCTATTCAAATTTGTATTTTGAAATTTTTTAGTTACTCTTAAAAATAGTTTTATTTTGTATGTTTCACTTTTGCACTTCAGGGTAAAAACTGTTAAGTTTAGGCTGCCATTATTCATTTTAAACAGTGTGCTAGAAGGCTGTTTTTGCCAACTTCCTCTTTTGGTAAAGGTTAACTTCCACATTCCTTTTCACCACTGTTAATATTCAGAATAAGTTTTCCTCCCCAAATCAACTATTTAATATATTCTAAAGGGGAAAAAATGACCACCATTAAGTAGACTTTAAAAGTGAATATAGATTCAAACATGATTTGAAAACTGGAGTTCTAAAAATGTTTTGCATAAAAGCCGTATCCCACTGGAATGAATGTGAAGCCGAAACTTCACTATTTTGAACAAATAATGCCCATTTAGTGTGTAAGAAAAATTAGTTTTATAGTTAGTTATACCTTATAACTCTTAAAAGTCTCAGAAGATAGCTAAGTGAGGAGCTATGAATGCCAACAATGCCATTTTGTCACTCTATGACATCAACATTAAACATTACATTCCATCCCTCTTCTTGTAAAACTTTCACATTTTCTTTTCTCGTATTTCTTTGAAATACATTTTACTCTCTCTGTTCATCTATTTCGACATGAGCAAAAGTGCATTCAAGTCCCTGATCTGGTTCTATTTTCTATTTGTGGCACCCATCACCATAAGGACATATTAGCAATATCTCACAGTACCAAGTCTATTTTTTTAAAAGTGCTCTTTAAATGCTGGGTCTTACTCCGCATGTTATCTAAAGATTAAAAGATTTCCCCTTGGATTGGATAGTACAGTTTCAATTATATATTGCCTTAAAAAATTGCCGGGCATGATGGCTCATGCCTTTGGGAGGCCAAGGCAGGCGGATCACGAGGTCAGGAGTTCGAAACCAGACTGGACAACATGGTGAAACCCCGTCTCTACTAAAGATATAAAAAATTAGCCAGGTGTGGTGGCGGGTGCTACTCAGGGCACTGGGATTACAGGGTGGCACTGGGATTACAGGGTGCTACCTGTAATCCCAGCTACTCAGGAGGCTGAGGCAGGAGAATCACTTGAACCAGTGAGGCAGAGGTTGCAGTGAACCAGGATGGCGCCAATGCACTCTAGCCTGGGCAACAGGGTAAGACTCTGTCTCAAAAAAAAAAAAAAATCAATGCAACCTCATACAAGATTAAGTCACTTTCCAGTTACCTTCATTATTCTAAGTCAAACTCTTCAGAAAAGGACTGAAGTGAAAAATTTCTTATTCTACTTTTCAGTTCCATTAATATGAATGTTAACGTACTGCATTATACTTTCAAATTCCACGTCTGTGGTCTAACATTTAATCAAGTTTGAGATCCTGTTTATATTCCTTTTGAAAAACCTGGCCCATGTCCATGCAAAAGGAGGCATATATTAAGATTGCCTATTGACTATTTAACTCAGAAAAAACTTTTGAGAATAATAAATATAAGAAAGTTTAAAAAACTGGAATGGAATTATTTGGTCCCATGATATTCTTTAATTTTAGATTTTATTATGGTATAGCTTTTTATCACTCAAGTTTTATCTATAACAATAAATAATTTTCTTTGAGCAATTCTGACTTTGGGGAAGAAAAGAAAGAAAATGATTTATAAGCAGTAGCCTCACTGTCCTTCATTACCATGCTATCACTCACACTGTCATCAGTATCTTAGCTCTATTTTCTTTGGACCCTGAAATCGGTTGGAAAATTCATCATCGTACTTTAAAGTTTAATACTTGGGGTAAAAAAAAGTGGTTTTGTGGAACCATATCTGGGACTCCAGTTTACCATTAAAAATGTGCAGAGTAAAGAAGATTTTCTTCTTTTGATCCCTGTAGAAATTCTATACAGGTTCTTCACATTTTGGCAGATGTGAGCATATAAAATAGGCTACTTGAATTAGAAGTTTTCTCCTGGCTGGTACTATGGCTCTGTAGCAGTGAAGTAGTCTCCCAAGAAGGACTGAACATATTCAAATGTTGGTCTTTCATCAGGGTCCTTCTTCCAACACAGATTCATCAATTCATGGAGGGATTCTGGACAGCCCTGAGGGCAAGGCATCCTGTATCCTCGCTCCACCTGTTCCAGTATTTCATGGTTCACCATACCTGGATATGGCACTCTGCCCTTTGTTACCAGTTCTGTCTGTAGAATTCCAAATGAGCAGACACCAGACTTTATTGTAAACCCACCATACAGTGCAACTTCAGGAGCTGTCCATTTGATTGGAAATTCTGCACCTTGTCTTGATGTGTATTCATTGTCTTCAATTAACCTTGCTAAACCAAAATCTGCTATTTTGCACAGAAGATTTTCTCCTACAAGAATATTAGCAGCCCAGAGATCTCGGTGAATATAGTTCATTCTTTTAATATATGCCATACCATCAGCAATCTGAGCAGGCATATCAACCATTTGTGGAAGCTTCAAATACTTTCCATCTCCTTCCTTAAGGAAATTGAATAAGCTTCCTTTTGACATCAATTCAGTGACAATGTAAATTGGCTCTTCAGAAACAACAGCATATAGTGGAACAAGTTTACCATGTCTTATTTTTTTCATTACCTGAGCTTCTTGAAGAAAAGCTTCTGGCATCATTGTACCTGGTTTTAGTGTTTTGATTGCTACTTTTGTGGTTCCATTCCATATTCCCATCCACACTTTGCCAAAACATCCTTGTCCTAGTTTAACCTCTAGTCGCAAAGATTATCAAGGGATTTCCCAAGCATCTTTTGCTAGACCTTGAATCTGAGGTTTCACAGTTGGACACACAGTTGTTAACTTGTGGCATAAACCATCAGCATGTTCTGTGTAGTGTTTTGCCAATTTCTGCAGAGTATCAAGTTGTTCTCTGGTTGTGATATAGTATCTACCATTGTCAAGTTTCCTAATTTTGTGGTGTTTCACATTGTCACCCCTTACCTCATCCCAATCACGAATAGAGAGGGAATAAGCACCTTTAGTAGTTTCGCTCTCTCGTTTTTGTTTTGTTTTGTTCTGTTTGCTTATTTGTTTTTTAGACGGAGTTTTTGCTCTTGTCGCCGAGGCTGGAGTGCAGTGGCGCGATCTCAGCTCACTGCAACCTCCGCCTCCCAGGTTCAAGTGATTCTGCTGCCTCAGCCTCCTGAGTAGCTGGGATTACAGGCACTCACCACCACGTCCAGCTAATTTTGTACTTTTTTTTTTAGTAGAGATGGGGTTTCACCATGTTGGCCAGGCTAGTCTCGAACTCCTGACCTCAGGTGATCCGCCCAACTCGGCCTCCCAAAGTGCTGGGATTACAGGCATGAGCCACTGCACCCAGCCATTTCACTCTCTCTTCCTAAGAAAATACCTCATTAATTTCCAGGATTCAGAAGTAATCTTTCAGCATCTTTTCTCCCCATTTTGCCAAAATACCATTCTTCTGCCTGAATGGAATCTGCAGGCGCTACATAACTGCTCAGGATATAACCATTCTTTCCTGTAGTGATTGATCTTGCTTCCCACCAGTCTCCTTCTGTATTGTTAATTATTTGAAATTTTTCACCCTTCTTAAATGAAAGGTCTTCTGTAGTTCTAGCTTCATAATCATATAAGGCCACAAATATAGTAACACCACGTGTTAAGCCAGCAGGATATGAACTTGGCACCACTGAGAATGAGGAAGATGCCCACCTCCAAAAGGTGTTACCCCTGAGGATCCTCCAAATGGTATAATGGAATGGAAAGACGGCTGAAATTAACTGCTGTTCCCTTTGCTGAAGATGATGGACATGGTGACACTGCAGTGGGTTCTGCTCCCATGGCTCACCCTTGTACTGACAGGCTCTGGAGTATTTTCAGGTATTTAATGGCTGGACTTTTGTTTTCTTTGCTTTTAATGCAGCCCATTATCAAATCTGTCCTCTGGCTGTGCTCTCATGAGTCGCTGCTGCTGCAGCTCCGGGTGGTGGGAGGGGGCGGTGGGTGGAGGTGAGGCCCGGGGCCCTCTCCTTCCTCCACCTCCTCGTCCTCCATTTTTGAAGGAAATTTTTGCTGGGAATAGAATTCTAGGCTGGCAATTATCTTTCTCTCCTTTAATGATGGCCATTTCATTTTTTTTCTTTTTCTTTTTTTTTTTTTTTTTTTTTTTGAGACAAAGTCTCCCTCGGTCACCCAGGCTAGAGTGCAATGGCAAGATATCAGCTCACTGCAACTTCTGCCTCCCGGGTTCAAGTGATTCTCCTGCCTCAGCCTCTTGAGTAGCTGAAATTACAGGCATGCACCACCACACCTGGCTAATTTTTGTATTTTTAGTAGAGACAGGGTTTCACCATGTTGGTCAGGCTGGTCTTGAACTCCTGACCTCGTGATCCACCCGCCTTGGCCTCTCAAAGTGCTGGGATTACAGGCGTGAGCCATTGTGCCCAGCCTCACTGTCTTTTTTTAAAAATCATTTTTCTTAAGATGTCAGTCAGTCAAATTGCTGCTCTTTAAAAGTATTGTGTCTTCCCACTGCTCACCATGGCTATTTTAAATATTTTTTTCCTAGTTTAAAAACTTTGTCATAGTTTCCATAGTCTTATATTGACACCCAAAGGTGTGTTTCATATGTATTCATTCTGCTTAGGGTTTCCTAAGCTTTCAACTCTGTTAGCTGCTGTCTTTCATCATTTTGTAAAATTCTTAGTATTATCTTTTCAAATATTGCTTTTGCCCTATTCTCTCCCTTCTCTTTCTGAAACTCCAAACCTACATGTGTCTGGAACTCTAACCAATCTGCTATTGAACTGAACCATTAGTTCTAATTTCAAATATAGTACTTTCTGTTCTAAAGTGGTTAAGTCTTCATAATAAATTCAAATTATCCTGAAATTATGTATCCCTTCATCTATTTTGTCCATCTTTTTCTCTTTTTTCTTGAACATATGATTCATAGTTATTTTAAAGTTATTGTCTGCTAACTCCAATATCTGACTCACCTGCTGGCCTGCTTTTATTGCCTTATTTATGATTCACATGATCTTGCTTCTTAGCATGTCTCATAATTCTTTACTGCATGCTAAACACTATAGAGTCCTTATATAATGTTATTACCTACCTATAAAAAAGACAAAAAAGGGCTCCCTTTGTACTCTGGTAAGCAGGTAAGGAGGGAGCTCATCATCCAATGAGGGATGGCGCTAGGTTGGGTTGTCATTTTTTAGGACCCTGTCTGCTTTTGCCTTAACCCTGTTTCTTTTTTTTTTTTTTGAGATGGAGTCTCGCTCTGTCGCCCAGGCTGGAGTGCAGTGGTGCCACCTCGGCTCACTGCAAGTTCCACCTCCCGGGTTCACACCATTCTCCTGCCTCAGCCTCCCGAGTAGCTGGGACTACAGGCGCCCACCACTACGCCTGGCTAATTTTTTGTATTTTAGTAGAGACGGGGTTTCACCATGTTAGCCAGGATGGTCTCGATCTCCTGACCTCGTGATCCACCCGCCTCGGCCTCCCAAAGTGCTGGGATTACAGGCGTGAGCCACCGTGCCTGGCCTGCTTTGATCCTGTTTCTAAGGCACGCCGTCTATGGAGTTCAAGGAGACACTTTTATTTCCTTAGCACTGGAGTCAGTTCTGCCCATTACAAGTTTTCAGCTTAGCTCTTTGGCCTCCCACCCCACTCAGTTTGAAAACTTGGCGTGTGTTTTGAAAGGGTGACTAATCACATATGTGGGGCTCCTCTAGTGTTATTTTTAAACTCTAGCTCCAGAAACCTTTTCTGCAATTTTTGTCTCCCAGAAGCAGCCAAGCCTGGATGCCCATCTGCCTGCTACACCTGAAATCAACAGAAACCCTAGGTGAAAAGTAGCTGTAGATACCCAATGTCACCAGACCACATCTTCTAGAGTTTCCATCTCTCGCCCATTCTGTTTTCAGACTCCAGACTCCAGCAGGTCTGTGTTTCCTAGGCACTGTAAGGCTGTAGGAGATTTCAATGTGCCTTCTGGAAGTTTCTGGCCTCTCTCTTCAGCTCCCCTCCAACCTCAGATTTCACCAAATTTCTTATGGGGAAAATCAGTCATGCATTTGAGCACCCCACCACACCCCCCACCAAATCTCCAATTTGTCAGTCCATTATGACCAGAAAACCTTGGCTAGTATCTCTTTCAAAGCTAGTAGCAGTCCTCTGCCTCTGCTCACATCTCCAGAACTAGCACGCTTCCACAGAAAATAAAATAACTGGTCCTCCTTGGTGCAGCTCTGGATGAGCCTCCCATCTCTGGAACTTTAGTCCAACTGTCCCTCATTGCTTCCATAGCACTCTGAAGCCTTTAAGAATGCGACTTTTATGGCATACTCAGCTTTTCATACCTGTTAGCATCTCAAACTTGATACTATATTTTGCACTACTAATTACTTTCAATGAATTTCTAAATATTTGTAAGATATTAAGTAGTCTTAATATGTTCCAAAGTACAGTTTAAATATGCTTTTGAAAGAAAAGCATCAGTAAAACAGTTACTTCTTACCTCTTCATAAAACTTCACCTGAGGTACAGCTTCATTAATTTCATTCAAACAAAAATCTTTAAATAGCAAGAAACCTAAAGGAAAAAAATAAAAAATTTCAGGGTGGGCAATTAATTGAAATTTTATCCCACAAGGGTGTTTTCAAAGCAATGTGTTTATACCTCAACCTCTTCCTCCTCTACTTTTTTTTTTAAAAAAAAGATTTCAAGAAGCTAGTGAATTAATTAATTCCTAGAAGGAAATACTCCAGGCAGAAAAATACCACATACTTGGCTCCTTGCTTCAGGATTCCTTCTCTATTCATGTTCACCCCCGCCCCCCACTTTCCACAAAAGTATGATACGACAGGGCTGGCATTCACCACCACCACTTGGAGCCGCTGACCATTGTAGTGACCAAAATAACAACCAAAGGAATAAGAGATACAGACAGTATGTGTTGGTGAGAATCACCAAGACACTAATAAACACTATGCCCACTAAAATAGGACCAAACTCCCTAAAAAAAAAACAAACAAACAAAAAAAAAAACACCAGAACCCTTCTAGTCCTTTCTTCCCAAACCTTTCTAGTCCTTTCTCTTGCCACTCACTCACTATTTCCAAGTCCCTACCGAATACCTAGTGCCAGAGCAGATTACCCATTCCCAGGTCATGCTTTACTCCTTCACAACTACAAGCCTCACCTTTAAACACCTTTGCCTAGAATACCACGCCCCTCTCTGTACCTTGAAAACTCCTGAAATAACCAGAATTGGACTCAAAAGCCAACTGTGCTCTGAAGTCTTCTCTGATGAGACAGACCCTATTGCACAATGCCTGGTACACAGTAGGTGGCCAATAAATGTTCACTGAATGAATGTTTACTTAGCCTTTCCAACATTCTGTCAAAATATTTACCACACACTAATTAATTACCTGATTTATAAGGCTCCCATTCCATTTGAAAACCTAGTGCCTAGCTTAATGCCTAATGGTGACGCCTAGATAAACAAAATTAAATAGAACAAGCTGATACCAGACTGAAGGTAGAGATACTTGAAGATTATAAAATTCCAAAAAGTCAAAACAATTAAACGGAGAGTTCGCAGAAACAGAAGCTGCAGAAAGGAACTGAAGAAAGACTCACAAAGTCTACCATGTAGAGATGAAGTGGACCAGAATTCCCCAGGTGGGACTGAAAAAGGAAGTGGCTGTGATGAGATTTTAATTAACATTAGCATAAGGATCTTGTAACTTGAACTGGTCTGTAACTGATCCATAAATTCCCCTCATAGTTCCCGGAACGTGGCCTTTGAAAATGGTAAGTGTTCGTTCACTCAAACTAGAGTAGAATGACTAAGAGTACTAGTTAAATAGGCATAGCCAGACTTTACCAGGGTCAGGCGCACACCTGCAGCAGGAGCACAGCCACGCTCCTCCCATGGAGAAACTGCAACGACCCCAACATAGGCAGGAAGTAGGAAATTCAAGAAGCAGGCAAATGGGAAGGATACACATCTCTATCTGTTCGTATGTTAGTATTCTGATTTTAAGAGTAATCGTTGTCTCTTCATTTTTATTCATTTCAAAGGACTTTCTAATTTCCCTTGTCATTTCTTCTTTGATCCGTGAGTCCTTCAGAAGGGTGTAGTTTAATTTCAAAATATTTGGGGATTTTTCAGACACTGATTTTCTGTTTAGCTCTGTTGTGGTCAGAGAACATGCTTGGTATGATTTCAATGCTTTTAAATGCATTGAAACTTTTGGTCTATCTAACGGAATGCTGTATGGCACTTGAAGAAAGGGTGCATTCTGTTCTTATAGGGTGGAGTGTTTCATTTAAAAGAATACAAAGGCAATTAAACCAAGTGGGCTTGATAGAGTTCTTCAAGATGGTCCTCTGCAGCAACACAGATGGAACTGAAGGCCATTATCCTAAGTGAAGTCAGTCAGAAACAGAGACTCAAATACTGCACATTCTCATTTACAAGTGGGAGCTAAACAATGGGTACACATGGACATAGGGAGTAAAATAATAGACACTGGAAACTCCAAAAGGCAGGAGGATGGGAGAGGAGTAAGCCATGAAAAATCACAGATTGAGTACAATGTACACTAAAAGCCCAGAGTTCACCACTATGCAATGTATCTAGGTAACAAAATTGCACTTGTACCCCCTAAATCCATAGAAATAAAAGATCATCCTCTGAATCTTTACAGAATGTCTGTCTGTTTATTTATTTATTTATTTTTGAGATGGAGTCTTGCTCTGTCGCCCAGGCTGGAGTGCAATGGCGCGATCTTGGCTCACTGCAACCTCTGCCTCCCAGGTTCAAGCAATTCTCCTGCCTCAGCCTCCCGAGTAGCTAGGATTACAGGCACCCGCGATCATGGCCGGCTAATTTTTGCATTTTTAGTAGATACGGGGTTTCACCATGTTGGCCAGACTGGTCTCGATCTCCTGACCTCAGGTGATCCACCCGCCTTGCCCTCCCAAAGTGCTGGGATTACAGGCGTGAGCCACCGCGCGGCCATCTGTCTATTTATTCTATCCATCATCAACAGTGAAGTGTTGAACTCTCCATTTGTAATTGTAGATTTGTTCATCTTTTTTCAATGTTGTCAGTTTTTGCCACATGTATTTCTTTTTCTATTTCTGGAAGACAAAACTAACATGAGAATTTGAACTTAAGTATTTTGATCAAATTAGAGATGTTTTCAAAATGTCTAAATGACAAAATGAAATAATACCACACATGGACCACTGTCTTTTGACTACACTTGGAATCAAACTGAAACTCTTCACCATAGCCTACCCACGTCCTCTGGAGTCACCATTTCCTTCTCTGGCCTCATCTCACAGTGCTCCCCCCAAGCTCACTTCACTTAGGCCAAGCTTCTGTACTGTAGTTTCTCTGACACCAAGCTCATTCCCTTCTCAGGGTTTCTTACCGGCTATTCCCACTGCCTCACACACTTTTCCTGGATCTTCTAAATGAACAGCTCACTAGCTCACTTCACATATCCCTTTCCTTGAGGAGGCCTTTCATGATTCTCATTCATTCTCACTGTCCTGCTGTCTCTATCTCGCATCCATTCACACACACACACCACAAAACACTTTGTAGCACTTACGATGAGCAAAAATTGTCGCATGTTTATATTTGCTTCTTTACTGTCTACCTCTCCCACTACAATGTAAGCTGCAATGCATAGGGTACAGGTGTTTTATTCTCTACTACATTTGCACAAGAGCATTGACTGTAACAAAGACAGAGCTCAGGAGAGAGAACAAAGGAAGAAAGGTAGAAGAAAGAGCAAAGGTACAAGGAGAGGGAGGGAAGTCGGGGGAAAGGAGGAAGGAAGAGGACAGAAAGAGGAGGGATGAGGGAAAGAGGGAGTTGAATGAATGAACACCCAACTTAGAATGTGTTTACCTATTTATTTAAGGAAATCTCCATTGTCGGTCAGTAGAATAAGCCAAGGACTTAGTTCAACACACAATAGAAAACACAAAATATTATTTTCCTCCTATGTGCACATAAACTGAAGCTTTACTTTCTACCAGCTGTTTAAATGGAGCTGCTAAAATTGAGCAGCAGGAAGAAAGATATTTGCCTTTTGGCTAAATCCTAGATCACTGTGTCCTAGGCTGAACGCAACTTACCTTCATCAGCCTTAAATTATATAAAAAGCAAATGAAGCATGGCCTAGATTAGGGCAAAATATGAGAGGCAAAAATAAGGAAATATTTTGCCTAACAAGTTCACTTCATCGCTGCAATTTCTCCAGATCTTAAAGAGTAAAAAATGGTGACCTAACACCTGCTTAGTAGATATTTGTGAAATGTGTTTACTTTGTTGCTATATTTGAACCACTGCAAAATGCTGAATATTGATTAACTTTTTAGTGTATGTAACACCCGCCATCACGATAATTTTTCAAAAATTAGTAGAAAGAATTGTATTGCTTTTTATAAAATGTAAGTTAAGAACTTTTGAAAGTATTAAATATAAGTGGTTTCTATGAGAAAATTTGAAATTAAATCTCCTAAAAATTAGAAAGGTGAAAAGAGAAATATGAAAATTTTCTTGCAAGAAAAAATACTTGTCCTCAGTTTTGCCAAGGAGATTAAGACAGTAAGGAGAATAGACTGCATAACTGCTAAAACTTCCTCCCAATATTGACTAATTCTACAAAACATTTACTGAGTATCTACTAAGAGCCACTGTGTTATTCACTGAGGATGTGATTGTGAAAACAGTGTTTTTCCAATAAAGCGCTTACGGATTAGTGTAAGAGACAGACAACAAAGAAATACATATAATTTATGACAAGGAATATAAAGTAATTAAGTATGATGCTGAGATAATGATAAAAAGAGGAAGATGTATTTCAGACAGAATGGTCAGTAAGGCCTTTCTGAGCTGTGAGACAAACAAAATACAATGCATGTCAGATAAGAAAATGCTGCAATATGTAATCTCACTCCTCTTCAACATTGTATTGGAGGTCCTAGCCAATGCAATAAAGTAAGAAAATGAAATAACAGTTATTCAAATTGAAAAGGAAGAACTAAAACTGATTCTATTCAATCTGGTTACCTACCTGGCAAATCCTATCTATAAGTAACTACTAGAATATGTAAGTAAATTTAGCAAGGCCACAGGACATAAGGTCATTAGATAAAAACCAATGAAATTTCTATAAACTCATAGCACACAATTTTAAAATGGAATTTTAAAAACAAGTCAATTTGTAATAACAAAGAACTATCAATACATAGGAATAAACAAATAAATGACATACAAGAACAGTATGCTAAAAACTATAAAATGTTACTGAGAGAAATTAAAGAAGATCTAAATAAATGGAAATACATACTCAGTTCATGGACTGGAAGATTTAGTATTGCTTAGATGTTAATTCTTCCCAGAATAATTTGTAGATTCAGTGCAATTACAATCATAACTCCAACAGGCCTTTTTAAAGAAACTGACAAGCTGATTCGAAAATATATATGGAAATGCAAAAAACCTAGAATACCCAAAACATCTTAAGAAAGAAGAACAAAGTTCAAAGCCTTAACGCTATCCAATTTCAAGACTCATTACATAGCCATACTAATCTTAATCAATACATTAGATTGATTAATATGGCTATATAATGTAGTGGCATTAGATTAAATCACTGGAACAGAAATATAAGGTCCCAGAATATGCCCACATTTATATAGTCAATTTAAGTCTTTTCAACAAATGATGCTGGGAAAGCTGATATCCATATGGGGAAAAAGATGAAAGGAATTGTTACCTCACACCTTATAAAGAATTAAATTAAGGATTATCATAGAACTAAATGTGAAGGCTAAAATTATAATGCTTCTAGAATATATATAGAATATCTTCACAGAAAATCTTTATGCAAAAGATTTCTTAGGCAGGGTAAAGAAAGAAATGATAAATTATACTTTATCAAAATGTAGAACTTCTGTTCTTCAAAAGACAGTGTTAAAAAATAGACCAGCCATGGACTGGGGTAAAATATTATAAAACCTAAGTTAGAAAAAATGCCTTGTAAATTTGGATTCAAAGAAACAAACAAAGACAATTCTTACAAATCCATGTTAAAAGAAGAACAACTCAATAAAAGAACTCAAGGAAGATTTGAACACATCACAACACAGGAACACCTCACAAGAAAGGGATAGAAACAGCCAGTAAGCCCATGAAAGGGACTCAGCATCATTGGTCATCATGTAAATGTAAATTAAGCCACTCTAAGATATCCCTTCTCAACTACTAGAATGGCTAAGTTAAATATTGACAACCCCAACTGCCAGCAGGGATACAAGGCAGCCAGAACTCCAATGAGTTGCTGAGGAGGACGGACAATACCTTGGGTCCCCCATGCCTCTGAATCAGCAGGCAGAGAAGGGAGATCTTGTGTTGACTGGAGTAACTGATCCTGACTGCCAAGGGGATCCACACTAGAGAGATAAGGAAAAGCATGTCTGGAATACAGGAGATTTCCTAGGGTATCCCCCCACTATTACTATGGCCTGTGATTAAAGTCAAGGGAAAACTATAACCCAATTCAGGCAGGGCTATGAATGGCCCAGACCTTTTAGGAGTAATGATTCAAGTCATCCCACCAGGTACAGAACTATGACCGACTGAGGTGCTTGCTGATGGTAAAGGGAACACGTAATCCATGGGAGTAAGGAATACCAGCTACAACCATGTGACCAGTTACAGGAATGAGGACTGCAACTGTCATGAGTGTTTCCCCCTTATTGTGTGTGTGTATGTTAAGCAAATATCTTTGCTTTCTTCTCCACTTCTTGTCCCTTTATCATGTAACAGAAGACATACTGACTTCCTAGTGTAGCATTTAAATATTGTTAACTTTACATGATGGTATTTAAGTTGCAAGACATCGAAGAAAAGAGCAAACATCATCCAAGGACTTTGCATCCTTTTCTGGGAAAAGAGTCAATGCATCTTCCATTGTACGCAGACTAGTTGTATCATGTTAGGTGGAAGTATGACCTTGTTATCGCCTTTAGTGGAGATTAATCGTGGTGTAAGGAGATGTGTATGAGCACCAGGATGACAAGGGGTGGATGTGTGATGGTTAATTTCATCTTGGAGAGTGTCCTGGAATGAGATTAAAATTTAGATCAGTAAACTGCGAGTAAGCAGATTGCTCCCCATAACGTAGGTGGGCTGCATCCAATCAGCTGAAAGCCTGAACAGAACAAAAAGATCAGATGCCCCAGGGAAGGGAGAATTTCCCAGCAGACTGCCTCCAGACTTCATCTGCACCATCAGCTATCCTGGATCTCGAGCCTGCCAGCTCACACTGCAGATTTGGACTTGCCCGTCTCCATAATCACATAAGCCAGTTCCTTACAATAAGTCTCTTTCTGTCTATATACACATATCCTATTACTTTTCTATCACTGGAGAATGCTGCATTATATAGATTTGGAGCATGGTAAAGAATATACAGTCCCTTAGGAAAATAGCTTGAAAGTTTTTATAAAGTTACACCCACACTTACACAATGCAGTGATTCCTCTATTAGATACTTATCCAATGAAAACTTATATCTCCAAAAAGACTTGTATAGGGAATCTTCATGGCAGCTTTATTCATAACTTATCTGAAATGATTCAAAGACTATCAACAGGAAGATAAGTAGATTGTGATATTTTCACACAGTGGAATACTATTCAGCAATAAAACAAAACAAACTACTGATACATCCAGCATTGTACCTGTATTAGTCAGGGTTCTCCAGAGAAACATATAAGCAAGTAAGAGGAGACTTACAGGAATTGGCTCACATGATTATGGAGGCCGAGAAGTCCCATGCTATGCTGTCTGCAAGCTGGAGAAACAGATGGTGTAACTCAGTACAAGCTTAAAGACCTGACAACCAGGAGAACCAATGGTGTAACTCCCAAGCCAAGGCCAAAGGTCTGAGAACCAGGAAAAGGCGCTAGTATCAATCCTGGAGTCTCAAGGCCTGAGAAACTGGAGCTCCAATGTCCAAGGGCAGGAGAAGATAGATGCCCAAGCTCAAAAAGAGAGAAAGGATGAGCTCTTTCTCCACCTTTTTGTTCTATTCCTGCAGGCCCTCAATGGATTGGGCAATAGCCACCCATATCCCTGATGGTGGATCTTTTTACACTGATTCAAATGCTAGTCTCTTCCAGAAACATCCTCACAGACACACCCAGCAATAATGTTTTACCAGCTATCTGGGTATCACATTTAACGTAGCCAGGTTGACTACGAAACTTTACCATCACCATCAGTAAATGTCAGACATTACGTTGGTCAAAAGTTGCCAGATACAAAGAAGTATATGCTGCGTAATTCTATATATATACATTCTAGAACAGGCAAAACTGATCTATGGTTTTTAAAAAAAAAATCAGAAAAATGCTTGCGTCTATGAACATGAAATTGACTGGGAAGAGGCATGAAGGAACTTTCTAAGAATGGAAATATTCTGTCTTTTGATAGAGGTAGGGGTTATGTGGGTCAATACATTTATCAGAATTAAATTGTGTACAGTACTGTAAGTAAATTTACCTTAAAAAAGAACTGGAAACAAATATTAACTCTAGCTAGTAGGTTTGCTTTCACAGCAGTATGAGTTAGCAGTTCGGAAACTATTTACAGTGTACTCTAGGCTTACACAAATGAGTAAATATATTGAGGATAATAAGAGGCTTTTTGGATAAGAGAGTTAAAATATGGAAAGAGAACAGAATGTACATTGTAGCACTGAATTGGAATGGGAGTATCTATTTGAATTCATTGTTTCTGGTAGGTAGATATGTGAACACGTACACATACACACAAACATTTCCTTGCTCTGTTTATAAAGGTCTAGAAGCAATGACACACCGGCAGCAATGAGCACTTCTAGTGTCCAAATTTAGGCTGCTAAACACTATTCTCCATTAAAAGCAACTAGAGCTCCTTAGAGAAAAGGCTGATTGATTCTAGGGCAAGGACAGTGAATAAATAACAACATGAGCTTTAAACATCTGCTAGAAAGTAAGCAAGCACTTGTAGGATGATGGAGCTATATGAACAGGAACCAGCTTGAAAGCACTCCTAGTAGCCAAAACTGGGAAAATTTGAACATCAAAATAAATAAGAAGAGTCATAGATCATAACCCATTAGATAAATTAAGGATCTATGAGTGCATACTGATATAAATAGCAAATAAATAGGGAGAAGGAAAAGCGCTTTCTTAATAGTCAAATGCCAGTCAAAAACTATGGAATGAATGATGGAGTCAGAAAACTGATGGGTGCCAAAACTAGTGGATAAGTTTGAGTAGGAGCAGAATATTTACGTAGTGCAAAAGTAACTTCCACGAGTTACTTACTTACAAAGGGAAAACTCATAACTAACAGTGGAGGATGCTAGCAAACACCCACTTTAAGCAAATGGTCAAAATTAACAATCATCAGACTTGGGACAACGTAACATTATGATGCCTTGAGAACAACACGACATCTGACCTATGGTCTCCTGACAAAAGTGTCTTTACAAATGTTAAGGTCAAGAAAGTAAAAGAAAGCTGAGGGATAGTCCAGATTAAAGGAGACTAAAGGTATGAGAAGGAAATGCAGGCATGATCCCACACTCAATCCTGAACCAGGAAAAATTATAGCAAAAAAGAACATTTTGGGGAACAATTGTTGAAATATGAATATGGACTTTGGATTAGACAGTAGTATTATAGTATTATATCTGTGTTCAATGTCCTGATTTTGAACATTGTACTGTGGTTCTCTAAAAGAATAACCTTGTTCTTAAGAAATAGGGGCTGAAACATATAATGGTCAAGAGGAGTGATGTCTCTAAATTACACCCCCCAAAAATCATAAAAAGAATGAATAATGAAACAAATGAGGCAAAATGTATGCAAACAATGAAACTGTTTAAAGCAGGGGTGTCTAGTCTTTCAGCTTCTCTAAGACACATTGGAAGAAGAATTGTCTTGGGCCACACGTTAACAAAAAACAAATCACAAATACATCTCAATGTTTTAAGGAAGTTTATGAATTTATGTGGGGCCACATTCAAAGCCATCGTGGTCTGCATGCAGCCCGCGGGCCGCAAGTTGGACAAGCTTGGTTTAAAGGGTATACAAAATTCCTCATACCATTCTTACGACTTTTCTGAGTTTGAAGTTATTTCAAAATATAATTTTAAAATGCATATCAAAATACAAAGTTATAAGAAAAGCGGCAAAATCACAAAACTCATTTATGACTAAGATTATATATAATTATTGGCAAAAAGGCTAGAGAAAAATAACTGAAATTTGGCTTTTAACTATTAGAAATTTTATGTGACTAATAATAGAAATGGTTGCTGTCAAATTAGCTTTTCAAATATTTATTCCTTTTATAATTAGTAATTTCCAACCCATTTAAAAACTATATATAGACATTTGCACTAGAAGAAAACTTACAGCACTTTAAATCCTTGAACAAACACAATATAATAGAAATGCTAATATAATTTAACTAGAACAATGTTAATAAGCTCCCTTATAATTAAACATAATTCTGGGAGGAAACATAAAGGTGCTTTAATGCAGCAAATCAGTTACATGTTCCAAGAGTTTTCTAAAATATTTTATCATAACAATTTGAAGATTATCATTTTCACATATTATATTTCTCTATAGCCTTTTGAGTAAAACACCCTAAGCAAGCACACTAGCTCCCATATAATTGGAAATTCCCTCCAACCCCTGCAAGCACCACGAAACAACTACCTTACATCTTATCATCCAGCATCACAACACATATCATGAGACAGCCCCACTGACCATACTAGAATTGTCTCTAAACCAGGATCTCTAAACCAGCATTACATGTTAGACCTTGCATCTTAACTTTTCCATGTGAACAAATTAACAAAACAGGTGTTAGGTTTCCCTAATATTAGTACATTTTTTCAAGTTTAAAAGAAAAACCCCTTGGATTAATCTCCAGAATTTTTTCAACTCTAAGATTCTATATCTCTAAATAAAATAAATCAAATTAGAAAGTCATGAATTGAATGGTGAAAAATACAAACATAACTAATAATCATGAAATCAAAGAGAAGAAGAAAATGAAATGGACAAAAGCAAGCTGGTTATTGAAAGACCTTAAAAGCTAGGGACAAACACCTAGACAGTAACATGAAGGTCTAGAAATAAAAATTAAATTATCCAAAGAGCAGATAGTGAACACTCACCATAACTATGTTGTATGGAATAATAAAAAGCCCTAATAATCAAATTATCAAATTATTTTAATGCATTTTCTTATAAAGTTTCAAAAGTTTGACCAACCAAAGCATTAAAATAAAACATGAAAAACAAACTATTTAAAATATTATCATGAAATACACAATCAACCATTTTGCCAAGAGATAATGGAATCAAAAGTGCCCTATATTATAATTTGCTTGAGAACTAAATTAATTAAATAGATGTATTCATATATATGGTACACATTCCATATTGATATTTTTATTTATTAGTACTGAACAATGGGAAATTTAAACTTAAGCAACAGGACAATTAATAATAACATTAAAAAAACCCAACACTTACGAATAAATCTAACCAGATATGTGCATGATTTGTATGCTAAAAACTACAAAATACTAATGAACAAAAACAGAGGTGATCCAAATAATTAAGAATAAAACCATGTTCATGGAATGGATCGGAAGACTTGATATTGGTAAGATGGCCATTCTTCCCAAATCAATCTATACACTTAACATGATCCCAGTCAAAAATCCAGCAGAAATTTTTGTAAAAAATCAATAAATGGATTCTAAAATTTATATTAAAAATCAAAAGAACTAGAATAATAAACTTTTTGAAAATAACAAAAAGGATTTACACTATCTGGTTCAAGATATATTATAGGCCGGGCACAGTGGCTCACACCTGTAATCCTAGCACTTTGGGAGGCCGAGGCGGGTGGATCACTTGAGGTCAGGAGTTCGAAGCCAGTCTAGCCAACATGGTGACACCCTGTCTTTATTAAAAATACAAAAAAAAAAATTAGCCAGGCTTGGTGGCAGGTGCCTGTAATCCCAGCTACTTGGGAGGCTGAGGCAGGAGAATCACTTGAACCTGGGAGGCAGAGGTTGCAGTGAGCCAAGATCACGCCACTGCACTCCAGCCTGGGTGACAGAGCAAGACTCTGTCTCTAAAAACAAAAAAACAAAAAGGATATATTATAAAGATACAGTAATCCAGGCAGTATGCTGTTGGAGAAAAGGATAAACACATAGATCAATGAAAAAGAATACAGTCCAGAAACAGATCTACATATACATAATCAATTGATCTTTCACCAAGGTGCAAGGATGATTCAATGAGAAGAAAGCCTTTTCAACAAATGGTGCTGCAACATTGAACATCTCTGCAAAAATATGTGATTCCTACAAAAATTAACTCAAAATGGATAATAGAATTAAATATAAATCTTCAAACTATAAAATTGTAGGAAAAAATTCAAGAAAATCTTTGCAACCTTGGGTTAAAGCAAAGGTCACCAAGATCCAACAAGATCTATAAGAGTGAAAACTGGCAAATTCAATTTCATTATACTTTAAAACTTCTGTTCTACATGCTTAAGAAAATGCAAAGACATGCCACATATTTGGAGAAAATATTTGCAAAATATATATCTGCTAAAGGACTTGTATCCAAAATATATGAAAGACTCTCAAAATGCAATAATGAGAACACAAACCAATATTTTTGAGCAAAAGACTTGAACACACTTTCACCAAAGAAGATATATAAATGTCAACTGAGCACATGAAAAATTAACATCATTAGTCATTAGGAAAATACCAATTAAAATCACAATAAGATAATCCTATATACTTACTAGAATAACAAAAGCAAAAAAGAAAAGACAATAGCAATGCTGGTAAGGATGTGGAGCAGTTGGAACTCTTAGACTGCTAGTAGGAATGCAATTTGTAAAGCCTCTTTGAAAGCAGTTTCTTTAAACAAACATTTGTCATTTGACCCAATAATCCCACTCCTAAGTATTTACCAAGAGAAATAAAAATGTATGCTCTTATAGTCACATAGAAATCTGCAAACAGATACTTAAAGTAGCTAGCTTTACTCGAAACAACCCAAATGTTCAGTTGGTGGATGGATAAACCAACTGCGATGCATCCATACAATGGAAGCTTCCCAATACACGGGAATGAACTACTCATACGTGCAAAGTGCGTCTCAAACACATCATGCTAAATAAAAGGAACAAAAGGTTACATGCTAAGTGATTCCACTTATAAGACATTCTGGAAAAGGAGAAATCACAGGAACAGAAAACAGGTCCATAGTTGCCAGGAGCTGGAGCATAAGCTGTGGGTTGACTACGAAGGGTCACCAGGAATTTGGAGAGGTAACTAACTGCTCTGTATCTTGATTTTGGTAGTAGCTGCACACTTTATGCGTTGGTCAAAACTCACAGAATTGTAGATCTAATTGCTGAATTTTACTTTATTTAAATTATACCTCAATAAACCTGCACCTCCACCCTCCACCTAAATAAAAATAGCACCATGAAAGAAGAAAGAAAAATAAAATTGGACACATACAGTTGAGCCAGGAATAAAGCTCAGAGATGTTCCCTCACAGTGGCTGTAAATAGGCCACAAATTGGAATCTAAAATTTCTAGAAGCCAGCCTGATCACTTGCATAGTTCTCAATGTCTACAGGATGTTTTCATAAACACAAGTTTGTATGGAGGATAAAATTATTCACACACATAAGTGTGGACTAAAATAAGTCATTAGAAAGGTTCTTGGTAATACAGAGGTCATAAACAAGTACTCTGACACGTCCAGGATACACAACATTCTTCACAAATGAAAATAAGGGAAAGTGTAGATGACAAATAAAAAAGCAAATTCATAAATAAAGAAAAAAGCATATAGCTATAAAACCTGAAAACTCCCATAAGATGTCATGTCCCTACTGGCTAGGGATTACTAACCTACATTCCCAATTAACAATTCTCTGCTTTTTTTCTTCCAAGTTCCAATAGGAGCAAATAAACATAAATCAAAGTGAGTATTCAGTTAACTATAATCATCTATTTCATATAAGCCTTAAATACGCTTATTTTTATTTAACTCTACATTTCAAACTGGAACTTTTACTTCTTGACTTAAAACTTTACAGGAGGAGAAAATTATAAATGAAATATAATTTGGGAATATTGTAAACAGTTGGATCTTCTTCTAAAACCCAAGTTCTCCATCCTGCCCACAATTTAAATTCAACACATACGTATTCTTCCAGCATATCAATAAAATATTCCTAGATTAATTAATGGGATCATTCATTTAGATAACGGAGAGATTTTGAGCCATGAATATTAAGAGTCCAACAGACAAAAGCACAAATGGAAATGAATGTGGCCAAAGAAAAATTCATGGAATGTTCCAAGCAATTGGCTCTTGACTCAAAAAGGAACAACGCGAACTGGGACTGGGAGGGAAATGTAAGAATGTAGGGGCGAGAAAATTCTATCAAACCCTTCCAATGGCTGGATTGCTTTCAGCCTTTTAAAACCATTATATAATGACAGAAAAGTAAAAATTTCTGACTATGCCACCATGCTAATACTCCTCTCCAGATTGCACTCAATTTTTTCATTTATCACAGTTCTCTGCACATCAGACAGTAAACAAACTGACAGTTAAAATAAGAGAGATTTAAAATAATTTAAGATAAAATAGAAATATTATTCAAATAAGCCATACGACTTACATTTCCCAGAGACTTCTCTAAGAACAAATATTAAAGCTGGCATTATGGAAATCAGGGTCTGAGTGTACAACACAAATCATCTATCCACCTCTCCGGACAAAGTGGGGGTGGGGAGGTTGTAAGCATGCTGAGTCTAACCATAATTTTAACAAGGAAGAAACAGAATAAGAGCCAACCAATCGATACACATGAGTTTGCTTTGTGATAATTCATGTGGCTATGAACTCATGATTTCAGTACTTTTCTATATGTATGTTTTATTAAATCAATAAAAGTTTATTGAAAATAAGAGAATCAGCCAGGAAGTATTTATGGCATGATACTAGAATGTAAAATGAAGGGGTCTTCAATGCAATTGTACTCTAATTGGAGATCCTGATAGCTACACACAAAATGATAACACTTACTTGTCTTGTATTAAGTGCCAAATTCACTTGGTAGAGGAGAAATGCTAAAACGTCAGTGTTCCTTCCTTAGATGACAGCAACAGCACCCTCACTAAGCTCCCAGCCACCTGTCATCCTCCTTTCCAACTCATCCTTCATGCTACTCACATCAGATCTGGAGCTGATCATGACACTTCCTTGCTTTGAAACTTTCCATGGGTGTTGCAGAGGATGTTGGATAAGACATTCATGTTACTGCAACACACACCACGCTCTGTCCTGTACCTCTACCATGCAAATGCACTGGCATAGACCTGACCTGCCCAGACCTGACCTGCCCACCCACCAGCCAGGTGTCCCTTACGACTTACAGTCCCTTGCATAGAGTTGGGAGAAAAGACATCGAAGTCATCACAGTGATTTCTTAATGGCCTTGGCCCAGAGGGGACACACCCCACTTTTCTGAAAAGATGGGAGAAACTAGTAACCGTAGTTGCCTTTGGGGTGATGGTGGTTCCAGCAGGTTCCAGCACCCACAGCTCCATATGCTGTATTAACCTATTTACCGTAAATCCTGCCTCTGTATCTGCACATGGACTCCTTCCATCTCGGCAGCCACCCTCTCTTCACCAATCCCCTGGCAATTCTCTGCCATCCACTTGTCTAGCCCCTTTCTCACAAACCTCTTTTCCTGCAGGCTTGACCTGGTTAACACCTGCTACACCTTTAGGGCTTCAAGCGAGCACCACAGAAAGCAGCACACTTGGAAGTCCGCTCCCCGAGGCAAGGCAGAGCTGCCCCTTCTATGCCCCCACAGCACTGGGTTCTTACCATTTTCAGAGCATGATCTGGCTTTATTACAATGATTTGTTTTTATTTTATAAATGAATAATATAGTTCAAAATTGCTAAAATATATTTTAAAAGTTTTCCCCTCTTTCCTGCCCTTCATCTTCCTGCCCAGTCACGTACCACCATCACCACCCCCAAGGCACCTGCTGTTATTAGTTTCTTCCATCTTTTCAGGGAAGTGGGGTATGTCACCTCTGGGCCACGGCTGTTAAGAAATCGATGTGACAGCTCTCTGCAAGGGACTCCCAAGTCCTAAGGGACACCAGTGCCACAAGATGGAAGTGCATGGAGAAAAGCCTCATGCTGATCTGTAACAACCTGTTACAAATGTTACAGGCTTGTGACAACCTGTGACAAGCACTGTTACCAAATGAGAAAGAACATTCCCTGTGTACAGTCCCTGACATTCTGGGGTTTCCTTGTTACAAGTGTTTGTATTACCTTCGAATACAATATAAAAGCAAGTGCAAACATGAACTCTAATTTTCCACTGTACTCTATACACACTGTCAACATCAGCCTTTTTTCCAAAACACTATGCCTTGGAGATCTTCCTATACCAGTCAGGAGGAGCTACTTGATTCTCTTTTATAACCGCATGGCATTCCATCTCATAATTTACATAACTTGCTCTCCAATGAATATTTGGGTTGTGCCAAATATTTTGCTTTTACAAAACTGCTGCAATAAATAACCCTCTACATCCACTTTTTATCATGTATTCAGTACACTTGCAGGATACCTTCCTCAGAGAAAAACTTGTAAGTTAAACGTCATATGGACACTTTGTTATTTCAATAGACATGGCCACACTAGCCTCTGCTGGAGTAGTATCTATTTTTACTACCACCAGCAATGGATAGGAGTGCCCATTTTGAAACCCACTGCCATACCAAAAGTGTGTTCTTTAACTTTGGGCTTTTTATCAATTTGAAAGATAACAAAATAACATTTCAGAGCACCTTTGTGTTTCTCTTATTTTTGAATAACATTGAAAATCTTTTCTTAGGTTTAAGTTCCATCTGTTTCCCCGTTTTAATGACCTGTCTGTCTCTCAATAGGACCTTTGCCCAGTTTTACCCTGGATGATGGGGCTTTTGCATAGAAGGTTCTAGGGCTTTTCTGTATTGGGATTTGCAAGTCAATACTATTGCTTAAGGAATCCTCTGTATGTCCACCTCTCAGGTACTTGGTCAGATCCATGTGAGTGATCTGTGTGTCTGTTCCTGGCTCCTTGTCATTCCTGGCGTTGACAGAAATGCCTCTAGCATCCTCCTCTTAAACATGACAGTGGCCTTTGAAATAGACAGCCTGCATGATGTTAAGGATGGACACATCTCTTCCTAGTTCAATAAGTAGCAGCTGGTTCCTCATTTGTCTCCCTGACTAGGCTGTGGGCTACAAGAGGGAAGTGGTCTGTTTTTGTTTATTTTTCTCTCTAATCTCTAGCACAATGGCTAGTACTTAATTGGCTCAATGAACGTTGGATAAATTTACTTAAAGGAAGATCAGATGGTTGTGGTACAGTCACAGATGGTTTCAGGAAGACATTAAGTGCAAGCTAGACTTGGAAAGATTAACGGGCTATAGAGTCAGGAGAAAGAATGAATCAGTGCTCAAAGGCAGGAAATTTAGCTTGAGATAAGGAAAGAGTGTGACTTCAATTTAGGCAGAGCAAGTTCCTACAGGGAAAAGGTGGAAGGTATGCTTTATTACGCCAAGGAGGCTCAGGGAGGGTTGGCCTTCAGCCACCAGGCTAAGGGATCCAGCCTCAGAAATTCCAATACTTAATATTTATCAGTTATATAATCCTCTGCTTGCTGAAAGCTTCAAATGCCAAAAAGCCTGCTGGGGAATAGTTTTTAGTATAAGTGGGCAATTGTTTCATAAAAAATAAAAACTCGGCTCTTGAGCCCAGTTCTGAGGATTTTAGAGAAGAAACTCTTTCTCCCCAACATGGGAGTCCCTGAGCAAGGCTGAAGGTAGGTATTATGAATCTGTCCTCCTTCCCCTTCCCCAAGGTACTCTGCAATATGACACTTATCTGCCATGACACCTGTCCCCAGATGGCCCTTGCATCCTCTTCCCTGTCCCTAACCTTACCTAAAATAGGTACTTGGGTGTCAACACCTATACACTAATAGTGCCTGCCTACCTCTGCCCCACTGAATATTTCTATTAGAATGTGAAGATGTTATCAAAAGCCTTCAAGACTCAAAAGACTAAACCCATAACAGTGGAACACCAGGTGGTATGGGTGCCACTGCCAACCCACTGGGGGCAGACGATAGCCCTGACTGTGCACCGATCTTCAAACCTGCAGCCTGGTGCTATGCCGCCCCGACCAGCTTGTGGTTAGAGCTGCTTTTCATATTTACTGTGAAATCTAATGCATATAAAATGACTACTTGCTAGAGCAATCAGATGGTTTCTGTGATTATTTTGCCCCAATTCATTTTAACTTATAACCAACTGAATATAATAATTTGTCAATTAAATAACAGAGGTATTTTTTTAAAGTCATCTGGTAAGTTGTGAATACCTCTAGTGAGAGTTCACTCTGAATGTTTTAAAGGGAGTAACACCCAGTGCCTTAATAGCATCCCGGAAGTGGGGATATCTCTTGCGGAAATGAAGTTGGCTTGATCAGTGAACACTCCCTCTCACTCCCTGTACAAGGGAAGGGCAGTGGACACAGCTGCTATTCCCTGATCCCTACTCAAAACAGCTGCCCAAAGGATCCCTCTATTTCCACAGATATTCATCCTATCACCCATCCCAACAGTGCACAAACATCTGCAAGTCCTACGGCAAGACGACTTGGAGACAGGTGCGTGGGCTAAGACTTCACACTAAGAGAATCATCATCGGCCTGGCGCGGTGGCTCACGCCTGTAATCCCAGCACTTTAGGAGGCTGAGGCGGGCAGATCACAAGGTCAGGAGATCAAGACCATCCTGGCTAATGTAGGGACCAGCCCCACAGGGTCAGTGGGTCTCTCCCCATGTGCGGCGACGAGAGAGTGTAGAAATAAAGACACAAGACAAAGAGATAAAAGAAAAGACAGCTGGGCCCAGGGGACCACTACCACCAATGCACGGAGACCGGTAGTGGCCCCGGATGTCTGGCTGTGCTGTTATTTATTGGATACAAAGCAAAAAGGGCAGGGTAAAGAGTGTGAGTCATCTCCAATGATAGGTAAGGTCACGTGGGTCACGTGTCCACTGGACAGGGGGCCCTTCCCTGCCTGGCAGCCGAGGCAGAGAGAGAGAGGAGACAAAGAGAAAAACAGCTTACGCCATTATTTTTGCATATCAGAGACTTTTAGTACTTTCACTAATTGACTACTGCTATCTAGAAGGCAGAGCCAGGTGTACAGGATGAAACATGAAGGCAGACTAGGAGCATGACCACTGAAGCACAGCATCACAGGGAGACGGTTAGGCCTCCGGATAACTGTGGGCGAGCCTGACTGATGTCAGGCCCTCCACAAAAGGTGGAGGAGCAGAGTCTTCTCTAAACTTCCCCGGGGGAAGGGAGACTCCCTTTCCCGGTCTGCTAAGTAGCGAGTGTTGTTCCTTGACACTTTTCGCTGCCGCTAGACCACGGTCCGCCTGGCAACGGGCATCTTCCCAGATGCTGGTGTCACCGCTAGACCAAAGAGCCCTTCTGGTGGCCCTGTCTGGGCATAACAGAAAGTTCGCACTCTTGTCTGCTGGTCACTTCTCACTGTGTCCCCTCAGCTCCTATCTCTGTATGGCCTGGTTTTTCCTAGGTTATGATTGCAGAGCGAGGATTATTATAATATTGGAATAAAGAGTAATTGCTACAAACTAATGATTAATGATATTCATATATAATCATCTCTAAGATCTATATCTGGTATAACTATTCTTGTTTTATATTTTATTATAGTGGAACAGCTCGTGTCCTCGGTCTCTTGCCTCGGTGCCTGGGTGGCTTGCCGCCCACAGCTAACACGGTGAAACCCCGTCTCTACTAAAAATACAAAAAATTAGACAGGCGTGGTGGCAGGCGCCTGTAGTCCCAGCTACTTGGGAGGCCGAGGCAGGAGAATGGCATGAACCTGGGAGGCAGAGCTTGCAGTGAGCCAAGATCACGTCACTGCACTCCAGCCTGGGAGACAGAGCAAGACTCCGTCTCAAAAAAAAAAAAAAAGAGATTCATCATCTAATATACACTCTTTATATTAAATGCTGCAAATAACAGTTTGATACTAATGGCAGTTAAAATCATTGTGTGCGGAAACAGAAAGTTAACCAAAAAAGAAGAGTCAATTCCTCAGATGTGTAAAATACTGAACTAGAAGCTTTAGAATTACAAAGAGAAAATAGCGTCAGAGATGAGCTTTGATCTCAAGGATCAGTTGGGAAACATTAAAGAGGCACCTCACAGTACTATACTTTCCACAGTAAGCGCCAAATGAATGCTACAGACAATGAGTAGAGCAGGAACATCAAAAGAGATTATTCATAGTCAGAAATCAGGGTTTTTTGTTTTTGTTTTTGTTTTTAATGATGGAGTCTCACTCTGTCACCCAGGCTGGAATGCAGTGGCGTGATCTAGGCTCACTGCAAGCTCCACCTCCCGGGTTCACGTCATTCTCCTGATTCAGCCTCCCAGGTAGCTGGGACTACAGGTGCCCGCCACCACACCCAGCTAATTTTTTTGTATTTTTAGTAGAGAGGGGGTTTCACCGTGTTAGCCAGGATGGTCTCGATCTCCTGACCTCGTGATCCGCCCGCCTCGGCCTCCCAAAGTGCTGGGATTACAGGAGTGAGCCACCGCGCCTGGCCAGAAATCAGGGTTTTAAGCTAATCCTTGAATGGTGAATCTCTCTGAAGAGCATAGGAAAGGAGGTGGCCTTCCACAGAGGGAGACAGACTGAAAGCAGATGCGGGGTGCCAGGAGCATGACGCATGTTCACAATGAACGCTGAAATTAAAAGATAAGGAAAAAAAAGATGGAGGCAAGTTCTGGGTACCTGAGTGACAGGAACAAGCTGACTGCACCCTGCAGTGGGGGCTTAGGAAAGCTTCGGAATGCAATCACACCGTGACCAGACTATGTTTTCAGACTGCCGGATAACAGGAAAAGAGCTGGAGATTGGAAGTGCCTGATCCTGACTCCTGGCCGGAGGCTATGTTTCCCAGCAAAAATTAAAAGTTTAACAAAAGGGCTGGAGAAAGAAAAAAATTAATATAGGATAGCCAGTTAGGAAGGTCCTGAACTATCTGGGTCAGAGTAATAATGGCATAATTAAAGTGGCTGTGGTGGAAATGGAGGATGATGGGGCAGGAGAGACAAGGACGAGAAGGCATCAGCGAGGCTTCAGAGCTTTGAATCCTGGACAGCTTGGAGAACAGCGGTGTCATTAATGTCAATAGAAAGGGAGGAAAGGACACCAGGTGTGCATGTGCATATGTGCGTGTGCATGAATACAGGTGTGTAGGTTTCTTAGTTTGTGTTTTTCTGGTCAGGGAGGAGATAATTAGTGAGGTATTTGATCTGTTCTGGTAGAGGCAAGGGCAACACATTACACTAGAAACAATCACTCATTATGAAACGAAACCACAGAACTGAAATGAGCTGGCTCACTAAGGCTGCACCAAAGCTGTGCCATCAAGTAAGTGCAGAGGTTACTTGTGGGAAGGGACAGATGCAAACAAGGACACAGGAGACAGAGAGCAGCACAAGCCAAAGGCAGGGGCTTACACGGCGGGAATTAGGAAGGCCCAATGCCATCGTAGCCGCATCACTCTGTCTCGTCATTTCATCTTTCTGCGCATTAGCTAGCTCCTCTCCTTCTATAGTTTTGAATAACTTACGAAAGTATGGCCGGGCATGGTGGCTCACACCCATAATCCAGCCCTTTGGGAGGCTGAGGCAGGCAGATTGCTTTGAGGTCAGGAGTATGAGACCAGCCTGGACAACATGGAGATACCCCGTCTCTACAAAAAATACAAAAATTAGCCACATGTGGTGGCACACACCTGTGTTTTCAGCTACTCAGGAGACTGAGGCTGGAGAATCACTTGACCCCGGGAGGCAAAGGTTGCAGTGAGCCAAGATCGCGCCACCGCCCTCCAGCCTGGGTGACAGAGTGAGACCCTATCTCAAAAAACAAAAACAAAAGAAAATATGCTTTATAGAATGTATTTATTCCCCTAAATTACAGAAACTATGTATACACTTACCCCCAAACTATGGCATTGAACTACTCCTTGAGTCTTCTCTTCCCTATTCAGTTCTGGCTCCAGAATATGTCCCAGGCCACCCATTCTTACATCTCTGCTGCTCTTACTCTAACAAAAGCCACCTTTGGCGACTTCCTAAATGCGACAGGGGTCTCCAGATTCTTCTTCCTGTTTCCATGCTCCCACTCTGATCCCAGCAATTCATTCTTCATAAAGAGGCTAGAATGATCTTAAAACATACATCGGGCCTGGTCAAGACCCACCAGAGCTTCCCATCACACTCAAAACCCTGGCTCCTGCGCAGTTCCCTGCCTCCCCTCTTTTCTCTCATCAGGAGCTGCCTGCGTGGGCCTTCTGGCAGTTTCTGAAACACACTGCACTCCCTCTTGCCCTGGCTGATGACGACGCTGCTCCACATGATCCCCTGATCACATCCTCAAAGAAATGTCCCCTAAACAACTAACCTATGTAAGCGCTACTCGGTCTCCTTCAGGTCCTGGCTCTTCACGATCCCACTGCACAGCAAACGCTATGATCTGGCTGATACCCTCAGACGCTGAGGGAGCTGATCCCCGCATCCCGCCCAAGGTCAGTGTTCCCTGCATTCCAGGACCTGCTGCACACCGACAAGCTGCATGGTTCTACCAACTCACTTCTCTGCCAGTGTTCCTTAGTTTCGTCATCAATCAAATGAAGGGGCTGGAATGCATAGACTCTGAGGTTTCACTTAGGCCTAACATTCTGTGGTTTCATGAATTCAAGTGGGGTCAGTTTTGATTTCATTCTCTTCTGCTGGGGATCTTATTGCTATTTTGACAAAGAGAGGAGGGGTTTAAAGAAAAAAAAGGCAAAGGATGCCAACAGGACACAGTTGGAAAAACTGGTTATTTTACCAAGGCTTTAACTGAAACAGTGTGTTTCCCTTTAAGGAATCAAGCTTAACATGTAGAGCCAATAAAAGCCCCTTGGGGAGAACTGGCCCCATACCTTGTCTATAGTCTCTGCACAGGGTTCCTAACCTGTGGTCAGTAAAGAATGTCACTTTCTAACAGGTCTGGGAGCTCCCAGTTTATCTTGGGACCTCAAGAGGAGAGGATCACCCAACTCACAGGTATTTGAGGATACAAACCCATGGCTGGGCTCAACTTTAAGGGTCTTGTCTAAGATTCCTTGTGGAATAGAGTTTCATCAAAGCTAATCCAAAAGGTCCATGTAAAAATAACCATTCTTGCTGCCCTTTATGCAAATAATCAGGCCAAGTATAAGACTAAAGTTTATTCATAATTAGTTTTTACCAAAAATGAGGACTGGAGAGAAAAATTTTGCTCCAAAGGTTATCATATATTTGTCATTAAATCCTAGTCTCACTAATTGTTTTTAAGCTTTTTGCCTACATTTTAGACTAACTCTGCCTATTCCTGTGAATCAAATGGTGATCTTCTGCAGCTTGAAAAAAAGAAAAAATAGGGATGGGTAACGTAAACATGTGAATCAATATACTAGTTCTGGGCAATTATCTTGCAAATTCTGCCAGGTAATGAAAGTGAGTAAGGTGCCCATAACCCAGAGGTTTCTTTGTTTGGGAAAATAAAACCAAGGAACTTCACAGACCCCCAAAGGGGAATTCTATATGTTGGCAAGTAAAATTTTAGATGGAAATTACCTACCACACCACACTTGTGGGAATTGCTGTCCTCACTCTACTATCTCTATAGCAGGGATAATAGTTACTAACAAAAAGGAAGCATGAAAGTTTTACTATCACTAAGTCTGCTAGGACTTTTTATTGGGTCTAGTGACGCACTTTTAAATGAAACATGCTGCTTTTGGATGAACACCTCTAGTATAGTAAAGGAAAATCTACAGGTACTTAAAGATCAAATCAAAATTATTGACAGGCTCAAGGAAAATGCTGGCTTCAGTCCCGAGTGGCTACAATCCCTCTTTAATAAATTCCAGTCTTCTTGATGGAATTCGTTAACCCCTTTATTAAGCCCCCTCTTACTGATATGTCTTGTATTGATATTTGGACTCTGTATACTCAATACTACAACTCAAATTGTTTCTTCTTGCCTAGCAGCAATCAAACTCCAAACGGTGCTGTCAACTGAACCACACAAGGACACGCCATTCTTCTGAGGACCCTTAGATGGACTCCAGGAGGAGGCCTAGCTGCTGTTCCCCATTCAACACCCCTTTTCTGCAGGAAGTAGCCAGAAAGAGTTGTCGCCCAAAACCTCCTAACAGCAGCTAGTGGGGCGTCTCCACTGGGAGGAATGTTGTAGGAGTTATTAAGAAAGTATTTTAGGCAGACAAGGAGGAAAAGTTTTGGGAAGTTTTCATTTTTTAAAGCCTCTTGGGAAAAGCTTCTTGTAAAGCCCCTGCTCTTAGAGCCGGGCTGGCAACCTTTGATATGCAAATGCAGGCAATTAGAAACTAGGTCCACCCAACACGACAATCCCCACAATCCCTGCGGGACTTCTTGCCCTTGCCCAACATGTTCCTGGCAACCTAATGGCCCTCACATATCCCCACGTGTGCAGAACATCATGGTGCCCTGCATTTGCATATTAAAAGGCTAGGGTGGGAGGGCCAGCTTTTTCGCGGGCTATGTGAAAGACAGGCCTGGTCAAACCAATCCCGAGCCCTGTGCAAAACAGACACTGCCTTCTCCAGCCTCTCTATATATACACCTGGCTGGTTTCCGCCCCATTTGGGGTTCCCTCTCTTGGCTTTGAAGCGCCCCTCCCTCTGTCTCTGTACAGGGGAGCTTCTTCCTTCTCCCTTCCTTCTTGCCTATTAAACTCTCCACTCCTTAAAACCACACACACACACACACACACACACACACACACACACACACACACACACACAAAAAAGACAAAGGAAAGGAAGAGTAAAGGAAGGAATGTGAGGAGCAGGAGAGAGTAAAGGAAGAGAGAAGGGGGAGAGGGAACCACTTTCTGTGAGAAATGAATCATAATGCTTTCTCCTGGCAACAAGTAGCTACCTCAGGAAGAAACCAACCACTTCATAGATGTTCCAGCACCACCTAACCTGCTGCTGCCCCTTAAGACATTTCAAATACTTAGTTTGGTCTGGCTCAGTGGCTCATAATCCCAGCATTTTGGGAGGCTAGGGTAGGAGGATCACTTGAAGCCAGGAGTTCGAAACCAGCCTGGGCAACAGCCAGATCCTATCTCTACAAAAAAAAAAAAAAAAAAAAAAAACTAGCCAGGTATGATCGTGTGCACCTGTAGTCCTAGCTACCCTGGAGGCTGAGATGGGAAGATCACATGAGTCCAGGAGTTCGAGGCAGCAGTGAGCTATGATCACGCCACTAAACTCCAGCTTGGGCAACAGAGCAAGACCCTTTATCGAAAACAACGACAACAAAAACTCCTTACTCAGCTTAGTATAGTGGTCAAAAGCTTTAGCTTGGAGTGTGGTAGACTCCACCTCAGCCCATCACTATGTGCAAGACACCAGGCAAATCCCTTCACCTCTGAGGCTCGGCTCCTTGCCTGTAAAAGGGGGCCAAGAATGATCTGCACAGGGTCATTCTGAAGACTAAATGAGATCACGTATGTAGAGCACTGAGCACCAAGGGGCTCATTAACTGTTATCATGACCCAAACTGTATGGATACAGCCTTTTCTAAAGCTTCTTAGACTTACCTGTGCTGTTATGGGTAACCTGGAAGCCAACCATCATGTTTGTGTTGCACCATGAAGTTATAACAAAGGCGCTATATGTCTAGGATTTTACAGGGAGTCTCAGTTTCAAGTATTTATCAAATTTTCTCACCAAGAGCCAAATATTTCAAAAATGAAATTATACTTCAAGGGCATAATACAATAATAAGGACCAGACTTAATCTCTCACCATGACCAGCCAGGAAGCTAGAGAGAAAAGTTCTATGAAATAACTGTTTTCAGACATGGAAAGGGTTGCGGTCTTTCAGAGAAGGAAAATAAACTAGGAGGATCCCAGGATGAGCTGGCTCTTGGCCTAGAGGTACCTTAGGACAGTGGTCAACTGCACTGAACTGCAGCGCTAGGAGGGACACCCAAGCAGACCTTGGTGGTCTTGCTGAGGTGAGGGCATCAAGAGTTCAGGGATGCAGAGGTTCCTGGAAACACCAAAAAAAAAAAAAAATGAAGAGGTACAGCTAATAAGCCAGTGTGGCAATAACCTAACATACCAAAGTATATTCAATTCAAAAGACAACAGGAAAAGGAGAAAAAAGAACAAACAGAAAACAGTTAGAAGGATGGGAGACTTCACTCCAACTGTTTTGATAACTAATTGTAAATGATCTAAACATTCTAATGAAATAACAGGGATTGTTAGTCTGGGTTTAAAAAGCAGTCTCAAGCAGATTCTGCCTGTAACAAACACACTTTAAATAGAGACACTTTGAAATCAAAGAATGGAGAAGAGATGTACCATGCAAACACTAACATCAGAAAGCTGGAGTGACTAAATCAATATTAGACAAAGTAGACACCAGAGCAATATATTGCCAGGATAAAAGACATTTCACTGTGATATAAATAAGTCAACTCCTCAAAAAGACATCGCAAACGTAATGTGTGTGCACCTATCAGACACGATCCAGCAATTCCTCTTCCAGGTATTTACCAAAGAGAAATGATAGTGTATGTTCACAGGGCTTGTGCAGAAATGCCTGTGGCAGCTTTATTCATATTTGCCCCACACTGGAAACAATTCCAGTGTCCACAGATAAGTGAACTGTGTTAAATGCACGTAAAATAATATTCAGCAAAAAAAAGAAACAAAATCCTGGCTGGGCATGTTGGCTCACGCCTGTAATCCCAGCACTTTGGGAGGCCAAGGCAGGTGGATCACCTGAGGTCAGGAGTTCAAGACCAGCCTGGCCAACATGGCGAAACCTCATCTCTACTAAAAATACATTAGCCAGGCGTGGTGGCAAGTGCCTGTAGTCCCAGCTACTCAGGAGGCTGAGGTACGAGAATCGCTTGAACCCAGGAGGCAGAGGTTGCATGGAGCCGAGATCAAGCCATTGCACTCCAGCCTGGGCAACAAAGTGAGACTCCATCTCAAAAAAAAAGAAAAGCAATCCTGATAACAGGAGCCACAATATGGAAGAATCTCAAGAATATTATGCTGAGCCACATAAATCAGACACAAAAGAGCATGTACTGTTTGAATCCATTTATATGAAGTTCTAGAAAAGGTGAATGTAATCTATTGTGACTGAAAGCAGATCAGTGGCTGCCCAGGGCTGGGGTGGGTTGAACCCAAAGGGCAAGACTATGCTTTCTGAAGTTATGGAAATGCATATTATGGAAATGCATATTTACATCAATTAAATTGTTTTAAAAAGTAAGAATACAAGTACAGAGCACATTTATTAGTAAACGAGAAAAAAATAACATTGGATTCTTGTATTTGGTACCTCATGAATAGGAAATCGGGTATATTCTGAAAATAAACTAAAAGGCAACACTGAGAGAAAGGGCCAAAATCACTATTCCCAGCAAGCTATTCCATTTCAAGTTCTTTTCTGTCACCAATTCGGAACTCAACTGCTGGCTGAAAAGCAGAAGCCAAAAACAACTAATTTCAATCTTCTTAAATAGCCATAATTTTAAGACAAGGAAATGAATTCCTAAAGAGCAAATTCCAAAGGCTGACAATGATTTAAACTAAAAAAATATATATTTCTTTGGAGAGTAAGTGCATCGTATAAGGTAAGAATATGTGCTTCTTTAAAAAGTTGTCCTAGTTTCTCTTTTTGTGCTCCAATGTTATAAACAGACTCTCTGGGGGCCTAGAAGGACTCTCTCTGTCCCAGCTGGGATTTCACTCCTGATTCACACCCGTAAGAATCTTCTCTGTTCATCTAGCAAAAAGCTATCAGCCTCAGGACAAAGCTCTTAGCTTAATGCTGACCTCAAAGCACCAGCTAGAATGCAAAGGAGGTGTGACAATACTCCAGCAAATGGCCCACTGTGCAAATCAAGTTACTTTAATTCCAAGAGGCATAAACAACATCATCGCCCTACAGTCTCAACCTCTTATCAAAACCTCTCCTTTATCTTTAGACCTGAGGACAAGTGTCCCCAGCAAACCACTTCTCCCCACAACCCTTTTTTGTACTGCAACATAATTTCTTACAAATCTATTGACTCTATCTTCAAAACTGGGAATTCCATGACTTCTCTCTACTTCCACGGCAACCCCAATGGTCTAAAGGCCAGCATCGTCTCTCACAGCCTTTAGCTTTCTAAGAGGTCTCTGAAATGTTTTGGATGTATGTCCATGCCCAAATCCCATGTTGAATTATAATCCCCAATGTTGAAGGAGGGGCCTGGTGGAAGGTGACTGGGTCATGGGCACGGATTTCCTCCTTGCTGTTCTCATGAGAGTGAGTTGCCACAAGATCTGATGGTTTAACAGCGTGTGGCACCTCGCCTCTCTCTCTTTCTCTCTCTCTCTCTCTCTCCCTCCCTCTCTCTCCTGCCGCCATGTGAAGAAGGTGCTTGCATCCCCTTTGCCTTCTGCCATGACTGTAAGTTTCCTGAGGCCTCCCAGTCATGCTTCCTCTTAGGCCTGTGGAAATGTGAGTCAATTAAACCTCTTTTCTTCATAAGTTACTCAGTCTCAAGCAGTCCTTTACAGCAGTGTGAGACAGGACTAACACAACCTCCCTGGCCCATGCCTCCCCATCGGCCAGACTGATCCAGGAGCACTTGAGTCAGATTATGCCATCCCAACTCTCAAACTTCCCTATGTCCCACCTCACTCTGGGTAAGAGCAGAAACCCTCACAAGGGCCTCAAGGGCCTGGCCACTCTCCACCCTCACCCCAACTCCCACTGTACTCCCTGCCCTGCAGCCCCCTGGCCTCCTTGCTGTGCCTCAACCCTGAGGTTCCAGCCTTAGGGTCTTTGCCCTGCTCAACACTTCACCTGGGTACTCTTCCCCCAGATAAATCCACAGGGGCTCGGCCCCTCCTCTCCCAGAGGACTTTGCTCAATTGTCCTTATGAATGGCACCTTCTTAAAACACCCTGTTTAAAGCCACCATGTGCACGAGCACTCCCTGCCTCTCTTCGCAGCTCTTCTACCCTCCTTGAGATTTACCCCCTTGTGGACAGTATGTATTTGTGGATCTTTCTCCCCCGAGAAGGAGGAGTTAACTCCATAAGGGTGTGGATTTCTGCTTTTGTTCCCTAAGGGATTCCCCAGTGCTTAGGAGAAAGGTATGGCACATAGTTAAATTTATTAAACGAACAACTGAATGTTGAGCAACAAGTTTCAAACAAAGCTTAACCATCACCCCCACAGCACATCTCTGTATTTCCTGGTTTTAACTTTGACTAGAAGTAGAAATACTAAAATAAATCAAAGACAAGGTGTAAAACCATCAGAAAAGCTATCTCCAAAAAAATCTAAAACCAGAAGATATTATGACAATGCAGCACCACCTTGAATTTCAAAACCAATTGAGGGCTCTTAAAATCCTAAAACAGCCCCATCGTCCCCCACTGTCAGTTCAAAAAGTTTACAGAGAACTTTTCCAGCAGAGGTGCTGTTTCATAGGTCCTTGGCATTCTCTAGCAACATAAATTAAGATCCCACATTTGCTAATATTGACAGAGCATATAATTTTTTTTTCCGAAAATACGTGGACACTGGCAGAGAGAGAGCTACAAAGTTGAGTTTAGCTGCAGAGGCTGGCTGATCAGCAAGGCTTACCTCTTGGCTAAGAGAATAACTTCCCCACGTTTGCTTTAGGATTTAAATTCGTGCCTCAGGAAAATGACCAGTAGGCTCTTCTGGGAATCTCAGGGGCTGCTTGGCGATAGTAAACACACTTAACAACTGTTCAGTACTGGAATGTCAGAGGTCTGTGCACTTCCACACACATTTTGCTGTCCATCTTTTGCAGGGTGAGCTGGTTAGGGATGGGAGCCTTCTGTCTTAGTCTTCTCCATGTGCCTTTTTGTTTAAAGAGACATTCCCAGTGAAGGACTCAAATATATTTGATTGAATGTCCCCTTCAGCAAAGCACATAAAGTAGACCAGCTACAGAGAGATCTTTGTGCACAGCTGCCAAATCCTGGATTTTAGTATTATTATATAGGAAATAAAAATTATACAGTTGATATGTCATTTTTTTAAAGAACTTCATATGCATGCTAATTTCCACACTAAATTTTGCTGGTTATAGGCAGAAAAAGCACATGACTTCCAACTCTGGCTCTGCCACCTGGGAGTTGTGCAAGCTTGATCATATTTTACCAGCACATAAAATACTCACTGAAGTGTCTAGTACACAGGTAGCATCACTGTCTTAAACTAATAGTAAATCCAATTATGGACTAATAGTATTCCAATCACACACTCAGAAGAGCTCTGGGAAAATTAAGCAGTAAAAATTTAGCAGATAATAGATGGCCGAGCACAGTGGCTCACACCTATAATCCCGACACTTTGGGAGGCTGAGGTGGGTGGATCTCTTGAGCCCAGGAGTCCAAGATCAGCCTGGGCAACATGGCAAATCCTTATCTCTACAAAAAATACAAAAATTAGCCAGGCATGTTGGCGCATGCCTGTGCCTGTAGTCCTAGCTACTCGGGAGGCTGAGGCAGGAGGACTGCTTGAGCCCAGGAGGTTGAGGCTGCAGTGAGCTGAGAGTGTACCACTGCATTCCAGCCTGGGCCACAGAATGAGACCCGTCTCAAAAAATAAATAAATAACATTAAAAAAAAGATAATACATTTGCTAGCTGGCAAATCAGTGCTCCTATAGTTTCTAGTGATTAGTAGATATTAAAGGATTGTGCTTTTCCAGTAAAATGTAGCTTTTCTGAATTTTTTTTTGGGTGGGGCGATGATAATTATGGCTGGTCTTTGAACTTGAATGATAATTTTAAGAAGGAAAACCAGCCCTACTAAGCTGGGTTTAAAAAAAAAAAAAGAAGACAACCAAATTTTCCCATAGAACTGGTTTAGCCTTTTTCTCCTCTTTTTATCCTTTTTAACCCAAAATGCTCAGATGTCCCAAATGTTCAGAGCTGCAGAGGCTGCACTGCGGGGGCATGTGGCGGCTCCCAGCCCAGGCAGACTCCAGCACCAGGAGCTGATGCCCAGACTTGTTTAGTCCAACACAGGTGATGAAGTCAGCTGAAAAGAAGACGGACTTGCCAGTAGGTTTGTAAGAAACAGCTTTTCCTCTACCCTAGTGTCTTTCCTCTCTGGGCAGCATTTTTATTAGGAAACCCAAGTTGAAACTGTGCAGAGGCTGTGACCCTAAGTCCCCCAGGCTCCCGTTACTGCCTGAACCCGGCCACTGCACTGCCTCTTCAACAGAAAATCCAATTCGCTGTGCTTAGTCCACTGTTGGTCTCTGCTGTTTGAAAGTTTACGTGCCTCTTTAACTCTTTCCCTCAGGAAAAGTCTCCACAAAGGCATGGATAATGGATGCAGAATTGAATAGGGCCCCAGGTTTTTCTTCTCTGAGGCTGTGGTTGCTCTGGCTAGAGAACTCTTACAGATAAGGCAGGGTGGGAACTGACTGTGTCACTGTCAATCAGGGGATCTGTCAGGGGAGGCCCTTCACTGTGACAGAAACAAACACTTCCAAACAAAGGTAGGAACACAGAGGAAAACAAAGTTGAAGTTGGTTCCCAGGATAACAGTTCCCTCTCTACAACCTTATGCAAGACGGCTCTATTTGCTGTAATTTAACCTCAACTTTTGAATCCAAAGCTGCTGACTTATACATGTTTTCAGCTTTTAACCATCTATGTTATATTTTAGATATTAAACATGTCAAGCAATAATTTTACAAATGATGAAATCGAGTGGCAAGTTTATTCATTGAAACTGACAAAAAAGTGATCCTAAAATGTTTTAGTTTGTTTTTTAGTATTTTGGGGTTTTTTTTAATAATTACCAAATTTTTAAAATAAGCATCTGTGGTCTATCTACATCCATCTTTATTATTATAGAAACTGCTCAGATTTTTTTTTTTTTTAACTTTTAGAGGTAGTAGTTTCTGTTTTTATCAATGTATTCTTTTTATAATGAAACATACACTTTGCTTTCAAAGCCCACAGCAAGTACATTTCTTATGCCTTGGCCCTAAATGTCAAATATAATTTATGTATTATTTCTAGGTAAATGTTCTTTGATATCATGCTAAATATGTTTGAGACCAACTTAAAAAACATTTAAGAAATTAAAGTGAAAAGTAAAAACTGAAAGGAAATAAAAGACACCAGACTGGAAACAAAGAAGTAAAACTCTTTTTATTCAGATAGGATTCAATACATAAAAAATTCTAAGGAATACACACACACACACAAACACACACACACATGCAGACATACCTTACTAGAACTGATAAACTAATTCAGGAAGATCACTGGATACAAGATCACTACAAAAAAACTCATTCTATTTCCATGTACTTGCAATGAACAACCAAAATTAAAATAAATAAAACAATTCCATTCACAATAGCATCAAAAAGATTAAAATACTTGGGAACAAATTTAATGAGAAACACAAAATCGGATATCCACATGCAAAAAAGATAGATTTAGACCTTGCTTTACACCACAGACAAAAATATACTCAAATTCGACCACAGACCAAGATATAAGAGCTAAAACAATAAAACTACTAGAAGAAAAACAGAAGAAAACCTTTGCAAATTTGTTAGGCAAAAAGCTCTTAAATATGACACTAAAGGCCGGGCTTGGTGGCTCACACCTGTAATCCTAGCACTTTGGGAGGCCGAGGCGGGTGGATTGCCTGAGCTCAAGAGATCGTGACCAGCCTGGGCCATGTGGTGAAAACCCGTCTCTACTGAAATATAAAAAATTAGCTGGGTGTGGTGGTGTGCTCCTGTAATCCCAGCTACTCTGGAGGCTGAGACAGGAGAATCACTTGAACCTGGTAGGTGGAGGTTTCAGTGAGCCCAGATTGCACCACTGTACTCCAGCCTGAGTGACAGAGTGAGACTCCATCTCAAAAAAAAAAAAAAAAAAAGACACTAAACTATGAGTCATAAAAGAAAAAAATGTATAAATTGGACTTCAAAAATAAAACCTGTGCTTCAAAAGTCACCATTAGGAAAATGAAAGAGACTGGATTCCAGCCACCAACCAGAAGAAAACATTTGTAAATCATACATAAACAACAAATAACATAAAGACAATCCAAATTTCAGGATGGGTAAAAGATTTAAGTAGACATTTTACTAAAGAAGATATACAAATAACTAATTAGCACAAACATGTTTAATATCATTAACTACTGGAGAATCACAAATCAAGACCACAACAAGATACCACTTCCTATCCATTCAAATGGATACAAAAAAGACGGGTAACAACAAGTATTGGTGAGGATATAGTAAACCTGGAATGCTCATAAATTGATGGTGGGAATGTAAAACAGTACAGCCACTTTGAAAAGCAATTTGGTAATTTCTTAAAAAGTTAAACACAAATTTGCCATACAACCCAGCAATTCCACTCCTAGGTAAAGACTCAAGAGAAATGAAAACATATGTCCATAAAATACTTGTACACAAATGTTTATGGTAGCATTGCTCTATAAACAAGCAAAAAGTGGCAATAACTGCTCTATAAACAGGCAAAAAGTGGAAATAATCCAAATGCCCATCAACTGCTGAATGAAGTGAGTGTGCTCTGTAGGCCGGACACCGTGGCTCATGCCTGTAATCCCGGCACTTTGGGAGACTGAGGTGAGTAGATGGCTTGAGGTCAGGAGTTCGAGACCAGCCTGGGCAACATAGTGAGACCTTGTCTCTACTAAAAATACAAAAATTAGCTGGGTGTGGTGGCATGCACCTGTAATCCCAGCTACTCAGGAGGCTGAGGCACGAGAATCATTTGAACCCAGGAGGCGGAGGTTGCAGTGAACAGAGATCGAGCTACTGCACTCCAGCTTGGGTAGCACAGCAAGGCTCTATCTCAAAACAAAAAACAAAAAAAAAGTGTGCTCTGTCCATAATATGGAATGCTATTTAGCAACAAAAAGGAATGAAGTACAGATACACACAACGACATGGATTAACTTCAGAAACCTTATGCTAAGTTAAAGAAGCCAGATGCAAGAGACTACAGACTTTATACCGTATAATTCCATTTTTATGAAATGTCTAGAAAAGGCAGATAGAAACAGACAGATGAGTGTTTGTCTGGGGCTGAGGATGGGAGCAGAGTAACGACAAATGGGCAGGAGGGATCTTTTGGAGGCATGGAAATGTTTTTAAATTGTATTGTGGTGACGGGGGCACAACTGTAGAAATTTACCAAAATCATCACATAATACATTTACAATGGGTGAATGGTATATAGTAGTTTTGCATTTTGAGAGTTGTTTTTTGAGACAGAGTCTCGTTCTTTTGCCCAAGCTGGACAGCCGTGATGCGATCACGACTCACTAAGGCCTCGAAATCCAAGGCTTAAGAAACCCTCCCACCTCAGCCTCCTGAGTAGCTGGGACTACAGGTATGCAGCACCACATCCAGCTAATTTTATTCTTAAATTTCTATACAGATAGGGTCTCACTGTGTTGCCCAGGCTGGTCTCAAACGTCTGGCCTCAAGTGATCCTCCTGCCTCAGACTTCCAAAGTGTTGGGATTACAGGTATGAGCCACCACACCTGGACAAGTCATTTTTTAAAAAGTAAAAATTGCAGGGCTGGGTGAGGTGGCTCACGCCTGTAATCCCAGCACTTTGGGAGGCCGAGGTGGGTGGATCACAAGGTCAAGAGTTTGAGACTAGCCTGGCCAACATGGTGAAACCCTGTGTCTCCTTAAAAAAAAATACAAAAATTAGCCAGGCATGGTGGCGTGTGCCTGTAATCCCAGCTACTCGGGAGGCTGAGGCAGGAGATGTGATTGAACTGGGAAGGCAGAGATGGCAGTGAGCCAAAATCGCACCACTGCACCCCAGCCTGGGTGACAGAGCAAGACTCTGTCTCAAAAAAAAAAAAAAAAAAAAGTAAAAATTGCAAAGTTTTTGTGTCTATATATCAGACACCAAATTATTTCACACAAATTGAAAAAGATTACTATTCAAACTGGGGATTGAGTTCTGAAGCCAGTATTATAAAATGAAATGCCTTTAATGGCAGTATGTGATATAATATTATATTACCACGTTCTTTATACATGAGAATGACATTTACATACTTCATGTATTAAGTATCGATTTGGGGGCTGGGCACATTGGCTCAAGCCTGTAATCACAGCACTTTGGGAGGCCCAGGCGGGCAGATCACAAGGTCAGGAGCTTGAGACCAGCCTGGCCAACGTGGCAAAACCCCATCTCTACTAAAAATACAAAAATTAGCTGGGCATGGTGGCACATGACTGTAATCCCAGCTACTTGGGAGGCTGAGGCAAGAGCATTGCTTGAACCTGTGAGGCAGAGGTTGCAGTGAGCCAAGATTGTACCACTGTACTCCAGCCTGGGCAACAGGGCAAGACTGTCTTAAAAAAAAAAAAAAAGGATCTGTTTTGGAGTCTTCTTATAGTTTCAAACATGCTCCTCTAACAGGAGTGAACTTGCAGACAGAGAAGCTAAGTAGATTGTCCACAGACAGATGGACTTTATCAAATGCCATGTGCCTCACTTCATATGATGAAATTACAATTTCAATGTATCTTAAAGAAGAAAAATAGTCACAAAAGAATCTTAACTATAACTGATACAATGATTTTCCTGTCTATTCAATAACCAGTATCCCCTTAAAACCAAACATACTGTGTCAATGTCTAAATGTGTAAGTTTTACTGGCAGCAAGTTAGGGATCAACTTAATATTTCTTAAGATAAAATTTCTATATAAGGATAAGGATAAAAGTAACTGGCACATAACCCCTTTATTCTGAATAGTGGCAATTAAAAACAACAAATGGAGATTTCGCCTGCTGTATTAGTTTTCTCATGTGTCAAAAGTCACCAGAAACTTAGTGACTGGAAAACAACACCCACGTATCATCTCACAGTTCTATAGGTCAGAAGTGTGAGTGGGTTCCACTGGATTCTCTGCTTAGGGTCTCACCAGGACAAATTCAAGGTGTCGGTCAGCCCGGGTTCTTATCTACAGGCTCCAAGTAGGAATCTGCCTCCAAACCCATTCCAGTTATGGATGGAATTCTGTGCTTTGTGGTTTGGGATGGAGGTGGCTGTTTCCTCGCTGCTGCCAGCCAGGGCCACTCTCAGCTCCTAGTGAGCACCCACACGCCCTCCATCTGCAGAGCTAGCAACAGTGTGGAATCTTTCCTGAGCTTCATATCTTTCTGACTTCCTCCTTGCTGCTGGCCTGAGGAAACTCTGCTTTTAAAGAGCACATGTGAGTAGATTAAGCCCACTCGGACAATCATCTTAATTCCACCTGCAGAATCTCTTTTAGCCATGTTACGCATGGGGGCAACACCACGAGGCAAGGGTCATGAGGCTGCACCATGAACACGTACCTTTCTAATTAAAATATATTTAAAGGCAACTAAATATCCTCCCATTGAGGAATAAAAGTAATCAATGCAGAAGGAATCTTGTATTTAGAAAACTCACCATTTTGTAACTCCCTAATAAACTTCATTCTTTGTTTTTAATTGCCACTATTAAGAAGAAAGGGGTTAAGTGCCAGCTACTTTTATCCTCATCCTTATATAGAAATTATGTGTCTTAACATTAGTTAAGTTGATCCCTAATAAAATAACTGATTTAGACAATGATTGTCAATGAGAAACTGACACCGACCACATCTGAGCCCACTTTAGAGACCTGACTACAGAGACCCTAAATGGCATGTGCCTCCTGCTACGACGTACACAGCACCACCTATAAAGTGCTCCTACCAAAAAGCAGCTGAAGCTAAACCTCATTAAGCTGTTAGAGCAAAGTCTCAGTTTACAGGAAATGTAGGAAACAGAAGTACAATTTAAATGATACCATTAAAGGCCGGGCATGGTGGCTCACGCTTGTAATCCTAGCACTTTGGGAGGCTGAGGTGGGCAGATCACTTGAGACCAGGAGTTTGAGACCAGCCTGGCCAACATAGTGAAACCGTGTCTCTACTGAAAAAAAAAAAAAAAATTAGCTGGGTATGGTGGTGCACACCTGTAATCCCAGCCACTCAGGAGGCTGAGGCACAACAACTGCTTGAACCTGGGAGGCAGAAGTTGCAGTGAGCAGAGATTGTGCCACTGCACTCCAGCCTGAGTGACAGAGCAAGACTCTGTCCCAAAAAATAAATAAATAAAAATTTTTTAAATGATACCATTAAGAAGCAGACAGAAAAGCCCAGAACGTGGAACATTCTACAACACACAGGACCCAATTTCTTCGGTAAGTTAATTACCTGTGCATGTGCTGGCGGGGGCAATGTGGGGGAACTGGTCTAGATTACAAGAAATATTATCATCAATTACAATACAAGAACAGTATTTGAATACTGATTCAAACCAAGAGTAAAAAAAAAAACATTTTTAAGTTAATCAGAGAAATTTGACAATAAACTCGGTATTAGAGTACACTAAGAATCATGATAAATTTCACGTTTGGGATAAAGGTACTGCGGCTGTATAAGAAAGCATGCATACTTTTTAGAGATGCATATAGCACAAAACGCTGTGACTGCTTTGTTAATTCAGTAACCACAAAAAAAGACGGGATGGGAAAACAAAGTATAGCAAAATGGTGAAATGTATCAAATCTAGGTGATGTAAATATATATATATACACACACACACACAAACACATACATATACATACATATGGGGTTAATTATTCTAGTCTACTTTTCTGTGTGTTGAAAATTTTTAACATAAACAATTTGCTTCTATTCACTGAGCATCTGCTGAGAGCCAATTGTCGTGTTAAGGGCTTCATGTGTATTACCAGCTAAACCCTCTCAACAGCCTCACGGACCTGAACTATTATTATCCCTACTTTTATAGATAAAAATTAATGAAATAACAACCACTTCAGGGTGTAGCCAAACAATCTCCCAGTTCGGCAATGCCTCAGAGGCCAAGTAAATTAAAGACTTCTATGGTTTTCATTTTGAAAACATTTTTACCAATTGCCTACAGCACACATTGGAGGGCAGTTCCCAAGCCCTGTGGTGATCCTGTGTGTCGGGGACCTTGGGAGGTAAGGAAAGAGGGAAAAGGAACAGATGGGTAGGCAGACAGAGGGTGAAACAAAACAAGAGGACCAGCAAAACAATGAGGGGAGAGGGAAGGAAAGATGGAGAAGGGAAAGAGTAGGGCAGGAACGCATGGAGTCAGTGATGGAAGGCGCAAACGGAACCTGGAAAAGGAAGACCTGGAGTGTCAGACACATTTACTCCCACCATGGCCCACCTTCCACTCTCCCCCAATGCCTGAGACCAGGCAGAAAGTGAGACTACTACAGAGAAAAACGGGGAGCAGGCCAACAACACTAGACAGCTCCGTCAAAACGTAATTACAGATGGTGGTGTGCGCTCTCCCTAAGCCTCCGATCAGCTGCTCTTCTTTCCTGTGACCATGACCTTCCCAAGCTCAAACTCAGCTTCTCCTGACCAGATCCAAGGTCACGAATTGAAGGGAACAGAAGAAATTATTTATTTAAACAATGTTTAACAGCTTCAGATAAAATGCACAGCCCATCAGCGCCCAGTGAGACTGCTCTCAGAGAACAATCCGTGCAACTGAGATACTCAGCCACACTAATGCCATTGGGAGCTCAGGTCAGAGTCTCCCGGTGCCAGGGTCAGTTAAGGTTTTAATCCAGGCTATGGAAAATACATGTTTGGGGGGCTGTATGTATGTTTGCGGGGACTGTAGACAGGAAAGGAGCTACAGAAGGGAGAGAGAACAGAAAACACAAAAGAAGAATCCTGGATGCATTTCAGAAACTGGAATGAGAGCTGAAGGGAAAGCAGGCTGAAGTTCTGATCCATACAACCACCAGAACGAACCTTGAAGGCCTTATGCTGAAGAAGCCCAGTGCAAAAGGACACACAGTGTGTGATTCCCTTCATGTGGCGTGTCCAACACAAGCAAATCCATGGAGGCAGAAACTCAATTCGTGGTTGCCGGGAGCTGAGGGAGGGTAGAAGGCAGAAGGACTGCTAATGGGTACAAGTTCTTTTTGGGGTGATAAAAACATTCTAAAATTAGGCAGTGCAGATGGTTGTATGACGGTGAATACACAAAAAGTCACTCAACTGTTTACTTTCAATGTGTGGATTGTATGCTATGTGAAATATACCTCAATAAATCCACAAAAAATAAATTAAAAAAATTTTTAACTAGCAAATAAAAAGATAATTCCTTTTTCCCTCCACTCTCAGAGATACAGAGTTTCTCTCTCTTGTTATCATGAGTTTTATTTTGTTTTTTAGCACAAAATCAGAAGCAAAGGAGAACATCTGTGTAGCTTATAGTAACCACACACCATGAAAGTAATGAGAAGCCGTAAGAACTAACAAAATGAAAGCCAAACTCTTTTAACTTATCTGTTCCCCAACCAACTCCTGAGGAGCAGGATGAAATATCTCTATATGGCAAAGACCAATCACTTTCCACACAGTGCTCAGGCACAGACAGACCAATGTCATCTGCTTCTCCAAACCACTCCGTCCACCTTTTCCCCACTGTACTTCATGCGTGATCAAAGAAACTGTATCTACCAAAGAACCTCTTCACAGACAGGCTAATTTTCGTAAAACAGATAAAGTGGTTTACAAAAATCCAAAGATTTCTGCACCAGCTTCTACTGGTAACTATTTTATTATTTACTGGTTAATATTTTATTATCGGAGTAAAGAAGAAGGAGAACTGGGAATCAGAACAAGTCACTCCACCTCCCTGTGTCTACATCTCCTCATCAGCAAACAAAAGGGCAAGCCCAGAATTATCTCGAAGAATACGCAGTCTTAAAGGGATCTATCAGTCTATGTCTATTAATCATGGAAACAGAGCACAAATTGAGTTCTAGGGAACTTTAATTTCTTGGAATTTTCATAAAGTAATTTCCTCCAGCCATAAAATAATTTTAAAGCTATTACACACAGCTCCCCAGCAAACCACCTCAGTAACCACGAGGCAGGCAAGACGCAAAGAAAAGAAAGGAATATCCTATTCTCTTACATTCAGCAACGCTGAGTTCATGTAAAAATCCTAGAATTACCCATTTCCCAAGAGCTTAATCATAGAATATGTTACTAGGAATGTAAGTCATCATTAAATACCTTATTAATTACATGAAATTTCCTTTATTCCCAGCCACAGCTATAGAGGATATAAAGCACTAGGGGGTGCATTCATATATTACTATAGTATCGCCCAATTTCATCACTAAAATTACCGTATGCCAAATGAACAAGCAGGACTTACCAATTTTCTGATTGAAAATCTTGTCAAAGGTTATTTCATTTCTCTCTGCAAGGTACTTCTGCATCACACTCCGGATACTGGAAGGGAAGAGTGACACATTTTTAACAATACAGCCTACATCGTGAGTAACCATCCCCAGGATGGAAGAGATACGGATGTCTTGACTTCATATCAGCTTTACAAGAGACCCTTCTTGCCACAACTGCGTGAAATGCAGACCAGCCTAAAAGCCAGAAACTTCATGGCCTTAGCCACCATCCCCTCCTGCAACACAGGGCCAACCTTAACACGCAGAAACTCAACTGCAGAAAATAACTTCAGGGTTTTGAAAACCCACCCTCAATATATCTGCTCTCCAAAATATTCACAAATGTGTCTGCACGCACAAACACATGCACACAGCACACACCCTACACGTACACACCACACATGCCTGTGCCCCCCCACCACAAATTCTGCTCATCAATAAATGAGCTTCTTTCTAAAACAAGTGCAAAAGTTCCCTAGATATATTAATATTTTTAAAATCATATTTCTATACTGCAACAATACAGCACAAAACATAATTAAAAGACTTAGCTTGCAATAAAATAAAAAACATCAAATACTTTGAAATTATTCTTTCAAAATATGTGCAAGAACTTGATGGGAAAAATTACAAATTGTATTGGGAGACATTAAAGAGGATCTAAATAAATAGGAAGATATACCACAGTGATAAACAGAGAAATTTAATACTGTAAAAGTTTGAAGTCTACCCAAATTTATCTATGACATCAATATAATCCCCATTAACATTCCAATAGGGTTTTTCATAGAACATAGAAATAAATAAGCTATTTCTAAAATTTATACAAAAAATACAGGATCAATAATAGCCAAAACACTTCTGAAGAAAGAGAATAAAGATACTGGGGCTTATTACAAAGTTAAAATAATAAAGACAGGATAAACAAACTAATCAAGGAAATGGAAGACAGTGCAGAAACTGAACCACACATACATTCAACTTTGACATATAATAGAAGTAGCAAGTCAGAAAAATGGGGAAAGGATGGATTATTCAGTAACTGAACCCCAAAAGTGATTATCCAAATGGAAAAAGTAGAAAATTGAATCTCTATTATCCACTGATGGTGGGAGTGAACAATAATTTAGCATTACTTTTTTTTTTACTTTTTAAAACAAATTGAGGCAAATTTATATACAATTAAATGCACACTTAAAGTATATTGTTAGGTAGGCGAGGTGCCTCACGCCTGTAATCCCACCACTTTGGGAGGCCGAGGCGAGTGAATCATCTGAGGTCAGGAGTTCAAGACCATTCTGGCCCACATGGTAAAACCCCGCCTCTACTAAAAATACAAAAATTAGCTGGGTGTGGTTGTGCGTGTCTGTAGTCCCAGCTACTAGAGAGGCTGAGGCAGGAGAATCACTTGAACCCAGGAGGCAGATGTTGCAGTGACCCAAGATTGTGCTACTGCACTCCAGCTTGGGGGACAGAATGAGACTCTGTCTCCAAAAACAAAAAGAAAGTATATTGTTAAATGTGCTTTTGACAAACATATACACCTATGTAACTACTATCTTAAGATACAGGATATTTCCATTGCCCCAAAAAGCACCCCTTTAAAATCAATCTCCCCATATTCTAGAATCCAGGCAACTATTGACCTGCTTTCTAATAACATAGATTCATGCTCCAGTTCTAGAATTTTATATAAAATAAAATTACACACTATGTTGTCTGTTGTGTCTGGCTTCTTTTGTTTGACATGAGACAGCTTCATCCATATTGCTATGTGCATAAGTATTTCGTTCCTTTCTAATGCCAAACAGCATGCCATTGTATGAATATTCCACAATTTGTTTACCCAGCCATCTGTTGACAGACATTTGGGTTGTTTCTATAAATAAAGGTGCTTTAAATATCTATGTATAAGTCTTTTTATGGGCATGCGTTTTCATTTTTCACAGGTAAACACCAGGAAGTGAAATTGTTGGTCATATGGAAAATCATATTTAACATTATTAAAAACTGATGAACTATATTACAAACTGGTTCTACCATTTTACAATCCCACCAACAATGTATGATAGTTCCAGTTGTTCCACATCCTTGTCAACACTTGGGTTGTAAGTCTTTTTAAATTTTGGCCACTCTGTTGGGTGTGTAGTAGTATTTTATTGTACTTTGTATTTTAATTTGCATTTCCCTAATGAATAATGACGTTGAGCATGTTTGTACATGATTATTGGAATCCTCCTCTCTTCTTTTTAGAGGTGTGTAGACAAATGTTTTTTCTACCTTTTAATTGAGTTGTATTATTCAGTTGTACAACTTCTTTATTTAGTCCAGAAATAAGTCCTATGTCAGATTTATGTGATGCTAAGATTTTCTCCCAGTGAGCACCTCAGCTCTTCATTTTCTTCAGGGAGTCCTTCTTAGAGCAGAGGTGCTTAGTTGATGAGTTCCAATTTATTGACATTTCTTTGATGGACAGTCTGTCCTAAGAAGTCTTTCATGCCTCAAGGTCATGAAGACTGTAAGCTATATTTTCTTTCACAAGTTTAAAAGTTTTCGCTTTTGTGTAAACACAAATATGGTCTAATATCCATTTCAGGTTAATTTTTGTGTAGAGTACAAGGTAGAAATCAAAGTTCTTTTTTTTCTGTATAATATTTCATTGTTCTGGTATTACTTGTTGAAAAGACTTCCTTCTTTCTTTTTCTCCATTAAATTATCTTGGCACCTTTGTTGGTTCAACACTAAGTATGTGCAGGTCTATCTCTGGACCATCCTGTTGCATTGATCTGTACATCTATCCTTATGTACACATTGTATTGTCTTCATTGCTTCTTTTCTAACTTAAGAAGTTGGATCAATGAATTTAAATTATTTCTAATGTAACCATTTAAAATTATAAAATTCCCTCTAGGCATCGATTTAACTGCATCTCACAGATATTGATATATTCTACTTTCATTTTCATCCTATTCTAATTATCTTCTAATTTCCCTTGAGATTTCTTCCTTGACCTATGAGTAATTTAGAAATGTGTTGCTTCATTTCCAAATACTTGGAGATTTCCAGTTATCTTTCTGTTATTAAATTTTACTTTAATTCTTTCATGGTCAGAAAACACACTTTGAATAACTCAGTTCTTTTATGATTTGTTGATATGTGTTTTATTGCCTAGAATATGATCTACTGTTTTGAGTAGTTCACGTACACTTAAAGGGAATGTGTATGCTGCTGTTGGATAGACTGATTCATAAACACCAACTGGGTCAAGTTGGTTGATAGTGTTGCTTAGATTTTTCTATATCCTTATGGATTTTCTGTCTACTTTTTCTATAAATTACTGAGAGAGGAGTGTTGAAACCGTCAACTAAAATTGTGAATCTATTTCTCTTTTCAATTCTGTTTTTGTTTTATGTTTTACTGCTCTGTTGTTAAGTACATGAATATTTAAGAACAATGTTGTGCTTCCATGGTGAAATAACCCCATGATCATTATGAAATACACCTTTTTAATGCCTGTTTATAATCTTTGTTAAGTCTATTTTATCAGATATTAATCAAGTCATTCCAGCTTTCTTTTGGTTAGTGCTTATACAGTATTATATTTGTCTATCTTTTTACCTTTAAGGATTTATATCTTCACATTTAAAATAAGTTTCCAGTTTACAACAGATAGTCATCCGTTGGTATACAAGCCATGAGTTCTATCTAGGACCCGCCTCGGATCCCAAAATCCTAGGATGCTCAAGTCCCTTATATAAAATGGGGTAGTATCTACAGAGCACTTATGCACATCCTCCTGAATAGTTTAAATCATCTCTAGATTACTTATAAGACCTAATGCAATGTAAATGCTATGTAAATAGTTGTTATACTGTATTGGTTTTTATTTGTATTTTTACTGTTGTATTGTTATTTCTCATTGTTTCTTTCTTTCCAAATATTTTGAGGCGTAGTTGGTTGAATACCCAGATGCAACCTGCAGACATGGCCAGGCACGGCGGCTCACACCTGTAATCCCAGCACTTTGGGAGGCCGAGGCAGGTGGATCACCTGAGGTCAGACGTTCCAGACCAGCATGGACAACATGGTGAAACCCTGTCTTTACTACAAATACAAAAATTAGCAGTGGCGGTTGCCTGTAATCCCAGCTACTCAGGAGGCTGAGGCAGGAGAATCATTTGAACCTGGGAGGCGGACGTTGCAGTGAGCCGAGATCATGCCACTGCACTGCAGCCTGGGTGACAGAGCAAGACTCCATCTCAAAAAAAAAAAAAAAAACCCTGCAGATATGGACAGCTGACTGTAACCCACAGATATGGGCAGCTGACTGTATAGCTGGATCTTGCTTTTTCACCCTACCTGATGATCTCTTTTAATTGAAGTACTTAAAGAATCTGCATACTTCTGTTAGGTAGATACAGGTAAGTGAATTAGCTAGATCATATGGTAAATATGTTTTAGTATGACTTTTTTAAAAACTGCCAAACCACCTTCTGTTGTGGCTATACCTTTCAGATTCCCATCAGCAACACAGAATTCCTGTTTCTCCTTGAACATACTTATTTTCTGAGTTTTTATTTTAGCCATTTTGGTGGGTGTGAAGTAGCATCGCACTGTGGTTTTAATTTGCATTTCCCTAATGAGTAATAATAAGCATTTTTTCATGTGCTTATTAGCTATTCATGTATCTTCTGTAGTGAACTGGCTATTCAAATATTTGGCCAATTTGAGGAGGACTGGTATCTTAATATTCATAGAGTTCTTTATATGTTCTGGATACAAGTTATTTATTATATATGTGATTTTCTTTTTTCTTTTCTTTTTTTTTTTTTTTGAGACAGAGTCTCGCTCTGTCACCTAGGCTGGAGTGCAGTGGCATGATCTCGGCTCACTGCAAGCTCCGCCTCCCGGGTTCACATCATTCTCCTGCCTCAGCCTCCCGAGTAGCTGAGACTATAGGCACCCGCCACCACGCCCGGCTAATATTTTGTATTTTTAGTAGAGACGGGGTTTCACCATGTTAGCCAAGATGGTCTTGATCTCCTGACCTCGTGATCTGCCCACCTCAGCCTCCCAAAATGCTGGGATTACAGGCATGAGCCACTGCACCTGGCATATATGTGATTTTCAAATATTTTCTCAGAGTCTATAATTTGTCTTTGCACTTGCTTAGTGGTGTCTTTAAAGGACAAGTTTTAAATTTTTGATTAAACCCAATTTATCAATATTTTTCTTTAATGGTGTCATAGCTAAGAATTCTTTGCCTAACCCAAGGTCACAAAAACTTTTTCTTATGCTTTCTTCCAGAAGTGTTATAGTTTTAGCTCACAAATGCAGATTTATGATCAATTTTGAGTTATTCTGGGAGTATGGTAGGAGATAAATATCTAAGGGATTTTGGTTTGTTTTTGTCTTTGTTTTTGCATATGGACATTCAATTTTTCTAGCATCATTTTGTTGAAATTCCTATCATTTCCCCCACTAAATTGTCTTGGCATTTTTTCAAAAATCAATTACTGTAAATGTGAGGATTTCTCCCCTCCATATTCTGCTCCATTATCTATGTTCTTTATGCCAGTGTAGCACCATGTTGATGACAACAGCTCTACAGGAAGTGGTCAAACCAGTCTAAGTTCTCTCTGTTCTGTTTTCAAAATTGTGTTGCCTATTCTGCTTGGATTTCAAAAGGGACTGCAGTAAATCTATAGATCAATATGGATCAATATGGGAAGAATTGCCACCTTTTTGTTTTTCGCACAGGGTCTCTCTGTTGCCCAGGCTGGAGTATAGTGATGAGATCATGGCTCACTGCAGCCTTGGCCTACTGGGCTCAAGCAATTCTCTCACCTCAGACTCTCAAGTAGCTGGGAAGAGAGGTGCATGCCACTGTGCCCAGCTAATTTTTAAAATTTTTTTTGTAGAGACAGGGTCTCACCATGTTGCCCAGGCTGGTCTTGAACTCCTGGGCTCAAGTGATCCTCCCGGCTCAGACTCCCAAAGTGCTGGGATACAGGCGTGAGCCACCAAGCCAGGACCAGAACTGCCATCTTAATAACACTGAACCTGCTTTTGTCTGTATTTTGTTCCTGTTTTCCTCTTTTCTTGCCTTCTTCTTATGATTCAATTTTTATCTCCCCTCCTAGATTATTTTAACTCTTTTCTTTCTTTTTTTCCTTAGGGGTTGCTCTAGGGTTTACAATACACATTTTTACTTACCATAGTCTACCTCTAAATAACATTTTACATTTCCATGTCCTGTCTATGATTTGTGCTATTATTGTCATATGCTTTATTCCTACATGTTCTAAATCTCATAATATATTTGCATTGTTTTGGCTTTAGACATGCAATGTCTTTACATTCGATGGCTTTTACATTACTGCAGGTACTCTATATTTCTTTGTGGAGATCCAAATGTCACCTGGTACCATACACCTTCTGCCCAACACACTTCCTCCATCTCTTGTAGTGCAGGTTAACTAGCAATGAATTTTCCCAGCTCTTGTTTGTCTAAAAAGTCTTTGTTTTGCCTTTAGTTTTGAAAGATATTGTTATTGGGTATAGGATCCCAGGTTGGCAGGTTTGTTTTGTTTTCTCTCAGCACTTGATGTCACTCCACTGTCTTCTGCGTGCATAGGTTATATAAGAATTGTGCTATAATTTTTATCTTTATTCCTCTGTACATACATTTTGTTTTAATCCGGCTGCCTTTCTTTATCTAGCTTCTTTAAGAATTTCTCTTTATTGTTGGTCAGTAGTTTAACTATAATGCATCTAGAGGTATGCTTTCTCTCCCTACCTTTACCCTGCTTGGGGTTCTCTGAACATTTTTTTAACTTTGTTAACTGACACATAATAATTGTACATATTCATGGGGCGCACTGTGATATTTTGATACATACGATGCATAGTGATCAGATCAGGGTAATTAGCATACCCATTATCTCAAACATTTGTCATTTCTTTGTGATGGGAACATTCAATGTTCTCCTTCCAGCTATTTGAAATTATGTATTATTGTTAACTATAGTAATCCTACAGTGCTATAGAACATTAGAATGTATTTCTCTTATCTAGCTGTAATTTTATATCCTTTAACAAATTTCTTCCTTCCCCACCCTTTCTCCTACCCTTCCCAACTTTCTATCTTTCACTGATTTTGGAAAATTCTCAGCCATTTTCTCTGCATATTTTTTTAGTCGGCTCTTTCTCTTCTCTTTCTGATATTTCACTTACTCACATGTTAGAACATTTGATATTGTCCCACAACTTTCAGACACAGAGCATGAGACCCTAATTATAAATCCAAAACTAAAAATATAATCTATAGAAATACATGTATGTAATAAAACCATACATTTCTGAAAGGCAGGGAAGTGTGTAATGTGTAATTCATAATGAGTGGCTGCCTACAGGGAGAAGGAGGAAAGGAAACACAAGGCCAGGAGATGGAATGGGGAAGGAACTCACAGTAGAAGGAAATTATTCTCAGTATCCTTGTTCTCATGCTGGTACTATAAGTGCTTATAATATTATTTAAAATGAATTAATGAATGATTCAATGCCTACAAAATAAAGAAGGCCATGCATAAATTAATAATGAGAGAGTATCATGAATCAAGTGCCATGATTAGTTAAATTCTGTGAATATAAGTCCAGCACTTGAGCCATGGTAAGTATCAAGTAAATTATGAGTCTCAATAAAGATATGAATGAAGAGGAAGGGTTTATTTTTCAAACAAGTTACAAGACATGCTAAGACTCTGCCAGGGATGGCCTATCACTAATTGTAACAGTGCATAGAATAGCCAGTTGCTTGCCCCTGCATTTAATTATACCTAGCTATGAGAAGTCACTCATAGTACTCTCCTGTCTCAAAGTTCTGAGGGAATAAATCAAATGATAATTTTAAATTTTTTTGAAATTGCTAATTTATTAACATTTTCAAATAGATGTTTAAAATGCAAGTAATATAAAAGTAAAAACTAGATATTAAAATGTTCTTCATCTCTCACTTTTCATATTGTCAAATATTTTCTTGATTGAAGCAGAATAGTTCAATTGAGTCTAAACTCTATTCATAGATCACATTACTTCTTTTTGAAGAACAGCAATCTTTTTCTTTAGTAAATTAAAAGCCCTCATTTATTTGATTCATCCAACATTTCATGAATGACAACTGGTTTTTCACCTACCTACCCACGACTCTCATTTTTCCCCATGAATACTCTTGAAGAAGTGTTCCAGAAGCATTCTAAAACAATCAACAAATTTAGCAATGTACTACCTATTCCATTCTGACTTTCCAGTTTTTCCATACAATTCCTACCATGATATGATTTTTACTCTTCCCTTCTTGTAGAGGGTGGTTGGTGGTGGTGGTTCTTATATACCTTCATGTAATCATCTTCCTTGAAGTAGAACATTTTATACATATATATACACGTATACATGTGTATTACATATACACACATACATACAAAGCGGGTCTCGCTCTGTCATCCAGGCTGGAGTACAGTGGTGTGATCATAGCTCACTGCGGCCTCAAACTCCTGAGCTCAAGCCATCCTCCCACCTCAGCCTCCTGAGTAGCAGAAACTGTAAGTGCACACCACCACACCCAGTAATTATTATTTTTTTTTTTGGAGACAGAGTCTCACTATGTTGCCCAGACTGGTCTTAAATTCTTGGCCTCAAGAGATCCTCCCACCTCAGCCTCCCAAGTGGCTGGAATTATTGGTGCAAGCCACCATGCCTGGCAATTTTTTATTTATTTAAAAAGTCTAATTTCCTAAACATGAGAAATCTAGTCTGTACTTATATTTTTATTTTTTCCTACAATTCTTGACTATTCCCTTATGTTCTACTTGTAATTTTCTTCACTGTACTATTCAGTCCCTATTTGTATTTTTAATATCTTGCATGTTTTTATTTTTAGCTCAAAGAATGTGGCTGGTTGTCTAATACTACACACAAAAAGTAATTTGATGTATTCCTAAGTATTTTGTGGGTGTGCAGCTACTGTAAATGGGACTGCATTTTAATTTGGCTCTCAGCTTGAACGTTATTGGTGTATAGAAATGCTACTGATTTCTGTACATTGATTTTGTATCCTGAAACTTCCTGAAGTCGTTTATCAATTCCTGGAGTCTTTGGCAGAGTCTTTAGGGTTTTCTCGGTATAGAATCATTATCATCGGCAAAGAAAGACAGTTTGACTCCTTCTTTTCCAATTTGGATGCCTTCTATTTTTTCTCTTGCCTGACTGCTCCAGTACTATGTTGAATAAGAGTGGCAAGAATGAGAATCCTTGTCTGTTCCAGTTCTCAAGGGGAATGCTTCCAGCTTTTGCTCATTCAATATGATATTGTATTTAGGTTTGTCATAGATAGCTGTTATTATTTTGAGGTATGTCCCTTCAATATCTAGTTTGTTCAGGATTTTTAACATGAAGCGTACTGGATTTTATTGAAAGCTTTTTCCACGTCTATTGAGATGATCATATGGTTTTGTTTTTATTTATTTATTTTATTTATTTATTTATTTTTGAGATGGAGTTTCGCTCTGTTGCCCAGGCTGGAGTGCAGTGGCGCGATCTCAGCTCACTTGCAAGCTCTGCCTCCTGGGTTCACGCCATTCTCCTGCCTCAGCCTCCCGAGTACCTGGGACTACAGGTGCCCACCGCCACGCCCGGCTAATTTTTTGTATTTTCAGTAGAGACAGGGTTTCACCATGTTAGCCAGGATGGTCTCGATCTCCTGACCTCGTGATCCACCTGCTTCAGCCTCCCAAAGTGCTGGGATTACAAGCGTGAGCCACTGCACCGGGCCAGTTTTTAATTTTTTTATGTGGTAAATCACATTTATTGGTTTGCATATGTTGAACCAACCTTGCCTCCCAGGAATGAAGCCTACCTGATCATGATGAATTAACCTCTTTGATGTGCTGCTGGATTTGGTTTGCTAGTATTTTGTTGAGGATTTTTGCCTCTGTGTTCATCAGGGATGTTGGCCTGTAGTTTTCTTTTTTCACTGTGTCTTTGCCAGGTTTTGGCATCAGGGTAATACTGGCTTTGCAGAATGAGTTAGGGAGGAGTCCCTCCTCCTTGACTTTTTTCTACCAGTAGAACTACAAAACACCAATGAAAGAAATCATAGATGATACATACACACAAATGGAAGAACGTTCCATGCTCATAGATTGGAAGAATCAATATTGTAAAAATGGCCATGCTGCCCAAAACAATCTACAGATTCAATGCTATTGCTATCAAACTACCAATGTCATTTTTCACAGGATGGGTAAAAACTATTCTAAGATTAATATGGAATAAAAAAAGAGCCCAAATAGCCAAAGTAATCTTAAGAAAAAAGAACAAAGCTAGAGGATCATATTACCCAACTTCAAACTATACCATAAGGCTACAGTAACCAAAACAGCATAGTGCTGATACAGAAACAGACACACAGACCAGTGGAATAGAAGAGAGAACCCAAAAATAAAGCCACATGCAGCTTTAGCTATCTGATCTTTGACAAAGTCAACAAAAATAAGAGAGAAAGGACTCCCTACTCAATAAATGGTGCTGGGATAGCTGGCTAGCCATATGCAGAAGATTGAAACTGGATCCCTACCTTTTACCATATACAAAAAAGTCCTCAAAAAATGCAAAAAAAAGTCCTCAAAAGCAACTGCAAAGAAAACAAAAATTGACAAGTAGGGCCCAATTAATCTAAAGTGCTTTTGCACAGCAAAAGAAACTATCAACAGAGTAAACAGACACCCTACAGAATGAGAGAAAATATTTACAAACTATGCATCTGACAAAGGTCTAATATCCAGATTCTATAAGGAACTTAACAACAAAAAACAAATAATTACATTAAAAAATGGGCAAAAGACATGAACAGACACTTCTCAAAAGAAGACATACAAGCAACCAACAAACATATGAAAAAATGCTCAAAATCACTAATCATCACAGAAACGTAAATCAAAACCACCATGAGATACCATCTCACTCCAGGCAAATGGCTATTATTTAAAAAAAGAAAGAAAGAAAAGAAAAGAAAAGAAAGAAACAGATGCTGGCAAGTCTTCGGAGAAATGGGAATGCCTATACACTGCTGGTGGGAATGTAAATTAATTCAGCCACTGTGAAAAGCTGTTTGGAGATTTCCCAAAAAACTTAACAAAGAAGTACCATTCAACCCAGCAATCCTATTACTGAATATATTTATTTTCTTTCCAAAAGAAAATAAATCGTTCTACCAAAAGAAAAAAAAAAAACCACATGCACTCATATGTTCATCACAGCACTATTCATTAATAACAAAGACAAGGAATCAACCTACATGCCCATCAATGGTGGACTGGATAAAGAAAATGTGGTACATATACACCATGGGATACTATATTGCCATTAAAAAGAATGAAATCATGTCCTTTGCAGCAATGTGAATGCAGCGGTAGGTGATTATCCTAAGCAAATTAACACAGGAACAGAAAACCAAATACCACATGTTCTTACTTATAAGTGGGAGCTAAACACTGGGTACTCATGGACATAACCTTTTTGATGTGCTGCTGGATTTGGATACCAGGGATGAATGGCGGGGGAGGGAGGGAAGGGAGCAAGGGTTGAAACACTACTGGATACTGTGCTCACTAACTAGGCAATGGGATCAGTCATACCCCAAACCTCATCATCACACAATACACCCACATAACAAACCTGCACATGTACCCCTTAAATCTAAAATTAAAGCTGCAATTATTGTTTCTAAAAAGTAATTCAAGATTGACCATAGGTCTAAATATAAAGCCTAAAACTATAAAAGTTCTCAAAGAAAATATAAAAAAAAACTTTGTGACTAGTTCAAGCAAAGACTTTAGACATGAGAGCAAAAACATGAATAATAAGAGAAAAACTGATAAATTAATTTCGTCAAAATTAAAAACTGCTGCTCCTGAAAAGACACTTAAGAGGATGAAAAGACAAGCCACATGCCGAGAGAAAACACTGGCAAACCATCTATCCAATTGAAGATCTGTACCCAACATAAATAAAGACGCTTTAAAGCTCAAGAATAAGAAAATAACCTAATAAAAAATGGGCAAATGATTTGAATAGACACTTCAAAGAAGATATGTGGGTGGCAAATAAGCATATGAAAAGTTGTTCAACATCATTAGTCATTAGGAAAAGGCGAATTAAAATCACAAGAAGATTCCACTACATACCTATTAGAGTGGCTACAATTACAAAAGACCATACTAAATGTTGGGAGGGATATGGAGTAACTGGAATTCTCATACACTGCTAGTGGGAATGTCAAATGAAGCACACACTTTGGAAAACACTTTGGCAGCTTCTTAGAGAGTAAAGTTAAACTACACCTACCATTTGATAAATCCATTCCATTTTTAGGTATTTTACCTGAGAGAAATGAAAGCATATATCCATACAAATATTTATACATGGATATTCTCAGCAGCTTTATCTGTGATGGTCAAAAGCTGGAAGCAACACAATAGCCACAATGGGTAAGTAAATATGCATATCACTATAATGAAACAGTACTCAGCAATAAAATGAATGAACTATGAATACATTTAAAAACCCAGATGGATCTCAGAATAACTGCTGATTTAAAGAAGCCAGACCCCCCAAAAAAGTACACAACGTTTGATTACAAAGAGGCAGGAGCAAACTTTTAAGGATGGTGCATGTGGTATAATAAAAAATATATTTAGTTTTTGTCTCTGGTTCCTGACACAGAGCTCCAAAAACGCTTGAAATTTCCTGATAGGAGTGTCTTTTATTCCTAAGGAGCCCTTTTCAACCATACCTGAGTTTATGCTAATGAGCTGACTCTTGGTGGGCTTCTAGATAGTTCAATATGGGGGCTTGTTGCCAGAGGAAGCAAAAGTGTGACTAGAGGGTTAAGACTTTCACCCTTATCCCCTGACCTCAGGGAGGCTGGGGATTGAGTTCTGTCACCAACACCCAAAGCTTTCTGCAATCAAGCCTACTTTGCTTAAAAACTCTTGAAGAGTTTGGAGAGCTTCCAGGTGAACACATCATGAGATGGGAAGGTGGTGCACTCAGAGAGGGCACAGAAGCTCTGCTCTCTACCCCTCCCTGCAAGACCCTGCACCATGTACCTCTTCCATTTTGCTATTCCTGAGTTGCATCTTTCATAATAAAACTAATCATAAGGATAGCATTTTCCTGAGTTCTGTGAGTTGTTCTAGTGACACAGCACACCGGAGAGGATGGTCATGGGAGCCCGTGAATTTGTGGTCAGCCAGGCAGAAGTATGGGAGACTGGGAACCCCATTCCTAGCTGGCATCTGAATTGGGGCAGTCTTGTGGGAATGAGCCCTTAACCTAGCAGTGGGGAGGGGGTCTCTGCTAACTTAAGGTGGTGTCAAAATCAAATTGAATTGTAGAACGCCCAGCTGGTAAGACAATTGAGACGTTCATTATCTGAATTTGGGTAATGGTTTTGCCAATGTAGATAAACTCACCAAACTGTGCACTTGTAATATGTTGTTTATCTTAGGTTAATTATACCTCAATAATGCTATTTGTTTGTTTGTTTTTTGTTTTATTGTTTTGAGACGCAGTATCGCTCTGTCGCTAGGCTGGAGTGCAGTGGCGCAACCTCCACCTCCCAAGTTCAAGTGATACTCCTCCCTCAGCCTCTCGAGTAGCTGGGACTGTGGGTGCCCACCACCATGCCTGGCTAATTTTTTGTATTTTTAGTAGAGATAAGGTTTCAACATGTTGGCCAGGAGAGTCTCGATCTCTTGACCTTATGATCCATCCGCCTCAGCCTTCCAAAATGCTAGGATTACAGGCATGAGCCACCGCGCCCGGCCTGTTTGTTTGTTTTAATTGCACCATTAGGATGCAGTAAGTAAAACCCTGAGTGTGGGGAAACTACACAACAAAATGACCTGATATCTTTAACAAAAAGTCTCAAGAGAAAATAATGATAGAAGAGGAATGTATAGGTCAAAAAAGAATCAAAAGAAATAACAATCAGGCATAATGTATGGACCTTATTAAAAACTCAATTCAAGTAAAACAGTATTCTTTAAAAAAAAAAATAGAGAAATGAGAATGTGCATTGACTATTTGATAATATTAAGGGAACATTTTTTTCGCAGTGGCATTGTATTCCACTTTCACTTTTGTATTCTGAAAGAGTTTTTATCTTTCAGGAATGCATATAGAAATATTTAAAGATGAAATTATATATATGATCTCTAGACATGCTTCAAAATAATCTAAGGGAAATAGGAGGTATAGATAAAACAAAATTAGCTATGTATTTGATATGGTTTGGCTGTGTCCCCATCCAAATCTCATCTTGAATTCTAGCTCCCATAATTCCCACGAGTTGAGGGAGGGACCCAGTGGGAGGTCATTGAATCATGGAGCCGGATCTTTCCCATGCTGTTTTCATGATAGTGAATTAGTCTCACGAGATCTGATGGTTTTATAAAGGGGAGTTCCCCTGCACACACTCTCTTGCCTGCTGCCATGTAAGACATGCCTTTGCTCCTCCTTCACCTTCCACCATGATTGTGAGGCCTCCCCAGCCATGTGGAACTGTGAGTCCATCAAACCTCTTTCCTTTATAAATTATCCAGTCTCAGGTATGTCTTTATTAGCAGTGTGAGAACAGACTAATACAGTATTAATAACTGAGAAAGCCGAGTGATGGCTGTATCAATTTCATACTCCTATTCTCTCGTTCTGTAAATGTTTAAAATTTTCATTATACAAAGTTTTAAAGCATCAAATTCCGGCCTCCAGAGTCCAGGGTTATTACTTTTATACTCCTCCTCACCAAAATAAGAGTTATGTATATCATACACTGTATACTGCTTGGAGGCATAATGACTTGTGTTAATTTAATACCAACTGGCTGGAAATATACCAGCCCTACCTGTCATGGCCTACTGCTACTTAAATCCATGGTAAGTATAATAAATATTGTATTATAATTTTAATTTATTTTCTACTACGAAAGTGGTTGAAAGACCAGACACCAGATATCTGCTCCCTACGGGCCAAGAATAGGTGGGCTAGGTTGTACGTCAACACCTTACTGGTAGAGAAACTACAATGTTTAGGACACTGCTAGATAACCTCACATTATTAAAATCCTACATATTCTATCTGAGGTTTAATTATGTTTTATTCTAATGTCCAAAATAAAATGCATTTAAGCAAATATTTTAATTAATAGGTAACATATTGCCTAGAAAAACTAGTAGCACATAATAAGGTAGTCATAAAGGTTGAACAAGTTTGTAAAACAGTGTTTTCTAAACTATAAGCAGTGAGTGGGCTTGGTGGCTCTATAATCTCAGCTCTTCGGGAGGCTGAGGCAGAAGCATCACTTCAGGCCAGGAGTTCGAGAACTGCCTGGGCAACATAGCGAGAACCCCTCTCTACAAAAACAAATTAAAAAGCTAGCCAAGATGGTGGCATGAACCTGTAGTCTCAGTTACTCAGGAGGCTGAGGTAGGAGAATTACTTGAGCCCAGGGGTTTGAGGCTGCAGTGAGCTATGATCTTACCACTGTACTCCAGCCTGGGCGACAAACCTTGTCTCAAAAAAAAAAAAAAAAAATTAATGAACTATAAGCAGCACACAAATGAGAATTGTTACCATTACTGACCCTCAAGAAAACCAAAAGATTCTTTTTAATGACCACACAATCATATCAAGATTCTGTTCCCCCAAAATGAAACTACTTTCCTTATATGTAGTTACTAAGTATTTTCCACAAACCACTCATCAAGCACGCAAAACAGAGCTCTGTTATCCAAAGTCACAATAAAGACTTGACCACTAGATTTAAAACCACTAAACTCCACCAGGATTCTGATGTAGTCTGTAAAAGAATCTTAAATAGTTTAATGTCAACTCTTTGAGTTTCCTCAGTTTCTTATGTCTTTTACAGGAAAGTCTCATATAATTTGCATAGTACTAAACAATTCAGCACAGGACAATCTATGTTCAGATAACAACCCAATTAGGCTAACTACAAATTTATTTTGTGCTTTTCCTATAATATTTTGATAATCCACATTCTGTTTTAATGCCTTTTTCTTTGCAATATAACTAGATATTAAGGTGACAATAAATATACTTGAATTTCACTGGCCCACAGTCATCAGATACAAAAATCATCCCCAAACAGACACCAGCTGAATGACAAATAAATTTATGGTGTCCTCGGTTTACCTAATCAAAGAGACTGAACCTTTATACTTGAAACTATCCCTTTAAATTAGTTACAACAGGCAGGGCGTGGTGGCTCACACCTGTAATCCCAGCGCTTTGAGGGGCCGAGGCAGGTGGATCGCTTCAGCTCAGGAGTTTGAGACCAGCCTGGGCAACATGGTGAAACTCCATTGTATTAGTCCATTTTCACACTGCTGGTAAAGACATACCCGAGACTGGGTAATGTATCCAGGAAACAGGGTTTAATTGGACTTATAGTTCCATGTGGCTGGGGAGGCCTCACAATCATGGTGGAAGGCAAAGGGTACGTCTTACATAGCAGCAGGCAAAAGAGAGAATGAGAACCAAGCGAAACGGGTTTCCCCTTATCAAACCATCAGATCTCGTGAGACTTACTCACTGCCACGAGAACAGTGTGGGAGAAACTGCCCCGTGATTCAATTATTTCCCACCAGGTCCCTCCCACCACAGGTGGGAATTATGGGAGTGCAATTCAAGATGAGATTTGGGTGGGGATACAGCCAAACCACATCACCCATCTCTACCAAAACTATAAAAAAATTACCCAGGCATGGTGGTACGTGTCTGTGGTCCCAGCTACTTGGGAGGCTGACGTGGCAGGATTGCTTAAGCCTGGGAGGCAGAGATTGCAGTGAGCCAAGATCGCGCCACTGCACTCCAGCCTGGGTGACAGAGCAAGACTCTGCCTCAAAAAATAAAAAATAAAAATAAAATAAATTAGTTGTAAGAATCATTTCAGAATCCATTTACCTTTTCATCAAAATCCTTTAAATCAGGAATAATACAGAAGAGACTATGTTCTATGGCTGTGGCATTATTAGAGGACAGAGACTAGGGTCAGGAAGCCTCATGCAGGGAGGGTTGCAGCCTCCTTGTTTCCAAGAGTAATTTTTCTAAAATATAAATCGGACCATGTAATCATCTCATTTAAAAGACTGCAAGGGCCACTGGGCACGGTGGCTCACGCCTATAATCCTAGCACTTTGGGAGGCTGAGGCAGGGGGATCACCTGAGGTCAGGAGTTCCAGACCAGCCTGGCTGACATGGTGAAACCCTGTCTCTACTAAAAACACAAAAATTAGCTGTAGCTGGGCGTGGTGGCAGGCACCTGTAATCCCAGCTACTCAGGAGGCTGAGGCAGGAGAATTGCTTGAACATGGGAGGTGGAGGATGTGGTGAGCTGAGATCGTGCCATGCACTCCAGCCTGAATGAGACTCCATCTCAAAAAAAAAAAAAGATTGCAAGGGCCTCTCGCTTTGCCCAACGTCCAAACCCCTTAGTGTACTGCAGGGAGCATTTTCAAGGAGGCTGCCTCAACCAGGTCTTGCTGTTGTCTTTCTCACACTGCAGCCACACTTGATTTTTTCATTTTTCATGAAAGACACAGGCTCTTCCACAGCTCCATCACTCTGTAAATACCATTCCCTCTAATGCCCTTTCCTTTTCACATGAAAATCTCCTACTCATCCTCCATGACCCAGTTCAGGGGTCACCAAGACTATGCAGCCCTCCCCAACTCTGCAGAGGTGAGCCCTCCCACCTCTGTTCCTACTGCTTGCTGTACATCACTGCTATATCATTTCCCACAATGGACTGTCATGATTTTTTTTAATTTATCTTTTAACATTTGTGTGTACACAGTAGGTAGATATATTTACGGGGACATGAAATGTTTTGATATAGACATGCAATGTGAAATAAGCACATCATGAAGAATGGAGTATCCAACCCCTCCAGCATTTCTCCTCTGAGTTACAAATTATCCAATTATACTCTTTATTTTAAAATGTACAATTAAGTTATTATTGACTATAGTCACTCTGTTGTGTTATTGCACAGCAGGTCTTATTCACTCTTTCTAACTGTTAATGATAGAAGTCCCTGTGTCTCCCACCACCCTTGAAGAGACATCAGCAATCATTCTAGTACTCAATCCCCCACCTTCAACACTGTTGCATACCAAAGGACTCAACATGTCACTGTGAAATGTCCACAAAGGAGTGAAAGAGTATCATTTTTCTAAATAAACTACACAATGATATAAGCATATTCATGTCAGTTAATATTTGCTAAGAATCTGTTATGGGTCTGGAAGTATTCTGGTCACAAGAATATAGAAAGATGAGTAAGACTAATTCATTTATACTAAATCTGTACCCACCAACACCGTGGAGCCTTCCCCAACCCTTCAAGAATGGTTTCTACAAGTAAGAGTGTATATAGCAAGATAATTAAAAGGGGGCTCTAGAAAATGTCATGCCCTACCAGAAATGATATTCCTATTTAACCTTAACTTTTTTCAGATTCTACACCCTTGAAGTTGCTATAACCTTTATGTGATGACCCAGGATTGCAACTGACATCACTGGAATACGTTTTGGCTGAAAACGCTTTTCTGCCTCTAAGTTTGCACCAAGGGAGCCCAAACAAATGAAAAAGTCACCCACAGCAGTGTTTCCACTCCTAAACAACTCATAAATGACAGTGGAACAAAGAGCAACAACTTTATGATTAATATAAACTAAAAGCTTAGTAAATGTAAACTTTAAAACTTTGTAATTAACGTAAACTAAAGCCTCTCCCAAGTCTTTGCATCTAGCTCATAGCTTGCCTGTGTGTGTATGTGTATAATTATCTCACATGACATATATATGAGGTCAGTTGAACTCTGTTCAGCTTTAGAATTGATAATTGGTAATTGATAATAAATAGTTTTAATTAATGGATAGCATGGTAACCATTACATTCTACCTATCAGTAACAGAAACCTTCCCACCTCAAAAATGAGCAGGGCAGATGGCCAACCAGATTCACATCACATTTCCCAACCTCTATTGCGGTTACATAGTCACAGGTCCTAGCACACGCCAATGGAATGTGAGTGAAACATGCTACTTCCACTTCACTTCCTTAAAAGGAACTTGTGCACCCCACTTCCTCCTGAGTGGGAAACACCCATAACACGAGGCTTGGCCGAGAGGTGAAGGCCCTATAGCGAGGCAGGCAGAGCTGTTCTACAAGCCCAGGATGAGGGAAAGCTGTGGGCTGCAAAACCCAGTCCCCTCCCTAGTCAGTTCTGAATAACTCCAGGCCAGTGGTTCTCCACTTTACCTAGACTTTAGGATTACCTGGGAAGAATTCTAAAAAGCTTGGTGACTGGGCCTCTCCAGGGAGAGTCTGATGTAAATGGTCTGTGGTGTGGCCTGGACGTGGGGGCCATCTCATTTTGGGGTCTCTTGGTTACAACAGCTTAAGCCATGTTTTCATTAATAAAGACGGCCTTTCCATTCAAGTGACCGGGCACAGGGTTTCCCTGTATCTAAGTTTCTCAAATCATCTTGACTAAAAAAAGAAATACAAGGCCAGTGGATACCTGAACCTGCAGATAGTATAAGAATCCTATATTTACTGTTTTTTCCTATACATACACATCTATGATAAAGTTAAATTTATCAGTTAGGCACAGTAAGGGATCAACAATAACTGCTAATAGAACAATTATAACAATATACTCTTCACAATTTCATGGATAGAACATTCTTACTTCTTAGAAACCTCCGCATATGATTTATTCTGTTCTCTTACATTGAGAATGTTCACCTTTTCACTGAGGCAGCACTTTGCAGCTTCCCTTTGGCATATCTGAACTGCCAGCATCGCTACTCACACACTTTGGGGCCATCATTCAATAAAATAAGGGTTACAAAGGATCTGATACCTAAGCCAGGTACTAAGGGACCCACAGGGCAGTAGCATCTACACTGAGGATTCCTTGAACAAAGGAATCACGTTCCAGACAGAATGGTGCAAGATTTCATCTTTCTAGTCAAAATGGCATGCAAGTTAAAACTTAGCAATTATCTATTTCTGGAATTTTCCATGTAACATTTTCAGGCCTCAATTGACTCCAGACAACTGAAACTGCTGAAAGCAAAACCACAGATAATGGGGGAACCACCACATGGCTAAAGCAGAGCTTTCAAAGCCACTTTTCAAAACAAATCAAAGTCTTCCAGAAAAAGTACTCCCAAAGATTTTAGGCATTTACTCCCACTTCCCTACTTCTGCCCCCAGTTGATTCTAGTTTCATATTTGCATATTTCCTTACTCATTAATAAATCATTAGCTTTTCTCTAGTATTTTTCTCACATAAGCTGCCGTAGCATTGTTTAGAGAAAACTATTTTTCATAGTTTATAAAAGCTATAGTGCCAAATCTGTCCAAATTTGGGGTTGAAATATGATGTTATAACCTATACAATATTTCTGCACATTCAAATGAATTCAAGAATTTCTGATCTCGCACCATTTGAAGAATCAAATCTTTGCCACAGCTGTCTCTAACGAGTCAAATACTTGGTATATTAGCTATGTCTAATATAGGCTATTAAATACATAGACTCATTGGGAGGAAAAGGAAAAGACAACTCATCTGTTCATTCACCCATTCGCTCATTCAAAAGATAGGTGCTGCATCCTTACCCTGAGCCAGACACTGAGTCTGACCCTCAGAATACACAGTGAACCCCACTCATCCCCTGCCTTCAAGGAGCCCATGTCCAGAGGGGGTGACAGGAGAGGACACAGACAGTCTAAACAGTGTGACTGCAGGGTGCCCCAGAACCCAGGTCACTACAGCTCAATGACAGAATCTAAGGGACCGTGGGCAAGGCTGATCCTTCCAAGGGGAAGGACTGTGTAAGTCCTGTTAGCCTGCCCCAAATAACCTAATGGAACAGACAATGGATGACAGTAACTAAGAAAAAAAAAAAAAAAAAGTACACAGAAAAACGCCAGGCCACAAATAGCCTCCACTTTTGGACTGACTTATTTTTGTAGCCATGTGAGAAGAATTCCTAAATTACCACCTATGAAATTAACGTCCATCTTTCTGTGGCATTTTTAAAGCAAGCTCTTCCTTCCCAATGACTAACGGATGAAATTACCACTAGCAAACAGGCGACTCATTTGATACAAATTGCCTTACTTCCTGGACACCCAAACACAGTTCAGGCCTCCTACCCCCTCTCTTCCCTAGGACAAGAGCCAGTTAGGAATTTTAGTAAGTATGCGCTATCTAAGCAGATAGACTTACAAACTAAAACATGCTCCACAGAAGGTCATGCAATGTAATTTTTCCTCCTGTCTTTTAATTTGGATTCTGAGATCTCTGTCACATGCCAACTTTTCATTCATGTCCTCGTATCCATTCATCTCCTCCTTTGTGGTTTCCAGGTTTGGGGTTTGCTTAGGAAAGCCCAGAGTATCTGTACTCCACAATAAGAATATATTCCTTTTTTGTATTTTTAGCTTTTTTATTATCTCATTAAATACCCTGGAATTTATTTTTGTGTATAATGTGGAGGAATTATGGCTTTATTTGATAGACAGCTACCACACATCACTCTTCCTCCTCCACTCGAAATGCCACCTGTATTTAACATAAACCAAACTGATATGTGTACACATCTATACATGAATATTTACACTGTTTTAGTTGCTAGAGGAATGTTTTATATTAGAGCAAATCTCCATTGTTTTACTTTTCCAAAATTATATTGGTTATTTTTGCCCATTTTTTCTTCAGATGAATGAGCACTGGCTTGTGAGTTTCTCTAAAATTCTCATTTGGAATGATTCTCATTTGAATTTTGGTCTTGAATTTACAGATTAATTTGTGGAGACCTGACATCTTCACAATGTCGAGTTTTCCTGTCTAGAAATATGTTACAGCTCTCAATTTACTCAGATTTTTTAAAATTTTTCTCTTAATAAACTTTTTTTCTTCACACTGGTCCTGTTGGTAATTACTTAGTGAGGCCCGGTTTAGAGCAACACACTCTTTTTTTTTTTTGAGACAGGGTATTGCTCTGTCACCTGGACTGGAGTGCAGTGGCACAATCTCATCTCGGCTCACTGCAACCTCCGCTACCTGGGTTTAAGTGATTCTCCTGCCTCAGCCTCCTGAGTAGCTGGGATTACAGGTGCCCACCACCACGCCTGGCTAATTTTTGTATTTTTAGTAGCGACGAGGATTCACCATGTCGGCCAGGCTGGTCTCGAACTCCTGACCTCAGGTGATCCACCCGCCTCGGCCTCCCAAAGTGCTGGGATTACAGGCCACCGCGCCCAGCCATGAAACACTTATTTATTTTAAAATGATTATTCTGAAATGTTTTCACAAATTAATATTCAAGTAATTTAAAAATAGAAAGCTGTTAACATAATTTTAATAAGAGAGACTTACATTGCAAGGTTTCATTAGGCATGGATAGTATGCTTAGAGGGTAGATTATCTTAAAGAGCATGGGTTACTTTTTTTTTTTTCTGCTAAATTTAAACATCAGAGCCGTGATTTAATAGATACCCATGATCTGAATAAGTCAGTGAAGTCTTTTGCACTCAGGAAGTAAACAGATCATCGTTTTCTAAAGTATGATCTCTTACTGTGCTTTCTCCTTTCAATAGCCTTCTTACATTTTTTTTTTCTCATCCTTCTATAGCAAGCCTTCAGGTCAAGAAGTTGTAAATCTGTCCACTCTGGTTGGATTAGTCGGGACTCTTAGGTTGCAAACGAGCCTCTTAAAACTCTACCCGCATCTTTGTAATCAGTGTCACAGAGCCTCTTTTTGAGTCATCTAATGCAGTTTCCAAAAAACACATCATCCTCCCGTCAATCTAAGTTGTTTGAGATGCAGTACACTTGCATCTTGCATCTGTGTATGATGCTGTCATAGAAATTATATAGTACATCTTAAGTCACCAGTGCTATTACACATGACATTGGGAAAACTGAGGCTTCCATTAGCCCTGCAGGGACACAGTTGTGATATTCACACCTAGCCATCTTCTCTACTGTTTTGAAAAATTATTGCAAAAGTTTTCAAACATGCAAAAGGATATAATATAGTGAACACCTAGACCCATCACTCAGCACCTCATTGGAAGTTACCAAGATTGTAATCTGCTACTTTTCCCTACCCCACCCTCCATTTTTTTTCTTTTACTTTTCTCTTTTTTTGAGACAGAGTCTCACTCTGTTGCTCAAATTAGAGTGCAGGAGTGCAATCTCAGCTCACTTCAGCCTCACTCTCCTGGGTTCAAGTGATCCTCCCACCCCAGCCTCCCAAGTAGCTAGGACTACAGGTGTGTGCCACCATGCCCAACTAATTTTTGTAGAGATGAGGTTTTGGTGTGTTGCCCAAGCTGGTCTCGAACTCCTGGTTCAACTGATCCGCCTGCCTCGGCCACCCAAAGTGCTGGAATTACAGGCATGAGCCACTCCACTCGACTTATCCCACCTTTATTTTTTAAAGCATTTTAAAACAAATCTCAGCCAGGCACAGTGGCTCATCTGAGGATCACCTGAGGTCAGGAGTTCAAGACCATCCAGGCCAACATGGTGAAACCCCGCCTCTACTAAATACAAAAAATTAGCTGTGGGCATGGTGGCAGTCGCCTGTAATCCCAGCTAGTTGGGAGGCTGAGGCAGGAGAATTGCTTGAACTCAGGAGGCGGAGGTTGCAGTGAGCCGAGATTGTGCCGTTGCACTCCAGCCTGGGCAACAAGAGCAAAACTCCATCCCAATCAATCAATCAATCAATAACAAATCTCAGACCACATGTCGTTTTAGCCTATTTCAGTTTGCATTTCTAAAAATTATGGATAATTTTCTCATATAAACACAGTCTATTATCACTTCCCAACTCCCCCTTCAAATTGATAATTCCTGAAGATCCAATGCCCAGTCTCTAACCACATTTCCATGACTCAAGTGTCTTTTGTATAGCTGGTGGGTTTCAATCTGGATCTAACCAAGATCCACACATTCATCTGATAGCGCCATCTCTTAAATCTCTTCTGGGATTTAAGGCAGACAGGGAGAGTACCTGACTGTCCCCACCCCTGACCTTTATCTGCAGTGACCCCCTGAGGAAGCCGAGGAAGCCATCATGGGGGATGCCCTTTCTGTCTGTTGCTTCCCTATAAGGTCTTTCACTGTTCCTCTCTCTCCATATTTCCTATAAACTGAAAGTTACCTCAAAAGGCTTGATCATATTCAAGTCCACCATTTGGGGGCAGGAATACTTTTGAGATGGTTTTGGTACTTATATTGCCTCACATTAGGGGGTACACAGTTATTTCATCCTAGTGATGCAAATTTTACTTAGAAAATTCAGTTGGTGATAGTCTGATCTCTCCATCTGAAATTCCCCATCAATCTTTCATTTAGCGATATCATACATTGATGATCTTTGCCTAAATCAATATTTTCATTAAGAATTGCAAAATGGGGATTTTTTTAAAATTTCGCCATTCCTTCCACATTAATTTGCTGCCATTCTTCTGTAAAGAAGTCCCCTCGGCCAGGCTCGGTGGCCCACTCCTATAATCCCAGCACTTTGGGAGGCTGAGGCGGGCAGATCACGAGGTCAGGAGATCGAGACCATCCTGGCTAACGCGGTGAAACCACGTCTCTACTAAAAATACAAAAAATTAGCCGGGTGTGGTGGTGGGTGCCTGTAGTCCCAGCTACTCAGGAGGCTGAGGCAGGAGAATGCCGTGAACCCGGGAGATGGAGCTTGAAGTGAGCTGAGATCATGCCACTACACTCCAGCCTGGGGGACAGAGTGAGACACCATCTCAAAAAAAAAATAATAAAAATAAAAAAAGAAGTCCCCTCATTCATTGGTCGGGCACAGAGGCTCAAGCCTGCAATCCCAACTTTTTGAGAGGCTGAGGTGAACAGATCATTGAGCCCAAGAATTCTCGACCAGCCTTGGCAACATGGCGAAACCCCATATCTACCAAAAAAAAAAAAATTAGCCAGGCATGGTAGCATGTGCCCTTAGTCCCAGCTATGTGGGAGGATCAGTTGAGCCCAGGAGGTTGAGCCTGAAGTGAGCTGTGATCACACCACTACTGTACTCCAGCCTGGGTGACAGAGCGAGAGCGTGTCACAAAGAAAAAAAAAAAAAGAATTCCTGTCCTGCCACCCCAACCATCAACTAGGGTTCTAAATACCCTAAGAAGCAGTTTTTACAGGAAAGGCAGGATAAATGCTTAATTCTTTACCTTTTCAATTGCCACTATTCAGAGACAGAGTAGGTGCCTTGGTTCTACTGCTGGTGGTGATCAATGAGGTGTTCTCTTCTGTCTTGTTTGGGGATCTCTTGTGGATAGCATGAGATATCCACAAACTCATGCTTTGTTATTAGTTTGTTATTGCAGCCATAATAAATTACCACAAACTTGGTGGCTTAAATCAAGCAGAAATTGACTCTCTTACAGATCTGCAGGTCAGAGGTCTGAAATGGGCCTCCCTGGGCTGAGGTCGGTCAGAGTGTCAGTAGGACTGCGGTCTCACATGGAGGCTGTAAGGGACAGGCCATTTCCTTGCCTTTTCCAGATTCTACAGGCTGCCCACATTCCTCGGTCCATGGCCCCTTCCTCCTTCCTCAAAAGGCCAGCAGTGGTTGGTTGACTCATTCTCATGTTGCATCGCTCTGACACCAACTCTCCGCCTCCCTGGCGGTAACACTAGGGCCCACCTAGATAATCCAGGATAATCTCTTTATCTTAAACTCAGCACCTTAGCTGCTATGATGCCACCTACACCCCTAACGCCCCCTTGTCATATAACATAACATGTTCATAGGTTCTGGGGATTAAGATGTGGATATTTCAGGGGGGCATCATTCTGCCCACCACAGGGGGTTTGTATCAGTCATATTCTTTTGATGTTCAGGGTGTCTCACTTTTAGCCAGTGGAAACCCCTTCTTCTGGCCTCAGAGTTTGTTAGCGAAGGTGCCCACCACATTTCTTGGATGGCTCCTTTTTTTTCTGATACAACAGGTAACAGAGGGTCCAGGCTCATCTCACCCACACCTGGAGTCAGGCGCAGGTGTATGAGGTGCCTATGTGATGGAAATGCAATTGTTTCTTCGATTTTTTTAAAGACTGGGGATGATAAGCACACATATTTGAAAAAAAAATCATGAATTTCAAATAACCTTCCAATTCAAATTTGATCTTACAGAATTTTTATTTAACTCTTATCTTGTACTCATGTATCTCTTCATTTACACTTAAATTCTTGGTTCTAACCAAAAATGACATTATTCTTTTTTGTTTTACCCAAATATATATATGAAATAATTGTTTATATGAAATAATTTCAAACTAAAAATAATATTACTCTTAACAGTAAAGCTTCTGAATAAAATTAGAATTTCTTTGCAGCTCTACGTAGAGTAGACTATGCCCATATCTTACTTATTTCTAGGTGTCTATCTTAGAGAAAGGCTCACACATAGACCCAAAGGCACCTATGTAAGAACATTCACTGCAATTGCTCTTGGGCTTATGAGCACAGGGTCAAGTAGATCAGAGTTCTGACATCTCATGCAGCAATTCCAAACACTGAACAGATCTATATACTGCTGACGAGGAAAAGCTCCACGTGCATTACTAGGTGAAGAAGGCAAAAGCCATAAGTGGATTTACTAATGTGCTCCTGACAAATACAACTCTGTCCCAAGCTGAGCTCAACAACCTTTCTGGGTAGGGGTTAGATATGCAACCCGCTCCATTAATTTTCCATCACAATTTAGAATGAACTGCTAATGAGTGCCAAGTTTAACATTAAAAATCCTTTACGGGCCAGGCACGGTGGCTCATGCCTGTAATCCCAACACTTTGGGAGGCTGAGGCAGTTGAATCACTTGAGGCCAGGAGTTCGAGACCAGCCTGGGCAATGTGGCAAAACCCTGTCTCTACAAAAAGTAGAAAAATATTAGCCAGGCATGGTGGTGCACATCTGTAGTCCCAGCTACTCAGGAGGCTGAGGCAGGAGAATCAGTTGAACCTGGGAGGCGGAGGTTACAGTGAGCCGAGATCACACCGCTGCACTCCAGCCTGGGCAAGAGAGCGAGACTGTCTCAAAAAAAAAAAAAATCCTTTATTGTATCTAGAGTAACTGACAAACGTGTTCAAGTCAAGGATACTCATTTACCAACTGGCAGGCATGGAGATGAATTTTAATTAAGAATGCACCTAAAATCACAAAAAGATGTTTGGGGTAAGAAAACATTAAGAACTCATGACATGTAGCTTAGTTGGTTTCTCAAGTTATAACACTGCCATCATTATTAATAACAATCTTATTAGTTAACATGGAATCTATGACATCTTTTCTTCTAGGAAATTATTAATGTATTTATTATTAAGTTAACATGGCCAGTGAAATTATGCTACTGGAGCACTTCCTCAGACCCCTGCAGTGGATAATCTTTACTGAATGAATACAATGCATTTTCAAATTGTGTCACTAACGTCTGAAATTGACAGTGCTCCTCTAGTCAAATCCATGAGCCCCCTCCTCATAAAATAAGATTCACCAGGAAAAAGACAGTCTGAAGGTTTTTCTGAAAATACGCTGAATTTGGAATCAGAAAACCTGGATTTGAAGCTCAGCTGCACCATTTGTTATCAGCGCGACCTTGAGCAATTAGCTTCTCCCTGAACCTGAATTTCCTTCTTCTAAAATAAGATGATGAGTATTACAGAGCCATTTCCAAGAATCTCTAAATAAAGAAAAAAGCTTGCTCTCTGAGAATAAAAACTTTAAATCAATACATAACACAAATGGCCAAGAAATGGCAAAGGTTTCTGGTCTAGGCAGCTTTGGCAGTGGTTTCATGAACTATAGTCTCAAATCCAGTGGACGTGTGCCCACCAATTACAATGGGAAACATGAAAATATGGAAAGATGACTTGTCCCAAAGCCACTGTAGTCAGGGATTTCAGGTACTGGACATCCAGCGTAAGCCACTCCTAGGAGGGGTGACTTGGTCCCAAGTAACCATCTGACTCATCCGACTGTGGGTCTGTGCTCGCTATACCACCTTCTGATGGTCGTTTTGCTTCCCACAAGGGGGACCCACGAGAGAGAGCTCCAGCCACACAGACGCTGGGCACGTAGGCTCCTGTGGGAGCCAGTGTTTAATGCAATGTAGCAAACTGGACATTCTAGTTATAGTGTAGCTTTTCAGATAAATCTGTGTAAGTGAGTTAGCGCACTTTTGGGAGGGGGAGGCTCTCACTTAGTAGGATTCTCAAAAGGGTCTTTAATCTTAAAATAAGAACCAGAGGCCTATAGGAAGAGAATAATTTAGTCAGGCAGACTTGGCTGATTATGTGAGTTTCACAATAAGAGACAGATGCTTAGTACAGTGACATAATAAAATCTAGTTTCTGAGTCTGGAAGGCTGAAAGCCACTCCCTGCCCCACAGTCAAGACACTAGTATCTAAGGAGAAAACCAGCTGTCCTCAAACAGATAAAATATACCTCTCAATGTCTCCACATGGATGTATCTGGAGTAATTTTTTTCTTTTTAAAATTTCTACCTGCTACCAAGCATAATTGTAAAAACTAAAAAGAGTTAATATATATAAAACTATAAAACATCATCTACAAATCTTAGTGGGGTTTTTTTAAACTCTAAATAAATGACTATCTACCATGGGGTTTTCTTAAACTCTAAATAAATGACCATCCACTGTAATAAACACGAAATAAATGACCATCTACTGTCACTGGGTTTAATGAGCTAACCTTTATAACTACAGATCTAGAAGAGAAGTCCAGCAAGTTGGCCTCTCACTAAGATCATTTCAATACTGACCCAATTCAAACCCTAGTTCTAGAGCATAAGTTTCCTGAAAGTAAGGGAAAGAGGGTTGTGAAAGGCTAGCACCACTGAGCACTTCAAACTTGCCCTGCTGTTTCTATCTGCTCCACCATCATCTATGCTACCCCAGCTAGTCATAACCATAGGCCATAACGCTTCACTTAGAACTCTCATCTCAAAAGAAGGAGTTTCCAAATAAGCTTTTCTTATAGAGTAGCCTGAATTTTTAAAATATTTTGAAACATCAATCCAGCATCAAGCAGGTCACCTTACTTAAAGGACAGAAATGTGGAGAGTCAAGCTAGTTTTCCATGTGGAATTTAATAAGCCAGTCAACTAAATGATGAAACTCTAATAAATCCCTGTCCACAAAACTCTCGGTTTTATTTATTGGAGGGATGAAGAGAAACAACAAAGTCACCAACATACGTGTCCTCTCATTCATTGCTTAGAAACTGCTATTGTGCAATTTTTCTCTTCTATATTATTGGGATGTTTTGCATAAAAAACAAGCTTTTCTCCACTGCCACTAGAAACAAAACAGAAAGAAGCAGGTCCAAAATGGAACAAAAAAAGATAGCACAGAAATTTTGCACGCTATTCTAGACTTACTGGTGATGACGATATTTATTGCATGATTCTCTTCCCAGTTACTGTGTCATAATATAAAAAAAGACAAAGAAAATTCACTTGAAAAAGGTAGGACCAGGTTAAAGATGTGTATTAAAGTCCCTTGATCTTACTTAGCCATTAGGATTCGTTCCATTTTAAATAGAGAATAGACCCCGCCACCACCACCAAATACCTCATATTTTTTAAAAAAGATGTTTCCAAAATACCATCACGGCCTTAGACATTCACAAAGGAAAATGAAAGTCTGCAATATTTAACAGCTGTGTAAATGCCATTCCATGCAACTTTTAGTTTTTGGTTTTATTTGTTTCTTTGTATTTTGAGACGAGACCTCACTCTGTCAGGCTGCAGTGCAGTGACATGATTTCAGCTCACTGCAACATCTGCCTCCTGGGCTCAAGAAACCCTCCCACCTCAGCTTCCTGAGTAGCTGGAGTTGGGACCATAGGTGCGCACCACTATGTCTGGCTAATTTTCTGTATTTTTGGTAGAGACAGGGTTTCACCATGTTGCCCAGGCTGGTCTTGAACTCCTGAGCTCAAGCAATCCTCCTGCTTTGTCCTCCCAAAGTGCAGGCGTGAGCCACCACACCTGGCCTCATTTTTAATTTAAACTTTTATCAAAGGCAATAAAGATACAAAAAAAATTACAAGAAATACACCTGAAAATATAACCAGACATATTAGTATCCAAACAAGATAATAAAGATCAATGGACCGACTTAATGACACAATGCACAAATACTAACAGCATATTATTCAAGAAAGTTTTATTGCTGACATTGAAGAAACTTGCTGTCTTCCCCAGCCAATGGGATTTTATGGGTTTTTGTTGTTGGTGGTGGTGTTGTTGGTGTTGTTGTTTGGTTGGTTGGTTGGTTGGTTGGTTGGTTTTTTTGTTTCTTTGTTTGAGACAGAGTTTCGCTCTTGCCACACGGACTGGAGTGCAATAGCACGATCTCAGCTCACTGCAACCTCTGCCTCCTGGATTCAAACAATTCTCCTGCCTCAGCCTCCTGAGTAGCCGGGATTGTGGGTGCCTGCCACCATGCCCAGCTAATTTTTGTATTTTTAGTAGAGACGGGGTTTCACCATGTTTGTCAGGCTGATCTTGAACTCCTGACCTCAGGTGATTCACCTGCCTCAGCCTCCCAAAGTGCTGGGATTACAGTCATTTTATGTTTTTGACTATATGAAACATACCCCCTAATATCCTATGACCTTTTTCTGCATATTTAAAGCTCACTTTCTTCCTGAAATATTTTAGTCCATAATTGTCTAAGAATTATACAGTGCCTAGTACCTACTTAGCAGTCAGCAATGGCAGCTGTTGTCATAATACACATGTAACCCATACCTGGCTTCCAAACTCTGACTAATGAAAATATTCATCCCCTAAGCAAACTGGTATAATGAATTTTGAATCATTCAAGGAACCAAATCCTAAAATGGAACTTCAGAGGGACTCAATCACACACTTGAAATAGAATTTATTACTAGCTTTGCCATTACTAAATTAATTATGATAATTTTACAGATCTCTTTTTGGTCTTCATAAATTTTGATATTCTTACTCAGCTCAGTAATGTTCAGACTAATGAGCATAGATTACACACAGCAGTGTGCATTATGAGGAATAAGTAAAGGAGCTGGGGACAGCTTCCTATAAAAGGCATCTTGAGCTAGAGGAGCTGCCTTCAAATATTTGATGATCTGTCACATTTGAGGAACTAAACTTGTTTCTCACAACCACAAAAGGATAATAAGAGACCAGTGCACAGAAGGTAATACAAGAGAGCTTTCTGGTACAACAGTTTCCAAAGATGCTCATCAAAGATGCCTGTGGCTAGATATTAGAGAGGGAAGTCACTCATCAAAAAGCATAACTAGATTGGATGTCCCCCAACATCTTTTCAAACATGAGATACTACAATCCTATGTTATTCATATACAATCTGTTAATGTCTAAGAAAGACTGTAATGAATCACCTTATGCACAATACAATGAAGCCAGCTGCTTTCAGATCATGATTTTTGGTTCATTTTTCTGAAACAAAAACCTCTAAAGAATGAGTCAACTCTGCTAATTGCCTGGTTACACCTATTTAAGTAGCAGGCTTGCAACTCTTAGGCACTGATACCACCATCCCAGAGCCTACGGGATGGATAGATGGATAGATGAAAGACAGAAAGGAAAGAAGAAAGGGAGGAAAGCAAGCAAGCAAGAAAGTGTGAGTGCGATGAGATACCATCTCACGCCAGTTAGAAGGGCGATCATTAAAAAGGAAACAACAGGTGTTGGAGAGGATGTGGAGAAATAAGAACACTTTTACACTGTTGGTGGGACTGTAAACTAGTTCAACCATTGTGGAAGACTGTGGCGATTCCTCAAAGATCTAGAACTAGAAATACCATTTGACCCAGCCATCCCATTACTGGATATATATCCAAAGCATTATAAATCATGCTGCTATAAAGACACATGCACACGTATGTTTATTGCGGCACTATTTACAATAGCAAAGACTTGGAACCAACCCAAATGTCCACCAATGATAGAATGGATTAAGAAAATCTGGCACATATACACCATGGAATACTATGCAGCCATAAAAAAGGATGAGTTTATGTCCTTTGTAGGGACATAGATGAAGCTGGAAACCATCATTCTGAGCAAACTAACACAGGAACAGAAAACCAAACACCACATGTTCTCACTCATAGGTGGGAATTGAACAATGAGAACACTTGGACACAGGGTGGGGAACATCATACACCAGGGTCTATCATGGGGCGGGGGGAAGGGGTAGGGATAGCATTGGGAGAAATATCTAATGTAAATGACAAGTTAATGGGTGCAGCACACCAACATGGCACATGTATACATACATACAACAAACCTGCATGTTGTGCACATGTACCCTAGAACTTAAAGTATAATTTTAAAAAAAAAAGTGTGAGTAAGGTATCATGTGTAGAAGGTTCTAGACACACAGTACCACAATAAGCAGCTAGAGGAGGAAAACTGAGAAATCTGGGCAATCAACCTACTTATGAGTCTAAGGCTCAACAATTGCTCTTCTCTGTTCCAGCCAATCATCCAGCTTTTCAGAAGTCCTGCCTCCCAAACCCACTCCCTCCTCCCTCAGAGCACATGGCACCACAGCACTTGCAAGACTGCCTTAATATTCGCTATTATGTTGTACTTTTTTAAAGGTGTACTTGTATCTTATACTACACATAATCTCAACAACAATAACCCTATAGTATAAGTGTTTTTAATCATTTCTTTTAATATTCCTTCTCATCTTTTTGTTTGAGTTATCCGTGTCTGAAATTCAATATGGGTAATTTTTAATGTTTCCTATTATTTACAAATGTATTGCATAGACAGAAAATGCTCACAAGGCAGATTTTTATTGGGACATTATACAATCAGAAAGAAATAGATAATGTATTTTACTGATGGAGAAACTAAATACAGCAAATTTAAGTGACTTCCAGAGGTCCCATAGCAAGCTGCCAGTGGAATCAGATCCTTAATGTCTGGCTTCTGATTTAGAACCTTCTCTTCTATGACAGTTTGGTAGGTAGTAGGGATGGCACAGGAAAACGAGGGGCCCAGCAATGACAGTGGCTTTCTGGTGCACTAAGGATGGAGGTCTGGGCTGGCTATTTTCACATTAGCATCTTTTTCTGCTCCTGAAACTGCAGGAGAAGGAAATGGTGGCAAACAACAGTATAGGTCCAAGGCTGGATCAAGCTGACCTTTACCAACTACCTATCACAAAATATTTTACAAAATATGTCGCAAAAATATTTTCACTGCATTCGCCATGGGCTCTCTATATAGTGTCCTACATAGAAAGTATTCAAATATGTGTATGCTCCAGTGGAAGCAGAGGACCCAAAAGAAGGCTTCCAAAATTAGAAGAAACATTTACAGGATATGAAGAGCCACATTATTACTTATTCTGCATTTTAGGCTCATAGAGCAATCAAAAAGGGCCCAGGGGTTGTAACTTCTAATCAATGATAAAAATAGGAAGGGAAGATTAAAAAAGTAAGACACAGGAGAAGCAGAGGGGGGCCGGGATATCCAGTCCCATTTGCATGCAAATTACTTACCATACAAATGATTTTGCAATAATAGAGTAAAAGTTGCCAAATTAATCATTTCCATTTCCCCATTGCCAATGTCCAGAGAATAAGAAGAGACAATGATAGCCATGCAGACAGCCTACATTTTCACCTACAGTGGTCCGCAGATATGTGACTGTACTAACAAAGGAAGATTATGTGAATGAGAAAGTGATTTTTATTGCAAATAAAGCCAAAAATATTGTTTTTCCCTTTTACTCTTTTCCCAGAAATGAAAATTTCAAGGGAGGGGACAGCTCAGGCTGCCCCTTTTTTAAATAAAAAGGAGACAGGGCAGCTTAGGTGGCCCCTTTTCTAAATAAAAAGACAGTAGAAATCCTGTTTTGAGGCCTTGGGGGGTGAGATGGTGTATTACACAATTTCTCATTAACACCAGCAAGATTGCATGACTTGTGTTAAACAGAATAGGCATTTCACCTTCAAGCTCATGGGAAATAAGGAACAAGCTGCTTATTCACTTACTCATAATTACCGTTTTCGCAGGTCCCAGAGGAATTCTCTATCAGTCTCTGAGGACTCGTAGCTGATCGGGAGAGTACGAAAAAGGATTTTTTCCCCCAAATAAAAAAGTATCGCAGTTTCATCCATTCCTTGCAAAATAAGACGCGAGGGAGTTTGGTATTCGTTTTTGGTGGGGCAGCCCAGCAAGACCCTGCCTGGGCGGGGAAAGACCCCGAGCTGGGCGAAACCTGGGCGTCCCTCCTGCCTCTCCCACTGTCAGGTGTCACCTGGGCTGAGCTCCTTACCTTCCCTGAGTGTCTGCTCCTTCTGTTAAACGGAGCTAATGCAACTCACCTGGTAGAACTACTGTGGGGACAAATGAACTAATTATGCCAACTGCCTGACAGAGGATGAGCTCTCAATTAAAGGCAGTTATTACATTATTACATCATGGACGTTAAACTTCTCTTTCCCTTGCCAGGGCTCCAGGGACCCTAGGGAGGCCAGGCGTCCTGCTAGCTATTTAATACTACTTTGCATTTCACTGCTTTGCTGGCCAGCCACTGACTGAAAAAGACCTGTGCTTCCCTTCCTCAAGCCTTGACACCTTCGTCGGATAGTTTCCACCCTTGTCCAAACAGATGTTTGGCAAAGTCCGGTGTACTGGGGAAAACACTGTAAGAGGCTGTCTCTAAGAATCCATTGCGTGTAAAAGCTGGGACTGCCTGTACCTCAGAGAGATCTATGAGGCTCTCGATTCGAAGCATTTCATGATGCTCAGCTTTGGCAGATTCTAGGTCCAAAACTGATTTCACCGGAACATCCATTTCTAAGAATTGACATCTACACGCACTCCTTGCATCTTCAAGTCACTGGCACAAGTTAACTTGGACCAAGAATGAGATAATAACTGAAAGGTCAGAACAAATTACATTTTGAATTTGTACCTTAATGAAAAAGAAGCAAGAACACTACTGTTTCTTACACATAGAAACACTCCTATCAATAATAAGGAATACTTTCTTTCTAAAGGCTATTTGTGCTTTCAACGTGGACTTTTCAGTTCAAAATTAGGCTATGAGCACAGGACAGTGAAGACACAGAAAACTCTACAGCCTAAACGGAGAGGAGTATTTCAAGTTATCCACCAATCACTTACTGATTGGAGTTAAACAATTACCGAATAAACTCCATGTCCACTAAAGAAGAAAACTGGGACATTTTTAAAGATCAATTACATGTGGTGGCTACACAAACAGAAAGATGCAAACTACCATATCACCATGGAGACTATGTTTAGATAGTTCTTCAAAGGTAATCACTAACAAATTATTGTAAAACACCAAACATCATGTGTTCTATGCATTATGCTATATTCTATATTCATTCTTTATTATTCTATATTCTATGCATATAGAGTAATAAAAGTCATCCAAACGCTATTTGTTTGTGGTTAAATAAAATCTTCAAGCAAATACACTTCAAAGCAAACATCCTTCTTGGCTCAAATCTTTGTATTTCACACTAGTCTATAAGCTCCATGAAGGAAGGGGCTGTGGCTGGGTTTGTCATAGTACCCCGTGCCTGGCTCATAGAAATGGCTCTACAACTATGTACTGAATTAATGTCATAAACGGTATCATAAATGTCCTTTAAGGACTGTCAGTGCTCCTAGAAAATTATAAAGAATCTTTAAAATGTTGTTTCAGACCTTCCTATCATATTGTATGAATACTTTGAAAGGACAAGCTTTGCAATAGGTGATCCAACATTTGAAATGTCCAGTAAATAGAAATAAGACTCCAGGGGAAAGATGAAGTTCACATTACTCAACCGCCTTCAACTATATGTGATTTCAAGTCATCTGAATTTCATTCTGTTTTTTTTAAAAAAAAAAGAGTAACAGAGTAATACAGCCTACAGTAAAAGTCGTCTGAATCACTCCAGGGCTTAAGATGATGACCCTTTGTGGGCCTTTGCTTGTGAATTAGACCTTACTTAAATAAAAGTATTTCTTTTCCAACATGATGTAAAACAACTGGCCTGCACATCTAAATGCTCCTGTTTTAACTGGGCCTGCAAGGGAGGCTGTGGGTCACAGTTTACTACTCCCAGTAGGCCCCATTATCAGCTACATTAGCTCAACAACATTTCAGTAAACTAAAGCAGCTATACCATTTGGACAAACAGTCAGCTTTTCCAGGATTTGCACTCATTGGTTGGTTAACTGAATAAAGTGTCAACATAACAAAATATTTGCCTCTTGCCATCTCAGGGAAGCAAAATCTCCCCTGGGCAGAATGTTCCATTTTCTGAGACTCTCCTGTAATAGGCAGGAAGCTGCAAACCCAGTGTTTCATTTAAATTAGCTAGATATTTCGTTCTGATGCTCTTCTGTTTAAAACTGTGGGAAAGGCAAAGTAACTAAAATAAGGAAGCACAAAGAATAGTGACTGCAAATAATTTGCTGGAAATAAAAAAATCACTAGTGATAGACCAAAGGCAAATTAAAATGTATGCTTCTCATTCAGATACCAAAAATACAAATCTGAACATCTCTTTCAAGAATACCAAAAACTGGTGATCACATGGCTTCCTCTATAATGAAGCTGAAATAGAAACTTATCAGAAAACATTTGACCCGTATCCCTTTTACCAATAGTGTGAAGTCATACCAGCTATTTAAGTCATTAGGCTGGGGCATTTTAACATGCAATTAACTTTTTTACAGGATCTAGAAATTCCCCAACCCCCAACCTCCAAATCAAATAGGTAGGCCACTAACTGCCATCCAGTGGTAGAGAGAATTTTGCAAGATGTTATACCTGATAATCTCAATGTAACAGAATCCTAACACAGCACAAGGAGTGACTGTTACTATGTAAATAGCTACATTACAAAACTAAAGCCAAAGCCACTAAGATAAGTAGAAAACAAATTAGAATCTCAGGAGGAGGTTCCAATGGCCCAATTCGAGAGTCTATTTTAAAAAGAGCAACAGAGTAACAATTACTGAAGGGCTGTTTCCTAAAATTACTCTCTGGTTGGTATTTCTCAATTTTCAAATGTCATGAGAAATAATGCTGGCTGTCACTTACTCTGCCTTAAAAGAAAGCATTACCAAAGAATACCACTGAAAAACAAAGGCATTCATACAAGGAAGTGAACACCCTAAGTGCATAAGTACGTTCTTAAGAGGGACACTAAAAAAGCAGAAGTCACATTAAGTTCCAAACACCAAGAAAAAAAAAACTGAACAGAAGTTCCTAACTTTATTAATATTATATACTAGCCCCCCCCAAAAAAAAAACTGCCCATGAGTTGAGATTTATCAATTTTGTATATAGAAATACTACATATTTAGGACTCCCTGCCTTTGGGTGGTGGAGGGACACTAGGAAAGGCAAGACAAAAGAGGAATTAAGCCTTTTTCTACCACATTAGAAATGTACAGTTTTTTTGGTGAAATTTAGGTTTGATGTAGGCGTTCTTGTTCTCTAAGTAAGTTTCCCATTTGCCGGAAATTTTAAGCAGCATTGATTTTTTTCAATTAGCTTCAGATATGCTACACTCTGGAATAGGGGTGTTAAACTCACGACATTGCAGAAAGGTTTGCACTTTTCCCTCATTTTCACTACTTGGCATTGTCTATCAAAGAGTAGCACATCCTGCAAAACCAACAAGAGGCATGGGCTAAGGAGGAAAAGCAAGCTCAAAATACCTAGCAAGCATGTCTTCATTTGCACAATTTAGCTTTTCACAACAAATAACAAGGGGACTGGTATTTTCTGTATCATAGGGCTCATGGATGACTTGTAAAAAAAATCAGATGATGATCACTTAGCATTAGGTAACATTTAAGCAATCTTGGGCGCCTAACGCTTGAAGGACTGATGATTTCAAATGGACAATAACTTTGGTTTAGATTCCAATATTTTACAGAATTGCATGGTTTCAAATTCACCATAAACAAGATGCCTCTTTTGAGCATCAATTCCAAGAGCTATTTAGCATCAAGGAATCACATTAGCTGTACAACTCATGATGGTGTTAATTAGGAAAGGAGCTAGAGAAAAAAAAATCCATCACTGAAGCCTTGATACGTTATTTAAAACTCACTATTAACCAGACAAACTATTTTTTCTGGGGAAGTGCTAATGATATGAACTAGAAAAAATTTTACTAGTACCTTAATAATAAATCATTTGAGAGAAAATTGCAACTTGGTATGCACCTCACCGAGCCCCTCGCCAATTCAATCGGGCCCTCCTTTGATAATTTAACAACAAATTCCTGTCTGGAATCACCCATTCAAGTGTCTTTTTAAGTGACTCCTGTTTCAATTTTTTAATAAAGTGCCACCAGTAGATCTACAAGTTGAGGAAAGCAGCTCAGGTGACACACTTGGCACCAAAAAGAATACTGAGTGGGTCAAAATCCTGCCCGGGGACAAAATAGAAGAGAAGCCGAAGAAGGTGACTAGACTTAATAGACTTCAAGAAGAGCAAGTACTGAAAACAGCAGTTTAACTACCTCGGACAATAAGCAACAAGCCTGCAGTCCCCAGGTAAGCGGCCCAGAGGGAGGTGAGAGGATGGAGTTGGAAAGGGGGACCAATGAGCCCGGGAAGAAGGAGCGACCAGGATGGAGCGCAAAGCAGTGACAGGCAAGGAGCCAACGGGGACTACACCAATGCAACAGGAAGAACCACGGGGATGGGACAGGGCAGGACAGGACAGGGCTGGGGGGAGGGGGCGACAGGGATGGAGCTGGTCCAGCCAAGTCATAACCAGACCCTGGCTGGGGCGCTCGCTGCGCGCAGGGCGCCGCGCCGGGCACTTTGGAGCGCTCTCTCCCGGGGTGCCCCCCACCGGCCCTCCGATGCCCCATTTCAGAGACTGGAACGACGAGGCCGGCCCCGCATCGCCCGCTCCGCTGTGTCACCCGCCCCGGGGCAGCGGAGGCTCAGCGCCCGACCCTCCAGGAAGCAGGGGGTAGCTGGCGGCCGCAGGGGGCGGCGGCTTGGGGCCGGCGCCGGCCGGGGCAGCTGGTACCTGGGCTCCGGCAGGACGATCCTCTTGCTGGCGCGGGCGGCCGGGGTCGCCTTGCTCTTCTCCATGGCCATCAGGTAACTGACATCGGCCAGCACAGCCTCCAGGTCCGCCATGTTGGCGAGCTTTGGCGGCGGCGGCGGCGGTTACTCCGGACCTGGACGGGACGCGCGCCCGCCGCCGCCGCCCGCCGCGCCCCGACCTGGGGGGGCCGCCCCGGGGCAGCCCCCCCCTCCGCGCGCCCCCGCCCCGCGCGCGCGCCGCGCGCCCCACTAGCGCTCTGCGCGCGCCGCAGGCTGTAGCCGGCCGGGGTCGCAGCACGCCTCCCCGCTCCGCCCCCTCGCGCGCCGCCCGGCGCCCCGCGCACGCGCGCCGCCCCCTGCTCCTTCAGCGAGGGTCTGCGGGGAGCGCGCGTCCAACGGTCAGCGCCCCTCAGTGCACAGTCCCAGCGGCCTCGCTGGGCCGGCGCCTCCCGACCAAGTCTCTACGGTCGCCCTCCCCTCGGGGTGGCCACGAGGGACTCCTCCTCCTCTTCCTCCTCCCCTCCCTCCCCCTCGGTCTCCGCCTCCTCCTTCTCCTCCTCCTTCACTGCCCCGACCTCCCGCCCCAGGTTCCACGCGCTCTGATGCCCGCCCCGCTCACCCAGAGAAGCCCTGGGCCAGACGTCCACAACCCAAGGGGTTATGGGGAGGCCTCTGCTCCCTGGACACAGTAGTTCTCAAACTGGACAGTGTCAATCAGCATCCTCCGGGAGGTCTGGGGTGGCCCCGGAAATACATGTGTCCCACCTATCCCAGCAGGTAATGATGAAACTCCTGCTCTGGTCCGGGCTACCGGTGAACAGCGCCCAGCGGGCCGGGCCCCCAACCTCGCTCCTGAGCCTGAACATCCCCCCAACCCCACCGTGAGAATTCAGCGAAGAGTAAAAGCTGGAAAAAGTTGCGTGTCTTAGGCTAAGCAGAACAAAGTGGGGTGACGGCTCCCCGGCTAGGAACAGAGATGCCCTTAGGGAGCCCTCTGATGGAAGAGCTCTCCGCTTAAGAAGGTCACCACTCCCTTACACTCAGGTGAGAGGTTTTAGTTTGGGTGTTGAAATGGTGTTGAGAAATAGAAGGAGAGAGAGTATTCCTGTCGTTAGGGTTTTACGGTCAATACAAGAGACAATTAGGGAGCATCTGCTGCGAGCACACTCGCACCACGAGGGTGATTTAGGGAAGTGGAAAAGCGAGATACAGCCCAAACACCGAAGCTGGGGGGAATTTCCAGCTTCCTGATCTTCGGTCTCGGTGTCTTTCATCATCACTCCACCCCGATGCCTGGGGTTTTCAGTTGCTTATTTTTCTACAGTGTGCACACAAGTCCGCATTCAGGATCCATGTGACACTCAGGCTGGAGTGGTGGTAAGGGACACGCAGGCAGTCTTAGGAAGACCTAAGCTGGAAATTAATGTTTTAAAATCCCTTTCATTCACCTGAATTGGTCACGTATTTCCATGAGCCTAGACGTTGCTAGAATTTGAGTGAACGTTCTGTCCATAACTTACAGGGTTAACGGGACCCACCAGATACAGTTAAGGTCAAATTTCAGATATTTCATGTAATGTCATTGCAGAAGCAGCCTGATTCTGTCATCAAATAGCCTGTTTCCCTCTTTTGTTTTCTCTCCCACGCCACAGCCCCCCTCAATCTGATTCCCTGCTATGCCTGCCATCACCACTGGCCAGTTTTACCACATGCTTCTCAAGACCCAAGGCACAATAGGCATAAAGTTGTCCTGAAAAGGACAAGAGGAGTGTCAGAAGTAGGAATGGCAGTTGAAGGAGCTTCGTCTGCCAGCAGAAAGCTGAAATGACAGGCAAGCACAAAATATATTAAGGAGACAAAGCTATGCATGAGCGAAATATCAAACTTTCATCTTCTACCCACTTTTTTTTTTTTTTTTTGCTTAAAAACAGGAAGACAGAATGTCTTGTCAAGGGTCACCCCAGGAGGAGGAGTAAATTCCCCAAAAAGCGGAACATATTTTTATGATTTAATTAATACAATTTCTCTCAATGTGTCTGTTTATCATTTGAGCATCCACATGATCAGACCTGACATCTGCCTACATTTTCTTGGTCGTCTTTGACTTCAGTTAAGAACCTTTTGCTCTTTGTTTTCCCCCAGCAGCACAGTATATTAAGTTTGGAACAAGACACACCTGAAATCAAATCCCTGCTCTGTGCTGGGTGATCTTAGAGGCAGTCTTTTACCTCTTTCTACTTTATTGTTCTCATAGGAAAAGTGGAAATGAGGCCTTTTACCCCAGGGTTGTTGAGAAGACAGAGGAGAAAAAGCACATAAAAATGCACCTTGTCGGGCGTGGGGCTCACACCTGTAATCCCAGCACTTTGGGAGGCTGAGGCAGGTGTATCGCTTGAGGCCAGGAGTTCAAGACCAGCCTGGCCAACAGGAAAAATACATTAAAAATAATGTCTCTATTAAAAATACAAAAATTAGCCAGGTATGGTGGTGCACGCCTGTAATCCCAGCTACTCAGGAGGCTGAGGCAGAAGAATCGCTTGAACCCAGGAAGCGAAAGCTGCAGTGAGTCGAGATCGCAGCACTGGGCAGGCACAGTGGCTCACACCTGTAATCCCAGTACTTTGGGAGGCTGAGGTGGGTGGATCACAAGGTCAGGAGATGGAGACCATCCTGGCTAACACGATGAAACTGTATCTCTACTAAAAATACAAAAACAAAATAAGCTGGGCGTGGTGGCGGGCGCCTGTAGTCCCAGCTACCTGGGAGGCTGAGGCAGGAGAATGGCAGGAACCCGGGAGGCAGAGCTTGCCGTCAGCCAAGATTGCACTGCTGCACTCCAGCCTGGGCAAGAGAGCAAGACCCTGTCTCAAAAAAAAAAAAAAAAAAAAAAAAAGCATTTTGCCTGGCACCCAGTAGATCCTCAATAAAGGTCATGGCACTTCCTCTATTTATTTTGCTTCATTTTACCCTGGCATGCTAGAGAAGATACTGAAACTAGTTGTTCACAGTCATTACACTTGAAGCAGGAAGACCCCTTACCAAAAATAACATCTCCCTAGGGCATTTCTAGGAACCAAAATGGCAAAAACATTTGCATCTATAAACATGAGCAATTACTCTTTTGGCAGAAAGACCAAGGAGTCCAAAATTTGGTCCTCTAACTGAGGCCCCTACACCATTTGAGTCAGCTGACTCAATTACCCAGGGGTATTTTTTTCTGGTGTTCATAGTGTATGAATTTCTGTTCCCTGGCTGTCTCTTTGGTTGTCTCACTTTCTCCACCCCCTCTTCTTTCCCTTTTTCTTGACTCTCTTGATACTGAACAGCTTTTTGTGTTCACTGCAAACAAAAGGGGTTAATGACAGTGATGATGAAGTTGTCATAACTGACCTGCTGGATCCTGTTACTAAACACCATCCCCAGCCTGTAATCATCACAAAGAACAGAAAAAACAAATAGCAACCCATTTGTACTTAGCTAATAATGCTCCCTTGCAAATAATTATGTCTCCCACCCCCAGAGGATTTAAATGACTTGGGGCTCACGCTGCTTGTGATAATAGACAAAACTCCAGCGTTCCCACAAGATTAATAATGTTCCCTTTTCTTCTTTTCTATGCCTTTCCATCGTTACAGGAGATGTTGCTGAGATGGGTGCATTAAAGTTTAGGCTTTCCAGAGTTTATATTGCTAACAACTTGAAAGGAAAAAAGCTAACTAGAGAACTGACTGGTCTTATTTGTTTTAGATTCTGGGCTTTACTAAGACTTCCTACTCTCAGAATCTCTGGACTATAAACGCTGGGTGGGGTGGGAGCTGGGAATGTTATTCTGGAAAATTAATCACAAATGAAAAGAAAATCAACTCTAAGACTCCAGTTAGAAGATTTTTGAAAATGGCAGAACATGACTGGCCTTCATTCAAGTCAGAATATTTAAAGCAATCCTTGCTAAGAAGAACTTGATTTTGTATAAGCAGTCCCTTAAATACAGTTGCTTCTCAAGAAAACCACACACAATTGATGTTTGAATGGCTTTATTTACAAACATCTCACTCCGTAAGCCTCTGCAGGTATTTCTAGCCTCCCAGGGGCCACTGTCCCGTTTCACCTGTAATTTGGATCACAATTCTGTTTGTTGTCACACACATCATATGAACTGCTTTTCATGCTGCTTTTATCCACAAAGCTTTACAAGCTTTAATGGCAGCTCTATGTATGACAACTTTATAAAGATCTGCCAAAAGGTATGATGCCAAGCTTTGCTTTTATTAAACTATTAGCTATTAGCACTGAAACGATGTTCAGTAGAGAAGTACTCTCCTTTCAATATGTGAGTGGAAACACATTTCTCTATGGGGACTGCTGGTCAGGGACTCACTCTAAAGAAAAGCCACAGTGTTGTGGTTCAGAGCATGGGCTCAAAAGACAAATGGATAAGAAGCCCAAGACCAGTCCTTCTGAGCTGTGTGACCTTAGACAAGTTGTCTAATCTCTCTGTGTCTCAGCTCTGCCTCAGTGTTGTTAATGGGATTGCCGTGAGAGCAATGCTGTAACATGTAAAAAGCACTTAGAACTGTGTCTGGCACACAGAAAGCACTCGATAAATATTGACCTGGTTAGCAGCAGCAGCAGCCATCGCTGGAGCATCTCTACATCATACAGGGCCCGATGGAAAGAGACCAGCACTGAGAATGAACAGAACAGTGCTGGCTCTGACCCGCTGGCTCTGGCATTGCTGAATAACTCTAAGCAAGTCTCTTAAGCTTTTTAAATATGATTTTTCACCAGTAACTAATGAAGGGATTGAAGGAGCAGGTCCCCTGACGTCTTTTCAAATTCTAAAATTCTCCAGCTTTATTTAATCCTGCAGTGAATCCTTTTGCAAGGTAAAGAGTACTCGCTCCCCTCAATAACATCTTATGAGTTTAGGTTTCGGTGCATAGGGCAATACCCAGGGCATAAATCATTTCCACTGTCACCATAGCCCGCAGGTGAGGTGAGCAATCCATTAGCTTGCTTCTGGAAACAAGCCTGTCTGTATTTGTTCCCCCAGCATCTGCACTCAGCACACTGACTTTGCTCAGTATATGTATTGGATGGATAAGTGAGTAAATGAATGAATGACATAAAGATCATAGATTGCCTCAGCCTTCTATTGGAAAATAACCTAAAGGGAGGGGGAAAATTACTACTTAAAACCACAAGTGCCACTCAAGGGATGCCTCCTATGAAAGGAGGAGTGCTAACTGCCAGGTCCCCACTGGTTCTTCGTGCTGCTTATGGCCTGGAAGGCCTCTCCTGCAGCCAAGAGCCCTGATGTGCTTGGGCTGTGCAACGGTGAGTCTGGGGTGAGTCTGGGAACTTTAGGCGCAGGAATGGAGAGCGCTGACTCCCTTTGCCTAAGAAAGGGGACTTAGAGGGGAACTTGAAAGAGGGAGTAAGAGAGAGGGCAACAAGAGGGGCCGAGGCTAGGCAGTCCATGCAGCGGGTGCCAAGCCTGAGGTGGGGTGGTCTGGAAATCATTCCAGAACAGGAAATATGTTCTTCTGTCTTCTGTGCCATTTTAAGTTCTGTACAGCAATGCCTGCTTTTCCAGTGATCCTTACAACTTCCCAGCTTGTATTTGTGGGTACTTTGATGGAAAGTTGCAGGGGAAGCAGGGAACTAGGGCTGGGATCAATACCAGGACCAAGATAAAGGAACAGCTGTAAGAGCAAGAGAACAAGAACTAAGCAAAAGCAGGGAATTTGGGGCCTGCCATGATGATGGGAACGTGGGCTCTGAAGATCCACAGACAGCCAAGGCAGGCCTCGGCCTCTCCATGGGACTGGAAAGCTCATCTTGTCTCCCTCTCAAGGAGTAAGAAGATGACTTCTGGATACGTGAGTCACAAAAGGCCAGAACTTTTCTGCATCTCCCACGGCACCCCCTTACAAGGGCAGGTCATTTTGGGGCATGCCACCTGGGCCAGTGGCAGCAGGTACTGAGCAAATCCACCCCCCACCTCTCAGAGCTTGTCTCTTCCTGTCCTGGCCAGGTCTGTTTCTTCTCTCTTGATCAACAGAAATAACTCCCAAACTGCTTGGTATAGAGCAGTTCATGAATAGAGATTCAAACAGGTCACACTCAATTATGAAATCAGGGTGCCTGGGCCAGGCCTGGCATAACCCTGATCTCAGAGGACCACCCCTACCCTCCCCAGGGAGCCACCAGAGAAGCTGTCACATGCTCCTAAGACGTGCTTGCCACCAGCACCCCCAGACACTTATGTGCTGAAATTGCCAACATGCAGATTCGGATTCAGAGGTCCAATCAGGGCCTGAGAATCTGCACTCCTTGCAAGCCCCCAGGTGGTGCCAACACAGCAGAAACATTGACATCTTAGGCCCCACCACAGACTTAAGCCAAATCTGCACTGGAACAAGATGCCCAGGCAATCTCCCACCCTGAAGTTGTTCAGACTGGCCTCACTTAGGGGAGGGAGTTCCAGATTAGAGAAAGGTCAGATCAGCGGAGCCCAGATGGACAGCCACCAGACAAAGGAGGAGAGGAGGGAGAGGCAGGTCAGAGAGATCAGCCGGCCTTGATTCTGCAGCACCTGGAGCCACAGTGGGAAATTGAAGCTATCCTCGGGGCACCAGAAAGCCAGTGGAAGGTTTCCAAGAGGAGAGTGACAAAATCAGATGGACCATTTTATAGGATTCTTCTGGCTGGGGATGCAGATCCAGTTGGAGGCAGGGGGGGATAGTTGAATTAAGGGAGGCGCTAGAGAGAGCTAGGGTAGCAGTCCAAGAGACCCAGATGAGGGTAGCTGCAGTAAGCAGACCAGCACATCACTCATGGTCCAGGGTGATTTGCAGGCCTCTGAAGCAGCCAAGTACAAAACGAAGGCCCTCCCACTTCCCTTCTCCCTGGACCAGATCTCTCTGACTTCTCACCTGGAAGGTGCCCACAGGTTGCCAACTCCTTGTCCTGTTTCCAAACCCTCCCTCCTTCAATCCATCTGACACTCTCCTGCCCCTGCTCAAAAACCTTCAATAGCTCCCCATTGCCTGCCAAATGATCTGCTAACTCCTCCACCCACACTGTTATGTTCTACTTCTATGTCTGCCTAACCCGTGACACAGTAGTTCACACTTTCATTCATGCAACAAATATTTATTGAGTATCATCAATGTGGCAGGCACTAAAAAGAAACCACTCATCTGCCAAGGCACATAATCAATTTCAGGAGGCTTATAGCCACACTGAAATGCTCTTCCAAATAAGTGCTTTGGCTGTAGCAAATGAAAATAATAATAGAAAACACTTATTAAATACTAACTTTGTGCCAACTATCATGTTAAACACTTTGTGGGACTATCTTAATAATCTTCCTCAGACACCTATAATGGAGAGGGTTGGCCTCATTTTTCGTTTTGTGGGTTTTTGTTTTGTTTGTTTGAGACAGGGTCTCACTCTGTCACCAAGGCTGGATTGCAGTGCTGTGATCTCAGCTCACCGTTGCCTCAACCTCCTGGGTTTAAGCAGTCTTCCCACTTCAGCCTCCCAAGTAGCTGAGACCACAGGGATATGTCACCATGCCTGGCTTTTTTTTTTTGTCTTTTGGGGGGTGCTACCATGTTGCCCAGGCTGATCTTGAACTCGCGAGCTCAAGCAATCCACCCGCCTCAGCCTCCCAAAGTGCTGAGATTGCAGGCGTGAGCCACTGTGCCCAGCTGGTTGGGCTCATTTTAGCCAAAAGAAAAATCTCAAGTCACTTGCAACGTAAGTGCAACAACTAAATTCATAGGGTATGAATTCAGGCAGTCTCAACCCAGGACTTCTCCCTCAACCCCTGTCCTCTGAATGTCCTTGTACTCTAAGTCATGGGGCTGTGAGTGAAACAACATCAAATAAGGCATGTTAAAGTGCACAATAAAACCCCATTCAAATTCTCTTTCCGACTCACCTCATGCTAATCCCAAGTCCTCCCATGATGCCCGGGTCACACCGACCAAGCAATTCCAACCTTGAGGGTTTTGTCTTCCTTTTCCATTTGCCTGGAACACTCTCCTTCAAGGCCTTGTTTTGGCCTCTCACCATTCAGATCTCTGCTCAGATATCACCCCTGGCATCTCTGGGAGAGAAGCCACTGAGACACTTGTAGGCAATAATGGAAATCTGCCAAAAATTCTCTTGGTGGGCTCCTATCACGTTCTAAGCCCTTTTCTCCTGTTTCCTTTTTTCTGTCTTCCTCTCCACTTCCTCCCACCTCCCCTTGCCCCTTTAGCCCTTCAAGAACAAGTGCCTCTCTCTTCTCCTCCGTGTTCTCCTCCTTAATCAAAAGCTGCTCTCATCAAAAGATGTCCTGTCCATCATATACGCCTTAGTGTGAATTTGTTGGTAGGTCAATTTTCCCAGAAATGTCTGATTTATTTTTATTTTTTATTTTTTTTTTAATTTTTTTGAGACCAGGTAAGTCTTGCTCTGTCACCTAGGCTGGAGTGCAGTGGTGCGATCTCGGCAATCTCAGCACCCTGCAACCTCAACCTCCACCTCCCAGGTTCAAGCGCTTCTCCTGCCTCGGCCTCCCGAGTAGCTGGGATTATAGGCATGTGCCACCATGCCCAGCTAATTTTTGTATTTTTAATAGAGATAGAGTTTCACCATGTTGGCCAGGCTGGTCTCGAACTCCTGGCCTCAAATGATCTCCCTGCCTTGGCCTCTCAAACTGCTGGGATTACAGGTGTGAACCACCACACCCGGCCAGGAGTGTCTGAATTTTAAACCATATGCTTGATTATAAAATAGTAGAGTTTGCCTTTCTTAAAGGAATTTCATACAACTGGGTTGCTAGTTTGTGTGTGTGTGTGTGTGTGTGTGTGTGTGTGTGTGTGTGTGTGTGTGTGTGATATGTTAGGGGCAGCAGGTTTTTCCTTAACGCCAGGAATCATTCAGGCTGACTTTGTTCAGCTGGAATAATTTCAGGCATCGTGATACAGTTGAAAGGAAAGAGGATGAACATTAAAATAAGGAAGGCCTCAATTTGAATCTCGCTTCTGACAGTACTCGAACGATCTTAGACTAAGTGATTTCACTCTGACTCCCAGTTGTCTCTTTTATAATGTGAGGGTAATTAACTATTGTAAAGATTATTGTAAGAGCTAGATGAGATCACAGGACACACCATAAGGGCTCAGTGGGGCTGGAATGCGTGAAGTCCTCTTTGGAGCAGTCAGGCCTGATGGACCCCGTGCCTGGGCTCGAAGACACCTACACACACTCCCAGGGCCCCCACTGCTTATAACTGTTTCTGGAAAGAACTGAGCATGAAACTTGGCAGGAGACCACAAAACGTCCTGGAATCCTGGCCACTGTCAAGTCTAGAATGCTCTCCTCCAGAGAATCACATTCTTGGGGCCAGTGTTGGAGCATGGAAGACTTAGTTGGGGATTGGAACTGCTCCAGCCCTGAAGCCCTCCTTCCTGTCCCTGTAACCAGCAAATGTCACTGTCTGTCTTGCCAGGCTAACAACCTTTCTCATAAGCATCACCAAACCTGACCAGACATCAGTCCTCTGAAAAGAATCATAATCCAGCCACCATAAACCCAAAAGCCAAAGTGGTAATTATCTAAAGATGAGGAAAGGTTTCCTCCCAGGCCCTCCAGGGGCCAAGGAAGTTCTCACATTAAACAGTTACACTGATCTCCATTGATTTCTTCAGTCCATCAACCAATTATTGGCAACTTTTTCTTGGAAACCTACTGTATGTGAGGTACCGGGATGACAGTGGTGGACAGGTAGACACCCTCCACCTTCATGGAATAACATATTTGCAGGGGGGTGCATTGGCAGTTAATTGGTTAATTTATTAAAATTGTGCTATGAGCCAAAATGATGTAATAGATGTCTTTGAAGAGCCCACAGTTGGTTGTGGGTCCAGGAGGCCTTCTCTGAGGAGGTGACATTTAAGCTGAGAATGGAAGGAGGAACAGAAGGGGGTCAGAGACAGCCTCCAGGTGGACCATACAGCCAGGCAAAGGCCCTGGGCGGCAAACAAGGAGCATAGCTGGGAAGCAAAGAGTAGGATGTGTGATGACACCTGAGACTGGGCAGAGGCCAGACCCTGCAGGGCCTTGGAGGCCACACCAAAGAGCTGGGTCTTTGTCCTGAGAGCAATGAGAAGCCAGAGATGGGCTTTCAGCAGGGACGTGACATGACCCAATTGACCTTATGAAAGAGAACTCTGACTGCTCTCTGGATAATAACCTTTCCCTCCCTTTAACACAGTCCAGAAAAGGCATGTGTGGGGGTGGGGAGCCGGCTGGATTTTTCTGGAGGACTTTCTTTATAAACTGCTTTAAATAGAAATGAGAGGAAGCAAACAAATGATAGCTCTGTCCATCCAGGCCTTAATTTTTCTAAACAAACAAGAACCATGGGCAACTGCAGGCAAAAGTGTTTCCACCCTTGAGGTCTTGAAAAGAAAAGTCCCAGTCTGTTTCACCTCTTCCTCAGAAGTGCAGGGAACAGTGTGTGCTATGCAAATAGATGCCACATACAGATGGTAACTTGTTGGGCTAATTGGCTGGGGGCAAAGGCTCTCTGGGGCTCACCCAGGGATGGTGTATTTGACAACATCTGACCTCTCCCCTGTGCTCACTGATCTTTCTTACTCCATCAGTCCAGCTCCCATCCATGTGGACACTGAGCACATGATCAGGAAGCTTCCCAGGCTGAATACTTGCTCAAGAAATGTTGCTGCAGCTAACAGCCCACTGGGGAGTCTTTGTGACTCTTTTGATCCCCCCTTAGAATCTAGCAAATTGCAAGAGAAAAAGCAATTTCCCAAGACTGGAATTACAATCCCGATGTCATGGGATGTTTGGCTCAGAAAGCCTTCATCTGCTTGTCATGAGTTATGGGATTTCAGCAGCTCTCCAGGGAGTTTTCTCCCATCTACTAATGGTGTGGTTGTCTGTCACCAGCACTTAAACTGGGTGAGATATGTTGGCTGATATGATATTGTGATTTATAAAGATTAATAGATATTCTTATTACATATTCATATATATTAATATCATGTATATATTAAATATTCATGTATATATACATTTGGTCTTCATCCATTTCCTGGCACAGAGCTCCTAAAATCCTTGGAACCTCCAAAATGTTAAGAGTGTCTTTTGTATGTTAGTGAGATGACTGGTGGCTAGGGTCCCTAGACAACTTCAAGATGGGGACTGGTTACCCACAAAACCAAGGCATGATTAGACGGTTGAGACTAAAAAACAAAAATAGGATCTGGCTCTGTTGCCCAGGCTGGAGTGCAGTGGTGTGATTACTGCAGCCTCAACCTCCCAGGCTCAAGCAATCCTCCCACCTCAGCCTCTTGAGTAGCTAGAACTACAGGCACACACCATTATGCCCAGCTATTTTTTTTTTTTTTTTTTTTGTAGAGATAGGGTCTCACTATGTTCCCCAGGCTGGTCTCAAATTCATGGGCTCAAGCCATCCTCCCTCCTCAGCCTCCCAAAGTATTGGGATTACAGGTGTGAGCCACCACATGTAGCCTAGAGTTGAGACTTTTAATTCCACCCCTTAGCCTCTGAGGAGCAGAGAGGGGCTGACGGGTGAGTTGACTACCAATGGCCAGTGATTTAATCAATCATGCCTATAGAATGAAGCCTCCAGATAAATGCAGAAAAACCAAGTGGGTTCAGAGAGCTTCCATATAGCTGAACACATGGAGGTCCTGTAGTATGGTGTGCTCAGAGAGAGCAGAGATGCTCCTAGCCCCAGGACTTGCCCTATGCATCTCTTCCACCTGGCTGCTCATCTGTATCTTTTGTAATACCCTTGTAATAAGCCAGTAAACACAGATACGGTGTTTTCCTGAGTTCTGTGAGTCACTCTAGCAAATTAATTGAACTTGAGGAGGGGGTCATGGGAACCCCAATTTATAGCTGATTGGTCAGAAGTGTAAGTGACAACCTACTACTTGCAATTGGTCAGAGTGAATGGAATTAGAGGACGCCCAGTTGGTGTCCCCTGAATAATTGACTGGTTGCTGATGGGAAGAAATCTCCACACTTCTGGTGTCAGAAGTGCTGTGTTGAGTGGTATATGAAAGTAGAAAAAACACTTGGAATTTTCCTATGTCTATTAGCTGATCAAATCAGATTTCTTTTTTTTTTTTTTCATTTTTTTTTTATAGACAGGGTCTTGCTCTGTTGCCCAGGCTGATGTGTGATGGCATGATCATCATGGCTCACTGCAGCCTGGACCTCCTGGGCTCAAGCAATCCTCCCACCTCATCCTCCCAAGTACTAGGACTGCAGGCACACACCACATGCCCAGCTAATTTTTTTTTTTTGTAGAGATGGGGATCTTGCTATGTTACCCAAGCTGGTTTCAAACTTCTGCTCTCAAGCAATCCTCCTGCCTCGGCCTCCCAAAGTGCTGGAATTGCAGGCATGAGCCACCATGCCCAGCCAAATCAGATTTCTTGATTACATTCTTTATCTCCATGCAGAGACAAATCTTTTGTATTAGTCATTGCTGTGTAACAATATGACCACACTTAACAGCTTAAAACAACAAGAAGACATTTTTGCAGCCAAAAAACATGAAAAAAGCTCAACATCACTGATCATTAGAGAAATGCAAATCAAAACCACAATGAGATACCATCTCATGCCAGTCAGAATGCAATTATTAAAAAGTCAAGGAACAACAGATGCTGGCAAGGCTGTGGAGAAGTAGGAATGCTTTTGCTCTGTTGGTGGGAATGTAAATTAGTTCAACGATTGTGGAAGACAGTGTGGTAATTCCTCAAGGATCTAGAACCAGAAATCCCATTTGACCCAGGAATCTCATTACTGGGTATATACCCAAAGGAATACAAATCATTCTATTATAAAGATACATGCACGTATATGTTTATTGCAGCACTATTCACAATAGCGAAAACATGGAACCAACCCAGATGCCCATCAATGATAGACTGGATAAATAAAATATGGTACATAATACACCATAGAATACTATGCAGCCATAAAAATGAACGAGATCATGTCTTTGCAGGGACATGGATGGAGCTGGAAGCCATTATCCTCAGCAAACTAACACAGGAACAGAAAACCAAACATCGCATATTCTCACTCATAAGTGGGAGCTGAACAATGAGAACACATGGATACAGGGAGAGGAACACACACCAGGGCCTGTCAGGGGTGGGTGGAGGAGGGAGAGCACCAGGATAAATAGCTAATGTATGTGGAGCTTAATACCTAGGTGCAGCAAACCACCATGGCATACACCTATGTAACAAACCTACACGTCCTGCACATATATCCCAGAAATTAAAATAAAATTTAAAAATAAATAATTTTTTTAAAAAAACTATACATTTATTATCTCAAAGTTTCTGTAGGTCAGGGGTCTGGGTATAGATTAGCAAGGTCCTCTACTCAGGGTCTTACAAGGCTGCAGTTACGTGTCAGCCAGGGCTGTGGTTTCATGTGAGGTTTACTGGGGAAGGATCCACTTCCAAGTTGATGTAAGTGCTGCCAAAATTTAGTTTCTTGTGGTCTATTGGATTTAGGCTGTTAGATTTTTGCTGACTGTTGGCCAGAGGCTTCCCTTAGCTCCTAGAAGTAGCACTAATTTCCTTGCCACATGGGCCTCCCAAACATGGCCCAAAGCATCTCAAGATGGGCATTATAATCTTTTACATCCCATCACCTTTGCATATTGTATTGGTTAAAATCCAGTCATAGATCCCACACACGCTCAAAGGGAAGGGCCCACAAAAGGCCAGGGATGCCAGAAGATGGGATCATGGGGACGCCCATGAGCCTAGAGTCTGTCTGCCACAACTTGAGAAAGCTTTCCTCCATTGAAGAGAATAAAACTGTTAGCCACTGGTTCAAGTAGCTTGCTATTTCATGTATATATTCTTAGTCCATTGGAGTCTTAGTCTGAGCTACTATAACAGAATACCCGAGACTGGGTAATTTATAAACAATAGACATTTCTTTTCTCATGGTTCTGGAGGCTGGGAAGTCCAAGAGCAAGGCGCCAGCAGGTTCCATTGTCTGGCAAGGGCTGATCTTTGCATCTAACACAGTGCCTTGAGCACTGCATCCTCCAGAGGAAAGGAACTCTGTATCCTCACATAATGGAAGGCAGAAGGGCATGCCAGACTGTGTGAAGCCTCTTTTATGAGGGCCTTAATCCTAGTCATGAGGGGAGGAACCCTCATGACCTAATCACCCCTTAAAGGCGCTACCTTGCAGCCGGACAGGGTGGCTCACGCCTGTAATCCTAGCACTTTGGGAGGCCGAGGCAGGTGGATCACGAGGTCAGGAGATCAGGACCATCCTGGTTAACACGATGAAACCCCATATCTACTAAAAATACAAAAAAATTGCCAGGCGTGGTGGCGGGTGCCTGTAATCCCAGCTACTTGGGAGGCTGGGGTGGAAGAATGGCGTGAACCAAGGAGGCGGAGCTTGCAGTGAGCTGAGATGGCGCCACTGCACTCCAGCCTGGGTGACAGAGCAAGACTCCATCTCAAAAAAAAAAAAAAAAAAAAGGCACTACCTCTTAATAGCATCACATTGGCCATTAAGTTTCAGCACCTGAAGTCCGGAGGGAACACATTCAAATCTTAGCATGTATGTGTGTGTGTATATCTATATATATACACACACATATATATAATTGATTGATATATAGTTAATAGATAAATAGGCAAAGATATCACTTGGCTAAAATGTATGCTTTTAACAAATAATTAGCTCTATCAACACAATGTACAGGGTGTTGAATGGACCAGCCAGGGTGAAGGGTGGTCCCCCAGACTCCAAGGAGATACTTAATAAAATAATATAATTACATGTGAGGATACAATACATGGGGATTGTATCCCAAAGTACCTCAGCCTAAACATTGACTTGGTTGGTGACGGAGTGAAAATGGATCATGGCACAGCACATCCAGCAGGGACCAGGAACCCAGGGTGTTATATGCACAGTTTGAATCTCAACGTTACTATACACTGGCTGAGAGAGCTTAGGCAACTGGCTTGACCCCCCAAAATCTGTGGTTCTTTAATTAGGAAGCAGGAACAATAATAAGTTTGTCTTGAGGATTTACTGACATCATGTGTATAACTGTGCTTTATGTTAGAATGGCTAAAATGAAAAATACAAACAAAACCAATATTGGTGAGAATGCAAACGGAGCTCTTCTGTGCCCCTGGTGTGAGTGTAAATTGGTTTGACCGTTCTGGAAAGTTGTTTAGCAGTATCCACAAAAGCTAAATGCGTGACCAAGGAATTTTAACTCCATGATATATACCCTGCAGAGATGAGTGCTTACGTAGACCAAGAAAACCTGTACATGAATGTTCACGGTAGCTTTATTCTCAGCCCAAACTGAACAACCCAAATATTCATCAACAATCTAATGCAGTGGTCCTCAACCTTTTTGGCACCAGGGACTGGTTTCACAGAAGACAAATTTTTCATGGACAGGGTCTGGGGAGATGGTTTCGGGATGATTCAAGCACATTACATTTATCATGCACTTTATTTCTATCATTATTACATTGTAATATACACCGAAATAATTCTGCAACTCGCAGTAGTGTAGAATCAATGGGAGCCCTGAGCTTGCTTTCCTGCAACTAGATGGTCCCATCTGGGGGTGATGGGAGACAGTGACAGATCATCAGGCATTAGATCCTCATAAGGAGCACACAATCTAGATCCCTCACATGCACAGTTCACGATGAGAATGTAATTCCTCCACTGATCTGACAGGAGACAGAGCTCAGGTGGTAATATGAGCAATGGCGAGCAGCTGTAAATACAGATGAAGCTTGGCTTGGTCATCTGCAGCTCACCTCCTGCTGTGCAGCCCAGTTCCTCACAGGTACCGGTCTGTGGCCGGGAATTGGAGACCCATGATCTAATGGATACATTGTAACATGTTCACACAGCGTAATACTACACAGTGATAATAAAGCACACGCCACCATGGCTTGCAGCAATTTGGTTCACACAGACGTACTGTTAAGGAAGTCAGACACAAAAGAATGCATGTTGTTTGAGACCACAACAATGTAAAAGTGAAAAACAAGCAGAACTGGTCAACGCTGATAACGATCAGCATAGTGGTTACCTTGGGTGGATATTGACCAGGAGGGGGAGGAGGGAGCTTCCTGGGGGCTGGAAATGTTTTATATCTTGAGGTAGTCGTGGTTACATGGGTATATACATGTTATTGACCCATGCACTTATTGAGTTACACCTCAATAAAATATGTTTTAAAACAAGAAAATATAAGCAAAGTATTTGGTGCCGACCCTCTGTTCCAATCCCTAACCTTCTTGGCCATAGAGCAGCAGACTGCCTTGATTGTCCTTACCTGAGGCATCAAGAGAGAGGCCGTCTATCATTTCCCAGCCCAAGATTTCTTCCACACAATGATGTTGATCAGTGAGGCAACATGGGTATGCAACTATGTGAATTATTATCTATACCTATGTGAGTTATTATCTACATCTATATGAGTTATTATCTAATCTACACAAACTTGATCAGAGGCAGATGGAGATGCACAGCTTGCACCCTGCCTGGAGTTCTCCAATGCAACACAAAGTCTCTCATTCCTCTGCTCTCTCTCTTCCTTCCATGCAAGATTCTCCTCACAGTGTTCCACCTAGGACCCTTTGAGATCTGCACATCTAGTTCTCTCTCTGTCTCCCTCCCTCCTTCTCCCTCTTTTAGAGACTGGGTCTTACTCTGTTGCCCAGGCTGGCATGTAGAGGCATGATCACATCTCACTGCAGCCTCAGCTTTCTGGATTCAAGCGATCTTCCCAAGTAGCTAGTGCTTCTTCCCATATTCTTGTAATGATAACACTGGAGGTTTGGTGCCTTGAACTTCCATGTTTAGGACCTGAATGGCCCTTAGTAGTAAAAAAAAAAAAAAAAAAAGCAAAAAAAAAAACCTCTTGCTGTGTTCTTCCGGACATACAAATTATATCATGTTCTGTGACCACGATGACATGAATGACAGGGTTTTCCTTCCACATACCTCCATATCACAGACACCAGCTGGTTTTAAAACAACTTGGTTTTCACTGTGCTTGTCCCTGGGCATGACTCTGCAGAGGAGTGTTTTCCTTCACTCACATCAATCTACTCATTCCTACCATATTGTCAGACCTCTTTCATGTTTCCTGTTACTCTCCATCACTGAGCACGCCATAAGGACTCAGTAAATGGGAGCAGTGAACACTCCTTAGCAAACTGAGCATGACAGTCGCTAGAAAAGTGAGCCCTGCAAGAGAGCAGGTTTAACTCACGCAGACCTATCACACTGTTACTCAATTCACCCTCAAGCTGCTCTCACACTCTCCACTCTGACTCGAGGTATAACAACAACTTTATGATGATTAAATTCAATTTTGCTTCCTTCTGAGATCCTTCGATTGCAAGAAGAGAGGCCCTAGCTTAGTGTTTTTTATGCTGGGACTCAAGGCCAATCGGTAGGTCATGGAATACATTTACATGGATGCTAGCAGCATTTTTACATAATGAAGTGAAATAGAATGGAATAAAAATCATCAGAGTGAGTCATACACAGTCAGTTTTAAGCATCGTTAAGTGAAATATTTGTTTCAGATGTGTGTGTGTGTGTGTGTGTGTGTGTGTGTGTGTGTGTGTGTGTGTATTCCACTGCTTTGTATTAAATAAAATGTACTTCTTACCATGGGCCATGGTCAAAGACTTCCAGAGTCCCTGAGCCCAAAAATGTATCCACAAGCATTCCAGTCACTACAAAGGTAAATTAATAAATTGACTTCACCCAAGTGAACTATAGAGTTGAGTTTCTACAACAGAGGTCAGCCCCTGATCTGTGGTGGCCCCAACCAAGATATAACCTCCCCATAAGAAGCTCTGCCAACAACAGCTTAAGAATTAGCCTCACTTTCCCCACTTTAATGTAGAAATGGAAATTGCGACCACAATGATCAATGCAAATTGTTTTAGGTGAAGACACTCTCTGACCCCCCGGGTAGATGTAAGCACTTTAGAGAACAGGCTTGGAGAGTGTGGCCTTTTAAGAGATGAGTCACTCCTAATAGGCCCGTTTCTAGGCCAAAATGAGTGCTGTGTGATTTGGAGCAAAGTGCTTCACCTCTTTGGACTTCTGCTTTTTGACTGTGAAACAAAGAGTAAGTAGGGCTGGGAGGGATCCTTGCAGGGAAGTCTGGAAGCTTGTTGCGTTCAGCTGGTGCAGAGGCACTAGCTTCTCCCTTTTCATCACCTTCTCCCTGGGAGGGAGACAGAATCTTTCCTTCCCCACTACCCTGCTTTTTTTTTTTTTTTTTTTTTGTACTTCTGCATTGCCTCATTCATAGAAAGGAGACGAAGTTAACATAAAAAAGAGGGTTGGCTAGATTATGATTTCTCAACATTGGAAACCCATGTCTCCTTTCAGTAAAGTGGAAACTGTATGTGTTTGGACCACCTTTGCAGGCCTTGTTCTTCCCCGTGCCAAGTTCAGACCAGACCCAGGACATCTAGAAGGGAGAAGGGAGGGAAGGAAGAGAGGGGGAGAGGATGGGAGGAGGAAGGGATGGAGGGAGGAGGAAGGGAGGAAAGTGGAAGAAATAAATCCAACTTAAACAGTATGGCCAAGGGCTGTGGATTTTATTGAAGATGAGGTGGAGATATGAAGGGAGGGATGACATCACTCATCACACAGCAAAACTGCCCCAGTACCCTCTTTTGGCCTCTCTGCTCTTTTTTCCTGTTCTTTGAGTACAGAGACTACATCTACCGGATTATTCTGTTGACAACTTGGTTATGCTGGGAACCACATTTCTCAGACCTCCTTTTCCTGTATGTTCCTAGGTTAGAGTTGCCCCAAAATGAGGTTGTGCAAGACCAGGGAGGCTCATGGGAAGCAGCAGCCGTTACACTCTGAAGGTCATCATTGGTTAGAAGCAGTGAGGGGTGGCCAGACACAGAGGGGCCAGCAGCTTCCAGTTTGTCCTCCATCTTCCCTGCTCTGTATCTAGCTCTCCCCGACCCTGCTGACCAGCAGTGATGGCAAGCCCACCCTCAGACCCTTAGCGGCAGATTCACAGAGGCAGTCACCGTGGAGAACTAATACATTCCATAGACTTCTAGATCAGCCCCTTTCCTGGTGCCTGTGCACCAGCTCAATACACCAAGCTTCGGACTTCCCTACAAGCTCCTGACTCATTCACTTGCACCAGCCCTTGTTAGTGATCCTCAGTGCTCTCAGTGGACCTTCTTCCCCAGCTTCTCCTACAAGCGTGTATCATCTGATTCCTGTAACACAGTTCTTATTCCAAACATACCACCGTGTGGCTCTGCTTCCCGGACTAATCTCTCACCGACACACCTAGTTTCTGACCCCGCACCCAAACCGCTATCCCTCTCTTCAAAGATAGCAGAAATGAGATTCAACTGGAGGTATCAATAAAGAGCTAGACTCTGCAAGTTCTCAAAGTTTGGATAGGAAGTGTGGGCTGAATTCTGAGGACAAAAGGGAGCCATTGAATGTGTTAAGCAGGCACTGGGGCATGATTTGTTTTTTGTTTTTTTTTTTGTTTTGTTTTTTCAGAAAGACTGCTGTGAACATAATGGGTTACTGGAGGGCCAGAGAGATCGTGGGGAGACCAGTGAAAGGGCTGTCACATATGTTCCCAATTATTTATTTTCATCTATATAAATGGAGCAATTGTTCAATGAAAGTTAAACTTTAATCATGGCATGAAAGGGAATAAATCACTTGTCAAGTAAATATTTACTGTTTCTGGACTACGGCTCCTCAATAAAATGTGTCTGTCTCCTCTTTTCCCATCCAGTATCCAGCATAAAAACCAGAATTTAAGAACTCCTCTGCTGGGTGTGGTGGCTCACGCCTGTAATCCCAACACTTTGGGGAAGCCAAAGCAGGCAGATGGCTTAAGCCCAGGAGTTTGAGACCAGCCTGGCCAACTTGATGAAACCCTGTCTCTACAAAAAATACAAAAAACAAAAATAGCCAGATGTAGTGGTGTGCACCTGTAGTCCCAGCTATTTAGGAGGCTGAGGTGTGAGGATGGCCTGAGGCCAGGAGGCAGAGGTTGCAATGAGCTGAGCTGGCACCACTGCGCCCCAGCCTGTGTGACAGAGCAGGACCCTGTCTCAAAACAAAACAAAACAAAAACAAACAAACAAAAAACCCTTCAAATCGTGACAACATGGATTAAATCAACCAAATAAACCAGAAAATATGAACAAGTAACACCGAGAGAAAACAGACACAGGAGACACCTTAAACAGTAACAACAGCAGCGTGGTGGTACCAGGTACCAGGTTTGTAGAAATTTGTTCATCTACAATAAGAAAATGTTACAATATTGAAAAGGAAAAATGGAAGAAAAAAATATCACAGTCTCCCTTGCCATCCTACCACTGCCTTTTCAGCTCCGTTTCAACATTCATGCTTCTTTCAGCTCATCAAGAACAGGTTGTGTGCATATCAATTTCCAGAGCAGTTTTCTGAAGCTCCAACTGTGTATGATATTAGCCTTCTGAGAATTAAGTCCTAAAAGAAGCACCACTATTTTTTTTCTTATCTGCTGGGGAAAAAAATGAAGGATAAGGAAGGGGAAGATAGATTTTGATCGCATATTCTGACTCTCAAAGCAAAACAGAAACAAGATACAGCTGCCTTGAGCTTCATTCTTTTGAATTTCTGCTTTGAGGTTTTCATTCAATAACAACATTTGATTGAGAAAGTTCCCCCCAAAACCTGAAGGGGCCTATGGATCTGAGTTAACAGCATTTACCCAACAGCCCAAAGAAAAATTATTTTCATATGTCCTGAAATTAAGGGAACTATCTTTATTCCCATCTCATAAAAAGGAAGTGAAACGTAATGATGAAGCTGAACTACAGGGGCCCACAGTGTCCTTTTGTTCCCCCAAGTGGATGCTCTCAGATTGCAACTTTGAGGAGAAGCTCATGTAGGTAATAAAAGCTCTGGGAGGGCACAGACCCTGAAATACCAGGGGTTAGGCAGAAATTAAGTGAAGCATCTGAGGAAGCTTCTAATGTTCATTCTATTATTTTTTTGGATGAGTAATCTTCTCTTCCTTTCTATTGGTCGATCTCTCTCTCTCTCTCTCTCTCTCACACACACACACACACACACACACACGCAATTCCTTTTAAAAATACTCTATGAGGCCAGGCGCCATGATTCACGCCTGTAATCCCAGCAATTTGGGAGGTCAGGGTGGGAGAATCATTTGAGTCCAGGAGTTCAAGACCAGCCTGGACAACACAGTGAGACCTCATCTCTACAAAAATTTTAAAAATGAAAAAAATTAGCTGGGTATGGCCTCAACTACTCAGGAGGCTGAGGCGGGGGCATCACTTGAGTCTGGGAGGTTGAGGCTGCAGTGAGCTATGAATGCACCATTGCACTCCAGCCTGGGCAACAGAGCAGGACTCCGTCTCCAAAAAAAAAAGAAAGAGAGAGAGAGAAAGAAAAAGAAAGAAAGAAAAAAGAAAGAGAGAGAGAGAAGAAAGAAAGAGAAAGAAAGAAAGAAAGGAAAGAAAGAAAGAAAGAAAGAAAGAAAGAAAGAAAGAAAGAAAGAAAGAAAGAAAGAAAGAAAATGGAAGTACTCTATAAATAAACCCGGATAACAATTTCCAAGTAGCAGCCTGCTCCCTGTTCCCTGTCACATTGCTCACACTCCCAGAAATTCCTGCCCTCACCATGACACTACAAGTACCTTCTATTCCCTACTCCTCTAAAAAAAAACAACAACAACAAAAAAAAACAACTACTGCCTCTGTTTCACTCCTAAGGCTCTGATTGTTTTTTGCTCTGTGCCAGCCATGTGTCAGGTGCTGGAGGCAGCGGGGACACCAGCACGGGCAGAGGCTCTGCCCTTGAAGAACTCTCATTCTAACAGGAGATAAATGAACCAGATGACTAGAAAATAAATGAACCAGATACTGTGAGTCTGTAAAAGTGCTGTGAAGGAACTAAACAGTAATTTGTAAAGAGTGTCAAAGAAGGAAGATTTTCTTTCGCAGGTGATCAGGGAAGGCCTCTCTGGGGAGAACCTAAGGTAGATTCCAGGAGAAGAAGTCAGCACAAGTGCATTTTAGGCAAAGAGAATAGCAGGTGCAAAGGTCCTGGGGCAGAAATGAGCTCAGAGGATTTAACGTTCGGTGAGTTGTGGGGTGGGTGGGAGTGTAGCTGATAAGGTCAGATGGGTGGAGAGCGGTCAGTTATAAAACCTGTAAAGAGCAATGGGAACCATGGAGGGGTTTGCCCATGTGTGGGAAGGCCTGTATTTCTTTTATGGAATATTCATCATCTTTTTGCCCAAAGTCTCCAAACAATTAGACTTTCCTTGACTATCAAGATAAACAGATATTCCTATGTGTAGATCACTGTAAACACTTTAAGTGCTAGGAATTCATACTAGGCCTCGTAAACTCTAAATTTTAGAATTAGAAGTGATCCCTGAAGATCATTTATTTTGATATTGTTCTGCATTCTCTGAATAACATTGTCTTACTTGATTAGAAAAGTGATAAAGGCTGAATCCACTGAAAATAGTTCGCATGTGAGTAATGAAGACTCAACTAATTCACTTAAACTATATAGGCTACTTATTGACCTTTGAACAAGAATTCATTAGCTTCAGGCAAGGCCTGATCCAACTGTCTGATATGATGTCAAGGACCTGCTCTTTCCATTGCTCTGTTCTGCAGTTTCTAGTGTAAGCTTCTGCCATCCTTAGTATAAGCTTCCTCCTTAGGCTGGCTGTTTGTATAATTACAGGATAGCTGTCTGCACCTACCTACCATGACTATCTATCATCTTCCCTAGTAATGTCTAGTAAAAGCACTCAGGGTTTCAACTTAGCTAGCCAACATCTTAAGATTAAATTTGGACCAACTTAGGTCACATGCCCACCCCTGCACCCCTGAACCAATCACTGTGGCTGGAGGAACACAAGGACCTCATGGCTCAGCTCGGGTTACATATTCTACTCCTAGATTCCAGAAAGTGGGGTCACCTTCCTTAGAATCACATCAGCTAAGATTAGAGAGAGGATGATTTCCCTAAAGCAAAATCAGTCATATTGTCAAAGTTGGGAATGGTAGGTGGATGTCTGAAGTAAACCTTCAGGTCACTTGTCAAAAATGAACACTCAGATACATAATTCTTATAAAGGTTACAGTTAACAGAGCTAACTGAAAGAAGTCAACAGGTGTCACTAGTGACCACCAGGAAGGTGGGTTATATTAGTCACGATATGCAAACTGCTATAACAAACTATTCCTAAATCTCAGTGACTTGACACAACAACGGTTTGTCAAAGAAGTCCAAGATAGCATGGGTTGGAAACCACGGTGCTCCACACAGTCATTCAGGGACCCAGGCTCTTTCCATCAAATAGCTCTCTCCTATACCCAAGGTCCTTGGGGATCTTCATGAGATTTTTTTACATCCAATGAGCAGATGAGGAAAGAGAGCACACAGAAAAGGCACAGCCACCCTTAATTGTCTTGAACCAGAGGTAACACACGACACTTTTGGTCTCTTTCCATTGGCTGGAACTAGTCACGTGGTGCCACCTACATACAGCAGAGCTGGGAAGTATAGAATAGTGGGAGCCCAGGTAGAGGTGGGAACATGGATAGTTGTGAACACCAGCACCTTCCTAACAGTGTGTCATCAATCACAGCTTCTGGAATCTCTGCAGTTCTTTCACATGGTTATTGTAGAAAATTTAGAGATTCCAGAAACACCGTTTTTAATTTTGATAAGTAACCCAGAAAGAGAAGTACAGAGTAGGATGTGGAAGACTATTGTTCAGAAATATTGACTGCCTGTTCCCTCTCCACTAAAAGGACAGAGTCTATTTCCCCCACTTCTTGATGCTGAGTTAGGCAGTGTGACTCACTTTGGCCAACAGAATGAGGCAGAACTCACTATTGCTAGTTCTGGACCTACGTCTCAAGTGGCCTTGCAGTTCTCACTTGCCCTTTGGTGCTTCTGCTGTTGCCACTGGAAGAACATGCTGGGCTAATGTGCTGGAACCAGGAGAAGGATGATAGATACATGGGCAGAGCCACTCTAGCCAATTCTCTCTAGATTGCCCAGCCCTCATTGCTAACCCTCAGATGTGTAAGCAAACCCAGCTGAGATCAACAGAGCCAACCAGCCAAGCCCACCTAGATCAGCCACAACCCACCCACAAACCATGGGCTAAATGAGTTCTTGTTGTATGACATTGAAATGTGTTGTTTATTGTGCAGCAATGAGCCAATATGGTGGAGTTGCTCAAGCTTGCAAAGGATACTGTGTTTTCCCAGGTTACTTTTTTACTGGAGACAATAAAAAAGGGGTAGGAAAATATTACAGAAGTGTCAGGCGCATGCTGAAGGAAATACTCCAGACTCTGCTGAAGATAATATGCTCTGAGATGACACATGACCCAGAGGTGGAATTCCAGAGCCATGGTTAACTTCATCCTTCATGACGTGAATCCAGGGCTTCTGAGGACAAGGGAGTCAACAAAGCACTGTGCATCAGCAAAGAAGGTGCTGGAATCAAGACAGAAAACACCACCCACCACTCACCACCACCACCACCTTCACCCCCACCACTCATAACTATGAAGCATTTATGCCTACAAGTCACGGGGTTGTTTTGCTTACAGAGGAGCCAATATGGGCATAAATGGAGCTGAAAGAGGTTCAGAGACCAAGAGCAGAGAGGAACTACAGACCAAAGTTCCCCATTCTGGAAAGTCAAAAATAATTGGAGAAAAGCTCTGACTTCCCAGTGTAAAAGAGGGAACCTTCCACAACCCAAAGTAGTAGAACCAGCACCTAACACCCAGATCTTTGTTTTTAATGCCATTCTCCAATTACAAAAAAAATTTTGGAGAAATGGTTGATTCTAGGACTGGGGTAGGAAATCTGCAAGATGAGCCTGGAGGATCTTGTAGTGCTAGAAATTGTTCAAACACAACCACACACACACACACACACAATGATGGCGGTGTGTCAAAGAAACACATGGGCCACGGAAAGAGCTCCCAATGGCCAAAGCTGGAACAATTCGAGCAAGAAAATACATAAAGTTGCACTGGATTACAAACACAAGTATTAAAAAAATTCATGAGTTTATACTGATATTCATGAAATAAATACAGAATAAAATAGGCAAATCTCCTGTGCAGAAAAATTGCAAAACATGTACATATACATTCTGCCCTCAAGGAGGGGGAGTCTAACATCCCACTCCCTAAGTGTGGGCTGTGCATAGTGACTTCCCTCTACAGGGGGTACAAGGCAGGGGTGGGTGAAGGAAGAGAAGCATAACTTTACCATAGAGAAAACTGACAGACTCTACCTCAGCCAGGTGATCAAGGTTAAATCATGGTGTCGTAGGTAACCTTAATATGATATGATGAGTTATGGCACTTGATCTTTGTGGTCTCCCTCCTAAAAACCCACCTCACTGGTTTAACCATGAGCAAAACACCGGACCAATCCCGGTTGAGGAGCGTTCTATAAAGAAAACCTAACCAGTACTCCTCCGAACTGTCAAGGTCATCAAAAACAAAGTCTGATTAATTGTCACAGCCAAGAGGAGCCTGGGGAGGCACGATGAGTAAGTGGAATATGCTATCCTGGAAGGGATCCTGGAACAGAAGAAGGAGATTGGCCGGGAGGGGTGCCCCACACCTATAATCCCAACACTTTGGAAGGCCGAGGTGGGAAGATCACTTGAGGCCAGGCTGGTCAACATAGCAAGACCCGGTTTCTACCAAAAAAATTTTTTTAAATAAATAAATAAAGGATATTAAGTAAAAATTAAGGGAATCCAAACAAAGCAACAATTGTAGTTAATGTTTCAGTACAGGTTCACTTCTGGCAAATTCACCATATTAATGTAAGATACAATTAGTGTTAATAATAGAGGAAACTGGGTGGTATGTTAGAATGCTCTGCACAATCTTCATAACTTGTCTGAAATCAAAATCAATTCTCAAATAGAAAGTTTATCGTTAAAAAATGTGTGAACCAGGGCCATCCTTGAGGATGAAAGAGGAAATTTAAGCATAGACTTTGAAGTCAGGCACAGTCAGATTTCGTTCCAAGGTTGTGTTACATTTATTGGTTGTGTGGTCCTGGAGAAGTCACTTAACTTCCCAGCATTTTGTCTTCCTTGTCTATAAAATATGACTATCAAGGTGCCTTCCTCCTAGAATTGTGGGGAGATATAAAGGAGGTCACATATGGAAGCAGTGTGACATATCGCAAACACTCCATAGATTATGGCCATCATAATTGTTATTTATTTCTTAGTATGAAAATCAGAGAAATCTTACCTTCCCAACCAATAATAAATAAGGCAATAATTCCCCCAATAGGTTGTGCATGCTGAAAAGACAAAATAGTTTCTTTTTTTAAATTTTAGATTCAAAGGGTACATGTGCAGGTTTGTTACATGGGTAGACTGTGTGATGATGAAGTTTGGGTCTCTACTGATTCCGTTGCCCAAGTAGTGAACATAGTAGCCAATAGGTAGTTTTTCAAGCCTTATGCTCCTACCTCCCTCCCCACTTTTTGAATCCGCAGTGTTTATTTCTCCCATCTCTGTGTCTGCATGTACCCAATGCTTAGCTCCCATAGATAAGTGAGAACATGCAGTAAATGGTTTTTTGTTCCTGTGTTAGTTTGCTAAGGATGATGGCCTCTAGCTGCATCCATATTGCTGCAAAGGACATGATCTCATTCTTTTTTTTTTTTTTTTTTGACAGAGTCTTGCTCTGTTGCCCAGGCTGGAGGGAGTGACACCATCTCAGCTCACTCCAACCTCTGCCTCTGAGGCTCAAGCAAATCTCATGCCTCAGCCTCCCAAGTAGCTGGGACTACAGGTGCGGGCCACCATGCCCAGCTAACTTTTTGTATTTTAGTAGAGACGGGGTTTCACCATGTTGCCCAGGGTGGTCTTGAACTCTTGAGTTCAGGTGGTCTGCCCGCCCCGGCCTCCCAAAGTACTGGGATTACAGGCATGAGCCACCACGCCTGGCTGATTTCATTGTCTTTTAAGGCTGCATAGTATTCCATGGTGTGTATGTACCACATTGTCTTTATTCAATCCACCATTGATGGGCACCTGGGTTGATTCCATGTCTTTGCTATTGTGACTAGAACTGAGATAAACATATGAGTGCATGTGCTTTTTGGGTGGATTGATTCATTTTCCTTTGGGTGTAGTTTTTTTTTTTTTTTTTTTTTTTTGAGATGGAGTCTCACTCTGTCACCCAGGCTGGAGGGCAGTGGCGTGATCTCGGCTCACTGCAAGCTCTGCCTCCCAGGTTCACCCCATTCTCCTGCCTCAGCCTCCCAAGTAGCTGGGACTACAGGTGTCCACCACCATGCCCGGCAAACTTTTTGTATTTTTAATAGAGAGGTGGTTTCACCGTGTTAGCCAGGATGGTCTCGATCTCCTGACCTTGTGATCCGCCCGCCTCAGCCTCCCGAAGTGCTGGGATTACAGGCGTGAGCCACCGCGCCCGGCCTCCTTTGGGTATAGTTTTAATAACCATTGAGGCCGGTGCAGTGGCTCATGCCTGTAATCCTAGAACTTTGGGAGGCCAAGGCGGATGGATCATCTGAGGTCAGGCGTTCGAGATTAGCGTGGCCAACATGGTGAAAACCCATCTCTATGAAAAATACAAAAATTAGCTGGGTGTTGTGGCGCACGCCTGTAATCCCAGCTACTCGGGAGGCTAAGGTAGGAGAATCGCTTGAACCAGGAGGCGGAGGTTGCAGTGAGCCGAGATTGGGCCGTTGCTCTCCAGCCTGGGAGACAGAGAGAGATTCCATCTCAAAAAAAAAAAAAAAAAAAACCCAAAAAAAACCATTGAGATAAATCAGTGAACATGAGAGTTACAGTGGAGTGGTCGATGGTATTGTTTGTTCATGACTCTTCTTTCTCTCCCACCTTGGCCATGGCTTCTCTTTAGAGAGTGTACGATGCTACCCCACTGACTTGAGCTGCCGCCCTGTGATTTACTTTGGCCAATGGCCCACAAGCAGAAATGATGCAAACAGAGGCTTTAAGTATATTTATGTGCCGTGGCTTAGCCTCTTGTATACTTGCTGTCACCATGATGAGTATGCTCCAAGTAGTCACTGCTCCTTTATCCTGGTCCTAACGTGAAAGACACACGGAGCTGTCCTGAATCTGAGCCCAGTTAACTGTGGCTGATATCCAGACCCATGGGAGAGAAATGAATGTTGTTTGTCACAAGCCGCTGAGATCTTGGGCTCACTGTGCAGCCTTATCCCAGCAACAGCTGACTACAAGTTGATTGTTACCAAAATATTTGGACACTACCCATGTTTCTTCTTTATTGTTTTATGGTGACTCAGTAGAAGATGAAGATATCTTTCTAGGAAAAGCAAGCAGTGCCCCTCCAAAGAGACAATCACAGTGGAAGAAGAGTTGATCTTACCCACAATATTTATGTCTTGTGCCACTCAAGAGTTTCCGTCAGTCTTTTCTTTGAATGCCCCCATTTTTTGTTTATTTCACTTATTATTTTTTCTTTGTAGTTATTAATCATCCAAACTGTAGGAACTTCTAGAGTGGCAGTGATGTGTTAAACAGAGCAGACACTTCACAGATATGATCCCTAGATCACGCAATATCTTTGTAAAATTTGCTTTATTGCCTTCAATTTACACATAAGGAAACAAAGGTCCAGAGATCTTAATTGCATCACACAGCTGGTAGGTAAGTAACAGCCTTCAGGCTCAGATGTATGCCTTTGGTTTCTACAATCTTTGTTTCAATATTGCAACTCTTTTATTTTATTTATTTTAGAGACAGGGTCTCGCTCTGTTGTTCCAGATGGGGTGCAGTAGTGTGATCATAATTCACTGCAGCCTCAACCTCCCAGCCTCAAGCAATCTTCTTGCCTCAGTCCCCCAAGTAGCTGGGGACTACAGGTGCATGCCACCACCCCTAGCTAATTTTTTAAATTTTTTTTTGTAGAGGTGGGTGTCCCTGTGTTGCCCAGGCTGGTCTCAAATTCCTGGCTTCAGCTTCCCAAAGTGCTAGGTGTGCCATCGTGCATGGCCTTATTTTTATTTTTATATATTTAGAGAGTACAAATGCAGGTTTCTTACATACATATATCCCATAGTGGTGAAATCTGGGCTTTTAGTCTACCCATCATCAGAATAGCGAACATTGTACCCAATAGGCAATTTTTCAACCCTCATGCCCCCTCCTACCCTCTCACCTTTTGCAGCCTCCAGTGTCTAGTGTACCCCGTATGTCCATGATTACAACTATTTTTAAAGTGGACAACTAGAACTATGGGATGGGTTCAGAAATGCATATCTAATGTGGGGTTCAGAGACACTGGAAGCTTGGTGAGAGAGGTACCTTTAGATAAGAAGATGTCTCAGAGATCCCCAAGCTACCACCTAATTTAACAGTGACTGTTTATTGAGCACTTTACATGCCAGGTGCACTATGCCTTGGAGAGGCAGAGATGTGCAAAGATTCACATGGTAAGGAGATTGAGTTTTGTTCTGAGGGTAAGGGGGATCCACAGAAAAGTTTTCAGTGAGGGCTATGAGGGAGCAGTAAGAAGGCAATTACAGGAGTCCAGGAAAATATTGGCCTGGACTGGGTTAAGGTAGTGGTGGGTAGAGAGAGGTTCAAAAGGCACTTGGCACAGGCAAAAAAAAGAAAGAAATAGACAAACCGAACTTCATGAAAATTAAAAACTTTGGTGCATTGAAGGACATTCTCAACACAGTGAAAAGGAAACCTATAGAATGGGAGAAAGTATTTGCAAGTCATATACCTGATAAGGGATTCATATCCAGAATATATAGAGAACTCCTACAACTCAACAACAACAAAGGCCAAACAACCCAGTTCAATCCAAACAACTTGAATAGACATGTCTCTGAAAGGGATATACAAATGCCAATAAGCACAAGAAAAGATGCTTAGAATCACTAATCATTAGGGGAATGGCAACCAAAACCACAGTGAGATACCACCTCACACCCATTAGGATGGCTACGATCAAAAAAACAGAAAATGACAAGTGTTGGCGAGGATGTGGAGAAATGGGAACACCTATGCCCTGCTGGTGGGAATGTAAAATGGTACAGTCTCTGTAGAACACAGTATGGCAGTTCCTGAAAACCGAAATAGAATTTTCACATCATCTAGCAATTCCTCTTTAGAGTATATACCCAAAAGAATAGGAAGCAGGGTCTTGAAGAGTTGTTTGTACACTAATGTCCACAGCAACATCATTCACAAGAGCTGAAAACTGTGGAAGCAACCCAAATGTCCATCCACCAATGAAAGGATAAGTAAATGTGGTATATCCATACAAAAGAATACTAGTCAGCCTTAAAAGGGAAGGAAATTCTGGCACATGCTACAACATGGATAAACCTTGAGGATACTATGCTAAGTGAAATAAACCAGTCACAAAGAGGCAAATACTGTATGATTCGCTTATGTGAAATACTTAGAGTTCTCAAAATCATAGAGACAGAAAGTAGAATGGTGGTTGCCAGGAGCTGGGGGTTGGGGCGAATGAGGAGTTACTGTTTTATAGTCTCAGTTTTACAAAATGAAAAGGGTTCTTAAGATAGACTGTCGTGACAGTTGCACAACAATATGAATGTACATTTAATATCACTGAATTGTACACTAAAAAATTAAGGTGGTAAATTGGCCGGGTGCTGTGGTTCATGCCTATAATCCCAGCACTTTGGGAGGCTGAGGCGGACAGATCACCTGAGACCAGGAGTCTGAGACCAGCCTGGCCAAAATGGTGAAACCCCGTCTCTACTAAAAATTCAAAAATTAGCTGGGTGTGGTGGTGGGTGCCTGTAATCCCAGCTACTCAGGAGGTTTAAGCAGGAGAATTTCTTGAACCCGGGAGATGGAAGTTGCTGTGAGCTGAGATCACGCCACTGCACTCCAGCCTGGGCAACAGAGCAAGACTCTGTCTCAAAAAAAAAAAAAAAGAAGGAAAAAGAAAAATAAAAAAGTGGTAAATTTTATGTTAAGTGTATTTTACTACAATTAAAAATCAAAATAAATAAGTGATATTTTACAGGCACTTAGGAAGTAAAACAAGTAGGGCTGGTTCTCATTTATTGCATGCAGGTGGACGGGGCTAAGGAAAAGAAAGGAATAAAAGCAAATCCCAGATTTCTGGCTCTGGCACCCGCATTACTAGTAGCAGCATTCTTTAAGACAGGGAGTACTAGGGAAGGATTCATCCCTCCACACATTTGCCTTTGGCTGGTATGTCTCTTTAGTCTCCTTTATCTATGGCTTCTGCCTCTGCCTATTTTTTAAAATTTTCCTTGCAATTGACATATTTTTTAAAACTGAATCATTTGCTCTGTAGAGTACCTCACAATCTGGGTTCCATTGGTTGTATTCTTGTGGCATCTTTTAATATGTTGTTCCTTCTCTTGTATGTCCTGTAAATTGGTCATTAGATTTAAAGATTTGATCTGATTCAGGTTTGAGTTTTCAGCAAGAATATTTCGTAGTTAGTTGTATTATTCAATCAGCAGGCTCATAACGTCTGGCCGTCTCTCTTCGGGGGATTTTAGTAGCCGATGATGCATTGCCTAGAGCCATTATTTCCTTAGGCACTTGCAAAATGGCTCTATTTTAAGTCTATCACTCCTTCCTATTCGTTGGGCTGCTTCTATGGAGAAAGCTTTTCTTCATCGACTAAGATACAGTACCTACAGGAAAGGCAAGATAAATGCTCGATTCTTTTATTTGCCAATTTTCAGAATAATAAGTTGGTTCTTTAAAATACCTTCCAAAGGAGGCCAGTGAATTTTGGTTTGATTTGTTTTGTTTTTAGGATCATTGTTAACTCATGGAGTTTAGAATAGTTCATGCGTTTCACCGCATTGTAGTTATTCTTCTTTCAGATGCTCACAGAATTTCATCTTTAGCCAGCGAGAGCCAAGTGGGTTGGTTCCTGAGCCCTTTTGACACAACCATAGTAATCTTTGATAGCCTCCTTTCTTCTGATTAACAAGATGTCCTAAGATCATCTTGTACATTTCCTACCCCACTCTTGGAATCAGCCATTTCTCCCAGGAGCTGTAATTCCTTTCACTTTGAAATTGTTCTTAGAGACCATAATCAGTGTAATAGCTGGGTTGGTCATTGTTTCTAGGTAGTAGGTTGGTGCAAAAGAATTTGCAGTTTTTGCCATTACTTTTAATGGCAAAAGCTGCAATTACTTTTGCACCAACCTAAAATTTCAATAATCAAAACTAGGAAGTAAAAATTTTAAAAAAGAAATGCATCATAAGTTCATACTATTTCCCGTTCAAATTTAGGATTACAAGGCTTCATTCACTTAGGTGATCTTGTATTTTTATATGTTTTCTCTTATGCTGAAAATCTTAGTTGCTGACAACACTAATTTACCAATCTATTTATTTTACCCACTATGTATTAAAATAACAATACCAATATTTTTGCTAATAGTATGATTAATGAGAATAGTTTCTTTCTTTTTTTGTTTTTATTGTTATTTTGTACAGTCAAATTGCTGTGCTTAAAGTCACATATATGTGGTTAAGTCACTAAGCCAACACAGTTAGGTTCATTTGTTTCATTTTCCTTTCAGTTTTAAAGAATTAATTTTCATTTTCTTTTTGACTTTTTATCATTGTAGAAGAAACTTACATGATTCCCGAGTCAAATCTATAAAATGATATATTTTCAGATGTTAGTATTTTTAAATATGTCATCCATATCTCTCAGACTGCTTTTTATTGTCTAGAAAACGTTAGGTTTTACCTACCAATGAAGAGAAATAAGACTGTCATTCAGACTATTAGAAATGATGAGGTATTTTTATGAAAAGAAACATATTCAACCTTGAAATTAGAAACCATTTTTGTTTCCCCTAACAAGGGCCTGTCTCTCAATTTCCCACAGTTTCAAAGCCCCACTGCACAACCGAATGAAAACACAATGTCATTATGGTTACTGAAATCAATTATATGTCCAGGTTTTCCATTTGCATGCAGCTTCCTTCAGACAAGAATGCTTTTCAGAAAATCTTTATTCCCTTTGGACTTTTTTCCCTGAAAGCTTTTATGATTAATGTGACAACACAAATGCAGCCATGTCTATAACTGTCTTCCATAGATACACAAATAGAATGTACTGAAGCATCACAGGTTGAACTTGCTCATTGCCTTGCAGGACTGACACAACCCCGGCTAGAAGCCTCAACCTCATCGTTGCGTGCTCTCCCTCTCTTCCATCACTGCTAGTTGCCTCTATGTCCTACTGGTTCCAGCACTCAGGGTCTCAGACACCCAGCCTCCCTCTCCTTTCTACTTGGCCTCATCTCTCCACCAGCATCTTTCATGATGGATGGCAGCAACAGCCTAGTTTCCCTGCCACCAGTCCCTCCCCTCCAACCACTCACAATACAGCAACCAAACTGTCTTCCTAGAAAATCACAAGCCTGATAGTCTTAAAGTCCCGCTTAAAAATTGTCAATGGGGGGCCAGGCACGATGGCTCACGCCTGTAATCCCAACACTTTGGGAGGCTGAGGTGGGGGGATCACGAGGTCAAGAGATCGAGACCATCCTGGCCAACATGGCGAAACCCTGTCTCTAATAAAAATACAAAAATTAGCTGGGTGTGGTGGCGTGCACCTGTAGTCCCAGCTACTTGGGAGGCTGAGGCAGGAGAATCGCTTGAACCCGGGAGGCAGAGGTTGCAGTGAGCTGAGATTGCACCACTGTACTCCAGCCTGGTGACAGAGCAAGACTCCATCTCAAAAATAAATAAATAAATAAATAAATAAAAATAAAAAATAAAAAAATTGTCAATGACCTCCCATCAATCAAGGAACAAAATACAAAATCCTTAGCATGGTATAAACACCTTTCATACTCTCATAATCTTACCCTCTCTTTTTTTTCTCTCTTTTTTTTTCTAGAAACTCTTTTATGTTCTTCCCACCTCATGGCCTCAGAACATGCTAGAAATTTTTATTCCTCTCTGCCTTTACTCACATCATTTCCCTACATGGAATGCCCTACATGCTTATCCATTCCTACATCTTCACCTAACCAACTTTTACTCATTCTATGGCACCCAATGAGTTTCAATCACCTCTCCTGTGAATCTATTTCATCTCCCCAACTTCAAACACAACTAAGCCTTCCTTTCTTCAGGCTTCTGTTACACTGTTGTCAAGCTTTATTTTAGTATTTATCTTATACAGCAGAGATGAGTTTGTATACCCACTTCTTACTAAGAAGTGTTGTACACCAATAAATTCATCTATATGAAATGGACAAATTCCTAGAAACACACAAACTACCAAACTGACTCAAAAAGAAATAGAAAATCTGAATAGGCTTATAACAAGGTAAGAGATTAAAGCATAATCAAAAAGCTCTCAAGAAGGAAATCCCAGGACTAGATGACTGGTAAATTCTACCAAATATTTAAAGAAGAATGAACACAAATCCTTCCCAAACTCTAGTTAAAAAAAAAAAATAGAAGAGGAGGGAACACTTCCTAACTCATTGTACGAGGTCGCATTACTCTGATACCAAAGCCAGATAAAGACATCACAAGAAAAGAAAACTACATACCCACTTCTTACTACCAAATATGAGTGCCTGTGTCTCACTGAGCTTTGGGCTCTGAGCACCCAGCACAATTCCTGGCACACAGTGAGAAACCATAGAGCCTTCTTTATTCCTGAATAATTTAATGGCTAACCATGGGCAATGTTTGAACTGGAAGAGGTTGTCTGACTTGAAAGGATTTGAATCCCAAGATAGTTTTAGATGGTTATAGAAAGATGTGTTATTCTTAACATCACTCAGAAAGTAAGTCTACCACATTCAATCAGCTTTGTGATTTCTCTCTTCCAAATTCCCCAAGGGAGGGAGTTGGAGCTGGGTAAAGCTCAAGTTTCACTTAATGAGGTAATGATTTGTCCTCTTTCTTGTGGGAGTGGCTGCAAAGATGAGAGGATCGCACAAGAGCCCAAGAGCATTCCTTGTGTATTTCTAGAACACAGTAGATAACCATATGGAAATATTACTCAGCAGCTGAACTACTCTCTGGGAAGATCCTTGGGTTGGGATTGGGAACAGGCTAGAGGGACAGAGGCCCTCCTTTTTTTTTTTTTTAAACTGATGCCGTTGTTTTATTTCTTTGCATGTTGCAGCACGCAGAACATTAATAGAGGATGAGAGTGCAGTGACTAAGGAGACGCTAGAAGGTTCAGGGAGAAAAGCAAAAGGAAAAGGAAAGGCAAAAGAGGTGTCATCACAGAAGTCCTATGGGGATGGGTGATGAGGAATCTTATTAAGTTTTGCTTTTTCATATGTCATGTAAATTCTCTCCCCAGTGTTTCCATAACACTTTGAGTAAAACACCCATTTCTCATTAACATAGTGTGTAGTTAGACTTAATTTGTTTGTTTTTAAAGATTGATCCCAAGTGCTGAGTCCATTTTAAGGTGTTCTCACAATGAGAGCAGATCTCCCCATTAGAACCTACTTGTATTTAAATGACAAGCATAATGCTTGATGTACCAACTAGAATGCTTTTAGTTGAAAGAAACAGAACCCCAGCTTAAAATAATGTGAACAGTGAAAGGAATTTATTGATTCATGTAAATAAAAATGGGTCAACACTAGTTTCAGGAATGGCTTGATCAGGGTGCTGACTCCATTGCTCTGCAGTTCTGTTGATTTTGCCTTCCTGAACATGATGGTTTACTTTTCAGACTCACTTTTATCATGGTGACAAAATGTCTGGAACAGTTCCGTACACCACATCTTCCTGAAGAAAAGTGTCTTTATCTCAATTACCAAACAAAATCCTAGGTTTCACTCTAACTGAGCAAACCAGTCACATGCCCATCTCTGAATCAATCACCATGGCCGACGGAAGTGCCGTGCTCTGATTGGCTTAGGATGAGATTTGTGCCTATCTCTGAAACAATCCTATGCAAGAGTAGGATTTTCTGATTGGGTTTAGTCAATTGGAGGGGGGTTTACCTCTGGAACTGTGAATGGAATCACTGTCCCCTAAATTATTATACATGACTGCCATGCATTGGGAGTAGAGTCAGTACTCTCAAAATCACATGACCCCATGCCTTTGCAGAGCAGATGAATGGATGCCGCTAAAAAAGCCATCAATGTCTTTCTGAATGGGAATTTTCCTTTGGGATGTAAAAAGTGCCTTTTCATTCTGGCCTTTGATTCTCCAACACAAAATTAAACCACTCTGCTACTTCTCCAGTGTGCATGGATGTGTCCACACTTTTCTTTGCTTGATATATTTTATCAGTTGCTCCAAACATTAGCAAAAAGCTGTTCATGGACTTGAACATTATTTAGAAACAAGCAACCCTGGTGTTGAACATGCCTTTGACAATATACAGTTGTCTACCTTGAATCTTTCGCTCCTTTCATTAGACTGAATAGCACAATGGTTAGGAATTGGAACTCTGGAATTGGACTGCCTGATTTCAGAATCTGGTTCTGCCACACACTGGCTGTGGACCTTGAATAATTTACTTAACCTTTCTGGGGCTTGGCTTTTTTATCTGCAAAATGGGGATAATGTGGGCACAAACCTCATAGAGCTGCTATGAGAACCAAATGCTATGATGAATATACAATGTTGGCTCAGTGCCCGGTAAATAGTGAATGCTCCAGAAATATGACGATGATGATGATGATGATGATGACAAGTAATTGGCCTTAGCTCTTGCTTTGTCCTTACCAGCTAAATAGAGTCTGACACCATAAATGTAACATTTTCTATAGCTCCAATAACAAAATCTAAGCATTACAGATTCTACACATTTGCTTCTTGTTAAGAATTTATAGATTCACAATCACCTAAGTCGAAAGGAGACTAAAATCTGAAGTTGGCATTCAAACAACACTGCTATTGGAAAAATAAATTTAAAAAAGGAAAACTAGGGCTGAATAGTTGAATAGTTAATTGTAGTACTTGAGCTATTAACATATTAATAATGAATTACTAATAATAATGATTAACAGTTTTGATATTTAGATATTAAAGAGTTCCTTCCAGAAGAGTTGTATCAGTCCTGTTTCACAAACAGGCAGCATCATCTGTAGCAGGGTACAGAAAGCAGTCACCAAGCACGAAGACACTAGAGTCATTTATATGATCAAGAAAGGGCTTTGGCTGAGCGCAGTGACTCATGCCTGTAATCCTAGCACTTTGGGAGGCTGAGGTGGGCGGATCATGAGGTCAGGAGTTCAAGACCAGCCTGACCAACATGGTGAAACCCGACTCTACTAAAAATACAAAACTTAGCCGGGTGTGGTGGCGGGTGCCTGTAATCCCAGCTACTCAGGAGGCTGAGGCAGGAGAATTGCTTGAACCTGGGAGGCAGAGGTTGCAGTGAGCCGAGGTTGCACCACTGCACTCCAGCCTGGGTGACAGAGCAAGACTCCATCAAAAAAAAAAAAACAAATAAGAAAAAAGAAAAGAAAGGATTTTAGTTTTTAGGGAAGCAATGCCCTTCTCTCCCTATCCTTTCCAACAGAAATTCAATTTTAAAAATCCTGACCCACTGGGATTTTATTCCCCCTTTCTCTACTCACCAAAGTAGTAGCTCATTAAATCCACATTCCAAAGCCTGCTGTAGTCAGAAGGCCCTTTCTGCATCCAGCTCAGCCTTTGTTATATCACATGGCTTTATGTGTCATAGTCATTATAAAAACAACTGATTTAAGAAGACACACGAGTTTTGGAAAATCTCCAGAGGATGCAGAGGTACAGAGCAGTGGTTCTCAAGCTTTGGGAGCTGCTAGAATCTTCTGGGCAGGCAAGTGGGAGAAGGAAGGACTGGTTCAAAATGCAGATTCCTGGCCCCAGCCCCAGAGACCCTAACTTGAAATGTCCAGGGTGGGGCCTGAGAGTCTGTACTTTTGTGCCAGCTTCTTGGACAACACTGAAGCAGATGTGGTGTGGATCATTCAAGAACCCTATCTGGAAGCTCAGAGGATCAGACCCTTCCACCTGAAGACAAACCCAACAGCCACTCAGTGTATTTATTTTATGGGGGTATATCACAGGGCATGTATTATGGACCGAATGTTTCTGTCTCCCTAAAATTCATGTTAAAGCTGTAACCCCCAATGTGATGTTTTTGGAAATGGGAACATTTGGGAAGTAATTAGGTTTAGATGAAGTCATGGGGGCCAGGTTCCCATGATGGGATCCGTGTTCTTCTAAGAAGATGAAGAGACCAGGGCAATGTGCACTCTCTCTCTCTCTCTCTTTCTCTCTCTCTCTCTCTCTCTTCCTATCCCTCTCTCTCTCTCAGTCTCTCTCTCTCTGCCATAGGACACAGTAAGAAGGTGGACACCTGCAAGACAGGAAGAGAGCCCTCACTGGGGAACTGAGTCTGCTGGCACCTTGACCTTGGACTTCCCAGCCTCCAGATCTGTGAGAAATAAGTTTCTGTTATTTGAGCCTCCCAGTCTATGGTATTTTGTGATGGCAGCCCGAGCTGACTAAGACAGTGTGTGAGCATGTGAGTGTGGGGGTGTGATACAAGATGAACCAAAGCCAGCTAAAACCTGTCACAGGCTGAGACAACCCATCAGCCAAAACTCCAGGTTCAGGCTACATAACATTGTCAGAGATCATCAAGTGCTGGTTTTAAGTAAAATATTTTCTCTAAAACTCATGAATTTAAAAACTCATGAATATGTTACTGTGTTGGAATTGTTTACATGCTTTGCATTTTATAAAGGAAAGCTTCACTCAATCAATATAGTCAGGCTCTGACTCTGGTAATAAAGGTTTTAATTTCTCATGTGTTTGAAGCCTCCCCTATGAACTTTATTAAATTAATCAGGAAAAAAGGGAGGAGGAGAAATGAAAATGAAACAAGCTTGTAGCACATTCAGCATTAATCATTAAGTCAGCCCGCTCTCTGACCTGCTTCCTCATATTTGTGTGGTGCCTATTGTCCTACAATCACGTAGACTCTGTTACAAGATTATAGCTCCCCTTAACTGCTCTATAGATAAAAAACTGAACACTACAAAACAGTAAGTTTTCTTTTTGAGATAGTCCTTCAGGTCCTGCATACTAATAAGACTATAACACTAGCCAATCTGAAGGACCCAATGAGAATCTGACTGCCGAAGAATGCAGTTTTCACATCCTGATGATTTCAGCCCCCTTTCCCTGATCAATCAACAGCCCCAATTCTGAAGTCCCTCACCCTCCATGATCCCCTTAAAAAACCCAGCCCATAACTCCTTGGGGAGACGGATTTGAGGGTCTCCTCCCATCTCCTCACTCAGTGCCCTATGATCATGGATCTTTTTCTCTGTTGCAAACCTTGCTGTCTCAGTGTAATTGGTCTGTTACTGCACAGTGGACATACAAACCTGTTGGTTCTATAACATGATTGTCCTCCTAGGGATGATCAGCAGAACTGTATTTGCCTGAAAGTGTTCTTAGCTGTAGATGCTGGAGGCATCTGAGTACCCCCACTTGTAAAAGAGCAATACATAAGCCTTAGCTTCATGTTCTGCTTTCTGGGAAATGCAGGCTAATGCACATGGACATATAAACTCCATAGGGGCAGAGACTTTTGTCTGTTTTGTTCACTGTTGCATCTTCAGCACTTACTGGCACATAGTAGGAGCTTAACCAATTTGCTAAATGAAAAGTAAATATGCCAGGCTCTGTGCTAATGTCATTTCATTTTCACAACAACCCTGTGACATACGTACTCTGATTATCTGTATTTTATAGGTGAGGAAAGAGTCTCAGAGGGGTCAAGCAACTTGCTCAAGGTCACTCAGCAAGAAAGTGATAGAGCTGGGATAGGAACACAGGAGATATGAGCCACGTTCAAAACGGAAGTTGTACATTCATGCCACTCATCAGCTAATTAAACTGGTAACAGTTAATCAAACTGTTACCTTCTCATTTTAGAGCTCTCCCACCTTCCTTTTTCCTTTTTAATTGTAAAAAAAAACCACATAATGTAAAATGTACCATCTCAACCATTTTTAAGTGTACAATTCAGTGGCATTCATTTACTCGTGTTATTGTATAACCATAACCACCATCCATCTCCAGAAGTCTTCGTCTTGCAAAACTGAAACTCTCTACCAAGTAAACAATAAGTCCCATCTCCCCTTTCCCTGTAGCCTTTGGCAACTACCATTCTATTTCCTGTCTATGAATTTGCCTATTCTGGGCACTTCATTGAAATAGAATCACACAGTATTTGTCTTTTTGTGACTGGCTGATTTCATTTAGCATAATATCTTCAAGGTTCATCCATGTTGTAGCATGTGTCATAATTTCCTTCTGTTTTAAGGCTGAAGAGTATTCCACTGTATGGATAGATGACATTTTGTTTATCCATGCATCGCTGGATGGACCCTTGCGTTGTTTCCCCATTTAGCTATTGTGAATAATGCTGCTATCAATATGGGTGTACGAATGCCTCTTTGAGACCCTGCTTTCAATTCTTTTGGGTTTATATGCAGAAGTGGATTCCACTTTCTCTTTTATACCACTCACTGCATAATGGTCAAAGAGTCTTGTGCCTCTGATTCTCCACCCTCCTCCTCCCCCAAGCTTCATCACTCCTAGCCAAGGACCTTTAATTATTCTCTGTGGTGTGGTGGGAAAGAAACAAGGGAAATGACAGGAAGGCACCAGGGATGCAGATCTAGTAGGGATGGATGAAATATTAAGGGGCCAGAAGTGAAGACTAATGGAAATGGGATAGGAAGGTGAGGATTGGAGAGCAGGATCCTTCCACCCCAGTGAAACCACCACAAGGACCTTCTTAGGGCCCGTCATGATCTGTGAATATTCAAGGACTCCAGTGGCAGCAGGTCACTGCCTCCCAGGAGGTCTTACCACCTCTCTGGGCCTCAGTTTTCATGAGCGTAAAACTTGTGGATTGGATGAGTTTAGGGACCTGAACCAGTAATTTTAAACTCTTATGATACGTCACAACCTGTGCTAAGCACGTTTCATGTATTATCTCATTTAATTCTCTCAGTGCTCCCATGAGGTAAGGGTGGTCCCCATTTTACAGATGAGGAAACAGAAGTACAGGGTGAATGAATAACTTGCCTGATGTTTTGATGCCAGGAAATGCTAGAATTTGTATCACAGAGTTTGCATCTAAGCTCTCTGGACATAATCACTAACCTGTGCTGCCAACTGGCCACAGGCCAGCCTTGGGGATCCCTGAGCCAGGCAGTTCCAGTCCTTTGGCTACCTGTTGTCATCCCTCTTCCTGCAGCCCTACTATTGAAGACTATTAGGATTCCCAGAAACGGGAGCATGGTGAGACGGGGAGGGAGAGATGCTACTGACAGCATTGCTCTCTCCCTACAAGGAGAAATTACTACCTTGGCCAAATCATATAGAGTAGGGTGAAACTAGGCTCACAAAATAAAGTTAAATATAAATGAATGAATAAATAAAAAGATATGCAGGGCCGGGTGCTGTGGCTCCTGCCTGTAATCCCAGCACTTTGGGAGGCTGAGGCGGGTGGATCACGCGGTAAGGATATAGAGACAATCCTGGCCAACATGGTGAAACCCCGTCTCTACTAAAAATACAAAAATTAGCTGGGCGTGGTGGCGTGTGCCTGTAGTCCCAGCTACTCAGGAGGCTGAGGCAGGAGAATTGCTTGAATCCAGGAGGCAGAGGTTGCAGTGAGCTGAGATCATGCCACTGCACTCCTGCCTGGCAACAGTGTGAGACTCCATCTCAAAAAAAAAAAAAAAAGTATGCAGAAAGAGAGGTAAGCAGACTGAGAACCCATATTCTGCTTTATTGCCTTTTAGATTCAAATTTCAGTTGATGGCCAAAACCCACCTGAATTTGCCAAAGATACAAACCCAAAGTGTCTGAATTTAGCAATTTTGGAACTCTTAAAAACAGAAATTTGTCTTTGCATTTACCTACATAAGCTTTTAAACTTTCCAGGATACTTCCAGCCTTCTATAGTGGAAAGCACGAGAAGGTCTGATTTCTGGTTTTAGCTGTGTGACTTTGTGCCAGTCACTTGCCCTCTCTGGGCCTCAGTTTCCCTGTGTATCAAATAGTGGTTGGCCTGGATAGCCATTAAAGTCCATTCAAGCCATGGCCTGATTTTATGTTCTGGTGCCCATTTCAGCCTCATGATTTATGACTGATGTAGGTGAAGCAGGCACAAGTCTTTGTAAATGACATAGGAAGAAATAGAGGCCAAGAGAGGTGAAGTCATAGTTAACAGTCACTGGCAAGGCTGGGACAGGGACGCCAGCCAGAGTTTTGGGCCATTGACTTGTGGACCTCATAGTCATGTGAATAAGATAGAAGATAAAACCATTAATGTTTTCCTGAGCCGAAGCAAGATATTAGCTCATTCCCTGGACGCAGCCCACAGTCTGGCATAGAGTAGGTGCTCAATAAATACTTGCAGATCAATAAAGGAATAGACATGAAAGCATAAAGACATTGAAACCAAAACATTTTTAGCTGCTTTTTAAAGGTAATTTAAAATAACCTTTTTGTTTTAGAATAGTCTTAGATTTACTGAAAAATTGCAAAGGTAGTGCAGAGTGCTCCAACAAACCACACACCCAGTTTCCCCTATTGTTAACATCTTACATTCAGATGATACACTATTTACAATTAATGAACTAATATTCATACATCATTATTGCTATAGTTTGGATGTCCCCTCCAAAACTAATGTTGAAATTTCATTGCCATTGTGATGGTATTAAGAGGTGGGACCACTTAAGAGGTGATTTGATCATGAGGACTTTGTCTTCATAAATGGATTAATGCTGTCATGGGGGAGGTAGGTTAGCTATTGCAGGAGTGGGCTCCTGACAAAAGGATGAGTTCAGCCTGATTTCCTTTTTCTCACATGCTCGCTTACTCTTCCACCTTTTGCCATGGGATGACACAGCACAAAGGTCCTTGCCAGATACTGGTGCCATGCTCTTGGACTTTCCAGCCTGCAGAATCATGAGCAAATACATTTCTTTTCTTTATAAATTACCCAGTCTGTGGTATTGTGTTATAGCAACACAAAATGGACTAAAACAGTTGTTAACTACAGTCTGTACTTTTCAGATTTCTTTAGTTTTTACCTAATGTCCTTTTTCTGGTCCATGGTTTCATTCAGGATACCATATTACACTCATTACTTAGGCAATTGTTAAACTTCCCCTGAGTCCCATATTGCTCCTCTTGTTCGCTATTGCCCTACTTCAATCCAGCTTCCACATTGGAGCCAGCAAGATATTTAAAATACAAGAACCTGATCATTTACCCCACCCTTTGCTTCAAGAAGTCCCCCATGACTTTGAAGAAAGAGTTGCAATTTGTTAAATGAGTACTCAAGGCATTTTATAGCCTTTAAGGACCTGAATCTTCCACTCTGTCTTTACTGTGTTGTAAGATGCTGTCAATTGCAAGTTGTGACAAACCCACTTCGAATGGCCTTAAACAATAAAGAGTATTGGCTTATGTGATAGTTAATTGTATGTGTCAGTTTTACTGGGCTAAGGGATACACAGATAGCTGGTAAAACATTATTTCTGGTGTGTCTGTGAGGGTGTTGCTGGAAGAGATCAGCATTTGAATCAGTCGACTGAGTAAAGAAGATCCACCTTCAATTATGCAGGTGGACACCATCCAATCCATTGAGGGCCTGAATAGACGAAAAAGTCAGAGAAAGGGAGAATTTTCTCTCTGCTTGAGCTGGGACATCTGTCTTCTTCTGCCCTCGAACATCAGTGATTCTGGCTCTCAAGCCTTTGTACTCAAAGTGGGACTTACACCATTGGCACCCCTGGTTTTGGGGCCTTCAACTTCAGATTGTCGAACTACACCACCCGCTTTCCTGGGCCTCCAGCTTGCAGACAGCAGAGCATGGGACATCTCAGTCTCCATAGTCACATGAGCCAATCGCTCATAATAAATCTCTTTCTATATAACTCTCTATAAAGAAATATATGTATTTCTGCTTGTTTCTGTTTCTTTGGAGAACCCTGAGTAATACAGCTTATATAAATGAAAAGTCAAACAGGAATGTGGGCTTCAGGCATAGTTTAATCCAGAGGTTTACTCTATCAGCAGGGCTCAGCTCCCTTTCCCTTCTCCAGTCTGCCTTTCTATGTCCATTGATTTTATCCTTCCTAGAACAGATTCTTACCTGGCAGCAACATAGCCCCAGAGTTCCATGACTCATATCCACACTCCAACACCTAGAAGAAAAAAGAACAAGCTTTTTAGACAGTAAAGAGCTCTGAGATTCACTCTGACTGGACTAGCTGAGATCTCATGCCTATGATTGGCCATACCAGTTGGTTCAGGGATTATCACAAGTATTACCAGCATAGCCTTTATTGCGTTGAACTACAATTCTGGTTTTCTCATTGGTGTCTCCAATAGATGGTGTTATGTTATTCTCCTTTATATCCCCACTGCCTAGGACATAGTCATACTCAAGAAATGTGAATTGGATTTTCAAAGCACAGGGTTAGTTGTCCTCTTATCAAACTCTTGTGCTAGCTTAATCCGGGCCTCAGCAGTCTGTGGGCATAAAAGGTGCCCCATTAATAGTTGTAAATGCATAAATAAATACCAACTTGACTGCCTCTTGGCTCCATAGGACCTCAGCTCTTATAACTTCTCCACAGCCGGGTATTCAAGCCCATCTCAGGGGCTATCTCAGACATGATTAGTATGTTCCCTGTGGAACAGGTGGGTACCACTGTCCTTACCAAGTACCACATCTTTGCTGGGTGCTGCAGTGTATATCTTTGGGTCTCCATGGAGATCATGGGAGAGTTGCGGGTGTAGGGGGGGTCATACACCTTCTCCCTCCTTCTTGTAGTTGATGGGTCGTGCAGCATTGGGCTCAGGCTCCAGTGTGTTGCAGAGGTCTGCGTGGAGCCCATTGTCTGTTCTTCTTTGCTGCCCTCACTCCCCCGGGGCCCCAGACATGAGCCTGTGGACTGGGCCTAAGTAAGAGACCAGAGATGGTCATCTCACTCCATTCAGAATCTCTTCTGCTCTCTGGCCCTGAGATGTGGGATTGGAGCCAAGCCTGTCCTGCTAGATTTCTATTCCTCTGTCCTTTGCACTCAGAGATTCCTGGCTGCACACAGAGACTGCCTCACTGACAATCAGACCTTCCTGGAAGTATCTGGACCTCTGCAGTGGCCACAGCTTAGGCCTCACCCATGAGGAGTACGCTAGCAAGGATGCCTCAGGGTGTCTAGTACCTTCCAGGTGCAGCAGAGAATGCTGGCCACTGTGCCTTGATTTTTCTGGGCCTTCTGTTGAAATGGGGCAATATTTCCAACCTCTCAGGGTTCTCTAGGGGGTTAAATGGGATAAAGGACTTGAAAATCCACAGATGATACCTCTTATTTTTCAGGCTGATTTAGGCCCAGCACACTAGACACCCACAGTGCTTATAAATACCTCCCTGGGTATTATCAAACACTTCTAATTACCAAACACACCTGCTTTTCCCAGAAGACGTAGGCTCCTAAAAACAATGGGTATATATGTATGATTTGTATTTGTATATTTAGTCCCCAAACTAAGTTTAGTACAGTACAGACAAAATCAATCAACCAAGCAAGCAAGCAAAGCTGAGATTTATTGTGCACATACTATGCACCAGATTTTACACCAAGCACTTTTTTTTTTGAGATGGAGTTTTGCTCTTGTTCCCTAGGCTGGAGTGCAGTGGCACAATCTCAGCTCACTGCAACCTCCACCTCCCAGGTTCAAGCAATTCTCCTGCCTCAGCCTCCTGAGTAGCTGGGATTACAGGGGCCTGCCACCATGCCCAGCTAATTTTTTGTATTTTTAGTAAAGACGGGGTTTCACCATGTTGGCCAGGCTGGTCTGGAACTCCTGACCTCAGGTGATCCACCCACCTGGGCCTCCCAAAGTCCTGGGATTACAGGCATGAGCCACCATGCCAGGCCTACATCAAGTACTTTCTATTCACCATGTCATTGAACCTTTACAGCAGTCTCACAAAGTAAGGACTAACTTTCTTTCTATATAAGCAAACAGAGGCCTGGTGGGTGGTGTAGGGCAGCAATTTATCCAAGGTCACTCAGCAAGTAGGTAGCAGAGCTGGGATTTGAATCTGGGTCTCTCTGAGTATTAAGCATACATTTATATCCCATGTAAACATGCTTCCTAAAGACTATCTTTCTTCAAATCCATAGGTTGTGGATTCAAAAATAGACCATCTATCATTGAATCCACAACCTGTGAACACAGTTCTTCTCAGTACATAGAACATGCCAAATGAATGCTTGATTGATTAAATGAAGCAATATAAAAGAACGATAGCTAGCTAGCAAGATAAAGATAGAGACAGATGGATACATAGAGACAGATAGATAGATGGATAGAAAGATGATAGATATAGACAGGACGGATATGTAGGTAGGTAGGTAGGTAAATAGATGATAGATAGATAGATAGATAGATAGATAGATAGATAGATAGATAGATACACAGATAGATAGATTAATAGATCGATCTACTGATATGCTAGGCGAGAAAGCAAAGGATTCTTTACAGATGGTCTTTCTTCTAAGACCTAGCATCTGATCTTCAAAGCGTCTCCCATAACATCATCTGAATGCCCCTGGAACAGAAAGGTCATGTAGGATCAACATCAAGGTGAGGTCTCCATGGTTTGTTTGCCAACAACACCGGATGTGGCTTTTCCATCTTTCCCAGGACAGTTTGTATTACAGAACAAGGGAACCTTATCCAACCTCCGGGTCTAGAGCCTGAAGGACATTAGAATGTAGAAGCTTCATTCCATGATGACAAGTAATCCAGGTAGGGAGGCGTATGCACAAGGCTAGAAAATGAGACAAACTCGGCCAGGCGCGGTGGCTCACGCTTGTAATCCCAGCACTTTGGGAGGCCGAGGTGGGTGGATCACGAGTTCAGGAGATCGAGACCATGCTGGATAACATGGTGAAACCCCGTCTCTATTAAAAATACAAAAAATTAGCCAGGCGTGGCGGCGGGCACCTGTAGTCCCAGCCTCCCAGCCACTCGGGAGGCTGAGGCGGGAGAATGGCGTGAACCCGGGAGGCAGAGCTTGCCATGAGCCGAGATCGCGCCACTGCACTCCAGCCTGGGCGACAGAGCGAGACTTCATCTCAAAAAAAAAAAAAAAGAAAGAAAAAAGAAAAAAAAGAAAATGAGACAATCTGATTGTCAACATTGCACAGGCATGTAGGAGTTCTTCCATGTGACCCATTTCTATGTACTGTTGACCTCAGAACAACACAGGTTTGAAATGTGCAGGTCCACATATGGGTGGATTTTCTTCTGTCTCTGCCACCCTGAGACAGCAAGACCAGCCCCTCTTCCTCTCCCTCAGCCTACTCAGCGTGAAGACAATGAGGATGAAGACCTTTATGATGATCCACTTCCACTTAATAAGTAGTACATCTATTTTATTTTCCTTATGATTTCCTTAACGTTTTCTTTTCTCTAGCTTACATTATCATAAGAATATAATATAAAATATGAATAGCATCCAAAATATATGCTAATTGACTGTCTATGTTATTGGTAAAGCTTCTGGTTAACAGTAGGCTATCAGTCATTAAGATTTTGGGGAGTCAGGCCAGGCATAGTGGCTCATGCCTGTAATCTTAGCACTTTGAGAGGCTGAGGCTGGAAGATTGCCTGAGCCCAGGAGTTCGAGACCAGCCCGGGTAACAAATCAAGACCCCATCTGTACAAAAGATACAAAAATTAGCCAGGCACAGAGGCATGTGCCTGTAGTCCCAGCTAATCAGGAGGCTGAGGGAGGAGAATTGCTTGAGTGCAGGAGATTGAGGCTGCAGTGAGCTATAATCACTCTGTTGCACTCCAGCCTGGGCAACAGAGCAAGACTCTGTCTCTAAAAAATACAGATAAAATAAATAATTTTTAAAAAAGATTTTGGGGATTAAAAATGTATACCTAGATTTTCAAATGCATAGAGTCAACTTAGATTTTCAACCCGTGTATTGGTCAAGGATCAATTGTATAATCGAAAGCAAGGCTGACCTATTAGAGCCTGGCTAGAAGGATTTAACTTCTGCAATCACCCAAAATTCTCTCTATGTGGCCATTTTGCCAGGAAGGACAGCACCCTGGCAAGTTCCAAGAGCACCAAAATGTGAAAAGTGATCTGGACTGGGAGTGAGGAGGCACACAACATAGTCCCAGCTCTGCCACTAATCGGCTGTGTGACTCTGAACCCAGGGACTCAGTTTCACCCCCATCTACTTATTATCCCAACTCCAAATGCTATGACATCATGTCAATAGCTTGAAATTGGCCATGATGGTAGTATTTACACCACAGAAATTAGCTAATGCTAAATCAGAGCCTTTTTTTTGAGAGTCAGTTATTCAACATTTGCTAGCACACCACTGGAAGGGGCCAAAATTTATTGAACACCTAGTAAATGTCAGGTACCTAATGTATACCATCTCTTCTTTTTTCTTTTATTTATTTATTTATTTTGAGATGGAGTTTCACATTGTTGCCTGGGCTGGAGTGCAATGGCATGATCTTGGTTCATTGCAACCTCTGCTTCCCAGGTTCAAGCAATTCTCCTTCCTCAGCCTCCCAAGTAGCTGAGATTACAGGCGCCACCACCACGCCCAGCTAATTTTTTGTAATTTTAGTAGAGGCGGGGTTTCATTATGATGGCCAGGCTGGTCTTGAACTCCTGACCTCATGATTTGCCAGCCTCAGCCTCCCAAAGTGCTAGGATTACAGGCGTGAGCCACCGTGCCCAGCCAGCAATGTACACCATTTCTTCTAACCCTCAAAACCTCATGACAAATTCTGTGAGGCTCAAAGAGATTCACTAATGTGCCCATTGTCGCCCAGCAACTAGGAGATGAGGCTGATATCAAACACAGGACTTAACCCAAAACCCATGATATCTTTCCATCTCCATACTTGCCTCTCTGAATTTGGAAAGGCAAATATGACAAGAAGCCACAAATATATCTGGGTCACACCCTTGAAAGGTACCCTGAGGCTAGAGGGGTATCAGCAATAAAAGTGCCAGTTCTTGTTTCTCTATTGAATGAAAATTCTCTGATATTCTCAATTGTCCTTAAGATTTTCCAGTTCATGCTGTCAATGCAGAATTGACCCAGAATCTACTTTTTCCATTCCACTCCCCCAGTGGCTTTTGTATTACATGAAATTCGAGTCAAATTATTTGGAGCCTTTGGCAAATGTCAATTTAAGGGGCTTACTTTGGGTATTGAAGGTCAATAACTGTAAATTTACCACCGTGCAAGGCTGTTTGATGTATGTATCATGCCTGAGTCCATCAGAGGGCATTTCCATGCATGTTCGGTCATAGGTAAAGCCTGCAGTTCCCATCACTGACACTGCTATCAATGAGAGGTTTTATGTAAGCTAATTCAGGGGGGAAATATACAATTTCATGCAAGCACACAACCACCTTTGTTTATTAATGGTTTACTCCCCCAAAGACTGTCCTTTTTTCTCTTCACCAAGAAGAAATAGCTCTCTACTGAGTATTTTTGATAGCAATCCAGCAGAAACAAATGATGGGGTTCATCATCAAAGAAGTTTTGAACAAAAGCCACATGCCCTTATTGAGATAAATTGAATGCCCAGAACAGTGATTTTTTTCCTTCATGGTCCCTGTAATTTTAAGGCAGCTCATGCATCTGCCACTTATTCAAGATTGAATCAAGGTGAGCTTATTGGTTTTCCTGTGACCGCAAGGATGACCTTCTCACTCCGTGCATGACTGACTTCTAATCTACGGCAGACATTCAATGGCTCTGTAGCAGAAATGGTTCAGTCCCAAGTCAGGCTCTTCCTGGAAATGTCTCTCTGGACCCTTTCTGGGAATGCCATTGAGCAACCTAGATTTTCCTTGTAGCTTGACTCCCCACCCCTGAAATTATACGCCATTAAGCTCAATGAGCCCAGTTAAATACATGTGGGTGGAAATCCCTATCACATACATTGTCTCCCAGCCAATATGGCTGATGGCCCATCTGCGGCATTTCACCACGGGGATACAGCACTTTAAAGTGAAGCAGTCTCCGACTCCTTGGTAACAAGGGTGGAAATATTTAAGGAGGAAGATTTCAGCTTGAAAGGTGTGTGGCTCGTGGCTGTGAGGAGCTGCGTGTGCCTACAGTTAGAGAGTAAATGCCAGGAATCTAAATGGGTTTGTCCCTGACTCGCTATGGGAGTTTAGCCGAGTCACTCTTTCTCATCTGGGTCTCAGATTTCCTGTCTATAAAGTATGAGGGTTGGGCTTAACCAGGGGTGGAGAAATCAAGTGGCTTCAGAGGCAAAGCAGGTAAAGAAGTGATTTCAGAAGGCTGGATTAAGAATTTAGGGAAACCAGAAAGTGCATGCCCCACGTAAGAGAAAACTGTTAACAATATCGACAAGGATAATACAAATAAAAGTAATAACAGGGAACACAGTTGAGCGCTTATTATTCCAGGCACGATCCTAAACCCTCTCCATGTATAACTCGTGTTTCTCATAACACCCTCTGTGGTAGGCCCTATTCCCATTTTACGAATGAGGAAACGGAGGCACAGAGATGTTCAGAAACTGGCCCCAGAGTCACACAGCTGATAAATGAGAAAGAGCTTCTCTCTGAGTAAGATTAGGAATGGGCCGGGTGCAGTGGCTCACGCCTGTAATCCCAGCACTTTGGGAGGCCAAGGCAGGCCGATCATGAGGTCAGGAGATCGAGACTATCCCGGCTAACATGGTGAAACCCCGTCTCTAAATGCAAAAAATTAGCCGGGCGTGGTGGTGGGCGCCTGTAGTCCCAGCTACTCAGGAGGCTGAGGCAGGAGAATGGCGTGAACCCGGGAGGCAGAGCTTGCAGTGAGCCGAGATCACGCCACTACACTCCAGCCTGGGTGACAGAGCAAGACTCTGTCTCAAAAAAAAAAAAAAAAAAGATTAGGAATACATTCCCAGTTTTCAATCCTTAGACTAGGAGGTCTCCAAAATCCTTCCAGCTCTAACAGTCTGAATCTCTATGGAATGCAGTCTGCACACAGTAGGTGTTCTGTAAAGATTAGTCAGATAAATAAGAGCCAAATTTTTGGTACTAAGCAGCAGTTACTGAGCAGTTATATGCCAAACTCCATGGTAAAGATCTGTAGACATTCATCCATTGATCGGCCCAAACCCATTTGCAGGTGATGAATCTGAGGTTCTATACAAGATGCACTGGGTCAAGGTCACATAGCTAGGAGTGATGAACCTGGGGTTTAGCTTCAAGTCTAAACCATGCTATCGACTAGAGCAGAGATTGGTGATCTATGGCCTGAGGGCCAAATTGGGCTCACCTGTTTCTGTAAAAATAAAGTTCTATTGGAACACAGCCACACTCACTCATTCATTTATGTGTTTATTGTGTATGGCTGCTTTCATGCAGCCAGAATTGAGTAGTTAAACAATAGAGACAGAGTGGCCCACAAAGCTTCAACTATTATCTCTCTGGCCCTTTACAGAAACTTTGCTGACACCTGGACTAGAAATGTAAAGAAACCAGCCATCAAAAGCAATGGAGACAGTAAAGAGGTAAGGAATGCATAGGCTTTGGCAGGGCCCAGGGAGGTCAGCAATGGCATCTTTAAGAGGTAGGTAGATGAAAGGAAAAGGAATTCAAAATCTGGACAAAGACTTGGCTCAGGAAAGAAAATTTCAGATGTGGAAGAAAAGCAATCTGCAGGGCAGTTATTCTGGGCAGTAAATGACACATTTTCTTTTCTTTTCTTTCTTTTTTTTTTGAGACGGAGTCTTGTTCTGTCACCAGGCTGGAGTACAGTGGTGCAATCTCTGCTCACTGCAACCTCCACCTCCCGGGTTCAAGCGATTCTCCTGCCTTAGCCTCCCCAGTAGCTGGGACTACAGGGGCACGCCACCACGCCCAGCTAATTTTTGTGTGTTTTTAGTAGAAACAGGGTTTCACCATGTTGGCCAGGATGGTCTCGATCTCCTGACCTCGTGATTCGCCCACCTCGGCCTCCCAAAGTGCTGGGATTACAGGCGTGAGCCACCGTGCCTGGCCAGTAAATGGTACTTCTAAAAGGCAAGAGATTGGATCAGATCCTGGGCTGATTTTGAAGGGGATGTTGTTGCTGTTCACTCAGCTAATCAATACTGCATTCACCAGGAGAAAGAGTCCAGCAGTGAGACATGCTGGAGTGCAAGGAAAGGAAACTGGATTTCAGATGCAGGAAGCTTTTTCTTTCATTCACTCCTTCCTTCATGGATACATTTCTCAAACATCCACTAGGTACCAGGCATCACACATTCCACTGAATGAGGAAGGGGGTGGGGCAGAGAGTATAAAGAGAGCAGGGCATACAGAAAAACAAGAAAGATATAGAGAAGGGAGAAAAGGAAATGAGAAAGAGAGAGAGAGAAAAACGAGTAGAGGGAAAGGGAAAAAAAGCAGCAAGGGAAACACACAGAAATATAGAAATAGAGAAGGAAGAGGATAAGAGAGTCAGGAAATGAAAAGGATACAAGGAAACACTAAAGCGTGAGCTGTGAGCTTCAGGGTGCATACTTACCTTTCATTGCTTCCTTATGCAATGATGATGGGCCATGGTTTACTGCTCTTAAACCACTCTGAATCCTTAAGCCTTCAGAAACTGCGGTCTACCTGGTTCTGAAGGGGGGAAATACATCTCTGACTTGCCACGCAGCATCCAGAACATCATGGCCCAGTGAGGTGGGTGAAATTAAACTTGGACATTGGACCTCGCCATAAGCAGAACATTCCCCACCATGGGGATTCAAGAAAAGAATTCTAGCAGTCTGAGGAAATCAGATTTATGGTCAAAGAACAATGTGAGGTGGTGTGGAATCATAGACTACTGGAGCTAGAAGAAACAAAACAACGGTGCTAATAGTGATGATGTCATATGAAGACAACGGCAATGGTAATGATGACAATAGGAGATGAGGATGATGCTATTGCATGATGCTGAGGTAGCAGCTTCAGGCAGATGACCCTTTATTGGTTTCATGTGTCCCAAGCACTATTGCTGTTTGCTTTACCAGCACCATTTCTGAATCCTCTCTACAACCCTGTGATGGTTAATATTGAGTGTCAAAATTTGATTGGATTGAAGGATGCAAAGTATTCTTCCTGGGTGTGTCTTTATGTCCCTCTGGAGAACCCTGACTAATACAAATCCTAAAAGAGGTATTACTGTTAACTCACTTTTTTATTTTTACTTTATTTATTTATTTATTTTTTTGAGACAGAGTTTCGCTCTTGTTGCCCAGGCTGGAGTGCAATGGCGTGATCTCAGCTCACCGCAACCTCCGCCTCCCAGGTTGAAGTGATTCTCCTGCCTCAGCCTCCCTAGTAGCTGGGACTACAGGCATGCATCACCATGCCCGGCTAATTTTGTATTTTTAGTAGAGACAGGGTTTCTCCATGTTGGTCAGGCTGGTCTCAAACTCACAACCTCAGATGATCCGCCCACCTCAGCCTCCCAAAGTGCTGGGATTACAGGCATGAGCCACAGCGCCCGGCCAACTCAGTTTTTTAGAGGAGAAAACTGAGGCTCTGAAAAGCAAAGCTACTTACCAAGGTCAAAGCTAGGGTGGAGCTGGGATTTGAACTTGCATCTCTGAGCCCTCAGCACATGCTCAGAACCATTAAACCAGTGATTCTCAAAGTGTGGACCCTGGACCATCAGTATCAGAATAACCCCAGGGAGTGGCTGTTTAAAGTGCAGATTCCTGGGCCCCACCCAAATCCACTGACTCAGATATTCTGCAGGAGAATAGTCTCAGGTCTGCATTTTGAACCAGATTCCCCAGATGATATCTATGTTTGCTGAGGTTTGAGAATCACCATACGAGACTCAGGCTGCAAAGATTCCTTGACCTACCGATAATAAATTGGAGTATTGTTCAACACATGTTCACTCACTTTTTCCTTCCTTTTCGGGCAGTATATTCTTTTCTGCCCCACTGACCTTGACTGACTTTGGCCAGTTGAATGTGAGCAGATGTTGTATGATAGAATCTTGAGCCATGTTTGCATAGTGTGACTTGTCTCTCAAACTTCTGCCATCATCACAAAAAGAACATGCCTTATACAGCAGCTGCCTCTTCAGCATGGGATCCAGAATCAGACATGTGGAACAGAGTTGAACTGTCCCAAAGCCTAGAGCCAGGCATGGCCAGTTCACAATCTGGAACAGAAACACCTGAAAAATTTATACATGCATGAGCAAGAAAAATAAATGCTTGTTGTTGTCACCCATTGAGTTCAGGGATGATTTGTTATGTGGCATAATCACAGCAATAGCTGATTGATATACATAAAATTATATACTGTATATTGTGGATCCATTTTTATATTGTATGTCCACTTTTCTGGAGAGGGTGTACATATACCATCTAGCAAATTCTCAAGAGACTAGGAACCCCAAAAAGTGTTTACAGCCACAGAACTACTTTAAAATCCTCTCCACTCTCAGTGGAAACTCACGTTCCAGGACTTGAGCTGAATGAGTTTTCACCGTCCCTCCCTGCCTCATAGAATGTAACTGTTTATTTAAGTCTTAAACTTTAAGGGGTCCAGACTGAATATACTACAGGAGTTCTGAAAAGGGGGCCTGGGTGATGGTCTTAGGACCCAATCTCAAACACTTGGACTCTTAAAATTATCACCAGATACAAAAAGAAAGGAAATGAAAGCAGAGATTATTCAAGTACAGAGAGTATTTTATAAGATTGTCCTCCTCTTGTCCCTTATAACTTACCATTTATCTCTCCAGTGAAAAGAAATTTCTAACTCTGTGAAATAAATAAAAGCAACTCAGTCACTGTTTTGCCAGAAACATGAAAAATTAAAAATATTATGCCCCAGTCTGGGTTGGTTTCTGTATAAATAAATATATACAGAATTTATATTCAACACCTCAATCATGAAAATTATGCTAACATGTCACAGGACATTAATTTTTTCAAGACCATTGGGCAATATTTTAGGAATTTGCGAATACACAGTTTACAGGTTTTGGCCTGCAGGTTATGAAGTAACAGCTCCAAGGCCCCATGGTAGAAGCAGCGAGGCCCCCAAGAAGGACGTGAAGTAACCCAGCCAAGGCTCCATTTGTTTTACGTCACTGCCCATATATTATCCTGAGCTGGAGGCAGAGAAAACCAATCTGTGAGCAATCCATTTTCCTGTGTTGGCTTCATCCCCTTGGCTGTTAACAGCCAAGTATTTCAACACGGATGGGTTCTACCTGGTCAGGGAGATGCAATTGAACTTGAACTGTGTCCAGCTGGCAGGATTTTTGATTGCCAAGATGACCAGCTGCTTTCAAGGAGAGCAGAATTCAAACGGTGATTAATGAAGTGATAGGGAGGAGACTGAGAAAGAGTACATGAAATTGTACTCTGTAACCCAGGGCTATGCTGAGACTAGAGGGAGGATTTCTTGGGTAGTGTGGGAGGAATGAGGAAAGCTTAAGTTCTCACTTACCCCCAGTAATGGCCATAATACCTCGCTCGCCCTTTTGGGTTTTGATGCATCTTTTGTTTGTCAATACAGTCAGATAGCTTGGGTTCGGATCCCAGCTCCACCACTTAGTTTCTGTGCAGCACTGGGCAAGTTACTTAACCTCTCTGTGCTTCTGTAACATCTGGAAAAATAGGGACAATACACATTGAAAACTAAATGAAGTGGCTGGTCCTGGTGGCTTACACCTGTAATCCAGCACTTTGGGAGGCTGAAGCAAGAGGATCACTTGAGACCAAGAGTTTAAGACTAACCTGGGCAACACAGCCAGATCCCATCTCTACAAAAAGAATTACAAAAATTAGCTGGGTGTGGGGGTGCATGCTTGTGGTCACAGCTACTCAGGAGGCTGAGGCAGGAGAATCACTTAAGCCCAGGATTTGGAGGCTGCAATGAGCTATGATGGCACCACCATACTCCAGCCTGGGTGAGAGAGCAAGAACCTGTCTCTTTAAAAAAAAAAAAAAAAAAGGTTGGCCGGGTGCAGTGGCTCATGCTTGTAATCCCAGCACTTTGGGAGGCCAGACGGATCACCTGAGGTCAGGATTTGAGGCCACCAAAATGGCGAAACCCCGTCTCTACTAAAAATACAAAAAAATTAACCTGGCATGGTGGTGTGTGCCTGTAATCCCAACTATTCGGGATGCTGAGGCAAGAGAATTACTTGAACCTGGGAGGCGGAAGTTGCAGTGAGCCCAGGTCACGCCACTGCACTCCAGCATGGGCGACAGAGTGAGACTCTGTCTCAAAAAAAAAAAAAAAATTAAATTAACTGGTGAGATGGGTAGCACATCGCAGTGGTTAAGAACATGGGCTCTTTAAATGTCTTTAGTAGTTGGCTAAGAAAAAAAAAAAAGAAGATGGGCTCTGGAGGCTCTCGCTGTGTTTGAATCCCAGCTCTACCACTCACTTCCTGTGTAGCCTAGTGTAAATTCCTTAGCCTCTCTGCTTCAGTTTTCTCTTACACAGAATGAACATAACAATAGTTTTTACCCTGGAGGCTTGTCTTGAGTTGATACAGTCAGCGCCTCTGGGCCTAACCTGGGGACTTTAAAGGTTTAATCAACTTTAAAGGTTTAGGGTGATTCTGCAGGAGGTAAGGGAGTAGGGTATCTCTGAGAAAATTTGCTGTGCCTCCTTGGGTAATTGACTACTCTCCTCTGAATCTTAGTTTCCACATCTATAAAATGGAAGGTTGGATCGAATGATCTCTGAGCTGTTCCTTTAAAACTCTGGTTCTGGGCACATGCACCAACCCAGAAGACAGTGCTTCATGCTTACGTGCCTTCACACATGCAGTTCCTTTGGCCTAGAGTGACTGCCCCCATCCTGTCTGTTTAGGGAGTGTCAACTGGCCCTACCTGCCCCATCCCTCATGTCGTTCCCCTCTGTAAACACTCCTCTGACTCCTTCAAGTAAAGATTATGGAGCCCGAATCTGGACCCTCTTCTCTTCCTGCAGCATTTGGCTCTTGTTACACTCACCTCCCTGTGCTACACTTATGGGATGCGCATGGACTACATCTGTTCATCCTCCTCCTGGCTCACCTTCAGCGAGCCAGTGAGACTATGTTCGGGTGGGTTTAGCTCAACAGCCTCAGGTCAGACCTTTCTAGGGGGTGGGGCCAGGAGATAAGCAGAGGGGGTAGGTAGGATGACCCAGGTACTGAGTGAAGTGAACAGAGGTATGGAGACATGGACAGTGAGGAGACCATCTCGTCCAGCTTGGAGGAGAGCATTGCAAGATTCTGTTTTTATTCTGGCTTAGGATTTAGCACATTGTTGAGTGTTCAACAAATATCTGTGGAATGAAGGAAAGGATGGGTGAGTGGATGGGTAGATTGATAGATGAATGAATTAATGGAAGGAGGGATGGATGGATGAATGGACGGGATGGATGGATGGATGGATGGATGGATAAATGATGAGATGGTGTATGTATGTATCCATGTAAATATATATGTATATGGATGGGTGAAGGGATGGAGGATAGATAGATTGGCAGATGAGAGGATGTATGTATGTATATATATGTATATGGATGGGTGGATGGATGGATGGATGATAGATTGGTAGATGAGAGGATGTATGCATGTATATATACATATATGGAGGGGTGGATGGATGGATGAATGGATGAATAAAAGGATGGAGGATGGATGGATGGATGGATGGAGGATAGATTGGTAGATGAGAGGATGTATGTATGTGTAGATTATATATATGTATATGGATGGGTGGAAGGATGGATGGATGGATGAATAAAAGGATGGGGGATGGATGGATGGATGGAGGATAGATTGGTAGATGAGAGGATGTATGTATGTGTGTGTGTGTATATATGTATATATGTATATTGATTGGTGGATGGATGGATGGATGGATGGATGGATGGATGGATGGATAATATCAGGGAGTCAGAATGAAGAGCCGGATGTAGGGATACATCAGGGCTTGGGGACGGTGGCCAGAAATACAGGAAACCAAGACAGAAAAAAAATAAAGAATATTTTGCAATATCTACAGACAGCAATTCAGAGACTCCAATGAGCTGAGCTCATCCCAGCACCATAGGTGAGGATTTAGCATATAACCTTGATGATAGGTGATGAGTATGTGATCTAAAGTTTGCATATATGGGCTATGAAATGAAATCAGGATGTGTTAGGCAGATCATTTGGTTGCCAGTTTCCAGCAGTGAGATGATGGCAGGAGGGGACAGAGCCACAGAAAAATCTGGCTTTCTCTTCCCAGATGCCTCACCCCACCCCTTGGCCTTCACTTTTTGAGCCCAGTTCAGAGTCTCTTTCTTAGAGAAGTCTTCCCTGATCACCACCTCTCCTACCCAAGCCAGCCCCTGTTCTCTTATCCTCTTTCACACCTTTGTCACTGCCTTCATCTCAAGAGTAAACAATGCATTTTGACATCAACTGCTTTCCATATTACCCCTTGCCACAAAGCCAGATCCATGAGCTCAGGGGTCCTGACTGCCGGCCCTCCTGCTGCATCCCTGGTGCTTAGAACAGTGTCTGTAATCCAACACACATTCAGTATACACAGTTGCAAATACCTGAATAAATATTCAGACAAATCAATGTGGTTTAGAATGGGGAGAAGATAATTGGGAGTCTACATGAGTTTTGATGTTTTTTTTTCCATATGACTTTTCCAAAAAATGCCCGTCCTGTCCCACAAAGCTAAGACACTCTATGAGCATCCCAGCTACCCACTTGTTTGCAGGCAGTGGTTCTTTGATTTTACTGTACATATGAAACTCCCAAAGAGCCTGACCACACTGGTACCCGGCCCCAACCAGAGCATCTGACCTCATGAGCTGGGTGCAGAGCTGGCATTGGGATTGTTCAGAGCTCCCCAGGTGATCCTAATGTGTAGCCAGGGCTGAGATCCCTGTGTTTGAAACACAATCTCTACTCCTCCTCTAGTTGCTCAATTCCCATTTTAGAGAAGCCGGGGGGATGGGTGTCTAATGTGACTTATTCATGTCTTTGGGTACTAAAATCATGGAATGAAGGTTGCAAAATGGGCAGCTATATGGCCTTTTGGGTCTGGATGACTGATAGGGCTTCAGGATTCTTTCTGGGGACAAATATTCTCCTTTAATTAAAAAAAAAAAATCTTGGCCAGGCATGGTGGCTCAAACCTGCAATTCCAGCACTTCGGGAGGCCAAGGCAAGTGGATCACCTGAGGTCAGGAGTTCAAGACCAACTTGGCTAACTTGGTGAAACCTCGTTTCTATTAAAAATACAAAAAATTAGCAGGGCATGGTGGCGGAAACCTGTAATCTCATCTATTTGGGAGGCTGAGGCAGAAGAATTGCTTGAAACCAGGAGGTTGCAGTGAGTTGAGATCATGCCATTGCACTCCAGCCTGGGAGAGAGAGTGCGACTCCATCAAAAAAAAAAAAAAAAAATCTAGAGCCAGATGCAGTGGCTGATGCCTATAATTGCAGCACTTTGGGAGGCAGAGGCAGGAGGATTGTTTGAGTCCAGGAGTTCAAGACCAGCCTGGGCAACATACTGAGACTCTGTCTCTACCAAAACTTTAAAAATCAGCTGGGCATGGCAGCATGCACCTGTAGTCCTAGCTACTTGGGAGGCTGAGTCAGGAGCATTGCTTGAGCCCAGGAGTTCGAGGTGGTGGTGAGCTGTGATCATGCTATTGTACTCCAGCCTAGGCAACAGAGCGAGACTCTGTCTCTAAAAAAAAAAAAAAAAAAATCAACCTCACTCTACCCATCTATAAAAAGACACTGATGAGGCCACTCTATGAACAACTATAATCATGCTACATCCATTTGCACATGAAATTGCTGAAATCTATCCAGCATCTTTTATCACAGGTGGCAGAGTGGGTAAGGGGTAGCTACAGATAGGTAGTGGCCACTGTGTCCTTGGACTGCCAGAGTCAAGCCAGGGTGGAGCCAAGTGGCCCGTAGTTGAGGATCATTTCCTTTCTTCCCCAGGGTCTAGAATCTTTTCTCCCCCAGGGTCTCTCATGGACTAATTCATAACTGCACCTTAGTGTCTGACAGTAACAACCTGAGGAAATTTGCAAACAAAATATCAGGAAACACCATCCACTTAGAGATCAGAATTTCATCCCCATTGCAATGCCCAGGAGCATGTTTGGGGAGAAGGGATGCAGTTTGAGTGTTTTTTTAAAACTATGATTTTGATTTTAGGACAATTATATATTCCTGGGGCTCAGTGAGAAGTAACATCTCCAAGGCTATTTACTGAACCACAGTTGAGTAAAATTTCCCACTGGGAAGGAAGAGGGAGGAAATGAACTTTTGTTTATGGCTGGTTAAACACAAGCAGATGCTAAGTGATTGACACTATTCCCACTGAATCCTCACACCCACTCCATGGCAGAGCTACTAATTGCCCCATTTGCAGACTGATGGAGAAACTGAGGCTCAAAAAGGCTAAATTATTTGCCCATCTTCCTCATTACTATGCAGTACTCAGCACTGTTTGCAAACAGGGAGAACAATAGCTACCTATCATAGGCTGTACAGTCAGACAGACCTGGGGTCAGGCTGCAGTACAGTGGTGTGATCATAGCTCACTATACCCTTGAACTCCTGGGCTCAAGCGATCCTCCTACCCCAGCTGGGGTTGATCTTGACTTTGCTCCTTGCCTGGTGCAACCTTGGGCAAGTGTTTTCTCAGAACTTCTTTCCCATGTCTGCAATACCAGATAATAATACCTATATAGCAAAGAGTTGTTTGAAGTGTTCAGGGAGATCATATCTGCAAAGTGCCTAGCAGTGTCCCTGGCACAGGTGGGTGCACAACAGATATTAAAAATTAATGTGATCCAAACCCTGAACACATAAGAGATGATCAATAAATTTAAATCCTCAAAACACACACTCTTCTGGTTACAATATGGGGAAAGCCATGACCTGGACGAGATGGAATTTTTGCTCTAAAAGAGCTCACAGCCTTGACTGTGAAAGAAGAAAGCCCATGGAAACAGAAAGCAAACAGTAATTGTATAATTGTAATATAATAATCTATAATAATATAATAATCTATAATTGTATGATTCAGGATGTGACCAGTTGAAAAAGAAATACCAACTCTAATTAGCTTTTTTTAAATGCACTTGTTGACCTATAAAATGAAAGAGTTTATTTAATTTTAATTTTAAACTGTTAACATAAGAGGCTTAGGCCAACGTAGTGGTTTAGAGCTTGGGATAGATACATCACCAGGTCTGTTTTGATCAGGGGGTGTCAACACTACTAGGCCTAACATCCTTCTATAACAAATAATCTATCATGTCATGAATTCTGAAATGAAATTCACAGATAATATAATCTACCTACCCTATAGTGTAATAGAAAACCAATATAGTGCCTCTCTGTGATACAAAGGAGAAGAAAGAAAATAGATTTATAATAAAAAATATATTTTCAATATATAAATATTCACACCCAACTACACTAGAAGATGTAATGAAGTCATCAAAAGCTTGCACTTTTAACAGACGTGATGAAATATTTGGCTGAATATTGTCAACAGTTTTACTTTATATTTAACAAATCAGAATAATGGCGACATAGGTATATTCACACATGTATGCATACCCCTCAGAAAGTCTTCCTAATTAGCATTTCCTGGTAGAATGCCCCTTGGATTTTCATACCCAAACATCATGAAACAAATGTATCTCTCAATGTATGTTGATGTTAACATAGGAGAAATTATATTTGCATCTCCAAAATTCAGTGCAACATTGTAAACAAAATGCTGTATGGAATAAGTTTGATGCTACACTCTAAACACAATTGGTGGAACATCAGGATCCCAGTTTGAAAAGTCCACCCAATGTCAACAAAAGGTACATGAATCTCCTACGTTACTGCTGCAAAGACAAGCCATGTCAATATCAACAAAACTACCATTTATTTTCTTTTCTATCACCTTTACTGAAATATAATTTACATGCAATAACCTGCATCTATTTAAAGTATGCAAATCAGGCCAGGTGCGGTGGCCCATGCCTGTATCCCAGCACTTTGAGAAGCTGAGGTGGGCGGATTGCTTGAGCTCAAGAGTTTGAGACCAGCCTGGGCAACATGGTGAGATGCCATCTCTAAAAAAATACAAAACTTAGCCTTGTGTGGTGGCACATGCCTGTGGTCCCAGCTACTCCAGAGGCTCAGGTGGGAGGATGGCTTGAGCCTGGGAGGCAGAGGTTGTGGTGAGCCAAGATTGCACCACTGCACACCAGCCTGGGGGACAGAACAAGACCTTGTCTCAAATAATAAAAATAAAAATATGTAAAGTATGCAATTCAATGAGTTTTGATAGATGTATATGCCTGGGAAACCACTGCCACAGAACATACCCATCACCCCCCAAATATCCTTGTGACCCTTTGCAATTCATTTCATCTTCCACTCCCAGCCTCAGGCAGTCACTGAATCCAAACAACTGTTCACTAACAATGGGATTGATATTGTGGTGATGCTTTAGGTATTTCATATCTTAAATAAGAATTTGTCAGTTATATATAGCAATTTTACTGTGTTTTAATTACATTTTAAGAAATTGGTTGGGGATTTGGGTTAACAAAGGCATTCTAATTTGTCTATTTTAAAATAATGAAAACTAAGACTTCTGCTTCTGGGATGATGAAGCAGATATATTTTTCCCTCTTCTTCCCACTAAGTACAACTAAAACCCTGGACATTGTATGTAAACAAATATAAGAAGACATTGAGAAAAGGACTGGCTAGAGACCTCAGGACTTGAAGAACAATATAGCAGTGAGTTGTGGGAAATTGTTTTTGGTTTCACATATCCCGGAGTTGAAGCTGAAAAAGCTGGCAACTCAGAAACACCAATGGGTGCAGACCAAAAAAAAAAAAAAAGACTCTAACAAAACCCTACTTTTTCCAGGCAAAGGACCAAGAAAGAGGTAACCTAGCAAGACAGAAGACTTTTAGACAATAACTGTTCTGTTGCATCCGAACATAGAAAAGTCAGTAGCCTGACTACACCCACATCATCAAAGGCCAAGTGAGGAGCCTGGACTTCCATGCTCTTGAGGTTGTAATGAGGTGCCCAACACATCTTTTGGGATGGTGTCTGAGGAGGCCTAGTGAAGAGTCAAAACTTTCACCACTGTCCAGTGGTAATAAGGCCACAGCCACCTCAGTGTCAGTGGTACTACAAAGGTAGCTGTAACTCTCAAACCCACTTGGTAATAACAAGAAACCACCCCCCTTTGAGTGTCAGTGATGAAAAATGTGGACTTCTACCTCCTTCTGGTAGTGACTAGGTGGCACCCCTGCCACCTATCCTTTCAGAGCAGTGTCAGAAGCCAGCTAAGACAGAAAATTTAAATAGATTTGGGGTCTCATAACATAATATTAAAATGTCCAGGTTTTCATCAACAATCTCCTTGCATACCAAGAACCAGGAAGATCTCAAACTGAGTGAAAAAAAAGACAATTAATATATGTCAACACTAAGATGACAGAAATGTGAGAATTCTCTCACAGTGATTGTAGAGATACTTTGATAAATATGCTCCAACAAGCAACTACAAATGTGTGAAACAAACGAAAAAAAATAGAAATCCTCAGCAAAGAAATAAGACAGCTCAGAAAGGAAATAGCTATAAAGAAGGAACAGATGGAAATTTTAGAAGTGAAAAATACCATTACTGAAACACCAAGCTGAGTGGACCAGCTCACAGCAGAAAAGAGGGAACAGAGGAAAGAATCTGTGAACTGGAGGGTAGCGCAATAGAAACGACTTAAGCTGAACAACGGAGAGAAAATAGAGTGAAAAAAAATAAACAGAGACTCATAAAGCCTATGGTTAGGCTTTGTGTCACCACCCAAATCTCATGTTGAATTGTAATCCCCATAATCCCCACATGTCAAGGGAGAGACCAGGTGGAGGCAAATGGATCATGGGGGTGGTTTCCCTCATGCTGTTCTTGTGATAGTGAGTGAGTTCTCATGAGATCTGATGGTTTTATCAGTGTTTGGCCTGTCCTCCTGTGTTCATTCTCTCTCCTGTCACCCTGTGAAGAGGTGCCTTCTGCCATGAGTGTATGTTTCCTGAGGCCTCCCCAGCCATGTAGAACTGAGTCAATTAAACCTCTTTTCTTTATAATTACCCAGTCTTGAGAAGTTCTTTATAGCAATGTGAGAATGGACTAACACGCTCATGGACCAATGAAATTATAAAAAATAGCTAACATTTGTGTCCACAGAGTCCTGGAGGTGAGAAGAAAAAATGAGAGGCTAGAAAACTACTCAAAGAAATAATGGCTGAAAACTACCCAAATATGTCAAGAAGAAACTTAAGAAGCTGAGCAAACCAAAGATACATCATAATAAAGCTTCCGAAAACAAAGGACAAAGAAAAATTTTGAAAGCAGCCAGAGAAAAACGGCATCTTAGCCATAGGGGGAAAAAAATTCAAATGATAGCAGATTTTTATTCAGAAACCATCGATGCCAGAAAAAAATGGCAAGATAATTTTCAGGTACTGAAAGAAAAGAACTGTTAAACTAGAATCCTATATTCAGCAAAAATATCCTTTAGGAATGAAAAAAAAAAAAAAGACATTCTTAGACAAAGGCAAACTAGGAAATTTTGTTTCTGGAAGACCCACCCTAAAAGAATGGCTACAGAAAGTTTTCTGGCTGGGTGCCATGGCTTGCGCCTATAATCCTAGCACTTTGGGAGGCCGAGGTGGGAGGATCACTTGAGCCCAGGAGTTCAAGACCATCCTGGGCAACATAGTGAGACCCCATCTCTACAAATAATAATAATAATAAATTAGCCAGGTGTAGTGGCACATGCCTGCAGTCCCAGCTACTCAGGAGGCTGAGGTGGGAGGATCACTTGAGCCCAGGAGTTCAAGGTTGCAATGAGCTATGATTGCATCACTGAACTCCAGTCTGGGTGATAGAGTGAGACCCTGTCTCTTTATTAAAAAAAAAAAAAAAAAAAAAAAAAAAAAGGAGGAGGAGGAGGAGGAGGAAAAAAGAAAGATGAAAGAAAAAGATAAAGTTTTCTAAGCAGAAAAGAAGCAATAAAAGAAATTCTGGAACATCAAGAAGGAAGAAAGAACACAGTAAGCAAAAATATGAGTAAATGTAATAGACTTTTCTTCTCCTCTTATATTTTCTAAATTAAATTTGGTGATTGATACAAAAGTTATAACACCTCTCAATGCATATAGAAGATATAATCAAGACAATAATAAATAGTGGGGAGGGCAAAGGAACATAAAGGGAGGTAAAGTTTTATACTTCAATCATAGATAGCATTTTTACATAGAACATCTGATTTTTTTTTTTCAAGACAGACTTTCACTCTTGTTGCCCAGGCTATAGTGCAATGGCGCAGTTTCGGCTCACTGCAACTTCCACCTCCCATGTTCAAGCGATTCTCCTGCCTCAGCCTCCTGAGTAGCTGGGATTACAGGCATGCGCCACCACACCCGGCTAATTTTGTATTTTTAATAGAGACAGGGTTTCTCCAAGTTTGTCAGGCTGGTCTCCAACTCCCAACCTCAGGTAATCTGCCTGCCTCAGCCTCCCAAAGTGCTGGGATTACAGGCATGAGCCACTGCACCTGGCCAGAATATCTGATTTTTAAGAATGATTACTGGGTTGTGATGTATTAATGCACCAGAAAACTACATACCACGATGCAAAAGAATAACTACCACTACACACAAAATTGTAGAGAAATGTCATCAATTTAATGTTGAGAGAAAGAAGCCAGAGACAAAAGAGTACATACTGTAGGATTCCATTTATTTGAAATTCTAGAACAAGCAAAACTAATCTATGACGATAGAATTTAGAATGGTGGTTGCTTTTGGTGGTATATTGACTGGAAAGGGGCATGATGGAATTTGCTGCTAGGGATATGGGAATTTTCTGTATCTTGATCTAGGCAGTGGTGCAGTAATCTACATCTATAAAAACTGTCAAGCTGTACACTTAAAATTTGTGCACCTTACTGTGTATGAGTTACGCCTTTTAAAAGAGGAATGGATTACTAGCAGTAAACAGGAGATGCCCACATCCTCCACGAATATGTCAGCTCCAATTTAGGCTGACAGACAGGCTATGTCCATGGCCTACCACCAATGGTATGGCTGTGAGTGATGTGGTTTTCCAAACAATGCTTGTTCAGGATAAAAAAGAAACACAATTCTCTTTCTATTATATTTATACCAGGGTTTCCCTTCCAGAAAATTCCATGTAGATTTGGAGTAAGGGGGGAAAAATGGAGTTCAGCTCCTGGCTGAAATAATTACAAACTGGGTTTTCATCAAACTCAATGCCGGCTGGGGCATTAGAACGTAGACTGAGCTGCTGGACAATTCTTCATTGTGTAGTATTGCCTGGCATTCCCAGCCCCTGCTCAGAAATGTCTGACTGCTTCCCAATCACCTTAGTAAGTAAAGGTTTACTAAAGTCTACTATACATACAGAAAAGTGCACAAATCATAAGCGTATACCTCCATGATTTTTCATAACGAAAACACGTCTCTGTAACCAGAGCCAGGAACAAGGGACGGAGCAACATTCTTCATCCCCGCCTCTCAGAAGCCTCCCCGTGTCCTCTGCAGTCATTACCCTCCCCTACTGAAGGTAACCTCTACTCTGATTTTGATAACCATACGTTATTTTTGCTTGTTTTTGATCTTCATAAACATGGAATCTCTCAGGTATACTCTTTTGTGAGTGGCTTTCATTCAACATTACGTTTGTGAAGTTCACCTATGTTGTAATGAGAAGCAGTTGTTTGTTCACTTTTTTTTGTAGTATTCAATCATATGAAAACACCACAATTTTATGATTCATTCTGCCCTAAAGGACTATGATTTCTTTCTTCTTCTTCCTTTTTTTTTTTTTTTTTTTTTGTTATTAGAGAAAAAGGCTGCTATGAACATTCTTTTGCAACTCTTTTGTGAACACATCTATTCATAGCATCTCTGTTGGATATATACCTAAGAATGGAATGGAATTGCTGGACATTGGGTAGGTGTATGTGTTTGGCTTTAACAGAAAATGCCAACTGTTTTCCAAAGAGTTCCAGTCGGAACCACATCCTCCAGACAATTGAAAACCTTGACAACTTTCCAAACTCCTCCTAGAGGGTTGTATTGCCTTCAACTAGCATTCACTGGTTAAAGAGTGCCACAAGGTCCTGACTCTCTCCCTACTTTCTTCTCTCTTCCAAGCCTCCCTCTGTGCTGCCACTGCCCTCAGATAGGCCCCTGCATGTGACCACCAGTCAGACAGCTGTCAGCAGCTCCAGGTTTTCATCCTTACTGCACCAAGCCTCGAGGAAAATGAGGCATTTCTGGCCACTTTCCCAGTCTCTCCTGACTAAACTGAAGGTTTCCCTCTCACTGCTGTTTATCATGTGACTATCTGTCAACCAACCAGAGATGGGGGGTGCACCACACTCTGATTGGTCAAAACTTGGTTACATGCACATCCCAGAAGGGAAGTGGAGTCAATTCCACCTACAGTTCTGTAGGGAGTGAGGAAGGGAATCTAACAGAGGAAAGTCGTGGTGCTGTTACTGGAAGAGTTTCTGGGTGGGAAGAATATCACATAGCCACTACAAAGGTCATATGCTAAACTGCATGATGTAGGCAGAGTTCTGTAAGAGACTGGAAATATGAGGGATTTCAGAATCAAGATCTAAACAGAAGTTAGGAGGTAAATCTTAGAAGATGACATTTAGAAGAGATAAATATAAAGCTTTATACTTAGGTCTTAAAAATGACACAAGTACAAGATGAATTTTGCAAACGCTTCAATGAGTTAAACGAATACATGGGTTTTTTTGTTCAAAGAAAACTCAATGTAAATCAAAAGTGCAATGACATGGACACAAAAGCTAAATCCTTTTTAGGTCATATTAACAGAGGTCTGGGATCTAAATGAGGGAGATGATGATACCATACTTGGAGTACTTAAATTTTGTTATGGTTCTCCTCAAATTACAAAAAAAAGAAATAAAAGAGACTATCTAGGTAGATGAAGGGAGTTTGTGACCAGCCTTGTGAGATGTAATTGAAGAAACTTGAAATGTTTTGCTTAGAATAGGTTGGAGACTGGAGAGGAAAAAGATATGATCTCTGGAGGGCTGACTCTTGTGTAAGTTCTGTGGGACTGGAAAATGTAAGCTTACGGGTCCAGCTGTTAATACAAGAATGAAAATCCAATCACTTGTCTAAATAAACATTTCTCAGCCCTGGGTCTTGGCTGACTGACTGCTTTTCAAGAATGCCATAGCTTGGTTCGATGTACCAGAAGGATACTTATGCCAATTAAGCTTTTTGCCAAAGTGTGTCCCATAGAACTGTAGTGAAAATATGTTTGAGATGCATTGAACATCAAGTCCTCCTTCTCAAATTTAGGATACGTAATGAGCATGTTAAAGACACTGACACTTCGCTCCATCAGAGACTTTGAGTTGCTTTCATAAAGTCAGTGTTTAGCCAAAAGATCTTCCTTTTTCCTCCTGGTAACATCTGATAATATCCCTTAGAATAGCCCTCTGGGATACGGTTTGAGAAACACTGGACAACTTGGCGTTAAGAGTTCTAGCTCAGGCCGGGCATGGTGGCTTACGCCTGTAATCCCAGCACTTTGGGAGGCCAAGGCAGGCGGATCACAAAGTCAGGAGATTGAGACCATCCTGGCTAACATGGTGAAACCCCGTCTCTACTAAAAATACAAAAAATTAGCCAGGCATGGTGGTGGGCGCCTGTAGTCCCAGCTACTCAGGAGGCTGAGGCAGGAGAATGGCATGAACCTGGGAGGTGGAGCTTGCAGTGAGCTGAGATCGCGCCACTGCACTCCAGCCTGGGCGACAGAGCAAGATTCTGTCTCAAAAAAAAAAAAAAAAAAAAGTTCTAGCTCAACCATAAGACCCATAACTTGGTGGGACGAGTAAGAGCTTTGTGTTATTTTCTTCTCCTTCTCTCCTTATTTTACCAGTAGGAAAATTAAAGGCCCTAGAACGACTGCCCCATTCGGAACTTCTTTCCAATCAAGGGTCACAGTTAATTATTAAGTAACAGCATAATGGGTTTCTGCTCATATTGGATCATGTATTTGTTATAGCTGCATAACAAACCACCCCCCGCCCCACCCCCAAAAAATCAATGGCTTGGAACAACAGGGATTTACTCAGCTCACAAGTTCTTAGGTCTGCTTGATGGTTCTGTTTATCTGGGAATTGACTGGCTAAACTTGGGTTGCAGATTGGCTAGATTGGGCTGGTCTGGAATGGATTCAGCTAGGACAGCAGGTCTCTGACCCACATGTCTCTCATCCTCCAACAGAGTAGCTTGGGCTTGTTCACATGGCAGCTGGGCAGAGTTCCAAGAGAGTGAGAGAAAGGTTGTAAGGACTGGGACCTGCATGCCATCACTTCCATCACATTCTATTGGTCAAAGTCACAAGAGAAGCTTAGATTCAGAGTGGGGAAATAGACTCCATTTCTTGATGGGAGGTGCTTTAAAGTCTCACTGCAAAAAATGTGGATACAGGGAGGCCATGAATTGGGATCAATCCATGCAATCAATCTACAGCAAACGTCAGTGAAGAAATTCCATTATGTTCTTCCTTTGACTCCCATCCTGGCCTCAGAGTTGAAACCCCAGCTATTCTTTCATCTTTCTAGCATACACGCATTTATTATGTAGGACCCAAAACTGGGTGGTGGAGGGGAAGCCCAAAGGTGCCTACTATGTGCACCATGCATTGTATTACACTTAGAAAAAAGGAAGTAATAGAAGAGTTCTTGCCCACAAACCAAGTGTGGATATCAGACCTGTAAAAACCAAGTGCCGAGAGTCATGAGTAAGCAATATGCAAATTTTGGTGGCAGCAGAAAGGAGCATAGGATTAACTCTATTCAAACATGTCAGAGAAGGGACACAGAGGAAGAGATCTGTGAGCTGGGATGACTGAGGATTTTCTGGGCAAGCCAGCTGAAGAAAGGCAATCCAGGTAGAGGGAACAGCATTTATAAAGGCATAGAGTGTGAAATAGGATATTGAGTATAGAAAACTGCAGATGTGGCCAGGCATGGTGGCTCATGCCTGTAATCCCAGCACTTTGGGAGGCTGAGACAGGCAGATCACCTGAGATTGGGAATTCAAGACCCACCTGACCAACATGGAGAAACCCTGTCTCTACTAAAAATACAACAATTAGCCAGGCGTGGTGATGCATGCCTGTAATCCCAGCTACTCGGGAGGCTGAGGCAGGAGAATCGCTTGAACCATGGAGACAGAGGTTGAGGTGAGGTGAGCTGAGATCACTCCATTGCACTCCAGCCTGGGCAACAAGAGTGAAACTCCACCTCGAAAAAAAAAGAAAAAAGGAAAAAAGAAAATGGCAGATGTGGCGTAAGTGGGAGCCAGGGAGGGATGTTGGGAGATGGACCTCAGGGGTAAGGATATAGAAGACCCTGGGGAGAGGCTGGGGAGTGGGTATTAAGTGTGGTGGGGGAACGAGGGGTAACATGGCTAGATTTGCATTCTAGAAGGAGGACTTTGCCTGGGGAGTGGTGGAGAAACCACAGTAGAAGCTGGATGAGGAGTAGGGAGAAGGGATGACTTCTGTTTGGGATATGCTGCGTTTGAGGTGTCGATGGGACACTGAGATGATGGCAGTGGAGGTGGATCACTCCTCAGATCAAAATGCAGAAGGCAGCTCGGAACACTGAAGCTGGAAGCTTCTCAGAGCTCAGGGGGCCTGTGGGCTCTTGGAACACCAACTCAGTCCTCTCCAGGATTTTCTCACTCTTTTCTCTATCTCTCAATTGGCATTTCTCTCTCATCCCACACAGACACCCTGTAAGTCAGAGCCCAGTTCTTCCCCTACACTGGGAGGGGGGTAAATTTAAAAATTCCAAAGGAGGAAGAAAGGAAGGATCTGCTTTCTGACGGACAGTCTCAAAGAAGTGTCAAAGCCTCGGACCCCAGCCAAGTGTCCTTTCCCTCCCCACTCCCCCGACAAACATCATCTCCCATGGCTTTGGACGCCCGGCGTCTCTGTATCTCTCCACAGATCTGTGTTTTTCTCTCGGGGCCATCTGTCGCTGACTCTGCTATAAATCTTGTTGTGTTTCCTTGCCATATGGCATAATTAATTACTTCAAGGCACAAAAGACCCCACAGCTCTGCAGGCCAGGAGCCAGCTGGCTCACTGAGGAGCAATTTGCCACAATGAGGCAAATAGCCGGGCTACTGTGCCCTGTCAGCCGGGTCCCACAGCAGGAACCAAGTTGGCTGGAACCCCCATTCCCTGCGGCAGCATCTGCCACTAGCTCGGCAGAGGCTGTGTCTTCAAGGTTACATGAGTGGCATTTATAGACATTAAGGCCACACACCGTCTATTGCTATAGAAGGGAGCGTGCATCTATTAACTCAACGGGGACCCCCCCCAACCTCATTTATCTTTGTCACTTAACTGCTAAGTCCAGAACAGTCTGTCTGTTCCACTTGGGCAATGGTTTATTGGACTCCCAAATCTTTGGAAAACTACTGAGGGAGAATAAAATTAAAGAACACAGCCATTGAAAGCTGAGTCCTTGAGTGGGCCCCTCCGCCTCTGAGCAGTTGGCCTCTGCATCTGCAAACAGGAAGGACTGGATGAGCACTCAGTTCCCTTCCAGCTACAGTGTGCCAGGACTCCTTCAATCAACCAACGGATATTCAATTGACAACCATCCCTGTACTGAGTGCTGGGGAAACAGTTCTGGTGAGGCAGATGTAGCCCCCTGCTCTTATGTAGCTTGCTGCTAGAAATGAGGACCACACACGAGCATGGGCACACACACAACATACACATAAATGTACCAAATTATCACAGCTGGTGGCCAACAGGATGAGGAACTGAATAAAGCAGGGGCTGAATTAAAGAACATCAGGAGGCCAGGCATGGTGGTTCACGCAGCGCTTTGGGAGACCAAGGCAGGAGACTCCTGACTCACTTGAACACAGGAGTTTGAGACTAGCCTGGGCAACACAGTGAGACTCTATCTCTAAAGAAATAAAATTAAATTTAAAAAATTAGCCAAGCATGGTGGTGTGCACCTGTACTCCCAGCTACTCAGGCCTGAGGAAGGAGGATCGCTTGAGCCCAGTAGGTTGAGGCTGCAGTGAGCTGAGATTGCACCACTGCACTATAACCTGGGTGACAGAGCAAGACCCTGTCTCAAAAAAACTTTTTAAAAGAACACCACCTTCAGAGAGAGGACTCACAGAAGGTCTCTTTGAGGGAGTGATATTTTGTTAAACAGATTTATTGAGTTATAATTCATATGCTGTAATAGTTACCCTTTTAAAGTGCAAAATTCAGTGGTTTTTAATATTTTTGCAAGGTTGTGCAATCATCACTACAATCTAATTTTAGAACATTTCATCACCCCCCAAAAAAGGCTTACACCTATTAGCAGTCACTCCCCATTCTCTCCTTCCCCCAAAGGCCCTGACAACCACTAATCTACTCTCTGTCTCTATGGATTTTCCTATTCTGGACATTTATTATGAATGGAATCATACCATATGTGGCCTTCTGAGCCTGACTTCTTTCACTTAACATAATACTTTCAAGGTTTATTCATATTGTAGCATGTATCAGAACATCAGTCCTGCCAGGTACGATGGCTCACACTTACAATCCTAGGACTTTGGGAGACAGAGTTGGGAGTTTGAGCCCAAGAGTTAAAGACTAGCCTGGACAGCAGAGCAAGACCCCCTCTCTGAAAAAAAAAAAGAGTAGCAGGGTGTGGTGGCACACACCTGTGGTCCCAGCTACTTGGGAGGCTGAGCTAGGATTGCTTGAGCCTGGGAGGTTAAGGCTACATTGAGCCATGGTCATGCCACTGCACTCCAGCCTGGGCAACAGAGCAAGACTCTGTCTCAGAAAGAGAGAAAGAGAGAAAGAGACAAAGAAAGAAGAAAAGAAAAGAAAAGAAAAGAAAAGGAAAGAAAGAAAGAAAGAAAAGAAAGAAAGTAAAAGAAAAGAAAGAAAGAGAAAGAAAGACAAAGAAAGAAAAAGAAAGAAAGAAAGAAAGAAAGAAAGAAAGAAAGAAAGACAGACAGACAGAAAGAAAGACAGAAAGAAAGAAAAGGATGTCAATCCTTTTTGATGGCCAAATAATACTGTGTTGCAAGGATATAGCACGTATATAGCATGTTTTGTGGAATCATCAATCAGTTGATGGACTCTAGGTTGTTTCCACTTTGGGATTATTATGAATAATGCTGCTATGAACACTTCTGTACAGGCTTTTGTGTGGACATGTTTGTATTTCTTGAGGGGGTGACATTTAACCTGAGATCTCAAGGGTAAGAAAGAATCAGTCATGTAAAAAGCTAGGCAAAATTCTTCTTGGCTGAGGGAACAGTACAGACAAAGGTCTGGAGATGGGCTACTATACATGTCTAGGGCCCTTTAGGTGGCTCGCAGGCTTTAGAGGAATTACAAGAGCATCTTTTTCAAGCTGCACAAATCCAATTTTCTGCCGAGGTGTGTCTAGTCTCTTCCTGAGTGTGCAATCTGAGTCAATTTAGTCTAAGGGTTTATTGTCAGCTCAGAGGAAAATTTCTTGGATTGAGCAACTTGGGGTGACTTCTGCAGGCCCCCACAATTTGCAGGAAGCCTGAGGAATCGTGGGTGGGAAAGTCGAATGGAGTGGTTCCAGGAGGCAGCATGCTTTGGAGGTAGAGGCATTCGAATGACTGACATGCATGCATTTCACTACCCCCAACTCCCATAAAACTCAGCCTGGTTGCCTGGCAGCAAATATCTTCTCTTGGCTTCTGTATTACCTTGGCTATCAGTGAGACTTTTCCCCTCAAAATGTCCTTGCATTTGTTTTTTAACTTGGCTTCCCTGGGATCAACCTGGCACTAGGAGCAAAGGGCTGGGCTGATACTTGCTTAGACGTCTGTGTGAGGGTCCTGGGAGGGTGGTTCACTGAGTGCTGCTACAGTGAGGGTATTGCAAGAGTATGTTGAGACAGCAATAAGAGGATAGATGCACCCACCTGGCAGTGGACGAAGACGGGGCTGAGAGAAGTTAGGATCCCAGAACCTAGATCAGGATCATACAGTCAAGAAGGAAAAATTTACCTCGTAAAAGTGAATTTGGGGGCTCTTTGAAGCAATCCTTAATCCAGTCAGTACACTCCTTTCCATAGTTGATACTGTTGGCTAACTCCTTCTGTCCACCCCCACCCCCAGCCAAGGGAGGCTGGGCTACAACCAAAACTCTGAACTTAGGGCCCCACAGACCTGAGTTCAAATCCTAACTCCTCAATTCCACTATGTTACTTTGCAAGAAGTGCTAACTGTTCTAAGTCTCAATTTGCTCATCATAAAATCCCATTACACAGCCTGTATTATGTAGGAATTGCTTTCAGCAACAGCAGTTCCAAATAATAATGGTATAAACAAGATATACCATGGTTATTTCCCTCATACAAAAGAAGTGTAGAAGGATGACATCCAGGGCAGTATAGAGTTTCCACACAAGACGAAGGCTCCTTGTGTCTTTCTGCTCTACCATTCTTAGCATCTCACCTTATGGTGCCTGATGGCTGCTGCAGCACCAGCCATCACATCTGCATTATAGACAGGAAAAAGGAAGGAATGGCAAAATTATTCTCACCTCTTGAGTTGAGTTTTCCTCTTTTAAGGAACTTATAAGCAATGTCTATCTAACAACTTATTTACTCCTATCCAACCCTCCTGCAAGGAAGCTAGGAAACATGCTTATATAGCCAGGGATATTGCTGAACTCAGCAGCAGAGCATGGCTGTTTTATTCAGGGAGAAGTGGAGGGTAGCAGGCAACTAAACATCTTCACAGCAAGATCTTAATTTAGTCACCTCCTCGCAGAAAGCTGCCCTGCCCACTCTATCCAAAATAGCACCCCTCACTCTAAACCACCACTCTGATATGTGTTGCATAGAATGTATCACTCTCTGAAATTATTTATCTATTAGTTTCCTTATTTAGGGATTGACTTCTCCCCTAGGATGTAAGCTCCATGAAAGAACAGCAACCATATCTGTCTTTATTCATCACTGGCTCAAGTTGGACAGCTGTGCAAATCTGTGGGTGACTGTTGAATAGTCCCTATCCCAAAGGGTGACTATGAGTCTTTAATGAGATGCTGAGGACGAAGCACTGAGCCCAGAGTCTGGCAAGAGAGGCTGGAACTGGCTAGTTGTTTCCTATGCCATTTCCCTTTTCTTCCTATCCACCTAGCCACAAGGCTGAGTTCCACCAGCCGAACGGAGGCAGGAGTGACATGGGTCACTTCCATGCCTCACCCCTGAGCCTCCTGGGACATCTTCCATGCACTTTCTTTCCTCATTGCCTAAGGATTCAGTAGAGGAACTTTGTAATATGATAAAAGCTAGAGTATAGAAGAAATGTGGGCTCCTCAATGACTACATGGAGCAGAAGTCTTCATCCACACCAGACTGGGATGGAAACAAGAAGAAAATTTTTATCATTTGAGCCACGAGTTTTGGGGATGTTTGTTACAGAAGCATTTCATTAGCCTTTGCTGGGTTGCAAACCACCCCACGATGTGCCTTAAGACAACATTGCCTTGTGGCTCCTGATGCTTTGGGTTGCTTTTGCAGTTCCTCCCCCAGTTTTGCCTGAGTTCATTCACAAGGCTGCATTTGGTTAAAGGATTGGTTGAGCTGAAGAGGCCAACTGCCAGTGTCTGGCATTTGGTGCTGGCTGTCTACTGGGCCATCTCCAGTTTTCTTCATGTGGCCTCTCATCCACACAGGTGAAACTGGGCTTCTACACAGCCTGGTGGAACCAAAGTTGCAAAACAGCAAAAGAAACTGCAGCAGCCTTTAAGACCAAGCCTTGGAAAATACCCAGCATCACTCATGCCACATTCTGTTGGCCAAAGCAAGTCATAAATTCAAGAGGGGAAAAGCAACAAAGTACATTGCAAAAGAGTGTGGACTCAGAGAGACAGACTCTTTGTGGGGTTATTATTATGTTAGTCTACCACAAAGAGTTAATGTAACAGAGTGTGTATGACTGGCATTTCAATTTCTGCACCTCCTCCTCTGCTCTCATTCCAGGCCCCTGTGACTCTTACTTCTGCAGAGCCCTCATATGCACACATTTGGTGGCAACAGTGAAGTCCGTGGGAATTGAATCTCAGCAGGACACAGCTACATTAACAGAGCTCATGAGCAAAGGGAACTGCCCTCCTAGGCTTGGCTTGGTGCCCAGAGCTCCAAGGAAAGGTCACCCACTCCTGCTGGCAGGAGGTCTGAGTCAAATAGCTGTTAAACCAAACAAACTAACACCCACCTCCACTGCTGCCCACGCAGATATGACCGATTCTTTCCTTGAGAGAGAAAAGAAAAGATCTCTCTTTGTTATTTGACACTCTGACCTCTGCAGCATGGAAACTAAAAATAATACCCACAGGAGAGTGCTGAATGTTTATCCTATTGTTCTTTGCACTCACAGCTACCTGGGCTATGCACACCAAGATGAGAGAGGGAGGAGAATTAGAGACACGAGCATAAGGCCAAGGCTGGAGATCTAGGTTTTCAGAAATCAAAGCTTACATTTTTTTTCCTACAAATCCATCCACCCAGCCCATCCCACCCACCTTTCCACATCTCCACCTATTCACCCATCCATCCATTCATCCATACCTTCATTCATGCATTCATCTATCATCCACCCATCCTTGTATCCACTCATGCATCTATCTGCCCATCCACCCACCCTTCCACCCACCTTTCCATCCATCCTTCCATCCATCCATCCACCCGCCCATCCATTCATCCACCCACCCTTCCACTCACCTTTCCATCCATCCATCCACCAGCCCATCCACCCACACACCCATCCTTCTATCCACCTTTCCATCCGTCCATCCATCCATCCATCCGTCCATCCATCCATCCATCCACCCATCCATCCACACTTCCATCCACCCACACATCTACCCATCCATCCATCCATCCATCCACTCATCCATGCATCCATTCATGCATCCATCTATCATCCACCCATCCTTGTATCCACTTACGCATCCATCTACCCATCCACCCACCCTTCCACCCGCCTTTCCATCCATCCGTCCACCTACCCATCCACCCATCCATCCACCCACTCTCCCACCAATTCAACCACCCATCTACCCATCCATCCATTTTTATCTGTCCACCAACCCATCCACCCTTTCACGCACCTTTCCATCCATCCATCCACCCATCCATCTACCCACCCATTCACTCACCCATCCATCCATCCACCCACTCACCCACTCTTCTACCCACCCTTCCACCCATTCATCCATCCATCCATTCATCTATCCACCCATCCACCTACCCTTACACCCACCTTTCCACTCATCCATCCACCCACCCATCCACTCACCTACCCATTCATCCACCCACACATCCACCCACGCATCCACCCATCCATTCATCTATGCATCTCTTCATCCACCCATCCACACTCCCATTCAGTCACCCACCCATCTGCCCATTCATCCATCCATTCACTATTTATTGAGTGCCTTCTATGTGCCTGGCACCGTGCCAGGAATTCACTGGTGAACATGATCCATTAGAAATCTGCCCTTGTCGGCTGGGTGCAGTGGCTCACTCCTGTAATCCCAGCACCTTGGGAGGCCAAGATGGGCCGATCACAAGGTCAGGAGATCGAGACCATCCTGGCCAACACGGTGAAACCCCGTCTCTATTAAAAAAAAAATACAAAAAATTAGCCGGGCATGGTGGCGGGCACCTGTAGTCCCAGTTACTCGGGAGGCTGTGGCAGGAGAATGGCGTGAACCCGGGAGGCAAAGCTTGCAGTGAGCCGAGATCGTGCCACTGCACTCCAGCCTGGGCGACAGAGTGAGAGACTGTCTCGAAAAAAAAAAAAAAAGAAGAAGAAATCTGCCCTTGTCGAGTTTACATTCTGGAGGGGTGTTCAGACAATAAGTAAACAAAGCAATAAATATTACAATTGCTTTTTGGGTAGGTATATTAAGCCATTGCCCAGGGGGTGCAATTTGAGCACCTTTTCTGGATAGGGCAGTTACAGGCACATGTTATCTTCTAATTTAATTCTCATTACTACCTAATGAGGTTGTTACTATTAATATTCATGTTTCACAAAGAGGCAAGCAGACTCAGAGTAGTGAGGTAACGTGCCTAAGGTCACACAGCTGGCAAGCATCAGAGCTGCGATTGAAACCCAAATGTAGCCACTGATCATGGTGGAGCATCAGGAGGAGAAATTACTGTATTCAGGGCCTTCTGCCTCTTTTGTTCTGGGCCTTGTACCAATGTTGGGGCCATTGACACACAGGGGTCTCACCCACACAATCACACTCCTTGCACCTGCTCTTGGTCTGATGACTCAGATATTCAGGAAGTGGGATAAACTTTAACCCAGCTCATCCTTGCTGGGCCCCAAGACAGCCATGCCTTCTGCTGGGCTCACATCTCTGCCACTTGTTCAGGCCTTCCATCAGCAGGGCAGCCACAGAGTTTCAGAAAAGATCTTCTGGATGTAAACAGAAAAAGCACCTGCGGGTAAAGGGATGGGCGGCCACCTCTGGGCTCATAAGAGCACCAAAGAGTCTGGACTCAGGTGTCCACACTGCCATAGATTTGCTGTGTGACCCTGGGCAAGTCACCACCTCCCTTTTGATCTTTGTTCCCTTTCTGTGCTGCCTGCTGGTAGGGCTTGTGCCTGCTACAGTCACTCATCCAGATGTTTCTGAGAACCTACCATGTGCCAGGTTTTGTGACAGCCCCCAAGGAGCAACTAAGCACAGAATTATAGTTCCAAGAGACAAGCCACAAGGTGCTATGAGAATGTAAAATGGGTTGGCCTGATCTGGATTAAAGGCTACAAAGGACTTGCTGGGGGAGTGACATTTCCCCTGAGACTTAAAGGAGGATTAGAAGATAACTAGGTGCAAATATGGAAAAGGGATTCTTGGCCAGAGGAACCGCATCTGCAAAGGCCCCAATATGGGAAAGAGTTTGCTGAGTCAAGGACCCGGGAAGTCACCCACATCGCTGGCACCCAGAGTGAGAGGCATACAGTGCAGGACAAGCACAGGGAGGTCAGGGGCTGGGTTTTGCAGGGTCTTGGAGACAGCAGTGGGATTTGGGACCCCGAGCAGAGGGAGGTGGGGAGCGAGTAAGCTCCAGGGAGCCCAGATATGCATGAACTAGGCTGCGTAGACCCACTTTTTGGGCTGGGGGCTGCACAGAGGGCAGTCAGGTGGGACACTGGAGCTTCAGAAACAGACTTAACCTACTTCATAATATTGCCAGGACTAGATTGTGTAAGACAGCATGGGTTAGTGGATAGGAGGATGTGGGTCAATAGCTTTAGGTAGACCCTGGAAATTTACCCTATGGGAGGGCAGGGCTCAGAGCTTTGTGTGAGCAGCTATGTAATTTGTTTATCCCTTTGGTTTGAGCATCCTCTTGGCCAGGGGTCCTAATCTTCAGTTAGAGCTCTGTCAATTGCAAGTAGCAGAGAACCTGGCCTGAGAAAAGGGAATTCATTGGCTCCTGTGTTTGAACAGCCCAAGGGCAGACCTTCAGGTATGGCTTGATCCAGGGTCTTCACTGATATCACCAAGATCCTGTTTCTCCACTTCTCAACATGACTTCCTTGGATATGACAACATGTGCAGATCCCTCAACAAAAATGGCATTGACAGCTCTGCATTCCATCTTCATCCCTCCAAGAGCCTCAGAAAAGAATCCGCAGGCTCTTCTTAGGACTTTAGGCCATGCACAGACTCTGATTGACCCATACTTAGACTAGTTAGTGGCCAGAGAGACAGAATGTGCTGGCTGGCTTAGTTTAGGTCCTATGTTCCATTACTCATATCCAGGGTGGAGATGGCTTCCTTGAAAGCATAGAGAATGAATGTGAGTGAGGGGGTTTCCCACTCTAGCAATACTGGGGCATTGTTGCCACATAAAAGGGAGAGGTAATAAGCTGGATGAGAAGAGCCACATATGTCTATCATAGGGAGGGGCCCATGATCCCCCGGGGGTGAGAGCATTCTGGGGCCTACCTGGGGAGTGGAAAACGTTGTCTCAGCATTGCTAGGCTTTGAGATAAGGGTCAGGGCTAGGAGTCAGTCAGGAAGACAAAGTGAAGAGTCAAGGAGAGGTGTGGTCACTAGAAAGCAGAGACCTGGAGGAAGTGGTGGAGGTCAGGGAAGACTCACAGCATGTATGGAGTTCTGAGTGTACAGATGTGATATGAAGAGCTTTGCATGTCACAGGGAGGTGTGCCCACACTGATCCAGGATGGGATGGGGATGCTCACCTTCAGTCCCACTTTCCCACTCTAAGTATCTGGGGAGTTTCTCTCCATGACCTGCCAGTGTATAGAGGTCTCCTATGGTTTCAAACATTGGAGAGTGGAAGTCTGAGAAGATGAGTAGAAGGGCCTGGGTCTCCCTCTGTGTAGGCTGTGGGCTGCCATTGGCCTTTGTTGCAGATGGATCAAAGTTCCATGAGTACAGAGAGAAAGAGAAACAGGATCCTGTTGACATTTGAGCCCCTGGATCAAGCCATGCCTGAAGGTTGTCCACCTACTGGGCAGGCAATATAAAATTATCTCTGGGTACCCAGGTGCTTCCCTCCTGGCTGTCCAGCCCTCCACTTATGAACCTGGCACTTTCTGGGCAGCAGCCACACTCCTGGACCTCTTTTCAGTCTGAGAACCCACTTTCCCCATCCCTTCCTTCCCAGACCCTTGTACTCTTAAGGCGACCCTATGTCCTGGTTTCCCTGGACTGTTTTAATGTCTATTGTCCTTGTGTAATTCTTCATAGTGCCTCTTTCATTCTCAAAGTATCTTGCTTTGGATAATAAATAACAGTCACTTCACACATCCCTCCATTCTGACGTTCCTGCTCACTTCCTTTCTCACTGCAGACCTTACAGGCCTGAGAGCTGTTAAAACTTGAATCAAAATTATTAGCAACAACAACAAAATCCAGTCTCTCTCTACCAATGCAGGAGAGACTTAGCCTTTGACAATACCTCTCTGAGGTTTGTTTACATCCAGTCCTGGCAAAAGGCCCTTTCTGCAACGATATGTGACAGGTGAAATGATTCCTTCTGAAGGAGAAAAAAAAAAAAAAAGAATTCTCACATCAAAACAGCTTCAGTCCTGAGGGTTTCCCTGCCTCCACCCACTCCATGTTCCTGTTCCCATTCATTCTTACAATAAACCCCTTGTTTTAAGGTAGCTTGTCTGAGTCTCTTTTTCCTGCAACAAAAAGAGGTGTACCTAAAATAGGCCAGGGCCTGGGCCAATGGCCAAATTTAGATGAAAAACTGGGTCAGGCAGGAGAGGGAGCAGCAGGCTGGGAACTTTTGAGTATTGGGGCTAGACAGCTCCTGCTGATGGGGCACTTCCTCTGTGCCAGCCCATTAATTTATTAAGTAGTAAAATTAATCTTATTTAATTTTCTTACTGTCCTTTGAGGTAGGGACTGTTATCTACAGTTGATAGAGAAGAATACTAAGGCTCAGAGAGTCAGGATTTGGGTATCCTATCCCAGTCCTCTCCATCCAAGATCTGCAGGTTGGGGCACCAGGGCAGACTTCCAGAACACAAAAGGGTAGTGGGAATCTTGGCCATCTGGCATGGAGACGCTCAGCCTGCATGGCCCAAGCTGGAACTCTTCTGCACAAACAGGTCTGTAGCTTTCTTCATCATTTTTAAGTGAATTTGAGGAGTGTGGAACAGCCAGAGATCATTGTTTTAGCTCAAATGAATTTAAGCAAGATACGGAAAATGTAGTTAGATCCAGGTTCTCATGTGCTATTGACCCATGTGGCTGGCACTCAGTTCTCTCTCCATCTCTCTTTCATGTGTTACTCCCTCTACTAGGTATAAAGAATGGTCACAGGCAGTCCCAAGCTTCATCCTTACAGCTTGTAATCCATAAGGTCTAACTATCTGTCTGTCTGTCTGTCTGTCTATCTATCTATCTATCTATCTATCTAACTATCTATCTATCTATCGCTCTTCCTCTCTCTCAGCTTCCACATAGAAATCCAACTAAGGATTTGGATTGGCTCTGCTTGGGTCACATGTTCACCTCAGGACCAATCACTGAGCCCAAGAGGACACTGACATGGGTGCTAGGATTGGCTCAGCCTGGTCACAGGCCCTCCGCTGTGGTGAGGAGGGCAGACAACAGTGATTAACAGCCTCTGGGGAGTGAGGGAGGCATGGTTTCATCAAGGAAGGGACGCTAGTGGTCAAAATCAATACATCCACCATGCTTCAAAAGATATGTAGCAGGGATACCTAGTTTAAAAGTTTTTAATGTGTATTTCATTTTGCTTTCCTGAGTACAGATTTTTATCTCTACCACGCTAGGCATCCATTAGTCTGGGTGAGATTAGAATTTATTACAGAAAATGCAAAGAGAAAGACAAGTGATGTTAAGCTTTAGACATCAAAATTAGATTATGTACCAGACGATAGCCTTAAGGAAGAATTCTACAGGTTCCTTATCTTTGAGCTTATGAATAATTGTGCCAAACATCTTAGAACATAGAGTTTGTCTGTGGATTGCAGGGTCTGTCCCATCTGCCTAAAACCGTTGGGTACCCCTGATAAAGAGAGGACATGATGGAGGTCAGGAGATCGAGACCATCCTGGCTAACGGTGAAACCCCGTCTCTACTAAAAATACAAAAAATTAGCCAGGCGTGGTGGCAGGTGCCTGTCGTCCCAGCTACTCGGGAGGCTGAGGCAGGAGAATGGCGTGAACCCAGGAGGCGGAGCTTGCAGGGAGCCGAGATGGCGCCACTGCACTCCAGCCTGGGCTGCAGAGCGAGACTCCGCCTCACAAAAAAAAAAAAGAGAGAGAGAACGTGATGTAGTGGAAGTAGAAGAAATGTCTGCCTGTTTTCTGACTTCTCCAATGATATTTCTCTATAACATGCATCAATGGTTATTATTTCTGTTTAAACGTGTTTTTAAATGTGTTTAAAACAAATAGGGGAAGATATTAGAACACATAACTTGGACACTGATGGTTAATTTTATGTGTCAGCATTGTGGGGAGAAGTGGGAGCAAAATGGGAAAATCCTCTTCCCATGATATTTCTCTATAACATGCATCAATGATTATTATTTTTGAGCACCCACTGTCCCCCTCAGGCATTGTGCTATGAGAGAGATCATTTGTTGTTTCACTATCCCTATGAAATAAGCATTTCTATCATTCAAACTGTTGGTTGTGAGCAAGTTCTGTCAAACAAAATGTGTTTAAAACAAATAGGGGAAGGTAGCCAGGTGTGGTGGCTCACGCCTGTAATCCCAGCACTTTGGGAGGCCGAGGTGGGTGGATCATGAAGTCAAGAGATCAAGACCATCCTGGTCAACATGGTGAAACCCCGACTCTACTAAAAAAGTACAAAAATTAGCTGGGTGTGGTGGCACGCACCTGTAGTCCCACCTGCTTGGGAGGCTGAGGCAGGAGAATCACTTGAACCCAGGAGGCAGAGGTTACAGTGAGCAGAGATTGCGCCACTGCACTCCAGGCTGGTGACAGAGCAAGACTCCGTCTAAAAGAAAAAGGGGACAGTATTAGATCATATAACTTGGGACACTGTGATGGTTAACTTTATGTGTCAACTTGACTGAGCCACAGGGTGCCCAGATATTTGGTCAAACATTATTCTGGGTGTGTCTGTGAGGGCGTTTTTGGATAAGATTAACACATGAATTGGTAGACTGAGTAAATTTTCTTCCCTGCTATGGGTGGCTCTCACCCAATCCGTTAAAGGCCTGAATAGAACAAAAGGCTCATACTCCTACAAGTTAGAGGGAAATTTTCCTGACTACTGGCATTGAGCTGGGACACTGATCTTCTCCTGTTTTCCAAATCAAACAAAAACATGAGCTCTTCTTGACTATCCAGACTGCTGGTTCTTGAATTGCTGCAATCTCATACAACTTTAAGCTGGGTGTGGTGGTGCACACATGCAGTCCCAAGCTACTTGGGAGGCTGAGGCAGGAGGATCACCTGAGCCCAGGAATTTGAGGCTGTAGTGAGCAATGATCACACCACTGCACTCCAGTCTAGGTGCCAAAGTGAGATTTTAACTCTTTGAAAAAAACAACTTAAATGAATGGTAAACTGCTTCTTATAGATGAACAAAGTAAGTGTATTTTGAGGTGGAACCTACTGCTGGTGAAGATGCTGTGAACATCGTTGATATGACAACAAACATTTAGAATATATATATATACATACATATGTATGTATATATATATATATATATATTTTTTTTTTTTTTTTTTTTTTTTTTTTTGAAGTGGAGTCTCACTCTGTGGCCCAGACTGGAGTGCAGTGGCACAATCTTGGCTCACTACAACCTCCGCCTCCTGGGTTCAAGTGATTCTCTTGCCTCAGCCTCCCAAGTAGCTGGGACTACGATGCCCACCATCACACCCAGCTAATTTTTGTATTTTTAGTAGAGATAGGGTTTCACCATATTAGTTAGACTGGTCTCAAACTCCTGACCTCAGGTGATCCACCCACCTTGGCCTCCCAAAGTGCTGGGATTACAGGCATGAGCCACTGCGCCTGGCCACATTTAGAATATTTCATACACTTAATAGCTAAAGCAGCAGCAGGGTTGGAGAGGATTAACTCAAATTTTGAAAGAAGTTCTACTGTCCATAAAGTGCTATCAAACAGTATCATATGCTTCCATGAAATCTTTAATGAAAGAGTCCATCAATGTGGCCAACTTTATTGTTGTCATATTTTAAGAAACTGCCACAGCCACCCCAACCTTCAGCAACCACCACCCTAATGAGTCAGCAGCCATAAACATCAAGGCATGACCCTCCACGAGCAAAAAGATTACAATTTGCAGAAGGCTCAGATGATTGCTAGCAATAAAGTATTTTTAATTAAGGTATGTACAGTGGTTTTTAGATGTAATGGTATTGCACACTTAATACACTATAGTGTAACTTTTACGTGCACTGGGAAATCAAAAATTCCTATGACCCACTTTATTGCAATATTTGTTTTATTGAGGTGGCCTGCAACCAAACCTACAGTATCTCTGAGTTATGCCTGTGTATATTATTTGGAGAACATTGACTAGTACAGATACTCAGCCGGAATTCTGGATACGCTTCAGGTATGGCTGTATCCAGGATCTTTAACAATGTCATTAGGCTCCACCATCTCTTGCCAGATCTTAGACAAGAGTTATTCATATGGTACATGTGATGGGTGACACTGGCAACCCTGGCTCATGTCCTAAACGTAGCCACCTTAAGAAAGAAAGAACATCTCCCTATATTCACCTGATTAGCCTCCCTTGGGTCATGTGTCTATTCCTGAACCCATCACTGTGATCCAAGGATGTGATACAATGGAAGGGCACCAGGATTGATAAAACCTAAGGAGTCCAGGAGTCTTACAAAGCAAGCCTGAGAGGAACACAAGGATGGATCAAGTAGGCACTGTGACTATGCCCGTTTTACAGTTGAGGAAACTGGCCCAGAGTGTTTAAGTGATTGGCCACGTACAAGCCTCAGAGCTGGTAAACATCAATGCCAGGATTTAAGCCCAGGCCTCTCCACAGGGCCTTAATTCCTTCTCCATACTACCTCTCACCCTTTAGTCCTGGCCAAAAGCCAAAATCTTCCAACACCCCAATCCCTGGTCCTCACATGCAGGTGCCCACCCTGCACCTGGCACATAGTAGGGGTGCAGTAAGCTTAAGTACTGCCCCTGCAGCTGGACACAGCCCTCAGTGCCTTGCTACAGGCAGCTCTGTCTAATCTGCCCCATCAGATCTTTATTTGGATCTTTCTCCCTGCCTCAGCTCTGAGAAGGAACCCGAGTGACCAGCTGAGCCTGCCAGGCAGTTGGCATCAGTCCCCACCCAGCTGTCCCCATCCTCTGATACATTTTTATTCCTTTTGAGAACTACCCAATTTAGACAGCTCAAAAACAGATGTTTCTTAACAACTATAGTTTCCATGGGTATTTTTGGTTCTCTAATCTTGGTAAATTGTTGGGATTTTGCTGGTTCTCTGGGTAGAAGACAAAGCTGCTTCCATCCAAGCCTCGCTTGTTATGATGGGCCTTGCTATGGCAGCAGTGAGTTGGCAGAATACTTAGACACAGCATTCGTATCTATTGCTGCAAGCAAATCTACCCCAGAACTTGGCAACTTAAAACAATAAACAGTTGTTGTCTCACAGTTCCTGCGGGTCAGAAATTCAGGAGCAACTTTAGTCTGAGCAGTTCTGACTCTGGGTCTCTCATCAGGTTGCAGTCAGGATGTCAGCTGCAGCTGCAGTCTCATCTGAAGACTGAACTGGGGCTGGAGGAGCTGCTTCCAAGATAGGCCACTCACACAGCTGCTGGCTGGAGATCACAGGTCCTCACCACATGGGTCTCTCCACTGGGCTGCTTGAATATCCCCACGACATGGCAGCTGGCTTCCCTAGAGTGGGTGATCCTCAAGAGAGCGAGGAGGGAGCCACAATGTCTTTTATGACCTTGCCTTGGAAGTTGCACACCATCACTTCCACTTTGTTCTATTCATTAAAAGGGAGTCAGTAAGGCTAGCCCACACTCAAGAGATGTAGAATTAGGCTCCATCTTTTGAAGGAATTATCAAAGACTGTGTGAACATATTTTAAACCAGCACAGACAATATGATATAATGCAAAACTTGCCTCCAATTCTTTACCCTTCTTTGTATTCTCACCCTTGCCAAGCGACTTTGCAGTTCCTCCCGTTAAAAGAACAGAGTACCATTTCCCACCTATTGACCCTGGGTTTGGCCCTGTGACTTGCTAGGGTCAATAGAATGAGGCAGGAGTGACTCTGTGTGGTCCTGAGTCTAGGCCTCAAGAGACTTTGTGTGTTTCTGCTCACCCCCTTGCACTCCTGCCATGAGCAGGAGGGGAATATGCCAAGGCTAGTCCACTGATCCCAGGACAGGATGAGAGACACATGGATGAGCACACAGCTGCCCAGCTGAGCCCAGCCTGGCTCAGCCAACCCACATTAGACATGCGAGCTAAATCAACACTTACTGTCCTACAGCACAGAGATTTGGGGGATTGTTTGTTACACAGCATTACCATCACCACACTTAACTGACAGAGGCATGTGGGCTTGAAAGTCAGCCAGTCTTGGCTTCAAGTGTCAGCTCCCCCACTCTTCAGCCACGTGACCCTGGACAAAGCACTTCACTTCCCTGAGCCCCCAGCGACCTCATCTGTAAAATGGGTATCATGACATCACCTCTCTCATAGAGGCTTTGTGATGATTAAGATCATGCCAGTAAAGTGCTTTGAGCACCATCCTGCCCCATTGTGATTATTAGGAATGACACATCTGGGCCTATTGTCCCAATATTGATGTGCAGCCAACAGTAGGATTAATTCTCTAGCTCAGACACCTGCTATAGCTCCCTAGTTCCAGGTTCTCCAGTGTGGTCTCCCAAGGCTCCCTTCCCCCTCTCATGCTCACTGACCACTCACCCTCAGTCTCTTACCAGCCAGGACAGGCAGCTGATGAACATCTTGGACCCAGAGCTCCAGCCCCACACACCCGTGACCTTCCCTCCACACCAGGCCACCTCGTTGTCCCTGCTCAGCTCCTATGAGACTGTGGGACAGTCTCTAACCTCCCTGGGCAACTCATGTAGGGGTGGATGGCACAGGCTATTGAGTCAGCCACACTGGGCTCTGAATTCTGCCTTCACCACTTACCAGCTGGGTGACTTTCGGAAGTGATTGTACCTCTCTAGACTTCTGTTTACTCACCTGCAAAATGAGGGTCATTATAATACTTAGTTTATCAGGTAGTTGTGGGGATTTGATACTATCAGACATATAAAATCATTCTCCTATGCCAGGCACGTTTAAAGTGTAAGTACTGGTAGTTAGCTAACATTTACTACAACTAACAATAATGTCTCCATCTGTGAATGAAGGGGCTGGATTTGTCTAAAGTTTCTTTGGACACTGACGTTGGAAGCATAAGCTGAAGGGTTTCTGTGTGTGGGAGTACAAGGAGAAGAGTCCCCATGGACAGAATTCCAGGTTGTCACTTCCAACACTATTATCTGCTTTACATACTGGGATGCTTTATGTGAGGTTATCCAGGAAACAATTTCTTTGCTTAAAAAAAAAAAAGTTTGGGGCCAGGTGCGGTGGCTCATGACTGTAATCCCAGCACTTTGGGAGGCTAATAGGGGCAGATCACCTGAGGTCAGGAGTTCGAGACCAGCTTGACCAACATGGTGAAACCCCATCCGTCTCTACTAAAAATACAAAATTAGCAGGGCGTGGTGGCACATGCCTGTAATCCTAGCTACTTGGGAGGCTGAGACAGGAGAATCACTTGAACCTGAGAGGCAGAGGTTGTGGTGAACCAAGATTACACCATTGCACTCCAGCCTGGGCAACGAGAGCTAAACTCCATCTCAAAAAAAAAAAAAAGAAAAAAAGTTTGGAAACCACTGGATCAAGTGGTCTTTAAGGGCCTTCCCGGCTTTCCCTTTTGGGATTTCACTGCAAGAAGCCAACTAAAGGCTGAGCAGTGGGTACAAGGGGCTGCAGCGCTTAAGTTCAGCCTCTAGAAACTTCAAGGGCCAAGCAAAAGTCATTCCCTGGCTCCAGGCGTGGTGCAGTGCCTCTATGATCGCCACCCCCCGGAACACCCACTCTCTGATGGCTTCTGTCCTCCAGACCTCGCCATGCTCTGTTTCCTTTTGTGTATTTAAAACCCACTTCTTGGCTCCCAGCCACAGTCTGCTAGAAGTTAACAATGTGGAGCGGGGAGGTTGAAGACGCAAATCAAATAAACTCCCTGAACTGAAACCCCAGCAGTAGGAATCTTCAGAGGGCTGGCTGGTTCAGGGAGTGGGCTTTCCAGCTCCCTGTCTTTTTTGATCTTTCATTAAGAGCTTGTTTTGATTCTGTGGTTGCTACGATACGGGAGCATTTGGTGGCTGTTTCTAAGAGGCCACGTGGATGACTGTGTCTGTTCCACCTCATCACAAGAACACAGTGGGTGGCCAAGCTTGGAGGCTAAGTGAGGAGGGTAGGATTGGAGGTCAGGGACAGGGGCTGTTTAATGGGGTCTACAGGAGGAGCTGAGCTGGCTCCAAGGTGTGGCAACCACAACCACTGTTACCCACCCCATGGACATTGCCTGCAGAGTCTATTCACCTCTGACACGCTGGGTGACCTACAGAAAGTCTCTCCACCTCTCCGAGCCACAGTATACTTATCTGTCGAAGAAGGTGACTGAATGACATGTGCCTGAATGACCTCACAAGGGTGAGGAAAAGAAGTGGGACAAGAAAAATGAATCCTAGTCGAGTGTCGTTACAGGCTACACATCATCTCATGTCATCCTTACGACACCGCCATTTCATGGATGTAGAAGGTGAGACCCGGAGCAGTGCAGTGACCTGTTCAAAGTTGCACAGCCTGGGAGACGAGGCTGGGACAGCTCCACTCACACCTCCCATGCTCAATGTTTTTCCATTTTTAATTTTTTGTGGATACATGGTAGGTGTATACATTTATGGGGCATATGAGCTATTTTGATAGAGGCATGCAATGCATAATAATCATATCGGGGTAAATTGGGTATCCATCCCCTCAAGCAATTATCCTTTGTGTTTCAAACAATCCAATTATATTATTTTAGTTATTTTTAAATGTACAATTAAATTATTGTTGACTATAGCCACCCTGTTGTGCTACCAAATACTAGATCTTATTCATTCTAACTATTTTTTTGTACCCATTAACTATCCCCTCTTTCTCCCCTAACTCCACCCCGCCATCTACCCTTCCTAGTCGCTGGTAACCATCCTTCTACTGTCTCCATAAATTCAATTGTTTTAATTTGTAGCTCCCACAAATAAGTAAGCACATCCCCATGTTCAAGTTTTAGCTGCATAATAATTATGTTAAACACCTCATAGTACTAAGCGCTTCACAGACACTAATAGGTTAATCTTCACAACAACCTCTAAAGGAAGTACTGCTATTATCTCCATTTTTCTGGATGAAAAAACAGCGTCCTTAAGCAACTTGCTCAGTTGCTCAGCCCGTAAATTACAGATTTGGAATCTGAACCCAGTCAGCCCAGTTGCAGAGTTCTTGCTCTCGGCACGGTCACAAGGCCCCTCAAGGAGAGGTGGCCACCAAAAGAAAGGAAAGGGCTCCGGATGCACATGGTCTAATCACGGCAGCAAGGTGTACAGCAGCAGCCACTGGAAGCAACGCAAGTGTCCATCAAAACGGGACTGGGAGGCGGGTGGATCACGAGGTCAGGAGTTCAAGGACAGCCTGGCCAAGATGGTGAAACCTGTCTCTACTAAAAATACAAAAATTAGCTGGGTGTGGTGGTGGGCACCTGTAATCCCAGCTACTCAGGAGGCTGAGGCAAGAGAATCACTTGAACCCAGGGGGCGGAGGTTGCAGTGAGCTGAGATCACACCACTATAGCCTGGGCAACACAATGAGACTCCGTATCAAAACAACAACAACAACAACAAAGAGAGACTGGATTAATAACTTGCATTATACATATGCAGTGAAACTGTGCACACCAGCTAAGATGAATGATCTAAATCTACTATATGTGACAATATACAGTTGACCCTTCAAATATGGGTTTGAACTGTGTGGGTCCACTTATTCCTGGATTTTCTTCCATCTCTGCCACTCCTGAGACAGTAACACCAAAGCCTCCTCTTTTCTTCCTCCTCTGCTTACTCAATATAAAGATGACCAGAAGGAAGACCTTGATGATGATCCACTTCCACTTAATGAATAGTAAATATATATTCTCCTCCTTCTGATTTTCTTAATAATTTTTTCTTTTCTCTAGCTTACTTTATTGCAAGAATACAATATAGAATACCTACAACATACAAAATATGTGTTGTTCCACTGTTTACGGCGTTGGCAAGTCTTCTGTTCAATGGAAGTTAAGTTTTGGGCGAGTCAAAAGTTACAGGTGGATTTTTGACTGCATGAAGGAGTCAGTGCCCCTCCCTCCCTCATTGTTCAAGAGTCAACTGTAAATAAGTCTTGGAAACATAATGTTTTTGTTTTTGTTTTTGAGACAGAGTCTCACTCTGTTGCGCGGGCTGGAGTGCAGTGGCATGATCTCGGCTCACTGCAACCTCCACCTCCTGGGTTCAAGGGATTCTCCTGCCTCAGCCTCCTGAGTAGCTGGGATTACAGGCGCCCACCACCACGCCCAGCTAATTTTTGTATTTTTAGTAGAGACAGGGTTTCACCAGGTTGGCCAGGCTGGTCTCGAACTCCTGACCTCAAGTGATCCGCCCACCTCAGCCTCCCATAGTGCTGGAATTACAGGCGTGAGCCACTTGGCCTGGCCTTGGAAACATAATGTTAAAGGGAAAAATGCAATTTGCTAAATGAATCACAGAGTTTAACATTTACGGAAAGTGTGGAAACAATACTATATATTGTTTGTGGTTAGGCACATGTAGTTAAAGTAAAAAAAAGATACAAAAAGATACAAAAAAAGTAGGAGGAGAAAAGGGAATGGTGTCAGGGAAGTACCCAGCAGGCTTCCACTGTAATGTAACATTTTGTTTCTAATCAAAAGAATGTCTGAAACAAGAAATGGACAAATGTGCTTTGAAAAGTACAAGCTGGGCCCTATGGCTCACACCTATGATCCTAGCACTCTGGGAGGCTGAGGCAGGCAGACTGCTTGATGCCAGGAGTTCGAGACCAGCCATTACTAACATGGTGAAACCCCTTCTCTACTAAAAATACAAAAAATTTACAGGCACACACCTGTAAAGCCAGCTACTCAGGAGGCTGAGGCACGAGAATTGCTTGAATCCAGGAGGAAGAGGCTGCAGTGAGCTGAAATGGCACCACTGCACTCCGGCCTGGGTGACAGAGCATGCCTCTGTGTCAAAAGAAAGGAAAGGTGCAAAAGATGGGACCACATGGCACACCAAGACTGCTGTGATCACAGGTCCCCCTTACAAGGAATGGGTGCACCAGAGAAATCCTGCCCCGTCCCCGGCATGCCCCCACCTGGATAGCGCAGGTGGTTGGCCTCTGTCACTCAACCAAAGGGAACTGCTTCCAGCCTTTTCCCTCTTTCCCCAACTCCTCACACTAGACAGAAGGAATGTTCCCCAGGGCCAATTGTGCCAGGTGACTCTCTTCCTTAGAATTCTCCCATGGCTCCCCAGTGCCCTCAGAAGCAAGCCCACACTCCTTTCCAGGGTCAACATTTACCTCCATAGCCTGGGCCCTGCTGCCTTGCCAGCCTCACCTGCCACCATTCTTGTTCCCACACCCTGTAGAAGCCACAGTTGCATGCAGAGCCACCTCCATTCCCTCTCGTCCAGTAGTTTTTCTCACCTTGATAATTTTGCATGTGTGACCCCTTGCTCTGGAAAAGGCCCTTACCCCCTGCCAGCCTTGTCGGTCTGATGCCCGGAGTCCTCACCACCATGCACAGTGCATCCTAAGAGAAGCCTGACAGGCCTTGCCAGGAGATTGGCATCAGCCACCTCTGGATGAAGGAAGGGCGGGCCATTTCCCATGGCCCCATCCTACTTTCCCGCAGTTCCCAGACTTATTGTGGTGGTTGTTGCTAACAACTCACATGTACAATCAGTGGTAAAATTCAGCTTCTTTCATTCAAAACCAAATGAATGCCACCAAAATAGCTTCATAAGACAAAAGGACAAAATGACACTTTTCTTCCCACTTAGTTCACAAATGTCCCCTCTGGCTAACCAAAAGGGTACCTGTTCCATCTGCTCTTTCTGTCCTGCCTCCTCCTCCTCCTGAGTTCCCAAAGCCAAAAGATTGCAGGTAGTAAATGCACCCCAAATTCCCCCCGCTTTCTCCTCCCTGAACTAACAAAAGGAAGCAAGGAGGTTAGGATTCACCTGTATCTGTGTGTGCATTTGTGTATGTGAGTGTATGGGTGCTCACATATGGGTACACAGAAAAAAAAATCTAAAAAAAAAAATTCCTTTCCTATTTGTGACCACATATCCTTTTTTTTTTTTTTTTTTTTGACACAGGATCTTGCTCTGTCACCCAGGCTGGAGTGCAGAGGTGTGATCTCGGCTCACAGTAACCTCTGCCTCCCAGGTTCAAGAGATTCTTGTGCCTCAGCCTCCCATGTAGCTGGGACTACAGGTGCACACCACCATGCCCAGCTAATTTTTGTATTTTTTGTAGAGCCAGGGTTTTACCACATTGGCCTGGCTGGTCTCGAAGTCTTGGCCTCAAGAGTTCTACGTTTCTAACAGAGTTCCATTTCTAATAGAGTTGCTACATATAATACATGTCAAATATTTATCTAATACATATGCACATACTACATGCATATGCATTTGTACAGGTGTGTTTTAGGCACCCAGGTCTCACTGCTTGCCAGATAACAAAGTTCTTCCCTGTGGACCTCTACTTCCCCATCTATAAAATGGGAGACTTCATCCCCTTCATCCCTGACCGTTTATCTGAGTCTGTCTCATGTAGAAGGTGGAGGCAAACACCTACTTTGCATGATTTGTCCTAAATTTTCACCTCCCTGTCTGCAATCCTGCTGGAAATCCCATTAGTGACCCCATCCACTATCCTCTTTGGAAATGTCCTTATCCCTAGTATGAATATCTGTAATTCCCTACAGTTTTCAACCTGGGGTGATTTTGCTCCCAGGAGACACTTGGCAATGTTTGTATACATTTTTGGTCATCAAGTGTTGGGGGTTGCTACTGGTCAACTGGCTGGTAGAGGCCGGGGGGTGCAGTTAATATCCTGCAGTGCACAGGGCAGCCCCCACCACACATCAAGAGGAGTAAAGTTGATTGCGAAGCCGAGGAGGGCAGATCGCTTGAGCTCAGGAATTCGAGATGAGCCTGGGCAACATGGAGAAACACCATCTCTACAAAAAATAAAAAAGTTAGCGAGGTGTGGCGGTGCATCTGTGGTCTCAGAGACTCAGGAGGCTGAGGCAGGAGGATCACCTGAGCCCAGGGAGGTTGAGGCTGCAGTGAACCCTGATGGTGCCACTGTACCCCAGCCTGGGTGATGTGAGACCCTGTCGCAAAAAAAAAAAAAAAAAAAAAGCGGTGAAGTTGAGAATGAGTAGCCCTGCCTAGAATGAAAGCATTTATTGGATACTTTCCTTTACACTCTCTAGACTGAGATGCTTGGAGTGTTCTGGTAGTACCCAAGGTAGAAGGAAGCATTACAAGTTTAAAAATGGAGAAATTATGTTTTTATGCAGCAGCTGGGCACCAGGCTATGGATTCATCACTTTGTAGGCCACATCTCCTGCCAAGCAAGCCACATGCACCCTGTTTCCAGATGAGAATGTTGAGACAAGGTTGGTTAAAACACGCAGTTCTGAAGAGTTACTGTAACAGATTCTGGAGTCTGTGCTCTGGAAGGGAGGAATGGGGGTGGTCACTAACTCGAGGAGAGGGAAGCATTTGTGCCTGAACAATGAGAGTTGTTTTCAGATGAAGAAATCGGCACATGTTGAGAGAACAAGACAAGCTTTTTATCCGAGTGCTTGATTTTCATTACAATGACAGGTGTCTCCATGGCTTCGTGCTTGGAAGTGACTAATTCTAAGGAGTCTTTCCTGTTGGTCAAGTCCTAGTCTCTGGGTTTGACTACTCATTCATTCATTTGATCTTTCATTCATTCAATAAATACCTATCAAGCCTCAACTATATACTGTGCTCTGTGGATATATTGAATGCAAAATCAGGCGTGGCCCTTGCCCTCATAGAGCCTAGGAAAAGAGATGGAAATGAAATCAAAGAACTAAATAAATACATATAGAGCAACATGTGTGATTAGGGCTTCCAAAGAGAGGTGAGCAAAGCAGAAAATAGCACATCAGAAGATTGGCCTGGCCATAGAAGCCAGGGAGGACGCTGGGCCGAGATTCGAAGCCTGCATAAGGGGGATAATTACGTCAGGTGTGGTGGCTCACGCCTGTAATCCCAGCAGTTTGGGAGGCCGAGGCAGGCAGATCACTTGATCTGTCAGGAGTTAGAGACCAGCCTGGCCAACATGGTGAAACCCTGCCTCTACTAAAACAAAATTAGCCGGGCATGGTGGTGTGCACCTGTAATCCCAGCTACTTGGGAGGTTGAGACAAGAGAATCACTTGAACCTGGGAGGTGGAGGTTGCAGTGAGCCAAGATCATGCCACTTCACTCCAGCCTGGATGACAGAGCAAGATTCCGTCTCTAATAATAATAATAATAATAATAATAATAATAATAGGAATAATTAGGCAAACTGGGGGAAAATATGTTTCAGGAAAAGAAAACAGCATATGCCAGAGTCCTGTGGCTGGAGGACTCATCAAGGGTACACAGGACAGAAAAAAAAGTTTATATACATGGTAGGAAGCTAAAGAGACAAAGCAAGGGCTGGTCCACACAGGTCTTGTGAGTTAGTAATTAGGATTTGTATCCAGAGGGTGAAGGGGAGCCATGGCAGGTTTAAGCAGGAGGGTCTCATGATCAGATTTGCATTTTGAGATCCCTCTGACTTCTGCATGGGATTTGTAGGGGGACAGAGGGAGTGCAGACAGACCTGTGAGAAGTGCTGCTGGGGTTGTGTGAACAAGAGAGGATGCGGGCCTGGATCAGGGGATTGGTGAGAAGTGTGTGAATTTAACAGAAATTCATTAGCTCAGATGGGTGATGGAAGTTCAGGAGAACTGCATGAAGAACTCATACACCCTTCTTTTGGGATCTCCTTCAGGGCTGCCCTGCCAAGGCTCCCAGATGCCCGCGGCCATCACCAATCAACTCCCCTGCTCGAGATGGGGAGCAAAGATTTGGTTTTAGGAAGCCACTATTGTGGTGGACTGTGGCTCCCACCTGGGCCTGGCTTCCAGCCTGGATTCCTCGCAGAGCCTGTCCAGGGCAGCCACAGGACGCAGGGACTCTCAGCCCTGCACACTCGGGGCTTCAAAGGCCACAGCAAAGGGGAGGCCCAGAAAGAGCTATTTCAGGCTTCCTATTTTTAAAGCCGGGGTCAGGGTGCCCTGCTCACCACCAACATTTCCAGTACTGGAAGCTTCAAAAACTTCAACTCCCTCCAGCCCAGCACCAGAGACAGGCTCTGTGCACAGGGCTGTGCAGTGACCATGGGCAGCCAGGAGAGAGGCCTCCAGCATGGGTGGAGGAGGTTTTGGAGTGCCGTGGTGCAAGAAAAGCCAGAGAGGTTGACCACCATGGGTGGGATAGAGCCCTGGGTTCAAACCCAGCTTTTTCATTTTCCACCAGCATGGCCTTGAGCAAATCATCTCCCCCTTTCTGAGCCTCAGGGGCTCCCCTAGAAAATGGGAATAAGCCACAGGTGGTCATAGGTGGAAGCGTGAGGACATCAGCCAGCAATCACTTAATAAATGCCTCCTGTGAGCCTGTCATGGTACGCGGTGGTGGTAATGCAATTGTGAACAAGATGTGCTTCACTGAGCTTTCATTCTAACAGGGAAACCAACATTAAAGAAAAATTGAAGGCTGGGGGCCGTGGCTCATACCTATAATCCCAGTGCTTTGGGAGACCGAGACGGGAAGATTGCTTGAGCTGAGCCCAGGAGTTTGAGACTAGTCTGGGCAACACAGCGAGACCCCACCTCTACAAAAAATAAAAATAAAAAATTATCCGGGCATGATGGTGCACACCTGTAGTCCCAGCTACATGGGAGGCTGAGCCAGGAGGATCACCTGAGCTCAGGAGATCAGGGCTCAGTGAGCTGTGATGGCACCACTGCTCTCCAACCTGGGCAAGAGTGAGACCCTATCTCTAAAAAGAAGAATATAGTTTGCCTCCTGAATATATAATAATGATGAATATAAAGTATGCCTGGAAGAAAAGGAGGATTTGGCCAATATGTGGACCAATCTTTTTGACAGAAACTGCTATCTCAGGAAATGGCAGCGTGAGCCACCTGGTTGATGTTTCCTAATTCCTGGATTAATGGAGAGAAAGAAAATTTAAGCCCAATCCACTCAAAGTTGCCTTCTTTAGTGAAAAAAAGAATAACAACTTTATGAAGAAACAGCATTAACTATAAACTGGTCTTGGAAAAGGAACATATCACCCACCTATTTTCATGAAAGATGCAGAAAGGCGAACAGTTTAAAGAAATACAAAACCCAAAGGCAATGGTAGCCAAGTGCAATGGCTCACACCCATAATCCCAGCACTTTGGGAGGCTGAGACAGGAGGATCACTTGAGCCCAGGAGTTCAAGATCAGCCTGGACAACATAGCAAGACCCTATCTTGGCAAAGCAATGGTTCTCAAACTTGGGTTTACAGTTGGGACACCCCTCCCTCCCAAATTGTGATTCAGTAGGTCTAGGGTAGGACTGAGAACTTGCATTTCTTTTTATTTATTTATTGAGACCCGTTCTCACTCTTTTGCCCAGGCTGGAGTGCAATGGCGTGATCATAGCTCACTGCAGCCTTGAACTCCTAGGCTCAAGTGATCCTCCCACCTCAGCCTCCTGAGTAGCTAGGACTACAGTTGTGCACCACCATGCCCAGCTAATTTTTTATTTTTTATAGAGATGGGGTCTTACCATGTTGTCCTGGCTGGTCTCGAATTCCCGGCCTCAAGCGATCCTCCCACCTCAGTTTCCCAAAGTGTTGGGATTATAGGCCTGAACCAAGGCTCCTGATCGGAACTTGCATTTCTAACAAGACCCCAGGTGATGCCAGTGATGCTGGTTTGTGGTTCACACACTGAGAACCGCGGCTTCAGGGAAGCTGGGAATACCTTTGGAGATTCACTAATATGAGCCCTGCTTCACTGAGTCTCTTTTCTCACAAGGGGAGACAGGAAGCCCTCGACAGCCTCTTAGGGGCAGAAGGGTCTGGTTTTCAGCTTCGTGCTGGGAGGAGCTTGGGGCAGCCTCTGAGCTCCTTCCCATCCACATCCCCAGCCAGCTGCTTCATCACTTGGGAGGTGATGGTCAACCTGCCCAGCACCTCAGTCCCACCTTGATAGAAACCAATTCCATTGCTGTAGCAGAAGATGGGTGGAGTGGAAATCCATATTCCAGGGGATTCTGAGGCAGGCATCCCATCCTGAGCACGCATGGTTCTCCCCACTGGTTGAGATCTTATCTGAGAGAGAGAACGTGCTCCTCTCCACCTGTGTTTTTTTAAAACCCCACCACTCCGCTCACCTGGGTTGTCTTTGCTTTGAAGACTCACCCCTAGTGGTTTTCTTATTTCAGCCCAGGGTGCACCAAAAAAGCAAGAAAAGTTTTGTTCCTCCCATGTCAAGGTCCTGAGACTCACTCCACAGAATGATCCTGTTTTCCAGAAAAACTTGAAACACCCCAGAGGCCAGCGATGGCCAAGGAAGTGCAGAAAACCCCTCTCCTAGGGCTGATGACTGTGTTTTCAGCTTCTCCCGAGATCAGTGACTGCATCTCCACTTCTACTTTCCAAGGCCTCCCCACGGGTGGGGCATTTTTTAGAGTCACTGCCAGTCAGGAGTGAGAGGGACAGAACACAGCACCCTTCGAGGACTCATGATGATGAAAAGAGAAACTTCCTGGAAATTAAAAAAAAAATACAGAAAAGCACAAAGCAAATGGCAACAATTGCCTAAATGGCCCATACCACAAACTCAACATTTTTTAATAATCTGGCATGTTTTCCAGTCTTTTCTATGTGCATACTTCAAAAAAGTTATGTAACTCATGTATCAAAATCATTAGCATTTCGTTTAAAAAAGAAAATTGGATAGCAGCTATGTTAAATCTTTCTGAAAAAACAAACATTACGTTGATTTATGTCTATTGCTGGATAAGCTGAAGGAAAGGTCAGCAAGCCATGGCTTGTAGGACAAACCTGGCCGATACTTCATTTTATACAACCCATAAAATACAAATAGTTTTTACATTTTTAAATGGTTGGGGAAAAATCAAAGGAAGAAACTCATGTGTTCTCACTCATATGTGGGAGTTTAAAAAGTGGATCTCATGGAGGTAGAGAGTAGATTGGTGATTACCAGAGGCTGGGAAGGGAAGGTGGGGAGGGAAGGATGAAAGAGAAGTTGGATAATGGTACAGAAATACACTTAGATAGAAGAAATAAGTTCTTGTATTCAGGCCGGGCACTGTGGCTGATGCCTGTAATCTCAGCACTTTGGGAGGCAGGGGCAGGTGGATCGCTTGAGCTCAGGAGTTTGAGACCAGCCTGGGCAATATGGCAAGATGCTGTCTCTACAAAAAATACAAAAATTAGCCAGGCATGGTGGCACGTGCCTGTAATCCCAGCTACTCAGGAGGCTGAGGTGGGAGGATTGCTTGGGCCCAGGAGGCGGAGGTTGCAGTGAGCCAAGATTACGCTACTGCACTCCAGCCTGGGTGACAGAGTGAGACCCTGCCTAAAAAAAAAAAGTTCTTGTATTCAATAGTACAGCAGGGAAATTATAGTTAACAATAACGTCTTACAGATTTCAAAATATCCAGAAGAGGAAAATTGTGTTGGGCAATGTCCCCAACACAAAGAAAAGATAAAAGATAAATGTTTGAGGGGATGGGTATCCTGATTACCCTGACTTGATCATTATATATTGTATACGTGTATCAAAATATCACATCTACCCCAAAATATCAATATATTTTAAAATGTAAAAAGTAATAAAAAATCTGTGTAATACATGACAATGAAATTCAAATTTCAGCGTTCATAAAGTTTTACAGAGGTACAGCCACACCCATTCATTTACCTACTGCTGCTTCTACGTGATGCCAGCAGGGTTGAGTAGTTGCCAGAGACCATACTGCCCCCCAAAATGTGAAATATTTACTACCCAGTTCTTTACAGAAAAAGTTCGCCAACACCTACTCAAAGTCTGGTCGGTGGTAATTGTTTGTTACCAATCTGCGATGAGATAAACACAGAAATTGAGAGTAAGACTTTAGAGGCCAGGCACGGTGGCTCACGCCTGTAATCCCTGCACTTTGGGAGGCCGAGGTGGGTGGATCACCTGAGGTCGGGAGTTCAAGACCAGCCTGACCAATATGAAGAAACCCCATCTCCACTGAAAATACAAAATTAGCTGGGATTACATGCTGAGTCAGGAAAATCGCTTGAACCTGGAAGGCGGAGGTTGTGGTGAGCCGAGATCGTGCCATTGCACTCCAGCCTGGGCAACAAGAGCAAAACTCTGTCTCAAAAAAAATGAGAGAGAGACTAAAGAGAGACTAAGACTTTAGAAACTTTTGGCTGGGCATGGTGGACTCACCCCTGTAATCCCAGCACTTTGGGAGGCTGAGGCAGGAAGATCTCTTGAGGCCAGGGGTTCAAGACCAGCCTGGGCAACACAGTGAGACCCCCCCCCGCTCCCGCCCCGTCTCTTAAAAAAAAAAAAGACTTTTAATAATTTGACAGTCTGTTTTAACTGTTAATATAAAAATTTTAAATTGGGGATGATTGTTGTATTTTTCATTTTCATTTCTGGTAATTCATTTTTATATATTCTACTAACTTTTCAGTCCATAAGGTATCAAAAAAGGTAAAATACAAAAACTGATCCCTCACTACAGATGTTTTAAAAAATTCTTATAAATATCAAACATTGTTCTGTAACTTGCCTGTTTTTTTTGTTTGTTTTGTTTTACCTCCGGGAATGTTTCTGAGATATGCCCATGTTGAATATGTAAGGTGTTGTGTATCCCTTTTGTCTGTGGCATGATGATATTATTGCATGCTGATTATTTACTCATTCCCCTTCTCATGGACATGTAGGTTATTTCCAGTTTTTTGCTAGCACAGACAATGCTGTTCTGAGCATCCTGTACCTATCTCCTGGTACAGATGTGGGAGAGATTTTCCAGGGTAAACACCCAGTGAAGAAATAGCTGGGTCTCCAGATTTCTGCATCTTCAACATTACTAGAATCTGTCAAATTCTAATTTTTGCAAAGTGATGGCACCAATTTACATCACTGCAGAAGCGCTTCAGAGTTTTTGTTCCCCAATCCTTGCAAACATTTAGTATTGGCTGATGTCTGAGTTTGGGTTTAAAATTATTAGTAAGCAAGCTTCAGACCTTCATAAGCGTTGAGGAGGTGGTGAGAGGTTTTACCTTTTCCCCCTCCCTCCCGCTGTATCTCCAATTTCCTCCAGTTTCACCTGCCTGCGCTCCGCCCCCCGCAACCCCGCCACCCCCTCTGAGCTGACCTGGCCTGGGGCTGCACCTGTACCTGATTTTCATAAAACCTCCCTCCCGGTTCTCATGCACACCCCACGGCTCAGCATCTTGGGTTCTCTCAGCTCCACTAACCAGGGGCTGCCCTAGGAGGGAGCAGGACTTCCTGGCAACAGGTGACAAGGTAGGCTTGACAGGCAGGCTCCTTTGCTTTGTGTCTCTGGTACATGGAGCAGTGGCAGCGTGGGAGAGATTCCCCAATCACTATTCAATGAATGAATGAAGAGCGAAAAGGCAACTAGGGTGTCATTTATTGAGCAACTACTTCGTGTCAGCTCGGTGACCAGGTGTCTGAGAATTACCAATGGAATAAAAACCCCCGTATGGCCCTTGGTCAGATGAGGAAAGAGAGTCTCAGAGAGGTAAGGTCATTTGCCTGCCGTCACAGGGTCAATGAGTAGGAGATCTGGGACTTGACTCTAGTCCTGCCTGACTCCAGGGGCCTCTGGCTCCACTGCCTGACTTGGGGCTGTTTCCACTGCCTCTCTTAGGGCTGCCCTGTGGCTTCCTACCTGTTTCTGCCAGACTCCAATCCACTTCCCAGGGACTAGTCTGGCTGCTGAGTCCGGCTCTCCAACACCAAGAACTAGTTCCCCTGAAACCCAAGGCTCCTACAGGGCCTGCGCAGCTCAGGCCACCCGGCCATGAGCCCCAAGGATGATGCTTTGCTGACACCTGGTGGCTGCAGGGGGAAGTGGAGCCTTGGGGACGGGAAGAAAGGGTTGGCTGGGTCCTGCGGAGACAGGAGAGGAGGTAACTGTAGGCCCCGAGGAGAGGTGAGTAGGGATGACACGCAGAGCACTCCCCACGCAGAAGGGGGAGGAAGAGGGAGGAAGGACTGGGCATTCTCTAGGAAGTCCCCAGGAAGGCTAGAAGTCCGAGGTCAAGGCTTTGGCAGGGTGGGGTCCCTCTGGGGGCTGCGAGAGAGAATCTGCTCCGTGTTTCTCTCCTAGCTTCTGGTGGGTGGCCCGCAGTCTCCGGCACTCTTTGCCTTGCAGAAACATCACCCCAGCATCATCTTCACATGACATTCTCCCTGTGTGCGTGCCTGTCTCCAAGTTTCCCGTTTTCATAGACACCAGTCACGTTCCATTAGGCCCACACTACTCCAGTGTGATCTACTCTTAAAATAACTAATTACATTTGGCCGGGCATGGTAGCTCACACCTGCAGTCACAGCACTTTGGGAGGCAAAGATGGGAGGATTGCTTGAGGCCAGGAGTTTGAGACCAGCCTGGAAAACACAGGGAGTCCACCCCCCACCCCCCAATCTCTACATGAAATTAAAAAAAAAAAAAAAATAGCCAGGTGTGGTCACACACGCCTGCGGTCTCAGCTTCTCCAGAGGCTGAGGCAACAGGATCACTTGAAAGCCCAGGAGTTGGAGGCTGCAGTGAGCTATGATTGTGCCACCACACTCCAGCGTGGACAACAGAGTGAGACCCTATCACTTAAAAAAAAAATTGCACTTGCAATGACCCAGTTTCCAAATAAGGTCACATTCTCTAAGGTATTGAGGATTAGGATTTCAGCATATGAATTTGGGGGGTTCTCATTCAACCCATAATAATCACCATTGCTCTACTCTCAAACTATTACAATCCCCCCACAGTGAGAGCTTCTAGGGGCAGGGAATCTGTCTTACTTTGTATTCCTACTCTGCCCAGTTCCAGGAGTGAAACAGGCACTCAATAGGTATTGATTGAAGAATCAATGGAGAAACGGACGAGAATAACATTTATTTAGCACTTATTAGTTTCTACCTTTATGATAATCATTTTAAGCACTTTAACAAGGTTTTCAATGTGCCCCCACATCTCTGCATTCCAGCCACCACCGTGCCTTTGTGGAGTTTCTCAGAGCTACCAGGCTCCTCCCACCACAGGGCCTTTGCACGTGCCGCTCTCATCTGAGACACTCTTCTTTGGCCTCTTTACCCCTGCAACTTCTACTCTTCTTTGAGATCTCAGCTCGAGTCTTTTCCTCAAGGAAGTAGCTTAGACTTGTGCAGATTCTGTTTTTTTAACTTTTAAGTTCGGGGATACATGTGCAGGTTTGTTATAAACTCATGCCATGGGGGTTTGCTGTAGATTATTTCATCACCCAGGTACTAAGCCAAGTATCCAAATAGGCACTCAGTGGGTAATGGTTGAAGAATGAATGAAGAAATAGATGTTAGTAACATTTATTGAGCACTTACTGGTTTCTTTTTTATTATAAGTTCTGGGATACATGTGCAGAACGTGCAGGTTTGTTACACAGGTATACATGTGCCATGGTGGTTTGCTGCACCCATCAACCTGTCATCTAGGTTTTAAGCCGTGCATGCATTTGGTATTTGTCCCAATGCTCTCTCTCCCTCTTGTCCCCCACTCCCTGACAGGCCTCGGTGTGTGATGTTCCCCTCCTTGTGTCCATGTGTTCTCACTGTTCAACTCCCACTTATGAGTGAGAACATGTGGTGTTTGGTTTTCTGCTTCTGTGTTAGTTTGCTGAGAATGATGGTTTCCAGCTTCATCCATGTCCCTGCAAAGGACATGAACTCATTTTTTTATGGCTGCATAGTATTCCATGGTGTATATGGAGCACTTACTGGTTTCTACCTTTATGATAATCATTTTAACCACTTCAGCTCATTCAACAAGGTTTTCCACTTTTCCAAATGTGAGGGGATGCTTCTAAATGGAGTCCTAAAAGGGCAAGAATACCTAAAACATTCCTGAAGAATCATGTTATAGGGCCAAATGTTTTGGCACCAGGGATTGATTTTGTGGAAGACAATTTTTCACGGGCTGTGGGCAGGGGACATTAGATTCTCATTGGAGCATGCAACCTAGATCCTTTCCATGTGCAGTTCACAATAGGGTTTGCACCCCTATGAGAATCTAATACTGCCGCTGGTCTGACGGGAGGCGGGGCTCAGGCTGTAATCCCCACCTCCTGCTGTGGAGCCCCCATTCCAGGCCACGGGAGGCCCGGGAGGCCCAGGGGTGGAGGGCCCCTGTTTTAGGGACCTCAACACTGACTACAAAGCAATAGTCATTAACATAATCTGGCAAGAGTGCAGGGATACACAGACTACAGGAACAGAAAAGACAGCCCATAAAATCACCCCACCTGTGGGGAAGGGGATAGATCAGCAAGGCGACATTGCACCACAGTGCAGGAAATGGACTCCTTCATGAATGATTTAAGACACTGGACTTCCAAAAAGAAAAAAAAACTGAATCTCTACCATACACTATATACAAGAATCAGCTCCAGAAGGATTAAGAACGCAAATGTGAACAGCAAATGTTTAAAAAGTTTAGAGAAAAAAATCTATTAGGGAATTTCTTTGTGACCGGGGATTAGAAATAATTTCTTCAAGTTTGGCCAGGTGCAGTGGCTCACGCCTGTAATCCCAGCATTTTGGGAGGCTGAGGCAGGCAGATCACAAGTTCAGGGGTTCGAGACCAGCCAGACACTCAGAGGCAAGGGAATTGCAAGTCAGGTGAAGAAACAAAGGCTCAGAGAGGTTGGGCACTGTGTCCAAGGTCACACAGTTAAGAGCTAAGAAGCTGCAGAACCGTAAGACTCAGTAAGGGTTCTGTTGCCCTACTCATAGCCCAGATACTTGCCAATTCTCATTTCTATCACACACACGCACGCACACACACACACACACACACACACACCAGCTGCCAGGGGAGATCAAAGACCCACAGCAGACAAGTTGCAAGTCACACTTCATTCACTCTCTGGGAGGTCTGGAGGGTTCCTGGGCAGCAGACCTGGGTCCTGGGAAGGAGGCATGGTGGGGTGGGCACTAGTTGGAGGGGTGGAAGGCACCACATTGGTGCCCCTGCATGTCGTGGATGCAGCGCACGGACTGTACCTGAGGGTGACGGGCCCCAAAGTCGCTGCTGTCCTTGTAGTCTCCCTTCTCCAGCAGGTACTGCAGCCCACGGTAGCCAGGGTACTAGTAGCCAACCCACCTGCAGGGCCAGAGGGGAGGGGAGGGTGAACCAGGGGGACAGGAAGAGAAGCAGACAGAGAGAGAGGTGAGGGGAGAGAGATAGAGCATCCATAAGCCACTAGGAAGGGTGAAGCCTCCCAACCATTGCCACTTCCCAAGGGTAAGCAGGACACCCTTTCCACCCCACCCTTCCAGCATTGAGCCTCTGCTTTCTTCCTTCTCTTGACGGGGAGCTCACTGCCTCCTGAAGCAAATTTTGACTGAAGGCCTGTACTATACTGTACTGGGGTCAGAGCAAGGGGGTGATATCTTAAGCTCACTGAAGCTTAGAATAAGCCAGGCCTTTGAACCATCTCCCTCCAGTCTTATCCCACCTCCAAGCCTGGCTGCAAAGTCAAAGAAGAGTTGGGGGAGGTTCCAGGGGCCTTCTGATCAAAGAGGTTCCAGGGGCTACTTAATGAAAGTGCTGGTCTTCTCTCCAGAAAATGTCACACAGGCCTGGCCTGCAAGGATCTGCCTGGCCAGTCTCTGTGAACACCTCCAGCTCTACTTCTCATTCTTATGCTTCCACATCTCTGCATTCCAGCCACCATGGCCTTTGTAGAGTTTCTCAGACCTATCAGGCTCCCCACACACACACCACAGGGCCTTTGCACATGCTGCTCTCGTTGTCTGGGATGCTCTTCCTTGGCCTCTTTACCCCTGCAATTCCTACTGTTCCTTGAGATCTCAGCTCAAGAATCTTTTCTCCAAGGAAGTAGCTTAGATTCATGTGGATTCTTAAAGTATTAACAGTTGCCCCTTCTAGACTGTTGGCTACACAGGGCAGAAGCCAGATCTCTTTAATCTCCTTCACCCTGGGCACCTAACACAATGCCTGGCATATGGCAGCACTGACAGATTGAATGAATGAATGAATGAATGAGGGAATGAAGGGGAATAGGAGCACAGAACTTTGCACACTATTTTAGGAGTTTCACAAACCCCAAGAAGCCAGTATGTTTGGCTAAATTGGTTCTGTTGTGGGGAAAGAGCCTTAATTAGCAGCACTTGCTGATTTCTATGCTGTAAATGCACCCTGTGGCTGGTTTCAAGCTACCAATGATTAGTCAACCAGTTCACACAAATTCTGAAAATTTAAGAGTCAGTTCCAGGTCAGGCACAGTGGCTCATGCCTGTAATCCCTGCACTTTGGGAGGCCGAGGCAGGCAGGTCATGAGGTCAGGAGTTTAAAACTAACCTGGCCAACACAGTGAAACCCTGTCTCTACTAAAAATGCAAAAAATCAGCTGAGCTTGGTGGTGGGCACCTGTAATCCCAGCTACTTGGGAGGATAAGGCAGGAGAATCGCTTGAACCTGGGAGGCGGAGGTTGCAGTGAGCCAAGATCATTCCACTGCACTCCAGCCAGGGCGAAAGTGCGCGCCTCCGTCTCAATTAAAAAAAAAAAAAAAGTCAGTTCTTACAAGCTGGTATAAGCTATTTCCAGCACACCGCTGCCCAAAGCTCATCTGTGGACCCCCATGGAATCCAAATTTTTTACCATGAGAAATCCCTCACTGCTGATGGCCAGGGTCGATGTGCCCAGGAACTTCGATTCAGTGGAAAATGACACCTCCTGTTCCCAAACTTAGGGACACAAGTGGTCAAAGGCAGCATGGGCTGGTCCTCCTGCTTCTCATAGCTTTCAGACTACTCAACTCATTCCTTCCCTCCTGCCTCAACCTAATCCTCCCTCTGCCTCAACTTGCCCCTCTGACATACATGTCTTGCTCACTGGGGCTGAGGTTAAGGCCAAGGTTTCTCCACTCCAAAGGCATACCATTTCCCCAAAGGCAGCTCTAGAAAGAAATTCAGCGGCTGTAAGCCACCTATGGGCAGAGAATTCCCATTTACTTTCCAGTGGGAAGCCAGAGGTCAGCAGAGCACATTGATGTGTGCAAGATCACCAGTGTGTACAGGGCAGAGCAGGACTTAGGACCCCAGAGTCTCAGTTCCTGGGGCAGGGTGAGCCAGGGCTGGCAATGCACTTACATGCCACTCCGCACCCACACAGATGACACCTTCTCCTGGTAGCCATGGGCGTGGAAGCTGGGTACATCGTCATCTATGATTTCCATCTTCTTCCCGGTGAAGTTGGGGTTTTCATAGAGGATGATCTTGTGCTCTTGGCTGTCCTATTGGCAGAGGATGGGGGGAAGTGAGTATGGGTGAGGGGGCCCAGGGTTGGCCTTCCCACCCCATGCTCATGCCCCAGAGTTGGGATCAGCATGTCCCACACATCACTCTCTTCCCAATGCACCCACTACGTGTCTATGACCACTGCTGTTGGATCACAGCCGTTTGTTAAGTTTCTACTGGGCCATTTTCATGTAACAGACACTCTGCAACACTTTGGGGAATGTTTGATTCTGAAATGTCATTTTTTCCTCCTCAAGTTTCTCTTTTATAAATGGTGGCTACGATCTACCTACCCACCCACATATGAACACCCACACATACACACACACGCACACCCACACAAGCGTGCACACATACAGGCACACACGCACACTTGCACACACACACGCGCGCGCACACGTGCACACCCACACATGTACACACACATGCACACCCACACATGTGTGCACACACGTGCACACTTGCACACACACACGTGCACACACATGCACACCCACACATGTACACACACACATGCACAGGCTAACTGTGCCTCTAATAGGCACCTGAGATACTTTGATTTTTCTTCATTTCTACATCTCTTCCCATCCTCCTGTCCCTATGACATTTTCCTTAGTTATCTCATCTCATCCTTTACACATAAAACCCTTATCCCTCAGACATAAAATCCTCTTATGCCATTTAGCAGATGAGGAAAGTGCGGCACAGAGAGGTCAAATGACGTGCTCAAGGCCACACAGCTGGGAGCAGCACAGCCAACTTGGGAACCCAGGTCTGTGGGGTGCAAAGTCCAGTGTTCTCCAACCTTCCAGTAGGTCCTGGGAGGAGCTAGACTGGGCTTGGAGGGTTTGAGAGTGTAACTGAGCAGTGATGGGCCCTGTCCCCTTCCTGAGAGTTGACACTCTCACACACTAGTAAGAATCAGGATCTCAGAAGCACTGAAAACTCACACTGGCACGAGTCTTGAAGAAGAGCTAAACCACCTTCTCCTCCAGCCCCAAACTCATAATTTCTTGTAGTATTTCTGATGGCTATTGGTTATTGAGCAATGACGGGAGTTGCCCAACCCTTGGGCGCGGGGGGCGGGCACCAACCACCTAAAATAGAATGTGAATAGTGCCCTCTGGAGCATTTCATAGTCTTGTGATTGGAGCCTTCTGGAGTTGCAGTGTGACAACCCTCAAGCTAATAAGCACATTGGAACCTCAGGACAGTAGATACCAATATGCCCATTTTACAGATGAAGAAACTGAGGCTCAGGGAAGTAAAATGACTTTTGCAAGGTCACCCAGTGAGGAGGTTCCTCACCAATCAGAAGGGGCACAATGCTAGAGGGGCGGGCTCCTTCCTGGTCCCAGGACCTCCTGCTCCAAGGTGGCAGAGAGAGAAAGTAGGATGATGGCAGGGGGCTCACCACTTTGATGGGCCTCAGGCTGCTGAGTCTGTCCTCTGGCTGCTGGTCCACCAGTCCCAGTGGGCGTACTCGCCCTTCTCAAACACAAACTGCTCGCCCTTGCAGTTGGCCTGTTCATAGCTCACCCAGCTGCCATGGAGTCAGAGAGAAAGGGGGCAGGTCAGTTCCACTCCAAGCTTCCTATGGCAGAATCCTGGCTACTGATGTTGACCCCTAGGGTTCACTCTTGCCCAGCCCGGCAAGATGTAATAGCCCCACCCAAACCTTAGCACAGCAAATCCAAGTGCAAAATCCCCTCAGTTATCTAGAACTCAGTGCTATGCTGCCTTTACCCACCTGGAACACAGTTAAGAAATAAGAAGGCAGTCTAAATAACGGCCCAGCAACAAATACCAATATATAGACGCCATGCACTAAAGCCAATAGTATGCTGGTAAGTTAATAGCCAACTCTCAAAAAACAAAACGAAAATTAACACTCTTGATTTGCAGCGTTTGCCAATTTCCATGGTGTAAATGCTCCCACTGTGGCAGATTTCAAGCTATCAATACGACACGGCTGCAAGTGAAGTTAGGAAGAGAGATGCACAGTCAGCCTTCACCACTGAGAACTGACTCTAGAACATCTCTGGGCCCAAAGCCCCTCTCTTTGGATCTGTTTCTTCTCTTGTTCCTGTTGTTAGACTCTGCCCAAACTCTGTTTTTGTAGATCCACATTAGAAGAAAAATAGTACATTAAAGAGGAAGGGATGGCTTTCAGGTCGGGCATGGCTAATAGAAGAAAGCAGAAAATAGAAGAAAGAAGGCACAAATCTCAAAATGATTAGCATTCTGGGACCAACCAGTGCAGAGGCGAACATTTCAGCAATGTGCAATAATGGCTTTTCAGAGGAATGATCTAAGTCATTAACAAAAGAGGAGATCATGTTTATTATCCTCTTTTGGAAAAGTAGTCTTGATCCAGCAATTCTACTTCAGGCAATGGTTCCTTACAAAACAGTTGTCAAGGGGCTGGGCACTGTGGCTTATGCCTATAATCCCAGCACTCTGGGAAGCTGAGGTGGGCAGATCACCTGAGATCAGGAGTTCGAGACCAGTGAAACTCTATCTCTACTAAAAATACAAAAAATTGGTCAGGCATGGTGGCTCATGCCTTTAATCCCAGCACTTTGAGAGGCCGAGGCGGGCAAATCACGAGGTCAGGACTTCAAGACCAGCCTGGCCAACATGGTGAAACCCCGTCTCTACTAAAATACACAAAAATTAGCTAGGCATAGTGGCAGGCACCTGTAATCCCAGCTACTCAGGAGGCTGAGGCAGAAGAATCACTTGAACCTGGGAGGCGGAGGTTGCAGTGAGCCAAGATCACGCCACTGCACTCCAGTCTGGGCAACAGAGTGAGACACTGTCTCAAAAAATAAAAAATAAAAATAAAGAAAAAGAAGACGTTCAAGTGACCAACTGACATGAAAAAATGCACTACCTCACTAATCATCAGTGAAATGCAACTCACAAACACAATGAGATACCATCTCACGCTGGTCAGAATGGCCATTTTTCCAAAAGCAAAACAACATGCTGGCGAGGCAGGAAAGGAAAGGGAACGCTCCTACCTTGGGGAACGTGAAAACAGGTTCACACTGTGGAAAGCAGTGTAGAGATTCTCAAAGAACTTAAAACAGAACTACCATCAGACCCAGCAATTCCACTACTTAGTATCTACCCAAAAGACAATAAATCCTTCTATCAAAAAGACACATGCTCTCGTGCATTCATGGTCGTGCCATTCACAAGAACAAAGATGTGGAAGCATCCTAGATGACCAGCAACAGTGGATTTGATTTTTTAATGTGGCGCATACACACCAAAAAATACTACGCAGCCATAAGTAAAACACACAATCATGTCCTAAGCAGCATGGATAGACCTGGGGATTATTATGTTTAGCAAACCAAGGCAAGAACAGAAAACCAAATACTGCATGTTCTCACTTATGAGTGGGAGCTAAACAGTGAATACACTCGAACATAAAGATGGAAACAATAGACACTGGGGACTATCAGATGGAAAAAAGGAGGCAGAAAGGGAGTGTGGGCGGAAGAACCACCTGACGGGCACTTTGCTCACTGCCTGGGTGACGGGGTCAGTGGCCACAAGCCTCAGTGTCATCAAAGGTTCACATGTAACTAAGCTGCAATTTAATCAAAATAAAAGTTGATTTAAAAAAAAAAAAAAAAAAACAGGGTTGCCCTGGGCACAGTGGCTCCCGCCTGTAATCACAGCACTTTGGGAGGCTAAGGCAGGCAGATCACTTGAGCCTGGGAGTTCGAGAGAAGCCTGGGCAGCATGGCAAAACCCTACCTCTACAGAAAGTACAAAAAAATTAGTGGGGCATGGGGATGCGCACCTGTAGTCCCAGCTACTTGGGAGGTTGAGGAGGGAGGATCACTTGAGCCCGGGAGGTTCAAGGCTGCAATGAGCCAAGATCGCACTGCTGAACTCCAGCCTGGGTGACAGAGCAATAACCTGTCTCAAATAATAATAATAATAGGATTAGGATATATTATAGATAGATAGATAGATAGATAGATAGATAGATAGATAGATAGATAGATAGATAAAACAAAACCTACAGTCATCCAGGCAATCACTGACTGGCATAAATATAGAAAGACAACCGAATGGACAAAATGAGGGAGCCAAGTAATCAACCCAAAATTATATTTAGGGCACACATTTTTCAAAAGCACACCAAGGCACACCAGTTGAGAAAACTGGGTAGTCATGTGCAAAAGATTGAAATAGCACCCCTATGCTGCCCAATACACAAAAATCTACAAAAAATAAATCGAACAGTTAAATTCAATCCTGAAAGCAAAACACTCCAAGGAAAAAACATGGGATAAGCATATATTTGGGGGAAACTTGACACTGTGCACACAGGTCGCAAAAAGAAAAGGAAAAATTAGGGGGAAAATACGCATAGACAATAAAATGGCTTAACAATCTCTTTTTTTGGATGGAACACTGAAATCACTGGCAACAAATGCAAATATAAACATGAGAGACTAAGTACAACATTAGAGCTGCTGCACAGGACAGAACAAACGAACCCAAAGAGAAGGCATCTTAGACTAGGCATGGTGGCTCACGAGGTCAGGAGTTTGACACCAGCCTGGCCAACATGGTGAAACCCCGTCTCTAGTAATACAAAAATTAGCTGGGCACGGTGGTGCGTGCCTGTAATCCCAGCTACTCAAGAGGCTGAGGCCGGAGAATTGCTTGAACCTGGGAGGCGGAAGTTGCAGTGAGCTGAGATCATGCTACTGCACTCCAGCCTGAGTGACAGAGCAAGACTCTGTCGTGGGGAGAGGAGGGGGCAGAGAAGAAACGAACAAACAGCATCGCAAAGATGAGAAGAAAGTTTAGGGAAACATACAGCTGATAAGACCTTGTTTTCCAAAAGGCACAAGCTACTAACACTAGTAACTAGCAAAAAAACTAAACAAAAGAGAAACTAGTAACCGAACCAAAATTGGGCAAAGAGCCTGAATAGACTTTTTGGCAAAGAAGACATAACACTGACTTTATCTTTACAAAAATGTGGTTAACATTACTACTCCTGCAAAAAATGGAAATCAAAACCATACACAGAAAGCATCTCTTATTTGAAATGAATATGACAAATAAAAATACAAACACAAATGCTGGTGTGAATTTCCAGGAAAAAAGAAGTGTTTATGGGAGGGTCAATTACTATATACACTGCGGAAAGCAGTTGCAGATTCCTCAAAAAACTCAAAGTCCAATGCCATATGATCTATTCATCCCACTACTAGCTATACAGTCAAAGCAAATCAGTATTTTGAAGAGACATCTGCCTTTCCATGTCTATTGCATCACTAGTCACAATAGCTAGGATGATGGAATCAGACTACCTGTTCACCCACAGATGAAGGGATAAAGAAAATGTAGTACACATATACAATGATATACTCTCCGGTCATAAAAAATAATGCAATTTTCATTTAGGGCAACACCAATGAACCTAGAAAACATTCTGTTAAATAAGCCAAGCACAGAAAGACAAAGACAAACACTGCATGACCTCACTTATGATGAATCCAAAAACTTAACCTTCAAGAAGCAGAAAGTACAGGAGTGGTTTCCTGAGGCTGGGGGAAGGAGGGCAGATAGGAGGGATTGGTTATAGAAACAAAGTTACAGTTAGCTGGGAGGAATACATTCCTGTTCCACAGCTGAGTGACTCTGGTTACAATACTGTATTTTTCAAAAAAGCTAGAAGGGAACAATTTTGAGTGTTCTCACCACAGAGAAATAATACCTGTAGGAAGGAATAGTTAGGCTAAGTACCCTGATTTGATCATCACCAAAAATATACATGTATCAAAATGTCCCAGACGAGGCTGGGAAAGGTGGCTGTGTGTAATCCCAGCACCTTGGGAGGCTGAGGTGGGCAGATCGCTTGAGGCCAGAAGTGTGAGACCAGCCTGGCCAACGTGGCAAAACCCCGTCTCTACTGAAAAATACAAAAATTAGCTGGGCATGGTGGCACACACTTGTAATTCTAGCTACTTGCGTGGCTGAGGCACAAAAATCACTTGAACCTGGGAGCCAAAGGTTGCAGTAAGCCAAGATCATGCTACTGCACTCCAACCTGGGCGACAGAGCGGGACTCAGTGTCTCAAAATAAAAACAGAAACAAAAACAAAAGAGTCCCAGATGAGAAAAAAAGTCCCAGTATACCCTCTGTTTATGTGCCTTATTATAGACAAAACATTTAAGAAGTATAGGCCGGGTGCGGTGGCCCCTTAATCCTAGCATTTTTGGGGGCTGAGGTGGGTGGATCACGAGGTCAGGAGGTCAGGAGATCAAGACCATCCTGGCCAACATGGTGAAACCCCATCTCTACTAAAAATACAAAAATTAACTGGGCATGGTGGCGCGCCTGTAGTCCTAGCTACTTGGGAGGCTGAGGCAGGAGACTCACTTGAACCCAGGAAGCAGAGGTTGCAGTAAGCCAAGATCATACTACTGCGCTCTAGCCTGGCGACAGAGCGAGACTCCATCTCGAAAAAAAAAAGGGGTGGGGGAGGAGCGGGTGCAGTGGCTCACACCTGTAATCCCAGCACTTTGGGAGGCCAAGGCAGGCAGATCACAGGGTCAAGAGATCGAGACCATCCTGGCCAACATGATGAAACCCCATCTCTACTAAAATACAAAAAAAAAAAAAATTCAGCTGGGTGTTGTGGCATGCACCTGTAGTTCCAGCTACTTGGGAGGCTGAGGCAGGGGAATCGCTTTAACCCAGGAGATGAAGGTTTCAGTGAGCCGAGATCATGCCACTGCACTCCAGCCTGGTTGACAGAGCAAGACTCCGTCAAAAAAAAAAAAAAAAAAAAAAAAAAAAAGTTTAAATACACAATGCTAATATTATCATGGAACCACAAAGAGCCCTGAACCTCTAAGGAACCCTGACAAATACAAACTAAGTTGGAGGACTCACAATTCCTCATATCAAATTGCGTTGCAAAGCTGTAGGTAGCCAATACCCCAATACACATGGTCCTGTGATGTGCCGCTGTGCTCCAGCATGGGTGAGAGTGACCCGTCTCAAAAAAGAAAAAGATTGTGAGAAAATAGGAGGGAATCAGAGAAGTGATAACTGGTTGTTATCAAACATATACACAGAAAAAAAAACCAAATAGCATAAAAAATACATATCCAAACTAAAATCGGGCAGAAAACCCGAATAGACATCGCTGCCAAAATTACATAACATGCACAAACACGTAAGAGAAAAGGTCCTCAACATTACTATTCATCAGAAAAGATTGTACTCCAAAACCACATTCAGATACCATCCCACACCTACTGGAATACATGTTACTGAAAATATCTTAAAAATTAAAAAGAATGCTGGTGTGGATTTGGATAAAGGGAAAATCTTATGCATTGTTGGTGTAAAGATAAATTAGGATATACACTATGGAAAAAAGTTGTAGGCCAGACGCGGTGGCTCATGCCTGTAATCCCAGCACTTTGGGAGGCCGAGGCGGGCAGATTACGAGGTCAGAAGATCAAGCCCATCCTGATTAACACAGAGAAACCCCGTCTCTACTAAAAACACAAAAAATTAGCCGGGCATGGTGGCATGCACCTGTAGTCCCAGCTACTCGGGAGGCTGAGGCAGGAAAATCACTTGAACCCGGGAGGCAGACATTGCAGTGAGCCGAGATCACGCCACTGCACTTCAGCCTGGGCAACAGAGCCAGACTTCCTCTCCAAAAAAAAAAAAAAGTTGTAAATTCCTCAAAAAATTGAAAACGCAACTACCATATGATCTAGCAATCCCACTACTGGGTATACCTCCAAAGCAAATGAAAACAGTATCAGAGTTTGCAAAGCCTCAATGGGGATAGGAGATTTTCTTCATTAAATGGTTTTGAAAAAACTGATGTTTTTATGAAAAAGAATGAAACAGGAACCTTCTGGTATACAATACACAAAAATCAACTCAAAATGGATTGAAGACCCAAACACAAGGCCTGAAATTACAGATCATCATCAAATGTCTGTAAGATAAAAAGAGGGGATGGTGGAGCACTTAGTTTTGGGGCAACTTGCATCTAGGCTCACAGTTTGGAAACAGGAAAAGAAAAAAAGGAAAAAAAAGAAGAGGGACAAAATCTCGTCGAGAATGGAATGACTTATGAATATATTTATTTTTTAAATTGGGAAAGCGAATCACAAGTAACAAAAGCAAAAACAACCATGTGGGGCTACATCCAACTGGAACGCTTCTGTACAGAAAGGAAACAATGACCCAAATGAAAAGGAATCCTACAAATGGGGAGAAAGTTTGGGGGAAGCATATATCTCCTAAGGGGTTGTTATAAAAGATATGCAATACGTTAACAGCGCTAAGCAGCAATAACCACAATAAGATAACACCAAATTGGGCAGGGACCCTGAATAGACATTTCTGCACAGGGGACGTAACACTGAGCAGAATGGAGAGAACCAGGTCCTCAGCATCGCCGTCATCAGGGGTAAGTCCCCGTCAGGCTCGCACTAGGGTGTCCCTCCCCCCTGGTCAGGTGGTCGTGACCAGAGGGACAGAAGGGGACATAGGCTTCCCTGGGGGCGGGGGTTGGAGGGGGGTGAAAGAGTCCCGATTTGTCCCGATGGCGGGAAGGCAAATTTAAAAATTCATCAAATCCTGGAGGCAGCTGGCATCTTTTTTCCTCCGTCTGAGGCCTGGACAGGAGGCGGCCAAAAACCCAGACCTGGCCCCCACTCCCACCTGGGCCGGGCTTCCCCTTCCTCTCTCCCCATCTATATGGGACAGGTTCCCTCAGAAGAACTCCTCAAACCCTAAAAATACCACAGTCTGCTACACTTCCCACCCTCAAAAGCCCTCAGGGAACAAAACTAATGGTAAAACAAATATTAAAATACTATAAGAGAAAGAGGAAAACTAGTGAGAAGATGAGAATAAAGGGAACGTTCGAGGAAACAAACTTCTGTACTCACCGTGTAGAAAAAAATGCCCCGGAGAAGCTGAGCTGCACGCAGCTCCCGCCTAAGCAGTCAGGGCCATAGACGTGAGCTGTTTTCTCCCCAGGACGGGGCTCCAAGTGGTCCCCAAGCCGCCGCGGTGCCCCCTGAGGCGGGTCCTGAAGGAACCGGCCCCGCTTTCCTTCTTCTCATTCTGGACTCCACGCCACGCACGCCACGCACGCCACGCACGCCACGCAGCGTCTACGGTGAGAACACGCATGCGCACCATGTGGGGCAGAAAAGGCGGTTTCAGCGCCCCCTGCCAGTCACAGTGCACAGTGCAGGATGATTCACCTCATGGTCAGCATAAGCCCAGGTCAGGTAGGGTAGAAGGGTGCCTTGTGGGACACCAGGGAGCAGGAACTCCCCAACCTATGCATGTGGACCTCCCCCTGTGAAGCTCCCTTTTTTTTTTGGACAGGGTCTCACTCTGTCCCCCAGGATGAAGTGCAGTGGTGCAATCACAGTTCACTGCAGCCTCAACCTCCCGGACCCAAGTGATCCTCCCATCTCAGCTTTCAAGTACCTGCGAATCTGGCTGCTCCACTGTTGGGTGCATATGTATTCAGGATAAGTAAGTCTTGTGTGTGTATATACGTGTGTGTGTGTGTACATATGTGTGTGTGTGTGTGTGTTGTAAATGGGAATTTATAGGGAGAATTGGCTCACCTAATTGCAAGGCAAAGTCCCACAGCAGGTCATCTGCAAGCTGGAGAATGAGAAAAAGCAGCAGTAGTGTGGCTCCCAGGGGAACCAGCCATGTGGATTTGTTTATGTGCAAAAGCCTGAAAACAACGGAAACTTTCACTGCAGCTCCCAGTCTGAGGTCCAAGATTTGAGAATCCTTTGTGTTTGCTGGTGCAAGTAGCAGAATACAAAGGCCCAAATCATGGAGTTTCAAGTCCAAAGACAGGAGGATAGGAAAAGGTGACCCTCTTCCGGAGAGACAGAGTGAGCATGAACAGGAAAGCCCAGCAAGCTGAATGTGCCCTCTTTTCTATCTTCTTTGTTCTAGCTCAGTGCATGGACTCTGGAGCCAGGCCACCTGGGTTAACATCCTGCTCCAGCCACTTATAAGCTGGTGACCTGGAGCAGGCAGTGAATCCTCTGCGTGTTTCAGCTTCTCCATCTGCAGAAAAGTACCTTCTCATAAGAGTTGTTGAGAGGATAAAATACAGATTAATATACATGAGGAACTCAGAACAGTGTCTCTGTGTGTATAGATAATACAAACACATGTACACACAACTTCTATCCAACTGGAGACCACATTAAAATCCTCCGTTTTGAACAATACCATAATCCCCATTTTGTCCCACACCTCCCCACCCACCTCCTCAGTCGGATGATCCCTGGAGAAAATATGGAACCATCTGTATTAATGCAGTTCTCTCTCTCTCTCTCTTTTTTTTTTTTTTTTTTTTTGTTTTGAGACGGAGTCTCGCTCTGTCACCCAGGCTGGAGTGCAGTGGCGTGATCTCAGTTCACTGCAACGTCTGCCTCCCGGGTTCAAGCGATTCTCCTGCGTCAGCCTCCCAAGTAGCTGGGATTACAGGGGCCCGCCACCATGCCTGGCTAATTTTTTGTATTTTTAGTACAGACAGCGTTTCACCATTTTAGCCAGGATGGTCTCGATCTCCTGACCTCATGATCTGCCCGCCTTGGCCTCCCAAAGTGCTGGCATTCCAGGCATGAGCCACCGCACCTGGCCGGCACCAGTCTTCTTAAGGCTTTACCTGAATTCAATGTTAGCGTTATATCATAAGAGGGACCATATTAACATTTGTTTTTTGTTTGTTTGTTTGTTTGAGACAGAGTTTCGCTCTTATTGCCCAGGCTGGAGTGCCATGGAGGGATCTCGGCTCATTGCAACCACTGCCTTCTGGGTTCAAGCGATTCTCCTGCCTCAGCCTCCCACATAGCTGAGATTACAGGTGCCTGCCACCACGCCCGGCTAATTTTTGTATTTTAGTAGAGACGGGTTTTCACCATGTTGATGAGGCTGGTCTCGAATTCCTGACCTCAGGTGATCCGTCTGCCTCAGCCTCCCAAAGTGCTGGGAATATAGGTGTGAGCCACCACGCTCGGCCTAACATTCGTGTATCTCAGAACAGGGACTGAAGCACAGAGAGATTTACATAACACTCCTAGGTATGTGCAGCTTCTCAGTGGGATTTGAACCCAGGCCATAGGCACCAGGCTCCATGCTCTTGGTCAGTCTGCTCTGCTTCCTTTCCACATTGCCTCATCTAAAGAAAGGCATTTGCCTACATCATCTGTTCCATTTTAAGTGCTACCCACACTGCAAGGTCTTTCTAGGAGGACCAGGCACAGTGGGTCACACCTGTAATCCCTCAACAGTTTGGGAGGCCAAACCAAGAGGGTAGTTTGAGGGTAGGAGTTCAAGACCAGCTTGGGCAACTTAGGGAGACCCCACCTCTACAAAAAACTTTTAGAAATTAGCCCCATATGGTTGTGTGTGCCTGTGGTTCCACCTACCTGGGAGGCTGAGGTGGGAGGATCACTGGAGCCCTGGAGTTCGAGGCTGCAGTGAGTCATGAGCATGCCACTGCACGGCTGCCTAGGTAATAGAGCAAGACCTCATCTCAAAAAAAAAAAATCTCTCTGTAAGGACTAACTCTCTGATTCAGGTGGCTGTGCTAAGCAGGTGGTAAAAATTGGATCAAAAGTTTGATCTGTGAGCTGGGTGTGGTGGCTCATGCCTGTAATTCCAGCACTTTGGGAGGCTGAGGCAGCTAGATCACCTGAGGTCAGGAGTTTGAGACCAGCCTGGCCAACATGGTGAAACTCTGTCTCTACTAAAAATACAAAACTATTAGCCAGGCGTGGTGGCGCATGCCTGTAATCCCAACTACTTGGGAGGCTGAGGCGGGCGAATCGCTTGAACCCAGGAGGCGGAGATGGCAATCAGCCCAGACTACACCACTGCACTCCAGCCTGGGCAACATAGCAAGACTCCATCTCAAAAAAAAAAAAAGTTTGATCTGTGAGTAAAGTATTACTAATTTATCTATGGTCTTCTGCCTGTAAGATTTCAACAGCTATCTTTTTTGTAATTCCCCAGGATCTTGCATCCCGAACATACAAGTAATTCCTGAGGAGTTGGCGGAGCCTCTGCCGACTCCAAGCTGAGCATCCGAGAACTTCTGGCCCAACAGCACTCATCAGGAATCAGTGCAGTCTATTTCTCCCTGGAAGCAGAGGGTCCGAAAAGTTCTGACTAGGCAAAGAGTGAGAGTGTGCATATCAATTGAAGGTACTGTGACTATTCTGTTATTAAGTGCATTCAAGCAGAGTGATTCCAGTTGGTTAAGCATTTCATGTTTAAGACAAAACTTGATTTATTTATTTATTTTAAGTTGGAGTTTCACTCTTGTAGCCCAGGCTGGAGTGTAGTGGCTCGATCTCAGCTCACTGCAACCTCTGCCTCCTGGGTTCAAGCAATTCTCCTGCCTCAGCCTACTGAGTAGCTGGGACTACAGGCGTCCACCAACATGCCCAGCTAATTTTTATATTTTTAGTAGAGATGGGGTTTCGCCATGTTGGCCAGGGTGTCTCGAACTCTTAACATTAGGTGATCCACCCGCCTCGGCCTCCCAAAGTGCTGGGCCTACAGGCATGAGCCACCATGCCCGGCCTAGACAAAACTTTAAAAATGCTGTGTCATATTTCTCTTTTATTTCATGTGTGCACGTTTAAATTATTTAGTCAGTTGCCACTACTACAACTACAGAAGTAATGGCGTATTTACAACTAAAAGTTTCATTCACTTTAAATAGAAAACATCTCAACTGAAACTTTTAACATTTAGCTGATCATTAAACATTAGCTGAGATGGATCTCTTCCTGAAACAGTGTTGCCAGAGTTTTAAAAATTAAGAGAGTTTATGTAGGACAGTTTTAGATGAATGTAAAAATTGAAGAGAGTACAGAAAATTCTCAGACCCTCCCCCCAAAGTTTGCTTTTCTTAACCACCTTTTACATGGGTGTGGTCCATGCGTTACAATGAGTGAACCATTATTGATACATTGTTAGTATCTAAAGGCCAGAGTTTGCATTAAGATTCAGTCTGTGTTTTGGTAGTCTAAGGGTTTTGACATTACATGAGCTTCACCTATTAACTTCTCTCCCCTTTTTCCAGATCCCTCAGCAACCACTGATCTTTTCACTGTCCCTCTGGTTTTTCTTTCCCAGAAAGCTTATGTAATTGGAATCATAGCATATGCAGCTTTTTCAGATTGACTTATTTCACTTATAATATACATTTATGATATTTTCATATTGATTTGTGCCTTTTTATCTCAACGGTTTTTTTTTCAGGATCCTATTTTATTGTTTTTATGACTTTTAAGAAGTTAGCATGAAAATAAATCTTTATTTTCAGTTATTGCCTGCAAGTAAGAGAAAGTTAGGTTCACAGTTTTGGCTCTTGACACAAAGTGAACTAGGAGGCAAATTTAGGTCCATCAGATACAACTAATGGAGCAACTTTTTAAGTTCAGGCTATCTTGAAAGCTTGCAACATATGAGATATCGCTGTGTTGTCTCTCACGACAGCAATGGGTGACACTGAGTAGAAGCTGTGAAGTGTTTTTAATAGCAGGGGTTTTCTATCTTATGTTGCTGGAAATCAAGAGGTTTATAAACATGGTACATGTTTAGAAATGAGTTAGATACTTGAAAAGTCTAAACACACTGATTTACGAGTGCGTATGTTGCAGTCTCAAGAGGGGTCAATAGTCCATATGGACTAAATTAATCTCCGGGTAGCAGGTATGTTTGTAAATATAAAATTATATTAGACGTTAGCGCAGTGCAGAACGTGCTCAGCATCATAAGATCTGAAACACCACACAAGTTTATCCATCATTAAAAACAATTACTTCCTTCCTAAAATGTCAGAATAGTAGGTAACTGAGATTAATAAATCGAATCCAAATGTATCTCAATGGTTTTTTATCACTGGATAATATTCCATTGATCAGTGTAACAAAGTTTGTTGGTACATTCGCCTACTGAAGAACATAAAGGTTGCTTTCAATGTGGGCAGTATGGATAAAGCTACCATAAACATTCCTGTGGACTTTTTAGTACAGACATAATTTTTTTTTTTTCTGAGACAGAGTGTTGCTCTGTCGCCCAGGCTGGAGTGCAGTGGTGCGATCTCAGCTCACTGCAACCAATGTCTCACAGGTTCAAGCAATTCTCCTGCCTCAGCCTCCCGAGTAGGGAGGCCCAGCCCATACATAATTGTTTAATTAAACTGGGTAAATACTTAGGATTGTGATCACTTACTTATATGATAAGACTACATAAGAATTTGGTAGGGTTGCTGGGCACGGTGGCTCATGCCTTTAATCCCAGCACTTTGGGAGGCTGAGGCAGGCAGATCACGTGAGGTCAGGAGTTCGAGACCAGACTGGCCAACATGGTGAAACCCTGTCTCTACCAAAAATAAAAAAATTAGGCTGGGCGCGGTGGCTCATGCCTGTAATCCCAGCACTTTGGGAGGCTGAGGCGGGCGGATCACAAGGTCAGGAGATCAAGACCATCCTGGCTAATACAGTGAAACCCCGTCTCTACTAAAAATACAAAAAAAAATTAGCCAGACGTGGCGGCATGCGCCTGTAGTCCCAGCTGCTGGGGAGGCTGAAGCAGGAGAATGGCGTGAACCCAGGAGGTGGAGCTTGCAGTGAGCCGAGATCGCGCCACTGCACTCCAGCCTGGGCGACAGAGCGAGACTCCGTCTCAAAAAAAAAAAAATACAAAAATTAGCCAGGTGTGGTGGCATATGCCTGTAGTCCCAGCTACTCAGGAGGCAGAGGCAGGAGAATAACTTGAACCCAGGTGGTGGAGGCTGCAGTGAGCCAACACTGTGCCACTGCACTCCAGCCTGAGCAACATGGCAAGACTCCATCTCCAAAAAAAAAAAAAAGAATTTGGTAGGATTTACCAGTAAAACCATCTAAGCCTGGTGCTTTTTTTTTTTTTGGAAAAGTTACTGATTGATTCAATGTCTAAAATTGATACAGGTTTATTCAGTTTATCAATTTCTCCTTGGTGAGTTTTATAGTTTCTGCCTTTGAAGGAATCGGTTCCTAAGCTTATCACATTTCTGGGCATAGATTTTCTCAAAGTATTCCCTCATGGTCTTCTCAATGCCCATAGAATCACAAATGATGACCTCTCCTTTAGTTATTAGTACATTATGACTTCCTTTCTTCATGGTTAGCCTGCCTGGAGGTTTATTGATTTTTTTTTTTATCTATTCATAGAAACAGCTGTTGGTTTTGATAACTTTCTCTGTTGATTTTTGATTTTTCATTCCATTGATTTCTGCAGTAATTATTGCTTTTGCTATTCTTCTGTCTGCTTTCTATAACACTGCTCTGTTTTGTCTGGTTTTCTAATGTGAAAGCTTAGGTTATTGACTTTAGGTCTTTCTTATTTTCTATCACATGGCATTCAGTTATAAATTTCCCTCCGAGCCCTGCTTTGACTGCATCCCACAGATCTTGACAAGGTACATTTTTATTTCATTTTGTTTAAAATATTTTTTCAGCTGTGTGTGGTGGCTCATGCCTGTAATCCAACACTTTGGGAGGCCGAGGTGGGCAGATCACAAGGTCAGGAGATTGAGACCATCCTGGCTAACACCGTGAAACCCCATCTCTACTAAAAAATACAAAAAATTGCCTGGCATGGTGGCTCACGCCTGTAATCCAGCACTTTGGGAGGCTGAGGTGGGCGGATCACTTGAGGTCAGGAGTTCGAGACCAGCCTAGCCAACATGGTGAAACACTGTCTCTACTAAAAATACAAAAATTAGCCGGGTGTGGTGGTGTGCACCTGTAGACCCAGCTACTCGGGAGGGTGAAGTGGGAGAATCGCTTTGAACCTGGGAGGCGGACATTGCAGTGAGCTGACATTGCACCGCTGCACTCCAGCCTGGGTGACAAGAGTGAAACTCCATCTCAAAAAATATATATGTATTTTTACAACTTCATTGAGGCATCTTCTTTGATCCATGTGTTTTGCAGAGTACATGATTTAATGTCCAAATATTTGGAGGTTTTCCATTTATCTTTCTATTACTGAATTCTAGTCTAATTTTGTAATGCTATGAAAGCATATTTTAGAAATTTCATTCATTTAAATAAGTTGTGGTATTATTTTATGGCCCACAATGTTGCCTTTTTTTTTTTTTTTTTTTTTTTTTTTAGAGGAGTCTTGCTCTGCTGCCAGGCTGGAGTGCAATGGTGCAATCTTGGCTCACCACAACCTCCTTCTCCTGGGTTCAAGTGATTCTCCTGCCTCAGCCTCCCAAGTAGCTGGGATTATAGGCATGTGCCACCAGGCCTAGCTAATTTTATATTTTTGGTAGAGAGGAGGTTTCTCCATGTTGGTCAGGCTGGTCTCGAACTCCCGACCTCAGGTGATCCGCCCGGCTCGGCCTCCCAAAGTGCCGGGATTACAGGCATGAGCCACCAGGCCCAGTGGTCTGTCTTTTTAAATCTCTGTTCTTGGCCAGGCACGGTGGCTCACGCCTGTATTCCCAGCACTTTGGGAGGCTGAGGTCGGCAGATCACAAGGTCAGGAGATTGAGATCATCCTGGCTAACACGGTGAAACCCCGTCTCTACTAAAACATATAAAAAAATTAGCCAGGTCTGGTGGCAGGCACCTGTAGTCCCAGCTACTTGGGAGGCTGAGGCAGGAGAATGGCGTGAACCCAGGAGGCAGAACTTGCAGTGAGCCGAGATTGCACCACTGCACTCCAGCCTGGGCGACAGAGTGAGACTCCATCTCAAAAAGAAAAAAAAAAACAAAAAAAAAACTCTCTTCTTTTGCTCTGAGTCTTTATATTTGAAGTGGGTTTCTGGTAGAGAACACATATTTGCATATTATTTTTATCCACTCTTCTAGTCTATGTCTTTTAATTACTGTATATAGACCATGCACATTTAAAGTGATTATTAATATGTTTGAATTATTAGCTATATTTTATAACTGTTAACATATATAACATATTGTAACATGTAATGAACATTTTTTGCCAAGTACTGTGCATCAATGGACAATGTCAAGAAAGCAGAGAGACAACCTACACAATGGAACAGAACCTTCACAAATTAAATATTTGACAAGGGAATTTATATCCGCAGTATGTAAAGCACCCCAGAACTCAACAATAAAAACAAGTAAACAACCCAGTTAAAAAATGGGCAAAGGGCCAGGTGTGGTGGCTCACACCTGTAATCCCAGCACTTTGGAAGGCCAAAGCAGGTAGATGACGAGATCAGGAGATGGAGACCATCTTGGCCAACATGGTGAAACCCCATCTCTACTAAAATACAAACAAACAAACAAACAAAAATTAGCCAGGTGTGGTGGTGCATGCCTATAGTCCCAGCTACTCAGGAGGCTGAGGCAGAGGAATCGCTTGAATCCAGGAGGCGGAGGTTGCAGTGAGCCAAGATCGAGTCACTGCACTCCAGCATGGCGACAGAGTGAGACTCTGCCTCAAAAAAAAAAAAAAGGCGGGGGTGGGGCTCGGGGGGGCAAAGGACTTGAGTATATATTTCTCCAAACACATATACAAATGGTCCAGTAAGTACAAAAAAAGATACTCAACATCATTAGGCATGAGGAAGTATGTATCAAAACAACAGTGAGACATCACTTCACATTCTCTGGGAAGGTTATAGTGAAAAAAAAAGGAAAAGTAAAATAACAACTGTTCACAAGGATGTCAAGACATTGAAAACTTTATGTATTGCTGGAGGAAAAACTGATTTAGCCATTGTGATAAAGAGTTTGGTGGAGCCTCAAAACTGTAAACATGAAACTACCGTATGACCCAATAATTCCACTGTAAGGTATATAAATATATATATAAATAAATATGTAAATATATATACATTTATATATATAGAGAGAGAGAGAGAGAAGGAACTCAGACAGATATCTGTATATCAGAGTTCATAGCAGAATTACTCACAGTAGCGAACAGGTGGAAATAACAAGAAAATCTTGATTGATACCCAGTATCAATCAACAAATAAATGGACAAGTCAAATAATGTGTATTTATGCAACAGATACTATTCAGCCATAAAATGAATTCAATGTTGATATATGCTGTTACATGGATGAACCTTGTAAAATATGCTGTGAAATAAGGCAAGGAGAGAAGGACAAATATTGCATGTTTTCACTTACATGAGATGTCTAGAATAGGCAAATTCGAAGAGACAGAAACTAGAGATGACTAGGGGGAGGAAGGAGAGAAGAGAGGGAGTTTTTTGTTTCATTTTGTTTTGTTTTGTGATTTTTTTTTTTTTTTTGAGACGGAGTCTCTGTCGCCCAGGCTGGAGTGCAGTGGTATGATCTCGGCTCACTGCAACCTCTGCCTCCTGGGTTCAAGCGATTCTTCTGCCTTAGGCTCCTGAGTAGCTGGGAATACAGGCGCACACCACCATGCTTGGCTAATTTTTGTATGTTTAGTAGAGATGGGGTTTCACCACGTTGGTCAGGCTGGTTTCGAACTCCTGACCTCATGATCCACCCAGCTCGGCATCCCAAAGTGCTGGGATTACAGGCGTGAGCCACCGCGTATGGCCTAATTTTTGTATTTTTAGTAGAGACAGGGTTTCACTATGTTGGCCAGGCTGGTCTTGAACCCCTGACTTCAGGTGATCCACCATCCTCGGCCTCCCAAAGTGCTGGGATTACAGGCATGAGCCACCGTGCCAGGCCAGAGAGCCCCACTGCTTTATATGTTTTCTTGAGCCCCTAATATTCATAGGATTGTCTGTGGATTGAAAAGTTCTCTCTCTGTATTGCAAGCCTCTGAAATCACGGAGAGCTCATCAATATTTGTGAAATGAGACCTAAGCATACTGCTTACACAGAGGCCTGGGGGACTGTGTGTTGAATGATGGTGGGACGTCCTGGGGCATTAAGTACCTGGACCCTGAGGACACTGAAGATGGGCCTGTGACCAGTAAGGAGTGCTGTGCCCTGTCCCAGGCCCTGTCTGGGGATTGCTCACAACTGGGTGAGCTCCACTGGCCTCCAGCTGGCAGAGTCAGAGCTGTCCCCTGTGCTCAGAATGTGACCCAATGGCCTGGTGCTCTCAAGGCCTGGCAGGGTCCTGTGTGTGTTTCTAACAGCTGTGTGTCCCCCTGCACAACGCTGCTGGGCCTGCACTCAGAGCAGCCCCTCCCTCAGCCTCCTCTGTCCTCAAGTCCCCTCTCAGGCTCCTGAATCCGTGATCAGGCAGGGTCTGAGGGATCCGGGAGGGGAGGGAGTGAATTTGCATGAACAGCCCCTTTTCCCTGGGAGCAGGAGGGAAATTACACAAGCCTGGGACAGCCCAGCCCCATTGTGAGGGTTAAGGGCTGTCTCCACCACGGCCTGGATTCCTCTCCTCCTCATGTCCCTCTCTCACTGCACAGGTAGGGACAGGCCTCAGAGACCCAGGGCAGCCCCCAGTCTGTTTTCATCTCTTCTGGGTCTGGCCCTGAAAATCTTTACCCTGGTCCTTGACGCAGCACCAGTGACTGTCTGTGTCTGCAGTTTCCCTCTCCAGCCTGTGCTGACTCAGCTGCCCTCCCTCTCTGCAACCCCGGTAGCATCTGCCAGACTCCCCTGCACCCTGAGCAGTGGCTTCAATGTTGGTGACTATGGGATACACTGGAGATGGCAGAAGCCAGGGAGCCCTCTCCAGCATCTCCTGAGCTACCACTGGCATTCAAATAAGCACCAGGGCTCCAGCGTCCCCAGCCGCTTCTTTGGAACCAAAGATGCCCCTGAAAATGCAGGGATTCTTTACATCTCTGGGCCCAGCTAGAGAACAAGGCTATTACTGTATGCCTGGACCAGTGATGCTTCTCACAGCGACACAGGCAGGCGGGGAAGTGGGACAAAACCTGCTGGCCCCCAGATGCTGGCCCGTCTCTTTGTTGATGTTAAAATGTATCTACACTAGGCCAGGCGTGGTGGCTTATGCCTGTAATCCCAGCACTTTGGGAGGCTGAGACAGGCAGATCACAAGGTCAGGAGATCGAGACCATCTGGCTAACACGGTGAAAGTCCGTCTCTACTAAAAATACAAAAAATTAGCCGTCCTGGTGGCTGGCGCCTGTAGTCCCAGCTACTCAGAAGGCTGAGGCAGGAGAATGGCGTGAACCCAGGAGGCGGAGCTTGCAGTGAGAGGAGATCCTGCCACTGCACTCCATCCTGGGCAACAGAGTGGGACTCCATCTCAATTAAAAAAAAAAAATGTATCTACACTATTGATACCACTTTACAAATTCAGAATTTTTTTCCAGTTTATTTTTGTTTGTTTACTAAGTATGAAGACTCAAATGACCAAAACACTTTTCAAACCAACACAACTATACACAGACATAATCTCAGAGGAATTTCTGCTGCTACATTACCTGTGCATCTGGAATTCACATCCAGAGGGCAGCCTAGAAGGAATTGTGTCCAGTCCACAAGTGAGCAGACCTGTCATCCTCCCCCCGGCAGCCTAGAAGGAATTGTGTCCAGTCCACAAGTGAGCAGACCTGTCATCCTCCCCCCGGCAGCCTAGAAGGAATTGTGTCCAGTCCACAAGTGAGCAGACCTGTCATCCTCCCCCGGCAGCCTAGAAGGAATTGTGTCCAGTCCACAAGTGAGCAGACCTGTCATCCTCCCCCCGGCAGCCTCCCTCTTGCCCCAGAGACTCCACGGTGGCCCCGAGGAGACCCCCTGCTCTCCCTCCAGGGACTGCAGCAGGGATGGCACCAGGCCTTGTCCAGAACATTCTGGGGAGTGCATCACTTAAGATTAGAATTCAGTTGTGGGGAAACTGTCACTGTGGGGGTTAAAATGACAGCTTCTTATCATGTTTTAGTTCACATAGTCAAAAAGAGTCCAGGGGTGCGAGAAGGTCACTCCTCGATTCTGACGCTTGCCCCAGTGGAGTTTTACACAAGACAATAAGATTCCCACTCCCAGAAATCCTGAAGAACAGACTTCCATCTCTTGTCAAAGCAGGATGATGCTTTTATTTATTTATTTTTTTTTGGCGGAGTCTCCCTCTTTCACCCAGGTTGGAATGCAGTGGCATGATCTTGGCTCTCTACAACCTCTGCCCCCTGCGTTCAAGTGATTCTCCTGCCTCAGCCTCCCTGAGTAGCTGGGAGCACAGATGGCGTGTGCCACCACACCTGGCTTTTTTTTTTTTTTTTTTGTATTTTTAGTAGAGATGAGGTTTCACCATGTTGGCCAGGCGGTCTCAAATTCTTGACCTCAGGTGATCCATCTGCCTTGGCCTCCAAAAGTGCTGGGATTACAGGCATGAACCACTGTGCCTGGCCGCATTTTTAAAAAATTCAATTTATTATTAAAATATAACATACAAAGGAGAAAAACACACTTTTTACATTCATGGTAAAATCAACTATACATTAAAATGAATCACTGTGGAAAACATCAGTAATTCAACAACCTTGCTGCTGACCTCTTATTCAGTTAAATGAGAGCAAGTGTTGAAACAGCTGGTGGTGGTTCACATCAAAATCAAGAGGAAGGTGCTGTTGTATGCAGATTACTCTTCTCAAATGTCATAGATTTCTTCTGTACTTGCTTAATTAGTAGTTGAAATGATAGTAATTGTACTTTTTGTTATTTCCATTTCAAATCATAAATAGAATGTTTTTGTTTTTTGTTTTTTGTTTTTTTTTTGAGACAGAGTCTCATTCTGTCACCCAGGCTGGAGTGCAGTGGCGCGATCTCGGCTCACTGCAAGCTCCACCTCCTGGGTTCATGCCATTCTCCTGCCTCAGCCTCCCAAGTAGCTGGGACTACAGGCGCCCACCACCACGCCTGGCTAATTGTTTGTATTTTCAGTCGTTGAAGTTCAAGTGAACAAGATGTATGACAAGTGACTACTCATCTGTCAGAGTGGCAGGGCCACTGAGGATGTGACAGTCATTCATCCACTCTGAAACAACTCTTCAGGATCCCTAACATAGAAACGAACATCTGGCCTTTACATGCTTTGATAAACCGATCTATTCCTGTTAAAACAGAGGCTTCATTCATCTCCAAAGCTTGTAGAGAAACCTCAGACTGGGGCCAGAGACCCTGCGGGTGCTGTGGTTTCAGGGCCTGGAGGTGACACCTCCCAATCACACAGACATTGCAGGCTCAGAGGGAGGAGCCCCTTTGAAAGAGGTGAGCAGAGTCTGGGGCATTTGTGCAAATGTTGATGAGGTCCCCAGACAACTCACAGCCTCCCAGGAAACCCTAACTGGGGAAGAAAAGATGAGGATAAGCAGAGCCCACCATGGGTGAGAAGAGAGGAAAGCCAGGGTCTCCACCACCCAGGTCCTCAGTGTCCCTCCTCCGTGTGCCCGGCCCTGTCCTGTGGGTGGAGGGTGAGGAGAGGGAGAGAAGGAAGGGTTGGCAGTTTTATAAGAGCTGGACCTCCTCCTATGAGTAGATGAAATAGTTTAATGAGATTGGTTTTGGATTTTCCAGCTTCCCTAGAGGCCGGAATCAGACTCCCAATATAAGCTCTTGGTCGCTGTGGTGAAAGTTCGTGTGTATTCATCCCCTGAGAAGGTTCCCTAACCCTTACTGTGTCTTCTGTGTGAGGAGTGCAGCTCTAAGCACTCAGGGTACTGTTTCCCAGTGAATCTTAATGAAATGTTTGGAGAATTTTTATTTCCTCCATTTAGCCTAACCAGAACAGAAACGTCAGCTCTAGAGGTAGAACAGGTCACTCAGAGTCACCCGAGCAATCACTGCTGCATGAGCTGCTGACTTGAGGTCTAAGTGATGGGAAAGTTCACCTTTCTACCTAGTTGCCTCTGAAAATGTATCCTAAAATGAAATAAACACGTTGTTTATAGCTAATCTTTCTAGGTGTCTTCATAAATCAATGAACAGACACACATTTTCCATGTGCAGATGGTGTGGAAAGTTCTGGTGTGGAAAGTTCTAGTGTGTTCCGGTTAAATCTGGGGGTCAGACCAACTCAGGAGGCTGCCCCTGAGGAGATAGGAAAGGTCCCCTGTCCCTTAATGAAGTGGCCTTGGCCAGACTTCCAACCATGGTGAGGGAGGAAGGGGGACATCCATAGCTCCTTCTCCTCCACTCTCAGGAAACCCTAACCCAGGAAATAATTCTAAAGAGATCTAGGGAGGAGGAACTGAGAGGACAAGTTGCCTCAGACAGGAAGACCCTAGGAGTGTCCATGGGGGATGTTCATAACTGAGAAGCATCATTGCTGGCCAGGGGACTGGAAAACACATCATCTTACATCCCTGCATTCCCGCTCCAAATGTTTGAAATCCCAGGAACCCACAGCCTGTCCTCTCACTCGAGCTCTCAGGGGCACTCCTGCTCTGTAGGAAATAGAAACTGTCCCTTCATTATCCCATTACGTCATTTTTGCTGCACAGAGTCTTGCACAGTGGGTCCTAGTCATTTTCCCTGTTTACCTTCATCTCCTTTCTGTCTCTTCTGAGAGTCTGATTCCATCTAGCACCTCTTCTCTTTCCTGTGAGGCCAGTTCTCCCCAGGTCCAACCTCAGGGTTGCAGTTCAAAGGTTGTCCCCTTCCCCTTCCCCTTCCGACAGAGTCTTGCATCCAGGCTGGTGTGTGGTGACACGATCACAGCTCACTGTAGCCTTGATCTACTGGACTCAAGAACCCTCCCACCTCAGCTTCGCAAGTAGTTGTGACCACAGGTACATGGCACCCACCTGTTTATTTTTGTTTGTGCAAAGGGGTCTCATTTTGTCGCCCAGGCTGGTTTAAACTCCTGGCCTCATGCCATCTTCCCACCGTGACCTCCCCACTCTACATTTTCTTCTGAGCACTGGTCTCACAGCCTCCTACAAGTTTGGTGTGCTTTGTTTCCATTTTCATTTATCTCAAAGAATTTTCGAACATCACTTGTAATTTCTGCTTTGATTCATTGATTGTTTAGGAGTGTGTTTAATCTTTACATATTCCTGAATTCAGATTTCCTTTCTTATTTCTACCTTTTTCTCTCGCAGAAAAGATATTTTGATTTTAGTGCTTTTAAATTAATGAGATTTGTTTCATGGTCTAATACAAGGTATATTCCAGAGAACACTCCATGTGTGCTGGAGAAGAATCTGTATTCTGTGAGTCTGTTGTAGATGTTGTCAGGTCTAGCTGATTTATAGTTTTTCAAGTTCTCTACTTCTTTATTGATCTTCTGTCTCATTGTTCTAGCCAGTATTGACAGTATAGTATTGCAACTATTATTGCGAAGCTGTCTGTTTCTCTCTTCAATTCCATCAGTCATTACTTCCTATACTTGGGGGCTCTGTGGTTAGACGCACATGTACTAATTGTTACATCTTCTTGATGAAGTAACTTATTTATCAATATATAATGTCCTTCTTTGTCTCTTGTAATAACTTTCATTGACAGACCCATCTCTCTTTTCCTTCATTCCTTGCCTCCTTCCCTCTTTCCTTCCTCCCTCCTTCCATCCCTCCCTCATTTAAACTGTTGGCAGGACACAGTGGCTTACATCTATAATTCCAGAATTTGGGAGGCCAAGGCAGGTGAAGTGTGTGAACCCAGAAGTTTGAGACCAGCCTGGGCAACATGGTGAAACCCAGTCTCTACAACACAACACAACAAAACAAAACCTAAAATTAGCCGGTCACCTATAGGTGCAGCTATGCGGCCACTCAGGAAGCTAAGGCCAGGGCATCTATTGAGCCCTGGAGGTCAAGGCTGCAGTGAGCCATGATCACACTACTGCACTCCAGCCTGGGTGACAGAAGGAGACCCTGTCTCAAAAAAAAAAAAAAGAAAAAAGAAAGAGAAGTACATAAATACACAGATAAACTGTTGGTTGGGAGCCGTGTATGCGCCAGGCACTAAGCTGGGGATGAGATGGGATGAAGAGTCTGGAGACTTGGGAAAAGGCTGCATCTCTGGGAGGCCACAGCTTTTCCTTAGTCAAAGAGGGTCCTGGAAGGGGTAGGTAAGATCCCTTGAAGCCAGGTCCTCCAGAGCTCCAGGACCCAAGGTGGAGCTCAGGGTGTGGGAAGGCAGCCAGGGGGCAGCATCAGGCCTGGTGGGGGGCTGGGGCTGGGAGCAGGTGGGATGTAGGGAGAGGGCTGTTCCACCCTCACCTGTGAGCTGCATGAACACCCAGTGCAGCCCTGAAATACGCTCCCCCTCTCCCTGGCCACATCTGTCTTGTTTTTCTCCTGTCCCACATCCCACGCGGCAGCCTTGGCTTCTCCTTGCCTTAGTTTTTTCCCTTGTCACCCTGAGTTCTGGTTTAGGTCAGTGTTAAGATTAACCTTAGCCTGGGGATTCCCAAGGTCAGCCAGCTGCAGGCAGGGCCACCAGAGCTGGGAAGGTGAATCCCCCACCCCCATCCCTTGGCCTGGCCCCCACCCTACTCTCACCTCAGACCACGCTGCCCCTCCAGGCCTCCCTGGCCAACTCCTTCACCCAGGAAGCTACTGGTTTCCTGAATGGCTGGTCCTCAGGGTCCCTGACCCAGCTTTTCCTTGACCAGAGCAAAGGCTGGGCCCAGGGAGGGAAAGGCACTTGCCCAGGATCACACAGTGTGTCACCCACAGGCCCAGGCAAGAACCCAGGAGATAACAGCAATGGCTGTGGGTAGGTGAGGGTCCCCGTGGGCCTGGCACTCCCTAGGCATTCTCATTTAATCCCCAAAACCAACCTGTGGGGAGAGACTGTTATCACCCCCCTGTACAGAGGAGGAAACTGAAGCCCATTGAAGGGAGTCAAACTGCCTGAGGTCAAGGGCTGCTGAGGGCTGAGCTTGGGCGGGACCCCTTTTCTGTCTGACCCCGTGGCTGGGGCTCCCACAGCAGAGGCTCCACTTGGAAGAACACGCTCTGGGCTCCTGCAGGCCTTTGCCAGCTGCCCTCCCTCCTCCTAGCCGTTCAGGGGAGGGGTGGCCATCGGACTCTGTAGCCCTGACTCGGCCTTACTCTGCTCTGAGGCCTCTTTTCTGCATCCCCGAAATGGGGTCAGAGCTGGGGAATGGTAAAGGGAGGTCACCCCACCTGAGCATATCTCGTGCCTGGCAGAGGGCAGTGCTCCATACAGGCGCCCTCCATACAAGTGTGTTCCATACAGGTGTGCTCCCATGTGAGCTTGGGCAGGCCCCTTCCTCTCCTGATCTCGATTTCCCCATTTGTCAGATGGGAGGCCCTGGGCTGAAAGTCAGGACACCCCTGAGCTGGCTCTGCCTCACTCTTTGGGATTTAACTGCTCCGGGCCTCAGTTATCCTACCTATGAAATGGGACCGTGATTCTGGCTGTGGGCCCCACAGAATCCCTGAGTGGCTCAGCCGGATAACACGTGTCCCATATTTTATAAATGGTACAGGGACAGTAAGGCCACTCAATAGCGTTTCAACACAGGACGCAACTGTCTTTAGCAGATCTGGCCAGATCTGAGGCATTCAGGGCCTTTATTCTCGGCCTTGCTCCCTCTGGGCCCTGTTCCTGCCCCTCTGCAGAGCTCTGGGGCTTAGGACATGTTAGCCTGCTGGCCCAGCCCAGCGTGCGTGTTCACAGCCCTGGTCTACCATCCACCCCAGAGAACTCTTGTGCACCCTGCAGGGCCCTGCCCTGGACCTGCCTACCCGCATCCTCTGCTCATTCAGTCTTCTTTACCAGGTGGCCACTGTCTGTGTCCCATTCAGGGCCCAGACCCCCTCCCTCCCTTGTCCCCTGCCCGCCATGAAGGCCTGGCCCAGTGCAGGGCCCAGCCATGCGGCAGAATGGAAGGAATTTTTGGGTGGTGAGCAGGGTGGCAGAGCACGTGGTATGGCAGACAGGTTCTAGGGTCTCTGAGATGATCCCTCAGCGTGCTTTTATGGGGGCCCATGTGCACCTGCCATATCCCTGTTGAGAGAAGGGGCGCTGAGGTCACTCCTGTGCCTTTGCTCACACCCATCTTCCAGCATGCCCTTCCTCCCTCTGCCCTCCAGCCCTGGTTGCAGCTCCCAGGCCTGTCTGAGGTTGCCACTGCCCCCAGGCCACCTTTGCTGACATGGAATCCCCAGTATCCCCTGCCCCTCATTTTCTTCACAGAGGGTCTTTCCTGCAGCCTGAGCTCTGGACTGGGCAGGGACAAGTACTCCCAGGGGACCCCAGTGCCACAGTCCCCTTCTGCCACGGTGCATGAGCAGGCACACTTCAGGTCTCACCTGGGGCTGGGCTAGGCCGATCCTGCCTTGCCTGGGACATCAGGAGCTGAGGGTCTATATAGGTCAGGCCCCAGGAAGCCTCAGGGGGCTTGTGGAAGGGTGGGTGTGTGTGTGTATGGACAGATATATGGATGGACAGACTGATGGAAAAACGGATAAGTAACTGTCCAGTCTGAAGTCCTGCCCATGAAGGAGAGACCCTGGAAGGCCTCTTGGGGGCAGCTGTGCTTCCAGGTTCCTTGTCACTACCCAAGACCTTAGGGTCCCACGGCAGCAATTGGAAGGGTCCCCATTTCCCTTTCCCTCCCTGTAACTGGCCAAGCCCCCTGAAATATCCAAGGTCTAGAGGCAGCAGGTGGCGTGTGACCTGCAGGTACCCACTTCCGGCTTTGGCCAATCCTGCCCACCCTGGGTCCCTCTGAGCTCTGAGTGTCTGGCTGTGCCCTACAGTTGGCCATAGCTCTGCACCTAGCATTTTGAACAGTTCCTACAGAGCCCTGAGAAGGGGGCAGGGCCTGCATGAACAGAAGCTTCTGGAGCAGAAGATGCCGCTTCTGACCCTTCACTGACTGCGATCTTGAGACCCTGTCTAGCTCAGGTCTGGGCACAGGGCCTGGGCACCTCGGTGCTGGATACAGGCCCATTTCCCAGCTGGGCTGGTGGAGGCTTCATTAACCGAATCCTCCCCTACCCCTATGTCCCCACCCCCACCAGCTTCCCCTCTAAAAACCATTTGGCAATTTTTTTTTTTTTTGAGACGGAGTCTCGCTCTGTTGCCCAGGCTGGAGTACAGTGGTGCGATCTCGGCTCACTGCAAGCTCCGCCTCCCGGGTTCACACCATTCTCCTGCCTCAGCCTTCCCAGTAGCTGGGACTACAGGCGCCTGCCACCATGCCCGGCTAATTTTTTGTATTTTTAGTAGAGACGGGGTTTCACCGTGTTAGCCAGGATGATGTCGATCTCCTGACCTCGTGATCCACCCACCTTGGCCTCCCAAAGTGCTGGGATTACAGGCGTGAGCCACCACACCCGGCCGGCAATTTCTAATAAACATATGCTTATGCATATCAAGCAAACCCTACTCCTAGGTTTTTATCCAAATGGAATGAAAACTTATGTTCAAACAAAAATTTGTTTGCAAATACTTATACTGGTTTTATTCACCATTGGCAAAAAGCAGAAACATCTGTATACACACACGGTGCACATGTACCCTAGAACTTAAAGTATAATTAAAAAAATTAAAAAGAAAACACCTGCTATTCAAAACACACACACACACACACACACACACACACACACACACACAGAACAGCAGAAACATCTGGTTTGACCCACCACACACATACACACACCCCACAAGTGGAAACAACACAATTGTCATTCAGCTGGTGAATGGCTAAACGAGATCGGGACCATCCTGGCTAACACGGTGAAACCCCGTCTCTACTAAAAATACAAAAAAATTAGCCGGGCGTGGTGGCAGATGCCTGTAGTCCCAGCTACTCGGGAGGCTGAGGCAGGAGAATGGCATGAACCCGGGAGGCAGAGCTTGCAGTGAGCCAAGATCTCGCCACTGCACTCCAGCCTGGGTGACAGAGCAAGACGGAGAATCAGACTCAGCAATAATAGGGAACAAACTATTGATCAATAAGGCAACTGGGATGAATTGCAACATTGTTACACTGAACTCAGGAAGCCAGACTCAGAAGGTTACATACTTAGACTCCTATTTAGTATTAAAAAGGAACAAAGTATGTTGCAACCGAGCCACCTGGAGGAACACCCAGAAAACTATGCTGAGTGGGAGAAAGCCAGTCCCCAGAAATCACATACTGTATGATTCCATGTGCAGAACATTCTTGAAATAACAAAATTACACAAGTGGAGACCAAATTAATAGTTGCCAGGGGCTAAGGAGGGGTTTGGGACAGTGGGAAGAGAGTGTTTCTGTGAAAGGGCAACATGAGGGATGTTTGGGAGGGAAGTGTTCCCTTCTTGCTGTATCAATGTCAATCTCCTGGCTCTGATCCGTTACTGTAGCTGCAAGGTGCTACCGTTGAGGGAACTGGCCGGAGTACCTGGGATCCCTCTGTATGTTTCCTCACAACTGCATGAGAAGCTACAATTATCTCAAAATAAAAAGTTTAATTTAAAAAGCGGTCACATCCTTTACGTTTGCATTTCTGTGATATTCTGTAAAAAGCAACAGTATAGGGTCAGAAAGAGGCCAGTGGTTGCCATGGTTGGGGTACAGAAAGGGTTTGAATGTAAAAGGAACGTAAGGGCTGAGAGCAGGGGCTCACCCCTGTAATCCCAGCACTGTGGGAGGCTGAGGCAGGTGGCTCACTTGGGGCCAGGAATTTGAGACCAGCCTGGCCAACACGGCGAAACCGTCTCTACTAAAAATACAAAAATTACCCGGGTGTGGTGACTCGCACCTGTAATTCCAGGTACTCGTGAGGCTGAGGCAAGAGAATCGCTTGAACCCAGGAGGCGGAGGTTGCAGTGAGCCGAGATTCACCTCTGCACACCAGCCTGGGTGACAGAGTGAGACTGTGTCTCTAAAAAAGGAGTGCTTAGAGAAATTTGGGGGGGGGGGGTGGAAATATTCTGTATTTCAATTGTGATAGTTACATGAGTCAATGATATTTTAAAAATTATACTAGGTTTTATTAGCTACACCAAAAACAGTAAACTTTAAATTAAAATAGAAATATTTCAAATGTTTAAAATGTTTTAAAATATTTGTTATGCCATTACAGTTGTCAAAAACATATCTTAAATGTTTAGTGTTCCCTACCATGGACGTAACATAGTTTATTTTACCTCCCCCTACTGGAAGCAGAAGCCATCAGCTTGTGCAATTAGCAATTAGCTTGTCCCTGAACCTGAATTTCCTTCTTCTAAAATAAGACAATGAGTATTTCAGAGCCATTTCCAGAATCTCTAAATAAAGAAAAAAGCTTGCTCTCTGAGAATAAAAACTAAGTCAATACATAACACAAAGGGCCGAGAAATGCCAAAGGTTTCTGGTCTAGGCAGCTTTGGCAGTGGTTTCATGAACTATAGTCTCAAATCCAGTGGACGTGTGCCCACCAATTACAATGGGAAACATGAAAATAAGGAAAGATGACTTGTCCCAAAGCCACCGTAGTCGGGGATTGCAAGTACTGGACATCCAGCGTAAGCCTCTCCTAGGAGGGGTGACTTGGTCCCAAGTAACCATCTGACTCATCTGACTGTGGGTCTGTGCCCGCTACACCACCTTCTGATGGTCATTTTGCTTCCCACAAGGGGGACCCACAAGAGAGAGAGCTCCAGCCACACAGACGCTGGGCACGTAGGCTCCTGTGGGAGCCAGTGTTTAATGCAATGTAGCAAACTGGACATTCTAGTTATAGTGTAGCTTTTCAGATAAATCTGTGTAAGTGAGTTAGCGCACTTTTGGGAGGGGGAGGCTCTCACTTAGTAGGATTCTCAAAAGGGTCTTTAATCTTAAAATAAGAACCAGAGGCCTATAGAAAGAGAATAATTTAGTCAGGCAGACTTGGCTGATTATGTGAGTTTCACAATAAGAGACAGATGCTTAATACAGTGATATAATAAAATCTAGTTTCTGAGTCTGGAAGGCTGAAAGCCACTCCTTGCCCCACAGTCAAGATACTAGTATCTAAGGAGAAAACCAGCTGTCCTCAAACAGATAAAATATACCTCTCAATGTCTCCACATGGATGTATCTGGAGTAATTTTTTTCTTTTTGAAATTTCTACCTATTATCAAGCATAATTGTAAAAACTAAAAAGAGTTAATGTATATAAAACTATAACATGCAATCTACAAATCTTAGTGGAGTTTTCTTAAACTCTAAATAAATGACCATCTACTGTAATAAACATGAATTAAATGACCATCTACTGTAATAAACACAAAATAAATCACAAATTACAATTTACGTTTTGAATTTGTACCATAATGTAAAGAAGCAAGAACACTACCGTTTCTTACACATAGAACTACTCCTATCAATAATAAGGAATACTTTCTTTCTAAAGGCTATTTGTGCTTTCAACATGGACTTTTCAGTTCAAAATTGGGCTATGAGCACAGGACAGTGAAGACACAGAAAACTCTACAGCCTAAATGGAGCAGAAAATTTCAAGTTATCCACCAATCACTTACTGATTGAAGCTAGAAAATTACTAAATAAATTCCATGTCCACTAAAGAAGAAAACAAGGCCACTTGTGGTGGCTACACAAACAGAAAGATGCAAACTACCATATCACTATGGAGACTATGTTTAGATAGTTCTTCAAAGGTACTCACTAACAAATTATTGTAAAACACTAAACATCATGTGTTCTATGCATTATCCTATATTCTATATTCATTCTTTGTTATTATTCTATATTCTATGCGTATAGAATAATAAAAGTTATCCATACACTATTTGTTTGTGGTTAAATAAAATCTTCAAGCAATTACACTTTAAAGCAAACATCCTTCTTGACTCAACTCTGTATGTTTCACACTAGTCTATAAGCTCCATGAAGGAAGGGGCCGTGGCTGGGTTTGTCATAGTACCCCATGCCTGGCTCATAGAAATGGCTCTGCAACTATGTACTGAATTAATGTCATAAATGGTATCATAAATGTCCTTTAAGGACTGTCAGTGTTCCTAGAAAATTATAAAGAATCTTTAAAATGTTGTTTCAGACCTTCCTATCATATTTATGAATACTTTGAAAGGACAAGCTTTGCAATAGGTGATCCAACATTTGAAATGTCCAGTAAATAGAAATGAGACTCCAGGGGAAAGATGAAGTTCACATTACTCAACCTCTTTCAACTATGTGTGATTTCAAGTCATCTGAATTTCATTCTGTTTTTAAAAAGAGTAACAAAGTAATACCGCCTACAGTAAAAGTCGTCTGAATCACTTGAGGGCTTAAGATGTTGACCCTTTGTGGGACTTTGCTTGTGAATTAGACCTTACTTAAATAAAAGTATTTCTTGGCCAGGCGCGGTGGCTCATGCCTGTAATCCCAGCACTTTGGGAGGCCGAGGTGGGTGGATCATGAGGTCAGGAGATGGAGACCATCCTGGCTAACACAGTGAAACCCCGTCTCTACTAAAAAAAAAAACAAAATACAAAAAAAAATTAGCCAGGCATGGTGGCGGTGCCTGTAGTCCCAGCTACTCGAGAGGCTGAGGCAGGAGAATGGCATCAACCTGGGAGGCAGAGCTTGCAGTGAGCCCAGGTCACGCCACTGCACTCCAGCCGGGGTGACAGAGCAAGACTCCATCTCAAAAAAAAAAAAAAAGTATTTCTTTTCCAACATGATGTAAAACAACTGGCCTGCACATCTAAATGCTCCTGTTTTAACTGGGCCTGCAAGGGAGTCTGTGGGTCACAGTTTACTACTCCCAGTAGGCCCCATTATCAGCTACATTAGCTCAACAACATTTCAGTAAACTAAAGCAGCTATACCATTTGGACAAATAGTCAGCTTTTCCAGGATTTGCACTCATTGGTTAATTGAATAATGTGTCAACATAACAAAATGTGTGCCTCTTGCCATCTCAGGGAAGCAAAATCTCCCCTAGACAGAATGTTCCATTTTCTGAGACTCTCCTGTAATAGGCAGGAAACTGCAGACCCATTGTTTCATTTAAATTAGCTAGATATTTCGTTCTGATGCTCTTCTGTTTTAAAATTGTGGAAAAGGCAAAGTAACTAAAATAAGGAAGCACCAAGAATAGTGACTTCAAATAATTAGCTGGAAATAAAAAAATCACTAGTGATAGACCAAAGGCAAATTAAAATGTATGCTTCTCATTCAGATACTAAAAATACAAATCTGAACATCTCTTTCAAGAATACCAAAAACTGGCGGTCACATGGCTTCCTCTATAATGAAGCTGATATAGAAACTCTTGTCAAAAAACACTTGACCCGAATCCCTTTTACCAACAGCGTGAAGTCATACCAGCCATTTAAGTCATTAGGCTGAGACTTTTAACACGCAATTAACTTTCTTACAGGATCTAGAAATTCCCCAACCCCCAACCTCCAAATCAAACAGGTAGGCTACTGACTGCCATCCCGTGGTAGAGAGAATTTTGCAAGATGTTTTACCTGATAATCTCAATGTAACAGAATCCTAACACAGCACAAGGAGTGACTGTTACTATGTAAATGGCTACATTATAAAACTAAAGCCAAAGCCACTAAGATAAGTAGAAAACAGGCCGGGGTGCGGTGGCTAAGGCCTGTAATCCCTTCACTTTGGGAGGCCAAGGTGGGCGGATCATGAGGTCAGGAGTTCGAGACCAGCCTGACCACCATGGTGAAAGCCCATCTCTACTAAAAATGCGAAAAAAATTAGCCAAGTGTGGTGGCAGGCGCCTGTGGTCCCAGCTACTCAGGAGGCTGAGGCAGGAGAATCACATGAACCTGGGAGGCAGAGGTTGCAGTCAGCCAAGATTGTGCCACTGCACTCCAGCCTGGGCGACAGAGCTAGACTCCATCTCAAAAAAAAAAAAAAAAAAAAGAAAAGAAAAAAGGAAACAAATTGGAATCTCAGGAGGAGGTTCCAATGGCCCAATTGGAGAGTCTATTTTAAAAAGAGCAACAGAATAACAATTACTGAAGGGCTGTTTCCTAAAATTACTCTCTGGTTGGTATTTCTCAGTTTTCAAATGTCACGAGAAATATGCTGGCTGTCACTTACTCTGCCTTAAAGCATTAACAAAGAATACCACTGAAAAACAAAGGCATTCATACAAGGAAGTGAACATCCTAAGCACATAAGTATGTTCTTAAGAGGGACACTAAAAAAGGAAACCCCAAGAAAAAAAATAAAAACTGAACAGAAGTTCCTAACTTTAGTAATATTATATACTACCCCCCCCCAAAAAAACTGCCCATGAGTTGAGATTTATCAATTTTATATCTAGAAACCCTACATATTCAGGACTCCCTGACCTTGGGTGGCGGAGGGACACTAGGAAAGGCAAGAGAAAAAGGAATTTTCTACCACCTTTATAGAAATATTCAGTTTTTTTGGTGAAATTTAGGTTTGATATAGGAGTTCTTGTTCTCTAAGTAAGTTTCCCATTTGCCAGAAATTTTAAGCAGCATTGATTTTTTCAATTAGCTTCTGATATGCTACACTCTGGCATAGGGGTGTTAAACTCACGACATTGCAGAAGGGTTTGCACTTTTTCCTTATTTTCACTACTTGGCATTGTCTATCAAAGAGTAGCACATCCTGCAAAACCAACAAGAGGCATGGGCTAAGGAGGGAGAAGCAAGCCCAAAATATCTAGCAAGCATGTCTTCATTTGCACAATTTAGCTTTTTCACAAGAAATAACAAGGGGACTGGTATTTTCTGTATCATAGGGCTCATAGATGGACTTGTAAAAAAATCACATTATGATCACTTAGCATTAGGTAACATTTAAGCAATTTTGGGCGCCTAACACTTGAAGGACTGATGATTTCAAATGGACAATAACTTTGGTTTAAATTCCAACATTTTATAGAATTGCATGGTTTCAAATTCACCATAAAGAAAATGCCTCTTTTGAGCATCAATTCAAAGAGCTATTTAGCATTAAGGAACCTCATTAGCTGTACAACTCATGATGGTGTTAATTAGGAAAGGAGCTAGAGAAAAAAAAATCCATCGCTGAAGCCTTGATACATTATTTAAAACTCACTATTAACCTGATGAACTATTTTTTTCCGGGGAAGTGCTAATGACATGAGCTGGCAAAAAATTTTACTAGTTCCTTAATAATAAATCATTTGAGGGAAAATTGCAACTTGGTATGGACCTCACCGAGCCCCTCGCCAATTCAATCAGGCCCTCCTTTGATAATTTAACAACAAATTCCTGTCTGGAATCATCCATTCAAGTGCCTTTTTAAATGAATCCCATTTCAATTTTTTAATAAAGTACTACCAGTAGATCTGCAAGTTGAGGAAAGCAGCTCAGGTGACACACTTGGCACCAAAAAGAATACTGAGTGGGTCGAAATCCTGCCTGGGCAGACAATAGAAGAGGAGACGAAGAAGGTGACTAGACTTAGGGACTTCAAGAAGAGCAAGCACTGAAAAGAGCAGTTTAACTACCTCGGACAGTAAGCAACAAGCCTGCAGTCCCCAGATAATCGGCCCAGAGGGAGCTGAAAGGATGGAGTTGGAAAGGGGAACCACAGAGCCCGGGAAGAAGGAGCGACCAGGATGGAGCGCAAACGAGTGACAGGCAAGGAGCCCAAAGGGACCACACCAATGCAACAGGTAGAACCACGGGGATGGGACAGGAGAGGACAGGGCTGGGGGAGGGGGCGACAGGGATGGAACTGGTCCAGCCAAGTCATAACCAGCCCCTTGCTGGGGTGCTAGCTGCGCGCAGGGCGCGGCGCCAGGCACTTTGGAGCGCTCTCTCCCGGAGTGCCCCCCACCCGCCCTCCGATGCCCCATTTCAGAGACTGGAGCCAGGAGGCCGGCCCCGCATCGCCCGCTCCGCTGTGTCACCCGCTCCGGGACAGCGACGGCTCAGCTCCCGATTCTCCCGGACGCAGGGGGTCGCTGGCGGCCGCAGGGGGCGGCGGCGTCGGGGACCGGCGCGGGCCGGGGCAGGTGGTACGTGGGTTCGGGCAGGACGGTCCTCTTGCAGGCGTGGTCGGCCGGGGTCGCCTTGCTCTTCTCCATGGCCATCAGGTAACTGACATCGGCCACCACGGCCTCCAGGTCCACCATGTTGGCGAGCTTTGGCAGCGGCGGTGGCGGTTACTCGGGACCCGGATGGGACGCGCGCCCGCGGCCGCCGCCCGCCGCGCCCCAACCTGGGGGAGCCACCCTGGGGCAGCCCCGCTCTGCGCGCCCCAGCAGCGCCCTGCAAGCGGTGTAATCTGTAGCCCGCCAGGGTCGCGGCGCGCCGCCCACCGCTCCTTCAGCGAGGGTCTGCGGGGAGCGTGCGCCCAAGGGTTGGCGCACCTGGGTGCAGAGTCCCAGCGGCCAGCTCGGTTGGCGCCTCCCAACCAAGTCTCTCCCCTCCGGGTGGCCACAAAGGACTCCTCCTCCTCTTCTTCCTCCCCTCCCTCCCCCTCCGCCTCCTCCTTCTCCTCCTTGGCTGCCCCGACCTCCCGCCCCCAGTTCCATGTGCTCTCATGCCCGCCCCGCTCATCCGGAGAAGCCCTGTGCCCGACGCCCGCTACCCAAGGGCAATGGGGAGGCCTCTGCTCCGGGGACACAGTAGTTCTCAAACTGGACAGTGTCAATCAGCATCCTCCAGGAGGTCTAGGATGGCCCCGGAAATGCATGTGTCCCACCTGTCCCCGCAGGTGGTGATGAAACTCCTGCTCTGGTCCGGGCTACCGGTGAACAGCGTCCAGCGGCCGGGCCCCCAACCTCCTTCCTGAGCCTGAACATCCCCCCAACCCCGCCTTGAGAATTCAGCGAAGAGTAAAAGCTGGAGAAAATTGCGTGTCTCAGGCTAAGCAGAGCAAAGTGGGGTGACGGCTCCCCCGCTAGGAACAGAGATGCCCTTAGGGAACCCCCTGATGGAAGAGCTCCCGGCTTAAGAAGGTCACCACTCCCTTACACTCAGGTGAGAGGTTTTAGTTTGGTTGTTGAAATGGTGTTGAGAAATAAGAGTATTCCTGCCCTTGGGGTTTTACTGTCAATATAAGGGAGGAGACCACCTCTCATATTGTCTTATACCTAGTTTCTGCGACCAAAGAAAGAAAAAGTAAAAACTAAAAGGCAGAAATGAAATCCACAAGCCGACAGCCCAGCGCCACACCCTGGGCCTGGTAGTTAAAGATCGACCCCTGACCTAATCGGTTATGTTATCTAGAGATTACAAACATTGTATAGAAAAGCATTGTGAAATCCCTATCCTGTTTTGTTCCGATCTACTTAGCAGTGCGTGCAGCTCCCAGTCACTTACCCCCAGCTTGCTCAATCAATCACGACCCTCTCACACGCACCCACTTAGAGTTGAAGGCACAGGAATTGCTCACTCGGGGAGCTCGGCTCTTGAGACGGGAGTCTTGCCGATGCCCCCGGCTGAATAAACCCCTTCCTTCTTTAACTCGGTGTCTGAGGAGTTTTGTTTGCTGCTCATCCTGCTACAAATACAAGAGACAATTAGGGAGCATCTGCTGCGAGCACACTCGCACCACGGGGGTGATTTAGGGAAGTGGAAAAGCGAGATACAGCCCAAACACCGAAGCTGGGGGGGAATTTCCAGCTTCCCGATAGGTCTCGGTGTCTTTCATCATCACTCCACCCCGCTGCCTGGGGTTTTCAGTTGCTTATTTTTCAGCAGTGTGCACACAAGTCCGCATTCAGGATCCACGTGACACTCAGGCTGGAGTGGTGTTAAGGAACATGCAGGCAGTCTTAGGAAGACCTAAGCTGGAAATTAATGTTTTAAAGTCCCTTTCATTCACCTGAATTGGTCACGTGTTCCCATGAGCCTAGACTTGGCTACAATTTGAGTAAATGTTCTGTCCATAACTTACAGGGTTAACGGGACCCACCAGATACAGTTAAGATCGTATTTCAGATTATTTCATGTAATGTCATTGCAGAAGCAGCCTGATTCCGTCATCAAGTAGCCTGTTTCCCTCTTTTGTTTTCTCTCTCACCCGGCAGCCCCCCTCAATCTGATTCCCTGCTATGCCTGCCATCACCACTGGCCAGTTTTACCACATATTTCTCAAGATCCAAGGCACAATAGGCATAAAGTTGTCCTGAAAAGGACAAGAGGAGTGTCAGAAGTAGGAATGGCAGTCAAAGGAGCTTGGTCTGGCAGCAGAAAGCTGAAATGACAGGCAAGCACAAAATATATTAATGAGACAAAGCTATGCATGAGCGAAATATCAAACTTTCATCTTCTACCCACTTTTTTTTTTTTTCCTTAAAAACAGGAAGACAGTTGGGAGGCTGAGGCGGGCAAATCACGAGGTCAGGAGATCGAGACCATCCTGGCTAACACAGTGAAACCCCGTCTCTACAAAAATAGAAAAAAAAAAAACAAAAAATAGCTGGGTGTGGTGGCAGGCACCTGTAGTTCCAGCTACTCTGGAGGCTGAGACAAGAGAATGGCCTGAACCTGGGAGGCGGAGCTTGCAGTGAGCCAAGATTGCACCACTGCACTCGGCCTGGGTGACAGAGTGAGACTCCGTCCCAAAAAATAAAAAATAAAAAATAAAACAGGAAGACAGAATGTCTTGTCAAGGGTCACGCCACATGGAGCAGTAAATTCCCCAGAAAAGCAGAACATGTTTTTATGATTTAATTAATACAATTTCTCTCAATGTGTCTGTTTATCATTTGAGCATCCACATGATCAGACCTGACATCTGCCTACATTTTCTTGGTCATCTTTAACTTCAGTTAAGAACCTTTTGGGTTTTTCTTTTTGCTCTTTTTTTGCCCCGGCAGCACAGTGTAGTAAGTTTGGAACAAGACACACCTGAAATCAAATCCCTGCTCTGTGCTGGGTGATCTTCGAGGCAATCTTTTACCCTTTCTACTTTGTTGTTCTCATAGGAAAAGTGGAAATGAGGCCTTTTACCCCCGGCTTTTTGAGAAGACAGAGGAGAAAAAGCACATAAAAATTCAACTTGTCGGGTGCGGTGGCTCACACCTGTAATCCTGCACTTTGGGAGGCCGAGGCAGGTGGATAGCTTGAGGCTAGTAGCTCAAGACCAGCCTGGCCAACATGGCAAAACCCTGTCTCTATTGAAAATACAAAAATTAGACAGGCATGGTGGTGCACGCCTGTAATCCCAGCTACTTGGCAGGCTGGGGCACAAGAATTGCTTGAACCCAGTAAGTGGAAGCTGCAGTCAGTCAAGATTGCACCACTGCACCCCAGGCTGGGTGACAGAGTGAGACCCTGTCTCACAAAAAAAAAAAAAAAAAAAAGAAAAAGAAAAATGCATCTTTCCTGGCACCTGGTAGATCCTCAATAAAGATTATAAGCACTTCCTCTATTTATTTTGCTTCATTTTACCCTGGCATGCTAGAGAAGATACTGAAACTAGTTGTTCACAGTCATTATACTTGAAGCAGGAAGACCCCTTACCAAAAATAACATCTCCGTCTAGGGCATTTCTAGGAAACCAAATGGCAAAAACATTTGTATTTATAAGTATGAGCAATTACTGTTTTGGCAGAAAGACCAAGGAGTCCAAAATTTGATCCTCTAACTGAGGCCCCTACACCATTTGAGTCAGGTGACTCAATTACCCAGGGGTATTTTTTTCTGGTGTTCATAGTGTATGAATTTCTGTTCCCTGGCTGTCTCTTTGGTTGTCTCACTTTCTCTACCCCCTCTTCTTTCTCTTTTTCTTGACTCTCTTGATACTGAACAGCTTTTTGTGTTCACTGCAAACAAAAGGGGTTAATGACAGTGATGAAGTTGTCATAACTGACCTGCTGGATCCTGTTACTAAACGCCATCCCCAGCCTGTAATCATCACAAAGAACAGAGAAAACAAATAGCAACCCATTTGTACTTAGCTAATAATGCTCCCTTGCAAATAATTATGTTTCCCACCCCCAGAGGATTTAAATGACTTGGGGCTCACGCTGCTTGTGATAATAGACAAAACTCCAGCGTTCCCACAAGATTAATAATGTTCCCTTTTCTTCTTTTCTGTGCCTTTCCATCGTTACAGGAGATGTTGCTGAGATGGGTGCATTAAAGTTTAGGCTTTCCAGAGTTTATTTTGCTAACAACTTGAAGGAAAAAAGCTAACTAGAGAGCTGACTGGTCTTACTTGTTTTAGATTCTGGGCTTTACTAGGACTTCCTACACTCAGAATCTATAAACGCTGGGTGGGGTGGGAGCTGGGAATGTTATTCTGGGAAATTAATCACAAATGAAAAGAAAATCAACTCTAAGACTTCAGTTAGAAAATTTTTGAAAATGGCAGAACATGACTGGCCTTCATTCAAGTCTGAATATTTAAAGCAATCCTTGCTAAGAAGAACTTGATTTTGTATAAGCAGTCCCTTAAATACAGTTGCTTCTCAAGAAAACCACACACAATTGATGTTTGAATGGCTTTATTTACAAACATCTCACTCTGTAAGCCTCTGCAGGTATTGCTAGCCTCCCGGGGGCCACTGTCCCGTTTCACCTGTAATTTGGATCACAATTCTGTTTGTTGTCACACACATCATATGAACTGCTTTTCATGCTGCTTTTATCCACAAAGCTTTACAAGTTTTAGTGGCAGCTCTATATATGACAACTTTAAAAGAGCTGCCAAAAGGTATGATACCAAGCTTTGGTTTTAAAAGCACTGAAACATTGTTCAATACAGAAGTACTTTTCTTTCAATATGTGAGTGGAAACACATTTCTCTATAGGGACTGCTGGTCAGGGAGTCATTCTAAAGAAAAAGCCGCAGTGTTGCGGTTCAGAGCGTGGGCTCAAAAGACAAATGGATAAGAAGCCCAAGACCAGTCCTTCTGAGCTGTGTGACCTTAGACAAGTTGTCTAATCTCTCTGTGTCTCAGCTCTGCCTCAGTGTTGTTAACGGGATTGCCGTGAGAGCAATGCTGTAACATGTAAAAAGCGCTTAGAACTGTGTCTGGCACACAGAAAGCACTCGATAAATATTGACCTGGTTAGCAGCAGCAGCAGCATCGCTGGAGCATCTCTACATCATACAGGGCCTGATGGAAAGAGACCAGCACTGAGAATGAACAGAACAGTGCTGGCTCTGACCCGCTGGCTCTGGCATTGCTGAATAACTCTAAGCAAGTCTCTTAAGCTTTTTAAATCTCACTTTTCACCAATAACTAATGAAGGGATTGAAGGAGCAGGTCCCCTGACGTCTTTTCAAATTCTAAAATTCTCCAGCTTTATTTAATCCTGCAGTGAATCCTTTTGCAAGGTAAAGAGTACTCGCTCCCCTCAATAACATCTTATGAGTTTAGGTTTCGGTGCATAGGGCAATTCCCAGGGCATAAATCATTTCCACTGTCACCATAGCCCGCAGGTGAGGTGAGCAATCCATTAGCTTGCTTCTGGAAACAAGCCTGTCTGTATTTGTTCCCCCAGCATCTGCACTTAGCACACTGACTTTGCTCAATATATGTATTGGATGGATAAATGAGTAAATGAAAGAATGACATAAAGATCATAGATTGCCTCAGCCTTCTATTGGAAAATAACCTAAAGGGAGGGGGAAAATTACTACTTAAAACCACAAGTGCCACTCAAGGGATGCCTCCTATGAAAGGAGGAGTGCTAACTGCCAGGTCCCCACTGGTCCTTCGTGCTGCTTATGGCCTGGAAGGCCTCTCCTGCAGCCAAGAGCTCTGATGTGCTTGGGCTGTGCAAAGTTGAGTCTGGAAGCTTTAGGCACAGGAATGGAGAGCGCTCACTCCCTTTGCCTAAGAAAGGGGACTTAGAGAGGAACTTGAAAGAGGGAGTAAGAGAGAGGGCAACAAGTTGGGCCAAAGCTAGGCAGTCCATGCAGTGGGTGCCAAGCCTGGAGGTGGGGTGGTCTGGAAATCATTCCGGAACAGGAAATCTGTTCTTCTGTCTTCTGTGCCTATTGGGGTGATCAGAACCAACACCAGGTCGTGGGGGGCAACGAAGTCCAGAGGAGACAAAGGAATGAGAAAAAGACAGTTTGAGAGACAGAGTGGGACCAGAGGGCGTCACGAGGGTGGAGGCTGCGAAGGCCTTGAGCTCTGGGAATCCACTCTATTTATTGGTGTTCAAACAAACAAACAGGTGGTGAGGATGTGGGGGTTGAAAGGAAACAGTGTATCGAGTGAATGAGAAACATATGGCTGCTTGAAATAATGGGAGTGCTAGAAGCAAGGAGCCAGCATGTCTAACAGACATGCAAGCCCTGCCTCAGCTTCTCTCCCAACACTCAGCTTTTCTCCCAACATACCCCCCTTCTCTTTTTTGTAAAAACCACCACAGCTATCATTATTAGCATGAGGTGGCCTCTTTTTAAAATTAATTGAGCAAGGCAAATGTAGGCTGTGCAGCCCTTAATTGCCAGTTGGTGATCCAGCTTCATTTTTCTTAGCCCGTATTCAAAATGGAGTCGCCTGGTTTGAATGCTTCCTACGTATCTCCCCTTTCCCTTTTACAAGAGGACCCTTAATCCTAGGGGTTGCAGAAGGATGAAGGTCCGTCTTCTGTAACTTCTTCATGCTGAATAGGGGCAATGATACTCCTGCCTACCTATTAGGGTCTCTTGTATTCAGGGTAAAGAGGAGGCGCCCGCCACCATGCCCAGCTAATTTTTTGTATTTTTAGTAGAGACAGGGTTTCACCGTGTTAGCCAGGATGGTCTCGATCTCCTGACATGATCCGCCCGCCTTGGCCTCCCAAAGTTCTGGGATTACAGATGTGAGCCAACGCGCCCAGCCAAAGAAATTTCTTTCTTTGAGAGTGAGTCTTGCTCTGTCGCCCAGGCTGGAGTGCAGTGGCACAATCTCGGCTCACTGCAATCTCTGCCTCCTGGGTTCAAGCAATTCTCCTGCCTCAGCCTCCCGAGTAGCTGGGACTACAGGCATGCGCCACCACACCCAGCTAATTTTTTTGCATTTTTAGTAGAGACAGGGTTTCACCATGTTGGCCAGGATGGTCTTGATCTCCTCACCGCGTGATCCACCCACCTTGGCCTCCCATAGTGCTGGGATTACAGGTGTGAGCCCACCACACCCGGCCAGAAATTTCTAAGCAGCAAAGCATTCAAGATGTGGCCTGGCTGCTTCTAACTCCTTATGCTCCATTGCAGGAAGAAATAAATGAATTAAAGTTAGAAGTTATATTTAAAGGTAAAGCAGAGCATAAAAATTTGGGAAATTTGCAGGCTGGCCATGTGAGAAAGAAAGAAAAAGCTTTTTCAGGAGAGGAGCTCAAGCAGGCTGGGGAGTAACCACTTGTTAGAGAGATTTGCATAACTAAAAGGGAACCAAGTGCTAATAATTGATGCAGTGCTAATAATCGACACAATAGGAAATAGGCCTCAGAGCCATTTCAGAGATCTTCAACAACCCTCCCATCACAGGCTCAGAGGCCTAGGAGGAAAGAATGGTTTCATTGTCAAGGCCCAGGGCCCTACTGCCCTGCACAGCCTCAGGACACTGCTCCCTGCCTGCATCTAGGCTGTTCCAGCTCCACCCTTTGCTTAGAGGACCCTAGACACAGCTCAGGCTGCTATTTCAGAGGGTTGAAGCCATAAGCCTTGGCAGCTTCCATGTGGTGTTAAGCCTGTAGGTATGCAGAATGCAAGACTGTAGAAGGCTTAGAAGGCTTGGCAGCCTCCACTTAGATTGTATGAGAAAGCCTGGGAGCCCAGGAAGAAGGCTGCTGCAGGGGCAGAGCCCTCACATTGGAGGGAAAATGTGGGGTTGAATGCCCCACACAGAGTCCCCACTGGGGCAATGCCTAGTGGAGCTGCAGGAAGGGGGCTCCCACCATGCAGACCCCAGAATGGTAGATCACCAGCAGCTTGCACCCTGCACCTAGAAAAGAGGCAGGCCCTCATCTCCAATCTGTAAGAGCAGCTGTGTGGACTGAATTCTGCAAAGCCACAGGAACACAGCTGCCCAAAGCCTTGGGAGCCCACCCCTTGCACCAGTGTGCCCTGATTTTGGGACATGGAGTTAAAGGAGATTATTTTGGAGCCTTAAGATTGAATGATTACCCGGCTGGGTTTTGGACTTGCTTGGGACCTATAACCCCTTTCTTTTGACTGATTTCTCCCTTTTGGAACAGGAATGTTTACCTAATGCCTATGCCCCCATTGTATCTCAGGAGTAAATAACTTGTTTTCATTTTTACAGGCTTATAGGTGAAAGGAACTCATCTTCAGATGAGACGTTGGACTTGGACTTGGGATTGGGACTTTTGAGTTAATGCTGGAATGAGTTAAGACTTTGGGGGTCTCTTGGGAAGGCATGACTATATTTTGCAATGTGCAAAGAGCATGAGATCTGGGGGGCCGCGGTGGAATGATAAAGTTTGGATATTTGTCCCCCAAAACCTCATGTTGAACTATAATTCCCAATGTTGGGGGTGGGGCCTGGTGGGAGGTTTGGGTCATGGGGGCAGATCCCTCGTGGCTTGGTGCTGTCCTTGCAATAATGAGTTCTTATGAGATCTGCTCATTTAAAAGTGTGTGCACCTCCCTGCTCTCTCTCTCTCTCTCTCTCTTGCTCCTGCTTTTGCTGTGTGATGCACCTGCTCTGGCTTTGCCTTCCACGATGTGTAAAAGCTCCCTGAAGCCTTCCCAGAAACCAAGCAGATGCCGGCACCATGTTTGTACAGCTTGCAGAACTGTGAGCCAGTTAACCCCTTTCTTTATAAATTACCCAGTCTCAGGTATTTATTTATTTATTTACTTATTTAGAGACAGGGTTTCTCTCCTGTTGCCCAGGCTGAAGTGCAGTGGCACAATCTCGGCTCACTACAACCTCCTCCTCCTGGGCTCAAGTGATTCTCCTGCCTCAGCCTCCTGAGTAGCTGGGACTATAGGTGCATGCCACCATGCCTGGCTAATTTTCGTATTTTTATTAGAGATGTGGTTTCACCATGTTGTCCAGGCTGGTCTTGAACTCCTGACCTCAAGTGACCCTTGGTCTCCCAAAGTGCTTAGGATTATAGGTGTCAGCCTCCATGCCCGGCCTCAGGTATTTCTTTGTAGTAATACAAGAATGGCCTAACACACTGGGCAAGCCCATACCTTTCTGACCTCAGTTTCCTTTTCTGTAATAGGGGTTTGTGAAGATTAGGTGCTGTATTCATTTCCTGTGACTGCCATAACAAATTACCACAAATCTGGTGGCTTAAAACAATGGGAATTGGCCAGGCGAGGTGGCTCATGCCTGTAATCCCAGCACTTTGGGAGGCTGAGGCGGGCGGATCACAAGGTCAGGAGATCAAGACCATCCTGGCTAACAAGGTGAAACCACGTCTCTACTAAAAATACACAAAAAATTAGCTGGGCGTGGTGGCGGGTACCTGTAGTCCCAGCTACTCGGGAGGCTGAGGCAGGAGAATGGCGTGAACCCAGGAGGCAGAGCTTGCAGTGAGCCTAGATCGTGCCACTGCACTCCAGCCTAGGCAACAGAGCGAGACTCCGTCTCAAAAAAACAAACAACAACAACCAAAAAAAAACCAATGGGAATTGATGATCTCACAGTGCCGGAGGCTAGAAGTCCGAGATGGAGGTGTTGCCAGGGCTGTGCTCCCTCTGGAGGCTCTAGGGGAGGCTCCTTCCTACGTCTTCCAACTTCTGGGGGCTCCAGGTGTTCCTTGGCTTCTGGCTGCATGGCTCCGACCTCTGCTTCATCTTCACATGGCCTTCTCTTCTTCACTCTCCTCTTCTGTCTCAAATCTCTGTACGCTTTTCTTTTCCTTTCTTTTATTTTTTCTTTTATGAGATGGAGTTTCACTTTTGTTGCCCAGGCTGGAGTGCAGTGGCATGATCTCGGCTCACTGCAACTTTCGCCTCCTGGGTTCAAGCGATTCTCCTGCCTCAGCTTCCTGAGTAGCTGGGATTACAGGTGCATGCCACCAAGCCCAGCTAATTTTTGTATTTTTAGTAGAGATGGGGTTTCACCATGTTGTCCAGGCTCGTCTCAAACTCATGACCTCAGGTGATCCACCCACCTCGGCCTCCCAAAGTGCGGGGATTACAGGCTTGAGCCACAGCACCCAGCCTTTGCTTTTCTTTTCTAAGGACCATTTGTCCTTGGACGCAGAGTCCACCTGGATAATCCATCTCAAGATCTTTAACTTAATGACATCTGGGAAGACCCTTTTCCCAACTCGGTTAACATTCACAGGTCCCAGGGATTAGGATGTGGATATATCTTTTTGAAGGCCACGGTTCAATCCACTGTAGGTGTCTTTAAAGCACTTAAAAATGAAAATGAAAACTGAATGTCAACTCCTTCAACTGCAGTGAAAAAATAAGACTGTTCAGTGGACCGGACTTCTTAGCAGTTTTATTTTTCACTGCAGATTATTTTTCACCACTCATGAGGGCCTGCCCAGGGCATTCTCTCCCAGGAGGCAAGTTACTGTGACCAGCCAAATGATCAGGAGGGTCAAAGAAATGGCTACAGAAACAGGGATGGACAATGACTGTCAGAAGGAGGAGAGAAGTGGAGGATGACAGCTGAGGTGAGTGCCTAGCTCATTTGTCCTCACTCCCTCTCTTGAATCCATGTTAATCACAATTTACATGAATGCAGCGCTTTAAAAGTAAGGTATATGGAGAAACCCCATTTCTACTAAAAATACAAAATTAGCCAGGCATGGTGGCACATGCCTGTAATCCCAGCTACTTGGGAGGCTGAGGCAGGAGAATCACTTGAACCCGGGAGGCAGAGGCTGCGGTGAGCCAAGATCGTGCCATTGCACTCCAGCCTGGGCAACAAGAACAAAACTCCGTCTCAAAAAAAAAAAAAAAAGTAAGGTATAATGGCTCATGCTTATAATGCCAACACTGTGGGAGGCCAGGCCAGGAGGATGGCTTAATCCTAGGAGTTCAAGACCAGCCTGGGCAACATAGTGAGACCCTCCCCTCATCTCTACAAAAAGCTAAAAAAAAATTTTTTTTAACTGCTAGGGTTACAGGCCTTTTTTAAGTGGTAGGATTACAGGCCAGGTGGGGTGGAGGATCCCACCTATAATCTTAGCACTTTGGGAGGCTGAGGAAGGTAGATTGCTTAAACCTAAGAGTTCAAGACCAGCCTGGGCAACATAGTGAAACCCCATCTCTACAAAAATACAAAAATATTAGCCGGCTGTACTGGCACACGCCTGTAGTACCAGCTACTTGGGAGACTGAAGTGTGAGGATCACCTAAGTTCGGGGAGGTTGAGGCTGCAGTGAGCCAAGAGTACACCACTGCACTCCAGCCTGGGTGAAAGAGTGAAACCTTGTCTCAAAAGAAAAAATTAGCCAGGTATGGCGGTGCATGACTGTAGTTCCAGCTACTTGGGAGGCTGTGGTAGGAGGATCACTTGAGCCCAGGAGGTTAAGGCTGTAGTGAGCCATGATCACACCACTGCACTCCAGACTAGGTGAGACAGCTAGACATTGTCCCAAAGTAAATGAAAAATAAAAGTAAGGTATAAAAAGTATTGTTCAAACTCTTATTGGAGGTTCACATCAGTACTGAGAGATAAGAAATAGAACAGATATCATGATTCCCATTTTTTGAATGCAGAAACTGAGGCCCAGAGAGGTGAATCCAGCCTGTGTCCTTCACACCCTAGCTGGCTCATAGAAACCATGACCTGTTACCAACCAAGCCCTCCAGAGCCCAGTACCATGGGCCAATGGTGGCCTTCCCTCGCCTGCTCCTGGGGCAAGTTGCCAGGAGGTATTGCCTGTTTTGGGGGAGAGGTCTGCAGGGGCCTGAGGCATGGGCCTTGCAATGGGCAGTCCCACTGGGACCTCCTCTGGTGCTGCCCTCAGGAAGATGCTGTGGCTCCAAAAGCCCCAGGGGCACCTCTGACCACAGCAGTCAGTCTGGCCAGGTTGGGAGGGGCTCTTGTGCCCGGTGTAACTTCACAGAGCCAGCACATTCCAGTCTGGGAAGGAAACCAAAGGCACTTTGCCCAAGTGTCACAGAGCTTGAAACAGCATCCTGTGATGGGTCCCTGTCCCCAGAAGCAATGAGATTGGACAGGTGCTGAGCCCTTGTTACTTGATTGGGACGGACTTGCATCTGAGGAACAAACTGAGAGTGAACCTTTCCAAATTTGAAGCCTAAGAAAAATTTGGTGTCCTGATGAGCTGTGACAGGCAACCGTCTGGGGAAGTGGAAGCTTAGCACATCCTCTGGTTACTTATCACCTTACTGAAGGGTCTAAAAATGATGTCCTTGGGGTGTCAGAATCCTGCAGAATAAAATACTGATGAGTTTTAATTCATTCTTTGCAAATGAATTTTCTCAAGGCTCTGGTTGGAGTCAGGCACCCTGGGACCTTGCAGTAGTGTGCTTTGGGCCGCAGGCCACAGCCCCTTTCTTTTTTGTTTCCTTTTTGAGATGGAGTCTTGCTCTCTCTCCCAGGGTGGAGTCTAGTGGTGCAATCTCGGCTCACTGCAACCTCTGCCTTCCAGGTTCTAGCAATTTTCCTGCCTCAACCTCCCAAGTAGCTGTGATTACAGGTGCCCGCCACCACGCCCAGCTAATTTTTTGTATTTTTAGTAGAGATGGGGTTTCACTGTGTTTCCCAGGCTGGTCTTGAACTCCCGACCTCATGATCCACCCTCCTCGGCCTCCCAAAGTGCTGGGAATACAGGCATGAGCCACTGTGCCCGGCCCACAGCCCCTTTACTCTCTGGAAGTCTCTGATGACCTCTTCATGATGCTTTTTTTTTTTTTTTTTTTGAGACGGAGTCTCGCTCTGTTGCCCAGGCTGAAGTGCAGTGGCGGGATCTCAGTTCACTGCAAGCTCTGTCTCCCGGGTTCATGCCATTCTACTGCCTCAGACTCCCAAGTAGCTGGGACTACAGGCGCCTGCCGCCACGCCCGGCTAATTTTTTGTATTTTTAGTAGAGATGGGGTTTTACCGTGTTGGCCAGGATTGTCTTGATCTTCTGACCTTGTGATCCACCCGCCTCGGCCTCCCAAAGTGCCGGGATTACAGGCATGAGCCACCGTGCCTAGCCTTTTTTTTTTTTTAATATTCTTGGTACATTTTCTATGTAACCATTTAAATAACTGGCCAGTAGAGTCTTCAGATTTTCTGTATCGCTTCCCAAATTTAGAAACCTGACTTGACTTTGGACCAGTTGTAGGCCATCCTGTGCCCCCTTCCCTTGATTCCTGCAGCCAGAGCCCTAAGCAGGCCCCACCCACTTGAGTCCAAGCTGCTACCATTGTACCCACCTGCTGGCCAGGCCCCCACAGGGGCCTCTCTCCTCCTGACAGTCTCATCCCCACTCAGCAGCCAGAGTGCCCTCTTTATAAATGTAGATTGGATCCTTTCACTGTATTCGTTCATCCAACATTTACTGAGCACCTGCTGTGTGCTAGGCCCTGGTACAGGCACAGGAAACACATCAGGGAACAAAACTACACTCTCTGCTCTCCTGGGGCTTCCTTGCTAGTGGAGGGAATAAAGATATGTAAACATGTCAGGTAGTGATGAGTGCAAAGGAGAAAAGTAAATCAGAGAAATGGAGCAGAAACTGCTGGCAAGAGTGGGCGGTGGGGGGGTATGATTTGCAATTTTCAACAGGGGTGGTCAGGCCTGACTGAGGAGCCGAAGAGGTAAGAGAGTAAAGCCATGTGGCTAAGTGGGGTGAAAGAGTTGAAGCAGAAAAGGTGGGAGGATCACCAGGCATGATGGTCCCTGTCTGTAGTCCTAAGTACTAGAGCCGGGCACAGCGGCTCATGCCTGTCATCCCAGTACTTTGGGAGGCCAAGGCGGGTGGATCACCTGAGGTCACGAGTTGAAGACCAGCCAGACCAACATGGTGAAACCCTGTCTCTACTAAAATTACAAAAATGAGCCAGGCGCGGTGGCGCATGCCTGTAATCCCAGCTACTTGGGAGGCTGAGTCAGGAGAATCGCTTGGACCTGGGAGGCAGAGGTTGCAGTGAGCCAAGATTGTGGCATTGCACTCCAGCCTCTCCAGCCTGGGCAACAGAGTGAGATTCCATCTCAAACAAAACAAAACAACGAAAACTAACTACTGGAGAGGCTGAGGTGGGAGGATTGCATGAGCTCAGGAGTTCGAGGTTGCAGTGAGCTATGATCACACCACTACACTCCAGCCTGGGTGACAGAGCGAGACCCTGTCTCAAAAAAAAAAAAAAAAAAAAAAAACTTGTAGCAGAGAACAGCAAGTGCAAAGGCCCTGAGGCAGGAGTGTGCCTAGTGTGTTTGAGAACCCACAGGGATGCCACTGTGGCTGTAGCAGGGTGAGATGTGGGAAGGGAGAGTGGCTAAGGAGGCTGAGAGGTCAGGGAATAAGTGTGGCTGGAGCCGGCCCTGAAGGTGCCCGAGACCCTTGTTTCTCTCCTGAGATGGCGGCCCTCACAAACCCTGGAGCTTCCCTGGCTGCCATGAGGTCAGGCGGAAGGGGGTCGAGGTAGAGGTGGACACAGGGTGCAAGAAGGGAAAGGATTTTTGCTGCTTAAATCCTAGCCTGTCTTCCCATTGCTGGTGGGGTACATTATCAATTCCTCTTCCCTGCCTGAGGTCTGACATGTGCTGGCCCCAGCTGGCCTCTTCCTTCCCCCAGCTCCACCTTCCACCCCTCAGCTCCAGCTCGTGGCCTGATGTGGTTCCTCCTCCCAGTCCATTGACCACGCTGGCCCCTGCCGCAGGGCCTCCTCTATTGATGTGTGCTCTTCCTGAACTGCCCTTCTGCCGGACAGCTGCTCCTTGGTGGCAGCTCAAGTGTCCTTCCTTCCCTAAGCCAGAGTTTCCCAACACTGCAGCCCAACACCCTTCATTTTTCATGACATTCTTCATGTTCTGTCAATGGGCCTTTTGTTGTTTTAATTTTGTCTTCTTGTTTTTGTCGGTCTCCCTTCCTAGAATTTAAACCCCATGAGGGCAGAGGCGTTCAGCCTCACGCCAGCCTGGCAAATTTGTCACAAATCTGGAGGAACGCACACGTTCGCGGGCACCCAGTTCTGTGAGGTATTGCAAGCCCTCTCTGAACCTGCAAGGTGGCCATTGCTGTTCCCACTTTACAAGGGAGGAAGGAGTGCCCGGAGAGGTTCTATTTAGACCCGCCAAGGGCACAGTCGTTCTAGAAAGTAGCAGATCGGGAGTTTGAACTTGGGCTTGCTGGTTCCAGAGCCCCTTCTGTGCCCCTTCCAGGCTGTGCCTGGGTGAGATTCTTCCCCTTCGAGCACCTCTTCTTCCTCGAGGGTTCAGTGGCTGAGCTGACACCGGTGGGCAAGAGGCCTTGGCCTGCTTGTTGAAGGACTCAAAGGTGGCGTCTGGAAGCCTGGCGGGACTTTTCCCCTGTCAGCCTAGAGGCACTTTTAGAGGAGCGTGTCTGTTTCGCAGTCTTCGTGTCTCATAATTCATAATTAAGGTAGAGAGTACACATTTAGTTTAAAGTAAAAATTCAAACCCACCTCCACTCCCAGCTGGCCAGCTTCATGCAGTTCTCTCCCTGTCCCCTCCTCTGCCCTCCACAGGTGAGAACAAGTGTCAGGGCCGCACCATGGGACCCCAGGCTTCCTGCCCTGAAACTGCCTCGCTGTGTGCCCTTGGGCAGCCCCGCCCCGTGCCTCAGTTTCCCCACTCATAGAGGCTCCACAGGTAACACACCGGGCTCCTGGCCCAGATCTGCCCCCGGGCCCCGCGGGGCGGAAACCCCGCGCCCCAGCCCCGCGCCGAGCCTCCCGGCGGCGCCCCCAGGGCAGGGCGAGGAGCGCGGGGAGGGGCCGCGGGGACCCGGGCCGCTGGGGCCGTGGGGCCCGCCCGGCCGCCGGCCGGCTCCCTGGGGCGCGGGCGGCTGCGTCAGCGGGGGGCGGAGACGCGGCGCTGCTTCCGCTCACGCGCGCCCTGCTCCCTCCTCCCAGTCGTCCTGGTCCGCGGCGCCCAACGGGGAAGACGAAGATGCAGGGACACGCGCGAGGAGCCGCCGCAGCCGCCGCCGCCGCGCTGTGGAGCCCGAGTGAGCGCGGCGCCAGCCCGTCCGGCCGCTGGACAACATGGAGGCTGCACTGCCCGGGCCGCCGTGGCCGCTGCTGCTGGCGCTGTGCGGCTGCCCGGCCCCCGCCGCAGGTAGGTGGGCGCGGGCCGACCCGGGACCGCGGGCTGCTAGTACAATGGCCCGGGCGGCCCCGCGACCAAGTGCACGGGCGCCACCGCCGCCTTGGAAGCGAGTTGGGGGCGAGTTGGGGCGCGCACCGGGGATCCCCCCGCCGTCCCTGCCCGGGCCATCCCCGGGGACGCCGCGTCCCGGGCCGGTGAGGAGGGCGCGCGGGCGGCGCCGGCCGGTCCTCACCTGCCCGCGCCCGTAGGAAGCCAGGAGCCGAGCCCGCGCTGGGCCCGTGTGGCCCGGGCCGGGCACCAAGTTGGGACTTGGGGCCCGGAGGCGGGCCTGGCCCGGGAAGCCGGTTCGCGACTCTGTTTCCAGCGGCCGCGCGGCCGGCCCGCGTGCTCCGAGGACCGGCTGAGGTTGCAGCGAGAAAGTTCTGAGCCCGGGTGCGGGGCTGCCTGGCCGGTGGCGCTGCCCCTGTGAGCCGTGGCTGTGGGTTTCCAAGCGGACTGACACATGCCAGGTGCCGGGGCGACCCGAATGCCCCTTGTGGCCGCCGGGGTCCCAGATGGTGTCCCTCCCCGGGTCGGCTGCCCGGAGGGGGGCGGGGGGGGTGGTGACATGGTCCCAGAGCGCGGGACAGTAGGGGAGGCAGGTTCGTGCCTCAGTTGTACTCTCCAGTGGGGAGAGAGTAAGGCCGGGCAACTTTGTCTCCAACTTTTGGTGTTTCCCAAGGGGTGGAGTTGAGGTCAGGAGGACTCAGGACACTTAAGCAGTTTGTGAAACGCTACACATGTTCTTTTAATTTGGAGATGGCCATGTGGTTTTTGAAGCAAGCCTCTTGCTGCCTAAATCATTCTCTTCGGATGTGCGTGTTTTGCTTTTCTGGAGTATGGCCAGCCAAGTGGCACGGCCCGCAAGTGCCTGTGCACGCCTGGGCTCCTGTTCTGTTTGTGGCAGTTTAGCTGGGAGGATCTTGGGCCCCTTTGTCTGTGCCTCCTTAAGGCAAACAGCTGTCTCCTTGAATATTTCCAGTGTGGATGGTGCAGGGGGGTGGCCGTGTAGTCTGTTCCCCTGGGCTGCAGCCTCTCTTCTGGAGGTGTAGGGGGCAGCGGGGAACAGGAGGAGCTTGGCCTTTGTTTCAAGTCCTCCTACCTCTGACCCAAACCTAGAGATTCTGTGGACAGTTTCACCCCAAATTTGCCTCTCTCAGGAGCGTGTTTACATTTTGGGGCCTTGTCGGGAGCTAGCAAAACAAGGTGAAGACAAAACAGCGACAGTATCTGGGGAGTACAGGCCAGCACCGTTCCTTTTTCCGGAAATGCGTGGGTCAAGGAGGCAAAAGGGGTTTTGAGGAAGCTGTTTGTTTTAAAGGGGGAGTTTCTAGGCTGACCACGTTTGCCTTTCACCTCATTGCAGTTTGGGTTTTGTGCACGTTTTAGGTGATGTTGCTGGAATCAAATGTCTGTCGTTCATGTGGTTGGAGCCCCTAAGGAGAAAGAACTACAGCTGTGGAGTTCAGTTGTATGTGAGGCAAAAATAGAGTTGATTATTTTAACATTAGGCAGCAAGGCCTGGGAGCCCCAGCAAATGTGGTGATCCAGTCCTAAAATAAAAGGAAAAGGAGGAACGGTTTTGATGTTATGTCCCTGATTTTCTGTGTGAGATACATGCCTCGGACTTCAGCGAAGCCAGTAAGTGGGCAGCTAATTATTTTTCCTGATTGCTTCCTGTTGCAATTGGAAGCTGTGAACCCACGGAAATGGCTTTGTTCTAGTGGTCCCAGTGCTGAGAACCTCCCCAGCTTCCAAGCCCTAGGCCTCTCTCCTCGGGGCCCAAGTGCTTATTCCAGGACCCGCCTGTCTAGGCACCCCCTTTCACCCTGGAGTTTCCTCCTGTAGATGCCCAAGGCCAAGGCCAGCAGGGCTGAGTGGGGTTAACTAAGGGCTGTGTGGGGCACCCTGAGAGAGTCCCCTCTAAAGCAGGGCCCCTTGGCGTTGAACTTCCCTTGTTCAGTTCCAAGAAATTCCCGGGTGAACCCGAGCCAACATTTGTTCAGCACTTTTCTGGGGAGATCCACCTCGTGCTTCCTGTCGTTTTTGGAATCCGTTTAATTTCAGCGGCACTGTGTCACTGCTCAGGCATTTAGTAGAACTCACACACAGAGATGGGGGGTGAAGGTGCAGGCAGGTGAGGCCTCCGAGTTGCTTTCTCCCTTGCAGCAACGGGTTGCAGGGCTGATAGGGGGTTTTGGGGTCAGACCCACCTGGATTTACATGCTCAGTAGCTGTTTGACTTTGGGCACCATACCTAGTTTCTGTCATCTTGCCTCGCTCCTCTCCCAGGCCTTGGGAAGCCCTTAGTGCCCTGTGTGAGACCTTTAGCCCCATCCCTGGCCCAGGCTGGGGACTGGCAGCGGCAGTGCTGCAGTGGCAGTTGTATGTAGGAGTCCTTGATCTTTCTGGCCCTGGCCGGTCTAGAGGCTGTTATTACAATAGTCTGTGTGACCTTGGACATCCAGTCCACTGACCACCTCACTCACTCACTGCTGCAGCCCTGGGGGGCAGGAGTAGTTAGCACTGTGGACAGAGCCCCTGTGTCCAGAGTCTGATCCCAGCCTGGCCGCTTGCTGTGCTGGGAAGCTTGAGAAGCTGACGCTACCTTTGTGTGCCTCAGTTTTCTCAGCTGTAAAATGGGGATAAGAATCCTTCCTACCATGAATTCAGTGAGTGAACGTGCACCTGGCCCAGTGTAATGCTGTTGCTGTTTCGCTTTGGTGTCTGCTACTGTGTGAAGTGCTGGGGTTGAATGTGATAGAATGGCAAATAAGGCCCCTCCGCTGTAGGCAGGGCTTCCCGTGTAGAGGGGAGGAAGGGAAACAAGCTGTGCAGCTATGCAGAGATGGGCCCAGGGGTGCTCCTTCACCCTCGGGGCGTCCTGTGAGAGGTCCTTAGAGGCCAGATCATGCTGTGGAGTCTCACTGTGATCCAGAAGGCAGTGGAAGCTACTGGAAGGCTTTAGGCAGGACTGATAGGAAATGAAAGCTGAAGCCAGACCTTTCCTAGGTGAAAAGTGTCAAGTTGATCTTTTTTTTTTAATTGAGGTGAAACTTACATGATATAAAATTAAAGTATACAAGGCAGGCATTTAGTACATCCACAGTGCTTACAACCATCACTTCTATGAAGTTAGAAGAGATTTCCATCACCCCAAAGTAAAACCCATACCCATTGCACAGTGACTTCTCGTTCCCTCTCCCCCGACCCCCTGATGAGCACCAGTCTGCTTTCTGCCTCTATGGCTCTGCCTGTTCTGTGCATTTTGTATGAAGGGAATCATACAATACATCGTTGTTTTTTGTGGCTGACTTCCTTGGTTACTGTAATGTTTTCAGGGGTCATCCAAGTAGTCCCAGGTATGGGTGTTTCAGCCTTTTTTTTTTTTTTTTTTTTGAGATGGAGTCTTGCTCTGTTGCCCAGGCTGGAGTGCAGTGGCACAATCTCGGCTCACTGCAACTTCTGCCTCCTGGATTTAAGTGATTCTCCTGCCTCTGCCTCCCAAATAGCTTGGATTACTAATGGGTGCTCGCCACCACACCCAGCAAATTTTTGTATTTTTAGTAGAGACGGGGTTTCACCATGTTGGCAAGGCTGGTCTTGAACTCCTGACGTCAAGTGAGCTGGCAGCCTCGGCCTCCCAAAGTGCTGGGATTACAGGCGTGAGCCACCATGCCCGTCCTATTTCAACCCTTTTTGTGGCTGAATAATATTCCATTGTGTGGAGGGACCACATTATATTTGTCAGTTCATCCACTGATTGGATTGATATTGGTTGGTTGTGTCTCCCAGCCAGCATGAACAGGGCTCATGCGTCCTGGTGGAGGTGGCTGGTGGGAGGATCTGGCCTGAGACTCTCCTGCTGAGTGAGGTTCAGGAATGAGCCAGGTGATGAGAATGAGCTGGGTAGTCAGTGTTGGCCTCTGAGAGGAGGGGCCTGGGCCCTGAGAGGAGCCCTGGGAGGGCAGGGTGAGGGCCAAGTTCAGGTTACAGAAGCTGTGAGACAGCCGGACATTTGTGGTTTGAGGCCTTGGAGACAATGCGCTCTCCAAACAGGGAGTCTGTTGGGGAGGCCCTGGCAGGAGCTGGGGCTGCATCCAGCCCCTTGGCTTGGTGGCCTCGTTCACTTATTTGTTCAGGAAGCAGCAGGGTCTGGGCTCCATGCCAGGCCACCCTGGAAGGCTGTCCTGGGGCAGCGCAACCCAAGCATGAAGGGCGGAGGCGGCTGTGGCTTGCTACGAGCTGGCGCCAGGGACCCACTGGCTGGCTCCAGCTGCTCTCTGCATTCTCTTCAGCTCTGGAGAGCTGTGTGCCGGCCCTCAGCCTGAGTTTCCTCATCTGCAAAATTGGGACGATGGTGTCCACCTTGCCGGTGCTGGTGGGGTCCCAAGAGCTGTTGTCTGGGGTAAGGGAGCTGGGGGCCAAAAGCTCATGCCCTGGGGCCCCAGCTGTCCTTTGAAGAGTACCCTGAGGGTGTGACTGAGAGCCAGTCCCCAGCACCCTTGTCCAGATGGGGACCAGGAGGTGGGTGAAGGTATTTGTGGTCTGAGCTCTGTGCTGGTTGCCCCCGAGGGGGCCTAGAGCCCTGCGTTAAGAGCAGAGCCCAGCCGGGCACGGTGGTTCACGCCTGTAATCCCAGCACTTTGGGAGGCCGAGGCAGGCAGATCACAAGGTCAGGAGATCGAGACCTTCCTGGCTAACACGGTGAAACCCCATCTCTACTAAAAATACAAAAAACTAGCCGGGCGTGGAGGCAGGCACCTGTAGTCCCAACTACTCGGGAGGTTGAGGCAGGAGAATGGTGTGAACCCGGGAGGCGGAGCTTGCAGTGAGCCGAGATTGGGCCACTGCACTCCAGACTCGGGGACAGAGTGAGACTCCGTCTCCAAAAAAAAAAAAAAAAAAAGCAGAGCCGGATGCTGGCCCTATCCCTTCTTGCCCCACCTGGTTAAATGGGGGCTGCCTTCCTGGGTTGGGAGTTGGGGGGGACTTGTGCCCCTAAGCCATGCAGAGACATGTGCAGACGGGCCGCTCTTACACATGCGGGTGGCCATCCATGGTCCCTGCCCATTTCCAAGGCCCTTGTAGTGGTCCCTGTGCTCCAGGTCCAGTCTCTGGTTTCCAGTTTGTCATGGTTTGCCTGTCGCCTTGTAGGGGGCAGTTGACGCTTTGCTGGCCTGGCTCATGGTGTGCCAGAGCCTGTGGCTGCTGCGCAACTGTGCCTCTTGCTCTCACAGTGGCAGGAGCCTCATATTCTGATTGAGCCTGATGGGCTGGAGGATCCTTCACAGGGTCACTGTTCTCTGTCCCTCGTGCTTGGGATCTCCTGCCGTGGACCCCCTGGGAGGTTGTCTTGCGGGTGGGGAGATTGTGCTTTCTGGGTATTTTCTTTTTTTTTTTTTGAGACGGAGTCTGGCTCTGTTGCCCAGGCTAGAGTGCAGTGGTGCGATCTCAGCTCACTGCAAGCTCCACCTCCTGAGTTCACACCGTTCCTCTGCCTCAGCCTCCTGAGTAGCTGGGACTACAGGCACCCGCCACCAAGCTTGGCTAATTTTTTGTATTTGTTTTTTTAGTAGAGACGAGGTTTCACCTTGTTAGCCAGGATGGTCTCCATCTCCTGACCTTGTCATCTGCCTGCCTCGGCCTCCCAAAGTGCTGGGATTACAGGCGTGAGCCACCGTGCCTGGTCGCTTTCTGGGTATTTTCTTATTTGCTCTATTGAAGTGTATTTAATTTAATATGTATATTTAAAACATCTGTTTTTAGTTTGCCTTATTGTAATATTTTTTGGAGATTTAAATTTTTTTTTTTTGAGACGGAGTCTCACTCTGTCCCCCAGACTGCAGTGCAGTGGTGCGATCTCGGCTCACTGCAAGCTCCGCTTCCCGGGTTCATGCCATTCTCCTGCCTCAGCCTCCCGAGTAGCTGGGACTACAGGCACCTGCCACCACGCCCGGCTAATTTTTTGTATTTTTTTAAGTAGAGACGGGGTTTCACCATGTTAGCCAAGATGGTCTCAATCTCCTGACTTCGTGATCCGCCCGCCTCGGCCTCCCAAAGTGCTGGGATTACAGGCAGGAGCCATCGCGCCCAGCCAAGATTTAATTTTTTTTTTTTTTTGAGTCTTGCTCTGTTGCCCAGTCTGGAGTGCAGTGATACAATCACTGCTCACTGCAGCGTCTACCTCCTGGGCTGAAGCAATCCTCTCACCTCAGCCCGCAAGTAGTTGAGACCACAGGTGTGTACCACCACGGCCAGCTAATTTTATTTATTTTTTGTAGAGACAGGGTTTCACTATGTTGCCCAGGCTGGTCTTGAACTCCTGGGCTCAAGTGATCCACCCACCTCAGCCTCCCCAAGTGCTGGGATTACAGGTATGAGTCACTGCCCCCAGCCTTAATGTAATTTTTCTTGTGGTTAAACTGAAGTGAAGGTTCACTCAAAGAGGAAAGTGGTTTTTAGCCTTTCTGAGGCCTCGAGGGCCCCTTCAAGCGTATGATAATGGTTCCTCTCCTGAGAAGGTGCCTGGTGGGGGCGGCACAGGCTCCACTCCACTGCATTGCAAGAATCCAGGGCCCCGCAGGGCTCAGAGCCCCGCTCCCAGTCTCCTTGTGGGGCATTGGGGGGCACTCACCTTCTGAGTGCCTCAGTTTCCCTTTTTGTAAAATGAAACCAGCTGATTCCAATCTCTATGGACTCTTCTAGCACAGGGCTTCACATTTTAGTTCCTTCAGGATCCTGAGGCCTCTGGACCGCTAGGGATTGAGGGTACCCCCAGAAGAGGTGCTGCTTCTGTGCCCTCTGTCGCCCAAGCTGGAGTGCAGTGGCACAGTCTCGGCTCACTGCAACCTCCGCCTCCCTGGTTCAAGAGATTCTCATGCCTCAGCAGCTGGGACTACAGGTGTCCGCCACCATGCCCAAATAATTTTTGTATTTTTAGTAGAGACGGGGTTTTGCCACGTTGGCCAGGCTGATCTCGAACTCCTGACCTCGAGTGATCTGCCTGCCTCGGCCTCCTAAAGTGCTGGGATTACAGGCGTGAGTCACCGTGTCCAGCCTGCCTGGCTAATTTTTAAAAATTTGTTGTCGAGATGGGTGTCTTGCTTTGCTGCCCAGTCTGGTCTTGAACTCCTGGCATCCAGCTATCCTCCCACGTCAGCCTTCCAAAGTGTTGGGATTACAGGCATGAGCCACTGTGCCCAGCCTATTTTATTATTATTATTTAATTTTATTTTTTCTCACTATTGCCCAGGCTGGCCTCCAACTCCTGGGCTTGAACGATCTTCCCACCTCAGCCTCCTGAGTAGCTGGGACTGCAGGCATGTGCCACCACACCCTACTTTGTACTTTTACTTTCATATCTTTGCTCTTATTAAAAGCCAAGTGCTATTTCATAGTACACAGGTGCACTTTACAGCATTTACTTGATTGAGTTTTCCCAGGCTTCATTACTGTTACAAGGCATGCTTGCTCGTGTGTCTCTGCATGTGTATAAGTGTTTTTATAGGAAACATTCCTAGTCAAAGAGTGTGTCCATTTAGGTTTTTAAATATATTGATGCCGGGCACAGTGGCTCACCCCAGTAATCCCAGCACTTTGGGAGGTTGAGGCAGGAGGATTACTTGAGTCCAGGAGTTCGAGACCAGCCTGGGCAACATTGGGAGACCCCCATCTCTACAAAAAAATTAAAAATTAGCTGGGTATGATTGCACACTCCTGTAGTCTCAGCTACCTGAAAGACTGAGGTGGGAAAATCTCTTGAGCCCAGGAGGTCAAGGCTACATTAAGCCATGATCATGGCACTGCAACAGATCTAGCCTGGGCAGCAGAGCGAGACCCTGTCTCAAATACATACATACATACCTCCTAAAAGGCTGTACCAATTCATACCTGCAAGCATCTATGAGAACATACACATTCCTATATCCTCTCTGATGCTGGCAATTACCAGATTTTGGTTTTTTGTGTTTTCTTTGGTCCCAATTTGGTTAAAAATTATAACACCTTTTGATTTGCACAACCCTCATTTCCGGTTTATTGGTATTTACTTTTCTGCAAATTGCCTACACTTATCCATCTTTCTATTGTTTTTCTTTCTTTTTTTGAGACGGAGTCTTGCTTGTCTCCCAGGCTGGAGTGCAATGGTGCGATCGCCATCTTGGTTCACTGCAACCCTTGCCTCCCGGATTCAAGCCATTCTCCTGGCTAAGCCTCCCAAGTAGCTGGGACTACAGGCATGCGCCACCACCCCCAGCTAATTTTTATATTTTTAGTGGAGACAAGGTTTCACCCTGTTGGCCAGGCTGGTCTCGAACTCCTGACCTCAAGTGACCTGTCCACCTCCCAAAGTGCTGGGATTACAGACGTAAGCCACGGTGCCTGGACTGTTTGTCTTTTTCTCATTGATTTGTGGGAGGTCTTTATTTGGTGTGGACTTTAATTCTTTGTTCTGTTTGTTTCACGTTTCACTGCTGGTCTTTGGCTAGTCCTTCATCCTTGTTTCTGGTGGTACATTATCTTAAAGGCATTAAGAAGTTTCATGTAATCACAACTCTATCTTTTATGGCTTTTTTCCTATCCCTTGTTCCTCCACCTCCAGATTATAAGTATATTCTCCATTATTTTCTTCCAGGAGTGTTACTGTTTTGTGTTTTACATTCAGACATTATTCTGATTTTTTTTTGTATATGGTATGAGGTAGGGGTCTGGCCAGTGAATAGGGAGTTGTCCAACACCTTGGTGGGATGATCCAACCTGTCCATTCATTGAAAATGCTGCTCTTTTATGTGTAGTGTCCACAGACACCTGGGTCCTGATTCCAGACCCTTCCCTGTGCTCCACTGCCTATACTGGAGTGCTGCTGTCTCCATCTCTGAAGCATCAGACCATATTTTGAGATCAGTTGTGCAAATTCCCACCTCACTGTCCTTTTCAAAAGATGTGTTGGCTCTTCTTGCATGTTTACGCTTTTGTGGTGAACTTCAGAGCCATCCTATCAGGTTCCACCCTTTGATCTCTTGAACTGGGGATGGTAAGTGGTGATATCCAACAGGTGTCAGAGGGCTGGATTTTAAGTAGCCCCTGATGAGCTGGCAGTCTCAGGCTGTGGAAGTGAATTCATCTGCTGGGTGCGGTGGAGCCGGCCTTGACATTTGTGGGTTTTGCTGACATTTGTGGAGGGCTCTGGAGGTGCCCTTTGTGCCACCTTGCCCAAGCCACTCCTGCTGCCCAGCTCCCTCCTGTGTCTGCTCAGGAAAGAAACTCTAATGCACGCTAATTTTAGCATTAGCCCGAGGGCAAATGTAATTACTGAGTTAATTATCACTCCCCTCCCCTAGTTCATCCCAGAGCAAAATGTGGGCACCTTTCATTTCTTGCCTGGGATGTACCCCTCTATTAACCCAGATGGAGAGGCGGTACCTGCCTGGCAAAGCTCTCAGGAAATTGTTCAACGGGGCATTAATAGCTATCCGAGCGCGTGGCCCTGGCCGGAACATGCCAGCCCGGGTGCTGGGTGCCCTCCAGGCTCTGTCCACCTTGGGTTCTGCCCCAGGAAGGAGCAGGCTGTCTCCTCTAGGGGACCTGAAGCTTAATGTCCTCACTGTACGAGGTAGTTTTGGAGCAAGACATGTTCTGGGGCTTGCTTCTGTGGGTAAAGGCCACTTCTCCACACTTTTCCCCAGAGAGAACTTGGTTCCCAAAAGGAGCCTGGATCCGGGTGTGGCTGTGCTGCCCTGGCCTCCTCCTCACTTCAGCTGGAGCTTCCGAGCTGACATCCATGCCTGTTCCTTCTCAGCACTGTAGACACAGGCCCCAGCTCTGCCCCCGCCCAGCCGAAAGCCTGCCCCCCACCCTCCCCTCCACTCAGACCCCCAGGGCTCCGAGGCTTTACCCACAGGCCCTGCAGATTCAGATTCTGTCATCAAATTCAGAGCTGATGATATCAGCTTTTACTGGGTCTCCTTGCTTTCTAGAACCTCCCCTTTGCCCATTTATCTTATGCTCTGGCAAGATTAATTTTTCTCCAAGTAGTTTTCATCATGTCCTTCCTTTTCTCAGATGGTCGTGCCCATTCTCCAGCATCTGAAGTTGGAACTTTTTGGCCTGGCATGCTGTGCTGCCCTGAGCAGGCCTGCCCATCTTCTGCCCCTGGTGTGGGCACTTCTCTTGCCAGACCCATCTGGAACCTTCCATGGTCCACCCAGCCTGGGTGGGCTTGAGGACAGGGGCTGTCTTCGTCTGTGCCCTTCTGCCTCCAGTGTGATGTCTGGTAGATGATCAGTAACTGTTCTGAGGCCACCCAAGGGCTCATCTGTCCAGAGAGCAGATTTTACCCATGCTTACCTCCTCTGGCTTGAATTCTGCTGGAGCATGAGCTGACTCTGCCATCCCCAAATCTAGCCCAGGTTGTAGAACGCCTGTCTGGCTATGTGACAGAAAGCTTCTGGGCCAAGTGTGAGGACCCCCATGGTCCTGCAGTAAGAGCCCATATTTCTGGGGTGTGGGAAACCCAGTGTACCCCAAAGGGACTTGACCGTGAAGTCCCGGGTCCATGTGGTACCTACCAACCTCCCATGGCCCAGACTGTATGAGCTGTCACTGGGTGGGGGCTTGGGCATTTGCATCCTTCACTTAGCATTCTTACCATTTTCAAAAACCTTTATATAAACATTTTTAATCATGCAAAGGGAATTATGGAATAATAAGTGTTTATATTAAAAAGTTTTGGTGCTTTTGATTTATTTATTTTTTGAGACGGAGTCTCACTCTGTTGCCCAGGCTAGAGTGCAGTGGTGCGATCTCTGCTCACTGAAAGCTCCGCCTCCCGGGTTCATGCCATTCTCCTGCCTCAGCCTCCCAAGTAGCTGGGACTACAGGCGCCCGCCACCACGCCCGGCTAATTTTTTTGTATTTTTAGTAGAGACGGGGTTTCACTGTGTTAGCCAGGATGGTCTCGATCTCCTGACCTCAGGTGATCCACCCACCTCGGCCTCCCAAAGTGCTGGGATTACAGGCGTGAGCCACCACACCTGGCCTGGTGTTTTTTACATTTATTTTGAGACAGAGTCTCACTCTGTTGCCCAGGCTGGAGTGCATTGGTGCCATCACAGCCTACTGCAGCCTCGATCTCCCCCAGGTTCATGTGGTTCTCCTGCCTCAGCCTTCTGAGTAGTTGGGGCTACAGGCACACACCACCATGCCCAGGTAATTTTTTTAAAAAAACTTCTTTTGTAGAGATGGGGTCCCACCATGTTGCCCAGGCTCATTTGGAACTCCTGGGCTCAATCCTCCTGCCTCAGCCCCCCAAAGTGCTGGGATTACAGGCGTGAGCCACTGCGCATAGCTAATTTGGTACTTTTGCGTTAAAACTATAGAGTAGGTGACTGAGTGATGTTTTTAATATGTTCTCAAGAATTTGAACATGAAGAGAGTTTCACTCTCCCAGGTTGTGCCCCTGGGAGTTCGTGCCCTTGCCACCAGCTTGCTGCTCAGGCGGCCCAGGGAGTTTGCTGCAGTGCCGGAGGACTCCTGGGCCTGGGCTGTGCCTCCCCGCAGCCGCCTGCTCCCTTGGGACACTCATTCAGCTGCTGTGGCCACTGCCACCCACAGTCCTTGCCTTGTAGGCTCCACTGCAGCTCTGGTTACAAAGAGCAGTGGTCAGGGACTCCTGACCTGCCATGCAGGGCACCACAGGCTTGTGGTGGCTTTGGTGCCGTCTGCTGCGTCTGCTTCCTTTAGGGCACAGAGTTCTCCCTCTCAGGAGGGCTGAGCTGCTGGAGCTCTAGTCCTGCCACAGAGTAGTCCCCAGTGCGGCGTTGCCTGTCCCTGTGGAGCAGGTGACTACCTGGCTGCGAGTGGAACAGCAGGCCATGGCTCTCGTAGTGGTCTGTGACAGCATATCACCCTGTGGGACAGACCCCCGGGACCTAGTGGGCTGGGACAGTGAGAACTATGTCCACAGGGGAGGCTTGGAGACTGTGTGCCCGGTGTGGCCCTGTGTGCTGACCCAGCTGGGCTCTGCCTTGCGTGGCCCCCAGGCTGCCCGGCCTGTCCCCCGAAGGCCTGGGGCAGAGCTCCAGAGAGCCATGGCTAGCCGAGGGCTCATGGATTCTCACCTGCCCCCTGCACCTCAGGAGACACCTGGGCAGCGAACAGCTTGAGGTGTGCAGAGGATGGCTCACGATAGGAGGGAAGGACAAGGGGCGCTTTCCATCCCTTTGGCTACCAGTTTTAATTAAAAAAAAAATTTCCATCTATTTTGAAAAGTTTTCTCCTCTTAAGGAAATGACGTTTACTAAGCAACAGCCCCTTCTGCTCATCGTCCAGCCGTGCTCGCTGGCAGAGCAGAGGCTGGTGGGATTCCACCTGTTCCGCACCGGGGGGTGCCACTTGGCTTCTCAGTGTCGAAGGCCCTTCTTGGACCCAGTACATCTCCACAGCCCCCTTGGGCTGTGGGTCCCTGGGTTGGGCATGACTGACTTGGAGTGTGATGAGAGATCTCCTCCAGGATCCAGGCAGGTCTGGCATGCCTCTGGGTGCTAGGTGTTGGGCTCCAGGTGGCCTCCTTGCTTTGCTTTTCTCTGAGGGTCCAGAGAGCCCTGCTCAGAGACCCCCCAGGTGAGCATTTCTCCCTCTGGACTCCTGTGCCCTGCACAGCCCGGTTCTGACCACAGACCTCCTGCATCAGGGTGGACTGTAGCCCAGGGCGGGACACCACCACACCCGTCATCCCCAACCCCTGGAGCTCCCTGACCGAGGCTCCTCCGGGTACTTAACCAGTGATCTGATCTCACCACAGTCAAGGATTAGAGCCTCTCCTGGAGGACTGGGGTCCAAGGGGATGATGTGTTTTAGGTGGGAAACAGGTTCAGGGATGCCCCCAGGGTTACTGGCTTGTGTGGGCAGAGCAGTATGAAAGGCAGATGAGAGTCCAGAATTGGGATCACGCCGTGACCCCGTGATCCATGAGGTCCTTGAGCAAGAGGGACGCACTCAGTTGAAGTTCCCCCCTCTTGCTTTGTGTAGGTGTGAAGAGGATGGGTGTGCCCTGTTCCGTTCTTGGCTGCCCACAGTATCTAAGGCCAGCTTGGTCATCAAGGCATGCTGGAAGGTCACCCCAGGTGGCACAGGTGGCTTGGGGTGTGCTTCTGGGTAGCAGCCACTATGCAGCGCTGGCCTCCAAGCAGAAGCTACTGTTTCGGACACCTAAGGTGTCCCCAGCCTCCTTCCCCTACCCCGAGGTTTTCTGGAATAGCTGAGGGGGCAGTGGTGAGCTGCAGGGTTGGGGTCCTGGGGGCTGCGTGTCCACCCAGCCTCCAGAGGAACACATGCAGGCCCCCATCACCCGTTCCTGCCCAACCTGCTTTTCTGTCTCACTCCTAGCTCTGTGGTCTCGGACAAGCATGTTAACTGCTCCAGGGCTCAGTTTCCCCATCTGTAATAGGGAATGATCTTTATGCTCCCACAGGATCGTCCTGAGGCTGCAGAGAGGTGGTGTTGAAAAGTGCCTAGCTCAGGGCCTGGCTCAGTGACGGTTAGCTGTTAGGGTTACCATCGCATTGCAATTGTTACTCCATGGTGAAGACACCCCGGGGACTCTGGACTTGTTTGGCTCCACTGAAAGGCTGCTTGGGTGAAACAATCTCAGCTCTGCATAGCGTGGCCTGTGGGTTGCACTCATGACAGTGTGGAGCCTGTTCAGTCGGTACCGAGTGTGCGACCTTGCCTAGCTGGCCCCGGCATTTATTTTGTAGCTGGAGCCCTGGTGGGATGGGGTCGGGTGGGCTCTGGGAGTCTGGGGGAACAGGTGCAGGAACCTGCGGGTGCCCCTCCCCTGGGGACCTCTGCTTTGTTAGAGGTATGGCTGGGGGCTGACCATCTATTTGTAGGTGTTGCCAGAGCAGTCCCCGCCTCTCCTTTTCAGAGGACATTGTTGAGGGGACCTTGCCTTCTGCGTCTTGGCTGGCTGCTTCATCTGTGGGGGGCTCCCCCTGGCTGACCAACAGCCCTTTCTGGACCCCTTGCATCAGCGCCTCCCCAGTCAGCTTCACTGCTGAAGGCAGGGCCAGCATGGCCACCAGGGTCTTCCCCCTCTGCCCGAGGTCTCTGCCCGCTCAGCTTCCCTCACCCTGGTTGTGGATGGTCAGTGCCTCTGCCCTGCTCTGCTAACCAGGCCCTGTGCCCAGTTGGCACTCCGTGGTTACTGCGAGATGTGCTCTCCAGTCTGTGTGCCAGAAGGGGCCTCTGAAGTGGAGGGGGGCGCCACCCTCTCTCCTACAGCCTGCTGTGTGGCTCCCCATCGTCTCTGGGATGAGAGCAGACCCCGTGAAGCCTTGAGCCCCTTGCTCTCCAGCTGTGAGCCCAGGTGGGACCACCCGGCTACAAGAGTGTTAGGTCTGGCTGTGTAGGAGACGTGTGTCTCCACACTGGAGCCCTTGTGGCACACAGGAAGCCTGCGTGGTCCTCATGGTGGGGAGGGGTCCCCGGGGATGCATGGAGTCTCGCTCCTAGGTTGCTGTGTGGCTTCAGTGCTCTGTACATCCATGCCCCTGTCCTGCAGATGTCAACATCCAGTTGAGGAGAACGTGGACTTTGCCCAGTGTTGTGCAGGGATAGTGGGGCCAGGCTGGAGCCCACGTGTCCTACTCTCACCCCTGGCCAAGGTGGGGGTTATCTGCCCTGGCCAAGCTGTGCTGCCCATCCCTGCCCGCCCTAGCAGGTGAGGGCCTAGGGTGGGATCCCACCCATGAGCAGGAGAGGCTTTTTGACTTGCTGGCCTCCCAGGCTCCCCCTCCAAAGCCAAGTCCTCCCCAGGACGGTTCTTGCCCCCGAGAAGGGGCAGAGTGGGTGTTGGGCTGCAGCGAGCCTCTCTTGGTTCCATTTCCTCATCATCCTGGGGACAGAGGGCTTGTCCTGGAGCACAGGACCAGGATTATGCTGAGGTCCTGGGAGGCCATGGTCCTGAGGGGACCCAGTGAAGGCCAGGAGGGGACAAGCATCCCTCTGGGTGTAGGGAGGGTCACCCCAGCGCTTCCGCAGATCTGACCCACTGGCTGCAGCTTCTGTGCTTGACCCTTTTTGCAAAGATATCAAGGGGTCTTTCAGTTGCCCCTCCCCACCCCCTTAGGCAGCATGAAAACAATTTAACTCTTGCAGAAAGAACCTGGGAATTGATCTCCCCTGTCACTGATCAGCCAAGTGTGACTTTGCGTCAGTTTCTTGGTCCCCTTATGCCCCAGTCTCCCCATCTGTAAAATGGAGTGACAGTAGTTACACCTCTTATGAGGACTGAGTGAAGTCAGGAACCAGGAGCAGCTCCCACACGAGACTCAGAAAGTGTGGCAGGCATGGAAGGTACGGACCCATGAAGCCAGGCCTGGCGCCTTAGGAAAAAAACGGAGCTTCCCTCCAGGTTTCCCCCGGAGGGAATCTGCTTCGTCCTATGCACCTGCCTGCAGAGGCCCTCGCACGCTGTCAGTCCACGGTGAATGCTTGGTGGAAGAGTTCACCCAGGACCTACAAAACCATAGTGCTCAGCTTCTCCAAATTCCGATTAACTTCAAGACCCGACACTTAAGCTTGATTCCAAGGCAATCAGAGCTGATCCTCAACACTGGACTTTGCAGGCAGCTCCCAAACCCACATACATATTTAGAACTAAGAAATGCCAGTTCCTTAAAGAATGTTAGCCTCTGAGATGCATCAAGGGACCAGGAGGCAAGGGGTTAAAGGCAAACCGTGGCATTCCCCAAATCTGTCCAGTTCCCTGGCATGGGACAGTGTCATGGAGCCCAAGGTGGCATCTTTTGTTTGGCTGCTGACGGCGGCCTTCGCGCCTTGGCATCCACGTCACTGCAATTCTCCAGGAACAGTAGATCATTTGAAAGCAGAGCTGCCACATTTTGCTCAATAGAGGGATTTTGTAGAGTGATGATAAATTCGGCATGTCTTTATTATTATTTTTCCAACACTTAAATAAAAGCTGGTACAAAGGTATGTTTGTTTCTGAAATGTGTTTCCTTCCCCAGATGTTCTTTTCTGCCAATTCCAAAATGCATTCTGAGCTCAGTCCTCCAGTTTCCTCTCTGTGGGGAAGAATAATGAGATCTTTGTAACCACACAGGGGAAGTGGCCACTTCCCTCTGCTATGGGCATTGGGGAGGGGCTAGGAGGTCCCACCTCCTCCCACCTTGATGGAAACCACAAGTCTTTGCCAGCCCAGCCGACTGTCAGGGGTTTGTCAGCCTCCTTTCCCATGGTGGTAATTTGCAGGGTCGTGGCTCGGGGCACTGCAGTCTGTACCTCTGTCCCTGGATCCTTGAGTTTGCCGTGTGGCCTTGCAGTAAGTGCTTCCATCTGCATGGCATTTGTGGACTCTGGGACTTGGTACTATCTTCATTACCTGGAGTCGAACTCACCCTTTTCCTTTTCCATCTGTCTCTCTTGCATCAAATGCTGGTCCCCACCCAAAAGGTAGCCCAGTCTGCAGGACATGGCGCAGAGGTAGAGTTGACGGCTTCACCAGAGTCCAGCGGGGCACAGACCTTCCTTGGCTGCTCCGTCTGTCGCTTCGTGACTTGAGACTGCGGGGATGGGGTACTTGAGGGATCTGTGAGCCCCGCCTTCCCACACGTGTGCATGCACACACACATGTGCACAGTACTTGAGAAGTACCACCTTAGTTGGATTTGAAGGACAGCCAAGACACCTGTATAAAGTTTGTAGTTAGGGTCGTTTCGATACTGGCCTGAATTAAGAGCAGTCTCCATGGGGTTGCTTTCTGTGGGGTATGTGTTTAATGAAAATCCTTGTTTTTAAATAAATATATCCTGCTTTAGAACGCCCAAGATATAAAATCTAGACTTCATAGATAAAAATAGCTAACATTTGTAGTGTATCACAGTGTGCTAGGCGGGCTCTAAGAGATGTTTGATTTTTTTAATCCTTCCAGTTGCCCTGTGAGCTGGGGGCCATCACTACCCTCATTTTATAGATGAAGAAACTGAGGCTGGGGGAGGTCAATTAACTTGCTCAATTTCATGCAGGCAAAACTAGGAATCGGCAGACGGTGGTTCCAGTGCCTGCCTCTTAATTGCTACGTATAAAAGTGTTTTCTTCCATCAATAAAAGAAATCAGCGAACAGCCTCCTGTGCGTTTCAGTAAGTGCAAGCCCTCCTTGTCATCCCAGACCTCAGCCTGCTCATTAATGGGTGAGGACACTGAGGCCTGGAGGGGACTGTGACATCGGAGCCACTCTCCTGGGGTCTGCCACTCCTGTCGCCTCCCATACAAACCTGAGTGGCCACGTGACCCTGGGGGAGCGCTACCTAACTGTCCCAAGGAGAGGATGATCACTGCTGGCCTCCCACCAGCCATCAGTCCCCCACTGACTGACACCCCTGAGTCAGTCTCCACCCCAGGACTGTTTCTTTCACTCTTTGCCATGGCCTTGGGCCACTTCCGGGGGCTTGGCAAGGCAGGAGGCGTGGAACCAAGATGGTATATAATCAGAATGCTGTATTTTGTTGAAAATAAGAATGTCAGTAACAGGCTTGTTTCTGGCAGGTCAAACTGGGACCCTGAAATACATATTTTTCTCTGCTCTGCCCTAAAACTTCTAATTAATGAAAATGCACATTTGCAGACATCAATCAAATGTCATATTCCCTAGCAGCTTGTCCTGGGATCACTGACCTGGTCACATTCCGCAGTTGCTAACTCAGGGCTTGCAGAATGTGTGTGCACGTGTGTGTGTATATGTGTGTGTTAGCGAGAGAGACACATGCCTTCTGGGGAGCCCTGGTGGCCTGTTTCCTTCCCTACCAGGCCCCTGAGCTTCTGCTCCCTACCCTGCCCCCAGCCCCTTGTCAGCACGTGCATGGCCACTGCAATGAGATATAGATGTTCGCCCAATTAAAACATTGTAGAGGACACGTGGCTTTCAGGGAGAAACACTTTCTCTCAGGAAGATCTCTGCTGTGCAGTATTCCATAGCTAGACCCTGACTCTGGTCATCAGTGGACTCCATTAACAGCCTGGGTTTTGGAAAAGGCGATTTGCTTCTGGTAACTGGCTCCAGTGCACGAATGTTTCCTCCCTTTGCTGGAATCTCTGCCTGACCCAGACAGTGCTTGTGAACCAGCCCTGGTGGGCTCCGTGGGGTTCTGGGTCTGGGAGGCGAGGACTTGCCTGGGGTCATTCTCGTTCTGCATGTTAGTAGCTGTGCTGGCTGCATGAAGCCGTATCACAGAGACCCATGGGTCCTTTATATCCGGTCATTTGTCATTTGTATCTGGGGTGGTTAGTTGAAAGCAATTCCACAGTAGCCAAATCAAGAAAGTCACTGGCTCTCGCAGGAGCATGATTGGTGTGGGGTGAGCCCGGGAGTGTGGCCCAGGCAAGCCCTTCACCCTGGTGCGCATTAGCCTTCTTATCCAGGAAATGGGGGAGGCGGTCTGGGCCCAGGGAGGGAAGCATGCAGAGCTGGGGATCTCCACAGGTCCAGGATTCAGGGCGCCTCCGACCGTTCTCTGCCCAGCGCCTCCTCTTCAGTTTTACTTTGGTGTTTTCCATTTCACTTCTGCCTCTAGGCCAGTGTTTTTCAAAATGTGTTTCCTGAGTTGAAACGAAAAAATGTTCTGTGATCAGGTGCAGTTGGGAAATCCTGGGGGAGAGAAAGTGAACTAGGTTTCCTCACTGCAGGACTTCTCAGAGCCTTTATAATGGTAATTATGCTCCAGGCCTTGTCCCCCTCTACCTAGGCATCCTTTACTGGTTGGGAAGAGAGGGCAGGTTACAGATGAGGCCGGGTAAGCGGAGTTGTGCCTAACCTGATACCTGATGTCACCAACACATCTGGGCCATTTGGAGTGACCCAGCAAGTCCTTTGCTTGTCTCCCAGGACTTCCCAGAGTAGCCAGGCAGAGCCCTGGGCCAGTTCCCTTGTGGGGCTGGGCCGTGCCCAGAGCACAGGCAGGAGAACAGCTGCCTCCCCGCCTGCCCCAGGGCCTTGGTGTCAGGGCCATGGCCCCCAGCTCTGCAGTGGAGCACCAGGGACCTGTCTGGCCCATCTCCCTGTTGAGTGAAGACCAGGAGGCACCTGTCCTGTTCTGTGTGCTCAGAGGTGTCTAAAACCAGCTACCTCTTTTCTTTTTATCTTTTGCGAGTGATTTCTTATTTCCTGCTTCACCCCCAAGCGTGCCCCCAGTATGTTTCCTGTTCGCCTGCTTCCCTCACCTTTGAAATGTGGTCCCTGCTCGGGAAACTTGCCTGGACTTCAGTTAATTATGGTTTTCCTCCGGGCTGTGTGTGTGTGTGTGTGTGTGTGTGTGTGTGTGTGTGTGTGTATGTATGTGTGTGTGTGTGTATGTGAGTTTGAGTGTGTGAATGTGTGTGTTAAGATGAGAGAGAGTTGGATGGGGGGCCAGGGGCCAACAGGAATGGGGGTGGCTGAGCTGAGAGGCCAAGGGCAGGTTCCAGTTTGCATTGGGAGCCTGAGCTGGTGAGTGTGAGGTGGGGAGATGTAAGGTGTGTGTGGGGAGTGGGGTGCTGTCTGGGTGGCTGGGCTGGGAGAGGGCAGGTGGGGGCCAAGCTGGAAGAAGTGGTGTTATTCTGCAGCATGTGACATGCACAGACCTTGGGGGTGCAGCTCCAGGCTTTCTCTCTCCCCACCTACCCCCGAAGGTCCCACTCTCCACCTTCTGCAGCCAGCCTCCGTTTTGTCTGCCCCTGAGCTCCTCCACTCTTGGGATCCTAAGAAAAGCTTTTCATAATCCAAGTTGGTTTGGGACAGAGTCCTGCTCTGTCGCCTAGGCTAGAGTGTAGTGGTGTGATCTTGGCTCACAGCAGCCTCTGCCTCCGAGGTTCAAGTGATTCTCCTGCCTCAGCCTCCCGAGTAGCTGGGATTACAGGCATGTGCCACCACACCTGGCTAATTTTTGTATTTTTAGTAGAGACGGGGTTTCACCATGTTGCCCAGGCTGCTTTCAAACTCCTGACCTCAGGTGATCCACTCGCCTTGGCCTCCCAAAGTGTTGGCATTACAGGTGTGAGACACCATGCCTGGGCTTTTTTTTTTTTTTTTTTTTTTTTTGAGGCAGAGTCTCCCTTCTGTCATGCAAGCTGGAGCGCAGTGGCACCATCTCGGCTCACTGCAACCTCCGCCTCCGGGGTTCAAGTGATTCTCCTGCTCAGCCTCCCAAGTAGCTGGGATTACAGGCGCCCACCACTGCGCCCGGCTAATTTTTTGAGACGGAGCTTCGTTCTGTCACCCAGACTGGAGTGCAGTGGCGCGATCTTAGCTCACTGCAACCTCCATTTCCCCGGTTCAAGGGATTCTCCTGTTTCAGCCTCTGGAGTAGCTGGCATTACAGGTGCCTGCCACCATGCCTGGCTAATTTTTATATTTTTAGTAGAGATGGGGTTTCACCATGTTGGCCAGGCTGGTCTCAAACTCCTAACCTCAAATGATCCACCGGCCTCGGCCTCCCAAAGTGCTGAGATTACAAGTGTGAGCCACTGCACCCAGCCTGACCTAGATCTTCTAAGTTAGAAAGTCCCAGAAGTGGGCGGCTGGGCACTCAGGTCTGCCACAGGAGCCCACCCGCCCTCCTCCCTGAAGTCAGGGCTCTGGAAGCCCTTCCCTTGGCCATGCCCTGTGGGATACTGCCCAAGCTCTGGAGTAGGACTGAAGACCCCTGGGCCCTAGTCCTGGGGCCACCAACTTGCTGTTGCCCTGCGCAGTCACCTCCCCCGACTCCCACGGCGCTGGCTGCAGGAGCCAGGCTGGGAGGGGTTGGTTGCCAGACCCTGCAGATGCCCCTCATCTGGGCCTGCCCAGGGTAGTGGGAATGAGAGTGCGGGGTGAGGGTCTGTCCTCACCAAGGCCGGTGTTTGGGAGCTCGGGAAGCAGAGTGCCATGGTGGCTGAGTTCACCTCTTTGCTCTGTGCGGCGACTTAGGAAGCCCTCGACTGGCTTCTGACAAGCACAGGAAGGGCTGGAGCGTTTCAGAGCCCGGCGGGTTTGTGTGAGAGCCAGGTGTGTGTGTGTCTGAGCAACTGAGTGTGGGAGTGGGAGGATGTGAGCCTGTGTGTGCGTGCGCACGCCTGCGTGTGTGCATGTGAGCGGATATTTGTATGCGTGTGTGCATGTGATTATGTGTGCACATGTATGTGCCCATGTGAGTGGGTATGTGCGCAAGAGTGTCTGCATCTGAACCAGTGTGTGTGTAAGTACGGGGTACCTGCAGGGGTGGGATGCGGTAGAATGTATCGCCCAAGTATTTTGAGTCCCTGAGGTCAGGCCAGAGCAGCCTCATGTTCTCACCACCTGAGAAGTGCCCCCGGCCTCCCAGGGGTGCCATGCTGGGCAGCCACTCATCCCTGGAGCCCCTCTCATGCCCTTGTTGCCCTCTGAGTGGGCTGTTCACCCGCAGCTGCCTGGGAGCCAGCTGACCTCCCGGGTGGCCTCTGTTCTGCCTGGTGAACCGTGACCCTCTCAGCCCTCTCCCTCTGCCCTGTGGCTCCAGGAGCTGTGGGGTTACTGACCTTCTTTCTGGAAGGGTCAGCTGGTGTCTCTCTGGCTAGGAGGGGGCATCTGCAGCAGTGGGAGAGGCCGAAGATAGCAGCCTGCTGGGAGCCCTCTCCCAGGGCCGGCCTGCGGTCGCTTACCAGCGGCTGCCGCGGTCATCGTGTCGCTGGGACCTGTGCTCCTCCCATCCTCGCCTTCCCTCCCAGCATGGGTCCCTGCAGCTCCCTCACCTCCCAACCAGGCATCCAGCCACATTTGTGAGCCCTTGTGCACCCCACACAGCTGGTATAGCCCAGTCTCTGGCCCTTTCAGTGGGTGGGAGGAGATGGTAAATAAATAGTATTCAAGAGGGACGTGTGCGTGGGGGGATAAAGCAGTGCCTGGAGGCTGTGGCGAGGGGCTTCCATCGGAGCTCAGGTGCCGGGAATGCCTCTTGGTGACTTTTGAGCCGAGACTGGAAGCAGATGAGGCTGAGAACCATGTGGCTATCTGGGGAAAGTGCGGTCCAGGCAGAGGGATCAGCCAGTGCAAAGGCCCTGGGCTAGTTTGGGGTGGGGCTTATTTGAGGGGCTGCAGCAGAATGTAGGGGAACAGGGCCCAAGGTGTGGGGAGAGGACGAATTGGTCTTGAGCAGAGGAGGTGCCACGTCTGACTCGTGCTGGAGGGCATCCCCTGCTGGTTGGAGCAAGAGCTGTGCACATGTATGTGCCTATGTGAGCAGGTATGTGAGGTGGTTGGCATGGGGGCAGGAGCCCTGTCCACAGTTATTACCGGGATCCTTGCAACAGAAGGCAGCAGCGGGGACCCCTCACTTCTGGGGGTGACAAGTGGCAAGATACGGGATCTGTTCTGAAGGGAAAGCCAGCTTGACTTGCAGGCACTCTGCATGTGGGTTCGATAGAAAGACGAGACAAGGATGGCATGGTGCTGCTCTGTGCCTCGGTGTGCTAGGTGTGCTGTTGGGAGGTGCATGATGCTCAGCTGGGAGGTGCTAGGTGCTTGGGAGGTAATCGGTACTTGGTTGGGAGGTGTTTGGCACTTGGGTTTAGACAGATGAATAAGGACATATACCCACCGTTACGTGTCATACAGGATAGTTCCACTGCCCTGATTTTCTGTGCACCACTCATTCATCCCTCTCCTCTCCTCAAACCCCTGGCAGCCACTGACGCTTTACTGTCTTATTTGCTTTTTCCAGAATGTCATAGAGTTGGACTCATACAGTATGTAGCCTTTTCACATTGGCTCTCTCACCTACTAATATGCATTTAAGTTTCCTCCATGTCTTTTCATGGCTTGATAGATCATTTCTTTTCCTTCTTTCTTTTCTTTTTTCTTTTTCTTTTCTTTTTTTTTTTTTGAGACGGAGGCTCACTCTGTCGCCCAGGCTGGAGAGCAATGGTGCGATCTCCACTCACTGCAACCTCCTCTTCCTGGGTTCAAATGATTCTCCTGCCTCAGCCTCCCGAGTAGCTGGGATAACAGGTGCCCGCCACCAAACCCAGCTAATTTTTTGTATTTTTAGTAGAGATGGGGTTTCACCGTGTTAGCGAGGATGGTCTCGATATCCTGACCTCGTGATCCGCCCGCCTCGGCCCCCCAGAGTGCTGGGATAACAGGCGTGTGCCACCCCACCCAGCCAATAGGTCATTTCTTTTTAGCACTAAATAATACTCTATCCTGCATGTTTTGAATTGCCTTTTAGAGGTTCATTTACAGCATTTTCATGGTAGCAAAAAAATCAGAAATAACCCGAAGTTATTTAAAGAACTTACAGCACAGTGCACTATGCAGTCATCAAAAGAACAGGGAATCTTTCTATTCACGAGAAGGGAAGGTGCCCAGAATTTACTGTTAACTGAGAACAAGTTGGAAATAGTATATTTTGATTGCCCAATTTAAGGCAGGAATACCTGAAACCTTACCTGTTGGTTACTTCTGATGGGTGAGATTTTAGGGCAAGTTCACTGTCTATTGTTTCATGTCTGCATCTGTGTGGACAAAAACAAAAAAACAGATCTGTGTTAGCTGCTTCTCCTCTTGCCCTGCCCCCGTCACAGGTACATGTACTGGGCAGATTGGGGTGAGACGCCCTGGATCGAGCAGGTGGGGATGGACGACAGCACCCAGAAGATCATTGTGGACTTGGACATTTACTGGCCCAATAGACTGACCATCGACCTGGGGGAGAAGAAGCTCTACTGGGCTGACACTAAGCTCGGCTTCATCCACCGTGCCAACCTGGACGGCTCGTTCCGGTAGGTACCCGCCCAGTCCCGGGGCACCCCCTTCCCCTTTGCCCCCAGGTGTCCCCAGTGCTTTTGAAGGCGTTCCTTCTTAACTCAGGCCAACAGACTCTTCTCTGAAACTCTGGGGACCTGAGAAATGCATGACTTCTCAGAACTTGAAACAGTGTCAGGGGCTGGGTGACACTTGCCCCAGCACCTGTATATTTCTATAGCAAATGTGGCATGTTCATTCTAAGTAGGGCAGAAAAGACTGTCTGTAGCCCATACCTATGCACAGTTGTTGTTTTCTTTTTCATTATTTTGTTTTTTTGAGGCAGAGTCTCACTGTTTCACTCAGGCTGGAGTGCAATGGCATCGTCTCAGCTCACTGCAGCCTTCACCTCCCAGGCTCAAGCGATTCTCCCACCTCAGCCTCCCAAGTAGCTGGAACTACAGGAGTGCACCACCACACCCAGCTAATGTTCGTATTTTTGGTAGAGATGGGGGTCTCACATGTTGCTCAGGCTGGTCACAAAACTCCTAAACTCAAGCGATCCTCCCCCTCGGATCCCAGAGTGCTGGGATTGCAGGCGTGAGCCACTGCCCCCGGCCCATGCACCAAATGAGGTTTTATCGCCAAATGAGCAACAAAAGCTTTCCGTCTCCAGAGTGTCTTGGATTTTGGAATTGTTGGGGAGGGCTTGTGGCCCGAGGGGGTTGTGAACAATAACCCTGTCACACCACCACCCCCACCCTGGCCCTACCCCAGCTCAGGCATCCTGAGGGCAGCAGCCGGAAGCTGTCTCAGTTATTGCTGCATTCCCCAGTCTCACCAGGGGGCCTTCCACATAGTCCTCAATAAAGTGGGCCAAATGAATGAGTAGGAAGGTTTTCCCCTTGGTGGGTAATTGCTTTTAGAGCCTTCTGGTCAGCATAGCTTCACAGCCCCATACTTAATTACACCTTAGAAAAACATCCCCTCCATGTACAGGTGAAGGGCAATTTATTCACTGACCAAGTACTGCCTGCTGCTGGCTCTGTGCCAGGTGTCAGGGATCCTCCTGGGATGGCACACCCCATTCCTGCACTAGTGGAGCTCCTGGCCTAGGCAGGGGGTGTGGCGGGTGTCGATGCAAAGAGCAGTAGTGACTGCATGGGAGGACCCAGTGGCTGGATTTCTGCAAACACAGGCCAACACCCACATGAACAGACTTGAGGGCCTGGGCAGCTTTGCTCTGTGCTCGCCAGGCCTCATGTGTTAGTTATCCATTGCTGTGTAACAAAACAGCCCACAACTTAGCAGCCTGAAACAGCAAACAGGTTTTTTACGGGGGGGGAGGGGGTCAGCAATGAGGAGTGGATTAGCTGGGTGGTTCTGGCTCAGGGTGTGATCTGAGGACACATTCAAGCTCCTGGCTGGGGCCTTAGTCATCTGAACGTTTGAGTGAGGCTGGGAGATCCACTTCCAAGCTCATTCTCATGGCAAGAGGCCTCGGTTTCTCCTGTTCCTCTTATGCTGAGCCACACATCTCTTTTGGGCTGGTTTGAAAATATCCCGTTGTCCTGGAAGTGCAGACTGGCTGGGTCTGGTTTGAGATTTGGAAATGTGGCTACCCTGTAGACTGTGGTTCTTGGGAGCTGAATGATCTTACAGTTATGAAGGGTGGATTAGAGGATAGAAAGGCTGCAGCTGGGAGTGCCCTGGTCAAAGGATGGTAACAGGAGACAGTGAGGGTGATGGCAATTGAAACATGCTAATGGTGGTGGCGCAGCAATTTACTGTTTTCCAGGGACATTTATCAGTTCATTTAATGCTCACACCAGCTCTATGAAATGTTTGCTGTTATGTTATATTTATATTTTTTTGAGGCAGGGTCTCACTTTGTCACCGAGGCGGGACTGCATTGGCATGATCTTAGTTCACTGCAGCTGTGACCTCTTTTTTTGTTTGGTTGGTTTTGTTTGAGATGCAGTCTTGCTCTGTCCTGCAGGCTGGAGTACAGTGGCACAATCTCAGCTCACCACAACCTCCACCTCCTGGGTTCCAGCGATTCTCCTGCCTCAGCCTCCCAAGTAGCTGGGATTACAGGATTTTTGTATTTTTTTAGTAGAGACGGGGTTTCACCATGTTGGCCAGGCTGGTCTCGAACTCCTGACCTCAAGTGATCCTCCCACCTCAACCTCCCAAAGTGCTGGGATTACGGGCATGAGCCACCAGGCCTGGCCGCAGCCTTGACTTCTTAGGCTCAAGTGGTCCTCCCACCTCAGCCTCCTAAGTAGCTGAGACCACAGGCATGCACCACCAAGCGTGGCTAATTTTTTTGGTATTTTTTTGTAGAGATGGGGTTTCACCATGTTGCCCAGGCTGGCCTCAAACTCCTTAGCTCAAGCCATGTATCCGCTTTGGCCTCTCAAAGCACTGGGATTACAGGTGCGAGCCACTGCACCCGGCCTGTGTTTGCTATTATGATGCCCTGTGCACAGAGAGGCAGGCATGTGAATTTGCCCAAAGCCACACAGCGAGTCACAGCCAGGGTTGGAATGTAGGGTCTCTAGCCCCAGGGTCTGTTCTCAGCTTCTCTCCTACCTGCCTCCCCCTGGGATTCTTCTGCCTCTGCAGCAGCCATTTCTCTTCATGAATGCACCCAGGGCTACTCACGTGGAACCATCATGTGCGGGGGGACAAGCTCTGAAGCCGCACAGACTTGTGTAGGCCCCTTTATCTGTGACTGTGGCTCGGGCAAGGGCCAAGGCTGACCTTCCCTTAGTGCTTCTGGTTGAGGCAGAGCATGGCCCGGAAAGCAACCGGGAGTGATGGGCCTCTGGCTTTTCTCATCAAAAAATGGCAACATGGCCAGGCACAGTGGTTCACACCTATAATCCCAGGCTTTGGAAGGCTGAGGTGAGAGGATCATATGAGCCCAGGAGTTCAAGACCAACCTGGCAACAAAGTGAGAGCCCATCTACTAAAAATAAAAATTGGGCCGGGTGCAGTGGCTTATGCCTGTAATCCCAGCAGTTTGAGAGGCTGAGGTGGGTGGATCACCTGAGGGTCAGGAGTTCAAGACAAGCCTGGCCAACATGGTGAAACCCTGCTGCTACTAAAAATACAAAAATTAGCTGGGTGTGGTGGTGGGCACCTGTAATCCCAGCTACTCAGGAGGTTGAGGCAGGAGAACTGCTTGAACCTGGGAGATGAAGATTGCAGTGAGCTGAGGTCGCACCATTGCACTCCAGCCTGGGTGACAAGAGCAAAACTCCATCTCAAAAAAATAAATAAATAAAAAATTAAAATTAAAAAATTAGCTGGCCATGGTGGTGCACACCTGTGTTCCCAGCTACTCAGGAGGCTGAGGCAGGAGGATTGATTGAGCTTAGGTGATCAAGGCTGCAGTGAGCCGTGATCATGCCACTGCACTCCAGCCTGGGTGACAGAGCAAGACCCTGTCTCAGAAAACAAACAAACAGACAAAAAAGGCAACATTGTGGAAAACAGTTTGGTGATTCCTTAGGATGTAAACATTGATTTACGTATGACCCAGCAATTCCGCTCCTAACTATATACTGTAAGAATTGAAACAGGTATTCACACAAAATGTGAACGGACAGGAATGTCTATAGCAGCACTGTGCACAACAGCCGAAGGTGGAAACGACCCAGAGGTTCCCAGCAGGTGAATGGATGCACAGACTGTTCTATCTGTGCATTGGAATATGGTTCACCCCTAGAACAGAATGAAGCACTAACACGTACAGCATGGATGAACCTCAAAAAACATGGTGCTGAGTCAAAGAAGCCAGACATCAAAGGCTGCATGTTGTGATTCCATTTATGTGAAATGTTTAGAATGTGTTAGACAGAGCTGTCGAAAGCAGATCAGTGTTTGCCGGCGCTGGGGGTGTGGGCCGGGGAGTGACTGTTGGTGGGCGTGGGGTTTTCCTGTGGGGCAATGGAAGGGCTTTGGAACTAGACAGAAGTGGAGGTTGCACAGCCTTGCAAATGTGCTAGATAGCTCTGAATTACTCACTTTAAAGTGGTAAACTTACGCTGGGCACGGTGGCTCATGCCTGTAATCCCAGCACTTTGGGAGGCCGAGGCGGGTGGATCGCCTGAGCTCAGGAGTTCGAGACCAGCCTGGGCAACATGGTGAAACCCCGTCTCTACCAAAAAATACCCACCAAAAATTAGCTGGGCATAGTGGTGCATGCCTGTGGTCCCAGCTGCTCTGGAGGCTGAGGTGGGAGAATCAGTTGAACCTGGGAGGCAGAGAGCAGGGAGCTGAGATCACCCCACTGTACTCCAACCTGGGTGACAGACTGAGACCCTATCTCAAAAAAAAAAAAAAAAAAAAAACAGCGATAAATGTTATGTCCTGTGAATTTTACTTCAATAATTTTCTTAAAAACAGCATCAACAAAAACGAACAAAAGAGGTGGTGGATCTGCAGAGCACAAGCCCACAGCTTCCATCTCCCCTGTGCCACTTCATGAGCGTCACCTTCTCCTGGCAGCTGTGCTGAGGGCTGGGGATGTGGCAGGGACCATCTGCCCCCAGGCCCACCCTCAGGGAGCCTGTCACGGGGAGAGGGTCATTAAGCAAATAAAACTACACATTACTGACCATGTCACATTACGATCCTGTTACCAGTGTCCATAATCTCATTATACCCGAGTCCTCCTTTGCTGGGCACTGTAGGCACCTAGAAAAGAATAGCTGTTTCTCGTGTTGATGCCACGTTTAATTTACTCTGAAAATATAAATTATGAGCATTGTAAGAAGGAGCAAGTGCACGTGGCCTGATTTGTATTCAGAGGTTTAAGCCTTGGGCAGGAGAGGTGTCCTTTTCACCAGGTGGGGCTTCCTCCTTTCTTCCCTGGGGGAGACTTTGCCACTTGACCTGGGGGACTCCATGTGTCACTGTCACAGACTGGGTTTGGGAGGCGCCCTGTGCACGCCAGGAGAGATGTACGAGGGCGCCAACTCCTGGGGCTCTTGACCTGGCCTCACTTGTCTGGTTGAAAGTAAATGGGAGGCCGGGAGTGGTGGCACATGCCTGTAATCCCAGCACTTTGAGAGGCTGAGGCAGGCGGATCACCTGAGGTCAGGAGTTTGAGACCAGCCTGGCCAACATGATGAAACACTGTCTCTACTAAAAATACAAAAATCAGCTGGGCATGGTGGTGGGCATCTGTAATCCCAGCTACTCGGGAGGCTGAGGCAAGAGAATTGCTTGAACCCGGGAGGTGGAGCTTGCAGTGAGCTGAGATTGCATTACTGCACTCCAGCCTGGGCGACAGACCAAGACTCCATCTCAAAAAAAAAAAAAGAAAGTAAATGCGTCAGCAGCAATGACTGTTGGGGGACCCTCCTGATGGCTCTCTACCCCGCCTCCCTGACTGCAGGCAGAAGGTGGTGAAGGGCAGCCTGACGCACCCCTTCACCCTGACACTCTCCGGGGACACTCTGCACTGGATGGACTGGCTGACGTGCTCCATCCATGCCTGCAACAGGAACACTGCGGGGAAGAGGAACGAGATCTTGAGCGCCCTCTACTCAGCATGGATATCCAGGTGCTGAGCCAGGAGCAGCAGCCTTTCTGTGAGTGCCGGCTGGGGCGTGGGGATGTGGGGGCATGGGGATGTGGGGGCATGGTGGGTGGGGTGGGAGGTGGGCGGCCCCTCCCTGCAAAACTCCATGCTCTGGGGGGCCCCCTCTCTAAGGGGTGCCTGCTGCAATGGAGGGAGGTGTGTGCAGAGTGCGTGGCTGGCCAGGGGGCACGGGTCTGCAGAGGACCCCTCTGCAGGGCTTGTGTGGGCTGTTCTAGGGCTCAGCAGTGGCAAGGGGATTCCCAAGGGAGGTCGCCTCATTTTCAAGGCCCAGAAGAAGTTGCATGTATATATATATATATATATATATATATATATATATATATATATATATGCATACTAAGATAGATATATATGTATATGTATTTTTAACAGAGACAAGATCTTGCCGCATTGCCCAGGCTGGTCTCAAACTCCTGGGTTCCAGTGATCCTCACACCTTGACCTCCCAAAGTGCTGGGGCACAGATGTGAGCCACCATGCTTGGCCCTGCAAGTTGCATATTTATCAATGAATAACCTGCTCAAAGTCAGCAGTTCTCAGCCTGGGGGCCACGCAGGGTTGGGACAGAGTCCCTGATGGGGAAATGCACCAGCTTCTGTGACAGTGGGGCTGTGGCTCTGGGGACAGTGGCCCACCCCCACAGGGACCAGGGATGGAGATTTCTGGCTAAGTCATTACGGAAGGTTAGGACTTTGGGACTCGGGTGGCAGCTGTTCACAGAGCAGGACACAGGAGGGTGGGGCTCTCTGGAGCTGTTTCCTGTTGAGAAAGTCATGGTCACAAAACCCATCTACACTTGGGGCAGTGTGAGGGAGGGGGAGGTTCATTTTGGTTTGTTTGTTGTTCCAGTTAACTCCGTATTTTGGGGCTGCTACACCCCAGCTTTCCCCTGGTTAGAATGAGGTGCTGGAAGCATTATTGAGTTCCATTCAATTGCTGTTGGTCATAGAAGGGCTTGGGAGAGTGACAAGCTTGGCCATCCTGGCAAGAGGGACAGTGATCCTGTGGAAGCTGCAAAGACAAAACAGGCCTTTTGCCCAGGAGCCCACTGTCTCTGGGGTTGCCATCACTACCATGCAGGCAGGTCTTGACTCCTGCCATTTTAGTGTGGGGGGCAGCCTTGCAAAGGGGTGTCCTTATGGGCCTCGAGGAGCTGGGGAGTGTTTTCTAATCATAGGAGCTTGGTGGGAGGGAGCAGGTGGTGAGGATGCCACTCCATGGGCAGGTCACATCTGGGTGTGAGGGTGGCCAGGAAGGTCACGGCTGGTTTTGGGGAAATTGCAGACCGTCTGGCCAGGCTGAGGGCCCAATGTGGAGGGGGCCAGCGATGAGGTAGGTGGAGTGGTGCCTGCGGGGAGGTCCCTGATGCCACTTGAGGCTGGCGTTTGGGCAGAGGGACACACTAGGGGCTGTCACAGGAGACGAGGCAGGATGCGACTGATTCAGAAATAAGTGATGGTCCTTTTCTGGAACCTTCTCTCACTCTGTCCTGGTTTTCCCAGTCCACACTCGCTGTGAGGAGGACAATGGTGGCTGCTCCCACCTGTGTCTGCTGTCCCTAAGGGAGGCTTTCTACATGTGCGCCTGCCCCATGGGTGTGCAGCTGCAGGACAACGGCAGGGCATGTGAGGCCAGTGAGGCAGTGGGACGGGGCGGGGCCTGGCAGCAATGGGCTGCAGCCAGCGGGGGTGCCCCAGAAGGAGCGTCGGCCAACCCGTTCAAAATGATCCACTTGGCGAATGTGGTGATTCAAGTCTGTGGTCCCAGCTGCTCAGGAAGCTGAGTTGGGAGGATCTCTTGAGCCTAGGAGGTCAATCCTGTTTTGTTTTTGTTTTTTGCTCTAGATGTTTTCCCACTTTTTTACCCTCCGCCTTGGTCCTCAGGCACTTGGTGCTCCCCAGGACTGTGTTGCAATGAGGCATGGCTCTTCTCCTCTGCGGCACCGGCTGAGGATCTTTCTTTCCAGGTGTCAGGTTCGGGGTGGGCCTTTCGGGAAATCACACACTTTCAGGATGCAGCTCGCCTTCGGGGATGCTCCTGGGCCTGGGGTAGCTGGTTTGGCCTCTGGGGCTGACCCTAGGGCCTGGTGAGCGAGGGGGTAACAAGAGATGTCAGGAAAGCGCCATCCCTGAGACCAGGTCTCCCCGTTTCTGTAGCATGATGGGGCCCAGCTTGCAGAAGGTGGTGGGGACAGGGCCTGCTTCCTGTGCCAGTGTTCCACTTGGGAGGGCAGGGGGCTTCCAAGTGGGCTGGCTTCCAACTCAGGGACAGTCCTAAGAGGGGGGCAGAGTCTCGGTGTAGGGGCCCCCTAGGAGGACTCTCCTGGCATCCAGTGGGTGGAGAAATCTTGCTTACACTGCTGTCTGAGCACATGGGGTTCCTGACTCTAGGGACAGTTTCCTGGTCCCTCTGCTCTTGCCAGTTAGGGTTTGTATTTGTGTGCAGCGGCCAGGGAGAGTGTGTGTGGTCGTGGCGTCCGTGGTGGGTGCATCTTTTCTCTGCTCCCTGGCAGGGGTCTTTCCCTGGCAGGTGAGGACTTTCCACGTTCGTGTCTTTCTCTTTCTGAGAGCAGAGCATCTTTAATGAAGACATGGCTGTTTCATCAAAGGGTCTGTCCGCTGCACCAGCTACTGCAGGGGACAGTTGGAGATTCTCCTCCACCAAGCGTCTTGTTTTCCCAAGTGGTGAGAGGGAGAATTTGAGAAATGGGGTCTCAGGCAGCCTAGTCCTCATGGTTCTGGACAGCACCCCATTCATTCATCTGTTTGCTCATTCATTCGGTCGTCCATCCATTTGCTCGTTCAGCAGGCGTTTGTCGAGCACTTGCCGCGTGCTGATATTGCTCCGAGGCACTGGGGATCCCGCAGTGCAGACAGAATCCCGGGCCCCTGGTGCTCACACCCTGGGCTCTGGGGCTGGGTGGGTGGGGGAGATGGCACAAGTGAGTCCACGAGGGAGTCGTGCATTAGAAAGGGTGAGTGTTTTGGACACCCGCTCCTCCGTTGCCTCTGGGGCCCTTCGCTTTTACCTTTCACCTCAGCCTCAAAGGCAATGTTGAGAGAGAAACTGGAACCAGGGGAGGAGTCCAGATGAGCTGCCTCGTGAGTGACCCAGTGACACCAGGGGTTTGGACCAAGCAGGTTAAGGGTGGATTATAGACCCTTGATGGGGAGAAGTAGCTTGACCAGGTTGGATCAGCCCCTCATTTACTGAGGAGGCTGAGGGCAAGTCACCGGCCTGGGGTTGCCCATAGCAGGTGGCATAGTAGGTTCTAGCAGGTAGCATGGTAGGTTCTAGCAGGTGGCATAGTAAGTTCTAGCAGGTGGGGTCTGGCTCCCAGAGGCATGAGTTTGCTGCTGCCCCATGCCTGGGCCCTGGTGGAGCAAAGCCCTGGTCTCCCTTGCAGACTGCCTCAGGACCCTGCCCGCTCCCCGGAGGAAGGGGTGCCTCGGCCACACAAGCCTTAGCGGAGAAGGATGCTTGGCCTGCCGGCTGCCTGGGAACCTTGGCCTTCTCAGAGTTTGTTTTCTCTCCTTCCTGTCTGTCTGTTGGTGAGAAGAGGCTGAACTCAGTGCCGGAGCTGGACCCTGCGTTCAGCAGTGTGTCGGTCAAAGTCCTGTTGGAAAGGGAAAGAGTGAGGACATAGGGGCTCATGATGGCAGGGAGTGGCCACCACAGTCAGGCCCGGGGGATGGAGGGGAGAGAGCATCACTGGAACGTGGCATGGGTTTAAAACAGACAGCTTGGCCAGGCGCGGTGGCTCACGCCTGTAATCCCAACAATTTGGGAGGTCGAGGCGGGTGGATCATTTGAGGTCCGGAGTTCAAGACCAGCCTGGCCAACATGGTGAAACCCTGTCTCTACTAAAAATACAAAAGTTAGCCTGGCAGTAGTGATGCGGGCCTATAATCCCAGCTACTTGGGAGACTGAGGCAGGAGAATTGCTTGAGCCTGGGAGGCAGAGGTTGCAGTGAGCTGAGATCGTGCCACTGTACTCCAGCCTGGGAGACAGAATGAGACCCTGTCTCAAAAAAAAAAAAAAAAAAAAAAACCAACAACAACAAACAGGCAGCTCATCCTGGCCAATCTGAAAAAGGTGGAGCATATACGTTCCCCAATATTCACAAATATTTCATAAAATATCCGAGAAGAAAGCAGTTAATGAGATGGGCCTGTTCCCCTGCCCTGAGGCGCACGTGTGATGGGGGCCATGTCAGGAAGCATGCCGGCACGCAGATGGACATAGTCAGGACAGACCTGGATCTGGTACGGGACACAGCAGGGGCTGAGCTGGAGACTCCTGTACTCAGGTGTGGCCACCTGAGCTGGCAGGTCAGAGGTCTCTCCCAGGAGGCCTGAGATCTGAAGGACTAAAAGAGGGAAAGGCAAGAAGGAACAGCACATGTGGTGGCTCTGAGGCAGGAGCATGTTGGTGTCGGGACCGACTTCATGGGCTGTGCGACCTGTGTAGTTACATGAGGTGAACTCTGTTGTTGTTGACCTGAAATTCCTACCTTTTGAGTAAGGGGCTCTCTGGACTTCCATTTTGCAGTGGTCTGCACAAATTCTGTAACGGGTCCTGCTCTGTGTGTTTGAGAAGCTAAACGGAGGTCCGGAGGTGGTCTCTTACTCTCTTGGTGTGTCTGTCTCCACATTTTATCTTCTCTTTTGTTTTTTTGTTCCCCAGCCCTGCCTGCATTTTTTCTGTATGTGACTGTGTGTCTGTGCGTGTGATCGAACCATAAGGCTTCCTGGTATTTATTTCACTTATGCATTGCAGAAACATTTGCGATTGCAGGAGGTAAATATGTATCAAAGACATGAGTTTTAGTGTCCGAAGAATTTTTTTTTTTTTTTTTTGAGTTGGAGACGGAATCTTGCTCTGTCGCCCGTGCTGGAGTGCAGTGGCTCCCAGCAGCTTCCACCTCCCAGGTTCAAGTGATTCTCCTGCCTCAGCCCGCTACCACACCCAGCTAATTTTTGTATGTTTAGTAGAGATGGGGTTTTACCATGTTGGCTAGGCTGGTCCTGAACTCCTAACCTCAGGTGATCCGCCTACCTCAGCCTCCCAAAGTGCTGGGATCACAGGCATGAGCCACTGCGCCCGGCCTAGTGCCTGAAGGATATCTTATCAAGACATGTCTTTTAGCTGTCCTCCCGCTATGGGGCGTTTCTTTTCTCTTTGTGTTTTTGCCATTTCTGAGTCTCACTGCTGTGGTTTGGGGGTGGGCAGGGCCCTGGAGTTAGAGGGAGCAGGGCCTGGTGTCTGTTGCCACCATCGATTGGTGATGTCTGCCTAAACGCTGTGTTGCGTCTGTTGAGGATGTCTGCCCTGGGAGAGCAATGGGCATGCTGGAAGCAGGTGTGGTCACCATCTCTGCTCTTGGGGTGTCAAAGCAAGGCTGGGATGGACATTTGTCGAAGGAGTGGGGGATAGACACAACCCCCACAAAAGGCAGATCGTGCAGTCGACGCCTAGCCCCAAGAGGGGAAGGATCATTTGAGGTCAGGAGTTCAAGACCAGCCTGGCCAACATGGTGGCCAACATGGTGAAACCCTGTCTCTACTAAAAATACAAAAATTAGCCAGGCGGTAGTGGCGTGCCTGTGATCCCAGCTACTCAGGAGACTGAGGCAGGAGAACATGTTGCACAGGGAGCTTTTGTTAAGGGTCCCTGTGTGGCTCAGAGTTCCAGGAACGGGTGTGGGCCCTGATAAAACCCCAGACTCATGGCTCAGTGAAGTTGCACAGCTGGACAAGCCTGGAGACCCTCAAATAACTTGCCCAGGCTACCCTGGCTTGCAAAGGGCCATTGCTCATCCAGGAGTGGACGGTGCCTGGCATGCAGTGGGTGCCCAGTGTTCACCTGCCACGTCCACTGTCCATGCACTTATTACCGTCATGCTGTCACCATGACCAGCGCCTTAGGTGCTGTGGCTGGTGCCAGGCCCGTGAGAGCCGGGGCAGGTTCGCTCAGGGTCCAGATTTGCCTGCATTGTCCCAGAGTCCTCCCACACCCGGGGGAGTGGGCTGTCATTGGGAGCCAGTAAGGGGGTGTTGATTTCTTTTCCAACCAGTAGAGGCAGGGGCCATAGACTTAGGTGGAACCGCTGGCTCTTTGCTGGCTCCCAGGGTTCTGACAGCTGGGTCTTCTGAGCCCTGGGGACTGGCTGCCTGTGGCTGAGCCCTTCAAGGGCATTGCGCTCCTTCTGCAAATGTCACTCCCAGTCTCCATGTCCAGGCCCAAAGCAGCCCCGGGGAGTCCTCAGGGCTCATTTTCCTGCAAGGGGGTGGGTGGGGGTCAGCTGGGGCAGGCCCTGTGGTGATTAGAAGAGGCTGCCTGCGCCCACAGAAGGTGGGTGGGCTACTCAGAGAAGGAGGCCCCTGCAGGCTGGCAGGGGGCCTGGTGGCTCTGGCCCCAGCCCTGGTGGTTCTGTGGCATGGAGCTGACACCACAGACACCTGTGAGGTTGGACCGCTGGACTAGCAGCACGCCCTGCCCTTCCTGTTGGAAGCTTGTCCAGTCCAGAGCTGTCAGGGCCACAGGGGCTGAGCATGCAGCTCCACACTCCCTGGAGACTCCGCCATCAAGGGTCAGCTTTGTCTGGTCTTGTGGAAACTGTTTTTGCCCCCAGCCGTGAGAGGCACTTTTACACATAACTGAGTCGGAGCATGACAGGCATGTAGGAGAGAAACATTTTGTGTCATTTAGAGGCCCTGCCTGGGTGGGACTCTGGCTGGGAACATCCACATGCAGCCAGTGCGGGGACTGGTTTACTCTGAGCCTCAATCTTTCTGCTTTGGCTCCAGATGCTGTGTTTGGGTGTTCTGTCAAAGAGAGAACAATGCTCCTCGATGAGACAGAAGGATGCAACCGGGAGTCTTGTTTTGCATGAGGATGTGAGCGTTTCAATTCACTTTTTTTGTAAACATGGTTCCCCAGCCTGGCCTCAGGGGTGCCTGGAGATGGGCCCCACGGGGCTTCCGGTTAATTAAGCGGGCAGTGCTGGACATGGATGCTGGCTTCTCTGTCTCCCTGCCCTGGACCCTTTTGAAGCTGAAGTGTTCCAGGGGCAGCTGGTATGGAAAAGGGGAAATAGAGTTTTCTAGAGGTTTTAGAGTTGAGTAGAAACCTAGACTCTTCTCAGAAGCATTTCAAGGGTTTGTCACCAAGGTGGCTCTCTGCAAATTTGAGGTGGTTCTAGAAGATCTTTCCATATTTCTTAATCCAGAGGGAGATGGAGATGGGTGAGAAATGGCTTTGTCCATGAGGAACTCATGTTCTGGTTGGAGGACAGGCGGAGCCTGGCATTGAAGTTGGTGAGTCAGAGACGGATCTGTGGGTGGGGCCAGAATGGGGCTTGGGCTTCAGACCTCACAAAGCAGACCACATGGCAGCCTGGGGCGTTAGTATCCAAACGTCCTGCCCTCCAGGTTTTATTCCTTGCCATAAAATATCACATTAAAGGAAAACGTTTTGTTAAAAGACCACAGTCCTGTCACCTGAGCACAGTAGCTGTTCTCTGTTCCTCTTTGGCCTTCCAAGCGGCAGGCGCCCGTTTGTGTTGCGGCTGTGTGCCTGGCGGGCATGAATTAACTGTGCAGCATGGCTGCGGACGGTGAGGTGAGGTGAAGACGCCTCACCTCACCTCGATTCGACTGAAAACCGTGTGGAGATAGAAGCTGCTCACACAGGGGCAACATGAAGAAAATGTGAAATTCTGTTGCTTGTTGTAGCTGACAGCACGACTCTGAGGTCCCGGTGGGCAGAGGCCTCGTGCAGGGCACCTCACCAGCCGGATGTCAGAGCTTGCCGGAAGGCGCAGTGCCCGTGGAGGGCTGCCAGTGCCCAGGGAGCCTTCCGAGGTGTCACGTTGGGCAGTGGAATTCAGAGTCAGGCAGAGGAGGCCCTGGGGTCACACGCGGATCTCCTGGCTGTGGGTTGGTGAGGTCCAGTGTCCGGGGGTGAAGGATAGAGGCCGTGTGGTGAGGGCTCCGGAGCTGGCCCTGGGGTGGCAGAAATGCAGATAACGAAGGAGGGTGTGCTGGTGGGACTTGTGCCTGTTCCGGAGGGAGGCATTGGGAGTGACGTTTAGGCTGAGAGGATTCAGGATGGAGGACATGGCTTAGTTTGTAGTTGGGAGCCTGCCGAGGACTGTGGTGATGAGGAAATGCGGTGTCAGGCAGACCCAGGACTTGGAGCACCTAGTTCCACTTGCGGGCTGGCTTTCTGTTTTTGGTCATTGTGTTGGGACCTTGTGAAAGTGACTTAACCTCTCGGTGCCTCAGTTTCCCCATTGGTAAAAGGGGTGATTATGCTCCCCACTACACAGGGTTTGGAGGATGGCCGTGCGGGCCGTGCCGAGCAGCGCGATGGTGCAGGCCGTCTGGGTCAGTGCTGAGAGAGCGAGTGTTCCTTCGACGGTTGCAATCAGAGGTAGCTTCCAAGGCTGGGTGCTGCCAGGAGGAGCTGGGGAGGCTGATGGGGCAATGGGGAGCACAGCTCACACTGCTGGCAGGCAGCCTGGGGAGGACAGAGGGGGCTGTGCTGGGCGCTCCAGGCATGTGGTTCCCTTTCCTGTGGGGCGAAGACCAGCATGGGGGCAGGGCCCAGCTGTGTCAGGACCACTCAGACTCTTATGACACATCCAGAGTCCCTAGCCCCACCCCAACCCACCCAGTCCACGAGAAGGAACAGGGTGGGGAGGTGGGGCCCAAATCTGCGAGTTCCCAAGGGAGGCCTGTGTGCAGTAAGTTGTCGGGGGCGGCGCTGGCACAGCTGGAAACATCTTGGGGTTTGAAGCCAGAGCCTCAGGTGAGACTCAAGGGTCCCTGGGACTCTCTTCTGGGTGTCTGACCGTTTATGCTTCGTGGAGTTAGAGGCGAAGACATTTCTGTGATGTCTTGAATTCTGCTTTTTCCTGATTTTGAGCAAATGAAAGCCAGCCTGGTGTAGGCAGTCGGGTGCCTTCCCCAAGTAAGGGGCTGAGAGGGTGGTCATGCCGGGACCCAGGGGACAGGGAGTAGCATTCCTAGGGGTGCACAGGCAGCCCCCTAGAGGCAGGGATGTGTGGGGGTCCTTGTGCTGCTGTGTGCCTGCAGGGCGGCACTATTCACATGGCCCTGGAGCTGCAGGGTGATTGCTGGCCCTGGGCTCTGTGTCCTGGCTCTCCCGCCCCTCCTGAAGTGGCCCCCATGAGACAAGGCAGGTATGTCCTGTGAGCAGCCCTCTGCTGCCCAGCGTGGCCAGGGCTCAGTGGGACCACGGCGGCTGCAATGCTGCTCTCTGCAGCTCAGAGTCACTCTCATCGCCAGCAGTCGAGTGCAGAGCCTGGGCCCCCCGGCCTCCCCAGCCCCTCCACACCACCCCAGGACCGAGGCAGCAGCTGGCTTCGGTTTCTGCCATGTTTTTCCAAGTATGTGGAATGAGCTAAAAACAGCAGGAGTGGGGCCTTATTTGGGAGTTGCCACTGCCGTCCTTGGAAGCTGCTGTCCCTCACTGCCACCCCTCCAGCCCCATCCTCGGTGGAACATGCCCCTGTTGCTTTGACTTTTGTCGCCCGAACATCCCTCCTGGTTGGGGGCCTTTGGGCAGTGGGCTTAGTGGCGTGCGCCATGCCACTTGGGCCACACGTGCCCAGGCTGGTGGCTCTCGGGGCCGTGTCCAGAGGGTGGCTAGGCTGTGCTCCCGGCAGTGCCCAGATGAGGCTGGGGTGTGGCTTGGGGATTTGTGGGCCACCGGCCACAGCTCACCCAGCAGAGTTTTAACAGATGTTCGTCTGTCAAGTTTGCTCCCAGCTGTGTTGTCTGAGGCAGGCTGCCTTCCCATAGCGGCGGCAGAGCTGAAGAGATGGGAAGGAGACTGTGTAGGCCGCAGCACCGAACATATTTGCTCTCTGGCCCTTCCTAGAGTGCTTGCTGACCTCTGTCCGACAGCTGGAAGGAAGGATAGGACCCGTCCTACGATAACCACTATTGACATTTGAGCGCATTTCCTTCCCGGCTTTTGTGTGAAGGTGGCAGTCTCTTTGCTTTTGTGGTTGGGATCTGCTGCAGGCACGGCGGGCTGTTTGCCTGAGGCTTCCTGGAGGACAGGGCTGGGCTCGGAGCTGCACCAGCATCCTGCACGCACTGGGGCCTCAGCAGAGAGCCGTGGCGGGCGGGGCAACGTCAATGCTGGTGGGCGCTGGGCCTCCACGTTCAGATCAGCCCTGGCGATAGGTTCGGGCCACCCTCTCTCTGGCCTCCGTGCAGTGGCCCAGGCCGCCCCCCTGCCTGGCACACTTGCCTCTGGCTTTCCACTGAAGCGCTCCTCTTACCCGCCGCTCCCCACTGGGTATGGGTCCAGTCGTGTCCCTGAAGGAGATATGCTGACGTCTGGAACCTGTGTCTGTGACCTAATTTGGAAACAGGGTCTTGGCAGATGTAATCAAGCAAGGACAAGGTCACCCTGGAGTAGGGGGCCTATATCCACGGTGCTGGTGTCCTCATGAGAGCAGGAGAGCAGACACTGACACTCGGGTGAAGGCTGCATGGAGTCAGAGCAGGGCTTGGTGTGATGGCGGCCACAAGCCAAGGAACCCCAGGTATTTCCTGCAACTCCAGAAGCTGGAAGAGGCCAGGAAGGATCCTCCCCTGGCGCCTTCAGAGAGAGTCTGTCCCTGAAGATGTCTTGACATTTGACTTCTGGGTTGCAGGTCTTGGCGGCGGGGTACATTTCTGATGTTAGAAGCCACCTGGTTGGCGGCGATGTGTCACTGCAGCCCCCCACAGGTTCTGGGTGTCCATGTGGTCGGGGGCAGAGGTGGGCAGGGACAGACATGTCCATGACACTGGCCCATCCCTTAGGACTGCTTTTTGAGGACAAGGCTGCTTACCAGGAAGTTGTACCCTGCCTGGCCCTTGCCCCTGCCCTGTGCTTGGCTCGTGGAAGGGATGTGGCCCTTCTCTCCTGCATGCGTGCAAGGAGGAAGGGAGAGGTCAGAAACCCGCCTGGAGGAGGCTCGGGCGAGGGGAAGGTTTCACTTTCCGGCAACATTGTGGGGCTGGCTGTTTGTTTAAACAACCCCAAAGAAAACCATTTGGCCAAACTGTTAGTTTCCAAACAATTTACTTCCTTGGTGTTTGAAAAACTCCTACCAAGGCTCTGTAGCTGGTCCCAGGGAAGGAGTTGGCCTCTCTTCTTTATAGCCCAACACAGTCCCCTGCACCTGCCCCTCCCAACCCCAGGCCTGCTTACCTGTGGCCATGGCTGCTGCCCGGACCTCACTACACACACAACCTCCTGGAGGCCAGCTGTGGGCACCAGCCTTGGCAGGCATCTGGCAGAGCCCAGGCTGGTGGGACTCTCTCTGCAGCTGCTCCCTGCCAGCCTGGCTGGACAGAGTCCCCACCACACTGGGGTCACCTCTGTACTGCTCACAGCTCACTCAGACCTTCAGGCAAATAGGTTGGGTCCTGGCTCTCTCCCAGGTGTCACAATCTCTGCAAAATTCAAAAACCTCAGGGGCCTTGTAGCCTGAGGCGTGTCAGAGACTCCTCCCTGGAGTCAGTAAACACCTACAGATTCATCCCAGCAGTGAAAGGACTGCTTCACCACAGAGGTTTGATTTATTCCTAAGTAATTGGATGGGATGCCGAGAATGGGTTCCTGATGGTGGAACTGGAGGCCCTTTGCTGACCTAGTTAACAGAGGGCTAGGGCTGGGTGTGCTCAGTCCCTGAAGGTTCTAGGCCCATTTGGGACGCCCCGCCAGAACCTGCCACATGGTGACAGCTACCTAAATCCCAGAGGCTCTTGAGCTGGAGAACAGACCTCTCAATCTCAGCAGGTCCCCTGCACGTACCCCATAACCCTAGCCTGCCTTCACAGTACAGTTTGTGGCTGTGTATTCACGGATGGTGTCGTTCACCTAAGGTCTCTGCCCTGTGACCCCAAGGGCGTCCAGAGGGCAGATCCCAAGTCTGTTTCATCCACCTCTCCTTCCCTAGCAGCTGGTCCAGGGCCTGGCCTGAAGTAGGTTCCTACAGAGATACTGGTGGGATGATGGAGGCAGCCAGGCATCAAGTGACAAACGCGCTTCCTGGATGTGCTGGCTCCTGGGATTGAAGTATTTGAGGAAGCGAAGTGAAGTGAGCTTTCCTCTTGCAGCTGTGTGTCCTTGGGCCGGGAGCCTACCCTCTCTGAGGATTGGGGTCCTTGTCAGTAGGATGGGGCATCCTCATAGCTCGAGGGGTAGTGTGTGAAAATTGTGTTAATGATTTTTTTTTTTTTTTGAGACGGAGTCTCACTCCAGTGCACAGGCTGGAGTGTAGTGGCACGATCTCAGCTTACTGCAACCTCTGCCTCCTGGGTTCAAGTGATTCTCCTGCCTCAGCCTCCTGAGTAGCTGGGGTTACAGGAGTGCGCCACCAAGCCCAGCATAGTTTTGTATTTTTAGTAGGGTTTTGCCATGTTGGCCAGGCTGGTCTTGAACTCTTGACCTCAGGTGATCCACCTGCCTAGGCCTCCCAAAGTGCTGGGATTACAGGCGTGAGCCACTGCGCCTAGCGTACTTTAGTGATTTCTTAGGACGACGGAGGGAACTAGCTAGCAAGGCAGGCTTGGAATGTGTTTTGGGATCAAATGCCGGTTTCTGTCTGGCACTGGCGTTCTCTGTGGGGCCATGATGGACACACTGCTGAGGTCAAGCGTGATTCGTCTCACGCTGTGCCTGGCAGTCTCGTTGGAAAGTTCTGTAGACACCGTGTGGACAGGGCTCTTCCCAGCCAAGCCCTGGAGGACTTCCAGGACTGTGATCTCCCCACCGTGGCTGATTAAGCAGGGACCCTTCGTGGAGTCTATGGTCCCCTCTAAGTCATAGCTAGACAGGGACTCAGGCACCATCAGCCCTGGCTGTTATTCACTGTGGATGAGGAGACAGGCCCAGAGAGGGGCAGGAACCTGCCCGAGGTCACCAAGCACGGGCAGGCCCCAGAGGTTTCGGTCTCAGATTCTCCCTGCTCATCCCTGGATGTAGCGCTGCTGTGGACGTGGGGCTGTGCTAGGGGCTGTGGAGAGCAGAGGGCTTCTGCCAGGACCCCAGTGAGCCAGTAGGGGTGGTGCCTTGGCCATGGGGCAGACTGGGGGTACGGGACAGCCATCCACCGGGGTGTGGGGAGGAACAGCTTCCCTGAGGAGGCGGTGCCGTGTGACCTGGGCCTTGAAGGACAGGTCCAATGTCAACAGAACATTTTGGGAGTGGAGCCTAGAGGGAGAAAACTTGTTGAAATTCAGAGATCCCCCTCCCCCTACCAATACACACCAAATCAGACGCCTCTGACCAGATCTGAATTTGGCTCTCAGAGATTTCCATTGTAGCCAGGCAGTTGGGGCACTTTCTGAGTGCTGCCTCCACCTCACTGTCCCCAGCCTGCCTGCCTCCGTTTCCCTAGCCCTGGGCCTGTGCCGCTGTCACCATCACCTGGGCGCCCTCTAGTGGATGAATCGGATTATGCACGAGGGGGCTTGGAGCAGGATTCAGAAGGGGCTCCTGTCCTTCCTTGAAATGCTGGACGCCGGGATCCTGGAACAGCTCTTCAGGTCTCTGCATTCCTCCTGGCAACAGCCAGAGCCTGGGCGCAGGGGGCTACTGTTGTTTGAAGGCTGAAGGCTGCAGCCTGGTAGGGCACTCAGGAGACCTGGCAGTTGGCTGCAGGGCCAGGTCTAGGGGCCAGGGCATGAGGGATGCTCTGGGCTGGCTCAGCCCCGGGCCCCCATGCGGATTGTGACTGTGGGGGCATGGCCACATGATGTTGAGGGGGGATCTCTGACCCTGACCTTCTTGGCTCTGTGCATCCTTGAAACCAGAAAGGTCTGGAACAAATCAGTGAACAATGCCCTAACTCGGGGAGGGAGCCACATCCTGACCCCAGCAGCCTCAGAAGGATCCGTGTCAGGGTTATGGGGCACCCTGGGGGCCCCGAGTCTGCATGGGTCTCCACATGCAACTTCTGCCGGAAACTCTGAAAAATCCCAACTGGGGGGTCATAGGACACAATCAGAAATGCTGATGCCACTGTGTGTGGATCCCCGGGCCCTGGGGGGTCAGGAGCATGTAGAAGGTGGGCCACAGGGGGTTCATAAGAGAATCCTGTAACCGCCCCTGCCCCCCAAACTTAGAAGCCCACTGGAGGGCCATGGGTGAAAGCTTGGGGGGGTGTCCTGTGGAGTGGGTGGTGGGGGGTCTTTGGGTTTACATGCTGCTGGGCCTGAGCAGCAGGACCCCGTCCACAGCTGATCCCTGGGCCCTGCTGCTCAGCTGCTCTCTTGAGTGTTGCTGTGGCTGCCGAGAGAGCCTGAGTCGAGCCTCTCTTGTGCCGGCCGTACGCTGTCAGGCCACGCTGGTGAGTTTGGCAAGGCACAGATGCCCAGAGCAGAGAACTTTCCTTGGGGATTTAATATGTGCGAATCTTGAGGTCCGGCAAATCTTTCCCTCAGCTAGAGAGGGGGTTTTTGAGACTAGAATCACCTCAGCATCCTCCTGTCCCCAGCTGTGTCCAGCCTGTCTGCAGGGACATCCTGAGAGGACTAGGCTCTCCCCTCATCCACCTGCGTAAGTGCCACCCTGAAGCCTGTCCACCCATGCTTGGAGAGGCTTGGCCTCAACCTGCTTAGCCAGCAGCAGGCTTGGGCCTGGGGTGCAGCAGAGACCCAGGTGGCTGTGGGGTGGTTGCTTCATGGGGTGGTTCTGAAACGCAGTTGGAAGTGCATGGACAGTGCCTTACCTGTTCTCTGTGGGACCCTGTTTAGAAACCAGGTCTGAGTTACTGGGGGTCATCGCTACATTCTGATGGCCTAGCTGTGTGGAGGCCACGGTGGAGCCCCATCCAAGGAGCCAGGGCCCTGGGTCTAGCCGTGACCAGAACGCATGCCCTGGAGGTGTTTCTCATCTTGCACCTGTGTTGCCTGGTGTCTCAAGTGGCCACAAAACTGTGTTAGCTCTTGGTGCCCCTGGGCTTCGGAACCAGGGTTTCCCTTCATCTCAGTGACCCGGGAGCATCTGGGCAGTGAGTAAAGAGGGTGATTTACTTGATGGGTACGTTTGGTCCTGCCTGGGAGCCCCCCCAGGCACGGTCCTGGGACCTGAAGCTGCCCTCGTTGGTGGAGGGGAGGGAGAGAGCTTCAGGGATGAGGTGGCGTTGAGCTGGGCGGGAAGGGTGAGCCCCTGCAAGGTGGGGTGGGTGTGCTGGGGACGCTGAGCAGCACGGCCAGCAGGTGGGTCTTCAGCTCGGTACCCGGTGGGACTTGTGGTTGGGGCTGGTGTGTGGCCAGGAGAGGGGCTGGCAGAAGACAAGGGGGACTGTGAGGCAGCTCCCATCCAGCGGTTGAAGCCTGATGGCCTGGCTCTGTGCCTCAGTTCTCTCATCTATAAAATGAGAAAACAGTGCCAGCCTCCCAGACCTGTCATGAGGATGAACGAGTGACCACGTAGCATGGGCTGGGTGCGTGTCACCTAACATTACCAGCCTTTGCAAGGAGAGCCCTGGGGACCTGGCTGAGTTTTTCCCTTGCCTGGCCCACTGCACCTGTCCCCACAGGAGCCAAGGAGGTCCTGCTGCTGGCCCGGTAGACGGACCAATGGAGGGTCTCGCTGGACACACCGGACTTCACCGACATCGTGCTGCAGCTGGACGACATCCAGCATGCCATCGCCATCAACTATGACCCAATGGAGGGCCACGTCTACTGGACGGATGACGAGGTGTGGGCCATCCGCAGGGCATACCTGGATGGGTCTGGGGCGCAGACGCTGATCAACACCAAGATCAACGACCCCGATGACATCGCAGTCAACTGGGTGGCCCGAAGCCTCTATTGGACCCACACAGGCACTGAACACATCGAGGTGACGTGCCTCAACAGCACCTCCCACAAGATCCTGGTGTCAGAGGACATGGACGAGCCCCGTGCCATTGCACTGCATCCCGAGATGGGGTAAGACGGGTGGGGCCTGGAGCCAGGGCCAGGCCAAGCAGAGGGAGCTTGACCTGGACCAGTCATTCTGGAACACTGTCTTGCATCAGAACCTGGAGGAAGGCTTGTTAAAACACCAGCGGCTGGGCCCCATCCCCAGAGTGCTGATTCAGGAGCTCCAGGGCAGGGCTGAGGACTTGGGTTTCTAACAAGTACCCAGGTGGTCCGGTGCTGCTGCTGGGTCCATGCATAGAAAGCCCTGGAGACCTGGAGTGAGCCCTTTCTTCCCCTAGCTTCAGCTTCCTGATCTGTAGAATGGAACAGTCCACCTGGGTGATTTCCAGGACGACAGTAGTGGTAGTAAGGGCAGCCTCTGTGACACTGACCACAGTACAGGCCAGGCCTCTTTTTTTTTTTTTTGAGATGGTGTCTCACTCTGTCGCCCAGACTGGAATGCAATGGCACAATCTTGGCTCACTGCAACCTCTGCCTTCCGGGCTCAAGCAATTCTCCTGCCTCAGCCTCCCAAGTAGCTGGGATTACAGGTGCCTGCCACCGTGTCTGGCTAATTTTTGTATTTTTGCTAGAGATGGGGTTTCTCCATGTTGGCCAGGCTGGTCTCGAACTCCTGACCTCAGGTGATCCACCTGCCTTGGCCTCCCAAAGTGCTGGGATTACAGGCATGAGCCACCATGCCTGGCCAGGCCAGGCCTCTTTTAACACTTTGCACACCATGGGTCTTTTCATCCAGGAGGGTAGGTAGTTATACAGTTGAGGACAGTGAAGCCCAGAGATGCTCAGGGACTTGGCCAGGGTCACACAGCAGGAGGTGGCAGGTGTGTGGCTGGGGCTGACAGCATGGCTCCAGCTTTCCAGCGTAGAAGTCTGTGAAAGCAGAGAGCTTGTCGGTTGGTTGAGACCCCCCCCACAGCGGCTCAGATTGCTGTAGCCAGGGGCCTTCCTGGGGGCTCATAACCCAGAACACTAAATGGGCAGACCCTGAGGGAGGAGGTGCAGTGGAGCTGGGGGTGCCGATGGGAAGTCCCGGAGGAGCTGGGAGGTCAGTCGCAGTGCTGCTCTCTGTGGAGCACTTAGTAGGCACCAGGTGTGTTTCCAGGTTCATGGCTCTGGGACCCGAAGCTCAGGTGAAGTGACTTGCCCAGGGTACCCAGCGGGCAGAGGATTTGCAGGCTATGAAGCCTGCGCTCATGGCCTGGCCCTGGGGGTTGCCAGTGTGCTGGCTGGGGAGCTTTTCCTGCAAGTGAGCTGGTGTCTAGAAGCCAGCATGTCAGGCAGCAGGCAGCGGGAGCACAGTAGGCAGATGGTGGGGCCCAAGCAGCCCTCCATGGACCCCAGGGCATGGCGGCACGTGGAAGAGAGCTGCTCCATGTCGGTGGCTGACGGGCTGGGTTGTGCCCCGAGGAGGGCGGATGATGGTAGGAAGTGGGGTCCCCCAGGGCTTTAGCAAGAGGAGGCACAGGAACTGGTTGCCAGCTGCAGTGAAGGGAACATGGCCCTGAGGTCAGGAGCTTGGTCAAGTCACTGCCTCTATGGGCCTCAGTGTCCTCATCTGTGAAAGAGGAAGGGACGGGGAAGCCAACTCCAAGGTCCCTCCTAGCCCTGGTTTCATGAGTCTGAGGATCCCAGGGAAATGGGGCTTGGCAGTCTGACATGTGAGGTCATGGGGTCTAGGGAGGGGCACCGAGCTGGAAGTGGGAGGCAGAGGGGCTGGCCGGCTGGGTCAGACACAGCTGAAGCAGAGGCTGTGACCTGAGGCCCCAGAACCTCCACCCCTGAGCTGCCACCCCAGGATCTGGGTTCCCTCCTTGGGGGGCCACAGGGAACAAGTCACCTGTCCTTTGCACAGGGGAGCCCTTCAGCTGTATGCAGAAGATTGCGCTCTGCCCCTTCCTCCCTCTGGGTGCTGAGCTTCTTCAGCCCACCAGTCAGATGTGAGGCTGCCCTAGACCCTGGGCAGGGTCATTGCTATCCACTGACGTTTGAGATGGGAGATGAGCTCCTGGCCCCTCAGAGTCCTAAGGGCTGGTGCAGTGAAGCCTGCACAGGGTGGAAGTGGGCACCACTGTCCCAGGGGAGCCCCCAGGGACTCTGGTCACTGGGCTTGTGGCTGGCATGCTCAGTCCTCCAGCACTTACTGACACCAGCATCTACCAACACCAACATTTACAAACACTGACATTGACCAACACTGACAATTACTGACACCGACATTTACCAACACTGATATTGACCGACGCCGACATTTACCTACACCAGCATTTACCAATGCCGATATTTACTGACCCCAACATTTAGCCATGTGATGGGGGCCGGCTCGGGGACGGGCCTTGCTCTTAGCAGTGGGGGTGCCACAGAAACTAGACAGATGCATGGGGTCATGGACTTCTGCTTCTTCTCCAGCCTCACGTACTGGATAGACTGGGGAGAGAACCCTGAAATCAAGCGTGCCAACCTGGACAGGCAGGAGCTGCGCGTGCTGGTCAATGCTTCCCTCGGGTGGCCCAACGGCCTGGCCCTGGACCTGCAGGAAGGGAAGCTCTACTGGGGAGATGCCAAGACAGACAAGATCGAGGTGAGGCTCCCATGGAGGTATTTGATCCTGGAGGCCTGGCCCTGCCCGGCTGTCCCTGGGCTCCTAAGAGGCCAGGCCCGGCCACCCCCTGCAGCCTGACATACGTATCACCAAGGCACCAATGGGTGCCTGTGCTCTGCTATTTGGCCAAGCGGAATGCTTGATAAAGTAGTTACAGTACTTTCTGACAAAAACGCCTTGAGAGGGTAGCGCTATACAACGTCCTGTGGTTACGTAAGATGTTATCATTGGGCCAGGCGCCTGTAGTCACAGCTACTTGGAGACTGAGGTGGGAGGATCACTGGAGCCCAAGAGTTTAAGGCCAGCCTGGGTAAAGGGGACACGGGAAACCTCTGCACTGCTTTTGCCACTTACTGTGAGCCTTAAACTATTTCACAAACAATACAAAATCAAGACAAAAAATTAATAACATATCCACTGCCCCCACTTAAGACATAAAACATGAGTGTCATTGAAGCCAGAGGCAGCCATTGGCCTGAGTTTGTTGATTCGTTCCCAAGCAGTTGAAGACAGTTTTGTTTTTCTGTGGATGTCTGTCTCTTCTCCCTATGCTGGGTGCAGCCCTGCATTGCCACTGTGGTTGGATTTCAGTGGCCTTGTCCTGTGGGCGTGCTTTGGCAGCTTGCTTTTTGCTCACCTGTGGAGCTTCTATTGAGCTTTTGTTGTTGTTGTTGTTGTAGTTGTCCAGGCTGGAGTGCAGTGGCACGATCTCAGCTCACTGCAATCTCCACCTCCTGGGTTCTAGCGATTCTCCTGCCTCAGCCTCCCGAGTAGCTGGGATTACAGGCGCATGCCACCACACTCGGCTAATTTTTACATTTTTAGTAGAGACGGGGTTTCACCATTTGGCCAGGCTGTTCTGGAACTCCTGACCTCAAGTGATCCACCTGCCTCAGCCTCCCAAAGTACTGGGATTACAGGCGTGAGCCACCGTGCCTTGCCTCTATTGAGCAGTTTTTTTGAGGTGCTCTTGGTGCCAGTAATATGTTACATGTGTCCCCATTGCACATTGTCACCCATCGAGGTGACATTGGTGCCTCTCCTCGGGGTAGTCGCCTCCCTTTGTTCCCAGCAACTTCTGAAGGATTTTCCTGAGCCTCATCAGTCCTTGTTGACGTCACCATCGGGGTCACCTTTGCTCTCCTCAGGGCTCCCAGGGGAGGCCCGAACCAGGCAGCTTGCAGGGGAGGGTGGGATGGAGAACACGAGTGTGTGTCTGTGTTGCAGGATTTCAGACCCTGCTTCTGAGCGGGAGGAGCCTCAGCACCTTCAGGGTGGGGAACACCCAGGGATGGAAAGGGCTGAGTGGATGCCCCTCCCACAAAAACTCTAGAAGCTGCAGATGTGGCCATTTCCTGTTGGAGCTCCTTGTAAATGTTGTTTTTTTTTTTTTTTTTGGCAAGGCCCATGTTTCTGGGCCGCTGAGGATGATTTGCCTTCATGCATCCCCCCTACCCATGGGAGCAGGTCAGGGACTCACTCACGTGTCTGTGGCACGCCAGGCCACAGGTGTTGTTCCTTGTACTGTTGCAGCAGTGGTTTTCTTGAGACAGGGTCTCGCTCAGTTGCTCAGGCTGGAGTGCAGTGGCGCGATCACGGCTCCCTGCAGCCTCCATCTCCTTGGTCTCAGGTGATCCTTCTGCCTCAGCTTCTGAGTAGCTGGGACTACAGACACACACCACCATATCCAGCTAGTTTTTGCATATTTTTTTGTAGACATGGGGTTTCGCCATGGTGCCCAAGCTGATCTGAAACTCCTGAGGCACAAGTGATCCACCTGCCTTGGCCTCCCAAAGTGCTGGGATGACTGACAGGCATAAGCCACCACACCAAGCCCAATGATTTTTTTTATTGTGATAAAATAAACATAGCACAAAATTGATGATTTTAACCATTTTAAAGTGAACAATTCAGGCCAGGGACGGTGGCTCACACCTGTAATCCCAGTACTTTGGGAGGCTGAGGCAGGCGGATCACCTGAGGTTAGGAGTTCCAAGACCAGCCTGGACCAACATGGTGAAACCCCCCTGTCTACTAAAAATACAAAAATTCACCGGGTATGGTGGCAGGCACCTGTAGTCCCAGCTACTTGGGAGGCTGAGGCAGGAGAATCGCTTGAACCCAGGAGGTGGAGGTTGCAGTGAGCCGAGATCTCACCACTGCACTCCAGCCTGGGCAACAGGGAGAGACTCTGTCTCAGAATCTCAAAAAAAAGAAAAGAAAAAACGTCATTTATCCAGCACCCCTGGAGAGCCGTGATACCTGGCGTTTTATGGTACCTGGCAAGGTGCAGGTGAAGTTGAGGCTCCTGGGTGTTGAACCCGTCTCGTTTGGGGCAGCTCAGGCCCGAGGCAGGGTCAGGGTTGGCTCTCGTTGGCATGGCCCTGGCCCATCCAGACCTGTATCTTTGCCATTCTGCAGGCGATCAGTGTCGATGAGACGAAGAGGCAGACCCTCCTGAAGGACAAGCTCCCACACATTTTCAGGTTCACCCTGCTGGGGGACTTCATCTACTGGACCGCCTGGCAGCACCACAGCATCAAGCGGGTACACAAGGTCAAGGCCAACCGGGACGTCATCATTGACCAGCTGCCCGACCTGATGGGGCTCAAAGCTGTGAACGTGGACAAGGTCGTCGGTGAGTCCAGGGGGGTGGGCCCCAAGCCGTTGCTCAGCTGCAGACTTGCATGAGGAAGAAGTGACAGTTCCAAACCTGGGCATAAGTGTTGAGCTGGGGTGCCCTGCCCTGGGGAAGGGCAGGACAGGAAAGGTGACAGTATCTGGCTAAGGATAGATGGGAAGGGACCAAGGGTGCTGATTAGGGAATGGTTATGGACTAGGAGTATCAGTAACAATGGTTAGAAAGTGGCTAACATTTGTTGAGCACCTGCTGTGTGCCTGGCCCCGGCTGGGAGCCTTCGTGCCCAGAGTGACCCCGTCTGAATGCAGTTCTTTGCCTCATTCAAACTGGGGAGTGGGAGGCAGAGCTGCACAACTCACAGGTGCCGAGCTCAAGACTCACTCCTGGGTCTGCCTGGGCTGGGCTGTGCTTGTTGCCCCTGTGGCCAACACACGCGCACCTTTCACCTGAAAGCCAGGATCCGCAGAACGTTCCCCGAGGAGGTCGTTGTTTGGCACTATGATTTGTCTCTTCCTAAAAAGGTGATAGAGTTACACTGGAGAGAGCAGCATCCAGGTGCAGCAGGGATGGGCCTGGGGCTCACGGGCAGGGGCTCTGTGTCCGGCTGGGGCCTGGGGTCCTGCGCTGCACCTGTGTGTCAGAAGCACTCAGTAAATCTTTGCTGATGAAGGATGAGAGGATAGAGGACATGATGCTTGCTGCTGCATTGCCTGCAATCCTGGATGAGATGCCCAGGTTGGCTTTGCTCCCCGTCGGGTGGATGTGATGTTAGCTGTGATGTTAGGTCCCTGGCTTTAAAATACGAGGGAGCTGGGAATTGAGGGAGCAGGTTGGGGCAGAAAGGACAGCCCCGCAGAGGCCTGGAGCTGAGGCAGTGCGGGCGACCCCAGGAGCAGTGAGTGCTTCCGTCACAGCCTTCATCGCACCCTGTGGTCCTCATAAAGGGGATGGAATCTACGAATTTAGTTTTCCCAGCCTCCTTAAAAACTCATTCATGCCAGGGGCAGTGGCTCACACCTGAAATCCCACCACTTTGGGAGGCTGAGGCAGGCTGATTACTTGAGGTCAGGAGTTTGAGACCAGCCTAGCCAACATGGTGAAACCCCGTGTCTACTCAAAGTACAAAAAAAAAAATTAGTCAGACGTGGTGTCACGCACCTGTAATCCCAGCTCTTTGGGAGGCTGAGGCAGGAGAATCACTTGAACCCAGGAGGCAGAGGTTATAGTGAGCCAGTATTGCGCCACTGACCTCCATCTGGGCAATAGAGTGAGACCCTGTCTCAAAAAAAAAAAAAAAAAAAAGAAAAAAAATGCATGAATGCCAGGTGCAGTGGCTCACGCCTGAAATCCCAGCACTTTGGAAGGCTGAGGCAGGAGGATCACTTGAGCCCAGGAATTTGAGAGTGTCTCTCCTGGGCAACAGAGACAGACCTCATCTCTACTAAAAAAATAAAAATTACAAACAATTAGCCGGGCATAGTGGCATGTGCCTGTGGTCCCATCTACTTAGGAGGCTGAGGTGGCAGGATCCCTGAGCCTGGAGGCAGAGGTTGCAGTGAGCAGAGATCATGCCACTGCACTCCAGCCTGGGTGACAGAGTGAGAACCTGTCTCAAAAAAAAAAAAAAAAAGCATTCACTATCCACCATGGAAGGTGAGACTGACCCACTGTGAGTGATTGTTCAAAGAACAAAAAATAATCCCCAGAGATAAGACAAAAGGGTGCATCCATGGGGCTGTGATTTAAATCTGAGAAATTGGGCTTCTTTCCCCTCCCCTCTCACCCCATGGTTTACTAAAGGAGATGAACAAAAGGATTCTTTTTTTGGCTTAAATATTTAATACTAAATTAAAGCCAGTTTTAACAGCACTTCGGTTGATGAGATTAACAGACTGGCCAAAAATAAATGAACACACTCTGTACTGTGTGAAAAAGAGGCAGCTTTGGCCATGCTGGGTGAATGTGAGTTTTCAGGGTTGCTGGGAATGTCTGTGAATCAGAAGAAGGGCCTAGGTGGGAGTCTCAGGAGCCGAGACCCCAAGGGGTGACTTACCCAGTCCCTGCCCCAAGCCGTTACCGTGTTCTTCCTGGGTCGGAGCACAGGCCAGGAGGCTGGACCACCAGGCTGGCATTCTCGCTGAGCTGCTCCCTGACTTCCTGACCATGCTCCCTTCAGCAGCCTCTGCACTTTAGTTTCCTCGAATGAGAAATGGGGATGAGAATAGCTCCTAACTCCAAGGTGGATGGAGTAAGTTCGCACAGGTTGAATCCCTGGGATCAGCGCCTGGAGCCTGACAAGGTCCAGTCAGAGCCAGAACTGCTGTTACTGATACTGACCCTTGGCCGTACCAGGGGAGAACTTGGTTGCCATTGCCAGGTGTTCTCCCACCACGCCCAGCTACTGTCCCTGTTTGACATGTGGCTGGAATAAAGCTGTGCACGTTGCAGCTTTTGGCACATCCTGGCTTTGAGGTAAAAGGTACGTGTGTGTTTGAGGGTTGAGCCTGGCCATGGGAATGATAATCACAGCCCAACCCAGCCGTGAGGTCGAACCCTACCTAGGGGTGAGTCCTGAGCTTGACACCCCTGAGCTGTGCGGTTCACGGTGGCATTCATTGTGTGGCTTGGCTGCACCCCTTTCCCTGCTGGGCTGTTGGTGTTTAGATCGGAGCCTGTGTGTTCACTTCCAGGAACCAACCCTCATGCGGACAGGAATGGGGGTGCAGCCACCTGTGCTTCTTCACGCCCCACACAACCCGGTTTGGCTGCCCCATCTAGGGCCTGGAACTGCTGAGTGACATGAAGACCTGCATCATGCCCAAGGCCTTCTTGGTCTTCACCAGTAGAGCCGCCATCCACAGGATCTCCCTCGAGACCAACAACAACGATGTGGCCATCCTGCTCTCGGCGTCAAGGAGGCCTCGGCCCTGGACTTTGATGTGTCCAGCAACCACATCTACTGGACAGACATCAGCCTGAAGGTAGCGTGGGCCCGAACATGCACACGTGCAGCCTATATGGGAAAACCTTCCCTCTGTACCTGCCTCAAAGGTTTCAGACATTTTTCTTAAAGCACTATAATATTTATTGTAACACAATTCAAGCTAATTAAATATGAGCAAGCCTATTTCAAAAAAAATAGACGATTATAATGAGCAAATCCGGTAGACACACATGACGGCTTTTGTGAAATGCTTGTGTGAATGTGAAATGTCTGTTGTCCGTTGAGCTTGACCTCAGACACCCCACCCGCTGTCTTTCCAGTGCCCGTTTGCTTAGCACTCTTTCTTCATTTATAGTGCAAATATAAACATCCAGGACAAATACAGGAAGACCTTTTTTTTTTTTTTTTTTTTTTTTTTTTTTTTTTTTTTTTGAGACGGAGTCTTGCTCTGTCGCCCAGGGTGGAGTGTGCAGTAGCATGATCTCAGCTCACCGCAACCTCCACCTCCCAGGTTAAAGCGATTCTCCTGCCTCAGCCTCCTAAGTAGCTGGGTTTACAGGCATATGCAACCACACCCAGCTAGTTTTTTTAGTAGAGACAGGGTTTCACCATGTTGGCCAGGCTGGTCTTGAACTCTTGACCTCAGGTGATCTGCCCGCCTTGGCCTCACAAAGTGGTGGGATTACAGGCGTGAGCCACCGTACCCGGCCTAGAAAGACTTTTTGCCTTCTAAAGAAGGGTTTAGGGGCACGCTGCTAGCTAGGGGGAGCTGTGGCCGAGTACAATGCCGGGCGTGGGGAGCCAGGCGGCCCCGGGGCTGAGGCGAGCGAAGGGGCTGAAGGGAGTCACGGTGGTGCTGAAGCCAGTGGCGCAGCTGTGCGGGGCAGCGGCGCTGAGGAGGTGGCGGTGGGGCTGAAGTGGAGCTCGGCAGCCTCCGGCCTGCACCAGGCACCCTCCCAGTCTTGGGCGCCCTGGTGTGCAGGCTGCAGCCATGGCGGTGCCTGCCCCTGGGAGGAGGGGGCGGTGTGGGGGGGTCCCAGCGGCCACCAGGAGGAGGCGGAGGCAATGGCGGCAGGAACTGGGGCTGAGCTGTCCCCGCTGCGTGCCTGCGACAGTGACCCAGCCAGCCCCGGAGCACAGTCCCGGAAGGATGATAATGAAGATAATTCAAATGATGGGACCCAGCCATCCAAAAGGAGGTGAATGGGCTCAGGAGGTAGTTCTAATAGTTATGAAACTTCAAGTCAAGATCTTGGCTTTAGTCACTATCCAGCAGAAAATTTGATAGAGTACAAAAGGCCACCTGATGAAATAGGAGAATACTATATGCTTCAATAACAAGTCAGTGAATATTTGGGTGTGACCTCCTTTAAAAGGAAATATCCAGATTTAGAGCGAGATTTGTCTCACAAGGAGAAACTCTACCTGAGAGAGCTAAAGTCATTACTGAAACTCAGTGCATGCTAGGTATAACAGCATTGCGCAGTGATGAAGTGATTGATTTAATGATAAAAGAATATCCAGCCAAACATGCTGAGTATTCTGTTATTCTACAAGAAAATGAATGTCAGCGAATTACAGACCATTATAAAGAGTATTCCCAAATGCAACAACAGAATACTCAGAAAGTTGAAGCCAGTAAAGTGCCTGAGGATATTAAGAAAGCTGCCAAAAAAGCAGCTGAATTTAACAGCAACGTAAACTGGGAACGCATGGAAGAAGAGCTTATTTTGACTTGCAGACACATGTTATCCAGGTGCCTCAAGGGAATTACAAAGTTTTGCCAACAGAGCAAACAATGATTAGTTCTTACCCAGTGGGTCTCATCCCCTGACAGTTCGACAGTTTGAGGAATATTATAAAAGGTACTCACCAGATGAGCTCTGGTACCTGCCATTAAACACAGCCCTGTATGAGCCCCCCTCTGGATCCTGAGCTCCCTGCTGTAGACAGTGATTCAAATGATGGCGAAGATGGTCGAGGTGACGAAAAACGGAAAAATAAAGGCACTTTGGATAGCTCCTCTGGCAATGAATGTATCTGAAGGGGAAAGCCCTCCTGACAGCCAGGAGGACTCTTTCCAGGGAAGACAAATCAAAAGACAAGAAGAGAGACTGTTATCACCCCCCGTACAGATGAGGAAACTGAGGCCCACTGAAGGGAATCAAATTTCCCAAGTTCAAGGGCTGATGAGGGCTGAGCTTGGGCAGGACACTTTGTCTGACCCTGTGGCTGGGGCTCCCACAGCAGAGGCTCCACTTGGAAGAACACGCTCTGGGCTCCTGCAGGCCTTTGCCAGCTGCCCTCCCTCCTCCTAGCCGTTCAGGGGAGGGGTGGCCATCGGGCTCTGTAGCCCTGACTCGGCCTTACTCTGCTCTGAGGCCTCTTTTCTGCATCCCTGAAATGGGGTCAGAGCAGGGACAAGTACTCCCAGGGGACCCCAGTGCCACAGCCCCCTTCTCCCATGGTGCATGAGCAGGCACACTTCAGGTCTCACCTGGGGCTGGGCTAGGCCAGGTCTCACCTGGGGCTGGGCTAGGCCAGGTCTCACCTGGGGCTGGGCTAGGCCAGGTCTCACCTGGGGCTGGGCTAGGCCAGGTCTCACCTGGGGCTGGGCTAGGCCAGGTCTCACCTGGGGCTGGGCTAGGCCGATCCTGCCTTGCCTGGGACATCAGGAGCTGAGGGTCTATATAGGTCAGGACCCAGGAGGCCTCAGGGGGCTTGTGGAAGGATGGGGGTGTGTGTATGGACAGATATATGGATGGACAGACTGATAAAAACAGATGAGTAACTGTCCAGTCTGAAGTCCTGTCCACAGAGGAGGGACCCTGGAAGGCCTCTTGGGGGCAGCTGTGCTGCCAAGTTCCTTGTCACTACTCAAGACCTTAGGGTAACCAGGGCAGCAATTGGAAGGGTCCCCATTTCCCTTTACCTCCCTGTAACTGGCCCAGCCCCACTGAAATGTCCAGGGTCTGGAGGCAGTGGGGTGGGGGTTGGGGGGGGGTATGAACTGCAGGGACCCACTTCCAGCTTCGGCCAGCCCACCCTGGGTCCCTCTGAGCTGTGAGTGTCTTGGCTGTGCCCCACAGTTGGCCACAGCTCTGCACCCAGCATTTTGAACAGTTCCTGCAGAGCCCTGAGGCGGAGGCAGGGCCTGCATGAACAGAAGCTTCTGGAGCAGAAGATGCTGCTTCTGTCCCTTGACTGTGATCTTGAGACCCTATCTAGCTCAGGTCTGGGCATGGGGCTTGAGCACCTTGGTGCTGGGACACAGGCCCACTTCCCAGCTGGGCTGGCAGAGGCTGCATTAACTGAACCCTCCCCTACTCCTATGTCCCCACCCCCATAGGAGGCTTCCCCTCTGAAAACCATTTGGCAATTTCTAATAAATACACGCTTATGCATATCAAGCAAACCCTACTCCTGGGTTTTTATCCAAATGGAATGAAAACTTATGTTCAAACAAAAATTTGAATGCAAATATTTATACTGGTTTTATTCACCACTGGCAAGAAGCAGAAACATCTGGTTTGACCCACCACACACACATATGCACACACGTGGAAACAACCCAATTGTCATTCAACTGGTGAATGGCTAAACAAAGTGTCATACCTTCATAAATGGAATCAGGCTCGGCAATAATAGGGGAACAAACTATTGATCCATAAGGCAACTGGGATGAATTGCAACATTGTTACACTGAACTCAGGAAGCCAGGCTCAGAAGGTTACATACTTAGACTCCTAGTCAGCATTAAAAAGGAAAAAACTACGTTGCAATTGAGCCACCTGGAGGAACACCCAGAAAACTATGCTGAGTGGGAGAAAGCCAGTCCCCAGAGGTCACATACTGTATGATTCCATGTGCAGAACATTCTTGAAATAACAAAATTATACAAGTGGAGACCAAATTAGTAGTTGCCAGGGGCTAAGGAGGGGTTTGGGACAGTGGGAAGTGAGTGTTCCTGTGAAAGGGCAACATGAGGGATGTTTGGGAGGGAAGCATTCCCTTCTTGCTGTATCAATGTCAGTATCCTGGCTCTGATCCATTACTGTAGCTGCAAGGTCCTACCCTTGAGGGAACTGGCCAGAGTACCTAGGATTCCTCTGTATTATTCCTCACAGCTGCATGAGAAGCTACAATAATCTCAAAATAAAAAGTTTAATTTAAAAAACGGTCACATTGAGAGATGACAGCGTGCTGGCAGCCCTCGCTCACTCTCGGCACCTCCTTGGCCTTGGCGCCCACTCTGACCACGCTTGAGGAACCCTTCAGCCCACTGCTGCACTGTGTGAGCCCCTCTCTGGGCTGGCCGAGGCTGGAACTGACTCCCTCTGCTTGCGGGGAGGTGTGGAGGGAGAGGCGCGGGCGGGAACCAGAGCTGCTCGCGGTGCTCACAGGCCAGCATGCGTTCTGGGTGGGCGTGGGCTCAGTGGGTCCGACACTCAGAGTGGCAGTGAGGGGCTTAGCACCCAGGCCAGCACCTGTGGAGGGTGCACTGGGTCCCACAGCACTGCCGGCCCATCCACACCACACTCAAATTCTTGCCAGGCCTCAGCCACCTCCCCACAGGGCAGGGCTCGGGACCTGCAGCCCACCATGCCCAAGGCATGCTCCCCAGCACTGTGGGCTCCCTCACGGCCCAAGCTTCCCCGACAGGCGACGCCCCCTGCTCTGCGGTGCCCAGTCCCATCGACTGCCCAAGGGCTGAGGGGTGCATGCACACGCACAGGACTGGCGGGCAGCTCCGCCCGTGTGGCCCTGGTGTGGGATCCACGAGGTGAAGCCAGCTGGACTCCTGAATCTGGTGGGGGCTTGGAGAACTTTTATATGTCTACCCAGAGGATGGTATATGCACCAATCAGCATTCTGTGTCTAGCTCGGGGTTCGTGGATGCACCAATCAGCACACTGTATCTAGCTAATCTGGTGGGGACTTGGAGAACTTTTCTGTCTAGCTAAAGGATTGTAAATGCACGGATCAGTGCTCTATGTCTAGCTCAAGTTTGTAAACGCACCAATCAGCACCCTGTGTCTAGCTCAAGGTTTGTAAAAGCACTAATCCGTGCTGTGTCTAGCTCATCTAGTGGAGACTTGGAGAACTTTTGTGTCTAGCTAAAGGTTTATAAATGCACCAATCAGCACCCTGTCAAAATGGACCAATCTGCTACTCTTTGGCTCCACACTGCCTTTATGAGCTGTAACACTCACTGCAAAGGTCCGCAGCTTCATTCCTGAAGCCAGCGAGACCACAAACCCACCAGAAGGAAGAAACTCCGAACACGTCCAAACATCAGAAGGAACAAACTCTGGACACACCATCTTTAAGAACACTCACCACAGAGGTCCGCGGCTTCATTCTTGAAGTCAGTGAGACCAAGAACCCACCAATTTCAGACACAACATCCTTTACGTTTGCATTTCTGTGATATTCTGTAAAAATCAACAGTATAGGGTCAGAAAGAGACCAGTGGTTGCCATGGTTGGGGTACAGAAAGGGTTTGAATGTAAAAGGAACGTAAGGGCTGAGAGCAGGGGCTCACCCCTGTAATCCCAGCACTGTGGGAGGCTGAGGCAGGTGGGTCACCCCTGTAATCCCAGCACTGTGGGAGGCTGAGAGCAGCGGCTCACCCCTGTAATCCCAGCACTGTGGGAGGCTGAGGCAGGTGGGTCACCCCTGTAATCCCAGCACTGTGGGAGGCTGAGAGCAGCGGCTCACCCCTGTAATCCCAGCACTGTGGGAGGCTGAGAGCAGCGGCTCACCCCTGTAATCCCAGCACTGTGGGAGGCTGAGAGCAGGGGCTCACCCCTGTAATCCCAGCACTGTGGGAGGCTGAGAGCAGGGGCTCACCCCTGTAATCCCAGCACTGTGGGAGGCTGAGGCAGCAGCTCACCCCTGTAATCCCAGCACTGTGGGAGGCTGAGAGCAGGGGCTCACCCCTGTAATCCCAGCACTGTGGGAGGCTGAGGCAGGTGGGTCACCCCTGTAATCCCAGCACTGTGGGAGGCTGAGAGCAGCGGCTCACCCCTGTAATCCCAGCACTGTGGGAGGCTGAGGCAGGTGGGTCACCCCTGTAATCCCAGCACTGTGGGAGGCTGAGAGCAGCGGCTCACCCCTGTAATCCCAGCACTGTGGGAGGCTGAGAGCAGGGGCTCACCCCAGTAATCCCAGCACTGTGGGAGGCTGAGAGCAGGGGCTCACCCCTGTAATCCCAGCACTGTGGGAGGCTGAGGCAGATGGGTCACTTGGGGCCAGGAATTTGAGACCAGCCTGGCCAACATGGCGAAACCCTGTCTCTACTAAAAATACAAAAATTACCCGGGTGTGGTGACCACACTTGTAATTCCAGCTACTTGAGAGGCTGAGGCAAGAGAATCACTTGAATCCAGGAGGTGGAGTTTGCAGTGAGCCGAGATTGCACCTCTGCACACCAGCCTGGGTGACAGAGTGAGACTGTGTTTCTAAAAAAGGGGTGCTTAGAGAAATTTGGGGGTGGTGGTGGAAATATTCTGTATTTCAATTGTGATAGTTACATGAGTCAATAATTTTTAGAAAATTATACTAGGTTTTATTAGCTTCACCAAAAAGAGTAAACTTTACTGTAAATAAAAATAGAAATGTTTGAAATGTTTAAATGTTTTAAAATGTTTATTATGGGAGGTGGAGCCAAGATGGCTGAATAGGAACAGCTCCAGTCTACAGCTCCCAGCGTGAGTGGCGCAGAAGACAAATGATTTCTGCATTTCCAACTGAGGTACCGGGTTCATCTCACTGGGGATTGTCGGACAGCAGGTGCAGCGCACCGAGCGTGAGCCGAAGCAGGGCGAGGCATCGCCTCACCCAGGAAGTGCATGGGGTCAGGGAATTCCCTTTCCTAGCCAAGGAAAGGGATGACAGATGGCACCTGGAAAATCGGGTGACTCTCACCCTAATACTGCACTTTTCCAAAGGTCTTAGCAAATGGCACACCAGGAGACTGTATCCCGCACCTTGCTTGGAGGGTCCTACGCCCACGAAGCCTCGCTCATTGCTAGCACAGCAGTCTGAGATCAAACTGCAAGGTGGCAGTGAGGCTAGGGGAGGGGCGCCCGCCATTGCCGAGTCTTCAGTAGGTAAACAAAGCAGCCAGGAAGCTCGAACTGGGTGGAGTCCACCGCAGCTCAAGGAGGCCCACCTGCCTCTGTGGACTCCACCTCTGGGGGCAAGGTATAGCCAAACAAAAGGCAGCAGAAACCTCTGCAGACTTAATTGTCCCTGTCTGACAGCTTTGAAGAGAGTAGTGGTTCTCCCAGCATGCAGCTGGAGATCTGAGAATGGACAGACTGCCTCCTCAAGTGGGTCCCTGACCCCCGAGTAGCCCAACTGGGAGGCACCCCCCAGTAGGGGCAGACTGACACCTCAAACGGCTGGGTACTCCTCTGAGACAAAACTTCCAGAGGAACGATCAGGCAGCAACATTTGCTGTTCACCAATATCCGCTTTCTGCAGCCCCCACTGCTGATACCCAGGCAAACAGGTTCTGGAGTGGACCTCCAGCAAACTCCAACAGACCTGCAGCTGAGGGTCCTGACTGTTAGAAGGAAAACTAACAAAACAGAAAGGACATCCACAGCAAAACCCCATCTGTACGTCACCATCATCAAAGACCAAAGATAGATAAAACCACAAAGATGGGGAAAAAACGGAGCAGAAAAACTGAAAAGTCTAAAAATCAGAGTGCCTCTCCTGCTCCAAAGGAATGCAGCTCCTCACCAGCAATGGAACAAAGCTGGATGGAGAATGACGAGTTGAGAGAAGAAGGCTTCAGATGATCAAACTACTCGGAGCTAAAGGAGGAAGTTCGAACCCATGGCAAAGAAGTTAAAAACCTTGAAAAAAGATTAGATGAATGGCTAACTAGAATAACCAATGCAGAGAAGTCCTTAAAGGACCTGATGGAGCTGAAAACCACAGCACGAGAACTACGTGACGAATGCACAAGCCTCAGTAGCCAATTCGATCAACTGGAACAAAGGGTATCAGTGATGGAAGATCAAATGAATGAAATGAAGCGAGAAGAGAAGTTTAGAGAAAAAAGAATAAAAAGAAATGAACAAAGCCTCCAAGAAATTTGGGACTATGTGAAAAGACCAAATCTACGTCTGATTGGTGTACCTGAAAGTGATGGGGAGAATGGAACCAAGTTGGAAAACACTCTGTAGGATATTATCCAGGAGAACTTCCCCAATCTAGCAAGGCAAGCCAACATTCAGATTCAGGAAATACAGAGAACGCCACAAAGATACTCCTCGAGAAGAGCAACTCCAAGACACATAATTGTCAGATTCACCAAAGTTGAAATGAAGGAAAAAATGTTAAGGGCAGCCAGAGAGAAAGGTCGGGTTACCCGCAAAGGGAAGCCCATCAGACTAACAGCTGATCTCTCAGCAGAAATTCTACAAGCCAGAAGAGAGTGGGGGCCAATATTCAACATTCTTAAAGAAAAGAATTTTCAATCCAGAATTTCATATCCAGCCAAATTAAGCTTCATAAGTGAAGGAGAAATAAAATCCTTCACTGACAAGCAAGTGCTGAGAGATTTTGTCACCACCAGGCCTGCCCTAAAAGAGCTCCTGAAGGAAGCACTAAACATGGAAAGGAACAACTGGTACCAGCTACTGCAAAAACATGTCAAATTGTAAAGACTATCGAGGCTAGGAAGAAACTGCATCAACTAACGAGCAAAATAACCAGCTAACATCATAATGACAGGATCAAATTCACACATAACAATATTAACCTTAAATGTAAATGGGCTAAATGCTCCAATTAAAAGACACAGACTGGCAAATTGGATAAAGAGTCAAGACCCATCAGTGTGCTGTATTCAGGAAACCCATCTCACGTGCAGAGACACACATAGGCTTAAAATAAAGGGATGGAGGAAGATCTACCAAGCAAATGGAAAACAAAAAAAGGCAGGGGTTGCAAAATCCTAGTCTCTGATAAAACAGACTTTAAACCAACAAAGATCAGAAGAGACAAAGAAGGCCATTACATAATGGTAAAGGGATCAATTCAACAAGAAGAGCTAACTATCCTAAATATATATGCACCCAATACAGGAGCACCCAGATTCATAAAGCAAGTCCTTAGAGACCTACAAAGAGACTTAGACTCCCACACGATAATAATGGGAGACTTTAACACCCCACTGTCAACATTAGACAGATCAACGAGATAGAAAGTTAACAAGGATATGCAGGAATTGAACTCAGCTCTGCACCAAGCGGACCTAATAGACATCTACAGAACTCTCCACCCCAAATCAACAGAATATACATTCTTTGCAGGACCACACCACACCTATTCCAAAATTGACCACATAGTTGGAAGTAAAGCACTCCTCAGCAAATGTAAAAGAACAGAAGTTATAACAAACTGTCTCTCACACCACAGTGCAATCAAACTGGAACTCAGGATTAAGAAACTCACTCAAAACCACTCAACTACGTGGAAACTGAACAACCTGCTCCTGAATGACTACTGGGTACATAACGAAATGAAGGCAGAAATAAAGATGTTCTTTGAAACCAATGAGAACAAAGACACAACATACCAGAATCTCTGGGACACATTCAAAGCAGTGTGTAGAGGGAAATTTATAGCACTAAATGTCCACAAGAGAAAGCAGGAAAGATCTAAAATTGACACCCTAACATCACAATTAAAAGAACTAGAGAAGCAAGAGCAAACACATTCAAAAGCTAGCAGAAGGCAAGAAATAACTAAGAGCAGAACTGAAGGAAATAGAGACACAAAAAACCCTTCAAAAAATCAGTGAATCCAGGAGCTGGTTTTTTGAAAAGATCAACACAATTGATAGACCTACAAACCACTGCTCAATGAAATAAAAGAGGATACAAACAAATGGAAAAACATTACATGCTCATGGGTAGGAAGAATCAATATCATGAAAATGGCCATACTGCCCAAGGTTATTTATAGATTCAATGCCATCCCCATCAAGCTACCAATGACTTTCTTCACAGAATTGGAAAAAACTACTTTAAAGTTCATATGGAACCAAAAAGCCCGCATTGCCAAGTGAATCCTAAGCCAAAAGAACAAAGCTGGAGGCATCACGCTACCTGACTTCAAACTATACTACAAGGCCACAGTAACCAAAACAGCATGGTACTGGTACCAAAACAGAGATATAGACCAATGGAACAGAACAGAGCCCTCAGAAATAATGCCGCATATCTACAACCATCTGATCTTTGACAAACCTGACAAAAACAAGAAATGGGGAAACGATTCCCTATTTAACCAGTGGGGCTGGGAAAACTGGCTAGCCACATGTAGAAAGCTGAAACTGGATCCCTTCCTTATACCTTATACAAATATTAATTCAAGATGGATTAAAGACTTACATGTTAGACCTGAAACCACAAAAACCCTAGGAGAAAACCAAGGCAATACCATTTAGGACATAGGCATGGGCAAGGACTTCATGTCTAAAACACCAAAAGCAATGGCAACAAAAGCCAAAATAGACAAATGGGATCTAATTAAACTAAAGAGCTTCTGCACAGCAAAAGAAACTACCATCAGAGTGAACAGACAACCTACAGAATGGGAGAAAATTTTTGCAATCTACTCATCTGACAAGGGGCTAATATCCAGAATCTACAATGAACTCAAACAAATTTACAAGAAAAAAACAAACAACCCCATCAAGAAGTGGGCGAAGGATATGAACAGACACTTCTCCAAAGAAGACATTTATGCAGCCAAAAGACATGAAAAAATGCTCACCATCACTGGCCATCAGAGAAATGCAAATCAAAACCACAATGAGATACCATCTCACACCAGTTAGAATGGCAATCATTAAAAAGTCAGGCAACAACAGGTGCTGGAGAGGATGTGGAGAAATAGGAACACGTTTACAATGTTGGTGGACTGTAAACTAGTTCAACCATTGTGGAAGTCAGTGTGGCGATTCCTCAGGGATCTAGAACTAGAAATACCATTTGACCCAGCCATCCCATTACTGGGTATATACCCAAAGGATTCTAAATCATGCTGCTGTAAAGACACATGCACACGTATGTTTATAGCGGCACTATTCACAATAGCAAAGACTTGGAACCAACCCAAATGTCCAACAACGACAGACTGGATTAAGAAAATGTGGCACATACACATCATGGAATACTATGCAGCCATAAAAAATGATGAGTTCATGTCCTTTGTAGGGACATGGATGAAGCTGGAAAGCAAGCAAACTATTGCAAGGACAAAAAACCAAACACTGCATGTTCTCATTAGGTGGGAATTGAACAATGAGAACACATGGACACAGGAAGGGGAACATCACACACTGGGGCCTGTTGTGGGGTGGGGAGAGTGGGGAGGGATAGCATTAGGAGATATACCTAATGTTAAATGACGAGTTAATGGGTGCAGCACACCAACATGGCACATATATACATATGTAACTAATCTGCACATTGTGCACATGTACCCTACAACTTAAAGTATAATTAAAAAGAAAAGGAAAGAAAATCTCACTGTTACTGTTTTTCAGCTCCCTGAGTCCATTCTTTAGGTTTGGACTGGTGAGTTTGTTTCTCACATCAGAAAACCAACATTTCCTTAGAAGACAAAGAAAGGTGGTCTTACCTGGGCATCATCATCATCATTGTCATCATCACAATCATCTTCACTTGGTGGTAGGCATACTAAAGTCAGGTTGTCCTCAAGAGAAGCTGGGAGGACACAGAGGAAAGATCAGTGCCCTGGTTGTTTGTGACTGTGAGTCACTCAGGGAGCTTTCCTGGATGTGGTGTAAGGAGGTGGTTGATTAAATAGCATGGACTGAGTTGATGCTGGGCTATTCCCCTGGGTGGAAGAGGGATGGCAGAGGAGGGGAGCAGGAAAGACATGAGACATGGGGGCCTTGTCCTTGTACTAGAGGCATCATGCAGAAACACAAAACAGTCAACCCCAAATGGAACTAAAGCACACACTAAGGGTCAATGGAAGAGTGCCTTCCTCCCTCTCAAATGTTTTGAAACTCTTCTAAACCAACAGCATTTTCTTAACATATTCAAGATCATGTCAGTACACTAGAATCCAATTATGCTGGTACTACATGCACCATCTCTTTTAAAGGATTTATTACTTAATTAAAAGCCTATTTTATTGGTAAAATGGATCAATTTTACCCAATTTACTCTATTGTATTAATCACACATTCTTTTCCGTAAAGATCATTTTAAAAATTAAATATTAAAATGCTACAATTAAAAATAGTCATGAGTTCCTCTTTGTAAGTCTTCTTCTGGAACCAGGGTGTGTGCACAAAACCTACTCTGTGTCACTCTCCCTGAGGAGATTCCCTAAATATCAGGCTTCATTCAAACAGGCCAAGTTCACAGAGCCTTCTCTGCCTACACCAGTGAAGCTGAGAGACGTGACTTTGAACACTTTCTGCCAGGAGGATAAGTTTCCAGGTTCAAATACACATGATCTACTGAAATGAGGAAATGTATACCAGAAGAAATGAACAAATTCAGGAAAAAATATCCATGAGTATAGGGGTGATTTTTTGGTTAACTAGCTTACATAAAAAATTTTTTTATTTTATGCCTGTTCATTCAGAAATACAAAATATTGGCATGAGAAATCACAAATTTGGCCAGGCGCAGTGGCTCATGCCTGTTATTCCAGCACCTTGGGAGGCTGAGGCAAGCAGATCACGAGCTCAAGACATTGAGACCATCCTGGCCAACATGGTAAAACCACGTGTCTACTAAAAATAAAAAAAATTAGCTGGGTGTGGTGATATACACCTGTAGTCTCAGCTATTCAGAAGGCTAAGGCAGGAGAATCACTTGAAACCGGGAGGCTGAGGTTGCAGTGAGTGGAGAGCACATCACTGCACCCCAGTATGGTGACAGAGTAAGACTCCATTGCAAAAAAAAAAAAAAAAAATCAGATTTTTATCAGTCATGATAAATGTAACTTATTAGCTGTCAACCTAGATTCTAGAAAGTAAAGAAGGTACAAATAAGTTGAAAGGCATACCGTATTCATGGATAGGAAGACTAAACATGACTAACACACAATACTACACAATGATCTATAGACTCACAACAACTGCTATCAAACTGGCAACAGCCCTCTGTGCAGAAATGGAAAAGATAATCCTAAGACTTCAGTGAATTTTTATGTGGCTCAAATAACCATGGTAACATTGAAAAAGAATACTGTTGGAGGACACACATTCATGAGATGGAAACTTACAAAAAAAAAAAAAATTTAGCATGCTTCTAGCATGGGGGCACCCATAAGTATAGAATTGAGAGCCCAGAATTAAATGCACACATACAGAGTCAGCTGATCTTCAACAAAGGTGCCAAGAATACACAATGAGGAAAGGAAAGCCTCTTCCACAAATGATGCTAAAACTGCATATTCTCATTCACATGAAGAAATGGAATGCTGACAATATGCTCAAGGTTGTGCTTCTCCCTCCATTTCCAAGACACTGGAGCTTCTGCAGTGAGCCCAGAGTGAATTTTCATTCCGTCCTCCATGCCCAGAGAGATGTCTTGATACCAGAGGTAAACAGCAAGCACAGACAAATGAATGTGCTGCCATGAAACCTAACAGTTCATAAGGTGAGGATCCATTTCTCCTGTGCATCTGGGCACACCGCAGAAGAATTCTGTCTCCAGGATTAAGTGACTCCCTGTGACAGAACTGCATCCCAAACCAAAGACATTTTGCAGTGGCAGAGGCAGAAAAGAGCAGGTGTTCTCAGAAACATCTTTAAATAATGAAGAAGAGGAGATCGAAAACTCAGGATACTCAAAAGCCCATAAACATAGTACTTCTCACCACAATGACATTAAACTCTGAAAAGAACAAACAGCTTTTATTTACTTTTTCTCTTTCTGCACCCTCCTCAGCCTCCCAAGCAGCAGGTATAACCTGAAAGTTGCTGGAAATGCTGTTTTATTAGATCCCACCTGAAGTCTTCTTGCCTACCTGGAAAGGTATCCTCTTCCCTGCTGAGATTCTCCAGAATCCACTCTTCAGAACCAACAACATGAGGATAAGTCAGTGAGAGGTGCACTCACTTCTACTCCAGGTGAAGACACACTGGCTCACACAAAATCTCCTGGTTGGTCCTCTGGTTCACACACATTTCTACAGCCCCTCTTCTCATAGCTATACACTTGCAGAATCATTTGCTCTCACCACACCCCCAGTATTTTTAATAGGAACCCAGATTGAGGTTTCTATATATTAAAGCCAGCAAGTTTGTTTCTCAGAAAGTTAGTTCAAAGTACGTACCCTGGATAGGTGATGGTAAAATCTGCAATGAGACAAAAGAAGATTCTATGAGGATCAGATCAATTCTGCTGCACCCCTTACACAGATCAGTTAGTCTCTTGATGACTTCAGAAAACTAGTTGTGAAACTGGTTGAGTCAAGGTTCAAAGAGCAAACATTCTAGCATGGAGGACACCTGTGGAAAAGACAAGAGCTTTTCCCACAGAATTTCTTTGAAGTTGATTTAGATTGGTAAATGCACAATGCCTAATTCAAAGAGGAAAATTGGTGTGGAGGAAAATGCCTCTGCATTACAGTTGATGATGGATGCTGTCATTTAAAAACATCCTAGTGTGTCACGTATTAGATGGGAAGACATTCCCACTGAACTCCATCCTCACAAAGAGAATTGTGTATTTGTATTTTATATGCCTCATCATATTAAGTGAAAATTAATTGAGAAGGAAAGAAATCAGGTTAAGGAAATAATGTATACAGTGATCCATTTTTAAGACAAAGTGCCTTGAACTGGTTCAGGTCAAAAAAGTACAGAAGAAATACTAGGCTCCTGGTTGGACAGGCAATGTCTGCTTGTTGGGCCCCCCTTCCACACTACTTAGTTCCCATCACTTGAACAAAGAAGTTTAGTCTAAGTTGAAAGTTTACTAGCCTGCAAAATACCTCACTTTGTCTGTTCTTACCAGCCTGCCCAGCTACTAAGGTCATAAGTCAAATACTTGAACAGCCCCTGAGCTGACTAGGATTGCAATGCATTGTGGGCTGCAACAAAATGCAGTTAAGACAACCATAAAAATAAAACCTAAAGCTCCTACCCAACAATCAATATGCGACAACCTGGGAAGATTGTGACCCCATAGTACGCAGCCTCTGAGGAACCAGGGGAGGGACTTGCACACTAGGGGATAAACTGCTTGTTGAAATTGTTCTGGGTGTGTCTGCCCATCAGACACTCGACCTTGCAAGACCATCATTAAAAGTCTCACTTTTTCTGTTCTGCAGGCCTCTGAGTCCATTCTTTGGGTGTGGATGGGTGAGTTTGCTTCTGACATCAGGAAAGCAACATTTCCTTAGAAGGCAAAGAAAGGAGTCTTACCTTGGTGTCATCATTGTCTTCCTCACTTGGTGGTAGAAGTTTTAAACTCAGGCGGTCCTCAGGGGGACCTAAAAGGACACGCAGTTAATGTCAGTGCGCTGGTGGTTGGAGACTGGGAGTCCCTCAGGGAGCTTGCTGGATGCGGCACATGGAGCGTGGGACTGAAGATATTGAGACATCTCAGAGAAACAACTGTGTTCAAGTAGTGAGCATGAGGGAGTCTCACCAGATACCTTGCATCTTAGCCAGTGCCCAGACCTAATAAGACTCTTGCATTCCCAAGTCCCAGAAGATACTAACCAATCAAAAATCAGGGCTTTGATGTTTGCTGTGACATAGGAAAAACTGGTCTTGTGGAAAGGTAACCATTAAACACCAGAGCAAGAAAAAAAATGGTTACAAACACAGCACATAAAGTCCATGGACATGTATTGTCTCATCTCTATCTTACTAAAATACAAAAGGAACAAGTCAGACTTCTACGCATATTTCCTTCGGTTCTGACTTCATTGCCCTTTTCCTAGGTTCCAAACCAACAGGTGTCACCCAACTGCTCCCAGAGATCCTCCTAGAGTATCATTCTCTACCTGCAGATCTGCCTCATTGCAGCTGCCCTCATGGATGGTGTCCATTGGCCAATCATTAAGAGACAAAAACTCTGCAAGAAGTTATTCCAGAGAGCAACTCGCCCAGCCTCCTACTGCAGGTGAGGCCACACTGGGTTACACATCACTCTGCCCTTTCCTCGGTGTTGTCAGACTCTCCGTGGTCTCTGTGGAGTCAGAGGTCTGTAAAAAGGCATTGCTCACACTTGCCAGCCTTCGATTGAGAAAGAGAAACTGAAGGAACCACCTTTCAACTTTTTCCTTCCACTGGCCCATTACAGGTCTCACCTCCAATCTCACAGCCCTGAGATTCCCACTTTCATGTGCACACTTTGAGTTAGAGGAGTTCAACAATCGGTCCCTCAGCCAGGCTCACAGCAGATGTGAAAGAGCATTCTGCGGGGATGGAAATCTCTCCGCTTCATTAACATAAGGCTGCTGGGCCACTGCACGGTGGCTATTGTGATGAGGTTCTGAAATTTTTTTTTTTTTTTTCGAGACAGAGTTTCATTCTTGCTGCCCAGGCTGGAGTACAATGACATGATCTCAGCTCACTGCAACCTCCGCCTCCCGGGTTCAGGTGATTCTCCTGCCTCAGTCTCCCGAGTAGCTGGGATTACAGGTGTGCACCACCACACCCAGCTAATTTTTGTAGAGACGGGGTTTCACCACGTTGGCCAGACTGGTCTCGATCTCCTGACCTCAGATGATCCACCCGCCCCGGCCTCCCAAAGTGCTGAAATTATAGGCGTGAGCCACCATGCCCGGCCCTGAACTTTTAATTGTAAATATTTCAATGTATTTAAATGAGGGCCGGGCACGTTGGCTCATGCCTGTAATCCCAGCACTTTGGGAAGTCGAGGTGGGCGGATCATGAGGTCAGGAGATCGAGACCATCCTGGCTAACACCATGAAACCCCGTCTCTACTAAAAATAAAAAAAAATTAGCCGGGCGTGGTGGCAGGCGCCTGTAGTCCCAGCTACTCGGGAGGCTGAGGCTGGAGAATGGCGTGAACCCGGGAGGTGGAGCTTGCAGTGAGCCGAGATCACGCCACTGCACTCCAGTCTGGGCGACAGAGCGAGATTCCACCTCAAAAAAAAAATACGAGGCGGCACATATATGACTGAGAACCACACTAGACGGCACAGGAGATCCAGACATGAGGAAGACATGACTCCCCTCCCCTGGTGTTTTCTTGCGAAATAGTTTGCAGCTCTGCTCCTACCATACGTTTATGGTTACTTCCTGGGCATCTGCACAAGTGCCAGTCACTGTGTGGGGCTGGGGATATGACAACAATGAGGACAACATCCAGGTCCAGAGGGATTCCAGCAGGGGGCGCACGTGCACACAGGGGAAGAGCGTGGCCCTGCACAGCCTGTCTAGACAGGATCAGCGCAGCAGGAACCGAGGGGCAGGGGTACCTCACTGTCCTCAGGAGCTCAAGTTCATCTCCAGGGACCCTGACTCAGAAGCTGGGGCAGCCTCCAGGATTGGTGTAGGGCTCAACAGGCTGGACAGGCTGAGAAGGGAACATTTCCACAACTAAGCTAGATCCCACCCCAGAGGCGACCTAGAACTCATCCCAGGGATGTGTTCATTACAATGCCCATGGGGCCTAACATGTTCGCCCCAGGACTGAGCTCTGGGATAAGGACTAATGAGGAAGACACAGTCACTGCCCTGGCAGAAAACACCCATAGCCAGGGTTCCTCTATCCACCCTGTGGGAAGACACAACACAGACTTTGACACTGAAGATTCCAAACCTTCTATAAAATAAGTGGAAACTGATGTACTCTGGATTCTAAGAAGAGTTGCAAGGATGAGCTGGACTCTGGAATCAGTCCCCATCCCTCTGCTGAGCTCATGGTGCACTGGCACTCGTGTCCCTCCTCACCTCCCCTGCTACTCGGGAGTGCTGCAGCTACAGGCCCAGTGCTAGGGGGCGCTGTCCAGTTGAAACACGTCAGCCAGGCACAGTGGCTCACGCCTGTAATCCCAGCACTTTGGGAGGCTGAGGCAGGTGGATCATCTGAAGGAGTTCAAGACCAGCCTGGCCAACATGGAGAAACCCCATCTCTACTATAAATACAAAAATTAGCTGGGCATGGTGGTGCACGTCTGTAATTCCAGCTACTCAGCAGGCTGAGGCAGGAGAATCACTTGAACCTGGGAGGTGGAGGTTGCAGAGAGTTCAGATCCTGCCACTGCACTCCAGCCTGGGCAACAGAGTGAGACTCTGTCTCAAAACAAACAAACAAACAAAACAACAAAAACACATTTCTGGGCCAGACAACCCTTGGTCAACAGTGTCTCCTCAAGGACCATTCCTCAAGTGACTTCCAGAAGAGGTGAAAAAGAAAAACTCATCTGTCCCAGCCCCAGGAAGATCAGGCCTGGGACCTGTGTCCTGACCCTGAAGTCCATCCCTGCTGATTTGTGTCCTGTCTGCTCCGTGTCAGAGAAGTGGGGACCTGATTCCTGTTCTGCCCCCCAACCAATTTCTGCTGGTGTCACTGCCATCATCACATACAGATGGAGAAGACAAGAGAAAGCAATGAAACTCCATTCTTGAGGCATTTAGGATGATGTCCATGCCATGCTTTCGGCAGACAGGAAGGCCAGGTCCTGTTCACTCCTACTCAGAAGGGGTCTAAGAGATATGAGTACTAACTGTGATATTTCTCCTCTGCTCTTCCCTTCCTTTTTTCTTTTTTTTTTTTTAAGACGAAGTCTCGTCCAGTCACCCAGGCTGGAGTGCAATGGCTCAATCTCGGCTCACTGCTACCTCTGCCTCCTGGGTTCAAGTGATTCTCCTGCCTCAGCCTCCTGAGTACCTGGCATTACAGGTGCCCACCACCACACCCAGCTAATTTTTGTATTTGCAGTTGAGACGGGGTTTCACCAGCTCGGCCAGGCTGGTCTTGAACTCCTAACCTCAGGCAATCCACCCACCTCGGCCTCCCAAAGTGCTGGGATTAGAGGCTTGAGCCACCGCGCCCAGCCCATGTCTTCCGTTTCTTTACACTGTGTGCGTCCATTGAGTCAGTGGCTGCTCATGCTCACACCAGCCCCCGACAGTGGGACAGTCCATCATGGGGATCAGTACATGGTGAGCGCTAAGCCTCACTAACGTAGCGATGCAGGAGGTCTCCAGTGAGATTGATGGGCACCAGGCTAACAACAATGTCCTCTGAGTTCTGATGTGGCACTGGCCCTTGTCCGTCTGCTATGGATTGGAGCTTTTTTTTTTTTTTTTTTTTTTGAGACAGAGTTTCACTCTGCCACTCAGACTGCAGTGCAGGGGTTCGATCTTGGCTCACTGCAACCTCCACCTCCCAGGTTCAAGTGATTCTCCAGCCTCAGCCTCCCAAGTAGCTGGGATTACAGGTGTGTGCCACCATGCCTGACTACTTTTTGTATAAAAATACAGGCTTTCACCATGTTGGCCAGGCTGGTCTCAAACTCCTGACTCAGGTGATCGGCTGTCTCAGCCTCCCACCGTGCCCGGCCATGGATTGGAGCATTTCTAAGGCTTGAGGTACTCATGTTACTAAATACAATGCAATATCTTCCTGATCCTTCCCTGCTTTGACCAAGTGCTAAGGAATGATCGCAGCACTGACAGATGTTGACCTGCACTATTCCATGTGATCCCTTACACTTCTCAGAATCTGTGAGCTGACCAGAAGCCTGTGGGCTTTCTATGTATATTTCACAGTAATGTCCATGCCAACGTCTATTGTTCCGTGTACCTTTTGCTACCCAGGGTTATGTGACCAATGGGGCCCCATTTGATGATGGGCAATGTTTGGCACGCTTATAGGCCATCCACTACCACTACCAGGGGCACACATAGGTGCTGGAACTCCCTGGTGTAGGGTCATATCACCAAGCCTGAGTGCTGACACAGTTAAGTAATACAGACCATCAACATCGGGACCCATTTCTGGGTTCACTTTTGCCTTTTCCATTCAGGAGGTCAAAATCTGGGTTCATTCCTTTCTGCACTCTCTCCATATAAGGAGTAGGGATATTAAACTGACCTTCAGGTACAGCTGTGGTGAGGGAGTAAAGAGGTCATTTATGTAAAGTGTATGGTGGTGTTGAAGTTTTTCTTCCTTTTTATTAGAAGAATGACATGACTCGGGAGGCTGAGGTGAGAGAACCACCATAGGCCAGGAATTCAAGAAAACTGACACTTGCACTGTGCTGGGCATGCGGGTCCACATTTTAGGGGAAAAACACACATTTACAAACACATTCACAATCACTACACATTAATTCATCCCTAGCTAACTCCCAACCCTCATGCACACAAACCCACACCATCTAAATGATACGGCTGTTTCCAGGGACTCCAGTGGATGATGACAGTTCTTCACTGAGCCATCTGTTTCTCACAGTGCACTCCAGGTCCTCACTCCTATCAGGAACCTGAGGCCAGGCAGGCTCTCCAGACAAAAGCAGGGAATAGAGCCCCCCACAACCCATCACTTAGATTTGTATCAGCAAGGGAGTGGTCTTAGGATATATACGGTGTTAGAGAAGAGAACAAGACACACTCGGGCCTGTCGGGGCAGGGGAAGGGAGAGCATCTGGATAAACAGCAAATGCATGCAGGGCTTAATACCTAGGTGATGGTTTGACAGGTGCAGCAAACCACCATGGCACACTTTTACCTATGTAACAAACCTGTACATCCTGCACATGTATCTCAGAACTTAAAAAAAAAAAAAAAAAAAACAAGTTAAAAAAGAAACGGCCGGAGTAGGCAAATCTACAGCAATAGAAAGTAGATGAGTGGCTTCCTATCGCCAGAGGTGTGGGGGTTGGAAAAAGAGAGGAGTAACCACTAATGGATACAGGGTTTCTTCGTGGAGGAATGAAAACGTTCTAAAATGAGATTGTACAATGGTTGCACAACCCTGTAAATACAGTAAAAACACTGAATCACCCACTTTAAATGGGTGAATTGTTTTGCATGTCAACTATTTCTCAATAAAGCTTTTTTTAAAAATAATAAATACATACGGTAGGAATTTTGGGCAATGGGTTTTCATGGAATATTTGCAAGTCCATGTTGGCTGGCAAATACAAAATTATTTTTCAAGAAGAAAAAGTTGCTACTAAAAAATATGCTCACTACCAGACAGTTTGTAGGTAATGCTGTCATTTTTTACTGTCATCATCAATTAGGCCTCAGTTGTTCATAAACTCATGGCTGGTCACTAGAGTCCATGACCAACTGAAGCTTGATCAACTGAAGCTTGATTGACAATGGCAATCAAAAATGATATTCACTTGATATTCCCCCCACCAAGAAAATTGTCTTAGTCATCTGTTATGTATATGGTCAGACTTTTATGTCTTCATTTCATTAATAAGGGAAGAAGCCCCAGAAAAAAAAAAAATTCTCTTCCAGATGAAGGAATGCATCTCACCATTTCAGATAACACCTCCTCCGCAATATCAAGCGCAATATCTTCCAGGTCCAGAACAGAAGCTAGGAGAACATAGAGTAATAGTCAGTGCATTGGTGCTTCTCAGGAATCCCACTAGGAGCCTTGGGGGATGTGGGGACCAGCGCTGAAGTCTATGGAGGTGGGTGGTTGACAAGCATGGACTGAGCTGCTGCTGGACCATTCTCTTTGGTGTGGAAGGAAAGCAAAGGAGAGGAGGAGAAATGTGAAATATTAGCGTTAAGAACTGATTAATACAGAAAGGCACTGTATGGTTCTGTGAGAGCATCTCCTCACACCTCCTGCCCATTTGAAGGTCCAGGCCAATCCCCTCATTTTTCAAAATGTTACAAGACCATTTAATTCTGTGGATTTACATATCCTGCTACTACATTTATCACCTATCGTGTTTTACTTTTTAAATTATGGTGAAGCATACATATTATTTTAATTATTTAGTGTACATTTCAGTGAGATTGAATTCAGTGAACTACATTCATGACGCGGTGTCAATAATGAGAAAAATCTAAATTCATACTCTAAGCTTAAAAAACAATTCTTGCAGAAATCAATGGAATAGAAAACAGAAAATCATCCGAGAAAATCAATAAAACAAAAAGCCAGTTCTTTGAGATCAGTACCATTGATAAACCTCTACCTTGGCTAACCACAAAGGAAAGAAAGATGTTACAATGTACTAATAGCATCAATTGAAGAGCAGTTAAATCAAAAAATAATAAAGGAATATTCTGAACACATCTATGCCCACAATTTGATACATAGATGAAATGAGCTCATTCCTTTTTATCGATTTTAGAAGACCAAAAGTCTTCTGGGGAAAAATAGATCATCTGAATAGGCCTATATTTATTTTAGAAATTGAAGCAATGATTAATAATCTTTCAAAAGAAGGAAAAACCAAAAACACTACATTCATATGATTTCACTGGTTAAAAAAAAAAAAAAAAAATTCTACCAAAATTCTTTTTTGTTGTTGTTTTTTGCGACGCAGTTTTGCTCTGTCACCAAGCTGGAGTGCAGTGGCGCGAACTCGGCTCACTGCAACATCTGACTCCCTGGTTCAAGCGATTCTCCTGCCTCAGCCTCTCAAGTAGCTGGGATTACAGGCACAGGCCACCACGCCCAGCTGATTTTTGTATTTTTAGTGGAGGCGGGGTCTCGCCATGTTGGCCAGGATGGTCTTGATCTCCTGACCTCGTGATCACCCGCCTCAGCTTCCCAAAGTGCTGGGATTACAGGCGTGAGCCACCGTGCCCAGCCCCAAAATTCTTACAAAGAAAAACCTGGTCTTACCATACAAGCAAGTAATTATAATCCTAAGTATTTCCTTAGTTATATTTTGGAAACATAATTTTTAAACAAGACACAGCAAGGTTTTTAATAGCTATATTCATAATTGCCCAAAGTGAAAGCAAATATCTAAACATTTGAGGTGTCCTTTACTATTAAAAGTGAACCAAGCCTGGGCAACATGATGAAACCCCATCTATACAAAAAAAAAAAAATAGAAAAATTAGCTTGGCATGATGCCTTAGTGCCAGTTACTTGGGAGCCTGAGGTGGGGGGAACACCTGAACCTGAGGAGGTCAAGGTTGCAGTGAGCTGTCATTGCACCAATGCATTCCTGGGTGACAAAATGAGGCCTTGTCTCAAAAAATAATAATTTTGAATTTTGAATTTAAGAAATCTCCAGCCGGGCGCAGTGGCTCACGCCTGTAATCCCAACACTTTGGAAGGCCGAGGCAGGTGGATCATGAGGTCAGGAGATAGAGACCATCCTGGCTAACACGGTGAAACCCACCTGTACTAAAAATACAAAAAATTAGCCAGGTGTGGTGGCACGTGCCTGTAGTCCCAGCTACTCAGGAGGCTGAGGCAGAAGAATTGCTTGAACCCGGGAGGCAGAAGTGGCAGTGAGCTGAGATCATGCCTCTGCCCTCCAGCCTGGACAACAGAGTGAGACTCCATCTCAAAAAAAAAAAAACAAAAAATCCAAATATTTGGGCCTGAATTATCCCAATTATTAGCTACTTTAAGGGTTGGGAGAAAAGTAACAATCTGACCCTTAGCTGGTTCCTTCATTTAGGTACCAAACCGGCCGGATAGGTGAGGCTAGAGAATGGGATGGGGACTCCAAAATTGGGGTATTTGAATTTTCATTGAGAAAAGGGAGAGACTAGATCAAAAAAGCCTCAATGTCTAAGGCAAGAGGCAGAGCCAGCCTTTGTCCCCCATGCCCAGACCTGGGAAAGCTGGCTATGGACAGGAGGGAGCTGGAAGCTGAGGATGTCTCTGGGGATGAGGGTAAGGGAAGGGGGTGGGGGTGGCCAGAGGTGTGCCAGAGGGTAAACGGCACCCGTGGCTTTTTTACCTGTGGGCATCTTTTGGTTGCTGATGTGCTGCAGGTCTTGGCCCTCCGTGGCTCCCACATCCAGCTTGCCAGGCTCTACGGTAGTGGATTCTGATGTTGCAGCAGCCACGGCCTCATAAATATCAGATTCATAACTGGATGCTGCCTTCCCCCTGGGCCAGCCACAGTCGGAGCTGACTTTGGGGCACACACGACAGGTCAGTATATTCCCCGTGGGGCACCTACACTCCTCTCCACTCCTGCCTGAGCCTTCGATGAAATTGTAACTGTGCTGCCCTAGCAGCCACACTACTGAGGGTGGCCCTGCACTTGTAGAAGCAGCCTGACCCCAGGCAGATCTGGGGCCTCAGCCCGTAGTCTGCCGCCACCTCCCAAACTGGATGGTCTATGAGGTCGGGGACCTACTGTTTTACCTCAAAAAGAAACACGACAAGCGCCAAGAGGCACAAAAACTGCCGTCAAAGAGCACAGTCGGAGCTCCTCCTCCCTCCACTGCCAGCTACCGACTGAGGGCTGCTGGCCTGGCTAATGCCTATAACCCACAAAGCTTCCTATGTCACCTGGTTACCAGGAAACAGGTCAGGCTAGTGACTCACCATGTCCAGCCCCACAGCCCCCCCAGTGCCTCACAATGCCCATCCCAGCTGCTGCCCACCTTGTGGCACCCCTGCCCCTCCATGGGGACTGCACTACTCAGGCTTTTATTCACCCTGTGCGGCCTGAGCTTTCCAGAACTAAGCAAAGTGCAGGGGGGGATTGTTATTGGAAGTCACCCTTGGCAAGAAACTCAATAGAAAACCCTGGCACGGCCGGGCACGGTGGCTCACGCCTGTAATCCTAGCACTTTGGGAGGCTGATGGGGGAGGATCACCCGAGATCAGGAGTTCGAGACCAGCCTGGCTAACATGGTGAAACCCCATCTCTACCAAAAATACAAAACATTAGCTCGGCGTGGTGGCAGGCACCTGTCATCCTAGCTACTCTGGAAGCTGAGGCAGGAGAGTCGCTTGAATCCAGGAGGTGGAGGTTGCACAGTGAGCTGAGATCGCGCCATTGCACTCCAGCCTGGGTGACAGGGTTGAAACTCTCTCAAAAAAAATAAAATAAAATAAAATAAAATAAAGAAAACCCCAGTTACTAAAGTCAGTTCCACCAGCATTTCTGTTTTTGAGTCTGACAGCTTTCATTTGCTCACCAAATGTAGTTATACACAAGTTTTTGACTGCTTTTGTAACTAAATGCTTCTCTCCTGTCTTACAAGTGTTAGTTCTTGTCTGCAACTTGACCATAGCTACCCCCAGGGCCCTGGTCCCACTCTCAATAGAGAGTTATGGCTGTGTATCCTCAGTGAAACCCTGGGACACATCACACTTCCCTCCTCGTCTATAAAATAGGGACTGAACACATCCTTCCCAGTTCTGTAATGCTAGGACGTACCAACTCCCTTTTCTCGCTGTTTCTTCTTTCCATGGCAGGGGTATTCAGATATTTCTTTTATTTACTTTTTATTTATTTTTTGAGATGGGAGTGTCACTCTGTTGACCAGGCTGGGGTGCAGTGGCACGACCTCGGCTCACTGCAGCCTCCACCTCCCAGGTTCAAGTGATTCTCCAGCCTCAGCCTCCCGAGTAGCTGGGACTACAGGCATGCACCACCGCATCTGGCTAATTTTTGTATTTTTAGTAGAGATGAGAGTTTCACCATGTTGGTCAGGCTGGTCTTGAACTCCTGACCTCAGGTGATCCACCTGACTCAGCCTCCCAAAGCGCTGGGATTACAGGTGTGAGCCACCACGGCCAGCCTCAGGTATTTCTTTTACTAATAATGCATAAAACATTATTTTCTTATACAAAATTAAGAACCACACAGTGGGGTACCATTGTCCTCATTTGATAAAGATGAATAGTCAACATCTGGCAAGCATTATGTGTCTGACACTGTTCCAACTGTGGCCTACTAATTTAACCTTCAGAAACAGTCGCATTTTATAGATTTTGGAGAATAAATCTAGATGGAAAAGTCAAGTAACTTCCCCAAAGTCCCACGACTGCTCAAGGTGGGGCCAGATTTTAATCCTGAGGAGTCTTGATCCCCACAAGATGACTGTGGTTATCAGAAAGTAAAGGTAGAAGTCAAGCATGGAGGGGAAGTGACATTGTAGATTAGTTTATTTTAAGAAAAATGGCTGGGCGCGGTGGCTCACAGCTGTAATCCTAGCACTTTGGGAGGCCCAGGTGGGTGGATCACGTGAGGTCAGGAGTTTGAGACCAGCTGGGGCAACATGGCAAAACCCCATCTCTACTAAAAATACAAAAAATAGCTGGGCGTGGTGGCACATGCCTGTAATCCCAGCTACTCAGAAGGCTGAGGCAGGAGAATCACTTGAACCCAGGAGGCAGAGGTTGCAGTGAGCTGAGATTGTGCCACTGCACTCCAGCCTGGGCAACAGAGCGAGACTCCATCTCAAAAAACAACAAAAAAATGTTTTTTATGTGGATTTTTAAATTCCTCCCTTTCATTCAACATTAAATCCCTTCTAAGGGTGAGGCACTTCATGGTCCTGAAACAGTCCCAACACTCAGTGAGTTCAGGCAGATGAGCAAACCAAGGCTTAGAGAGTTCAGTTGTGTAAGACTACACTGCTGGGCAGTGAATGAACCTGGAATACAAAGACTCATTCACTGTCCAGCAGTAGAGTTTAAGTAGAGTTTAAATTTTATTCTAGCAACATGAGAGTCACGGAACCACATAGAGATGAGGAGTCTCTATCAGACGTGTTTGCAGTGAGGTCTCTCTGCACAACAGAGAAGGACTCATGGAAGCAATGGGACCAATTAAGAGACATTATGTTGGGAGGCTGAGGTGGGTGGAACATTTGAGGTCAGGAGTTCGAGACCAGCCTGGCCAACATGGTGAAACCCCATGTCTACTAAAAATACAAAAATTAGCCTGGCATGGTGGCGGGCACCTGTATGTAGTCCCATCTACTCGAGGGGCTGAGGCAGGAGAATCACTTGAACCCGAGAGGTGGAGGTTGCAGTGAGCCAAGATCACACCATTGAACTCCAGCCTAGGCGACAGAGAGAGATTCTGTCTCAAAAAAAAGAGAGAGAGACACTATGTTCATCTGGGAGAACAGATAAGGCCAAAGGCAGAGGAAATGACTGAAGTGGACGGAAAAGTTTTGTGTTCATTTGGGAGAGAGAACAGGTAGTGCTAGAGGATTAGATGTGGAAGAACAGGGGAAGGAAAAGGAAAAACAGGCTGCTAAGGCTCTAGTTTGAAGGACTGGGTAAATATCAGTGACTTTCTCCTACACAGACAATGTAGGAAGAGGAATAGGTATGGGGAATAAGATAGTTTTGGGCCAGACACGGTGACTCACGCCTGTAATCCCAGCACTTTGGGAGGCCGAGCTGGGTGGATCATGAGGTCAGGAGTTCGAGACCAGCCTGGCCAACATGGTGAAACCCAGTCTCTACTAAAAATACAAAAATTAGCCAGGCACAATGGCAGGTACCTGTAATACCAGCTACTCGGGAGGCTGAGGCAGGAGAATCCCTTGAACCTGGGAGGCGGAGCTTGCAATGAGCCGAGATCATGCCACTGCACTCCAGCCTGGGTGACAGAGTGAGACTCCGTCTCAAAAAAAAAAAAAAAAAAAAAAGATAGTTCTGGACTCTTAAGTATCGCACTGAAATGGAGCTCTCTGCTTGAAAGTTGGATAGAAACCTCTGTAGGCTAAGTCCATTCTATGACATCACAACTCATGTTTTAAAAAATAACACACACGTTAAGTCAAACCATTAACGAAATTTCCTAACATTTACATACAAAGAATATGACAATTTTTTAGTTATTACTTTCTTAGAGCAACTCTGAATTTATGATCATGGTGAATGAGGTGTCATGTAAAATAAAGCTGTTATATAAAAACAACATTTAAATTTTATTCTCATCAGAGCATATAGAAAACAATTGAAGCCATGGGTATGGCAGGGATTGCTTTAAAAAGCTGTGTCTAATAAGGGGAGTTGGAAAGAAAAGAGATGTGGGGGCCAGGCACGGTGGCTCATGCCTGTAATCCCAAAACTTTGGGAGGCCTAGGCAGGCGGATCACCTGAGGTCAGGAGGAGTTCAAGACCAGCCTGGCCAACATGACAAAACCCCGTCTCTACTAAAAATACAAAAATTAGCGGGCATGTTGGTGGGCACTTGTAATCCCAGCTATTCGGGAGGCTGAGGCAGGAGAACTGCTTGAACCCAGGGGATGGATGTTGCAGTGAGCCGAGATGGTGCCACTGCACTCCAGCCTGGGTGACAGAGCAAGAATCTGTCTAGCAAAAAAAAAAGAAAAAAGAAAGGAGACTTGGGGAACAGGGAGATTTAAGTGGCATTAAGTAAAGCCTGCAAATGTAAGCAGTGAGTGTCAAGGTACCTCACTGTTCATCAGAAATGGCTGATCGAGTGAGTCTCATCACAATGGAGCTGGTGTCTGCTTCTGATTTCTGTAATGGCCACACCTAGCACAGTACCTGGTCAATAGGGACTCAATACCTGATACCCCAATGAACAGAGTAAAATTCTGCCAGTTCAAAAACACATCCATACCCACCAACTTCTCTCGTGGAGTTTTACTTCTTTCACTTACTGTAATGTTTTGAAGTTCATCCCTCCTGTGACCTGTATCCATAGTTTCTTTTCCTTGTGTAACTGAGCAGTACTCCACTGTATGCACAGACCATATGGGTCTATCCATTCTCTAGCTGACGGACACTTGGGTTGTTTCCAGTTGCTGCCTATAGTGAATGAGGCTGCTGAGAACATTTATGTACACGTCTTTTTGGAACACATGCTTTCATTTCTTCTAGACAAATTCTTAGGGCTGGAATTGCTAGGTCAAATGGCTAGTTCATGCTTAACTTCTTTTTCTTGCCTTTCTTATTAATAGAAAAGAATATACTGATACATGATATTGGAAATATCTTTTTTTTTTTTTGAGGTGGAGTATTGCTTTGTCATCTAGGCTGGAGTGCAGTGGCGCAATCTCGGCTCACTGCAAGCTCTGGCTGCTGGGTTCACACCATTCTCCTGCCTCAGCCTCCCAAGTAGCTGGAACTACAGGTGCCCGCCACCATGCTCAGATAATTTTTTTGTATTTTTAGTAGAGACGGGGTTTCACCATGTTAACCAGGATGGTCTCGATCTCCTGACCTCATGATCCGCCCGCCTCGGCCTCCTAAAGTGCTGGGATTACAAGTGTGAGCCACCAGACTCGGCCTATATTGGACATTTCTGAGTTACATGTGCTGTTTGGTTCTGTGCATCCACCGTGTCATCATCAAGTCAGGATATTTGGGGTATGGCTTCAGTATTTATCATTTCTATGTGTTGAGTATATTTCAGTTCTCTCTTGTGGCTATTTTGAAATATACAATACATTATTGCTAACCATAGTCACCCTACTCTGCTATCCAACATTAGAACACATTCCTTGCATCTAACTGTAAGTGTGTATTCATTGACCAACCTCTCTGCATTCCCTTCTTATACCCAGAGAAGGAGAGAGGAAGGAAGGAAAGGAGCTGTGGTTGGGCTGAATTAGGGCCCAGGGACGGCTGTGTCCCAGTCCCGGGACCTGTCCATGTGCTGTGTTGTGTGGCCTCAGGGACTTTACAGATGTGATGATGTCAAGGGGCCTGAGGTGGAAGATGATCCTGGGTTATGTGGGTGGGTCCAAGGTGGGGTCTTTATAAGGGAAAGGAGGAGGCAGGAGGGTCAGAGTGACAGCAGGTGTGGGGCTGGAGGACAAGAAAGGGAGAGAAGGAGGGAGGGTGAGAGAAGGCGGTGGGGAGAGAGAGAGAGAGAGAGAGAGAAGAGTGGGAGAGATTTGAAGATGCTGGCTCTGGCTTTGAAGTTGGAGGAAAGGGCCAGGAGCCCAGGGCATCCTCTAGAAGCTGGAAAAATCCTGGACACGGATTCTCTCCGTAGCCCTCAAAGGAGCCTGGCCTGGCTGGCACCCTGATTTTAGCACTCTACGATTCATTTTGGACGTCTGACCTCCAGACCAGGGACAGAATCAATGTGTGATGTTTTAAGCCTCTAAATTACGGGTCATTTCTGACAGCAGCCACAGGAAAGTGAAACAGGAGCCATGGGAGAGACTCCCTAGGATGCCCCAAGGGTACCTCCTTGGCCCCACCCACAGAAACACAGGCCTGACCACTGCTGGTGCCACCACCCCTCTAACACCCTGATGAGCAGGAACCATGCAGGAGAGGCTGGGTGTGGCTGGGCCCTGTTCTCTCCCCCCACACCTTCTTCTCAGAGAGGAGCTGGAGCCCCAGACCTAGGGAGCCTCACAGAGAAATGCCCAACACAGGACCTGGTTTTCCACCTGAGGCCCAGGATCCAATGGCGAAGAGTTTCCCAAAAATGATGCTTCCTGCAAAGATGGCCAGTGACTGTCTGTGCCAAGCATCTGAGAAACTCTCCATGTCCTAGGGCTGCCAGGAAGTCACCTGTGCACATGTCAGAGCCCAAATCCCATCAATAGTGAGGCCTTGGGTAAAACACATCCCCACTTTTAATTATGAAGAGATGCCTGGCCTCAGCATTGAGAAAACCAACTTCCCTCGAGCAAAGACTTGTTTAATCTCTTAGAAATGATGGAGCACACCAGCCTGAACAACATGGCGAAACTCCATCTCTAATAAAAATACAAAAATTAGCCGGGTGTGGTGGCACATACCTGTAATCCCAGCTACTCAGGAGGCTGAGGCAGGAGAATCTGTTGAACCTGGGAGGTGGAGGTTATGGTGAGCAGAGATTGTACCATTGCACTCCAGCCTGGGCAACACAGCGAGACTCCAACTAAAAAAACAAAAAGAAAGAAATGATGGAGGTATTACCCTTCTTGCACTGGTTCCTGGAGAGCTCAGAGCCTATCTTTTGCAAGTGTCCTGATCCTCTTGCAGGCCTTTCATGTGTGTTTCCTTCTTGGCTTCCTCCTATTTTTCTCAGGCCTCTGAACCTGCTGTCAGATGAAAAATCCTGGACAGTCCAGCTCTCAGGGGTGGGGAGTTGGGCAGAGAGGAAGGAAGGCATTCCAGGGGCCAGGGTCAGGGCCAGAAGAGGGGCTCCAGGCTCAGAGTAGGATTTCCAGGCTGAGGAAAGAGAGGCTGTGGGTGGGTAGAGGGTCCAGACCAGGACAGGGACACAGGGTGTATCTGGAGGCTCAGCCAGAAGTAGCTCCCTCCAGAAAGCAGGCAGCGAGTTGGGGGTTGAGCTGCAAGGAAGAAGGGGAGGAGGGAGAGACTGGAGGGACTGGTGTCCAGTGAGCGAACTCCTCCTATCCTGGCCTATTTCCCCAGGGGACACCCGTGGGTGGCTTTGATCCTCTCCTCCAGGCTACTTTCCCACTGGTGTCAGCATTCTCCCAGCGCCACACTGAGAACCCAGGAGAAGCATCACATTATATGAGAGATAAGAAATGAAGAGAGGGAGCAGGATTTCTGGTTGACAAAGAGGATATTTACTGAGGGTTTACTGGGTACAGGGAGAAGGGCTGGATGGCTTGGGATGCAGAGAGAGACGCCTCCCCTGGGATCCTGCAGCTCCAGGCCCCTGTGGGTGGGGTGGGGGCTGGGAACCTATGAACATTCTGCAGGGGCCACCGTCTTCTCTGCAGTGCTCCCTTCATGCATGACCTGGCAGCTGTAGCTTCTGCGGGACCTCCACTGCTCGGGCGTCAGGCTCAGGTAGCTGCTGGCCATGTACTTGCTGTTGCTCTGTTTGGAGGGCGTGGTCATCTCCACGCCCTGGGTGATGGGGGTACCATCTGCCTTCCAGGTCACCGTCAAGATTCCCAGATAGAAGTCATTCATGAGACACACCAGTGTGGCCTTGTTGGCTTGGAGCTCCTCAGAGGACGGCAGGAACAGAGTGACCGAGGGGGTGGCCTTGGGCTGACCTGTGTGGACAGAGGAGGGGGTGAGAGATGGCAGAGGGAGTGTGGGGTGTTGTGGAGCGCCTCTCTCTGTCTAAAGTCTCTGGGAGGGTTCATGGTGTGGCCGTCTGGTCCACCCAGGGCCTCTCCTTCCCTCCTCATTCCCTCCTTTCCACTGGAGCCCTCTGGAGAGCAGACAGCCCTGTGCCTTCCTAGGACCCCTTCCCAAGTCACCTTTCCCAGGTGTCCTGGCCCAGCCCTTTCCTCTGCAGCCTCAGTTTCCCCGTGTGCACCCAGGGCAGGCTGTGCTCCCTCCTTCCTGGTTTCTGGAGTCTGAGTTTGGAATCTAGGGGTCTCCCCAACAGCACACAAAACTGACCTGGCAGGGTGTGGGGAGGCCCAAGCCTGGCATGGCCTGGAGCTTCCCATCCCCTGGGGCACCAGGCTGTGACCCAGCCTGGCCCACTCAGCTCTCCTGGTGAAGCGTGGGCTCCACCCAGACACACCCTGGGGCTCTGCCGTCGCCCCTGTCCCCACCAGCCCAACCACAGGACCCTTCACATCGGCTGGGTTCTTGGGGCTGCTAACACAGATGTTGGGGTACCACAGCCCCCATGCCCACCCCAGCAGCCTCTGATGCCCCTGGACTTCACCTGTCAGCCGTGGAGTTCTCTGCACTCCCGTTTACTCCCCGCTAGTCACCTTCTGAGTCTAAGGTGCCCTTCCTCAAATGAAGGCAGGAGGCCGACCTGTGAATGGAGACACCAGGCCCCAGAGGTGATAGGGCTCCAGGGACAGACACATCTCTGCACTAAGAGACCCTCTCCTTTCTCGTGACCGTCCTGGGAGGGCTGGGCTCTGGGACCTCACCCAGTCTCACCCATCCCTCTATGTCCCCATGTCCTTACGACCCAGCACAGGCCACAGAGCTGCAGCCTAGACCCAGAGCCCTCTCTGTGCCCTCCATTGGTCTCCCCTTGGGGTGACGCCTGTGTCCCCAGGGCCCTGTGTGGCCCTCCCAGGCTGGATGGGCATCCAGCCCTCAGCCTAGACCCTGGGGTCCCGGGGACTGTCTCTAAGGCCACTGCAGGGCCCCTTATCAGAACCGGCCTCTGTCCCTCACTCAGACACTTGCCCTGGGAGAGGGGAGGAGCACTGACCCCGCCCAATCCCAGCCCAGGTCCCGGGACCAGGCTGTGTCCCACTGTTGGAACCTGAAGGCGGCTGCTCCCACTGTAGAGGCCCTTCAAGCCAGTTGACCTGAGACTAGCCCACTTCCCCCAGACCCCAAGGAGAAAGGGAGGGTTTCATGCCTAAGGCCTGGAGGCCAGAGGGGAAGAAGACCCAGAGAAAGAAAACAGATTTTTCCAGAGACAGGAGAGGGTGGGACAGGCTGGGAAGTTAGAGCCACGTACCTAAAACGGTGAGCTGGGTCCCGCTGCCAAACACATGCTTCACTGAATTATGCTTGGATTGAAACCCCCGGGGCCAGCACCCGGGGCCAGTCCAGGAGCCGCGCTGGAGCAGGAACCTGCTGGGTGTGAGGGGCACAGGGCTGCAGTGTGTAGGCTGTGATCTAGGCACAGGGTAGGGGGGTGGCCAGTGTCCCAGTAGTGTCCCCCAGTAGTGTCTCTGTGCCTGTTCTCTATCTGAGGCAGGTGCCGCCCACAGCCTTGGAGTCACCCCGGCATGTGTCCCCCTCTCTGAAGCTGTTGGTGCTGATGGCAACGCTGGGCCCAGTAGGTCCCAGCAACTCCCTGAGTGACACATCCCCTCAGGCAGCTGTGCCGTGTGGCTGAGGAGTCCTCAGCTGGCTCGGACCTGTCCACCTCACTTGGCCTCATTTTAAGGGCCTCTGAAATCTGCCACAAGTGTCCCCAGTCAAGGAGGCTGACTTCCTCCCTGGACCAGGACACTGGGTCATTCCTGACTCAAGAGGAGAGTCCTCTGCTTTTGTATCTACCCATGGAGATGCAGCTCAGTCTCACTTTGTTCATGAAGCCTTTTCTGATCATTCATTCCGTCTGTCCGTCCATCCATCTGTCCATCTGTGCATCTGTCCATCTATTCATCTGTCTTTGCATCCATCTATCATCTGTCCATTCATCCATCCATCTACCTGTCCGTCCATCCATAAATACATTCTGTCTACCAGGCACTGTTTCGTGTGCTGGGGACATGGTGTGGTCCCCCAGGCTCTCACCCCCATCTCTCCCAGGTCATGGCCAACAAGGCCCTCCTCATGGTCATGTCCAAGGTCCTTCTGCTGTACCTGGTGTCTCTGCTGGATATGACATGGGACTGGCCCCTCTTTCCAGTGACTCTTTTCCCCTGGGGTCTGAGACTCCCCTTTCCTCTTACCCTGGCATCTGTTTCTCCATGGCCCATGCCTGGCTGCTGACTCCCCAGCCCCCACCCAGACCTCTTTCTTGGCCATCTTCACACTCTGTGACCCCCACTATTGCCCACATGGTGAGGCTGGAGTCTATCTCAGCTCCAAACCCTCTCAGCTCCTCAATTTCCTGCTGACCATGCCCAGTGGGCTACCCAACAGGAGTCTCAAACTAATCACGTCCAGAGGAGATGACCACCTTCCCCCAGCCCAGCTCATTTTCTGTCTTCATCTCATCACAATGACCATGGGCAGTCTCAACCCCTCAGCCAGAAACCTGGAGTCCCTGGATTCAGTCACCTCGCCTCCCACACTGAAATGGCTTCTGCGTACTTAGCTACTGCATCTAGACATTCCTTTTTTTTTTTTCCTTTGAGACAGAGTCTTGCTCTGTCACCCAGGCTGGCATGATCTCAGCTCACTGCAACCTCTGCCTCCCAGGTTCTAGATGATTCTCCTGTCTCAGCCTCCAGCGTAGATGGGATTACAGGCATGCACCACCACACCCAGCTAATTTTGTATTTTTAGTAGAGATGGGGTTTCACCATGTTGGCCACGATGGTCTGGAACTCCTGACCTCGTGATCCACCTGCCTCGGGCTCCCAAAGTGCTGGGATTACAGGCATAAAGCCACCATGCTCAGCCTTTATTTTTTATTTTCAAAAAAATTTTTTTTCTTTTTTTTGAGATGGAGTCTCGCTCAGTCACCCAAGCTGGAGTGCAGTGGCACCATGTGGGCTCACTGCAACCTCCGCCTCCCGGGTTCAAGCGATTCTCCTGCCTCAGCCTCCAAGTAGCTGGGACTACAGGCGTGCACCACCACATCCGGCTAATTTTTGTATTTTTAGTAGAGACGGGATTTCACCATATTGGTCAGGCTGGTCTTGAACTCCTGACCTCATTATCTCCCTGCCTCAGCCTCCCAAAGTGTTGGGATTACAGGCGTGAGCCACCACCCCCAGCTTTTTTTTTTTTTTTTTTTTTTTTTGACTGAGTCTCTCTCTGTTGCCCAGGCTTGAGTGCAGTGGTGCAATCTCGGCTCACTGCAACCTCTGCCTCCGGAGTTCCTGGGTTCAAGCAATTCTCATGCCTCAGCCTCCCAAGTAGCTGGGACTACAGGCATGCACCACCACACCCAGCTAACTTTTCTATTTTTTATAGAGTCAGAGTTTCACCACGTTGGCAACGTTGGCCTCGAAATTCTGAACTCAAGTGATCCACCCACCTGGGCCTCCAAAAATGCTGGAATTACAGGTGTGAGCCACCATGCCGGCCCCAAAAAAATCTTTATTCTTTTAAAATTATGAGAATATAACATTTCAGACAATTAAGAAATGAGAAGTGCATTTAAGAAGTGTAATATTGGGCCAGGTGCGGTGGCTCACGCCTGTAATCCTAGCACTTTGGGAGGCTGAGGCAGGTGGATTGCCTGAGCTCAGGAGTGCAAGACCAGCCTGGGCAAAATGATGAAACCCCATCTCTACTAAAATACAAAAAAAAAAGGCAGCGTGCGGTGGCTCATGCCTGTAATCCCTTTGCACTTTGGGAGGCCAAGGTGGGTGAATCACCTGAGGTTGGGAGTTCGAGACCAGCCTGACAAACATGGAGAAACCCTGTCACTACTAAAAATACAAAATAAACCAGGCATGTTGGCGCATGCCTGCAATCCCAGTTACTTGGGAGGCTGAGGCAGGAGAATCGCTTGAACCCTGGTGGCAGAAGTTGCGGTGAGCCGAGATCATGCCATTGCACTCCAGCCTGGGCAACAAGAGTGAAATTCTGGGGCAACAAGAGTGAAATTCTGTCTCAAAAAATAAAAATTAAATTTAAAATTAAAAAAAAAAAGTTAGCTGGGCGTGGGTTTGCACCTATAGTCCCAGCTACTCGGGAGGCTGAGGCAGCAGAATTGCTTGAACCCAGGAGGCGGAGGTTGCAGTGAGCGGAGATTGTGACATTGCACTCCAGCCTGGGCAACAAGAGCAGAACTCTGTCTCAAAAAAAAAAAAAAAAAAAAAAGAAGAAGTGTGATATTGGCTGGAAGCGGTGGCTCACGCCTGTAATCCCAGCACTTTGGGAGGCCAAGGTGGGCGGATCACGAGGTCAAGAGATCGAAACCATCCTGGCCAACATGGTGAAACCCCGTCTCTACTTAAAAGAAAAAAAAGTAGCTGGGTGTGGTGGCACACACCTGTACTCCCAGCTACTCAGGAGGCTGAGGCAGGAGAATGGCTTGAACCTGGGAGGTGGAGGTTGCAGTGAGCCAAGATCGCACCACTGCACTCCAGCCTGGCAACAGAGCTAGACTCTGTCTCAAAAAAAAAAAAAAAAAAGTGTAATATTGATCTCTCCCTCTCTCTCCTGCTATGTAGAGCCCCATTTCCTTTTCTTTTTTTTGTTTGTTTTTCAGATGGAATTTAGCTCAGGCCAGAGTGCCATGGCATGATCTCAGCTCACCATAACCACTGCCTCCCAGGTTCAAGCAACTCTCCTGCCTCAGCCTCCCGAGTAGCTAGGATTACAGGCAAGCGCCATCACGCCCTGCTAATTTTTTGTATTTTTAGTAGAGACGGGCTTTCTCCATGTTGGTCAGGCTGGTCTCAAACTCCTGACCTCAGGTATCTGCCTGCCTCAGCCTCCCAAAGTGCTGGGATTACAGGAGTGAGCCACCATGCCTGGTGCCTTTTTTATAATTGTGGTAATACACACATAGCATCAATATTTCCACTTTAACCATTTTTAAACGTACAGTTCTGTGGCACTAAGTACATCCACACTGTTGGGCAACCTTCACCACCATCCATCTCCAGAACTCTTTCATCTTCCCAAACAGAAACTCTAAACCCATTAACTACAGCCCCCCATTCTTCCTTCCCCCTCACCTTGATAACCTCAAATCTACTTTTTGTCTATGTGAATTTGTCTATATTAGGTACCTCATAAAAGTGGATTCAAATGACATTTGTCCGTTTGTGTCTGGCTTATTTCACTAAGTATACTGTCTTCAAGTTTCATCCATGTTGCAGAAGATTTTTGCAATTATTTTAGAAATAATTAACAATTAAAACTGGCCAGGCATGGTGGCTCACGCCTGTAATCCCAGCACTTTGGGAGGCCAAGGCAGGTGGATCATCTGAGGTCAGGAGTTCAAGACCAACCTGGCCAACATGGCAAAACTTCATCTCTACTAAAAATACAAAAATTAGCCGGGCATGGTGGCGGGTGCCTGTAGTCCCAGCTACTCGGGAGGCTGAAGCAGGAGAATGGTGTGAACCCAGGAGGCGGAGGTTGCAGTGAGCCGAGATCACACCATTGCACTCCAGCCTGGATGACAAAGCGAGACTCTGTCTCAAGAAAAAAAGACAAAAATCCTGATACAAAAAGAGCATGTACTGTTTGAATCCATTTATATGAAGTTCTAGAAAAGGTGAATGTAATCTATTGTGACTGAAAGCAGATCAGTGGCTGCCCAGGGCTAGGGTGATTTGAACCCAAAGGGCAAGACTATACTTTTTGAAGTTATGGAAATGCATATTATGGAAACGCATATTTACGTCAATTAAATTGTTTTAAAAAGTAAGAACATAAGCACAGAGCACATTTATTAGTTAACAAGAGAAAAATAAATAACATTGGATTCTTATATTTGTCAGCCTTTGGAGTTTGCTCATTAGGAATTCATTTCCTTATCTTAAAATTTATGGCTATTTAAGATCGAAATTAGTTGTTTTTGGCTTCTGCTTTTCAGCCAGCAAGTGAGTTCCAAATTGGTGACAGAAAAGAACTTGAAATGGAATAGCTTGCTGGGAATAGTGATTTTGGCCCTTTCTTTCAGTGTTGCCTTTTAGTTTATTTTCAGAATATACCTGACTTTCTATCCATACCGTATGAGGTAAGAATATTTGCTTCTTTAAAAATTTGTCCTAGTTTCTCTTTTTGTGCTCCAATGTTATAAACAGACTCTCTGGGGGCCTAGAAGGACTCTCTCTGTCCCAGCTGGGATTTCACTCCTGATTCACACCCGTAAGAATCTTCTCTGTTCATCTAGCAAAAAGCTATCAGCGTCAGGACAAAGCTCTTAGCTTAATGCTGACCTCAAAGCACCAGCTAGAATGCAAAGGAGGTGTGACAATACTCCAGCAAATGGCTCACTGTGCAAATCAAGTTACTTTAATTCCAAGAAGCATAAACAACATCATTGCCGTACAGTCTCAACCTCTTATCTGAACCTCTCCTTTATCTGTAGACCTGAGGACGCCAGTGTCCCCAGCAAACTACTTCTCCCCACGACGCTTTTTTGTACTGCAACATAATTTCTTACAAATCTATTGACTCTATCTTCAAAATTTGGAATTCCATGGCTTCTCTCTGCTTCCATGGCTACCCCAGTGGTCCAAAGGCCAGCATCGTCTCTCACAGCCTCTAGCTTTCTAAGAGGCCTCTGAAATGTTTTGGATGTACGTCCGTGCCCAAATCCCATGTTGAATTATAATCCCCAATGCTGAAGGAGGGGCCTGGTGGAAGGTGACTGGGTCATGGGCGCGGATTTCCTCCGTGCTGTTCTAGTGAGAGTGAATTCCCACAAGATCTGATGGTTTAAAAGTGTGTGACCTGCCTTTCCCTCGCTCTCTCTCTCTCCTGCCACCATGTGAAGAAGGTGCTTGCATCCCCTTTGCCTTCTGCCATGACTGTAAGTTTCCTGAGGCCTCCCAGTCATGCTTCCTCTCAGGCCTGTGGAAATGTGAGTCAGTTAAACCTCTTTTCTTCGTAAGTTACTCAGTCTCAAGCAGTCCTTTACAGCAGTGTGAGACAGGACTAACACAACCTCCCTGGCCCATGCCTCCCCATCGGCCAGACTGATCCAGAAGCACTTGAGTCAGATTATGCCATCCCAACTCTCAAACTTCCCTATGTCCCACCTCACTCTGGGTAAGAGCAGAAACCCTCACAAGGGCCTCAAGGGCCTGGCCACTCTCCACCCTCACCCCAACTCCCACTGTACTCCCTGCCCTGCAGCCCCCTGGCCTCCTTGCTGTGCCTCAACTGTGAGGCTCCAGGCTCAGGGTCTTTGCCCTGCTCAACACTTCACCTGGGTACTCTTCCCCCAGATAAATCCACAGGGGCTCGGCCCCTCCTCTCCCAGAGGACTTTGCTCAATTGTCCTTATGAATGGCACCTTCTTAAAACACCCTGTTTAAAGCCACCATGTGCACGAGCACTCCCTGCCTCTCTTCGCAGCTCTTCTACCCTCCTTGAGATTTACCCCCTTGTGGACAGTATGTATTTGTGGATCTTTCTCCCCCGAGAAGGAGGAGTTAACTCCATAAGGGTGTGGATTTCTGCTTTTGTTCCCTAAGGGATTCCCCAGTGCTTAGGAGAAAGGTATGGCACATAGTTAAATTTATTAAACGAACAACTGAATGTTGAGCAACAAGTTTCAAACAAAGCTTAACCATCACCCCCACAGCACATCTCTGTATTTCCTGGTTTTAACTTTGACAAGAAGCAGAAATACTAAAATAAATCAAAGACAAGGTGTAAAACCATCAGAAAAGGTATCTCAAAAAAAGGCTAAAACCAGAAGATATTATGACAATGCAGCACCACCTTGAATTTCAAAACCAATTGAGGGCTCTTAAAATCCTAAAACAGCCCCATCGTCCCCCACTGTCAGTTCAAAAAGTTTACAGAGAACTTTTCCAGCAGAGGTGCTGTTTCATAGGTCCTTGGCATTCTCTAGCAACATAAATTAAGATCCCACATTTGCTAATATTGCTAGAGCACACAATTTTTTTTTTCCTAAAATACGTCGACCCTGGCAGAGAGAGAGCTACAAAGTTGAGTTTAGCTGCAGAGGCTGGCTGATCAGCAAGGCTTACCTCTTGGCTAAGACAGTAGCTTCTCCACATTAGCCTTAGGATTTAAATTTGTGCCTCAGGAAAATGACCAGTAGGCTCTTCTGGGAATCTCAGGGGCTGCTTGGCGATAGTAAACACACTTAACAACTGTTCAATACTGTCTTAGTCTTCTCCATGTGCCTTTTTGTTTAACGAGACATTCCCAGTGAAGGACTCAAACATATTTGATTGAATGTCCCCTTCAGCAAAGCACATAAAGTAGACCAGCTACAGAGAGATCTTTGCGCACAGCTGCCAAATCCTGGATTTTAGTATCATTATATAGGAAATAAAAATTATACAGTTGATATGTCATTTTTTTAAAGATCTTCATATACATGCTAATTTCCACACTAAATTTTGCTGGTTATAGGCAGAAAAAGCACATGACTTCCAACTCTGGCTCTGCCCACCTGGGAGTTGTGCAAGCTTGATCATATTATCTTACCAGCACATAAAATACTCACTGAAGTGTCTAGTACACAGGTAGCATCACTGTCTTAAACTAATAGTAATTCCAAATATGGACTAAGTATTCCAATCACACAATCAGAAGAGCTCAGGGTAAATTAAGCAGTAAAAATTTAGCAGATAATAGATGGCCGAGCACAGTGGCTCACACCTATAATCCCGACACTTTGGGAGGCTGAGGTGGGTGGATCTCTTGAGCCCAGGAGTACAGGATCAGCCTGGACAACATGGCAAATCCTTATCTCTGCAAAAAATACAAAAATTAGCCAGGCATGTTGGCGCATGCCTGTGCCTGTAGTCCTAGCTACTCGGGAGGCTGAGGCAGGAGGACTGCTTGAGCCCAGGAGGTTGAGGCTGCAGTGAGCTGAGAGTGTACCACTGCATTCCAGCCTGGGCCACAGAACGAGACTTGTCTCAAAAAAAAAAATAAGATTTAAAAAAAAGATAATATATTTGCTAGCTGGCAAATCAGTGCTCCTATAGTTTCTAGTGATTAGTAGATGTTAAAAGATTGGGTTATTCCAGTAAAATGTAGCTTTTCTGGATTTTTTTTTGAGGGGGATGATAATTATGGCTGGTCTTTGAACTTGAATGATAATTTTAAAAAGGAAAACCAGCCCTACTAAGCTAAGTTAAAAAAAAAAAAAAAAAAAAAGAAGACAACCAAATTTTCCCATAGAACTGGTTTAGCCTTTTTCTCCTCTTTTTATCCTTTTTAACCCAAAATGCTCAGATGTCCCAAATGTTCAGAGCTGCAGAGGCTGCACTGCGGGGGCATGTGGCGGCTCCCAGCCCGGGCAGACTCCAGCACCAGGAGCTGATGCCGACTTGTTTAGTCCAACACAGGTGATGAAGTCAGCTGAAAAGAAGACGGACTTGCCAGTAGGTTTGTAAGAAACAGCTTTTCCTCTACCCTAGTGTCTTTCCTCTCTGGGCAGCATTTTTATTAGGAAACCCAAGTTGAAACTGTGCAGAGGCTGTGACCCTAAGTCCCCCAGGCTCCCGTTACTGCCTGAACCCGGCCACTGCACTGCCTCTTCAACAGAAAATCCAATTCGCTGTGCTTAGTCCACTGTTGGTCTCTGCTGTTTGAAAGTTTACGTGCCTCTTTAACTCTTTCCCTCAGGAAAAGTCTCCACAAAGGCATGGATAATGGATGCAGAATTGAATAGGGCCCCAGGTTTTTCTTCTCTGAGGCTGTGGTTGCTCTGGCTAGAGAACTCTTACAGATAAGGCAGGGTGGGAACTGACTGTGTCACTGTCAATCAGGGGATCGGTCAGGGGAGGCCCTTCACTGTGACAGAAACAAACACTTCCAAACAAAGGTAGGAACACAGAGGAAAACAAAGTTGAAGTTGGTTCCCAGGATAACAGTTCCCTCTCTACAACCTTATGCAAGACGGCTCTATTTGCTGTAATTTAACCTCAACTTTTGAATCCAAAGCTGCTGACTTATACATGTTTTCAGCTTTTAACCATCTATGTTATATTTTAGATATTAAACATGTCAAGCAATAATTTTACAAATGATGAAATCGATTGGCAAGTTTATTCATTGAAACTGACAAAAAAAGTGATCCTAAAACGTTTTAGTTTATGTTTTTTAGTATTTTAGGTTTTTTTTATAATTACCAGATTTTTAACATAAGCATCTATGGTATATGCACATCCATCTTTATTACAATAGGGACTGCTCAGAATTTTTTTTTTAAAAAGGGACTTTTAAAGGTAGTAGTTTCTGTTTTAATCAATGTATTCTTTTTATAATGAAACATACACCTTTGCTTTCAAAGCCCACAGCAAGTACATTTCTTATGCCTTGGCCCTAAATATCAAATATAATTTATGTATTATTTCTAGGTAAGTGTTCTTTGATATCATGCTAAATATGTTTGAGACCAACTTAAAAAAACATTTAAGAAATTAAAGTGAAAAGATGTAAGGAAATAAAAGGCACCAGACTGGAAACAAAGAAGTATAATTGTTTTTATTCAGATAGGATTCCATACATAAAAAATCCTAAGGAATACACACACACACACACACACACACACACACACACACGCACACACCTTACTAGAACTGATAAACTAGTTCAGGAAGATCACTGGATACAAGACCACTATAAAAAAACTCATTCTATTTCCATGTACTAGCAATGAACAACCAAAATTAAAATAAAGAAAACAATTCCATTCACAATAGCATCATAAAGATTAAAATACTTAATAATAAATTTAATGAGAAATACAAAATCAGATATCCACATGCAAAAAAGATACATTTAGATCTTGCCTTACACCATAGACAAAAATTTACTCAAAATCGACCACAGACCAAAATATAAGAGCTAAAAGAGTAAAACTACTAGAAAAAAAACAGAAGAAAACCTTTGCGAATTTGTGAGGCAAAAAGCTCTTAAATATGACACTAATGTATGAGTCATAAAAGAAAAAAATTTATAAATTGGACTTCAAAAATAAAACCTGTGCTTCAAAAGTCACCATGAGGAAAATGAAAGACTGGATTCCAGCCACCAACCAGAAGAAAACATCTGTAAATCATACATAAACAACAAATAACATAAAGACAATCCAAATTTCAGGATGGGTAAAAGATTTAAATAGACATTTTACTAAAGAAGATATACAAATAACTAATTAGCACAAACATGTTTAATATCATTAACTATTGGAGAAATACAAATCAAGACCACAACAAGATACCACTTCCTATCCATTCAGATGGATATAAAAAAGACTGATAACAGCAAGTATTGGTGAGGATATAGTAAACCTGGAATGCTCATAAATTGATGGTGGGAATGTAAAACAGTACAGCCACTTTGAAAAGTAATTTGGTAATTTCTTAAAAAGTTAAACACAAATTTGCCATACAACCCAGCAATTCCACTCCTAGGTAAAGACTCAAGAGAAATGAAAACATATGCCCATAAAATACTTGTACACAAATGTTTATGGTAGCATTGCTCTATAAACAAGCAAAAAGTGGCAATAACTGCTCTATAAACAGGCAAAAAGTGGAAATAATCCAAATGCCCATCAACTGCTGAATGAAGTGAGTGTGCTCTGTAGGCCGGACACCGTGGCTCATGCCTGTAATCCCGGCACTTTGGGAGGCTGAGGTGAGTAGATGGCTTGAGGTCAGGAGTTTGAGACCAGCCTGGGCAACATAGTGAGACCTCGTCTCTACTAAAAATAGAAAAATTAGCTGGGTGTGGTGGCATGCACCTGTAGTCCCAGCTACTCAGGAGGCTGAGGTAAGAGAATCATTTGAACCTAGGAGATGGAGGTTGCAGTGAGCAGAGATGGAGCTACTGCACTCCAGCTTGGGTAGCAGAGCAAGGCCCTGTTTCAAAAAAAAAAAAAAAGTACGCTCTGTCCATAATATGGAATGCTATTCAGCAACAAAAAGGAATGAAGTACAGATACACACAACGACATAGATTAACTTCAGAAACCTTACGCTAAGAAGCCAGATGCAAGAGACTACAGACTTCATACTGTGTAATTTCATTTTTATGAAATGTCTAGAAAAGGCAGATAGAAACAGATGAGTGTTTGTCTGGGGCTGAGGATGGGAGCAGAGTAACGACAAATGGGCAGGAGGGATCTTTTGGAGGCATGGAAATGTGTTTAAATTGTATTGTGGTGACGGGTGCACAACTGTAGAAATTTACCAAAATCATCACATAATACATTTACAATGGGTGAATGGCATATAGTAGTTTTGCATTTTGAGGGTTATTTTTTGAGACAGAGTCTCACTCTGTTGCCCAAGCTGGAGAGCAGTGGTGCGATCACAACTCACTAAGGCCTTGAAATCCAAGGCTTAAGAAATCCTCCCACCTCAGCCTCCTGAGTAGCTGGGACTACAGGTATGCAGCACCACATCCAGCTAATTTTATTCTTAAATTTCTATAGAGATGGGGGCCGGGCACAGTGGCTCACGCCTGTAATTCCAGCACTTTGGGAGGCTGAGGCGGGTGGATCACGAGGTCAGGAGATCAAGACCATCCTGGCTAACACGGTGAAACCCCGTCTCTACTAAAAATACAAAAAAATTAGCCGGGCATGGTGGTGGGCGCCTGTAGTCCCAGCTACTCGGGAGGCAGAGGTAGAAGAATGGCATGAACCCGGGAGGCAGACCTTGCAGTGAGCCGAGATCGTGCCACTGCACTCCAGCCTGGACAACAGAGCAAGACTCCATCTCAAAAAAAAAAAAAATTCTATAGAGATGGGGTCTCACTGTATTGCCCCCAGGCTGGTCTCAAACTTCTGGCCTCAAGTGATCCTCCTGCCTCAGACTTCCAAACTGTTGGGATTACAGGTGTGAGCCACCACACCCGGACAAGTCATTTTTTGAAAAGTAAAAATTACTGGGCCAGGCGAGGTGGCTCACGCCTGTACTGTAATCCCAGCACTTTGGGAGGCTGAGGTGGGTGGATCACAAGGTCAGGAGTTCGAGACTAGCCTGGCCAACATGGTGAAACCCCATCTCTACTAAAAAATATATAAAAATTAGCAAGGCATTGTGGCATGCACCTGTAATCCCAGCTACTGGGGAGGCTGAAGCAGGAGAATTGCTTGAACCAGGGAGGTGGAGGTTGCTGTGAGCTGAAATCATGACACTGCACTCCAGCCTGAGCGACAGAGCAAGACTCTGTCTCAAAAAAAAAAAAAAAAAAGTATAGTTTTTGTGTCTATATATCAGATACCAAATTATTTCACACAAATTGAAAAAGATTACTATTCAAACTGGGGATTGAGCTCTTAAGTCAGTATTATAAAATGAAATGCCCTTAATTGCATTATGTGATATAATATTACATTAATCACCATGTTCTTTATACATAAGAATGACATTTACATACACCATGTATTAAGTATTGATTTGGGGGCTGGGCGCATTGGCTCAAGCCTATAATCACAGCACTTTGGGAGGCCCAGGCGGGCAGATCATGAGGTCAGGAGCTCGAGACCAGCCTGGCCAACGTGGCAAAACCCCATCTCTACTAAAAATAGAAAAATTAGCTGGGCATGGTGGCACACGACTGTAATCCCAGCTACTTGGGAGGCTGAGGCAAGAGTATCACTTGAACCTGGGAGGCGGAGGTTGCAGTGAGCCAAGATTGTACCACTGCACTCCAGCCTGGGCAACAGAGCAAGACTGTCTTTAAAAAAAAAAAAAAAGGATCTGTTTTGGAGTCTCCTTATAATTTCAAACATGCTCCTCTAACAGGAGTGAACTTGCAGACAGAGAAGCTAAGTAGATTGTCCACAGACAGATGGACTTTATCAAATGCCATGTGCCTCACTTCATATGATAAAATTACAATTTCAATGTATCTTAAAGAAGAAAAATAGTCACAAAAGAATCTTAACTATAACTGATACAATGATTTTCCTGTCTATTCAATAACCAGTATCCCCTTAAAACCAAACATACTGTGTCAATATCTAAATGTGTTAAGTTTTACTGACAGCAAGTTAGGGATCAACTTAATATTTCTTAAGATAAAATTTCTATATAAGGATAAGGATAAAAGTAACTGGCATGTAACCACTTTATTCTGAATAGTGGCAATTAAAAATAACGAATGGAGATTTTACCTGCTGTATTAGTTTTCTCATGTGTCACAAGTCACCAGAAACTTAGTGACTGGAAAACAACACCCACGTATCATCTCACAGTTCTGTAGGTCAGAAGTGTGGGTGGGCTCCAATGGGCTCTCTGCTTAGGGTCTCACCAGGACAAATTCAAGGTGTCGGTCAGCCCGGGTTCTTATCTAGAGGATCTGAGTAGGAATCTGCCTCCAAACCCATTCCAGTTATGGATGGAATTCTGTGCTTCATGGTTTGGGATGGAGGTGGCTGTTTCCTCGCTGCTGCCAGCCAGGGCCACTCTCAGCTCCTAGTGAGCACCCACACGCCCTCCATCTGCAGAGCTAGCAACAGTGTGGAATCTTTCCTGAGCTTCATATCTTTCTGACTTCCTCCTTGCTGCTGGCCTGAGGAAACGCTCTGCTTTTAAAGAGCACATGTGAGTGGATTAAGCCCACTCAGACAATGATCTTAATTCCACCTGCAGAATCTCTTTTAGCCATGTTACGCATGGGGGCAACACCACGAGGCAAGGGTCATGAGGCTGCACCATGAACACGTGCCTTTCTAATTAAAATATATTTAAAGGCAACTAAATATCCTCCCACTGAGGAATAAAAGTAATCAATGCAGAAGGAATTGTATATTTAGAAAACTCACCATTTTGTAACTCCCTAATAAACCTCATTCTTTGTTTTTAATTGCCACTATTCAGAAGAAAGGGGTTAAGTGCGGCTACTTTTATCCTCATCCTTATATAGAAATTATGTGTCTTAACATTAGTTAAGTTGATCCCTAATAAAATAACCGATTTAGACAATGATTGTCAATGAGAAACTGACACCCACCACATCTGAGCCCACTTTAGAGACCTGACTACAGAGACCCTAAATGGCATGTGCCTCCTGCTATGACGTACACAGCACCACCTATAAAGTGCTCCTACCAAAAAGCAGCTGAAGCTAAACCTCATTAAGCTGTTAGAGCAAAGTCTCGGTTTACAGGAAATGTAGGAAACAGAAGTACAATTTAAGTGATACCATTAAAGGCCAGGCATGGTGGCTCACGCTTGTAATCCTAGCACTTTGGGAGGCTGAGGTGAGCAGATCCCTTGAGGCCAGGAGTTCCGGACCAGCCTGGCCAACATAGTGAAACCATGTCTCTACTGGAAAAAAAAAAAAAATTAGCTGAGTGTGGTGGTGCACACCTGTAATCCCAGCCACTCAGGAGGCTGAGGCACAACAACTGCTTGAACCTGGGAGGCGGAAGTTGCAGTGAGCAGAGATTGTGCCACTGCACTCCAGCCTGAGTGACAGAGCAAGACTCTGTCACAAAAAAAAATAAATAAAAATTTAAAAAAATTTTTAAATGATACCATTAAGAAGCAGATAGAAAAGCCCAGAACTTGGAACATTCTACAACACACAGGACCCAGTTTCTTCAGTAAGTTAATTACCTGTGCATGTGCTGGCGGGGGCAATGTGGGGGAACTGGTCTAGATTACAAGAAATATTATCACCAATTACAATACAAGAACAGTATTTGAATACTGATTCAAACCAAGAGTAAAAAAAAAAACATTTTTAAGTTAATCAGAGAAATTTGACAATAAACTCGGTATTAGAGTACACTAAGAATCATGATAAATTTCACGTTTGGGATAAAGGTACTGCGGCTGTATAAGAAAGCATGCATACTTTTTAGAGATGCATATAGCACAAAACGCTGTGACTGCTTTGTTAATTACTTCAGCAACCACAAGAAAAGGCGGGATGGGAAAACATAGTATAGCAAAATGGTGAAATATATCAAATATAGGTGATGTAACTATACACACACACACACACACACACACATATACATACATGTGGGGTTAATTATTCTAGTCTACTTTTCTGTATGTTGAAAATTTTTAACATAAACAATTTGCTTCTATTCACTGAGCATCTGCTGAGAGCCAATTGTCGTGTTAAGGGCTTCATGTACACCACCAGCTAAACCCTCTCAACAGCCTCATGGACCTGAACTATTATTATCCCTACTTTTATAGATAAAAAGTAATGAAATAACAACCACTTCAGTGTGTAGCCAAACAATCTGCCAGTTCGGCAACGCCTCAGAGGCCAAGTAAATTAAAGACTTCTATGGTTTTATTTTGAAAACATTTTTACCAATTGCCCACAGCACACATTGGAGGGCAGTTCCCAAGCCCTATGGTGATCCTGTGTGTCGGGGACCTTGGGAGGTAAGGAAAGAGGGAAAAGGAACAGATGGGTAGGCAGACAGAGGGTGAAACAGAACAAGAGGACCAGCAAAACAATGAGGGGAGAGGGAAGGAAAGATGGAGAAGGGAAAGAGTAGGGCAGGAACGCATGGAGTCAGTGATGGAAGGCGCAAACGGAACCTGGAAAAGGAAGACCTGGAGTGTCAGACACATTTACTCCCACCATGGCCCACCTTCCACTCTCCCCCAATCCCTGAGACCAGGCAGAAAGTGAGACTACTACAGAGAAAAACGGGGAGCAGGCCAACAACACTAGACAGCTCCGTCAAAACGTAATTGCAGATGGTGGTGTGCGCTCTCCCTAAGCCTCCAATCAGCCGCTCTTCTTTCCTGTGACCATGACCTTCCCAAGCTCAAACTCAGCTTCTCCTGACCAGATCCAAGGTCACGAATTGAAGGGAAGAGAAGAAGAAATTATCTATTTATATTTTTTAGTGGAGACGGGGTTTCACCATGTTAGCCAGGATGGTCTCGATCTCCTGACCTTGTGATCCACCCGCCTTGGCCTCCCGAAGTGCTGGAATTACAGGCGTGAGCCACCGTGCCCGGCCGAAATTATTTATTTAAACAATGTTTAACAGCTTCAGATAAAATGCACAGCCCATCAGCGCCCAGTGAGGCTGCTCTCAGAGAACAATCCGTGCAACTGAGATACTCAGCCACACTAATGCCATTGGGAGCTCAGGTCAGAGTCTCCCGGTGCCAGGGTCAGTTAAGGTTTTAATCCAGGCTATGGAAAATACATGTTTGGGGGGCTGTATGTATGTTTGCGGGGACTGTAGACAGGAAAGGAGCTACAGAAGGGAGAGAGAACAGAAAACACAAAAGAAGAATCCTGGATGCATTTCAGAAACTGGAATGAGAGCTGAAGGGAAAGCAGGCTGAAGTTCTGATCCATGCAACCACCAGAACGAACCTTGAAGGCCTTATGCTGAAGAAGCCCAGTGCAAAAGGCCACACAGTGTGTGATTCCCTTCATGTGGCGTGTCCAACACAAGCAAATCCATGGAGGCAGAAACTCAATTCGTGGTTGCCGGGAGCTGAGGGAGGGTAGAAGGCAGAAGGACTGCTAATGGGTACAAGTTCTTTTTGGGGTGATAAAAACATTCTAAAATTAGGCAGTGCAGATGGTTGTATGACAGTGAATACACAAAAAGTCACTCAACTGTTTACTTTCAATGTGTGGATTGTATGCTATGTGAAATATACCTCAATAAATCCACAAAAAATAAATTTAAAAAATTTTAACTAGCAAATAAAAAGATAAATAATTCCTTTTTCCCTCCGCTCCCAGAGATATAGTTTCTCTCTCTTGTTATCATGAGTTTTATTTTGTTTTTTAGCACAAAATCAGAAGCAAAGGAGAACACCTATGTAGCTTACAGTAACCACACACCATGAAAATAATGAGAAGCCGTGAGAACTAACAAAATGAAAGCCAAACTCTTTTAACTTATCTGTTCCCTAACCAACTCCTGAGGAGCAGGATGAAATATCTCTATATGGCAAAGACCAATCGCTTTCCACACAGTGCTCAGGCACAGACAGACCAACGTCATCTGCTTCTCCAAACCACTCCGTCCACCTTTTCCCCACTGTACTTCATGCGTGATCAAAGAAACTGTATCTACCAAAGACCCTCTTCACAGACAGGCTGATTTTTGTAAATCAGATAAAGTGGTTTACAAAAATCCAAAGATTTCTGCACCAGCTTCTACTGGTAACTATTTTATTATTTACTGGTTAATATTTTATTATCGGAGTTAAGAAGAAGGAGAACTGGGAATCAGAACAAGTCACTCCACCTCCCTGTGTCTACATCTCCTCATCAGCAAACAAAAGGGCAAGCCCAGAATTATCTCGAAGAATACGCAGTCTTAAAGGGATCTATCAGTCTATGTCTATTAATCATGGAAACAGAGCACAAATTGAGTTCTAGGGGACTTTAATTTCTTGGAATTTTCATAAAGTAATTTCCTCCAGCCATAAAATAGTTTTAAAACTATCACACACAGCTCCCCAGCAAACCACCTCAGTAACTGCATGAGGCAGACAAGGCACAAAGAAAGGAATATCCTATTTTCTTACATTCAGCCACGCTGATTTCATGTAAAAATCCTAGAATTACCCATTTCCCGAGAGCTTAATCATAGAATATGTTACTAGGAATATAAGTAATCATTAAATACCTTATTAATTACCTGAAATTTCCTTTATTCCCAGCTGTGGCTATAGAGGACACAAAGCACTGGGGGGTGCATTCATATATTACTATAGAATTGCTCAATTTCATCACTAAAAGTATCATATGCCAAATGAACAAGCAGGACTTACCAATTTTCTGACTGAAAATCTTGTCAAAGTTTATTTCATTGGTCTCTGCAAGATATTTCTGCATCACACTCCGGATACTGGAAGGGAAAAGTGACACATTTTTAACAATACAGCCTACATCGTGAGTAAGCATCCTCAAGATGAAAGAGATACGGATGTCTTGACTTCATGATATCAGCTTTACAAGAGACCCTTCTTACCAAGACTGCATGAAATGCAAACCAGCCTAAAGGCTGGAAACTTCACGGCCTTAGCCACCATCCCCTCCTGCGACACAGGGCCAAGCTTACATGTAGAAACTCAACTGCAGAAAATAACTTCAGGGCTTTGAAAACCCACCCTCCATATATCTCTTCTCCAAAATATTCACAAATGTGTCTGCACACACAAACACGTGCACACAGCACACACCCTACACACACACACCACACATGCCTGTGCCCCCCCACCACAAATTCTGCTATTCAATAAATGAGCTTCTTTCTAAAACAAGAGCAAAAGTTCCCTGGATATATTAATATTTTAAAAATCATGTTTCTATACTCCAACATAAAACACAGAACATAATTAAAAGACTTAGCTTGCAATAAAATAAAAAACATCAAATACTTTGAAATTATTCTTTCAAAATATGTGCAAGAACTTTATGGGAAAAATTACAAATTGTATTGGGAGACATTAAAGAGGATCTAAATAGGAAGATATACCACAGTGATAAACAGAGAAATTTAATACTGTAAAGTTCAAAGTCTACCCAAATTTATCTATGAAATATAATCTCCATCAACATTCCAATAGGGTTTTTCATAGAACATAGAAATAAATAAGCTCTTTCTAAAATTTACACAAAAAATGCAGGATCAATAATAGCCAAAACACTTCTGAAGAAAGAGAATAAAGATACTGGTGTTTATTATGAAGTTAATAAAGACAGGATAAACAAACTAATCAAGGAAATGGAAGACAGTGCAGAAACTGAACCACACATACATTCAGCGTTGACATATAATAGAAGTAGCAAGTCAGAGAAATGGGGAAAGGATGGATTATTCAGTAACTGAACCCCAAAAGTGATTTTTTTTTTATTTTTAAAAACAAATTGAGGCATAATTTATACATAATTAAATGCATACTTAAAGTATATTGTTAACCAGGCAAGGTGCCTCACACCTGTAATCCCAGCACTTTGGGAGGCCAAGGTGAGGGGATCACCTGAGGTCAGGAGTTCGAACTCTATTCATAGATAGAGATATTCAGTTGAGTCCAAACTCTATTCATACATCACACTACTTCTTTTTGAAGAACGGCAATCTTTCTTTAGTAAATTAAAAGACCTCATTTACTTTATTCATCTAACATTTCATGTATGATGATCAGTTTTTCACCTACCATGACTCTCATTTTTCCCCATGAATACTCTTGAAGAAGTGTTCCAGAAGCATTCTAAAACAGTCTTCAAATTTAGCAATTTACTACCTATTCCATTGAGTTTCCAGTTTTCCATACAATTCCTACGATGATATGATTTTTACTCTTCCCTTCCTGTAGAAGGTGGTTGGATTCTTATATACCTTCATGTAATCATCTTCCTTGAAGTATAACATTTTATACATATATATATGCATATACATGTATATGTATATATATACATACACACACCCATATATACATACATACATACATACATACATACATACATACATACATACAAAGGGGGTCTTGCTCTGTCATCCAGGCTGGAGTGCAGTGGTGTGATCATAGCTCACTGCGGCCTCAAACTCCTGAGCTCAAGCTATCCTCCCACCTCAGCCTCCCGAGTAGCAGAAACTACAAGTGCACACCACCACACCGTTTTTTTTTTTTTCTTTTTGGAGATAGAGTCTCACTATGTTGCCCAGTCTGGTCTTAAATTCTTGGCCTCAAGAGATCCTTCCACCTCAGCCTCCCAAGTAGCTGGAATTATTGGTGCAAGCCATCATGCCCAACAATTTTTTATTTATTTAAAAAGTCTAATTTCCTCTCTAACCATGACAAATCTAGTCTGTGCTTATATTTTTATTTTTTCCTACAATTCTTGACTATCCCCTTATGTTCTATTTCACTGTACTATTTTCTTCACTGTACTATTCAGTTCCTATTTGTATTTTTAATATCTTGCATGTTTTTATTTTTAGCTCAAAGAATGTGGCTGGTTGTCTAATGCTACATACCAAAAGTAATTTGATGTATTCCTAAGTATTTTGTGTGTGTGCAGCTACTGTAAATGGGACTGCATTTTAATTTGGCTCTCAGCTTGAACGTTATTGGTATATAGAAATGCCACTGATTTCTGTACATTGATTTTGTATCCTGAAACTTATTGAAGTCATTTAGCAATTCCAGGAGTCTTTGGCAGGGTATTTAGGGTTTTCTCAGTATAGAATCATATCATCAGCAAAGAGAGACAGTTTGACCCCTTCTTTTCCTATTTAGATGCCTTTTATCTCTTTCTCTTGCTGATTGCTCCAGTAGTATGTTGAATAACAGTGGTGAGAGTGAGAATCCTTGTCTGTTCCAGTTCTCAAGGAGAATGCCTCCACCTTTTGCTCATTCAGTATGATAGTGTCTTTATGTCTGTCATAGATAGCTGTTATCATTTTGAGGTATGTCCCTTCAATGCCTAGTTTGTTCAGGGTTTTTTTTAACGTGAAGGGTACTGGATTTTATTGAGAGGTTTTTCCACATCTATTGAGATGATCGTATGGTTTTGTTTTTATTTTTTTATGTGGTAAATCACATTTATTGGTTTGCATATGTTGAACCAACCTTGCATCCCAGGAATGAAGCCTACCTGATCATGGAGAATTAACCTTTCTTTTTCATGTGCTGCTGGATTTGGTTTGCTAGTATTTTGTTGAGAATTTTTGCCTCTGTGTTCATCAGGGATGTTGGCCTGTAGTTTTCTTTTTTCACTATGTCTTTGCCAGGTTTTGGTATCAGGGTAATGCTGGCTTTGCAGAATGAGTTAGGGAGGAGTCCCTCCTCCTTGACTTTTTTCTACCAGTAGAACTACAAAACACTGATGACAAAAATCATAGATGATACAAATGGAAGAATATTCCATGCTCATAGATTAGAAGAATCAATATTGTAAAAATGGCCATGCTGCCCAAAACAATCTACAGATTCAATGCTATTGCTATCAAACTACTAATGTCATTTTTCACAGGATGGGTAAAAACTATTCTAAAATTAATATGGAACAAAAAAAGAGCCCAAATAGCCAAAGTCATCCTAAGCAAAAAGAACAAAGCTAGAGGTGATCGTATTACCCAGCTTCAAACTATACTATAAAGCTACAATAACCAAAACAGCATAGTGCTGGTACAGAAACAGACACATAGACCAGTGGAATAGAAGAGAGAACCCAAAAATAAAGCCACATGCAGCTTCAGCTATCTGATCTTTGACAAAGTCAACAAAAATAAGCAATGGGGAAAGGACTCCCTGTTCAACAAATGGTGCTGGGATAGCTGGCTAGCCATATGCAGAAGATTGAAACTGGATCCCTAACTTTTACCATATACAAAAAAGTCCTCAAAAAATGCAAAAATAGCCCTCAAAAGCAACTGCAACAAAAACAAAAATTGACAAGTGGGACCCAATTGAACTAAGTGCTTTTGCACAGCAAAAGAAACTACCAACAGAGTAAACAGACATGCTACAAAATGGGAGAAAATATTCACAAACTATGCATCTGGCAAAGGTCTAATATCCAGATTCTATAAGGAACTTAACAAAAAACAAATAATTCCATTAAAAATGGGCAAAAGACATGAACAGACAATTCTCAAAAGAAGACCTACAACTGACCAACAAACATTTGAAAAAATGCTCAACATCACTAATCATCAGATAAATATAAATCAAAACCACAATGAGATACCATCTCACTCCAGGCAAATGGCTATTATTTTAAAAATAAAATAAAATAAAACAGATGCTGATAAGGCTTTGGAGAAAAGGGAACGCCTACACACTGCTGGTGGAAATGTAAATTAGTTCAGCCACTGTGAAAAGCTGTTTGGAGATTTCCCAAAGAACTTAACAAAGAACTACCATTCAACGCAGCAATCCTATTACTGAATATACTTATTTTCTTTCCAAAAGAAAATTAATCATTCTACCAAAAGAAAAAAAAAACTACATCCACTCTTATGCTCATCACAGCACTATTCATAATAACGAAAACAAGGAAGAAACATAGGGGCCCATCAATGGTGGATTGGATAAAGAAAATAAGGTACATATACACCATGGAATACTATATTGCCATAAAAAAGAATGAAATCGTGTCCTTTGCAGCAACATGAATGCAGCTGGAGGTGATTATCCTGAGCAAATTAACACAGGAAAAGAAAACCAAATGCCACATGTTCTTATTTATAAGTGGGAGCTAAACACTGGGTACTCATGGACATAAAGATGGTAACAATAGACACCAGGAATGAATGGGGGGAGGGAGGGAAGGGAGCAAGGGTTGAAACACTATTGGGCACTATGCTCACTACCTACGCAATGGCATCAATCATACGCCAAACCTCATCATCACACAATACACCCACATAACAAACCTGCACATGTACCCCTTAAATCTAAAATTAAAGCTGCAATTATTGTTTCTAAAAAGTAATTCAAGATGGACCACAGATCTAAATATAAAGCCTAAAACTATAAAAGTTCTCAAAGAAAATATAAAAAAACTTTATAACTAGTTCAAGCAAAGACTTTAGACATGAGAGCAAAAACATGAATAAGAGAAAAACAGATAAATTAAATTTCATCAAAATTAAAAACTGCTGCTCCTGAGAAGACACTTAAGAGGATGAAAAGACAAGCCACATGCCGAGAGAAAACACTGGCAAACCATCTGTCTAACTGAAGATCTGTACCCAGCATAAATAAAGACCCTTTCAAGCTCAAGAATAAGAAAATAACCTGATAAAAATTGGGCAAATGATTTGAACAGACACTTCAAAGAAGATATGTGGGTGGCAAATAAGCATATGAAAAGTTGTTTAACGTCATTAGTCATTAGGAAATGGCAAATTAAAATCACAAGAAGATTCCACTACATACCTATTAGAGTGGCTATAATTACCAAAGACCATACTAAATGTTGGGAAGGATATGGAGTAACTGGAATTCTCACACACTGCTAGTGGGAATGTCAAATGAAGCACACACTTTGGAAAACATTTTGGCAGCTTCTTAGAAAGCAAAGTTAAACTACACCTACTATATGATAAATCCATTCCATTTTTAGGTATTTACCTGAGAGAAATGAAACCATATATCCATACAAATATTTATACATGGATATTCTCAGCAGCTTTATCTGTGATGGTCAAAAGCTGGAAGAAACACAATAGCCACAATGGGTGAACGGATAAGTAAATATGGGTATCACTATAATTAAACAGTACTCAGCAATAAAAGGAATGAACTATGAATACATTTAAAAACACAGATGGATCTCAGAATAACTGTGCTGATTTAAAGAAGCCAGACCCCCACCCCCCGCCACAACAACAAAAAAAAGTACACAACGTTTGATTACAAGGAGGCAGGAGCAAACTTTTTTTTTTTTTCTTTTTTTTTTTTTTGAGACGGAGTCTCGGTCTGTCTTGTCTCCCAGGCTGGAGTGCAGTGGTGCAATCTCGGCTCACTGCAAGTTCCACCTCCTGGGTTCATGCCATTCTCCTGCCTCAGCCTCCCAGGTAGCTGGGACTACAGGCGCCCGCCACCATACCCGGCTAATTTTTTTGTATTTTTAGTAGAGACGGGGTTTCACCCCATTAGCCAGGATGGTCTTGATCTCCTGACCTCGTGATCCGCCTGCCTCTGCCTCCCAAAGTGCTGGGATTACCGGCTTGAGCCACCACGCCCGGCCAGGAGCAAATTTTTAAGGATGGTGCATGTGGTATAACAAAAAATATAGTTTTTGTCTCTGGTTCCTGACACAGAGCTCCAAAAACGCTTGAAATTTCCTGATAGGAGTGTCTTTTATTCCTAAGGAGCCCTTTTCAACCATACGTGAGTATATGCTAATGAGCTGACTCTTGGTGGGCTTCTAGATAGCTCAATACGGGGGCTTGTTGCCAGAGGAAGCAAAAGTGTGACTAGAGGGTTAAGACTTTCACCCTTATCCCCTGACCTCAGGGAGGCTGGGGATTGAGTTCTGTCACCAACACCCAAAGCTTTCTGCAATCAAGCCTAACTTAAAAACTCTTGAAGAGTTTGGAGAGCTTTCAGGTGAACACATCATGAGATGGGAAGGTGGCGCACTCAGAGAGGGCACAGAAGCTCTGCTCTCTACCCCTCCCTGCAAGACCCTGCACCATGTACCTCCTCCATTTTGCGATTCCTGAGTTGCATCTTTCATAAAAAAACTAATCATAAGGATAGCATTTTCCTGAGTTCTGTGAGTCATTCTAGTGACACAGCACACCGGAGAGGATGGTCATGGGAGCCCGTGAATTTGTGGTCAGCCAGGCAGAAGTATGGGAGACTGGGAACCCCATTCCTAGCTGGCATCTGAATTGGGGCAGTCTTGTGGGAATGAGCCCTTAACCTAGCAGCGGGGAGGGGATCTCTGCTAACTTAAGGTGGTGTCAAAATCAAATTGAATTGTAGAACGCCCAGCTGGTAAGACAATTGAGACGTTCATTATCTGAATTTTGGTAATGGTTTTGCCAATGTAGATAAACTCACCAAACTGTGCACTTGAAATATGTTGTTTATCTTAGGTTAATTACATCTCAGTAAGCTATTTGTTTGTTTGTTTTAATTACACCATTTGCAGTAAGCAAAACCCCGAGTGTAGGAAACTACACAATAAAACGACCTGATATCTTTAACAAAAAATCTCAAGAGAAAATAATGATAGTGGAGGAATGTATAAGGTCAAAAAAGACTCAAAAGAAATAACAACCAGGCATAATGTATGGACCTTATTTAAAAACTCAATTCAAGAAAAAAAGTATTCTTTTAAAAAAATAGAGAAATGAGAATGTGCATTGACTACTGGATAATATTAAGGGAGCATTTTTTTCGCAGTGGCATTGTATTCCACTTTCACTTTTGTATTCTGAAAGAGTTTTTATCTTTCAGGACTGCATATAGAAATACTCACAGATGAAATTATATATATATATATATATATATATATATATATATAATCTCTAGACTTGCTTCAAAATAATCTAAAGAAAATAGGAGGTATAGAGGAAACAAAATTAGCTATGTATTTGATATGGTTTGGCTGTGTCCCCATCCAAATCTCATCTTGAATTGTAGTTCCCATAATTCCCATGTGTTGTGGGAGGGACCCAGTGGGAAGTCATTGAATCATGGAGCCCGATCTTTCCCATGCTGTTTTCATGAAAGTTAATAAGTCTCACGAGATCTGATGGTTTTATAAAGGGGAGTTCCCCTGCACATGCTCTCTTGTCTGCTGCCACGTAAGACATGACTTTGCTCCTCCTTCACCTTCCACCATGATTGTGAGGCCTCCCCAGGTGTGTGGAACTGTGAGTCCATCAAACCTCTTTCCTTTATAAATTATCCAGTCTCAGGTATGTCTTTATTAGCAGCATGAGAACAGACTAATACAGTATTAATAACTGAGAAAGCCGAGTGATGGCTGTATCAGTTTCATACTCCTATTCTCTCCTGTGCATGTTTAAACTTTTCATTATACAAAGTTTTAAAGCATCAAATTCTGGCCTCCAGAGTCCAGGGTTATTACTTTTACACACCTCCTCACCAAAATAAGAGTTATGTATATCATACACTGTATACTGCTTGGAGGCATAATGACTTGTGTTAATACCAAATGGCTGGAAATATACCAACCCTACCTGTCATGGCCTACTGGGGTCCTGCTACATAAATGCATGGTAAGTATAATAAATATTGTATTATAATTTTAATTTTTTTCTCCTATGAGAGTGGTTGAAAGACCAGCCACCAGATATCTGCTCCCTAAAGGCCAAGAATAGGTGGGCTAGGTTGTACATCAACACCTTACTAGTAAAGAAACTACAATCTTTAGGACATAGCTAGATAACCTCATGTTATTAAGAGCCTACATATTCTATCTGAGGTTTTATTCTAATGTCCAAAATAAAATGCATTTAAGCAAATATTTTAATAGGTAACATATTGCCTAGAAAAACTAGTAGCACATAATAAGGTAGTCATAAAGATTGAACAAGTTTGTAAGAGAGTGCTTTCTAAACTATAAGCAGCGAGTGGGCTTGCTGGCTCTATAATCTCAGCTCTTCGGGAGGCTGAGGAAGAAGCATCACTTCAGGCCAGGAGTTCAAGAACTGCCTGGGCAACATAGTGAGAACCCCTCTCTACAAAAACAAATTAAAAAGCTAGCCAAGATGGTGGCATGAACCTGTAGTCTCAGTTACTCAGGAGGCTGAGGTAGGAGAATTACTTGAGCCCAGGGGTTTGAGGCTGCAGTGAGCTATGATCTCACCACTGCACTCCAGCCTGGGCAACAGACCTTGTCTCAAAAAACAAAAAAAAATTTTTTAAATAAACTATAAGCAGCACACAAATGAGAATTGTTACCATTACTGACCATCAAGAAAACCGAAAGATTCTTTTTAATGACCACACAATCATATCAAGATTCTGTTCCTCCAAAATGAAACTACTTTTCTTATATGTAGTTACTAAGTATTTTCCACAAACCACTCAAGCACACAGAATAGAGCTCTGTTATCCAAAGTCACAATAAAAACTTGACCACTAGATTTAAAACCACCAAACTCCACCAGGATTCTGATGTAGTCTGTAAAAGAATCTTAAATAGTTTAATGTCAACTCTTTGAGTTTCCTCAGTTTCTTATGTCTTTTACAGGAAAGTCTCATATAATTTGCGTAGTATTAAACAATTCAGCACAGGACAATCTACGTTCAGGTCACAACCCAATTAAGCTAACTACAAATTTATTTTGTGCTTTTCCTAGAATATTTTAATAATCCACCTTGTGTTTAATGCCTTTTTTTGGCAATATAACTAGATATTAAGGTGACATTAAATATACTTGAATTTCACTGGCCCACAAACACAGTCATCCCCAAACAGACACCAGCTGAAGGATAAATTTATGGGGTCTTCGGTTTACCTAATCAAAGAGACTGAACCTTTATACTCAAAACTATCCCTTTAAATTAGTTACAACAAACAGGGCACGGTGGCTCACACCTGTAATCCCAGTACTTTGAGAGGCCAAGACAGGTTGATTGCTTGAGCTCAGGAGTTTGAGACCAGCCTAGGCAACATGGTGAAACTCCACTGTATTAGTCCATTTTCACACTGCTGGTAAAGACATACCCGAGACTGGGTAATGTATCCAGGAAACAGGGTTTAATTGGACTTATAGTTCCATGTGGCTGGGGAGGCGTCACAATCATGGTGGAAGGCAAAGGGTACGTCTTACATAGCAGCAGGCAAAAGAGAGAATGAGAACCAAGTGAAACGGGTTTCCCCTTATCAAACCATCAGGTCCCTTGAGACTTACTCACTGCCACGAGAACAGTGTGGGAGAAACTGCCCCGTGATTCAATTATTTCCCACCAGGTCCCTCCCACCACAGGTGGGAATTATGGGAGTGCAATTCAAGATGAGATTTGGGTGGGGATACAGCCAAACCACATCACCCATCTCTACCAAAACTATAAAAAAATTACCCAGGCATGGTGGTACGTGTCTGTGGTCCCAGCTACTTGGGAGGCTGAGGTAGGAGGATTGCTTAAGCCTGGGAGGCAGAGATTGCAGTGAGCCAAGATCGCGCCACTGCACTCCAGCCTGGGTGACAGAGCAAGACTCTGCCTCAAAAAATAAAAAATAGAAATAAATTAGTTATAAGAATCATTTCAGAATCCATTTGCCTTTTCACCAAAATCCTTTAAATTAGGAATAATACAGAAAAGACTATGTTCTATGGCTGTGGTATTATTAGAGGACAGAGACTGGGGTCAGGGAGCCTCATGCTGGGGAGTTGCAGCCTCCTTGTTTCCAAGAGTAATTTTTCTAAAATATAAATCGGACCACGTAATCATCTCATTTAAAAGACTGCAAGGGCCTCTGGGCACGGTGGCTCATGCCTGTAATCCTAGCACTTTGGGAGGCCGAGGCTGGGGGATCACCTGAGGTCAGGAGTTCGAGACCAGCCTGGCCGACATGGTGAAACCCCGTCTCTACTAAAAACACAAAAATTAGCTGGGCGTGGTGGCAGACACCTGTAATCCCAGCTACTCAGGAGGCTGAGGCAGGAGAATTGCTTGAACATGGGAGGTGGAGGTTGCAGTGAGCTGAGATCGCGCCACTGCACTCCAGCCTGGGTGACAAAGCGAGCCTCTGTCTCAAAAAAAAAAAAAAAAAAAAAAAAAAAAAAAAAAGATTGCAAGGGCCTCTCACTTTGCCCAACGTCCAAACCCCTTAGTGTACTGCAGGGAGCATTTTCAAGGAGGCTGCCTCAACCAGGTCTTGCTGTTGTCTTTCTCACACTGCAGCCACACTTGATTTTTTCATTTTTCATGAAAAAGACAGGCTCTTCCACAGCTCCATCACTCTGTAAATACCATTCCCTCTAATGCCCTTTCCTTTTCACATGAAAATCTCCTACTCATCCTCCATGACCCAGTTCAGAGGTCACCAAGACTATGCAGCCCTCCCACCTCTGTTCCTACTGCTTGCTGTACATCACTGCTGTATCATTTCCCACAATGGACTGTCATGATTTTTTTTAATTTATCTTTTAACATTTGTGGGTACACAGTAGGTAGATATATTTACGGGGACATGAAATGTTTTGATATAGACATGCAATGTGAAATAAGCACATCATGAAGAATGGAGTATCCAACCGCTCCAGCATTTCTCCTCTGAGTTACAAATTATCCAATTATACTCTTTATTTTAAAATGTACAATTAAGTTATTATTGACTATAGTCACCCTGTTGTGTTATTGCACAGCAGGTCTTATTCACTCTTTCTAACTGTTAATGATAGAAGTCCCTGTGTCTCCCACCACCCTTGAAGAGACATCAGCAATCATTCTAGTACTCAATCCCCCACCTTCAACACTGTTGCATACCAAAGGACTCAACATGTCACTGTGAAATGTCCACAAAGGAGTGAAAGAGTATCATTTTTCTAAATAAACTACACGATGATATAAGCATATTCATGTCAGTTAATATTTGCTAAGGATCTGTTATGGGTCTGGAAGTATTCTGGCCACAAGAATATAGAAAGATGAGTAAGACTAATTCATTTATACTAAATCTGTACCCACCAACACCATGAAGCCTTCCCCAACCCTTCAAGAATGGTTTCTACAAGTAAGAGTGTATATAGCAAGATAATTAAAAGGGGGCTCTAGAAAATGTCATGCCCTACCAGAAATGATATTCCTATTTAACCTTAACTTTTTTCAGATTCTACACCCTTGAAGTTGCTATAACCTTTATGTGATGACTCAGGATTGCAACTGACATCACTGGAATACGTTTTGGCTGAAAACGCTTTTCTGCCTCTAAGTTTGCACCAAGGGAGCCCAAACAAATGAAAGTCACCCACAGCAGTGTTTCCACTCCTAAACAACTCATAAATGACAGTGGAACAAAGAGCAACAACTTTATGATTAATATAAACTAAAAGCTTAGTAAATGTAAAACTTACTAAGCTTATATATAAACTAAAGCCTCTCCCAAGTCTTTGCATCTAGCTCATAGCTTGCCTGTGTATGTATGTGTATAATTATCTCACATGACATAATTATATATATGAGGTCAGTTGAACTCTGTTCAGCTTTAGAATTGATAATTGGTAATTGATAATAAGTAGTTTTAATTAATGGATAGCACGGTAACCATTACACTCTTCTACCTATCAGTAACAGAAACCTTCCCACCTCAAAAATGAGCAGGGCAGATGGCCAACCAGATTCACATCACATTTCCCAACCTCTATTGCGGTTACATAGTCACAGGTCCTAGCACCCACCAATGGAATGTGAGTGAAACATGCTACTTCCACTTCACTTCCTTAAAAGGAACTTGTGCACTCCACTTCCTCCTGGGAAACACCCATAACACGAGGCTTGGCCGAGAGGTGAAGGCCCTATAGCGAGGCAGGCAGAGCTGTTCTACAAGCCCAGGATGAGGGAAAGCTGTGGGCTGCAAAACCCAGTCCCCTCCCTAGTCAGTTCTGAATAACTCCAGGCCAGTGGTTCTCCACTTTACCTAGACTTTAGGATTACCTGGGAAGAATTCTAAAAAGCTTGGTGCCTGGGCCTCTTCAGGGAGTCTGATGTAATTGGTCTGTGGTGTGGCCTGGGCTTGGGGGCCATCTCATTTTGGGGTCTCTTGGTTACAACAGCTTAAGCCATGTTTTCATTAATAAAGATGGCCTTTCCATTCAAGTGACCGGGCACAGGGTTTTCCTGTATCTAAGTTTTTCAAATCATCTTGACTAAAAAAAGAAATACAAGGCCAGTAGATGCCTGCACCTGCAAATAGTACTGAATCCTATATCCACCATTTTTTCCTATACATACACATCTATGATAAAGTTAAATTTATCAGTTAGGCACAGTAAGGAATCAATAACTGCTAATAAAATAGAACAATTATAACAATATACTCTTCACAATTTCATGGATAGAAGATTCATTCTTACTTCTTAGAAACCGCCGCATATGATTTATTCTGTTCTCTTACATTGAGAATGTTCACCTTTTCACTGAGGCAGTGCTTTGCAGCTTCCCTTTGGCATATCTGAACTGCCAGCATTGTTACTCAAGCACTTTGGGGCCATCATTCAATAAAATAAGGGTTACAAAGGATCTGATACCTAAGCCAGGTACTAAGGGACCCACAGGGCAGTAGCATCTACACTGAGGATTCCTTGAACAAAGGAATCACGTTCCAGACAGAATGGTGCAAGATTTCATCTTCCTAGTCAAAATGGCATGCAAGTTAAAACTTAGCAATTATCTATTTCTGGAATTTTCCATGTAATATTTTCAGGCCTCGATTGACTCCGGACAACTGAAACTGCTGAAAGCAAAACTACAGATATGGGGGAACTACCACATGGCTAAAGCAGAGCTTTCAAAGCCACTTTTCAAAACAAATCAAAGTCTTCCAGAAAAAGTACTCCCAAAGATTTTAGGCATTTACTCCCACCTCCCTACTGCTGCCCCCAGTCGATTCTAGTTTCATATTTGCATATTTCCTTACTCATTAATAAATCATTAGCTTTTCTCTAGTATTTTTCTCACATAAGCTGCCGTAGCATTGTTTAGAGAAAACTATTTTTCATAGTTTATAAAAGCTATAGTGCCAAATCTGTCCAAATTTGGGGTTGAAATATGATGTTATAACCTATACAATATTTTTGCACATTCAAATGAATTCAAGAATTTCTGATCTCACGCCATTTGAAGAACCAAATCTTTGCCACAGCTCTCTCTAAAGAGTCAAATACTTGGTATATTAGCTATGTCTAATACAGGCTATTAAATACATAGACTCATTGGGAAGAAAAGGAAAAGACAATCCATCTGTTTATTCACCCATTCGCTCATTCAAAAGATAGATGCTGCATCCTTACCCTGAGCCAGACACTGAATCTGACCCTCAGAATACACAGTGAACCCCACTCATCCCCTGCCTTCAAGGAGCCCATGTCCAGAGGGGTTGTTAGGAGAGGACACAGACAGTCCCAACACAGTGTGACGGGTCAGCCTCCACAGGGGCAACTGCAGGGTGCCCCAGAACCCAGGTCACTACAGCTCAACGACAGAATCTAAGGGACCACGGGCAAGGCTGAAGTGAGAGAAACCAAGGGGACCTCTCAGGAAGGATCGTGTAAGTCCTGTTAGCCTGCCCCAAATAACCTAATGGAACGACAATGGATGACAGTAACAAAGAAAAAAGTACACAAAAATACTTAGTGAGGCCTGTTTTAGAGCAACACACTTTTTTTTTTTTTTTTTTTTTTGAGATGGAGTCTCGCTCTGTTGGCCAGGCTGGAGTGCAGGGGCACAATCTTGGCTCACTGCAAGCTCCACCTCCCAGGTTCACGCCATTCTCCTGCCTCAGCCTCCCAAGTAGCTGGGACTACAGGCACCCACCACCACACCCAGCTAATTTTTTGTATTTTTAGTAGAGACGGGGTTTCACCGTGGTAGCCAGGATGGTCTTGATCTCCTGACCTCGTGATCCACCTGCCTCGGCCTCCCAAAGTGCTGGGATTACAGGCATGAACCACAGGGCCCGGCCTTTTTTTTTTTTTTTTTTTTTTCCTGAGACAGAGTCTCGCTCTGTCGCCCAGACTGGAGTGCAGTGGTGTGATCTCGGCTCTTTGCAACCTCTGCCTCCAGGGTTCAAGTGATTCTCCTGCCTTAGCCTCCTGAGTAGCTGGGATTACAGGTGCCCACCACCACACCTGGCTAATTTTTATATTTTTAGTAGAGACAGGGATTCACCATGTCGGCCAGGCTGGTCTCGAACTCCTGACCTCAGGTGATCCACCCGCCTCGGCCTCCCAAAGTGCTGGGATTACAGGCATGATAAGCCACCGCACCCGGCCATGAAACATTTTAAAATGATTATTTTGAAATATTTTCACAAATTAATATTCAAGTAATTAAAAAATAGCTGTTAACATAATTTTAATAAGAGAGACTTACATTGCAAGGTTTCCTTAGGCATGGATAGTATGCTTAGAGGGTAGATTATTTTAAAGACCATGGGTTACTTTTTTTTTTCTGCTAAATTTAAACATCAGAGCCGCGATTTAATAGATACCCATGATCTGAATGAAGTCAGTGAAGTCTTTTGCACTCAGGAAGTAAACAGATCATCGTTTTCTGAAGTATGATCTCTTACTGTGCTTTCTACTTTCAATAGCCTTCTTGCATTTTTTTTTTTTCTCATCCTTCTACAGCAAGCCTTCAGGTCAAGAAGTTGTAAATCTGTCCACTCTGGTTGGATTAGTCGGGACTCTTAGGTTGCAAACGAGCCTCTTAAAACTCTACCCGCATCTTTGTAATCAGTGTCACAGAGCCTCTTTTTGAGTCATCTAATGCAGTTTCCAAAAAACACATCATCCTCCCATCAATCTAAGTTGTTTGAGATGCAGTACACTTGCATCTTGCATCTGTGTATGATGCTGTCATAGAAATTATATAGTACATCTTAAGTCACCAGTGCTATTACACATGACATTGGGAAAACTGAGGCTTCCATTAGCCCTGCAGGGACACAGCTGTGATCTTCACACCTGGCCATCTTCTCTACTGTTTTGAAAAATTATTGCAAAAGTTTTCAAACATGCAAAAGGATATAATGTAGTGAACACCTAGACCCATCACTCAGCACCTCATTGGAAGTTACCAAGATTGTAATCTGCTACTTTTCCCTACCCCGCCCTCCATTTTTTTTTCTTTTTCGTTTTGAGGCAGAGTCACGGTGTTGCTGAGATTAGAGTACAGTAGTGCCATCTCAGCTCACTGCGGCCTCACTCTCCTGGACTCAAGTGATCCTCCCACCTCAGCCTCCCAAGCAGCTAGGACTACAGGTGTGTGCCACTCTGCTCAACTAATTTTTCTAATTTTCATAGATATGAGGTTTTGGTGTGTTGCCCAAGCTGGTCTCAACTGATCTGCTCGCCTCGGCCTCCCAAAGTGCTGGAACTACAGGCATGAGCCACTATCACCACTTATCCCACCTCCAGTTTTTAAAGCATTTTAAAACAAATCTCAGTTGGGCACGGTGGCTCGCGTCTGTAATCCCAGCACTCTGGGAGGCTGAGGTGGGTGAATCACCTGAGATCGGGAGTTCGAGACCAGCCTGGCCAATATGGTGAAACCCCCGCCTCGACTAAATACAAAAAACTACACCCCCCAAAAATAACTGCCCATGAGTTGAGATTCATCAATTTTATATCTAGAAACCCTACAATATTTAGGACTCCCTGACTTTGGGTGGTGGTGGTGGGGGACACTAGGAAAGGCAAGAGAAAAAGGAATTAAGCCTTTTTCTACCACATTTATAGAAATATACAGTTTCTTCGGTGAAATTTAGGTTTGATATAGGAGTTCTTGTTCTCTAAGTTTCCCATTTGCTGGAAATTTTAAGCAGCATTGATTTTTTTCAATTAGCTTCAGATATGCTACACTCTGGAATAGGGATGTTAAACTCATGACATTGAAGAAAGGTTTGCACTTTTCCCTCATTTTCACTACTTGGCATTGCCTATCAAAGAGTAGCACATCCTGCAAAACCAACAAGAGGCATGGGCTAAGGAGAAAAGCAAGCCCAAAATATCTAGCAAGCATGTCTTCATTTGCACAATTTAGCTTTTCAAAAATAACAAGGGGACTGGTATTTTCTGTATCATAGGGCTCATAGATGGACTTGTAAAAAAAATCATGTGATGATCACTTAGCATTAGGTAACATTTAAGCAATCTTGGGCGCCTAACGCTTGAAGGCCTGATGATTTCAAATGGACAATAACTTTGGTTTAGATTCCAATATTTTATAGAATTGCATGGTTTCAAATTCACCATAAACAAGATGCCTCTTTTGAGCATCAAATTCCAAGAGCTATTTAGCATCAAGGAATCACATTAGCTGTACAACTCATGATGGTGTTAATTAGGAAAGGAGCTAGAGAAAAAAAAAAAAACCATCACTGAAGCTTTAATACACTATTTAAAACTCACTACTAACCTGAAGAACTATTTTTTCTGGGGAAGTGCTAATGATATGAACTAGCAAAAAATTTTACTAGTTCCTTAATTATAAATCATCTGAGAGAAAATTGCAACTTGGTATGGACCTCACCAAACCCCTCGCCAATTCAATCGGGCCCTCCTTTGATAATTTAACAACAAATTCCTGTCTGGAATCATCCATTCAAGTGCCTTTTTAAATGAATCCCATTTCAATTTTTTAATAAAGTGCCACCAGTAGATCTGCAAGTTGAGAAAAGCAGCTCAGGTGACACACGTGGCACCAAAAAGATTATTGAGTGGGTCAAAAATCCTGCCTGGGCACAAAATAGAAGAAGAGCCTAAGAAGGTGACTAGACTTAGGGACTTCAAGAAGAACAAGCACTGAAAACAGCAGTTTAACTACCTCGGACAGTAAGCAACAAGCCTGCAGTCCCCAGATAAGCGGCCCAGAGGGAGCTGAGGGGATGGAGTTGGAAAGGGGGACCACAGAGCCGGGGAAGAAGCAGCGACCAAGAAGGAGCGCAAAGGAGTGACAGGCAACGAGCCCACAGGGACCACACCAATGCAACAGGAAGAACCACGGGGATGGGACAGGACAGGACAGGGCCGGGGGGAGGGGGCGACAGGGATGGAGCTGGTCCAGCCAAGTCATAACCAGCCCCTCCCTGGGGCGCTCGCTGCGCGCAGGGCGCCGCGCTGGGCACTTTGGAGCGCTCTCTCCCGGAGTCCCCCCCACCGGCCATCCGATGCCCCATTTCAGAGACTGGAACGGGGAGGCCGGCCCCGCATCGCCAGTTCCGCGGTGTCACCCGCACCCAGGACAGCGACGACTCAATGCCCGACCCTCCCGGACGCAGGAGGTCGCTGACGGCCGCTTGGGGACGGCGGCGTGGGGACCAGCGCGGGCCGGGGCAGCTGGTACCTGGGATCGGGCAGGACGGTCCTCTTGCTGGCGCGGGCGGCCGGAGTCGCCTTGCTCTTCTCCATGGCCATCAGGTAACTGGCATCTGCCAGCACAGCCTCCGGGTCCGCCACGTTGGCGAGTTTTGGCGGCGGCGGCGGTTACTCGGACCCGGATGGGACGCGCTGCCGCCACCGCCGCCGCCGCCGCCAGCTGAGCCCCGACCTGGTGGGACTGGGGCAGCCCCAGGGCAGCCCCTGCTCGGCGCGCCCCACCAGCGCCCTGCAAGCGCCGCAGGCTGTAGCCCGCCGGGGTCGCAGTGCGCCTTCCGCTCCGCCGCCTCGCGCGCCGCCCCCCAGCTCATTCCGCGAGGGTCTGCGGGGAGCTCGCGGCCCGACGGTCGGTGCACCTCAGCGCACAGTCCCAGCGGCCAGGCTTGTCCCGCGCCTCTCGACCAAGTCTCTACGGTAGCCCTCCCTCCCTTCGGGGTGGCCACAAGGGACTCCTCCTCCTCCTCTTCTTCCTCCCCCACCTCTCCTTCGGCCTCCGCCTACTCCTTCTCCTCCTCGTTCGCTGCTCCGACCTCCTGCCCCCAGCTCCATGCGTTCTCATGCCCGCCCAGCTCATCCAGAGAAGCCCTGGGCCCCGTGCCCACTACTCAAGGGGCATCGGGGAGGCCTCTGCTACCTGGACACAGTAGTTCTCAAACGGGACAGCATCAATCAGCATCCTCCAGGAGGTCTGGGATGACCCCGGAAATGCATGTGTCCCACCTGTCCCCGCAGGTAATGATGAAGCCCCTGCTCTGGTCCAAGCTACCTGTGAACAGCGCCCAGCGGGCCGGGCCCCCAACCTCGCTCCTGAACGTACCCGCAAGCCCGCCGTGAGAATTCAGCGAAGAGTAAAGGCTGGAGAAAGTTGCGTGTCTCAGGCTAAGCAGAGCAAAGTGGGGTGAGGGCTTCGCCGCTAGGAACAGAGATGCCCTTAGGGAGCCCCCTGATGGAAGAGCTCTCTGCTTAAGAAGGTCAGCACGCCCTTACACTCAGGTGAGAGGTTTTAGTTTGGGTGTTGAAATAGAAGGAGAGAGAGTATTCCTGCCCTTAGGGTTTTACGGTCAATACAAGAGACAATTAGGGAGCATCTGCTGCGAGCACGCTCGCACCACGAGGGTGATTTAGGGAAGTGGAAAAGCAAGATACAGCCCAAACACCGAAGCTGGGGGGTAATTTCCAGCTTCCCAATCTTCCGTCTCGGTGTCTTTCATCATCACACCACTCCGCTGCCTGGGGTTTTCAGTTGCTTCTAATTTTTCTACAGTTTGCACACAAGTCCGCATTCAGTATTCATGTGACACTCAGGCTGGAGTGGTGGTAAGGGACACGCAGGCAGTCTTAGGAAGACTTAACCTGGAAATTGATGTTTTAAAATCCCTTTCATTCACCTGAATTGGTCACGTGTTCCCATGAGCCTAGACGTTGCTAGAATTGGAGTAAATGTTCTGTCTAAACTTACAGGGTTAATGGGACCCACCAGATACAGTTAAGGTCAAATTTCAGATATTTCATGTAATGTCATTGCAGAAGCAGCCTGATTCCATCATCAAGTAGCCTGATGCCCTCTTTTATTTTCTGTCCCCACCCCCACCCCCCTCAATCTGATTCCCTGCTATGCCTGCCGTCACCATTGGCCAGTTTTACCACGTTTTTCAAGATCCAAGGCACAATAGGCATAAAGTTATCCTGAAAAGGACAAGAGGAGTGTCAGAAGTAGGAATGGCAGTCGAAGGAGCTTCGTCTGGCAGCAGAAAGCCAAAATGACAGGCAAGCACAAAATATATTAATGAGACAAAGCTATGCATGAGCGAAATATCAAACTTTCATCTTCTACCCACTTTTTTTTTTTTTTGCTTAAAAATAGGAAGACAGAATGTCTTGTCAAGGGTCACCCCAGGAGGAGGAGTAAATTCTCCAAAAATCAGAACATATTTTTATGATTTAATTAATGCAATTTCTCTCAATGTTTCTGTTTGTCATTTGAGCATCCACATGATCAGACCTGACATCTGCCTACATTTTATTGGTCATCTTTGACTTCAGTTAAGAACCCTTTGGGTTTTGCTTTTTGCTTTTTTTTCCCCCCAGCAGCACACTGTAGTAAGTTTGGAACAAGACACACCTGAAATCAAGTCCCTGCTCTGGGCTGGGTGATCTTAGAGGCAATCTCTTAACCTCATTCTACTTTATTGTTCTCATAGGAAAAGTGGAAATGAGGCCTTTTACCCCAGGGTTGTTGAGAAGACAGGGGAGAAAAAGCACATAAAAATGCACCTTGTCGGGCGCAGTGGCTCACACCTGTAATCCTGCACTTTGGGAGTCTGAGGCAGGTGGATCGCTTGAGGCCAGGAGTTCAAGACCAGCCTGGCCAACATGAAAAATACATTAAAAATAATGTCTCTATTAAAAATACAAAAATTAGCCAGGCATGGTGGTGCACGCCTGTAACCCAGCTACTCAGGAGGCTGAGGCACAAGAATCGCTTGAACCCAGGAAGTAGAAGCTACAGTGAGTCGAGATTGCACCACTGCACGCCAGCCTGGGTGAAAGAGTGAGACCCTGTCTGAAAAAAAAAAAAAAAAAAAAGCATTTTGCCTGGCACCCAGTAGATCCTCAATAAAGGTCATGTCACTTCCTCTGTTTATTTTGCTTCATTTTACCCTGGCATGCTAGAGAAGATGCTGAAACTAGTTGTTCACAGTTGTTACACTTGAAGCAGGAAGACCCCTTACCAAAAATAACATCTCCCTAGGGCATTTCTCAGAACTAAAATGGCAAAAACATTTGCATTTACAAACAAGAACAATTACTCTTTTGGCAGAAAGAACAAGGAGTCCAAAATTTGGTCCTCTAACTGAGGCCCCTACACCATTTGAGTCAGCTGACTCAATTACCCAGGGGTATTTTTTTCCGGTGTTCATAGTGTATGAATTTCTGTTCCCTGGCTGTCTCTTTGGTTGTCTCACTTTCTCCACCCCCTCTTCTTTCTCTTTTTCTTGACTCTTTTAATACTGAACAGCTTTTTGTCTTCACTGCAAACAGAAGGGGTTAATGACAGTGATGATGAAGTTGTCATAACTGACCTGCTGGATCCTGTTACTAAACACCATCCCCAGCCTGTAATCATCACAAAGAACAGAGAAAACAAATAGCAACCCATTTGTACTTAGCTAATAATGTTCCCTTGCAAATAATTATGTCTCCCACCCCCAGAGGATTTAAATGACTTGGGGCTCACGCTGTTTGTGAAAATAGACAAAACTCCAGCGTTCCCACAAGATTAATAATGTTCCCTTTTCTTCTTTTCTATGCCTTTCCATCGTTATAGGAGATGTTGCTGAGATGGGTGCATTAAAGTTTAGGCTTTCCAGAGTTTATATTGCTAACGACTTGAAAGGAAAAAAGCTAACTAGAGAACTGACTGGTCTTATTTGTTTTAGATTTCGGGCTTTACTAAGACTTCCTACACTCAATCTCTGGACTGTAAATGCTGGGTGGGGTGGGAGCTGGGAATGTTATTCTGGGAAATTAATCACAAATGAAAAGAAAATCAACTCTAAGACTTCAATTACAAGATTTTTGAAAATGGCAGAACATGGCTGGCCTTCATTCAAGTCCGAATATTTAAAGCAATCCTTGCTAAGAAGAACTTGATTTTATATAAGGAGTCCCTTAAATACAGTTGCTTCTCAAGAAAACCACACACAATTGATGTTTGAATGGCTTTATTTACAAACATCTCACTCTGTAAGCCTCTGCAGGTATTTCTAGCCTCCCTGGGAGGCCACTGTCCCGTTTCACCTGTAATTTGGATCACAATTCTGTTTGTTGTCACACACATCATACGAGCTGCTTTTCATGCTACTTTTATCCACAAAGCTTTACAAACTTTAATGGCAGCTCTATATATGACAACTTTAAAAAGATCTGCCAAAAGGTATGATGCCAAGCTTTGGTTTTATTAAACTATTAGCTATTAGCACTGAAACGATGTTCAGTAGAGAAGTACTCTCCTTTCGATATGTGAGTGGAAACACATTTCTCTATGGGGACTGCTGGTCAGGGAGTCACTCTAAAGAAAAGTGACAGTGTTGTTGTTGTTGTGGTTCAGAGCATGGGCTCAAAAGTCAAATGGCCTGAATAAGAAGCCCGAGACCAGTCCTTCTGAGCTGTGTGACCTTAGACAAGTTGTCTAATCTCTCTGTGTCTCAGCTCTGCCTCAGTGTTGTTAACGGGATTGCCGTGAGAGCAATGCTGTAACATGTAAAAAGTGCTTAGAACTGTGTCTGGCCCTCTCCCCTCTCCCCTCTTCCCCTCCCCCTCCCCCTCTTCCCCTCCCCCTCTCCCCCTCCCCCTCACCCCCTCCCCCTCCCCCTCTCCCTCTCCCCACGGTCTCCCTCTCCCTCTCTTTCCACGGTCTCCCTCTGATGCCCAGCCGAAGCTGGACTGTACTGCTGCCATCTCGGCTCACTGCAACCTCCCTGCCTGATTCTCCTGCCTCAGCCTGCCGAGTGCCTGCGATTGCAGGCGTGCGCCGCCACGCCTGACTGGTTCTCATATTTTTTTGGTGGAAACGGGGTTTCGCTGTGTTGGCCGGGCTGGTCTCCAGCTCCTAACCGCGAGTGATCCTCCAGCCTCGGCCTCCCGAGGTGCCGGGATTGCAGACGGAGTCTCGTTCACTCAGTGCTCAATGGTGCCCAGGCTGCAGTGCAGTGGCTTGATCTCGGCTCGCTACAACCACCTCCCAGCCGCCTGCCTTGGCCTCCCAAAGAGCTGAGATTGCAGCCTCTGCCCGGCCGCCACCCCGTCTGGGAAGTGAGGAGCGTCTCTGCCTGGCCGCCCATCGTCTGGGATGTGAGGAACCCCTCTGCCTGGCTGCCCAGTCTGGAAAGTGAGGAGCGTCTCTGCCCGGCCGCCATCCCATCTAGGAAGTGAGGAGTGCCTCTTCCCGGCCGCCATCCCATCTAGGAAGTGAGGAGCGTCTCTGCCTGGCCACCCATCGTCTGAGATGTGGGGAGCGCCTCTGCCCTGTCGCCCCGTCCGGGATGTGAGGAGCGTCTCTGCCCGGCCGCCCCATCTGAGAAGTGAGGAGACCCTCTGCCTGGCAACCGCCCTGTCTGAGAAGTGAGGAGCCCCTCTGCCCAGCAGCCGCCCCGTCTGAGAAGTGAGGAGCCCCTCCGCCCGGCAGCCACCCCGTCTGGGAAGTGAGGAGCATCTCTGCCCGGCAGCCACCCCGTCCAGGAGGGAGATGGGGGGGTCAGCCCCCCGCCTGGCCAGCCGCCCCGTCCGGGAGGTGAGGGGCGCCTCTGCCCGGCCGCCCCTACTGGGAAGTGAGGAGCCCCGCTGCCCGGCCACCACCCCGTCTGGGAGGTGTACCCAGCAGCTCATTGAGAATGGGCCATGATGACAATGGCGGTTTTGTGGAATCGAAAGGGGGGAAAGGTGGGGAAAAGATTGAGAAATCGGATGGTTGCCGTGTCTGTGTAGAAAGAGGTGGACATGGGAGACTTTTTATTTTGTTCTGTACTAAGAAAAATTCTTCTGCCTTGGGATCCTGTTGATCTGTGACCTTACCCCCAACCCTGTGCTCTCTGAAACATGTGCTGTGTCCACTCAGGGTTAAATGGATTAAGGGCGGTGCAAGATGTGCTTTGTTAAACAGACGCTTGAAGGCAGCATGCTCCTTGAGAGTCATCACCACTCCCTAATCTCAAGTACCCAGGGACACAAACAGTGCGGAAGGCCGCAGGGTCCTCTGCCTAGGAAAACCAGAGACCTTTGTTCACTTGTTTATCTGCTGACCTTCCCTTCACTATTGTCCTGTGACCCTGCCAAATCCCCCTCTGCGAGAAACACCCAAGAATGATCAATAAAAAAATAAATAAATAAATAAAAGAACTGTGTCTGGCACACAGAAAGCACTCGATAAATATTGACCAGGTTATCAGCAGCAGCAGCATCGCTGGAGCATCTCTACATCATACAGGGCCTGATGGAAAGAGACCAGCACTGAGAATGAACAGAACAGTGCTGGCTCTGACCCGCTGGCTCTGGCATTGCTGAATAACTCTAAGCAAGTCTCTTAAGCTTTTTAAATCTCACTTTTCACCAATAACTAATGAAGGGATTGAAGGAGCAGGTCCCCTGACGTCTTTTCAAATTCTAAAATTCTCCAGCTGTATTTAATCCTGCAGTGAATCCTTTTGCAAGGTAAAGAGTACTCGCTCCCCTCAATAACATCTTATGAGTTTAGGTTTCGGTGCACAGGGCAATACCCAGGGCAGAAGTTAGTATTTTTAAATGTGTCATCCATATCTCTCAGACTGCTTTTTATTGTCTAGAAAATGTTAGGTTTTATCTACTAATGAAGAGAAAACTGTCAGTCAGACTGTTAGAAGTGATGGGGTATTTTTATGAAAAGAAACATATTCAACCTTGAAACTAGAAACCATTTTTGTTTCCCCTAACCAGGGCCTGTCTGTCAATTTCTCACATTTTCAAAGCCCCACTGCACAACCTGAATGAAAACACAATGTCAGCCAGGCGCAGTGGCTCACGCCTGTAATCCCAGCACTTTGGGAGGCCAAGGCGGGCGGATCATGAGGTCAGGAGATCGAGACCATCCTGTCTAACACGGTGAAACCCCATCTCTACTAAAAATACAAAAAATTAGCCAGGCGTGGTGGCGGGCGCCTGTAGTCCCAGCTACTTGGGAGGCTGAGGCAAGAGAATGGCGTGAACCTGTGAGGTGGAGCTTGCAGTGAGCCGAGATCGGGCCAGTGCACTCCAGTCTGGGCAACAGAGCAAGACTCCGTCTCAAAAAAAAAAAAAAAAGAAAGAAAACACAATATCATTATGGTTACTGAAATCAATTATATGTCCAGGTTTTCCATTTGCATGCAGCTTCCTTCAGACAAGAATGCTTTTCAGAAAATCTTTATTCCCTTTGGATTTTTTTCCCCTGAAAGCTTTTATGATTAATGTGACAACACAAACGCAGCCATGTCTATAACTGTCTTCCATAGATACGCAAATAGAATGTACTGAAGCATCACAGGTTGAACTTGCTCATTGCCTTGCAGGACTGACACAACCCCGGCTAGAAGCCTCAACCTCATCGTTGCGTGCTCTCCCTCTCTTCCGTCACTGCTAGTTGCCTCTATGTCCTACTGATTCCAGCACTCAGGGTCTCAGACATCCAGCCTCCCTCTCCTTTCTGCTTGGCCTCATCTCTCTACCAGCATCTTTCATGATGGGTGGTAGCAACAGCCTAGTTTCCCTGCCACCAGTCCCTCCCCTCCAACCACTCACAATACAGCAACCAAAACTGTCTTCCTAGAAAAATCACAAGCCTGATAGTCTTAAAGTCCTGCTTAAAAATTGTCAATGTGGGGGCCAGGCACGGTGGCTCACGCCTGTAATCCCAATGCTTTGGGAGGCTGAGGTGGGGGGATCACGAGGTCAAGAGATCAAGAGATCGAGATCATCCTGGCCAACATGGTGAAACCCTGTCTCTAATAAAAATACAAAAATTATCTGGGCATGGTGGCTCATGCCTGTAGTCCCAGCTACTTGGGAAGCTGACGCAGGAGAATCGCTTGAACCTGGGAGGCGGAGGTTGCAGTGAGCCGAGATTGTGCCACTGCACTCTAGCCTGGTGACAGAGAAAGACTCCATCTCAAAAAAAAAAAAAAAAAAGATTGTCAATGGCCTCCCATCAATCAAGAAACAAAATACAAAATCCTTAGCATGGTATAAACACTTTTCATAATCTCATAATCTTACCCTCTCTTTCTTTCTCTCTCTCTCTCGTTTTCTAGAAATACTCTTTTGTGCTCTTCCCACCTCATGGCCTCAGAACATGCCAGAAATTTTTATTCCTCTCTGCTTTTACTCATATTATTTCCCTACATGGAATGCCCTACATGCTTATCCATTCCGACATCTTCACCTAATCAACTTTTACTCATTCTATGGCACCCAGTGGGTTTCAATCACCTCTCCTGTGAATCTATTTCATCTCCCCAACTCCAAACACAACTAAGCCTTCCCTTCTGCAGGCTTCTGTTACACTGTTGTCAGGCTTTATTTTAGTATTTATCTTCTACAACAGAGATAGGTTTGTATACCCACTTCTTACTAAGAATTGTACACCAATAAATTCATCTATATGAAATGGACAAATTCCTGGAAACACACAAACTACCAAACTGACTCAAAAAGAAATAGAAAATCTGAATAGGCTTATAACAAGGTAAGAGATTAAAGCATAATAAAAAAGCTCTCAAAAAGGAAATCACAGGACTAGATGACTGGTAAATTCTACCAAATATTTAAAGAAGAATTAACACCAATCCTTTGCAAATTCTTATTTAAAAAAAATAGAAGAGGAAGGAATACTTTACTCTGATACAAATGTCAGACAAAGTATTACTCTGATACAAATGTCAGATAAAGACATCACAAGAAAAGAAAACTACATACCCACTTCTTACTACAGGATGTGAGTGCCTGTGTCTCACTCAGCTTTGGGCTCTGAGCACCCAGCACAATTCCTGGCACACAGTGAGAAACCATAGAGCCTTCTTTATTCCTGAATAATTTAATGGCTAACCATGGGTGATGTTTGAACTGAAGGAGGTTGTCTGACTTGAAAGGATTTGAATCCCAAGATAGTTTTAGATGGTTATAGAAAGATGTGTTATTCTTAACATCACTCAGAAAGTAAGTCTATCACATTCAATCAGCTTTGTGATTTCTCTCTTCCAAATTCCCCAAGGGAGGGAGTTGGAGCTGGGTAAAGTTCAAGTTTCACTTAATGAGGTAATGATTTGTCCTCTTTCTTGTGGGAGTGGCTGCAAAGATGAGAGGATCGCACAAGAGCCCAAGAGCATTCCTTGTGTATTTCTAGAACACAGTAGATAATCATATGGAACTATTACTCAGCAGCTGAACTACTCTCTGGGAAGATCCTTGGGTTGGGATTGGGAACAGGCTAGAGGGACAGAGGCCCTCCTTTTTTTTTTTTTTTTTAATCGTTGCTATTGTTTTATTTTTTTTTGGGTGTTGCAACACGCAGAACATTAATGGAGGATGAGAGTGCAGTTACTAAGGAGACGTTAGAAGCTTCAAGGAAAAAAGGAAAAGGAAAAGGAAAGGCAAAAGAGGTGTCATCACAGAAGTCCTATGGGGATGGGCGATGAGGAATCTCATTAAGTTTTGCTTTTTCATGTGTCATGTAAATTCTCTCCCCAGTGTTTCCATAACACTTTGAGTAAAACACCCATTTCTCATTAACATAGTGTGTAGTTAGACTTTGTTTTTAAAGATTGATCCCAAGTACTGAGTCCATTTTAAGGTGCTCTCACAATGAGAGCAGATCTCCCCATTAGAACCCACTGTATTTAAACGGCAAGCCAATGTTTGATGTACCAACTGGAATGCTTTTAGTTGAAAGAAACAGAACCCCAGCTTAAAATAATGTGAACAGTGAAAGGAATTTATTGATTTATGTAAATAAAAATGGGTAAACACTAGTTTCAGGAATGGCTTGATCAGGGTGCTAACTCCATTGCTCTGCAGTTCTCTTGATTTTGCCTTCCTGAACATGATGGTTTACTTTTCAGACTCACTTTTATCATGGTGACAAAATGTCTGGAACAGTTCCATACACCACATCTTCCTGAAGAAAAGTGTCTTTACCTCGACTATCAGACAAAATCCTAGGTTTCACTCTAACTGAGCAAACCAGTCACATGCCCATCTCTGAATCAATCGCCATGGCCGAGGGAAGTGCCGTGCTCTGATTGGCTTAGGATGAGATTTGTGCCCATCTCTGAAACAGTCCTATGCAAGAGTAGGATTTTCTGATTGGTTTCGTCAATTGGAGGGGTGTTTACCTCTGGAACTGTGAATGGAGTCACTGTCCCCTAAATTATTATACATGACTGCCATGCATTGGGAGTAGAGTCGGTACTCTCAAAATCACATGTCCCCATGCCTTTGCAGAGCAGATGAATGGATGCCGCTAAAAAAGCCATCAATGTCTTTCTGAATGGGAATTTTCCTTTGGGATGTAAAAACTGCCTTTCATTCTGGCCTTTGATTCTCCAACACAAAATTAAACCACTCTGCTACTTCTCCAGTGTGCATGAATGTGTCCACACTTTTCTTTGCTTGATGTATTTTATCAGTTGCTCCAAACATTAGCAAAAAGCTGTTCATGGACTTAAACATTATTTAGAAACAAGCAACCTTGGTGTTGAACAAGCCTTTGACAATATACAGTTGTCTACCTTGAATCTTTCGCTCCTTTCATTAGGCTGAACAGCACAATGGTTAGGAATTGGGACTGCGGAATTGGACTGCCTGATTCCAGAATCTGGTTCTGCCACACACTGGCTGTGGACCTTGAATAATTTACTTAACCTTTCTGGGGCTTGGCTTTTTTATCTGCAAAATGGGGATAATGTGGGCACAAACCTCATAGAGCTGCTATGAGAACCAAATGCTATGATGAATATACAATGTTGGCTCAGTGCCTGGTAAATAGTGAATGCTCCAGAAATATGACGATGACGATGATGATGATGATGATGACGACGATGACAAGTAATTGGCCTTAGCTCTTGCTTTGTCCTTACCAGCTAAATAGAGTCTGACACCACAAATGTAACATTTTCTATAGCTCCAATAACAAAATCTAAGCATTACAGATTCTACACATTTGCTTCTTGATAAGAATTTATAGATTCACAGCTTCGCGCGGTGGCTAAGCCTGTAATCCCAGCACTTTGGGAGGCTGAGGCGGGCGCATCACGAGGTCAGGAGATCGAGACCATCCTGGCTAACATGATGAAATCCCGTCTCTACTAAAAAATACAAAAAAATTAGCCGGGCGTGGTGGTGGGCGCCTGTAGTCCCAGCAACTCGGTAGGCTGAGGCAGGAGAATGGCGTGAACCCAGGAGGCGGAGCTTGCAGTGAGCCAAGATCGCGCCACTGCACTCCAGCCTGGGCGACAGAGCGAGACTCCGTCTCAAAAAAAAAAAAAGGAATTTATAGATTCATAATTACCTAAGTCGAAAGCAGACTAAAATCTGAAGTTGGTGTTCAAATAACACTGCTATTGGAAAAATAAATTTAAAAAAGGGAAACTGGGGTAAATAGCTGAATAGTTAATTGTAGTACTTAAGTTATTAAAATATAAATAACGAATTACTAATAACAATGATTAACAGTTTTGATATTTAGATATGAAAGAGTTCCTTCCAGAAGAGTTGTATCAGTCCTGTTTCACAAACAGGCAGCATCATCTGTAGCAGGGTACAGAAAGCAGTCACCAAGCACCAAGACACTAGAGTCATTTATATGATCAAGAAAGGGCTTTGGCCGAGCGGGGTGACTCATGCCTGTAATCCCAGCACTTTGGGAGACCGAGGTGGGCGGATCACAAGGTTGGGAGTTCAAGACCAGCCTGACCAACATGGTGAAACCCGACTCTACTAAAAATACAAAAATTAGCCGGGTGTGGTGGTGGGCACCTGTAATCCCAGCTACTCAGGAGGCTGAAGCAGGAGATTCTCTTGAACCTGGGAGGTGGAGGTTGCAGGGAGCGGAGATCATGCAACTGCACTCCAGCCTGGGCAAGAGAACAAGACTCCATTAAAAAAAAGAGAGGGAGGGGCTTCAGTTTTTAGGGAAGCAATGCCCTTTTCTCCCTATCCTTTCAAACAGAAATTCAATTTTAAAAATCCTGACACACTGGGGTTTTATTCCCCCTTTCTCTACTCACCAAAGTAGTAGCTCATTAAATCCACATTCCAAAGCCTGCTGTAGTCAGAAGGCCCTTTCTGCATCCAGCTCAGCCTTTGTTATATCACATGGCTTCATGTGTCATAGTTTTTATAATTAAAAACAACTGATTTAAGAACATACATGAGTTTTGGAAAATCTCCAGAGGATGCAGAGGTAAGGAGCAGTGGTTCTCAAGCTTTGGGAGCTGCTAGAATCTTCTGGGCAGGCAAGTGGAGGAAAGAAGGACTGGTTCAAAATGCAGATTCCTGGTCCCAGCCCCAGAGACCCTAACTTGAAATGTCCAGGGTGGGGCCTGAGAGTCTGTACTTTTGTGCCAGCTTCTTGGACAACACTGAAGCAGATGTGGTGTGGATCATTCAAGAACCCTATCTGGAAGTTCAGAGGATCAGACCCTTCCACCTGAAGACAAACCCAACAGCCACTCAGTGTATTTATTTTATGGGGGTATATCACAGGGCATGTATTATGGACCGAATGTTTCTGTCTCCCTAAAATTCATGTTAAAGCTGTAACCCCCAGTGTGACGTTTTTGGAAATGGGAACATTTGGGAAGTAATTAGGTTTAGATGAAGTCATGGGGGCCAGGTTCCCATGATGGGATCCGTGTTCTTCTAAGAAGATGAAGAGACCAGGGCAATGTGCACTCTCTCTCTCACTCTCTCTCTTTCTCTCTCTCTCTCTCTTCCTATCCCCCTCTCTCTCTCAGTCTCTCTCTCTCTGCCATAGGACATGGTAAGAAGGTGGACACCTGCAAGACAGGAAAAGAGCCCTCACTGGGGAACTGAGTCTGCTGGCACCTTGACCTTGGACTTCCCAGCCTCCAGATCTGTGAGAAATAAGTTTCTGTTATTTGAGCCTCCCAGTCTATGGTATTTTGTGATGGCAGCCCGAGCTGACTAAGACAGTGTGTGAGCATGTGAGTGTGGGGGTGTGATAGAAGATGAACCAAAGCCAGCTAAAACCTGTCACAGGCTGAGACAACCCATCAGCCAAAACTCCAGGTTCAGGCTACGTAACATTGTCAGAGATCATCAAGTGCTGGTTTTAAGTAAAATATTTTCTCTAAAACTCATGACTTTAAAAACTCATGAATATGTTACTGTGTTGGAATTGTTTACATGCTTTGCATTTTATAAAGGAAGGCTTCACTCAATCAATATAGTCAGGCTCTGACTCTGGTAATAAAGGTTGTAATTTCTCATGTGTTTGAAGCCTCCCCTATGAACTGTATTAAATTAATCAGGAAAAAAGGGAGGAGGAGAAATGAAAATGAAACAAGCTTGTAGCACATTCAGCACTAATCATTAAGTCAACCCGCTCTCTGACCTCCTTCCTCATATTTGTGTGGTACCTATTGTCCTACAATCACGTAGACTCTGTTACAAGATTATAGCTCCCCTTAACTGCTCTATAGATAACAAACTGAACACTACAAAACAGTAAGTTTTCCTTTTGAGACAGTCCTTCAAGTCCTGCATACTAATAAGACTATAACACTAGCCAATCTGAAGGACCCAATGAGAATCTGACTGCCGAAGAATGCAGTTTTCACATCCTGATGATTTCATCTCCCTTTCCCTGATCAATCAACAGCCCCAATTCTCTAGTCCCTCACCCTCCATGATCCCCGTAAAAAACCCAGCCCAGGGCTGGGCACGGTGGCTCATGCCTGTAATCCCAGCACTTCGGGAGGCTGAGGCAGGCAGATCACCTGAGGTCAGGGGTTCAAGACCAGCCTGGTCAATATGGTGAAACCCCGTCTGTACTAAATATATATATATATATATATACATATATATATATACATATATATGTAACTAGCTGAGCGTGGTGGTGAATGCCAGCTACTCGGGAGGCTGAGGCAGGAGAATTGCTTGAACCCAGGAGACAGAGGTTGCCGTGAGCCGACACAGTGCCACTGCACTCCAGCCTTGGTGACAGAGTGAGACTCTGTCTCAAAAAACAAAACAAAACAAAACAAAAACAAAAACAAAACCCAGCCCAGAACTCCTTGGGGAGATAGATTTGAGGGTCTCCTCCCATCTCCTCACTCAGTGCCCTATGATCATGGATCTCTTTCTCTGTTGCAAACCTTGCTGTCTCAGTGTAATTGGTCTGTTACTGCACAGTGGACAAACAAACCTCTTGGTCCTATAACATGATTGTCCTTCTAGGGATAATCAGCAGAACTGTATTTGCCTGAAAGTGTTCTTAGCTGTAGATGCTGGAGGCATCTGAGTTTTAATTATAATATGTACCTAGACGTGGGTAGGTACAGGCACATGCATTACATACATTGTATCTGACACTTCTTGGGCACTGCTGTGGACTTCTGGCCTCTGCTATATTTGGGACCCTTGGCTACTAGTTCTATTCCGTTGCCATGGGGGTGATCAACTGTGCATGGGCTCTGACCACCTCTACACAGGGAAAGCTCTGCAGCCCTTGCTCACTGTCATGTTGATGCTGAGACTTAAGAGCAGCAGAACTGACTCAGCAACCATTCATAAGCAACTTGGGTTTTTAATGATTGCCCTTTGCAGCAAACCTTTGACAAATCTAGACTGGAAGTTGATGCATCTGTTCCTTCCCCTTCCTGCTCCCAGTTGAATGATCTTTAAACACAGTAATTCATGTAGCCCCACCAAAGATGGTCCCATAAGAGGGGCAACCAGTAGCTCTTGATACCAAGAGACGACCAGACAGGATCGCATGCTTGCGTTGTCTCTCCTTTCTTTCCCTGTCTCATTCCTCTTTTCCTTCACTCGTATTTCCCTGGGACTGCACCCCCACTTGTAAAAGAGCAACACATAAGGTTTTGCCTCATGTTCTGCTTTCTCGGAAATGCAGGCTAATGCACATGGACATATAGACTCCACAGGGGCAGAGACTTTTGTCCATTTTGTTCACTGTTGCATCTTCAGCATTTACTGGCACATAGTAGGAGCTTAATAAATATTTGCTAAATGAAAAGTAAATATGCCAGGCTCTGTGCTAAGCATTCTTCATGGATCATGTCATTTCATTTTCACAACAACCCTGTGACATAGGTACTATTATTATCTGTATTTTACAGGTGAGGAAAGAGTATCAGAGAGGTCAAGCAACTTGCTCAAGGTCACTCAGCAAGAAAGTGGTAAAGCTGGGATAGGAACACAGGAGATCTGAGCCACGTTCAAAACGGAAGTGGTACATTCATGCCACTAATCAGTTATTCAAACTGGTAACACTTAATCAAACTGTTACCTTCTAATTTTAGAGCTCTCCCACCTTCCTTTTTCCTTTTTAATTGTAAAAAAACACATAATGTAAAATGCACCACCTCAACCATTTTTAAGTGTACAATTCAGTGGCATTCGTTTACTCGTGTTATTGTATAACCATAACCACCATCCATCTCCAGAAGTCTTCGTCTTGCAAAACTGAAACTCTGTACCAAGTAAACAATAAGTCCCATCTCCCCTTTCTCTGTAGCCCTTGGCAACTACCATTCTATTTCCTGTCTATGAATTTGCCTATTCTGGGCACTTCATTGAAATAGAATCACACAGTATTTGTCTTTTTGTGACTGGCTGATTTCATTTAGCATAATATCTTCAAGGTTCATCCATGTTGTAGCATGTGTCATAATTTCCTTCCGTTTTAAGGCTGAAAAGTATTCCACTGTATGGATAGATGACATTTTGTTTATCCATGCATTGCTGGATGGACCCTTGCGTTGTTTCCCCATTTAGCTATTGTGAATAATGCTGCTCTCAATATGGGTGTATGAATACCTCTTTGAGACCCTGCTTTCAATTTTTGGGGGTTTATATGCAGAAGTGAATTCCACTTTCTTTTCTATACCACTCACTGCATAATGGTCAAAGAGTCTTGTGCCTCTGATTCTCCACCCTCCTCCTCCCCCAAGCTTCATCACTCCTAGCCAAGGACCTTTAATTATTCTCTGTGGTGTGGTGGGAAAGAAACAAGGGAAATGACAGGAAGGCACCAGGGATGCAGATCTAGTAGGGATGGATGAAATATTAAGGGGCCAGAAGTGAAGACTAACGGAAACGGGATGGGAAGGTGAGGATTGGAGAGCAGGATCCTTCCACCCCAGTGAAACCACCACAAGGACCTTCTTAGGGCCCGTCATGGTCTGTGAATATTCAAGGACTCCAGTGGCAGCAGGTCACTGCCTCCCAGGAGGTCTTACCACCTCTCTGGGCCTCAGTTTTCATGAGCGTAAAACTTGTGGATTGGATGAGTTTAGGGACCTGAACCAGTAATTTTAAACTCTTATGATACGTCACAACCTGTGCTAAGCACGTTTCATGTATTATCTCATTTAATTCTCTCAGTGCTCCCATGAGGTAAGGGTGGTCCCCATTTTACAGATGAGGAAACAGAAGTACAGGGTGAATGAATAACTTGCCTGATGTTTTGATGCCAGGAAATGCTAGAATTTGTATCACAGAGTTTGCATCTAAGCTCTCTGGACATAATCACTAACCTGTGCTGCCAACTGGCCACAGGCCAGCCTTGGGGATCCCTGAGCCAGGCAGTTCCAGTCCTTTGGCTACCTGTTGTCATCCCTCTTCCTGCAGCCCTACTATTGAAGACTATTAGGATTCCCAGAAACGGGAGCATGGTGAGACGGGGAGGGAGAGATGCTACTGACAGCATTGCTCTCTCCCTACTCCTGCTTAAATATGGGAACAAGGAGAAATTATTAACTTAGCCAAATCATACAGAGTAGGGTGAAACTAGGCTCAAAAAATGAAATGAAGTTACATATAAATGAATGAACAAATAAAAAGATATGCAAGGCCAGGCGTGGTGGCTCACACCTGTAATCCTAGCATTTTGGGAGGCCAAGGTGGGTGGATCATGCAGTCAGGATATAGAGACCATCCTGGCCAACATGGTGAAACCCCGTCTCTACTAAAAATACAAAAATTAGCTGGGCGTGGTGGCATGTGCCTGTAGTCCCAGCTACTCTGGAGGCTGAGACAGGAGAATCGCTTGAACCAGAGAGGCAGAAGTTGCAGTAAGCCGAGATCATGCCACTGCACTCCTGCCTGGCGACAGTGCGAGACTCCGTCTCAAAAAAAAAAAAAAAAAATTATGCAGAAAGAGAGGTAACCAGCCTGTGAAACCATATTCTGCTTTATTGACTTTTAGATTCAAATTTCAGTTGAATTTGCCAAAGATACAAACCCGATGTGTCTGAATTTAGCAATTTTGGAACTTGTAAAAATAGAAATTTGTCCTTGCATTTACCTACATAAGTTTTTAAACTTTCCAGGACCCTTCCAGACTTCTATAGTGGAAAGCACGAGAAGGTCTGATTTCTGGTTTTAGCTGTGTGACCTTGTGCCAGTCACTTACCCTCTCTGGGCCTCAGTTTCCCTGTGTATCAAATAGTGATTGGCCTGGATAGCCATTAAAGTCCATTCAAGCCACGGCCTGATTTCATGTTCTGGTGCCCATTTGAGCCTCATGACTTATGACTAATGTAGGCAAACCAGGCACAAGTCTTTGTAAATGACAAGAAGAGGAAATAGAGGCCAAGGGAGGTGAAGTTATAGTTAACAGTCACTGGCAAGGCTGGGAAAGGGACTCCAGCCAGAGTTCTGGGCCATTACTTGTAGACCTCATAGTCATGTGAATAAGATAGAAGATAAAACCATTAATGTTTTCCTGAGCCTAAGCAAGATACTAGCTCATTCCCAGGACTCAGCCCAGAGCCTGGCATAGAGTAGGTGCTCAATAAATACTTGCAGATCAATAAAGGAATAGACGTGAAAGCATAAACACATTGAAACCAAAACATTTTTAGCTGCTTTTTAAAGGTAATTTAAAATAACCTTTTTGATTTAGAATAGTCTTAGATTTACTGAAAAATTGCAAAGGTAGTGCAGAGTGCTCCAACAAACCACACACCCAGTTTCCCCTGTTGTTAACATCTTACATTCAGATGATACACTATTCACAATTAATGAACTAATATTCATGCATCATTATTGCTATGGTTTGGATGTCCTCTCCAAAACTAATGTTGAAATTTCATTGCCATTGTGATGGTATTAAGAGGTGGGACCATTAAGAGGTGATTTAATCATGAGGGCTTTGTCTTCATGAATGGATTAATGCTGTCATGGGGGAGGTAGGTTAGCTATTGCAGGAGTGGGCTCCTGATAAAAGGATGAGTTCAGCCTGATTTCCTTTTTCTCACATGCTCCCTTACTCTTCCACCTTTCGCCATGGAATGACACAACATAAAGGTCCTTGCCAGATACTGGTGCCATGCTCTTGGACTTTCCAGCCTGCAGAACCATAAGCCAAATAAATTTCTTTTCTTTATAAATTACCCAGTCTGTGGTATTGTGTTATAGCAACACAAAATGGACTAAGGCAGTTATTAACCACAGCCTGTACTTTATTCAGATTTCTCTAGTTGTTACCTAATGTTCTTTTTCTGTCCCATGGTTTCATTCAGGATACCATATTACACTCATTACTTGGGCAATTGTTAAACTTCCCCTAAGCCCCATATTGCCCCTCTTGTTCACTATTGCCCTACTTCAATCCAGCTTCCACGTTGGAGCCAGCAAGATATTTAAAATATAAGAACCTGATCATTTACCCCACCCTTTGCTTCAAGAAGTCCCCCATGACTTTGAAGAAAGAGTTGCAATTTGTTAAATGAGTACTCAAGGCATTTTATAGCCTTTAAGGACCTGAATCTTCCACTCTGTCTTTACTGTGTTGTAAGATGCTGTCAATTGCAAGTTGTGACAAACCCACTTCGAATGGCCTTAAACAATAAAGAGTATTGGCTTATGTGATAGTTAATTGTATGTGTCAGTTTTACTGGGCTAAGGGATACACAGATAGCTGGTAAAACATTATTTCTGGTGTGTCTGTGAGGATGTTGCTGGAAGAGATCAGCATTTGAATCAGTCGACTGAGTAAAGAAGATCCACCTTCAATTATGCAGGTGGACACCATCCAATCCATTGAGGGCCTGAATAGACCAAAAAGGCAGAGAAAGGGAGAATTTTCTCTCTGGTTGAGCTGGGACATCTGTCTTCTTCTGCCCTTGAACATCAGTGATTCTGGCTCTCAAGCCTTTGTACTCAAAGTGGGACTTACACCATTGGCACCCCTTGTTTTGGTGCCTTCAATTTCGGATAGGAAATACACCACCAGCTTTCCTGGGCCTCCAGCTTGCAGACAGCAGAGCATGGGACATCTCAGTCTCCACAGTCACATGAGCCAATCGCTCATAATAAATCTCTTTCTATATATCTCTCTATAGAGAAATATATGTATTTCTGCTTGTTTCTGTTTCTTTGGAGAACCCTGAGTAATACAGCTTATATAAATGAAAAGTCAAACAGGGATGTGTGCTTCAGGCATAGTTTAATCCAGAGGTTTACTCTATCAGCAGGGCTCAGCTCCCTTTCCCTTCTCCTCCAGTCTGCCTTTCTATGTCCATTGATTTTGTCGTTCCTAGAACAGCTTCTTACCTGGCAGCAATATAGCCCCAGAGTTCCATGACTCATATCCACACTCCAACACCTAGAAGAAAAAAGAACAAGCTTTTTAAACAGTAAAGAGCTCTGAGATTCACTCTGACTGGACTAGCTGAGATCTCATGCCTATGATTGGCCATACCAGTTGGTTCAGGGATTATCACAAGTATTACCAGCATAGCCTTTATTGCGTTGAACTACAATTCTGGTTTTCTCATTGATGTCTCCAATAGATGGTGTTATGTTATTCTCCTTTATATCCCCACTGCCTAGGACATAGTCATACTCAAGAAATGTGAATTGGATTTTCAAAGCACAGGGTTAGTTTTCCTCTTCTCTTGTCAAACTCCTGTGCTAGCTTAATCTGGGCCTCAGCAGTCTGTGGGCATAAAAGCTGCCCCATTAATAGTTGTAAATGCATAAATAAATACCAACTTGACTGCCTCTTTTCTCCATAGGACCTCGGCTCTTATAATTCCTCCACAGCCGGGTATTCAAACCCATCTCAGGGGCTCTCTCAGACAGGTTTACAAACACGATTAGTATGTTCCCTGTGGAACAAGCGGGTACCACTGTCCTTACCAAGTACCACGTCTTTGCTGGGTGCTGCAGTGTATATCTTTGGGTGTCCATGGAGATCATGGGAGAGTTGCAGGGAGGGGGGTCATACACCTTCTCCCTCCTTCTTGTTGTTGATGGGTCCTGCAGCAGTGGGCTCAGGCTCCAGTGTGTTGCAGAGGTCTGCGTGGAGCCCATTGTCTGTTCTTTGCTGCCCTCACTCCTCTGGGGCCCCAGACATAAGCCCATGTACTGGGCCTAAGTAAGAGACCAGAGATGGTCATCTCACTCCACTCAGAATCTCTTCTGCTCTCTGGCCCTGAGATGTGGGCTTAGAGCCAAGCCTGTTCTGCTAGATTTCTATTCCTCTGTCCTTTGCACTCGGAGATTCCTGGCTGCACACAGAGACTGCCTCACTGACAATCAGACCTTCCTGGAAGTATCTGGACCTCTGTAGTGGCCACAGCTTAGGCCTAGCAAGGATGCCTCAGGGTGTCTAGTACCTTCCAGGTGCAGCAGAGAACGCTGGCCACGGTGCCTTGATTTTTCTGGGCCTTCTGTTGAAATGGAGCAATATTTCCCAACCTCTCGGAGTTCTCTAGGGGGTTAAATGGGACAAAGGACTTGAAAATCCACAGACGATACCTCTTATTTTTCAGGCTGATTTAGGCCCAGCACACTAGACACCCACAGTGCTTATAAATACCTCCCTGGGTATTATCAAACACTTCTAATTACCAAACACACCTGCTTTTCCCAGAAGACATAGGCTCCTAAAAACAAGGGCTATATATGTATGATTTGTATTTGTATATTTAGTCCCCAAACTAAGTTTAGTACAGTACAGACAAAATCAATCAACCAAGCAAGCAAGCAAAGCTGAGATTTATTGTACACATACTATGCACCAGATTTTACATCAAGTACTTTTTTTTTTTTTTTTGAGATGGAGTTTCACTCTTGTTCCCTAGGCTGGAGTGCAGTGGTGCAATCTCAGCTCACTGCAACATCCACCTCCTGGGTTCAAGCAATTCTCCTGCCTCAGCCTCCTGAGTAGCTGGGATTACAGGGGCCTGCCACCATGCCCAGCCAATTTTTTGTATTTTTAGTAGAGATAGGGTTTCACCATGTTGGCCAAGCTGGTCTCAAACTCCTGACCTCAGGTGATTCACCCACCTGGGCCTCCCAAAGTGCTGGGATTACAGGCATGAGCCACCATGCCAGGCCTACATCAAGTACTTTCTATTCACCATGTCATTGAACCTTTACAGCAGTCTCACAAAGTAAGGACTAACTTTCTTTCTATATAAGCAAACAGAGGCCTGGTGGGTGGTGTAGGGCAGCAATTTATCCAAGGTCACTCAGCAAGTAGGTAGCAGAGCTGGGATTTGAATCTGGGTCTCTCTGACTATTAAGCATACATTTATATCCCATGTAAACATGTTTCCTAAAGACTATCTTTCTTCGAATCCATAGGTTGTGGATTCAAAAATAGACCATCTATCATTGAATCCACAACCTGTGAACACAGTTCTTCTCAGTACGTAGAACATGCCAAATGAATGCTTGATGGATTAAATGAAGCAATATAAAGGAATGAGATAGCTAGCTAGCAAGATAAAGATAGAGACAGATAGATACATAGAGACAGATAGATGGGTAGAAAGATGATAGATATAGATAGATAGGACGGATAGGTAGGTAGGTAGGTAGGTAGGTAGATAGATAGATAGATAGATAGATAGATAGATAGATAGATCGATCGATCTACTGATATGCTAGGTGAGAAAGCAAAGGATTCTTTACGGATGGTCTTTCTTCTAAGACCTAGCATCTGATCTTCAAAGCGTCTCCCATAACATCATCTGAATGCCCCTGGAACAGAAAGGTCATGTAGGATCAACATCAAGGTGAGGCCTCCACGGTTTGTTTGCCAACAACACCGGATGTAGCTTTTCCATCTTTCCCAGGACAGTTTGTATTACAGAACAAGGGAAGCTTATCCAACCTCGGGGTCTACAGCCTGAAGGACATTAGAAAGTAGAAGCTTCATTCCATGATGACAAGTAATCCGGGCGGGGAGGGGTATGCACAAGGCTAGAAAATGAGACAATCTCGGCCAGGCGCGGTGGCTCACCCTTGTAATCCCAGCACTTTGGGAGGCCGAGGCGGGTGGATCACGAGTTCAGGAGATCGAGACCATGCTGGATAACATGGTGAAATCCCATCTCTATTAAAAATACAAAAAATTAGCCAGGCGTGGCGGCGGGCACCTGTAGTCCCAGCCTCCCAGCCACTCGGGAGGCTGAGGCGGGAGAATGGCGTGAACCCGGGAGGCAGAGCTTGCCATGAGCCGAGATCGCGCCACTGCACTCCAGCCTGGGTGACAGAGCGAGACTCCGTCTCAAAAAAAAAAAGAAAAGAAAAAAAAGAAAATGAGACAATCTGATTGTCAACATTGCACAGGCATGTAGGAGTTCTTCCATGTGACCCATTTCTATGTACTGTTGACCTCAGAACAACACAGGTTTGAAATGTGCAGGTCCACGTATGGGTGGATTTTCTTCTGTCTCTGCCACCCTGAGACAGCAAGACCAGCCCCTCCTAATCTTCCTCTCCCTCAGCCTACTCAGCGTGAAGACAATGAGGATGAAGACCTTTATGATGATCCACTTCCACTTAATAAGTAGTAAATCTATTTTATTTTCCTTATGATTTCCTTAACGTTTTCTTTTCTCTAGCTTACATTATCATAAGAATATAATATAAAATATGAATAGCATCCAAAATATATGCTAATTGACTGTCTATGTTATTGGTAAGGCTTCTGGTCAACAGCAGGCTATCAGTCATTAAGATTTTGGCGAGTCAGGCCGGGCGTAGTGGCTCATGCCTGCAATCTTAGCACTTTGAGAGGCTGAGGCTGGAAGATTGCCTGAGCCCAGGAGTTCGAGACCAGCCTGGTTAACAAATCAAGACCCCCCATCTCTACAAAAGATACAAAAATTAGCCAGGCACAGAGGCATGTGCCTGTAGTCCCAGCTAATCAGGAGGCTGAGGGAGGAGAATTGCTTGAGCGCAGGAGATTGAGGCTGCAGTGAGCTATAATCACTCTGTTGCACTCCAGCCTGGGCAATAGAGCAAGACTCTGTCTCTAAAAAATACAGATAAAATAAATAATTTTTAAAAAAAGATTTTGGGGATTAAAAATGTATACCTAGATTTTCAAATGCATAGAGTCAACTTAGATTTTCAACCCGTGTATTGGTCAAGGATCAATTGTATAATCGAAAGCAAGGCTGACCTATTAGATCCTGGCTAGAAGGATTTAATTTCAGCAATCGCCCAAAATTCTCTCTATGTGGCCATTTTGCCAGGAAGGACAGCACCCTGGCAAGTTCCAAGAGCATCAAAATGTGAAAAGTGATCTGGACTGGGAGTGAGGAGGCACACAACATAGTCCCAGCTCTGCCACTAATCGGCTGTGTGACTCTGAACCCAGGGACTCAGTTTCACCCCCATCTACTTATTATCCCAACTCCAAATGCTATGACATCATGTCAATAGCTTGAAATTGGCCATGATGGTAGTATTTACACCACAGAAATTGGCCAATGCTAAATCAGAGCCTTTTTTTTTGAAAGTCAGTTATTCAACATTTGCTAGCACACCACTGGAAGGGGCCAAAATTTATTGAACACCTAGTAAATGTCAGGTACCTAAGGTATACCATCTCTTCTTTTTTCTTTTCTTTTCTTTCTTTCTTTCTTTATTTTGAGATGGAGTTTCACACTGTTGCCTGGGCTGGAGTGCAATGGCATGATCTCGGCTCATTGCAACCTCTGCTTCCCAGGTTCAAGCGATTCTCCTTCCTCAGCCTCCCAAGTAGCTGAGATTACAGGCACCCACCACCACGCCCAGCTAATTTTTTGTAATTTTAGTAGAGGCGGGGTTTCATTATGATGGCCAGGCTGGTCTCGAACTCCTGACCTCGTGATTCGCCAGCCTCGGCCTCCCAAAGTGCTAGGATTACAGGCATGAGCCACCGTGCCCGGCCAGCAATGTACACCATTTCTTCTAACCCTCAAAACCTCATGACAAATTCTGTGAGGCTCAAAGAGATTCACTAATGTGCCCATTGTCACCCAGCAACTAGGAGATGAGGCTGATATCAAACACAGGACTTAACCCAAAACCCATGATATCTTTCCATCTCCATACTTGCCTCTCTGAATTTGGAAAGGCAAATATGACAAGAAGTCACAAATATAGCTGGGTCAAACCCTTGAAAGGTACCCTGAGGCTAGAGGGGTATCAGCAATAGAAGTGCCAGTTCTTGTTTCTCTATCGAACAAAAATTCTCTGATATTCTCAATTGTTCTTAAGATTTTCCAGTTCATGCTGTCAATGCAGAATTGACCCAGAATCTACTTTTTCCATTCCACTCCCCCGGTGGCTTTTGTATTACATGAAATTCGAGTGGAGCCTTTGGCAAATGTCAATTTAAAAGGCTTACTTTGGGTATTGAAGGTCAATATCATTGTAAATTTACCACCTGTGACCTTGTGATGAATTTAAGGCACCTGGAACTGTTTGTTTTCCTGTAACCATTTGTCTTTTTAATTTCTTTGCCTGTTTTACTTCTGTGAGATTGCTTCAGCTCAATTCCCCCTCCCCTTTCTAAACCAAAGTATAAAAGAAAATCTAGCCCCTTCTTCGGGGCCGAGAGAATTTTCAGCGCTAGCCGTCTCTTGGTCACCGGCTAATAAAGGACTCCTGAATTAGTCTCAAAGTGTGGCGTTTCTCTATAACTTGCTTGGTTACAACAGTTGTATGGATGGAGGATAGATAGATTGGTAGACGAGAGGATGTATGTATGTATATATATGTATATGGATGGGTGGATGGATGGATGGATAATATCAGGGAGTCAGAATGAAAAGCTGGATGTAAGGATATATCAGGACTCAAGGACAATGGCCAGAAATACAGGAAACCAAGACAAAAAAAAGAGAATATTTTGCAATATCTACAGACAGCAATTCAGAGACTCCAATGAGCTGAGCTCATCCCAGCACCATAGGTGAGGATTTAGCATATAACCTTGATGACAGGTGATGAGTATGTGATCTAAAGTTTGCATATATGGGCTATGAAATGAAATCAGGATGTGTTAGGCAGATCATTTGGTTGCCAGTTTCCAGCAGTGAGATGATGGCAGGAGGGGACAGAGCCACAGAAAATCTGGCTTTCTCTTCCCAGATGCCTCACCCCACCCCTTGGCCTTCACTTTTTGAGCCCAGTTCAGAGTCTCTTTCTTAGAGAAGTCTTCCCTGATCACCACCTCTCCTACCCAAGCCAGCCCCTGTTCTCTTATCCTCTTTCACACCTTTGTCACTGCCTTCATCTCAAGAGTAAACAATGCATTTTGACATCAACTGCTTTCCATATTACCCCTTGCCACAAAGCCAGATCCATGAGCTCAGGGGTCCTGACTGCCGGCCCTCCTGCTGCATCCCTGGTGCTTAGAACAGTGTCTGTAATCCAACAGACATTCAGTATACACAGTTGCAAATACCTGAATAAATATTCAGACAAATCAATGTGGTTTAGAATGGGGAGAAGATAATTGGGAGTCTACGTGAGTTTTGATGTTTTTTTTTCCATATGACTTCTCAAAAAAATGCCCGTCCTGTCCCACAAAGCTAAGAAGACACTCTGTGAGCATCCCATCCACCCACTTGTTTGCAGGCAGTGGTTCTTTGATTTTACTGTACATATGAAACTCCCAAAGAGCCTGACCACACTGGTACCCGGCCCCAACCAGAGCATCTGACCTCACGAGCTGGGTGCAGAGCTGGCATTGGGATTGTTCAGAGCTCCCCAGGTGATCCTAATGTGCAGCCAGGGCTGAGATCCCTGTGTTTGAAACACAATCTCTACTCCTCCTCTAGTTGCTCAATTCCCATTTTAGAGAAGCCGGGGGGATGGGTGTCTAATGTGACTTATTCATGTCTTTGGGTACTAAAATCATGGAATGAAGGTTGCAAAATGGGCAGTTATATGGCCTTTTGGGTCTGGATGACTGATAGGGCTTCAGGATTTTTCTGGGGACAAATATTCTCCTTTAATAATAATAATAAATAAATAAACTCTAGGCCAGACGCGGTGGCTCACACCTGTAATTCCAGCACTTTGGGAGGCCAAGGCACGTGGATCACTTGAGGTCATGAGTTCAAGACCAAACTGGCCAACTTGGTGAAACCTCGTTTCTACTAAAAATACAAAAAATTAGCCAGGCGTGGTGGTGGCGGGCACCTGTAATCCCAGCTACTCGGGAGGCTGAGGCAGAATTGCTTGAACCGGGAGGTGGAGGTTGTAGTGAGCTGAGGTCACGCCATCACACTCCAGCCTGAGAGAGAGAGTGAGACTCCATCAAAAAAAAAAAAAAAAAAAAATCTAGGCCCAAATGTAGTGGCCGATGCCTGTAATTGCAGCACTTTGAGAGGCAGAGGCAGGAAGATTGTTTGAGTCCAGGAGTTCAAGACCAGCCTGGGCAACTTAGTGACACTCTGTCTCTACCAAAAATTTAAAAATCAGCTGGGCATCATGGCATGCACCTGTAGTCCTAGCTACGTGGGAGGCAGAGGCAAGAGCATTGCTTGAGCCCAGGAGTTCAAGACCAGCCTGGGCAACATACTGAGACTCTGTCTCTGCCAAAAGTTTAAAAATTAGCTGGGTGTGGTGGTACACACCTGTAGTCCTAGCTACTTGGGAGGCTGAGTCAGGAGCATTGCTTGAGCCCAGGAGTTTGAGGTGGCAGTGAGTTATGATCATGCCATTATACTCCAGCCTGGGCAACAGAGCAAGACCCTGTCTCTAAAAAAAAAATCAACCTCACTTCAAGCCCACCTATAAAAAGACACTGATGAGGCCACTCTATGAACAACTATAATCATGCTACATCCATTTGCACATGAAATTGCTGAAATCTATCCAGCATCTTTTATCACAGGTGGCAGAGTGGGATAAGGGGCAGCTAGAGAAATGTAGTGGCCACTGTGTCCTTGGACTGCCAGAGTCAAGCCAGGGTGGAGCCAAGTGGCTGGTGGTCAAGGATCATTTCATTTCTTCCCCAGGGTCTAGAATCTTTTCTCCCCCAGGGTCTCTCATGGACTAATTCATAACTGCACCTTAGTGTCTGACAGTAACAACCTGAGGACATTTGCAAACAAAATATCAGGAAACACCATCCACTTAGAGATCAGAATTTCATCCCCATTGCAATGCCCAGGAACGTGTTTGGGGAGAAGGGGTGCAGTTTGAGTGTTTTTTTAAAACTATGATTTTGATTTTAGGACAATTATATATTCCTGGGGCTCAGTGAGAAGTAACATCTCCAAGGCTATTTACTGAACCACAGTTGAGTAAAATTTCCCACTGGGAAGGAAGAGGGAGGAAATGAACTTTTGTTTATGGCCGGTTAAACACAAGCAGATGCTAAGCGATTGACACTATTCCCACTGAATCCTCACACCCACTCCATGGCAGAGCTACTAATTGCCCCATTTGCAGACTGATGAAGAAACTGAGGCTCAAAAAGGCTAAATTATTTGCCCATCTTCCTCATTACTATGCTGTACTCAGCACTGTTTGCAAACAGGGAGAACAATAGCTACCTATCATGGGCTGTACAGTCAGACAGACTTGGGGTCAAGCTGCAGTACAGTGGTGTGATCATAGCTCAATATACCCTTGAACTCCTGGGCTCAAGCGATCCTCCTACCCCAGCTGGGGTTGATCTTGACTTTGCTCCTTGCCTGGTACAACCTTGGACAAGTGTTTTCTCAGAACTTCTTTCCCATGTCTGCAATACCAGATAATAATACCTATATAGCAAAGAGTTGTTTGAAGTGTTCAGGGAGATCATATCTGCAAAGTGCCTAGCAGTGTCCCTGGCACAGGTGGGTGCACAACAGATACTAAGAATGAATGTGACCCAGACCTTGAACACATAAGAGATGATCAATAAATTTAAATCCTCAAAACACACACTCTTCTGGTTACAATATGGGGAAAGCCATGACCTGGACGAGATGGAATTTTTGCTCTAAAAGAGCTCACAGCCTTGACTGTGAAAGAAGAAAGCCCATGGAAACAGAAAGCAAACAGTAATTGTATAATTGTAATATAATAATCTATAATAATATAATAATCTATAATTGTATGATTCAGGATGTGCCCAGTTGAAAAAGAAATACCAACTCTAATTAGCTTTTTAAAATGCACTTACTGACCTGTAAAATGAAAGAGTTTATTTAATTTTAATTTCACACTGTTAGCCTAACAGGCTTAGGCCAACGTAGTGGTTTAGAGCTTGGGATAGATACATCACCAGGTCTGTTTTAATCGGGGGTGTCAACACTACTAGGCCTAACATCTTTCTGTAACAATCTATCAGGTCATGAATTCTGAAATGAAATTCACAGATAATATAATCTACCTACCCTACAGTTTAATAGAAAACCAATATAGTGCCCTCTCTGTGATACAAAGAAGAAAGAAAATAGATTTATAATAAAAATATATTTTTGATATATAAATATTCACACCCAACTCCACTAGAAGATGTAACGAAGTTATCAAAAGCTTGCACTTTTAACAGACATGATGCAATATTTAGCTGAATATTGTCAACAGTTTTACTTTATATTTAACAAATTACAATAATGGCCACATAGGTATTTTCATACATGTATGCATATCCCTCAGAAAGTTCCTAATTAGCATTTCCTGGTAGAATGCCCCTTGGATTTTCATACCCAAACATCATGAAACAAATGTATCTCTCAATGTATGTTGATGTTAACATAGGAGAAATTATATTTGCATCTCCAAAATTCAGTGCAACATTGTAAACAAAATGCTGTATGGAATAAGTTTGATGCTACACTCTAAACACAATTGGTGGAACATCAGGATCCCAGTTTGAAAAGTCCACCCAATGTCAACAAAAGGTACATGAATCTCCTACGTTACTGCTGCAAAGACAAGCCATGTCAATATCAACAAAACTACCATTTATTTTCTTTTCTATCACCTTTACTGAAATATAATTTACATGCAATAACCTGCATCCATTTAAAGTATGCAAATCAGGCCAGGTGCGGTGGCCCATGCCTGTATCCCAGCATTTTGAGAAGCTGAGGTGGGCGGATTGCTTGAGCTCAAGAGTTTGAGACCAGCCTGGGCAACATGGTGAGACGCTTTCTCTACAAAAAATACAAAACTTAGCCTTGAGTGGTGGCGCATGCCTGTGCTCCCAGCTACTCCAGAGGCTGAGGTGGGAGGATGGCTTGAGCCTGGAAGGCTGAGGTTGTGGTGACCCAAGATTGCACCACTGCACACCAGCCTGGGTAACAGAGCGAGACTCTGTCTCAAAAAATAAAAATAAAAATATACAAAGTATGCAATTCAATGAGTTGTTTGTTTTTGTTGTTGTTGTTGTTTTAAGATGGAGTCTTGCTCTGTCTCCCAGGCTGGAGTGCAGTGGTGTGATCTTGGCTCACTGCAAGCTCCGCCTCCCAGGTTCATGCCATTCTCCTGCCTCAAGCCTCCCAAGCAGCTGGGACTACAGGCGCCCACCACCACGTCCGGCTAATTTTTTGTATTTTTAGTAGAGACGGGGTTTCACGGTGTTAGCCAGGATGGTCTCGATCTCCTGACCTCATGATCCGCTTGCCTTGGCCTCCCAAAGTGCTGGGATTACAGGCGTGAGCCACAGCGCCCGGCCATCTCTAGTGCCACTTCTTACTCCAGCCACAGAATCGATCAGAGTATACCTCTTGCCTCCCACCCTGGGGCTTTTCTGATACTGCCGCTTGCAACATGCAGAGTTCCGCCTCCAGTATTCCTAATAGAATTAAAGTTGGAGGAATCAGTAAAAATTCATGGCTTTTAATATATAGAAATAGATATATGTATGTGTGTATGTATGTATTATCTAGCTCTGTCTGCTAAGAGGTCCTAGAAGCAATTATATCAAAGTAGTTATGAGTACACTTAGCACCTGGATCTTGATTTCTTTTTTTTTTTTTTTTTTTTGAGACGGAGTCTTGCTGTCTCCCAGGCTGGAGTGCAGTGGCGCGATCTCGGCTCACTGCAAGCTCCGCCTCCTGGGTTGTCGCCATTCTCCTGCCTCAGCCTCCCAAGTAGCTGGGACTACAGGTGCCCGCCTCCGCGCCCAGCTAATTTTTTGTATTTTTAATGGAGACGGGGTTTCACCGTGTTAGCCAGGATGGTCTCGATCTCCTGACCTCGTGATCTGCCCACCTCTGCCTCCCAAAGTGCTGGGATTACAGGCGTGAGCCACCGCGCTCGGCCTGATCTTGATTTCTTAATATTCCTTTCCAACAAAAGGAACCAATTACATGATATTATATATAGAAAATCCTAAATAATAAAAAACTATTAGAGCTAATAAATGAAATAAGCAAAGATGCAAGATACTAGATCAACACATAAAAATTAGTTGCATTTCAACATATTAGAAATGAACAATTGAAAAGGAAACTTTAGAAGTTCCATTTACAATAATATCAAAAAGAATAAAATACTTAGGCATAAATTTAACCAAGAAGGTGCAGGATTTATACATTGAAAACCACGAACTACTACTGAAAAAAAATTTAAGAAAATCTAAATAAATGAAAAAACATGGCTGGGCATGGTGGCTCACACCTGTAATCCCAGCACTTTGGGAGGCTGAGGAAGGTGGATCACCTGAGGTCAGGAGTTTGAGACCAGCCTGGCCAACTTGGTGAAACCCCATCTCTACTAAAAATATAAAAATTAGCTGGGTGTGGCGGTAGGAGCCTGTAATCCCAGCAATTCAGGAGGCTGAGGCAGGAGAATTGCTTGAACCTGGGAGTCGGAGGTTGCAGTGAGCTGAGATCACGCCACTGCACTCCAGCCTGGGCGATGAGTGAAACTCCTTCTCATATTAAAAAAAAAAAAAAAGGAAAGAAAAGAAAAGACATTTAATGTTCATGGATTCAAACACATAATATTGTGAAGATGGCTATATTCCCCCAGATAAAGCTACAGATTCAACAACATTTTTGAAGAAATGGAAAAGCATATGCTAAAATGCATATGAAATTGCAAAGGACCCAAAAATTTAAAAAGCTCATGCTTCCTGATTTCAAAACTTACCAGAAAGGTACAATAATAAAAAAATAAAATAAAATAACTGTGGTATTGATACAAAGACATACAGATAAGTGGAATAGACTTGAGAGTCTAGAAATCAAATTATGCATCTATAGTCAAGATCATTCAATGGAGAAAGAAGTTTCCTCAGCAAATGGTACTGGGAGAACTGGATATCTACATGCAAAAGAATGAAACTGAGGCCTGGTGCGGTAGCTCATGCCTGTAATTTCAACACTTTGGGAGGCCATCGTGGGTAGATCACTTGAGCTCAGGAATTCTGGACCCAACTGGGTAACGTGGTGAAACACTGTCTCTACTAAAAATAGAAAAATTAGCCAGACATCGTGGCTTGCACCTGTAGTCCCAACTACTTGGGAAGCTGAGGTGGGAGGATCACTTGAGCCCAAGAGGTGGAAGGTGCAGTGAGCCAAGATCCCACCACTACACCCCAGCTTTGGCAACAGAGCAAGACCCTGTCTCAAAAAAAAAAAAAAAAAAAGAAAAAGAAAAAGAAAAAGAAATTGGACTCTTACCAATACATACACAAAAATTACATGATATACAAAAATTAACTGAAAATGAATCAAAGAGCTGAATATAAGAACTAAAACTCTAAAACTTTTAGAGGAAAACATAGGCATAAATCTTTATGACCCTGGATTTGGCAATGATATTTTTTAGATGTGACACCAAAAACACAAGCAACAGAAGAAAAAAGTAGATTAATTAGACTTCACCAAATGTTTTGTAGATGGTGCATAAAAGCTCATTATCAACAGAGTGAAAACACAACCTACAGAATGAGAGGAAATATTTGCAAATCATATATATCTGATAAAATTATAGTATCAGAATATATAAAGAGCTGTAAGTACTCAACAACAAAAAGACATAACCCAATTAAAAAGTGGGCATATGAATACAATTGAATATACATTTCTCCATAGAAGACATAAAAATGGCCAACATCAAATGAAGAGATGTTTAATGTCATTAGTCAATAAGAAAATGTGGGCGGGGCGCAGTGGCTCACGCCTGTAATCCCAACACTCTGGGAGGCCGAGGCAGGTGGATCACGAAGTCAGGAGATCGAGACCATCCTGGCTAACACGGTGAAACCCCGTCTCTACTAAAAAATACAAAAAATTAGCCAGGCATGGTGGCGGGTGCCTGTAGTCCCAGCAACTCGGGAGGCTGAGGCAGGAGAATGGCGTGAACCCAGGAGGCAGAGCTTGCAGTGAGCTGAGATTGTGCCACTGCACTCCAGCCTGGGCGACAGAGCGTAACTCTGTCTCAAAAAAAAAAAGAAAGAAAGAAAAAGAAAATGTGAATCAAAACTACAAATTGCTGCCACTTCACACTCACTAGGTTGGAAAGAAAGAGCAAGAGAAAGGGAAAGAAGGAAGGAGAAGGGAAGGGAGGGAGGAAAGAAAGGGGTGATTTGGCAAGGACATGGAGAAGCTGGGAATGTAAAATAATGCAGTCACTTTGGAAAACAGTTTGGTGAGTCTTCAAAAAATTAAACAGATGACCTAGCAAGCCTATTCTAGAACTATGCCTCAAAGAACTGAAAACAGGCATCCAAACAAATATTTAATACTTGTACATAAGTGTTCATAGACCATTATTTACAATAGCCCAGAATTGGAGACAAATGGCCATCAAGGAATGAATAAACAAAATGTGGCACATCCACATAATGGGATTTTATTCAGCCATAAAGAGGAATAAAGTATTGATACATGTTACAACATGGATGAACTTCAAAAACATTACACTAAGTGAAAGAAGCCAAACACAAAAGATCACATATTGTATAATTCCACTTATATGAAACATCCAGAGCAGGTCAATCCACAGAGAAAGAAAGCCAACCAGTGGTTTCCAGATGCTGGGGAGAGGGAGAAATGAGGTGTTGACTGCTTATTGCACACAAGGTTTCCTTCTGGGGTGATGAAAATGTCTTGGAACTAGATAGAAGTGGTATTTGCACAACATCGTGAATGTACAAAACATCACAGAATTGTACGCTTTAAAATGGCTGAGATTAATTTTTTTTGATGCAGATTTTGCTTCAATATTTTTTTAAAAAAGAACATATATATATATTTGGGACAGAGTTTTGCTCTTTCACCCAGGCCAGAGTGGGTGAAATATATACAGTGGGTGAAATATATATAGAGTAGGTGAAATATATAGAGTGGGACCTATATATATATATATATATATATATATATATTTGGGACAGAGTTTCGCTCTTTCACCCAGGCTAGAGTGCAGTGGTGTGATCTCAGCTCACTGCAACCTCCATCTTCCGGTTTCAAGCGACTCTCCTACCTCAGCCTCCCAGGTAGCTGGTACTACAGGTGCCCGCCACCAAGCCTGGCTGATTTTTGTATTTTTAGTAGAGACAGGGTTTTACCGTGTTGGCCAGGCTGGTCTTGAACTCCTGACCTCGTGATCTGCCTGCCTTGGCCTCCCAAAGTGCTGGGATTACAGACGTGAGCCACCGTGCCCGGCCCCAGTACTTCTTGATTCAAAACTTGGCCTGCGGCCCAACACGGTGGCTCAAACCTGTAGGCCCAGCACTTTGGGAGGCCAAGGTGGGCAGTCAGGAGTTCCAGATCAGTCTAGCCAACATGGAAAACCCATCTCTACTAAAAATACAAAAATTAGCCAGGCGTGGTGACACACGCCTGTGGTCCCAGCTACTTGGGAGGCTGAGGCATGAGCATCACTTGAACCTGGGAGGCGGAGGTTGCAGTGAGCCAAGATGCCTAGATCCTGCCACTGCACTCCAGCTTGGGCAATAGAGCGAGACTCCATCTCAAAAACAAAGAAGAAAAGAAAAACAAAACTTGGTCTGGGAAGGAGAAAGATGAGCCAGAAAGTAAAAGAGTGCTCAGAAAATGACAGTGGCATGCAAAGGACACAGGATGCATCCTGAGGGAGGACTATTCCTCAGTTAAAGGCTTATTTATTTTCAATGAGATTATAATTTTGCTTTTAAGCTACATTAGCAAAATTCATTTTTCAAAAACACCCACTGTGAATGTCAAAGTGTATTATTAAGCATTTTATATCTAATTGTAAACTTTTTTTTTCAAAAGTCTTGCTTTACATTTGTTCAACTGAACACAACTTTTGGATAATTGGATAAAATTGGGTAATTTTAAACATTACTTTCTATACTTGAAACATTTATTTAAAAAGAAAAAAAAAAGGACACAGGAACCAGCTTGAAGGGGTTCCCACTAGCCAGATCTGGGACAATTTGAACATCAAAATTAATAGTGTTCGTCAGGGCTGGCTTTGTGGGCCTGCAACCAATAGAGTCACACAGGACTTGGCGCTCAGAATTTTAATAATGTACAGTCCCTGCCTTAAAACCCTTTATCATTTTACCTTTGAATTTGTGGTTTCTAGGTGAAGTCTGATGGCACAATGGAGCATGCTGAGAGCCTGGAGCCTCTGATGACACATGGATCTGAGGCCTGTTGATGCCCACTCCCTACCCCCGGTCCCGTGGTCCCTGCCTGGCTTTGCATTCCCTTCCTTGCTTCAGAGCAGTGACTGGGTCACCTTGGCTGGGGGAGGCCCACGTTTTGTCATCACCTTCCACCCTGGCAGAAGCCTAGGCATGGATAGGTGCAGGAGGGTTCAGGGCTGGGCCCATATGCCAGGGCACTGTCAACCTAAAAATAAGCCATCAAAAAAAAAATCTCATAACTATTTTATCTGTGAGTAAGTAAAAAGGATAATAACCTGGGATGCACAGTTATAGCAAGCCACAGATGCATCCAAAGAGGGGAGGGTAAAGGGAAGCCTTTATCGGTAAAAGTGAGAAGTTCATGTAAGCTGCTTAGAAACAGTTTATTGGTACCAGAGGCTCAAAGCCAGAGTTAGTAGTAGATCACTGGTACAGAAGCCATTATCAGGCAAGTCTTCTTTTGAGATCATCTTATCTGAATTTCTGCAGTCCTAAAAAATGTCTAGTATGAAATCGTGGCTCCGCGCAGTGGCTCACGCCTGTAATCCCAGCACTTTGGGAGGCCAAGGCGGGCGGACACGAGGTCAGGAGATCGAGACCATCCTGGCTAACACCGTGAAACCCCGTCTCTACTAAAAATACAAAAAATCAGCCAGGCGTGCTGGTGTGGCTACTCAGGAGGCTGAGGCAGGAGAATGGCGTGAACCCAGAAGGCAGAGCTTGAAGTGAGCCAAGATCGTGCCACCGCACTCCAGCCTGGGCGACCAAGCAAGACTCCGTCTCAAAAAAACAAAAAAAAGAAATCGTTTCACAGAAATATGTGCATGTGTGTGAAACATGCAAGCCGTGCAAAGCATAAGATGCATGAAGGAGATGAGAGAATTTCTTGTGGGTTATTGCCTGGAAACAGCTTTTAGCTTTAGACATGCAAGGATGAGCTCCTCTCCTTTGTGCTCTCCTGGCTCCAATTTGTCTGGGTCTGAGTAGAGTGGACTTTATCCTGTATCTGCAACTTTCATAGCACCATGGGGTGATCAAGAAGGCAGTTTCCCTCCACTAATCTGACAGTAGCACAGCACATTCTGCAGGCCATTCAGCTAGGGCCTCTTACCAGTGCCATCCAACAATCCAGAACAAACCAGCATGGAGGGTACAGTTCCCTGGGCATTGTCCCTTTGCATCAAATGGAAAATCCAGTTTATGAGAAGAGGAAATTAGCTTCCTTGTCCCCACCCCGGGCCCTGCATTTTCATTTGTGCTGGGCCCCACAAATTATGCAGCTAGCCCTGATAGTAGTAATGGATTGTAACACACAAAATAGGAATACTGCGGGTAGTAAATACACCCCAAATTCCCCCCACTTTCTCCTCCCTGAACTAACAAAAGGAAGCAAGGAGGTTAGGATTCACCTGTATCTGTGTGTGCATGCGTGTATGCGAGTGTATGGGTGCTCACACATGGGTACACAGAAAAAAGAAATCTAAAAAAATTTCTCTCCTATTTGTGACCCCATATCTTTTTTTTTTTTTTTTTTTTGAGACAGGATCTTGCTGTGTCACCCAGGCTGGAGTGCAGAGGTGCAATCTCGGCTCACTGCAACCTCCACCTCCCAGGTTCAAGAGGTTCTTGTGCCTCAGCCTCCCGTGTAGCTGGGACTACAGGTGCACACCACCATGCCCAGCTAATTTTTGTATTTTTTGTAGAGCCAGGGTTTTACCACATTGGCCTGGCTGGTCTCGAAGTCTTGGCCTCAAGAGTTCTACGTTTCTAACAGAGTTCCATTTCTAATAGAGTTGCTACATATAATACATGTCAAATATTTATCTAATACATATGCACATACTACATGCATATGCATTTGTACGGGTGTGTTTTAGGCACCCAGGTCTCACTGCTTGCCAGATAACAAAGCCCTTCCCTGTGGACCTCTACTTCCCCATCTATAAAATGGGAGACTTCATCCCCTTCATCCCTAACCGTTTATCTGAGTCTGTCTCATGTAGAAGGTGGAGGCAAACACCTACTTTGCATGATTTGTCCTAAATTTTCACCTCCCTGTCTGCAATCCTGCTGGAAATCCCATTAGTGACCCCATCCACTATCCTCTTTGGAAATGTCCTTATCCCTAGTATGAATATCCCTAATTCCCTACAGTTTTCAACCTGGGGTGATTTTGCTCCCAGGCGATACTTGCCAATGTTTGGGCACATTTTTGGTCATCACGTGTTGGGGGTTGCTACTGGCCAACTGGCTGGTAGAGGCCAGGGGTGCATTTAATATCCTGCAGTGCACAGGGCAGCCCCCACCACACATCAAGAGGAGTGAAGTTGATTGCGAGGCCGAGGAGGGCAGATCGCTTGAGCTCAGGAATTCAAGATGAGCCTGGCCAACATGGAGAAACACCATCTCTACAAAAAATAAAAAAGTTAGCAAGGCGTGGTGGTCCATCTGTGGTCTCAGAGACTCAGGAGGTTGAGGCAGGAGGATCACCTGAGCCCAGGGAGGTTGAGGCTGCAGTGAACCCTGATGGTGCCACTGTACCCCAGCCTAGGTGATGTGAGACCCTGTCTCAAAAAAAAAAATGGTGAAGTTGAGAATGAGTAGCCCTGCCTAGAATGAAAGCATTTATTGGATACTTTTCTTTACACTCTCTAGACTGAGATGCTTGGAGCGTTCTGGTGGTACCCAAAGTAGGAGGAAGCATTACAAGTTTAAAAATGGAGAAATTATGTTTTTATGCAGCAGCTGGGCACCAGGCTATGGATTCATCACTTTGTAGGCCACATCTCCTGCCAAGCAAGCCACATGCACCCTGTTTCCAGATGAGAATGTTGAGACAAGGTTGGTTAAAACACGCAGTTCTGAAGAGTTATTGTAACAGATTCTGGAGTCTGTGCTCTGGAAGGGAGGAATGGGGGTGGTCACTAACTCGAGGAGAGGGAAGCATTTGTGCCTGAACAATGAGAGTTGTTTTCAGATGAAGAAATCGGCACATGTTGAGAGAACAAGACAAGCTTTTTATCCGAGTGCTTGATTTTCATTACAATGACAGGTGTCTCCATGGCTTCGTGCTTGGAAGTGACTAATTCTAAGGAGTCTTTCCTGTTGGTCAAGTCCTAGTCTCTGGGTTTGACTACTCATTCATTCGTTTGATCTTTCATTCATTCAATAAATACCTATCAAGCCTCAACTATATACTGTGCTCTGTGGATATATTGAATGCAAAATCAGGCCTGGCCCTTGCCCTCATAGAGCCTAGGAAAAGAGATGGAAATGAAATCAAAGAACTAAACAAATACATATAGAGCAACATGTGTGATTAGGGCTTCCAAAGAGAGGTGAGCAAAGCAGAAAATTGCACATCAGAGGACTGGCCTGGCCATGGAAGCCACGGAGGATGCTGGGCTGAGATCTGAAGACTGCATAAGAGGGATACTTACGTCAGGTGTAGTAGGCTCACACCTGTAATCCTAGCACTTTAGGAGGCTGAGGCAGGCAGATTGCTTGATCTGTCAGGAGTTTGAGACCAGCCTAGCCAACATTGTGAAACCCTGCCTCTACTAAAAAATACAAAAATTAGCTGGGCATGGTGGTGTGCACCTATAATCCCAGCTACTCAGGAGGCTGAGGCAGGATAACTGATTGAGCCCAGGAGGCGGAGGTTGCAGTGAGCCAAGATCATGCCACTGCACTCCAGCCTGGATGACAGAGCGAGATTCTGTCTCTAATAATAATAATAATAATAATAATAATAATAATAATAGGGATAATTAGGCAAACTGGGGGAAAATATGTTTCAGGAAGAGAAAACAGCATGTGCCAGAGTCCTGTGGCTGGAGGACTCATCAAGGGTACACAGGACAGAAAAAAAAGTTTATATACATGGTAGGAAGCTAAAGAGACAAAGCAAGGGCTGGTCCACACAGGTCTTGTGAGTTAGTAATTAGGATTTGTATCCAGAGGGTGAAGGGGAGCCATGGCAGGTTTAAGCAGGAGGGTCTCATGATCAGATTTGCATTTTGTGATCCCTCTGACTTCTGCGTGGGATTTTTAGGGGGACAGAGGGGGTGCAGACAGACCTGTGAGAAGTGCTGCTGGGGTTGTGTGAACAAGAGAGGATGCGGGCCTGGATCAGGGGATTGGTGAGAAGTGTGTGAATTTAACAGAAATTCATTAGCTTAGATGGGTGATGGAAGTTCAGGAGAGCTGCATGAAGAACTCATACACCCTTCTTTTGGGATCTCCTTCAGGGCTGCCCTGCCAAGGCTCCCAGATGCCTGTGACTATCACCAATCAACTCCCCTGCTCGAGACGGGGAGCAAAGATTTGGTTTTAGGAAGCCACTATTGTGGTGGACTGTGGCTCCCACCTGGGCCTGGCTTCCAGCCCGGATTCCCTGCAGAGCCTGTCCAGGGCAGCCACAGGACGCCTGGACTCTCAGCCCTGCACACTCAGGGGGCTTCAAAGGCCACAGCAAAGGGGAGGCCCAGAAAGAACTATTTCAGGCTTAGTTTTTTCTTTTTCTTTTTTTTGTTTGAAACGGAGTCTCACTCTGTTGCCCAGGCTGGAGTGCAGTGGCGCAATCTCCGCTCATTGCAAGCTCCGCCTCCCGGGTTCACACCATTCTCCAGCCTCAGCCTCCTGAGTAGCTGGGACTACAGGTGCCCGCCACCACACCTGGCTAATTTTTTGTGTTTTTAGTAGAGACGGGGTTTCACGGTGTTAGCCAGGATGGTCTCGATCTCCTGACCCGGTGATCCACCCGCCTTGGCCTCCCAAAGTGCTGGGATTACAGGCATGAGCCACCGCGCCAGGCCAGGCTTCCTATTTTTAAAGCCGGGGTCAGGGTGCCCTGCCCACCACCAACATTTCCAGTACTGGAAGCTTCAAAAACTTCACCTCCCGCCAGCCCAGCACCAGAGACAGGCTCTGTGCACAGGGCTGTGCAGTGACCATGGGCAGCCAGGAGAGAGGCCTCCAGCATGGTTGGAGGAGGTTTTGGAATGCTGTGGTGCAAGGAAAGCCAGAGAGACTGACCACCCTGTGTGGGATAGAGCCCTGGGTTCAAACCCAGCTTTTTCATTTTCCACCAGCATGGCCTTGAGCAAATCATCTCCCCCTTCTGAGCCTCAGGGGCTCCCCTAGAAAATGGGAATAAGCCACAGGTGGTCATAGGTGGAAGCGTGAGGACATCAGCCAGCAATCACTTAATAAATGCCTCCTGTGAGCCTGTCATGGTACGCGGTGGTGGTAATGCAATTGTGAACAAGATGTGCTTCACTGAGCTTTCATTCTAACAGGGAAACCAACATTAAAGAAAAATTGAAGGCTGGGGGCCGTGGCTCATACCCATAATCCCAGTGCTTTGGGAGACCAAGACGGGAAGATTGCTTGAGCTGAGCCCAGGAGTTTGAGACCAGCCTGGGCAACATAGCAAGACCCCACCTCTATAAAAAATAAAAATAAAAAATTATCCGGGCATGATGGTGCACACCTGTAGTCCCAGCTACATGGGAGGCTGAGCCAGGAGGATCACCTGAGCTCAGGAGATCAGGGCTCAGTGAGCTGTGATGGCACCACTGCTCTCCAACCTGGGCAAGAGTGAGACCCTATCTCTAAAAAGAAGAATATAGTTTGCCTCCTGAATATATAATAATGATGAATATAAAGTATGCCTGGAAGAAAAGGAGGATTTGGCCAATATGTGGACCAATCTTTTGGACAGAAACTGCTATCTCGGGAAATGGCAGCGTGAGCCACCTGGTTGATGTTTCCTAATTCCTGGATTAATGGAGAGAAAGAAAATTTATGCCCAATCCACTCAATGTTGCCTTCTTTAGTGAAAAAATAATAATAACTTTATGAAGAAACAGCATTAACTATAAACTGGTCTTGGAAAATGAACATATCACCCACCTATTTTCATGAAAGAAAGATGCAGAAAGGCGAACAATTTAAAGAAATACAAAACCCAAAGGCAATGGTAGCCAGATGCAATGGCTCACACCTATAATCCCAGCACTTTGGGAGGCTGAGGCAGGAGGATCACTTGAGGCCAGGAGTTCAAGATCAGCCTGGACAACATAGCAAGACCCTATCTCGGCAAAGCAATGGTTCTCAAACTTGGGTTTACAGTTGGGACACCCCTCCCTCCCAAATTGTGATTCAGTAGATCTAGGGTAGGACTGAGAACTTGCATTTCTTTTTATTTATTGAGACCCGTTCTCACTCTTTTGCCCAGGCTGGAGTACCATGGTGTAATCATAGCTCACTGCAGCCTTGAACTCCTAGGCTCAAGTGATCCTCCCACCTCAGCCTCCTGAGTAGCTAGGACTACAGTTGTGCACCACCACGCCCAGCTAATTTTTTTTTATTTTTTATAGAGATGGGGTCTTACCATGTTGTCCAGGCTGGTCTCGAATTCCCGGCCTCAAGCGATCCTCCCACCTCAGTTTCCCAAAGTGTTGGGATTATAGGCCTCAGCCACGGCTCCTGATCAGAACTTGCATTTCTAACAAGACCCCAGGTGATGCCAGTGATGCTGGTTTGTGGCTCACACACTGAGAACCGCGGCTTCAGGGCAGCTGGGAATGCCTTTGGGGATTCACTAATATGAGCCCTGCTTCACTGAGTCTCTTTCCTCACAAGGGGAGCCAGGAAGCCCTCGACAGCCTCTTAGGGGCAGAAGGGTCTGTTTTTCAGCTTCGTGCTGGGAGGAACTTGGGGCAGCCTCTGAGCTCCTTCCCATCCACATCCCCAGCCAGCTGCTTCATCACTTGGGAGGTGATGGTCAACCTGCCCAGCACCTCAGTCTCACCTTGATAGAAACCAATTCCATTGCTGTAGCAGAAGATGGGTGGAGTGGAAATCCATATTCCAGGGGATTCTGAGGCAGGCATCCCATCCTGAGCACGCATGGTTCTCCCCACTGGATGAGATCTTATCTGAGAGAGAGAACGTGCTCCTCTCCATCTGTGTTTTTTTTAAACCCTCCCCACCACTCCGCTCACCTGGGTTGACTCTGCTTTGAAGACTCACTCCTGGTGGTTTTCTTATTTCAGCCCAGGGTGCACCAAAAAAGCAAGAAAAGTTTTGTTCCTCCCATGTCAAGGTCCTGAGACTCACTCCACACACAGAATGATCCTGTTTTCCAGAAAAACTTGAAACACCCCAGAGGCCAGCGATGGCCAAGGAAGTGCAGAAAATCCCTCTCCTAGGGCAGGTGACTGTGTTTTCAGCTTCTCCCGAGAGCAGTGACTGCATCTCCACTTCTACTTTCCAAGGCCTCCTCACAGATGGGGCATTTTTTAGAGTCAGTGCCAGTCAGGAGTGAGAGGGACCGAACACAGCACCCTTCGAGGACTCATGATGATGAAAAGAGAAACTTCCTGGAAATTAAAAAAACAAACAAACAAACAAACAGAAAAGCACAAAGCAAACAGTAACAATTGCCTAAATGGCCCAGACCACAAACTCACCATTTTTAATAATCTGGCATGTTTTCCAGTCTTTTTTCTATGTGCATACTTTGAAAAAATTATGTAACTCATATATCAAAATCATTAGCGTTTTGTTTAGAAAATTGGATAGCAGCTATGTTAAATCTTTCTGAAAAAACAAACAAACATTATGTTTATTTGTGTCTATTGCCAGATAAGCTAAAGGAAATGTCAGCAAACCATGGCTTGCAGGACAAATCTGGCCGAATACTTCATTTTATACAACCCACAAGCTAAAAATAGTTTTTACGTTTTTCAACGGTTGGGGAAAAAATCACAGGAAGAAACTCGCGTGTTCTCACTCATATGTGGGAGTTTAAAAAGTGGATCTCACGGAGATAGAGAGTAGACTGGTGATTACAAGAGGCTGGGAAGGGAAGGTGGGGAGGGAAGGATGAAAGAGAAGTTGGATAATGGTACAGAAATACAGTTAGGTAGAAGAAATAAGTTCTTGTATTCAGGCCGGGCACTGTGGCTCATGCCTGTAATCTCAGCACTTTGGGAGGCAGGGGCAGGTGGATCGCTTGAGCTCAGGAGTTTGAGACCAGCCTGGGCAACATGGTGAAACCCTGTCTCTACAAAAAATACAAAAATTAGCCAGGCGTGGTGGCACGTGCCTGTAATCCCAGCTACTCAGGAGGCTGAGGTGGGAGGCTTGCTTGGGCCCAGGAGGTGGAGGTTGCAGTGAGCCAAGATTACGCTACTGCACTCCAGCCTGGACGACGCAGCGAGACCCTGCCTCAAAAAAAAAAAAAAAAAAAAAAAGTTCTTGTATTCAATAGTACAGCAGGGAAATTATAGTTAACAATAACATCTTATAGATTTCAAAATACCCAGAAGAGGAAAATTGTGTTGGGTAATGTCCCCAACACAAAGAAAAGATAAAAGATAAATGTTTGAGGGGATGGGTATCCTGATTACCCTGACTTGATCATTATATATTGTATACGTGTATCAAAATATCACATCTACCCCAAAATATCAATATATTTTAAAATGTAAAAAGTAATAAAAAATCTGTGTAATACATGACAATGAAATTCAAATTTCAGCGTTCATGAAGTTTTACAGAGGTACAGCCACACCCATTCATTTACCTACTGCTGCTTCTACGTGATGCCAGCAGGGTTGAGTAGTTGCCAGAGACCATATTGCCCCCCAAAATGTGAAATATTTACTACCCAGTTCTTTACAGAAAAAGTTTGCCAACACCTACTCAAAGTCTGGTCGGTGGTAATTGTTTGTTACCAATCTGCGATGAGATAAACACAGAAATTGAGAGTAAGACTTTAGAAACTTTTGGCTGGGCATGGTGGACTCACCCCTGTAATCCCAGCATTTTGGGAGGCTGAGGCAGGAAGATCTCTTGAGGCCAGGGGTTCAAGCCCAGCCTGGGCAACATAGTGAGACACCCCCATCTCTTAAAAAAAATAAGACTTTGAATAATTTGACAGTCTGTTTTGTTAATTAAAAAATTTAAAATTGGGGATGATTGCTGTATTTTCATTTTGCATTTCTGATAATTGATTTTTGTTGTATTCTACTAACTTTTCAGTCCATAAGGTATCAAAAAAGGTGAAACACAAAAACTGATCCCTCACTACAGATAATGTGCATTTTAAAAACATTCTTCTAAAAACCAAATATTGTTCTGTAACTTGCCTGGTTTTCTTTTGAGATGGAGTCTCACTCTGTCACCCAGACTGGAGTGCAGTGGCACAATCTCAGCTGGCTGCAAGCTCCACCTTCTGGGTTCACACCATTCTCCTGCCTCAGCCTCCCGAGTAGCTGGGACTACAGGTGCCCACCACCACGCACGGCTAATTTTTTGTATTTTTAGTAGAGACGGGGTTTCACCGTGTTAGGCAGGAAGGTATCGATCTCCTGACCTCGTGATCCGCCCGCCTCAGCCTCCCAAAATGCTGGGATTACAGGCATGAGCCACCGCGCCTGGCCTTTTTTTTTTTTCTTTTTTTACCTCCGGGAATGTTTCTGAGTTATGCCCGTGTTGAATATGTAAGGTCTTGTGTATCCGTTTTCTCTGTTGCATGATGATATTATTGCATGCTGATTATTTACTCATTCCCCTTCTCATGGACATGTAGGTTATTTCTAGTTTTTTGCTAGCGCAGACAATGCTGTTCTGAGCATCCTGAACCTATCTCCTGGTACAGATGTGGGAGAGATTTTCCAGGGTAAACACCCAGTGAAGAAATAGCTGGGTCTCCAGATTTCTGCATCTTCAATATTACTAGAATCTGTCAAATTCTAATTTTTGCAAAGTGATGGCACCAATTTACATCACTGCAGAAGCGCTTCAGAGTTTTTGTTCCCCAATCCTTGCAAACATTTAGTATTGGCTGATGTCTGAGTTTGGGTTTAAAATTATTAGCTTTGAGCAAGCTTCAGACCTTTGTAAGCATTGAGGGGGAGGCGAGAGGTTTTACCTTTTCCCCCTCCCTCCCGCTGTATCTCCAATTTCCTCCAGTTTCACCTGCCTGCCCACCCCCCGCCCCGCCCCCGCCACCCCCTCTGAGCTGACCTGGCCTGGGGCTGCGCCTGGACCTGATTTTCATAAAACCTCCCTCCCAGTTCTCATGCACACCCCACGGCTCAGCATCTTGGGTTCTCTCAGCTCCACTAACCAGGGGCTGCCCTAGGAGGGAGCAGGACTCCCTGGCAACAGGTGACAAGGTAGGCTTGACAGGCAGGCTCCTTTGCTTTGTGTCTCTGGTACATGGAGCAGTGGCAGCGTGGAAGAGATTCCCCAATCACTATTCAATGAATGAATGAAGAGCGAAAAGGCAACTAGGCTGTCATTTATTGAGCAACTACTTCGTGTCAGCTCGGTGACCAGGTGTCTGAGAATTACCAATGGAATAAAAACCCCCGTATGGCCCTTGGTCAGATGAGGAAAGAGAGTCTCAGAGAGGTAAGGTCATTTGCCTGCCGTCACAGGGTCAATGAGTAGGAGATCTGGGACTTGACTCCAGTCCTGCCTGACTCCAGGGGCCTCTGGCTCCACTGCCTGACTTGGGGCTGTTTTCACTGCCTCTCTTAGGGCTGCCCTGTGGCTTCCTACCTGTTTCTGCCAGACTCCAGCCCACTTCCCAGGGACTAGTCTGGCTGCTGAGTCCGGCTCTCCAACACCAAGAACTAGTTGCCCTGAAACCCAAGGCTCATACAGATGGTCAGGAGGGCCCTCCGCAGGCTGCTTAGAGACAGCGTCTGTCCACCTTCATAAGCCCACCTGCTCCAGCTGCCCGTCCCTCCACCACATCAGGCTAGGGGATGAGGTTGGGGCCTGGCTGAGTGGCTGCATCTGGGATTGAGCTGACCCTGGGGACATGACAGTGAGGAGGAGAGGAAGGAGAGAAGGTGGAGGTTGGAGAAAAGTGGGGCTGCAGAGCAGGAGAAACCATAGGACCAGGAGGAAGAGCAGGGAAAGGGCAAAGAAGAAGAGGGAAGCAGAGGAAGGGCGGCAGGAGGAAGATGGGAGTGCTCAAGAAGTTTATAGGAGCCATTGGTTTGGACTGAGCTCCTGCCCTAGGCCCCACAGACCAAACCAAAATGGAGTTGCTCGTGCTTACGTGCCACACCAGCAAGCCCAAACCAAGGTGTTTGCCCTGCCTTCCAGTTTCAGCCGATAGGAGAACGAAGTTCCCTAGGATTTAACCTTTACAACGAAAGTAACTTTGAAAGGACCATTCTGCTTTATTGTTCTCTGTGTCTTCTTCCTTCTGCCCATTGCCATCTGTAAAGAAATCTCTTCTGTTCAACTCATCTGGACACACATTCTACTTTACAGAATGAGGTGTTGCCCAATTCTAGAATGGCAAATAGAAGTCATTTAAGGGCTGGGCGCGGTGGCTCACGCCTGTAATCCCAGCACTTTGGGAGGCCGAGTCGGGTGGATCATCTGAGGTCAGGAGTTCAAAACCAGCCTGACCAATATGGTGAAACCCCCTTTCTACTAAAAATACAAAAATAAAAATAGCCGGGGGTGGTGGCATGTACCTGTAGTCCCAGCTACTCCGAAGGCTGAGACAGGAGAATTGCTTAAACCCGGGAGGTGGAGGTTGCAGTGAGCTGAGATCGTGCCACCGCACTCCAGCCTGGGTGACTGAGCGAGATTCCATCTCAAAAACAAAAACAAAAAGAAACAAACAAACAAAAGTCAATTAAGGCCTTTAAACTAAATTTGTTGTAATTTTGTGACAGGAATGAATGAGTTGGTGAATGAACATGTGGAAGGGGTTTCCATCCAGGCCATCTGGCAAACTCCTACTCCTCTTACAAAACCCAAGCCTCCTCCTCCCGGGAGCCTTCCCTGCTCCCACCCCGACCCCCACAGCCACCTCTGAGCACTTCTCACACTGCGCTCCTTTACCCAGGGCCTTGCTGTGTGCCTGGCTCTGCCCTAAACTTCACAAGCGTCATGTCCTGGACTCTTCACTGCAATCCTCTGAGCGGCACTATTATTGCTCCCATTTTAGAGGAAACTGAAGCACGGAGCGGTTGCTCTGTCACCTACCTGAGTGGCGGGCTTTGCTCCGCGGCTTCCAGTGACATCGTGAGTGAGAAAGCGCTTCGGAATCTTGGAATAACCTTCCTAAGGCAAAGAATGGTTGGTGGATTTGATTTTTTTTTCTCCCCCTCCCAACAAGTTTTGGAAAGCAAGGCTGCAGAAAGACACGGGATTCTAGAGGCCTGCCCAGGCACTGTCAGCGGCCCAGGGGCAAGACTGTCTGAGCTCCAGGCCCTCTGAGCCTCAGTTTCCCTACTGAGGGAGGCGAGGCGCGGAGGCCCCGCCCAGCGTGGGCTGCCCGCCTGTGACTGACGGCGCTTGCCTCCAATCAGGGCCTGCGCAGCTCGGGCCGCCCGGCCAGGAGCCCCGAGGATGACGTTTTGCTGACACCTGGTGGCTGCAGGGGAAGTGTCGCCTTGAGGACGGGAAGAAAGGGCCAGCGAGGACGGACAGGGCACTCTCTAGGAAAGTCACCAGGAAGGCTGGAAATCCGAGGTCAAGGCTTTGGCAGGGTCGGGTCCCTCTGGGGGCTGCGAGTGATAATCTTCTCCGTGTTTCTCTCCTAGCCTCTGGTGGGTGGCCGGCAATCTGCGGCACTCTTTGCCTTGCAGAAACATCACCCCATCATCTTCACATGACATTCTCCCTGTGTGCGTGGCTGTCTCCAAGTTTCCCATTTTCATAGACACCAGTCACATTCCATTAGGGGCCCACACTACTCCAGTGTGATCTACTCTTAAAATAACTAATTACATTTGGCCGGGCATGGTAGCTCACACCTGCAGTCACAGCACTTTGGGAGGTGGAGACGGGAGGATTGCTTGAGGCCAAGAGTTCGAGACCAGCCTGGGCAACACAGTAAGACACCCCCCCACCCCCCAAATCTCTACATAAAATAAAAAATAAAAAAGTTAGCAGGTGTGGTCACACACGCCTGCGGTCTCAGCTTCTCCAGAGGTTGAGGCAACAGGATCACTTGAAAGCCCAGGAGTTGGAGGCTGCAGTGAGATATGATTGTGCCACCACACTCCAGCCTGGACAACGGAGTGAGACCCTATCGCATAAAAAAAACTGCACTTGCAATGACCCAGTTTCCAAATAAGGTCACATTCTCTAAGGTATTGAGGATTAGGATTTCAGCATATGAATTTGGGGGGTTCTCATTCAACCCATAATAATCACCATTGCTCTACTCTCCAACTATTACAATCCCCCCAGAGTGAGAGCTTCTAGGGGCAGGGAATCTGTTTTACTTTGTATCCCTACTCTGCCCAGTTCCAGGAGTGAAATAGGCACTCAATAGATATTGATTGAAGAATCAATGAAGAAATGGATGAGAGTAACATTTATTTAGCACTTACTAATTTCCACCTTTATGATAATCATTTTAACCACTTTAACAGGGTTTTCCATGTGCCACCCCCCCCCCCATCTCTGCATTCCAGCCACCACCGTGCCTTTGTGGAGTTTCTCAGAGCTACCAGGCTCCTCCCACCACAGGGCCTTTGCACGTGCCACTGTCATCAGGACACTCTTCTTTGGCCTCTTTACCCTTGCAACTTCTACTCCTCCTTGAGATCTCAGCTCGAGTCTTTTCCTCAAGGAAGTAGCTTAGACTTGTGCAGATTCTGTTTTTTAACTTTTATTTTAGGTTCGGGGATACATGTGCAGGTTTGTTATAAACTAGTGCCATGGGGGTTTGCTGTAGATTATTTCATCACTCAGGTACTAAGCCAAGTATCCAAATAGGCACTCAATGGGTATTGATTGAAGAATGAATGAAGAAATAGATGATAGTAACATTTATTGAGCACTTACTGGTTTTTTTTAACATTATTTATTTATGTATTTATTCATTTATTTTTGAGATGGAGTCTCACTCTGTCGCCCAGGCTGGAGTGCAGCGGCTCGATCTCGACTCACTGCAACCTCTGCCTCCTGGGTTCAAGCAATTCTTCTGCCTCGGCCGCCCGAGTAGCTGGGATTACAGGTGCCCGCCACCACACCCGGCTAATTTTTTGTATTTTTAGTAGAGATGAGGTTTCACCGTGTTAGCCAGGATGGCCTCGATCTCCTGACCTCATGATCTGCCCACCTCCGCCTCTCAAAGTGCTGGGGTTACAGGCATGAGCCACCTTGCCCTGCCTTTTTTTTTTTTTAATATTTTAAGTTCTGGGATACATGTGCAGAGCGTGCAGGTTTGTTACACAGGTATACATGTGCCATGGTGGTTTGCTGCACTCATCAACTCGTCATCTAGGTTTTAAGCCCTGCATGCATTTGGTATTTGTCCTAATGCTCTCTCTCCCCTTGTCCCCCACCCCATGACAGGCCTCTGTGTGTGATGTTCCCCTCCCTATGTCCATGTGTTCTCATTGTTCAACTCCTACTTATGAGTGAGAACATGTGGTGTTTGGTTTTCTGCTTCTGTGTTAGTTTGCTGAGAATGATGGTTTCCAGCTGCATCCATGTCCCTGCAAAGGACATGTACTCATTCTTTTTTATGGCTGCATAGTATTCCATGGTGTATATGGAGCACTTATTGGTTTCTACCTTTATGATAATCATTTTAATCACTTTAGCTCATTCAACAAGGTTTTCCACTTTTCCAAATGTGAGGGGATGCTTCTAAGTGGAGTCCTGAAAGGTCAAGAATACCTAAAACATTCCTGAAGAATCATATTATAGGGCAGTGGTCCCCAAATGTTTTGGCACCAGGGATCGATTTTGTGGAAGACAGTTTTTCATGGGCTGTGGGCAGGGGACACATTAGATTCTCATTGGAGCATGCAACCTAGATCCTTTCCATGTGCAGTTCACAATAGGGTTTGCACCCCTATGAGAATCTAATGCTGCCGCTGGTCTGACGGGAGGCGGAGCTCAGGCTGTAATCCCCACCTCCTGCTGTGCAGCCCCCATTCCAGGCCACCGGAGGCCCGGGGGTGGAGGGCCTATAAAATCACCCCACCTGTGGGGAAGGGGATAGATCAGCAAGGTGACACTGCACCACAGTGCAGGAAATGGACCCCTTCATGAATGATTTTAGGACACTGGACGTCCAAAGTGGAAAAAAAAGAAAAAGAAACTGAATCTCTACCATACACTACATACAAGAATCAGCTCCAGAGGGATTAAGAACGCAAATGTGAAGAGCAAAAGTTTTAAAAGTTTAGGGGAAGAAAATATATTGGAGAATTTCTTTGTAACCAGGGATTAGAAAGAATTTCTTCAAGGTTGGCCAGGGGCAGTGGCTCATGCCTGTAATCCCAGCACTTTGGGAGGCTGAAGCAGGCGGATCACAATTTCAGGGGTTCAAGACCAGCCTGGCCAACGTGGTGAAACTGCGTCTCTACTAAAAATACAAAAATTAGCCAGGCATGGTGGTGCATGCCTGTAATCCCAGCTACTAAGGAGGCTGAGGCAGGAAAACTGCTTCAACCCAGGAGGCAGAGGTTGCAGTGAGCCAAGATTATACCACTGCACTCCAGCCTGGGCAACAGAGCAAGACTCTGTCTTGGGGGGAAAAAAAAAAAAGAAAGAAAGAATTTCTTCAAGGAGATTTGAAAGGCATAAACCCTAAAGGAAAATATTGCTGTTTGACCACATTAAAATTTAAAATGTCATCAAGAGATACCAAAAACAAAGTGACAAGAGGCTGTACCCAGGAAGCGGATATTTGCACTACAAATTAACCAACAAAAGCTGAGTCTAAAGACAGAAGGCCTGCAGCATCTTGTTTCAGCCCCATCGCAACCGCGTTAGGAAGGTACTATTTCTCTCCCATCTTCCTGAGTAGAAACATCAAAGCTCTGAAGGCAAAAGGACTTGCCTGAGCCTCTATCCCTGGCCAGTGCCCCAGAACAGCAGTGTAAACCCAGCCTTCATTCCCAGATCATTGCATCACCTTGAGCCTGGCTACAGCCAAGATCCTCACAGCTCAATAGTCTCTTCCTCATTGAAGTAGCTTAGAGGTTGCGTAGATTCTTCAATTACTAACAGTTGCCCTCAGCCATATGATGAATGAATGATCACACTCACAAACATGGCATTCTGACCTCTCCGGGCTGGAGTGGGGGTTTCAGGGTTCTTGGCTTCTCTTGCAGATCCAAAAAGACCCCCAGACTCAAGGGGACAATGTGATAATGTGAGATTGACGGGCAGTGGATATGTTTTTAAGGGCTGGGGCACCCATCACATGCCCCTGAGAGTGACTGTGCTCAGCAACCAGCATGTAACAGGGAGCTCAGGAGCTCAACCAAGCCAGCCACTCAGAGGCAAGGGAATTGCAAGTCAGGTGAAGAAACAAAGGCTCAGAGAGGTTGGGCACTGTGTCCAAGGTCACACAGCTAAGCAGCTGCAGAACCGTAAGACTCAGTAAGGGTTCTGTTGCCCTACTCCTAGCACAGGTACTTGCTGATTCTCATTTCTCTCTCGCTGTCACTCTCTCTCTCTCTCTCTCTCTCTCACACACACACACACACACACACACACACCAGCTGCCAGGGGAGATCAAAGACCCACAGCAGACAAGTTGCAAGTCACACTTTATTCACTCTCTGGGAGGTCTGGAGGGTTCCTGGGCAGCAGACCTGGGTCCTGGGAAGGAGGCATGGTGGGGAGGGCACTAGTTGGAGGGGTGGAAGGCACCACGTTGGTGCCACTGCATGTCGCGGATACGGCGCACGGACTGCACCTGGGGGTGAGGGGCCCCAAAGTCGCTGCTGTCCTTGTAGTCTCCCTTCTCCAGCAGGTACTGCAGCCCACGGTAGCCGGGGTACTGGTAGCCAACCCACCTGCAGGGCCAGAGGTGATGGGAGGGTGAACGAGGGGGACAGGAAGAGAAGCAGACAGAGAGAGAGGCGAGGGGAGAGAGATAGAGCATCCATAAGCCACTAGGAAGGGTGAAGCCTCCCAACCATTGCCACTTCCCAAGGGTAAGCAGGACACCCTTTCCACCCCACCCTTCCAGCACTGAGCCTCTGCTTTCTTCCTTCTCTTGATGGGGAGCTCACTGCCTCCTGAAGCAAATTTTGACTGAAGGCCTGTACTGTACTGTACTGTACTGTACTGTACTGGGGTCAGAGCAAGGGGGTGATATCTTAAGCTCACTGAAGCTTAGAATAAGCCAGGCCTTTGAACCGTCTCCCTCCAGTCCTATCCCACCTCCAAGCCCAGCTACAAGGTCAAAGAAGAGTTGGGGGAGGTTCCAGGGGCCTTCTGATGAAAGAGTTTCCAGGGGCTACTTAATGAAAGTGCTGGTCTTCTCTCCAGAAAATGTCACACAGGCCTGGCCTGCAAGGACCTGCCTGGCCAGTTTCTGTGGACACCTCCAGCTCTACTTCGCATTCTTATGCTCCCACATCTCTGCATTCCAGCCACCATGGCCTTTGTAGAGTTTCTCAGACCTACCAGGCTCCCCCACACACACCACAGGGCCTTTGCACATGCTGCTCTCGTTGTCTGGGATGCTCTTCCTTGGCCTCTTTACCCCTGCAATTCCTACTGTTCCTTGAGATCTCAGCTCAAGAATCTTTTCTCCAAGGAAGTAGCTTAGATTCATGTGAATTCTTAAAGTATTTACAGTTGCCCCTTCTAGACTGTTGGCTACACAGGGCAGAAGCCAGATCTCTTTAATCTCCTTCACCCTGGGCACCTAACACAATGCCTGGCATATGGCAGCACTGACAGATTGAATGAATGAATGAATGAATGAGGGAATGAAGGGGAATAGGAGCACAGAACTTTGCACACTATTTTAGGAGTTTCACAAACCCCAAGAAGCCAGTATGTTTGGCTAAATTGGTTCTGTTGTGGGGAAAGAGCCTTAATTAGCAGCACTTGCTGATTTCTATGCTGTAAATGCACCCTGTGGCTGGTTTCAAGCTACCAATGATTAGTCAACCAGTTCACACAGATTCTGAAAATTTAAGAGTCCGTTCCAGGCCAGGCACAGTGGCTCACGCCTGTAATCCCTGCACTTTGGGAGGCCGAGGCAGGCAGGTCATGAGGTCAGGAGTTTAAAACTAACCTGGCCAACACAGTGAAACCCTGTCTCTACTAAAAATGCAAAAAATCAGCTGAGCTTGGTGGTGGGCGCCTGTAATCCCAGCTACTTGGGAGGATAAGGCAGGAGAATCGCTTGAACCTGGGAGGCGGAGGTTGCAGTGAGCCAAGATCATTCCACTGCACTCCAGCCAGGGCGAAAGTGCGCGCCTCCGTCTCAATTAAAAAAAAAAAAAAAAGTTCTTACAAGCTGGTATAAGCTGTTTCCAGCACACCGCTGCCCAAAGCTCATCTGTGGACCCCCATGGAATCCAAATTTATTACCATGAGAAATCCCTCACTGCTGATGGCCAGGGTCGATGTGCCCAGGAACTTTGATTCAGTGGAAAATGACACCTCCTGTTCCCAAACTTAGGGACACACGCGGTCAAAGGCAGCATGGGCTGGTCCTCCTGCTTCTCATAGCTTTCAGACTACTCAACTCATTCCTTCCCTCCTGCCTCAACCTAATCCTCCCTCTGCCTCAACTTGCCCCTCTGACATACATGTCTTGCTCACTGGGGCTGAGGTTAAGGCCAAGGTTTCTCCACTCCAAAGGCATACCATTTCCCCAAAGGCAGCTCTAGAAAGAAATTCAGCGGCTGTAAGCCACCTATGGGCAGAGAATTCCCATTTACTTTCCAGTGGGAAGCCAGAGGTCAGCAGAGCACACTGATGTGTGCAAGATCACCAGCGTGTACAGGGCAGAGCAGGACTTAGGACCCCAGAGTCTCAGTTCCTGGGGCAGGGTGAGCCAGGGCTGGCAACGCACTTACGTGCCACTCTGCACCCGCACAGATGACACCTTCTCCTGGTAGCCATGGGCGTGGAAGCTGGGTACATCGTCATCTATGATTTCCATCTTCTTCCCGGTGAAGTTGGGGTTTTCATAGAGGATGATCTTGTGCTCTTGGCTGTCCTATTGGCAGAGGATGGGGGGAAGTGAGTATGGGTGAGGGGGCCCAGGGTTGGCCTTCCCACCCCATGCTCATGCCCCAGAGTTGGGATCAGCATGTCCCACACATCACTCTCTTCCCAGTGCACCCACTACGTGTCTATGACCACTGCTGTTGGATCACAGCCGTTTGTTAAGTTTCTACTGGGCCATTTTCATGTAACAGACACTCTGCAACACTTTGGGGAATGTTTGATTCTGAAATGTCATTTTTTCCTCCTCAAGTTTCTCTTTTATAAATGGTGGCTACGATATACCTACCCACCCACATGTGAACACCCACACATGCACACACACACACATGCACACCCACACATGTGTGCACACGCACACATGCACACACGCACACCACACTTGCACACACGCACGCACACACGTGCACACCCACACTTGCACACACACGCACACCCACACATGCGTGCACACACACATGGACACACGCACACACTTGCGCGCACACACGTGCACACCCACACATGTACACACACACGCACAGGCTAACTGTGCCTCTAATAGGCACCTGAGATATTTTGATTTTTCTTCATTTCTACATCTCTTCCCATCCTCCTGTCCCTATGACATTTTCCTTAGTTATCTCATCTCATCCTTTACACATAAAACCCTTATCCCTCAGACATAAAATCCTCTTATGCCATTTAGCAGATGAGGAAAGCGCGGCACAGAGAGGTCAAATGACGTGCTCAAGGCCACACAGCTGGGAGCAGCACAGCCAACTTGGGAACCCAGGTCTGTGGGGTGCCAAGTCCCGTGTTCCCCAACCTTCCAGTAGGTCCTGGGAGGAGCTAGACTGGGCTTGGAGGGTTTGAGAGTATAACTGAGCAGTGATGGGCCCTGTCCCCTTCCTGAGAGTTGACACTCTCACACACTAGTAAGAATCAGGATCTCAGAAGCACTGAAAACTCACACTGGCACGAGTCTTGAAGAAGAGCTAAACCACCTTCTCCTCCAGCCCCAAACTCATAATTTCTTGTAGTATTTCTGATGGCTATTGGTTATTGAGCAATGACGGGAGTTGCCCAACCCTTGGGCGCGGGGGGCGGGCACCAACCACCTAAAATAGAATGTGAATAGTGCCCTCTGGAGCATTTCATAGTCTTGTGATTGGAGCCTTCTGGAGTTGCAGTGTGACAACCCTCAAGCTAATAAGCACATTGGAACCTCAGGACAGTAGATACCAATATGCCCATTTTACAGATGAAGAAACTGAGGCTCAGGGAAGTAAAATGACTTTTGCAAGGTCACCCAGTGAGGAGGTTCCTCACCAATCAGAAGGGGCACAGTGCTAGAGGGGCGGGCCCCTTCCTGGTCCCCAGACCTCCAGCTCCAAGGTGGCAGAGAGAGAAAGTAGGATGATGGGCAGAGAGAGGGAGTAGGGTGATGGCAGGGGGCTCACCACTTTGATGGGCCTCAGGGAGCTGAGGGAGTCCGTCCTTCGGCTGCTGGTCCATGAGTCCCAGCGGGGGTACTCACCCTTCTCAAACACAAACTGCTCGCCCTTGCAGTTGGCCTGTTCATAGCCCACCCAGCTGCCATGGAGACAGAGAGAAAGGGGGCAGGTCAGTTCCACTCCAAGCTTCCTATGGCAGAATCCTGGCTACTGATGTTGACCCCTAGGGTTCACTCTTGCCCAGCCCGGCAAGATGTAATAGCCCCACCCAAACCTTAGCACAGCAAATCCAAGTGCAAAATCCCCTCAGTTATCTAGAACTCAGTGCTATGCTGCCTTTACCCACCTGGAACACAGTTAAGAAATAAGAAGGCAGTCTAAATAACGGCCCAGCAACAAATACCAATATATAGACGCCATGCACTAAAGCCAATAGTATGCTGGTAAGTTAATAGCCAACTCTCAAAAAACAAAACGAAAATTAACACTCTTGATTTGTAGCGTTTGCCAATTTCCATGGTGTAAATGCTCCCACTGTGGCAGATTTCAAGCTATCAATATGACACGGCTGCAAGTGAAGTTAGGAAGAGAGATGCACAGTCAGCCTTCACCACTGAGAACTGACTCCAGAACATCGCTGTGCCCAAAGCCCCTCTCTTTGGATCTGTTTCTTCTCTTGTTCCTGTTGTTAGACTCTGCCCAAACTCTGTTTTTGTAGATCCACATTAGAAGAAAAATAGTACATTAAAGAGGAAGGGATGGCTTTCAGGTCGGGCATGGCTAATAGAGGAAAGCAGAAAATAGAAGGAAGAAGGCACAAATCTCAAAATGATTAGCATTCTGGGACCAACCAGTGCAGAGGCGAACATTTCAGCAATGTGCAATAATGGCTGTTCAGAGGAATGATCTAAGTCATTAACAAAAGAGGAGGTCGTGTTTATTGTCCTCTTTTGGAAGAGTAGTCTTGATCCAGCAATTCTACTTTAGGCAATTGGTCCTTAAAAAACAGTTGTCAAGGGGCTGGGCGCTGTGGCTCACGCCTGTAATCCCAGCACTTTGGGAGGCCGAGGTGAGCGGATCACCTGAGGTCAGTAGCTCGAGATCATCCTGGCCAACATGGTGAAACTCCGTCTCTACTAAAAACACAAAAAGTTAGGCAGCACAGTGGTGCATGCTTGTAATCCCAGCTACTCAGTAGTCTGAGGGAGGAGAATTGCCTGAACCCGGGAGGCGGAGGTTGCAGTGACTTGAGATCGCACCATTGAACTCCAGCCTGGGTGACAAGAGCTACAACTCTGTCTCAACAAAACAAAACAAACAAACAAACAAAAACAGTTGTCAAGGGGTCACAGATATCTGAATAAGTCTGTTCACTGTGGCATTGTTTATAATATCCAGTAACTGAAAAACTTAAACATCCTACAATCAGGACCTGGATATGGCATATTCAATCATGGACTGTTACAAAGCCATGGTAAGTAATGACATAGGATGTGGGTTCTCAAATGTAATTGGCGTAACTATCACCAGGTAAGCTTGTTAAATGCAGATTCCAGGCTCCAGAGCTCAGTTTGATTTAGTGGGGCTTAAGTGGGGCCCAAGAACCTCCATTTTAAAGCATCTCCCTTCTGTGAATCTGATGCTAATTTTCCTCAAACTACTTTGAAAAACACCAACATAAAATGCTATTTAATGACATGGAGAGAGTCCATGCTACCTTGTAAAGTTTCCAAAGTGAGTAATAAAACATTATGTTTAGTATGATCCAAGTTTGATTTGATTATACACACACACACACACACACACACACACACACACACACAGAGAAATCCAAATTCATACCAAAATCTTAATAATGGTTACTTCTGAGTAGTGAATACAAGTCATACGGTTTTTTGCCTTAAACCATATCTTCTTAGTTTTAAAATAAACGATAATTAATAAAAATACTAAATGTTATATTTTTTAAAAAAGAAAGAAGAAGAGTGTAAAATCTCTTTGGGAAATTTTTTTTCATCAAAATGTTTGAAAAGGCAGCTGAAAGTCAGATGTGGTGCTTAAACGGTCAAATCTCAGCTATCCAGAAAGGGATTCTCTTGGACACAACAGATTCCCTGAGCATGTCAGATGACCAAGGCTTGGCAGGGCCACTGCTTTAGCTGTGTTCTGCACATCTTCAGGTTCTGACCTATGTAGGACCATGGAACTCTGCAAAATTCCCTGAGAACCTTGAGGTGTGGTATAGGTCACCTTAGGATTTCCAGCCATATCTGACTTACTGGCCACCAGCGGACATTCCTACATCCTGAGGCTTTTACAGAGAAGGAGTGACGAGAGAAACTGTGGTTTTGTGTCCCAGACTCTGCAGGCTCACATAGGACTATGCTCAGCTACATCACATAAGGTGAGCCAACCATTCAGCTCCCCTTCTCTCTTGGATAGAGACCTGGCCCCCAAGTGTGCCAAAAAATCTGTAAAGACCCAGCATTGTCAGGATTCGGGAAGGGAGGAGTGGATGCAGGGCTGGAACATCCAGCCTTAAACCTCCCAGGAGTGAGGACACTCCTGGAGCCAGAGATTGGCAGTTCTAAAAGCTTCATCAGTCACTATGTCCATCTTCCTGCCTTGAGGAAGTGGCTGACCTCTGTATCAGGCTTTCCACATGACCCTCTCCCTTCATCCCCAGAGTACATGGTTAGCCTCATCCTACAGAGGAGGAAACTGAGGCTCAGAGGGGGAAGGTCCTGGTCCAACACCACACAACCCAGAAGGGGTGGAACCTGGATTTGAACCCAGCTCTATCTGACTGCAAAGCATGAATTATCTCCATAGGCTGCCAGACCCCAAAACTTGGTTCCCAGATTTGCAGACAGGAGCAAGGGTAGATTCCCCCACTCCACAACTTGATCACCTCACCCAAAGTCCCTGACCAGGAGAGGCCACCCAGGTACTTACGGTCCAGCCTGCACTAGGACAGAACCTGCCTTCTCCACGCCAGTTTCCTTCAGGTTGGGGCAGGGCCCATTGAGCTCATGCGAGTGGCCTTGAAAGTTTTCCTGCTCAAAGATGATGATCTGCAAGAGGAAGCGAGACTCAGACCCTCATCACGATGAAGAGGAGTGAGAACTGGGTGGTAGACGTGGGGAGGGAGCTCAGAGAACCCAAAGGATGCTGAAGGGTTCACCTCCAGAGTGACAAATCAAACATAAAATCAAACAGCCCTGGCTCTGGCTATAAGCAGCCGTGGGACCTTGAGCCTGCATTTCTCCTCTCTGAGCGTCAGTCTCCCCGTCTGTAAAATGGGAAATAAAGACAGAACCTAGGCCAGGTGTGGTGGGCTCACCCCTGTAATCTCAGCATTTTGGGAGGCTGAGGTGGGAGGATTGCTTGAGCCCAGGAGTTCCAGACCAGCCTGGGCAAGATGGGAAGACCCCACTTCTAATTTTTTTAAAAAGAAAAAGAAACAAAGAGAGAAACTGCCTTGTGATATTGTTTGTTAGAAGGATTCAGGGGAGCATAATGGTTAGCACACAGTATTTGCTCTGCTTGTGGGAGAACTAATTATGACATAATTAAGACATAATTATGTTAATTAAGAAATATGGTACAGATTCCAGTAAGTGGCAGAGCTGAAACTGGAGCCCAGGCTTGTCTGATGCAGCTGAAATGGAAGCAGCATGTTGCAAATTCTAACACTCAAACCTAATGTTCTCATCAGCCCAAGGGAGGGGGCTCATGGGATCCCCATCAGGGAAACTGAAGCTCTGCAAAGTGAAGGGACCCACCCAACATCCCACATCCAAGCATTAACCATGATGCTAGCTGCCACCTTTCATGGTTCCAGTGAGGTTTTTTGTTTTTTTTTTTTGAGACGGAGTCTCACTCTGTCGCCCAGGCTGGAGTGCAGTGGCGCGATCTCGGCTCACTGCAAGCTCCGCCTCCTGGGTTCACGCCATTCTCCTGCCTCAGCCTCCTGAGTAGCTGGGACTACAGGCGCCTGCCACCACGCCCAGCTAATTTTTTTTGTATTTTTTTAGTAGAGATGGGGTTTCACCAAGTTAGCCAGGATGGTCTCGATCTCCTGACCTCGTGATCTGCCTGCCTCGGCCTCCCAAAGTGTTGAGATTACAGGCGTGAGCCACCGCGCCCGGCCTCCAGTGAGAATTTTGGAGGCAGAGGTTTTCCAGCCACACTTCCCCAGCAAACTGCCCCTGGATGAAAAGATGGGCTCAGGTCAGCACACTCTCAGTCGGGGCAGCTACAGAATCGACACGGTCAGCACAGGCTGGGTAAACATAGCCCTCTCTCCCAGGCCTGGGATTAGCCACACAAAGAAAGGGAAAGGCACAGGGCTTAGAGGCAAATTCCACGGGCTCAATCCAGCCTTTACAGTCAGTGACCCAGCCCTTTACGGTCACTGACTCGGCCAGAGATAGGGTCAGGAGACAAGGGCTCCAATGTGTCCTCTGTTACATCCAGTTGCACAAACCTAAAAAGCAATTCAATACTCTGGGCCTCAGGTCCCTCATCTGTCAAATGGGGACTCAAGAATGTGGAAGTTCGGGGCTAGAGTTTATTATTACCCTGGCCTGGGAGACCAGGGCTTGTGGGTGGTTAGCACATAGTATTTGCGCTGCTTGTGGGAGACATAATTATGTTAATTAAAAGACATGCTACAGATCCCACGTGAATAAGTGGAAGAGCTGAAATTGAAGCCCAGACTTGTCTGATGCAGATGAAATTGAAGCAGCACTTTGCAGACTCTAACCTGTGCACACAACACTGGGATCTTGATCAAATGCAGTTTCTGAGGTAGCAGGCCTGGGGTGCCCACCTGAATAGGGGTAGGCAGGTGAGGAAGAGCAGTTTCTCCATGCATTTGAAAGCCCAGAAGCTCAGAGGACCCAGGAGCTCAATAGCGTTGTTATTAATCAATAGAGTAGAGGGCAAAATTTTACAAATTATCCAATCCTTTAAGCCTGCACTGTCCCACACAGCAGCCATTAGTAACATATGGCTACTGAGCACATGTAATTAGTCCATATTATTACTTATACTGTGCTATAAGCGTAACATACACATCATATTTTGAAAATTCAGAATGGAAAAAATAATGTAAAATATCTGCCTAATAATTCTTATATTGATTATACATTAACATGCTCATCTTTTGGATATATTGGGTTTCATAAAATGTAATATGAAAATTAATTTCACCTATTTCTTTTTACTTTTTATGATGTGGCTACTAGAACATTTTGCATTACCTATGTGGCTCACATTATAGGTCTAGTGGACAGAGCTTCTTGCTTTTTTCCAAACTCACCCAGTTCATTCCCACCTCGGAGTCTTTGCGCCTGCTGTTCCTTTTGTCTGGATGCTCTCATCAACCCTGACCCCCATTTTTCATTTTTCTGTGGAGATGGGATCTCACTATGTTGCCCAGGCTGGGCTCAAACTTTTGGGTTCAAACAGTCCTCCCACCTCGGCCTGGCAAAGGCACCCCCAATTTTCATATAGCCGCTTCCTCACTTGACCCAGGTGTCTGCTCAAAGTCAGCTCCTCAGAGAGACCCTCCTGGACCACCTGAGCTAACACAACCACTGTGACTCTCAGGAGCCCCTTCCCCTAGTTTACAATTGTTTGTAGCACTTCTCACTACTGGAAATCATATATTCATTTATTTATTGTCTGTCCTTCTTCTGGAAAGTAAGCCCTAAAAGGGACAGATTGGGGTGAGCAGGTGAGGGGCTGTATCTGCTCAGGCTTCCCTGGCCCAGGAGGCACTGAGTCAGACAAAGGGGCCATTCCTGAAGGAACCTGTGCCCGGGGCTACCAAAGCAGGGAGGCACAGGAGGGCAGTCAGGTGGCCGTGCCTAGATAGAGGTTTGAGGGCAGACTGGGTGTGACAAGCCTCTGACGTTGGGATAAGATCCTGCCGCCCTTGGGTGGACAGGTGGATGAGAAATCAAAGGCGGCATTATTTGCTGGTGTTAGGTGGATGCGCACCCCAGGCCGGGTGTTAGGCTGAGCCTGGTTTCTTTGGCTCTCACAACTTCCCTGTGCAATAAATCTGACTCCTCCTTTTATAGAGATGGAACTGAGGCTCAGAGGGATCAAATAATTGGCCCGGATCACACAGCAGGTGCAGAGCCAGGACTCACACCCACCTTCCATCTACTAATCCCATCTCTGACTGAGAATGAGGGTCTGCTCCAGTTTCAGGGAGCCCTGTAGACAATAGGGTGTGGCAAAACAGGTAAGGGAGAGAGAAACTGAAGTCTCCAAAGCCAGAGGCTGGTACTGGGAATCCCAGCATGCCAGCTATGGGCTGGGGAGGGACTTTCAGTATCAGCTCCAACTGTGTGGGTAGAGGAGACTGAGTCCCAGAGAGGGGCAGGGGTCGAGAGGGGGTACCCATGAAGAAAGATGCCAAGCCCATTTTACAGAAGGGCAACTAAGTCTGGGGGAGGAGCATTGCATGCCCCCTCCTCTGAGAGGTACCCACCTTGGGGTTGAGGGACTGTGGCTTGCCCGCCTGGGTCTGGTGATCTGAGGCCATGGTGGACTGTCCTGTGCAGGAATGACCTGGAAGACATGGGAAGCAGCAGTGAGGACCTGGAGGGGCCACTGGCTTTTTCACTCTGTGGGGCCTTGAGACCACTCCCCTCTGGCCCCAAACATTCTCTTTTTCTCCTGGTTTCAGACTGTCCCAGAGCTGTGGGGTCCGTAAGCAGCTACTTCAACTTCTGTCCTTAGCTTCATTTATTTCTATCCAGGCCAGCTGCAGGAGGAGGGAAAAACGAGGTCTACTCAAAGAAAGAGAGCAGTAATAAACTAGAGCTTAAATGAGGTCCAAAGTGGGTTCCCAACACTCAACCCCAGACAATGGATACCACACAGAATATAGAATGGTCAATCCCAGAACTTCTGCCTTTATGCAGTAATTTCTTAAATAAAATTGTGTGGAACAAACAAAACCTATGCATTGGCTGTATTTGGTGGTGTGGTGGTGCCCAGTTTAGGAACTCACAAAGTTCCCTGTTCCCCTGCTCCTTCTCCCACCCTCTCCCTGGGACTCCTCTCCCCATCCTGGTACCTAGATTTCTCTTCTCTGCCACTGGTTTTACTCCCCCATTAGTGAAATCATCTGATACAGAACCCACATTACAAGAAAGAGAAGAAATGGGTGCGACGGTAGAAATCCAGGCACTGTGGCAGGCAGCAGGGTAGACCTGCCTTAGCTAGTGAGAACATCAGAAAAGCCTGGAAAATTGTCAGCCTCTTCCCCCTTCCTGCAGAAGGGGTGGTCAAACCAGGCTGTGTTTCCCCAGGGGTAAGAGAGGAAGCCTGGCCTCCCTCTTCAGAGATAACGCCAGCTTCCAGAAGCCCCTTCCACATGAAAGGCCAATACTGGATGTTTCCCAGGAGGAAGAAATGCAGTTAAGCACCTTGGCAGCCAAATCTACTGCTCTCCCGCAAGAAACCAGCCCTCTGGGCTTGTCAGAGTGCCTGAGGTCCTGCCATATCACTTCCCAGTCCTGAGTGTTCACAGACTGAAGAAGCTCAGTTGGTCCAGTTCAGGAGCAGTCTCTGCTGCCTGCCAGAATTGAGACTCTGGGCAGGTCTCATCCTCTCCCTATGCCTCAACTTCCTGTTCTATAAAATGGGGACAGTAATGATGTCTAATAATACCTGTGAACAGGTTGTGAGGATTCAATTATGTAATGTATAAAACCGGAAGCACTTGGCCGTGGTCCCAGAACACACTCAGCATGCAGCAAATGGCAGCAATTGTGGCATTATTAGAGTCATTTCTACCATGCTTTAGTGGCATTGAAATCACCTGTTGCTGGGACCTGTCACATACCTGTGGCTGCATCCTATCCCCTAGCACTCCCAGAGGCTAGGCACAGAGTGGGTGCCCCCTAATTGCAGATGTGGAGGAAAACTGACTCACCCACCTAGAAACAATGCTGAACTGTCACTGGTTTGATTCTTGCAAAACCCTCAGTTACATTCTCCTCCTCAGCGACTGGCGAAACAAGGATGCTGATAGTCTGTTTAATATTAATAATAAAGAACATTGCCCCAATGCCCACTGTGTGCCAGGCACTGTGCTGGATGATCCCCTAACTTCTCTTGAATCCTTACAATAAAGAAGGCTTTTTAACCCCCTTCCCAGTTACCAGAAAAGAAAACTGAGGCTAACAGCATTGAAGTCTCTGCCCAAAGTCACTTGTCAGAATCTGGGTGCTCCCATGCTTGCGGACAGGGGTGAGGATGAGAGAAAGAAGGGAAGACAAGCAAGAGAGGCAATCTTACCAGTGACACCAGCCCCTGCGAGTGCCGTGAAGCTCGGCCAGCGGGAGGTGGCATTTATACCTTCCCCAGAAGTGCCGGTGCCAAGATGAGTGACCGCTGTGCTCCTGCGAAAAGCAGGGTGAGAATGCTGGATTAAGCTCTCACCAAAGCTCGGGTCAGCAAATGCCCACAGACATTGTGTCTCTGCACAATAATGTCATTAGCTTTCAGATTCGGCCGCGCCAGGGCGGTCAGGCGGCTGGGCAAGGAGATGCCCGCTTTGCATGCATCAGCCGTCCGGCTGCCAGGGCCAGGGGTACGCTGGGTTCACTGGTACGGTCAGTCAGGCCGTGAGGCATGGCAGACAGAGGAACATCTCAGTGGGCCTGGGGAAGAACAAGTAAAGAAGGGTGGTTTGGCAGAGTCTGGGCTTCATTCATCTACCCATTTATTCATTCAACAAATATTTGTTGGGCATCCACTTGGTGACAATCTCTGTTCCAGGGGAGTGTCAGGAAGAGGACCTACGCCAGCCCAGGCCATTCAGAAAAGCTCCTGGGAGGTAGCGCATCCCTCAGGGATGGAGAAGAGGAAGCCTGGGAACAGGGTGGGGGGACAGTTCCAAGCAGAAAGGGTCCATATACAAGGAACCAGCATGGTGTATTTCAAGAAGACCTGAAAACAGGTTAACAAAGCTAAAGCATGACATGTGACAAATAGGGCCTGTGCCAGGTGGCCAAGGTGGGCAGGGCCTGATGTTGCAGGGCCAGGGAGGCCAATTATGGAGAGTGCATTTTATTCTCAAGGCCCCTGGCTGTTTCTCTTTCTTTTCTTTCTTTCTTTCTTTCTCTTTCTTTCTTTCTTTCTTTCTTTCTTTCTTTCTTTCTTTCTTTCTTTCTTTCTTTCTTCTCTCTCTCTCTCTCTCTCTCTCTCTCTCTCTCTCTCTCTCTCCCCTCTCTCTCTCTCTCTCTCTCTCTCTCCCCCTCTCTCTCTCTCTTTCTTTCTTTCTCTTTCTTTCTTTTGAGATGGAATCTCACTCTGTCACCCAGGCTGGAGTGCAGTGGTGTGATCTCGGCTCACTGCAACCTCTGCCTCCCAGGTTCAAGCGATTCTCCTGCCTCAGCCTCACCAGTAGCTGGGACTACAGGTGTGCGCCACCAGGTCCAGCTAAATTCTTTTTTTTGCTGTATCTTGTTAGAGACAGGGTTTTGACATGTTGCCCAGGGTGGTCTCAAACTCCTGAGCTCAGGCAATCCATCCACCTTGGCCTCCTAAAGTGCTGGGATTCCAGGCATGAGCCACTGCACCCGGCCTGTTTCTTAACCACTGTCCTAGAGTGAGTTGCTCTTAGATCCCTACCACTGGCCCCATCGCTGCCACATGGGTGCCCAGCCTTTACTCACATTTCTTTTCTATTTTTTTTTTTTTTGAGATGGAGTCTCGCTCTGTCGCCCAGGCTGGAGTGCAGTGGCACGATCTCAGCTCACTGCAAGCTCTGCCTCCCGTGTTCACACCATTCTCCTCCTTCAGCCTCCCTAGTAGCTGGGACTACAGGCGCCCGCCAACACGCCCGGCTAATTTTTTGTATTTTTAGTAGAGACGGTGTTTCACTGTGTTAGCCAGGATGGTCTCGATCTCCTGACCTCATTATCCGCCCGTCTCGGCCTCCCAAAGTGCTGGGATTACAGGCGTGAGCCACCGCGCCCGGCCTTTACTCATGTTTCTTTAGTGCACACACCTTCCTTGCAGCCCAGGCTGTGTCTTGATCCAATCTGAGGCTTGGAGACTGGGTCAAGTATACCTGCTTTCCCCTGTCTCTCATTTTCTTAATGCACATATGCATGCACACGCATGCACACACACTACACACACATGCCCCAGCCCCCTAGCTGGGCTTTTCCTTTTGCAGCACTCATCACTACCCAACATTCTGTTACTCATTTATTTTCTGTCTTTCCAATGAGAAGATAAGCACCACAAAAGCAAAGAAGTTGTCCCCCTGGTTTACCATGGTATCTCCAGAGCCCAGTGCCTGACGCATAGTAGGTACTTGTTTTAAAATCCCAGGGCTGGCCGGGCACAGCGGCTCACGCCTGTAATCCCAGCACTTTGGGAAGCCAAGCCAGGCGGATCACCTGAGGTTGGGAGCTCGAGACCTGCCTGAGCAACATGGAGAAACCCCGTCTCTACTAAAAATACAAAATTAGCCGGGCATGGTGGCACATGCCTGTAATCCCAGCTACTCGGGAGGCTGAGGCAGGAGAATCACTTGAACCCACGAGGCAGAGGATGCAGTGAGCCAAGATCATGGCATTGCACTCCAACCTAGGCAACAAGAGCAAAACTCTGTCTCAAAGAAAATAAATAAATAAATAACATAAAATAAATCCCAGGGCTGCTGTAATAAAGTGTCACAAACTAAGTGGCTTAAAAACAACAGAAATTGGGAATGTAAAATGGTGTTGCCACTACGGAAAACAGTGTGGCTGTCTCAAAAAAAAAAAAAAAATCCAACATAGAATTACCATATGAGCCAGCCATTCCACTTCTGTGCACGTGCCCCAAAGAATTGAAAGCAGGGAATTGAAGAGATATTTACACACCCATGTTCATAGCAGCATTATTCACAATAGCCGAAAGATGGAAACCACCCAAATGTCCATCAACGGATGAATGGATAAACACTATGTGGTCTATCCATACAATGGAATATTATTCAGCCTTAAAAAGAAAGGAAATTCTGACTCCAACATGATGAGGTTTGAAAATGTTATGCAAAGTGAAATAAACCAGACACAAAAGGACAAATATTGTATGATTCCACTTACATAAGTTACCTAGGGTAGGCAAATTCATGGAGACTGGAAGTAGAATAGAGGTTACTGGGGGCTGGGAGGAGCGGGGAATGGGGAGTTATTGTTTAATGGGTACAGAGTTTCTGTTTGGGATGATGGAAAAGCTGGGGATGGATAGTGGTGATGGTCCCATAACAATGCCACTGAACTGTACTCTTAAAAATGGTTAAAATGGTTAATTTTATGCTATGCAGTATTTTACCACAAAAATGTCCCCCAAAAAACCCCAGAAGTTTATTGTTGTGTAATTCTGGAGGCTGGAAGCCTGACATCAAGCTGTCAGCAGGGCCATGCCTGCTCCAGGGGTTCTAGGTGAGGGTCCTTCCTTGTCTCTCCCAGCCCTTTGTGTTTGCCGGTAATTGTTCATGTTCCTTGGATGGGAGGTGCATCACTTTAATCACGTGACTGTCTTCTCCCTGTATCTTCACATCATCTTCCCTTAGTGCATGGCTGATTCTATGTCTAAATTTCTGTGCCTATAAGGATACCAGTCATGTTGGCTTAGGTGACTTCACTAGGCAACTTCACCCTGATGACTTTGTTTCAAATTGGTTCCTTCTGTAAAGACCCTATTTCCAAATAGAAGGTCACATTCTGAGGTACTGGGGGTTAGGACTTTGGAATATCTTTTATGGACACAGGTCAGCCCATAATAGACCTCAGTTAATATTTGTTGAGTAAATGAATGGATTCAAGACCTGGCTGTGTCCTTATAAATAAGAAAGAATTCCTAACATTTCGATTGTATCAGAGCTTGACATGAGTCAGGCACTGTCCATACTCATCTTTTTTTAATCCTCCCAACAAACTCAAGATGTAAGTATTGTATTTATTGATCATTCCATTTTATAAAAGAGAAAATTGAGGCTCAGAGAGACTAAGCCACTTGCCCAAATTTGCACAGCTAGTGAGTAGTAGGACTAGGCTTTATGGATTAAGCCCTGAAACTGTCTGGTTCCATTAATTCAATCCTCACAACTATCTTTGAAGTAGGTATTATTAATGTCCCCTAATACAGATAAGGAAGCTAAGGCTCATAGAGCTTAAGTAACTTGTTCGAGGTCACACAGCCAGGAAGTGGTAGGACCAGTGCTTGAACTTACATCAGTCTGACTTCAAGATAAACGTTCTTAACTTTTAAACTATAAAGCTTCCTACTGAGCTCTGGGAATTTAGTGAAGTTTTTCTTCTCCAGGCCTCAATTTCCCCATAAGAAATGAGGTCCTTGGTGCCAAGACCAGCTCGGTCAGGGAGACCCTAACCAGTGGCGCTAGAGGAATTAAAGACACACACACAGAAATATGGAGATGTGGAATGGGAAATCAGGGGTCTCATAGCCTTCAGAGCTGAGAGCCTCGAACAGAGATTTACCCATGTATTTATTAACAGCAAGCCAGTGATAAGCATTGTTTCTATAGATTATAGATTAACTAAAAGTATTCCTTATGGGAAACAAAGGGATGGGCTGAAATAAAGGGATGGGTCTGGCTAGTTATCTGCAGCAGGAGCATATCCTTAAGGCACAGATTGCTCATGTTATTGTTTGTGGTTTAAGAACGCCTTTAAGTGATTTTCCACCATGGGCGGGCCAGGTGTTCCTTGCCCTCATTCTGGTAAACCCACAAACTTCCAGCGTGGGTATCATGGCCATCACAAACATGTCACAGTGCTGCAGAGATTTTGCTTATGGCCAGTTTTGGGGCCAGTTTATGGCCAGATTTTGGGGGCCTGTTCCCAACACTTGGTCCCTGCACCATGTATTAGGTTGGTGCAAAAGTAATCATGGGTTTTGGCGTTACTTTTGATGGGAAAAACCACATTTACTTTTGCACCAACCTATTATTCTCATTGAGGAAGCAGTCAGGGTTTTCACTGGCTGATAGGAGTGGTAAAACATGCTAGGGAGATGTTTATTATTCCTATTTTTACAGATAAGCAAAGTGAGGCTCAGAGAGGAGACTTTCTTGCCCAAAGGCTCACAGCCACGAAGTGGTAGAGCTGGGATTTGAACTCAGAGATCAGGATTTGTAGACTCCAAAACCTTCAGCCTAGCCTACTTCTCTTCTCTTACCTCAGTTTCCCACACTTGCGAAGAATTAAATATTTTGGCCCATGGACATTATAGTATTTGTAATTATACCCTTTGTAAATGAGCCAATCATGTGAAGCCCTCAGTAGCGGCTCTTACAAATATTATAGAAAGCGCTCAGTAACTATAGCTTTTATGCTATTCATTATTATTACATCTGTGTGGATGGCAATGTTTTAAAAGACTTTTTATTTCTTTTCACTCCCACACTCAAAGTAGGTGCCAAGACAGAGACCGTCAGCAACCTGCCTGTTTCTTTCTACTAATTCATTATTCATTTCTACTTCAAGCAAATGTGTCAACTATGAACTCAGTGGGGAGCAATACAGATAGGGTCCCCACCTTGGTGCAACTTACAGCCCATAGGTTCCTATGATCTCAAAATGTTTTGCCTTTTTAAAAATTTGAGATAGGGTCTTGCTCTGCTGCCCAGGCTGGAGCATGGTGGTGCTATCACAGCTCAATGCAGGCTCCAACTGCTGGGCTCAAGTGATCCTCCTGTCTCAGCCTCCTGAGTAGCTCAGACTACAGGTTTTCACATCTGTGCACAGCTAATTAAAAAAATTTTTTAGGGATAGGGTCTTACTGTGTTGTCCAGGTAGGTCGCGAACTCCAAGCCTCAAGCAATTTTTCTGCCTTGGCCTTCCAAAGTACTTGAGTTTCAGTCATGGGCCACTGCACCTGGCCCAAAAGCAAAGGCTTTTGATGTGACCTGGGTAGTTTGCTCATCTAGCCAATGAGCTAGGTCGTGGAGAGCTGAGCCATGGCTCAGTCATCTTCGTGCCCCCAGTGCCTACATAGGATCTAGCACATAGTAGGTGCTCAGAAAATACGTATTGACAGACTGAATTAATTAATGATAAAGAGCAGGGGTGTCTTCATTTGGGCTCTACCAGAAGCAGACGCTAAGACAACAAGTTCAGGTGCATATAATTTATTTGGAAAGTGATCCCAGAGGGCATCAGGAAGTAGGGAGTGGGGAAGCGAGCCAGAGAAAGGAAGGCAGGCAATTCAGGGTATATTAGTGAGCGGGTTATCACTGGGTCTTCTTAAAATTAGGGGGTGTCATGTGACTCATTCTGGTCAGTGGATTCTGAACAAACATGACTGGTGTAATTTCCAGGTGAAATCATCTTATTACAGGAGCCACACTTTCTAGTGCTCTCTTCTCTTCTGCTGTCCTGAGATGGCAACATTGCAAAATGGCAGAGCCCACACCAGCCTGGGTCCCTGAGTGACTCTGTAGAGAAAAGCCCCCCGCTGACCAGCACTAGACATCTTTCATGAGTGAGAAATAAGTTTCGTTGTTTTCAACCACCAAGAATTGGGGGCTGTTTGTTACTGCAGCATAGCCTGACAGATACATAGAGAGAAAGGACTCAAACCTTCCTCTCCACTTCATCTTCTTGCTCCCACGAGGAGAATAGGTCTTGGTGTTCCCCTTGGACAAACAATATTTAACTTTTAGATACAAAAGAGTCAGAGCTGGAAGGAGGCTCTGAGATCATCAAAAGGTGTTCTCATAGCTATCAGAAACAACACTCCCTTCTTACGACAATTTTTTGTAACAGCCCTTTTACTCTCTTGAAATAAAATTGATAATGTAACCCATCTACGTGCATGCTTTCAAAATAAATTAATAATAAAATGTCCTAACTCTAACTGTATTATAAAAGGATAATAAGGATAGAATGTATAAAAATATGTATTTTGGTATGTAAAAGCTTCAAACAGATGATGTAAGAAAGCAGTTAGGCAATTATTCCTATTTACAATGCATACACTTAGACAGGAAGCTAATATTAAACTTAATATGCGTTAGACATTTTCATTCACTCATGTAGCATTGCCATGGGTGACATTAACTTCCAAAATGGTAAAGAATGCTTGGTAAAGTTCTCACCTGAGCACTGGGAGCTGGGGAATTGATACCCCAGCTCCTGTTAGTCATTGGATGAAGGTTGCTCCTAGTAGGTATTCATTCCGCCAAGATTATAGCTGCCTCCCACCTCTCCAGGCACAGGAGAGAGTTTCCAGGCACATAGGCATGTGGATGCTGGCTGGTGGAAGTGGCCCTCACACAGCAACATTGTAACGTCTACAGAGTAGGAAAAGCACAGCCAGCATCTTTTACAATCCAGACAGCAGATCAAAGATGTCCGACGGAAAGGCAAGGGAAAGAGGAAGCTAGCAACAGGAAATGGCCAGAAGGTCCTCCCAAGAGAGCCAAGACTTGGGGATGCATTTGCTGAGGCCCCCTAATGGTGGATTCCTGGGGGCAGTGACCACAGAGCCAGCTCTCCAGCTCCCAGGAGCTCTCAGGCTCCAGTTTCTCTCTCCATGATGCCTGTTCACTGTCTGGGTCCTGGCCCCCTGCCCCTGCCATGAACCTCTTTGTAGGGCTTTCACTTGGACTCTCTGAGTGTGGCCATGTAGCCTAGTTTTCTAATTTCCCTGTTTCTACAGATGTCTTTAGAATAAACCCCCATTATTGAGGAACTGCAAAGTCTCTCTGCTCCATACAACTACGGAGCATGTCTTCAGCATCCTGTGTCTGGAACGGAGCTCTGGAAGCCTGTCTGTTGCCCTCCTTCTTGTCAAAAAATGATCAAGAGAAGAGGATGATGAACACTCATATTGCACGTCCTTGGTTTTACTCATTGTTCTAAGCCCTTTCTGCAAAGTAAACTCCGGTTACTACCGGCAACAACCTTATGAGATAGGTAGCATTATTATCTCCATGTTACAGATGAGGCAACAGAAGCACAGAGAGGTTAAGTGACTTGCCCAAAGGCAAACAGTGAGTGGTAGAGCTAGGAGAGGAAACCAGGTGGTGTAAATCAAGAGCCTAACTCAGCCACTCTGCCTCCTATCACTTGACTCTACTGCCTGCAATCACTGAGCAATACTGCCTCTCAATTAAGCTGGTAAAATGATCTCTTGGCGCTAAACCTCATTCGCTTATAACTGAGGGATATTCTTGCTTCACTGTCACTCTCAGGTTCTGCCCCATAGAAGACAAAATTTGAGGGCTGGGCGCAGTGGCTCATGCCTGTAATCCTAGCAATTTGGGAGGCTGAGGTGGGTGGATCATGAGATCAGGAGTTCCAGACCAACTTGGCCAACATAGTGAAACCCCATCTCTACTAAAAAATTAGCAGGGTGTGGTGGAGCACACCTGTAGTCCCATCTACTCAGGAGGCTGAGGCAGGAGAATCGCTTGAACCATGGAGGCAGAGGTTGCAGTGAGCCGAGATTGCACCACTGTGCTCCAGCCTGGGTGACAGAGCAAGACTCCATCTCAAAAAAAAAAAAATATTTGAGTCTAGGTTGGGGCTAAGAGCAGCCTTTTGGAGTTAGGCCTGCGGTCAAATCCCAGTTCTGCCCCTCGCTGGCTGTGTGACCTCAGCAGTTGGCTTCCCCGCTCTGAGCCTCTTGGAGCTGAGGACTGAACAAGACAATGTATGGGAGTACTTGCAAATAACAAGAGCTTCCTGGCACAAATGGTTATTATGGGTGTGAGGCTTCAGAAAGAGTCACTTGGACATCAGTGACTGCCTGGGGCTGCCATGAATCTGGCAGTGCAGCTGAACCCCACCTCTGGAATCAACCCAACTCCAGATCCTGGGGCTGCGTTTGGCCTGGGAGTGGGCATGGTGAGTGGGCACACTGACTCACACTTGAGCCAGCCTCCCTGTAATCCTTCCTGTTACCCAGGAGCCAGTCAAGGGGCCTGTTGGTGTTAACTGAGATCAGGCATGGACAGCTTGTGGCCTGGTGCCTAGACTATAGTACATGCTCAATAAATGAAGTCACTGCCCACACCAGCAGTGGCATTAGGTTGGCCGAGCACAGCATCAACAGCTGATGAATATAGAGAAACGGGCTTTGGAGACAGACCTGAATATGAGTCCTGGTCCCATCACTTAAGAGCTGTGGCACTTGGGGCAATTTGCTTCAGCTCTCTGGGCCTCAGTTTCTCTCCCTGCATATGAGGATCACTATTGCCTGTCTGTAGAGTCGAGATGAAACTCTAGAGCACTCAATAATGTGCTTGGGGTTTAGCCGCAGCTCTACAGTGGCAGCTATTATTACCGTTGTTTCTGCTGCAACTGCTTATGTTATTTTCATCTATATCTCCCTGGTGACTTACGGTCCTTGATGGATACATCAGAGTGTATGGCACTCAGGAATGGATTCAGGTCTCAGTTCTACCACTTCTTATCTGTGTGGCTCTAGGAAGGTGATGTTGCCTCCCTGAGCCTGTTTCTTCATCTGTTAAATAGAATTAATAACCACACCTACCTCCCAATGACATTCTTAGGGTTCAGTGAGATGATGTAAGCACTGATTTATAAAGCATGACAGGCCGGGCGCGGTGGCTCACGCCTGTAATCCCAGCACTTTGGGAGGCTGAGATGGGTGGATCACGAGGTCAGCAGTTGAGACCAGCCTGGCCAACATGGTAAAACCCTGTCTCTACTAAAAATACAAAGATTATCCTGGTGTGGTGGCACATGCCTGTAATTCCAGCTACTCAGGAGACTGAGGCAGGAGAATTGCTTTAACCTGGGAGGCGGAGGTTGCCATGAGCCGAGATCGAGCCATTGCACTCCAGCCTGGGTGACAGAGTGAGACTCTGCTTCAAAAAAAAAAAAAGCACAACAGACTGGATGGCATCTCGTTCATGCCTATAATCCCAACACTTTGGGAGACTGAGGCGGGAAGATCACTTGAGGCCAGGAGTTTGAGACAAGCCTGGGCAATACAGCAAGACCCTCATCTCTACAAAAAGTACATTTTAAAAATTAGCTGGGCATGGTGGTGTGCGCCTGCAATCCCAGTGCTTTGGGAGGCTGAGGCAAGAGGATTGCTTGAGACCAGGAGTTCGAGGCTGCAGTGAGCTATGATCACGCCACTGCACTCCAGCCTGGACGACAAAGCAAGACCCCATCTCAAAAGATAAAAAGAATAAAGCATGACAAGGCCTCTCCTTGTGAAAGGGAGGAAGGGGTGGGTCCAGCGGGGAGAAAGGGGTGAGCAATAGGGGTGCTGTATCTCCGCACTGGGGATGTCAAGCCCCTGCCTTCCATCTGTCTCATGGCTGGGCCACCCCTGCCCCCTCTGATCCTGATGCCCAGCCCAGGTCTCCCATACACTCGGAAAAGTCAAGGTGATTTCTCACCTCATTTGTAAAATATGCAGGTTAAATTAATTGAAAATTACTGTATCCTTTTCAACCCCTTCCTGAGGCCCCCATAGGCCTCCCACACACCAGCTACATCACCCAATGGGAGGCTGCAGGTGGCTGAGACAGGCTCTGGGCACAAAAGGGGAACAAAGTCAGGGAAATGATGCAGAGTTGGCTCATGGAGGTGGGACGGGTGAGGGGTGGTGCCGGGGCCTGCCTGCAGGAAGTCCGTTGTCAGCTGGCTATCAGAGAGGAGGCCCCTCCTCTTCCCACCTGGGGGCAGAAGAGACTCAATTATGGCCGAGCATGGTGGCTCATGCCTGTAATCCCAGCAACTTTGTGGGGCCGAAGTGGGTGGGCCACCTGAGGTCAGGAGTTCGAGACCAGCCTGACCAATATGGTGAAACCCCATCTCTTCTAAAAACACAAAAATTAGCCGGGCGTGGTGCTGCGCACCTGTAGTCCTAGCTACTTGGGACGCCGAAGCAGGAGAATTGCTTGAGCCCAGGAGGTGGAGGTTGCAGTGAGCCGAGATTGCGCCACTGCCTGGGCAACAGAGCGAGACTCTGTCTCTAAATAAACAAACAAACAAAGGCCTCATTTATGCCTGGCACTGCCCCAGTGTCTCTGTTCAGCTCTTCAGCAACTCCCACTGCCCAGATGAAGCCACGGGGGCCCAGAGCAGTGGTCAGTGGGGGGAGGTGGGATGGGCACTCAGTACCCCAGGCGAGGCTGCAGAAGGCCTCTGGGCAAGGGGACAGAGATACTGAGGCATGAGAGAGAGAGGCTCAGGTGGACCGCACAAACACAGCTCACGAGACTCTCTGCAGTAGCCTCCCAACTGGTCTCTCTGCATCCCTCCTTGGCCACTAAGTGTATGATTTGCACCCTAGCCAGAGTGATCCTATTAAACCCCACTGCAGACCACGGCTCACTTTGCTCAAATGCTCCATGGCTCCCACCTCCCTCAGAGAACAAGCAAAGTCCACTAGGTTCTGCAAAGCCCTAAATGACCTGACCCTGTTCCCTCTGAACCCTATCCCCAGTCTTTTACTCCATTCCAGACCTGCTGGGCCCCTGGCTGTTTCCCATTAGGCCAGCATACTCCTGCCTAGGGCCTTTGCACCTGTTATTTCTCTGCCTGGAATGTTCTGGTGGTTCACTGAGGACTCGGCTCCTTTGCACAGAGTTTCCTGGCCACCACCCCCATCACTTCCATATTTTTATCCAGCTTTATTGTTCTTGGTATTTACCGCCTCCCAACATTATAGCCCTCATCGACCTGTTTATTTACTTTCTGTCTCTCCCACAGAAGGTGAGAACCTGGAGGGCAGGACATTGTGCCCTGTCCTTAGGCCTTGAACAGGGCATGGCATTTGCTGAATACACTGAACAGGGCATGGCATTTGCTGAATACATTAATGACAACAGAGACTGACCCACAGAGAGGTGGAAGGGGAAATAATGGATAGATGAATGGAAGGAAGGAGGGAAGAAAGGAAGGAAGGAAGGAAGATCAGATGGACACATTGATGGACAAGTAGATTGAAAGAAAAATTGATGGATAAGTGGATAAAAGGATAGATAGAAAGATGCGTGAGTGGAAGGAAAAATGGATGAATTAATGGAAAGAACAAATATAGGAAGATGGAAGGAAGAATGAATGGATGGATGGGTAAGTGGGTGGATGAATGGATGGATGGATGGATGCATGGATGGATGAATGGGTGGTAGGTAGTTGGATGGATGAATGAATGGGTAGATGGGTGGGTGGGTGGATGGATGGATGGGTGAGTAGATGAATGGATGGGCACATGGGTGGGTGAATGGGTGGATGAATGGGTGGGTGGATGGATGGATGGATGGGTGAGTAGACGAATGGATGGGCACATGAGTGGGTGAATGGGTGGATGAATGGGTGGGTGGGTGGGTGGAAGGATGATGGATGGATGGGTGAGTGGATGGGCAGACTGACAGACATTCAGATGGAAACATGCAGCAGCAGACAAACACAAGATCAGGGCAGTAGGGGCACATGGCTCTGCCTGAAAGGATTAGAGCCTAGGATATGGGCAAATTTCCCAGCCCCTTCCTGGGAGTCTCAGAACACTCAAGCCCCAGCCTCCTTCAGCACGCCTCTCCCACAGGTCCCGCCCCAGGCCTGGCTCCCTCAGGAAGTGATGCCGAGGAACGTGGCGGGTGGGGGACCAACCCCAGGCTTTATTGAGCAGATTCCAGGGAAGGGTGGACAGGTCGGCCCTCGCCCCAACCCTGGAGCCTCCTCTTCTTGCCCTTGCAGCCCCCCAGGGTGGGTCTGGGTCCTTGAAGTCTGGGTGCCTTTCAGCTGCTGGGGAAGCGGCCCCGCTTGTGCCACTTCTGGTCACGGATGCGGCGCACAGACTGCAGCTGCGGCTGGCTGGCGTCCCACTCATTCCAGTGGCGGTACTCGCCCCGCTCAAACACGTACTGGCGCCCACGGTAGCCGGGGAACTCATAGCCAACCCACCTGCCGGGAGACCAAGGTTGAGATGTGGACGGTCTGCTTCCAGTCACCCTGCCTCCAGCCAGCATCTGACCATGCACTCTGCCTGCCTACATTCCTCTTTAGCTCCCCAGAGCCCTTGGGATGAATCCAAACTCTTTACCCTGCTCACAGGACCCTTAACAAAGCATCTCTAGCCTTATCTCTCAACATCCCATTCACACTCAACACCGTGGCCTCTCTTATTCTACTTTCCCGGAACCTGCTGTGTTGGGGGGCCTTTGTATGCATGATTCCTTCTGCCTGGAACACTCTTGCTCACCTCATCCCTCTCCTTCCCCCTTTTTTCCACTTGCATCCATTACAGCTCAATTTAGATGTCTCCAGACTCCTGCAGGCTGAATCGAGTACCTCACTGGGACTCCCAGAGCCCCTTGTGCATCCCAGTCCCAATCCTGATCACAATACGTTGTGAATACCTGTTACTTTGTCTGTCTCTCCATCAAACTATGTAATTTTTCTTTTTTTAGATGGAGTTTCGCTCTTGTTGCTCAGGCTGGAGTGCAGTGGCGTGATCTCGGCTCACTACAACCTCCACCTCCCAGGTTCAAGTGATTCTCCTGCCTCAGCCTCTTGAGTAGCTGGGATTACAGGCATGCGCCACCATGCCCGGCTAATTTTGTATTTTTAGTAGAGACGGGGTTTCTCCGTGGTGGTCAGGCTGGTCATGAACTCCTGACCTCAGGTGATCCGCCCACTTCGGCCTCCCAAAGTGCTGGGATTACAGGCGTGAGCCCCAGACTACGCAAATTTTTTGAGGGCCAGAGGATGTGCCATTCTTGTTGTTCTCTGTATCAGCACACCAGCATATAGTAGATGTTCAGTAAAAAATTGTTGAATAAATTATTATCAGGGATAGGTGGCACCTCTCAAGGCCCAACCCCAGATTACAAGCCCACAAGTGAGATGTAACCACCTACAAAAAGCAGGTGATCCTAAGACTGCATCAACGGTGATATTAAGCCTAGAAAGAGGGAGGTGATAAGCCTGCTCTCCTCTGTACAACTTGTGTCACATCTCAATAACTGCATACATCCTGGGCCCCTTGTTAAGAAGAACAAGAGTTGTGAGGGGGAAGAACATTTCAAGAATCAGTTCAAGGGTGTGGGGATGTTTAAAAAAGCAGGAAGGACTCAGATGGGAACAGGTGGAGAGAACAGATTTTACTTGTTTTAAGTCAAGGCTGCCTAGAAATCTCAACAGTACAGGAGTGCAGGGAACATGAATCATGCAAGAAACTATAGGCACCGATGGCCGGGCGCCGTGGCTCACACCTGTAATCCCAGCACTTTGGGAGGCCGAGGCGGGCAGATCATGAGGTCAGGAGATTGAGACCATCCTGGCTAACACGGTGAAACCCCGTCTCTACTAAAAATACAAAAACTTAGCCGGGCGTGGTCGTGGGCGCCTGTAGTCCCAGCTACTCGGGAGGCTGAGGCAGGAGAATGGCATGAACCCGGGAGGCGGAGCTTGCAGTGAGCTGAGATCGCGCCACTGCACTCCAGCCTGGGCGACAGAGCAAGACTCCGTCTCAAAAATAAATAAATAAATAAATAAAATAATAAGAAACTATGGGCACTGATTCTGTTTGGAGCCAGAGGCATGGCTGACCAGAAGATGGGGCAAGGGTGAGGGTTGGGTCCCTTACGTCCCGTTGATGGCACGGACACTCGCCACACGGTCCTGGAAGCCATGAGCCCACAGGCTGGGCACGTCATCATCCACTATCTCCATCTTGCGGCCACTGAAAGCTGGGTTCTCAAACAGATGCAGCTTGTGATGTGGACTATCCTGAGGGCAATATCGTGGGGTGAGCGGCTGCTCCCATATCCAGAACAGAGGTCAAGGAGGCTCCAGATGCCGGAAAGAATCAACAGGTCACCACAAAATAACACCCACCCCCAAACCTGCTGCAGGAGGGAAGGGCCTCAGGAGATGCCTCCACCCCCAAATTCACTGTAGGAGGGACGGGGAGATTCCTCCAAAGCTGGTTGATTTAGGAACCTAGAGCCGTAGATTATAAAACTGAAAAGGAATTTCCAGATCTTGTTCAATCCCATCATTTAAATGATAGAGAAACTGAGGCCAGGAGAGGGTGGACAGAGATCAAAAGTATCAACATATGAGCTTTCCCTCTTTCCTAACCAGATGCCGGTTTAATCTTCCCAGTTTCCCCTCTTCCACTGCCCTCTAAGGAGGACTCAGTTATGTGACAAAGAGAAAGGGCTGGAGCAGCTGCGGGGTGTGAGTGAAGCAGGGGAGGGAGAAGGGTGGTGTTTAAAGTGTCACTGTGGGCCGGGCGTGGTGGCTCAGGCCTGTAATCCCAGTACTTTGGGAGGCCGAGGCAGGCAGATCACTTGAGGCCAGAAGTTCAAGACCAGCTTTGCCAACATGGCAAAACGCCACCTCTACTAAAAATACAAAAATTAGCCCAGCGTGGTGGCATGTGCCTTCAGTCCCAGCTACTCAGGAGGCTGAGGCAGGAGAATCACTTGAACCCAGGAGGCAGAGGTTGCAGTGAGCAGAGATCATGCCACTGCACTCCAGCCTGGGTGACAGAGCGAGACTGCAACTCAAAATGAAATAAAAATACATAAATAAAAATGTTTAAAAAGAGAGAGAGAGAAAGACTGCACTCCAGCATGGGTGACAGAGCAGGAGTCTGTCTCGAAAAATAAATAAATAAACAAATAAATAAAAAGTGTCACTGTGGACTGTGTCCCTTTCAGGTGCTAGAAAAACACAAGTGGAGAACTTAAAGTATTTTGGCTACTTTCTGAAGTTATTTCCTGGACTGCATTTCTTTGATAACAATACTGATTTGAGACTGGGCCATGTGGCTCATCGTTTTAGTACGGTTACAAAGAAAAGTCCCAGTGCTATGCTGGTTTAATTCAAGATGTGAGTCCTGGTGTCTCAATCCCCAACCGAATGTCCCTTCAATATCCCACTTCTTGTCCCACACAATTGTTCAAATCAGAAACATGAGGGCCCTTCCCAGGCCAGGTCCATATGGGCCAAACCCTCAGCCCAGCTTGTGCAATGAGCTGCCTGACCAGCTCTCAGTGCACCCTGCTTCCAGGAACACCCAGAAGTGAGCAGGAACCACACTCACAATATTCAGAGGCCGGAGGGACAGAAGGCTGTCACTATCACGGCTGTTGGACCAGGCATCCCAGCGAGGATAATCCCCCTTCTCCAGAACAAACTGCTCCCCGCGGAAGGCCCTGGACTCAAATGCCAGCCACCTGAGGGAGGAAGAGGCTTGGCTGGGTCACCTTTGCTGCAGCTGAGGAAGGATTCAAGTTTAGTGAGAGAAGTGTCCAAGAGCTGCTGACCTTGAACCTTGTACCCTCCCTCCAACCCTACTGCTAATTCCTGGACCTGTAATTAAAGGAGCTGCTAGGACATACCGGGAACTGTCTGAGACTCTGGGCCAGAAAACCATCCTAGGGTATGTTATTGAGAATCTAGCCTCTGTGCAAGGTACCCAGAAAAGTCTTTAGCACAATGCCCGGTACACAGTAAGTATTCCATAGGTGACAGTGACTTCTTCCTCTTCCTTTTCCTCTTCTTTGTATTGTATTGTTATTAATATGTATTTATTTGCATCATTCCATTCATTTTCATAAAAACTCTCTCTGAAGTACGTACCATTGTTATCCCCATTCAACAGATGAGAAAACAGAGGCCTGGTGTGTGAAGCAACTTGCCGAAGATCACCCAGATGGTTAGTGCCAGAGCCTGGACTTGCAATCCAAAGGCGGGAATTCAGGGCCCAGCTGGGAGACCTGCCTGCCTTGTGGACATGGATGGGACACTTACCAACTTTGGCCTCAGTTTCCCCATCTATAAAGTGGGAATAAGAATGATACCTCTGTCACAGGGTCATGACGATTCAATGACATAATGCATGTTAAATTTTAGGTGTTACAATTATTATTAAAATTATAAATATTAAATCCCATGTTCCAGTCACTGAGTTAGGTGCTAGGTTGACCTTGCTGTTCTTCCAACCTCAGGTATCCTGGGATTTTCTGCAGACATCTAGGATTCTAGAGAATTCTTCAACTCTCATTTTACAGATGCGGAAAACGAGGCCAGAGAAGGCAGGGGAGCTGTCAAAAGCCCCACAACAGATCTAGAGCTCAGACTGGGGCCTCCACACTCCCAGAAGGCTCAGGGCTGTGGCGAGGGACTGGGGGTCTAGGTACTCACGGCCCGGACTCCACTTGGATGGAGCCCACCTTCTCCAGCAGGCTGTCGGTCAGGCTGGGGCACTCGGCCGAGAGCTCGCAGCGTTTGCCTTGGAAGTTCTCTAGTTCGTACAAGATCACCTAGAAGAGCAGAGTCCTAAACATCCCACCTCTGCTAGGCTCCCAGCTCCAGCCTCTGCCCCTCCTTTGGGCATTAGAGGGAGGTACCCTCTGCTTTCTGCATCTCTCCAGCCTGGAGCTGGCACTGAGGTGGGCCTGCACTGCCCTCTAATGGTCATGGAGGGAAACGCCTTCAGGAACTTCAATGAGACCAATTAAACTAGTGATTGCAACTCTGATGTCCAGCAGGAGCCAGGTGGGGAGTCCAGCGGACTGAAATAACCCGAGAGGTCGGTGGGGAAATGAAGCTGCTTCTGGCGATGAGGGAATGAGGTCCCAGTTCCAATTTTTTCAAGAGAGGTCAGAAATCTGTATTTTCCTTAATAGGAAATTTCCCCCTTAAAAAAATGAAAACACCTGTTTGCAGTCTCGGGGAAGACCTCTGCCTGCCCCAAGCCTAGGAAGAGAAGGGCTGCAAAGGCAGACCAAGGTTTTGCCTCTCTCACCCACCTGGAAACACAAACTGACTTTGTAGAAGATCCCCAGGGAACATCTGTTCTAGTCATTTTACAGAAGGGATCAAAGAAGCTCAGAAAGGGTAAGATACTTGCCTCGGGCTGCACAGCAAGTTAAGAGGAGGCACTGGGATTCGACCCATCCTTAGACTCTGTCTGGAATAGTTTCCCAAAAAGACCCCGGAGATGGTTTGGAAAGGGCAGAGCCAACACATTCAAACCTTCTCTCAGATTTCTAGTGTGCCTCCCTCTGCTAGCTGGCTTCACTCATGTCTTTCAGCCTTTACACCAACTCTGGGCACAATATCTGGGCACCATCCTCATTTCAAACATGGGGCTGTTGAGGCCCAGAGAGCCTCCAAACCCTGTGCCCTTTTCCCCAGAGTGGGCAAGACACCAGGCTGAGGTCAGACAGGAGAGTCAGAGCTCAGAGCCGTTTCCAGAAACCCCCGGGCCTCTCTGATCCATTGGTGCAGGCAGGATGTGGGTGACCATTTCTGTTTTGCAGACGAGGGAAGATGCAGCAAAGTCATGAAGCAAGTTTCTAACGGGAGGGTGGCAGTGAGAGGACCCACCCGGAGCGTTTTGTCCTGGCCTGGGTGGTTGGAAGGATGGCTCTTCCTTCCTGCAGAGGTGCTGCTTGGCTGGGAAGATGACCCTGAGGCCCAGGAGTAGCCTGGGCCCTCTGACCCCCTCCCTGCCCAGTACCTTGTAGCTGCCCCCAAGGTCTCCATGGCTCTTGCCAGCTGCAGCCTGTTCGGGTGCTCCGTGCTGTTCCGCCATCTCCCCAGGAACACCTCTGGCTTCAAACCAAAAGAAAATGGTTCACTGGATCCACCCGGGAGAAGCCAGGTGTTGATGTGACTGGAGTCCAGGATGAGCTACAGAGCCTTGCTGCCCATGGGGCGTGGCTGTAACTTATGATCGACATTCAGTCATTCAGCAAACATCCATTGAGCACCTGCCATGGGCCACGTGGACTGAGACAGTGGGATCAGGAGCCCCATTGTACAGAGGGGAACTCTGAGGCTCAGCAAAGTGAGGCCACTTCCTCAAGCACACAGTGAGGAAGTGGCCTGGGTCGGGCCTGGCTCCAAAGCCCGTGCCCTTTTCCCCTGATCCAGATGCTCCCCGAAACCCAGGTTTCTCAGAGCTCTCTGCAGATGTCCCACCCCCAGAACCTGGCTAAAGGGTGGGCTTCAGGGAGTTTCCTCTACAGGGGTCTCTCCCACCTCCGTACTCCAGGAACTCTTTTGTTCACTGGTTACTTTATTCAACAAATATTCCATGAGCACCTACACAGTGCCAGGCTCTGGGCTGGGTGACCAGGAGGGACAGGAGACCCCATATGTCGGGAGGTGGACAGACAGACCTCTAGAGAAAAGGCTTGTAAGACCAGGTCGTTGGACACCTGCTCCAGGTCAGTTTCCCTGCGTTCGGTTACTCATTCCTTAAGCATTTATTGAACACGACTGTGTACCAGCCACTTCAAGACCCAGACACCGACAGTTCTTCATTGCTACAGGGACAGTGACACGCAATACAGGCCCCTGCCGCAGTCACATGGAAGGATTCTCATCATTGTTGCACCCATGGACACACACAGGACTGTTCTGTTTGTCAGCACACACACATAGGTGCACACACTCGCAAAAGTTTCTATGGTCACTATCAGTTATATTTCACCCATGGGCTCACAGGACAGCTTCTTTCTCTCTCTCTCTCTCTCTCCTCACACACACACATCCCTGCCCATTTCAGACATCCACAGTGGTAAACAAGGCACCTACATCTACACCCCACATCCAACTGTTACCCACCCACGGCTCCCAGCACGGCCACCCCAGCATGCACAGCTGCACAGCCCACATACTCTGGATGTGGGCCTAACCATGCACAGCCTGCGGGCTGTCGGTTCTGTCTCTCCTAGCCTCAGCAGGAAACAGGGCTTGGTCCAGCTCACAGGGGACTCTCGGGGGACTTGGCAGGTACCATGTGTGCCCACTCCCCTCCCTCAGAGGAGCTGTTTTGGAAGGTCCCCTGCCCTAAGCACATGTCCAGGGGCTTGGACCCTGGCCACTGCAGACAAGGGTCCCTCGTTCCACCCCCAGCTGGGCTGTCAGGGTCCTCTCACTGGGACCTGACCCTTAAGGGAGGCGCTGTTTTTCTTTGCAGGCGGTCAGCCATGCGCGTCCCACAGAAACTACAAAAGGTCCGGGCCTGCCAGGGTGGCTTTTGCCTCCCCACCCCCAACCCATCCCAGAATGAACCTGTTGCTGTAGCCTCGGGAAGAACAGAGGAGCCACGGCCGTCTGCAGACTCGCCTGTCTTCGCAAGGGGCATGCTATTTATGAGCACTTTCTGACAGCCCAGCACATCCCAGCCTGCTGAGGCAGCACCCTGTCCACCCAATTCCATCCAGGCCACTTCACTCCAATAGCGGGTCCACGGAGGCCCCCAGTGCCTGTCTCCTCAGCCACCGTCTCTGATGACTTCCTGGGGACAGATGAACCTCACTGGCTTTGTGGGAAGCCCAGCAGCGCCAGGCAAGGGGCACGGTGTGCAGCTCTCCCGTGTCTCCCCACAACCACCAACTCCCTTTCTTTGGTTTCTTGGGGTCACCATTTCCTATTGAGTCACACGCAACCTTTGGAAAAATTCTAGTTCTTAAAGTGAGGGACCCCAGACACTCTCCAGTTTCCATGTGCCATGTGGCCTAAGTTTTAAGTCAGATCACGCTAACCATACTCTCCAACTTGGGCGCAAATCCACCCAACCGTTTCCATAGGATGCCGTCACAGAACTCACAGACTGACTTTCTTCATGTAGAAGACACGCACGAATAATAGCTACCATTTCTTGAACACCTACTACACGCAAGGCATTGTGCCAGCTTCACAAGCATTGTATGGAATTCTCATCCAGCCATCCTTAGGGGAGGAATTCTGATTCCACTTTATACATGGAGAAACTGAGTTCAGAGAGGTGAACCCATTTACTCAGAATCACACAGCAGAGAGAAGGGGCTGGCCTGCTCCAGGACCTGGGATCTTAGCCTCAATAGAAATAAAAGTGACCATCACAGTCAACTTATTTATGACCAAAGAAAAAAGGTAGATCCAGGTATTTTTATTTTATTTTTTAGAGATAGGTTGTTGCTACATTGCCCAGGCTGGACTCAAACTCCTGGGCTCAAGCAATCCTTTCTCCTCAGTGTCCTGAATAACCGGAACTACAGGCACGTGCCACTGCACCCAGCTTCCAGGAATTTTTTAAGTGTCTAACAAAGTATAATTTTGCCTGTAATCAATATCTAATAAGTGATTATTTTATGAATAAAATTATATTGGAGCAAAGGAGTGAGTTAACAAGGTTTTCTTTTGTTGTTGTTGGTATTTGTTTTTGGCTAAAATCCTCAAGTCAGCATAAAACCCAGTTACAGGCCGGGCGCGGTGGCTCACGCCTGTAATCCCAACACTCTGGGAGGCCGAGGCAGGCGGATCACGAAGTCAGGAGCTCGAGACCATCCTGGCTAACACGGTGAAACCCTGTCTCTACTAAAAACACAAAAAATTAGCCAGGTGTGGTGGCGGGTGCCTGTAGTCCCAGCTACATGGGAGGCTGAGGCAGGAGAATGGTGTGAACCCAGGAGGCAGAGCTTGCAGTGAGCTGAGATCGCACCACTGCACTCCAGCCTGGGCAACAGAGCAAGACTCCGTCTCAAAAAACAAACAAACAAACAAAAACACAGTTACCCTGTACCCCCTAGAGGGAGATGGTGGTGAGATGCTGTGGATGACAGCTGGACTCTGAGTCAGGCAGATGTGTGTGACCTTGGACGAGTTCCTGAAGGTCTCAGAGCTACTGTCTCCTCACCATAAATGGAGAACCTTCTCTCCACTTGGGCCATTTTGGGAGGTCATGCAAGCAAAGCACTGCGCACAGTATCTGTTATTTTTGACTTTTATTCCCAGCATCCTGCCTACTCTGGACAGTTCAAGCCAAGGGGCTACTTCCTGCTGAAGGTCACAGAAAGCAGTCGGTTTGGACCCCCTGAGTTGGGATGTAGTTGCCACCAGCTGGGACAGAAGGAGGAAGGCAGAGGTGGGGATGGCGTGGCTCCCCCTCCCATCACATCTTTGAGGACCTTGCAGACCTACTGCACGCTCAGCACTTTGATGTACCACATCTCCCCAATCTAGACTTTTCAACCTTGACACTACTGCCATTTGGGGTCGGGTCATTCTTTGTGGTGGGGTCGGGGTGGGAGCTGTCCTGTGCACTGCAGGATGCTGAGCAGCATCCCTGGCCTCTACTCACTTCCTGGAGCATCTTCTCTCCTTCTTGTGATAACCAATAATGCCTCCTTTCATTACCAGACATGCTCTGGAGGGCACAATCCACCCAGCTGAGAACCACCACCTTAAACTGTTACCTGCAAAAATGTCCTGATCACCACTCCCATTGTATAGCTAAGGAGAACCAATGTTTAAAAGAAATCCCACAGCCAGAGGGTGGCAGGAGGAGGACTCAACCCCTTGTCAGTCTGAATGGAAATCCTGCCTTGTTTCCATGGCCTCCCATTCTGCATGGACACCCTCTCCCAGGACCCCAGCTCTGCCCTCTCGCTGGCTGGCCCACAGCTCAGCACAGGACAGACTGACTCAGCCAGCCCCAGTCAGGGCCTGCATGCATGGGAGACTCTATTCATTCACACATGGACGCACCGACTTCTCCAATGCAACTTGCACCAAAGCTTTATTTGCTATTTTCATAGTCTGAATGCAACATCTTTGTACATGCAAAGGTCATCTTGTTTTATTGCAGTCGACCAGATTTCCAACTGCTCTTCTGTGCATATGAAACTTCTTTACAGTTACAAAATATAAAAGCACTTGTAGACGTCCAATACTCTGTGAGGTCTGGTAAGCCCCATTTGTTTTTACATTAAAAATATAAGTTTTTCTAGATGACTTCTCAGTCACACGGTTAGAGATTCTTTCTGGGACTGGATAAAGTGCCTCTCGTCTGCCTTCCGTTCAGAACTCCTAGAGCTTGTGAATTCCTAAGGCAATTGCAAGAACACCGCAGGCAGGAAGCTTAACTTTCCTACACAAAGAACTCGAGCTCCTTTTCTATCGTGACTCAAAGATCTGAGGAAGGACCCAGAAGAAAGGTTAGGAAAATATATACTATACTTGTGTGTGTGTGTGTCTCTGTGTGTGTGTGTATATATATATATTTCCACGCCCTGCCCCATCTTACAAAGCATTTGGAGGATCACGATCATCTGGGAAGTGCATGACTTTAGGATATTGGTATGATTTAGGAAACAGCACAGTACAAAATTATCTTCCATAACACAATATATTACTTTTGTGACCCCCCCTATTTACAGGATCTATAAGGCTATGTGGAATGAGATTATTAAAAAGCTCAAATTCAGCTGGGCATGGTGGCTCAGGCCTGTAATCCCAGCACTTTGGGAGGCTGAGGCAGTAGAATCACTTGAGACCAAGTTTAAGACCAGCTTGGGCAATATAGTGAGATCCTGTTTCTACAAAACAGATTTAAAAGATCAGCTGGGCGTGGTGATGTGCGCCTGTCATCTAGGCTACTCTGGAGGTGGAGATGAGAGGATTGCTTGAGCCCAGGAGTTGGAGGCTGGAGTGAGCTATGATTGTGCCACTGCATTCCAGCCTGGCCAACAGAGCAAGACCGTGTCTCAAGAAAAGAAAAAAAAAAAAGTTCAAATTCTTTAGAAAACAGCATAATTTGTAGCCCGTGTGATGCCAATAGGAATTGTCAAGGAAGTGCCCGTCCAAGTCATGGAAGATGATGTTATGGCACAGGTGTGAGAGCAACCACTGAAGGAGATTCTGGGAAGGCCAAAGGGGAGGGCGGGCTGAGGGGTGTCCATTTTAAGGGTTAACTTGCCGGAAACCTCAGGCCGACTTTCCAGAGCAGAGGGCCTAGCTTTCTGCCCTTCCCCCTGCAGGAGCCAATTTAGTCAAAAGAAAGCAAACTCTGGATTGGGGGGTGCAAAAGGAGACGCAGGCTGGCAAAGACCTGGCACACTCATGCCTACCAGCTTTTTACGTGGCTCTAAACTTCCTGAGCCCACCCAGAATTCCAACTGGGTGAGTCCTAGCAGCCTCTTAGCACACAGCAAGAGTCCCCCACTCGCTAATGGGACCGAGCCCAAAGCAGATCCCCTTTAGATGTGGAGTGGGTCCTATCCCTCCAGCCCCTCGGAATCATGATGCCATGGAACTTCGGCTTTTGTGTTTTAACACACGGTGAGGGGGAAGGCACATTCAGAGACCACAGAATGTCTCCCCATCACTTACTCTGGTTTAAATATCTACACTGGGGAGGAGGGATTTTTACAGTTTGCAATTACGACTAGTTCCAGGAGCCATCTGGGGGCATTATAAAGAAAAATTTTAAAGCATAGATCAACAAAGCAGCTATCAGCACCAGGTTGGAGCAGCTAAGGTCTCTTTTAGGAAAATCATGCTAAGGGTCTTTCTAAATCCTTTGCCCAGCCTGTAAAGTTTAAAACCACAGGCTCATGCCTATTTCTCTTTTGGCTTCTTGGTGATACCCTTAGTTGGCCTCCCTTCCAGGGAGGCACAAAGGCAAACACAATTGTCTGAAACCACATGATTTGGCGCGTCCCCCTGGAAAACACCGCCATCTGATTGTCCTTTCCCTGAATCCTGAGGCTATCAGGTCAGGTTCACTCAAAATCCCAACATCCTAAAGACCACGAGGTTTCTCTTTCACCAGAGTTTCTCCGGTGGCATGGAGTAATCCTCCACAACACTGATTTCTGAGGCCTTGTCATGGATTTTCAAAGGCCAAAAGCCTCTGTTTGATTAGGCAAAGGACCATGAAGAAGGGTATCTACTGAAGAGGAAAAAGATACAGGCTTCTCAAAAGATCAGCTGTTAAAATGCTGATGTGCAAAGGGGTGGTGGAGGTGAGGAGGAAGAGAAATGAGGGGGAGAGAGATTGTACATATAGAGGATTTTCCATTCTGCATGAAACTCTCATTGAGGACAGCCAAAGCCCCAGGGGAGGAGGGTTAGATTGAGGAGCGGATGACTCCATTACACACAGATGATTAAGGCATATTAAGTGAGTTTAAAAAGAAGACAGATTTCCAAAGGGGTCTCCAGGCAAAGTCTAGAAACTAGCATACAACGCCTCCTTGCTTAGCCTCAAAGAGAGCTCACTCCATTTAGAATGGGGATAAGTAAATCACCCATTTGCCCAGCTATCTGCAAAGGCTCCCAATCATCAGTTACTTCTAACTTCATTGCACTGATCATAAGCAGGTCTCAGAGGTCATGGCAGAGCCCACGTGAAAGAGGGTCGCTCTTGACCCACTGTGATTGTCTTCCCTGTGGTGCTGGAGGAGACAAGGTTATAGAAAAATAAAAGGAGGTGAGGAAGATCTTCAGGGCTTGCCCTAGTCACTTTCAAGGAGGGTGAACTTTGTATATCCTAATTAACATAGAATTAATTGATTATTTTTCCAATTAAGGTATGAGAGATTAGGGAAAAAAAATCTCCAGGTCAATCTCATTTTCAAGTGTGTTTCATTCCTGTCTGATATCCTTGAGCTGAGACATGACTAATTAAGAATTGAGAGTTTTGCATGAGGACCATCAATATATGTAAGAGCAGGTCCTTTCCTACTGCTTGAGATGGTACCAAGGGGTCCTTTCCACCTGAAGGAAAGAGAGACAGCAGCCCAGATAAGAAGTCAGGATCAAAAGACTAGGAATGTGTTTCAGGCCAGGTGCAGTGGCTCATGTCTGTAATCCGAGCACTTTGGGAGGCTGAGGAGGGACAATTGCTTGAGCCCAGAAGTTCGAGACCAGCCTGGGCAACATGGTAAGACCCTTGTCTCTACAAAAATATTTAAAAATTAGCTGGTCATGGTAGCATACACCTGTAGTCCCAGCTACTTGGGAGGCTGAGGTGGGAGAATCACTTGAGCCCAGGTGTTAGTGAGCTATGATCGTGCCACTCCACTCCAGCTTGAGCAACAGAGTAAGACCTTGTCTCAGAAAAACAAAACAAAACAAAACACTAGCAGGGTATTTTTAAAGGGGATCCTATTGACGTTGAAAGCCATAAGATCAAAATTATTATAAAACATAAACTGGATCTTTAAAAAAGAATTCGACTGAAGCAGTTGCAGGCATGAATCCCCAAATGGCCACGGAGAACTGATGACTAATTCAGGGAATGAAGAGAAAACAAACTATCATCAGCAGGGCCAAACTCCCAAACCCAGATGCATGAGGCTCCCAGGTGTAAAAGGCTGGGTGGGTGACATGATCTGGCAATTGCTCATCAGTAACCAAAGCTCATCGAACAGGACACAAGGTGGGCTCCGGCCTCACAGCCCTGCAGTTGCTGTCCCTGGTGCTGAACAGCAACTGCCTCACCAGGGCCCAGGTGTTTATCCTAACCTAAAGAAACAGAGGATTTCTATCCATGCCCATCCACCCACTAAGACAGAGAAGAGGGGTAAAGGAAGATGAGGGAGGAAGCTGAGACAGAGAGACAAATGAACTCCTGAGAGGTAGCCAGGGAGAAGGAAAGCATGTTTTGACAGCATTTGCAAATAATGGATTCATCAAGAAAGATGAAGGAAAATGAGGTGAGCAAAAGCAAAAAGTACCCTTCATTCATGCATCTGTTCTGAGGCCAGTTTGGAACAACTCCTCCATGCCAGCAGCCCACGTCATGTTCAAAGAAGACTCTGGAGAAAAAGATTACTAGGGCAGGTCTGATGATTCATAAGCAAAGGCACCACCACTTGGGCTGCAGTTTATGAACCCTTAAGGCCAAGGGGCAAAGGTCACCCTACCGAAACCAGAGCTCAAATGAAAAGAAGCCATGGAAATAAATACAAGAGTGACAATTATAACTTCTAAACAGCTTGGATAGGGATAAGATAACCTGAGGTGACTGGATACTTCAGAACAAATTATTCGCACATCTTTCCTCCTGTCCTTTAACGTAAACACATATATACCTATCAAGTTTCAAAGAAAATTAGCTGAATTATTGCTTTATCGCCTTCTAAAGCAAACAAAAATGACATACAATAACATAGGCCAACGATGCACACAGCCCCACTAGAAAGAGAAATACACATAATCAGGGAGAGTATGTTTAAAAATTGGAACTGCTGATTCCTCAAGGGGAAGAAGGAACTCACCAAAAAAAAAGAATAGAAAACCTCAACCCAGCGGTAATACCCTGCACCGAGACTACAGCAGAAAATGAACAGTTTGATCTTCCTTGGAAATGTCCTTCCAAAAAAAGACCTGCCCCGGGGTCGGGTGAGGAGGTGCTTTCACAAATGCAGGTGTTTTTCAGAACCTGGGGAGACAATTCCAGCCTCACACTGATGTTCTTGGAGCTGATGAAGGTGTCTAAAATAGGTAGAAATGCAAATTTTTACATAAAAAGCAAAACCACCCACATGGACGTTTCTGGGCAGCCTGGCTCCTTTCCCAGCCTGAAGTGCTGTCTGGGGAGATGAGCGAGTGCTCCTGGAGGTTGGGTCTTCCCGTCTGGATCCAGGGAGAGCCTGGCGAGGACAGGGGCACTGGATAGCGTTCTCAATCCAATGGGAAGGGCCCAGGCACGTAAGCGTTGTGCAGGAAGAAACGGCAGCAGCTCGGCCTCGTCTGCGGGTTCTGATGGTTAAGGCTTCTGTTACGTAGATGTGGCAGTGTTCCCTGCCTGGAGAGGAAGGGACAGTACTGGTGTCAGCAGTGGGAACATTTGGCTCCATTGCTCTCTACCCTCAGTCCTTAAAATCTCACCTGATATTCTCCAATGAAGTCACCCCTAGAAGCCTAAGGTCACAAAAGAGATTTTTTGTGTTGGGTGGAAAGGGGAGGTGAGGAGGGTGGCAGGCATGGAATACAGTGAAACCAACATGAAATTTAGGGTCAGGTCAGGGTTCCAGTCTCAATTCTGAGCCTCAGTTTCCTCAAAGGGGTTGCTGGAGGCTTAAATGAGATATTACATGTACTGCACCAAACACAAAATAAACACAGGTCCCGATCCCTTATCCAAATCCCTTGAGCATAGTTTTATTTGGGAATTTATAATTTTTAGTATTTATTATACATACACACATGCATCATACATAATCATGTAATATATACACATATGTATATATATACATATGTAACACCACCATAATCAAGCAGATAATATTCCTGCAGTGTATTATGAACATTCATATAAAGTGGGGAAAATAGAGTCAAAGTAGAATTATATTCACTCAGGTCAGGTTTTACCACTGACTTAGGAAAAAGCTTTGTTTTGCAGGGCTTTCTGGAATTTGGCTTTGTGGATAAGGGATGGTGAGTCTCTTGTGCTCATCACATCAACGCTGACTTTGATGGTGCACGTACCATGAGCTCCTATACTGAGGAGAAACAGGCAGCACTCAGTCAAGCACCACAGGTGCATTCTCAGTGAGCCCTGAGGACAACTCGGTGGTGTGGACACTGCTAACCCATTTTACAGATGAGGAAACTTAAGTTCATGATGTTCAGTCATTTGCAACTTACACCAGGGCCTATCTAATCGTAATTTTTAATGTATATTTTTTCAAATTCATTTTTAACTACATAGGTTGTATATGAAACACTCCCCCTATAAAAACTGTAACCATTTCTGGCCGGGCACAGTGGCTCACGCCTATAATCCCAGCACTTTGGGAGCCAGAGGTGAATGGATCACCTGAGGTCAGGAGTTCGAGACCAGCCTGTCCAACATGGTGAAACTCCATCTCTACAAAAAATATAAAAATCAGCTGGGCATGGTGGCAGGCACCTGTAATTCCAGCTACTTAGGAGGCTGAGGCAGGAGAATCGTTTGAACCCGGGAGGCAGAGGCCGCAATGAGCCAAGATCCGAGATTGCATCATTGCACTCCAGCCTTGGTGACAAGGGCGAAACTCTGTCTCAAAAAAAAAAAAAAAAAAAAGTAACCATTTCTAATTAAGCTAACCTCTGATGTCCCCGCCCTTTTGTTTTATCAGAGGGGACTGTGATGCAGCTAGAAGGGTCAGCCAAGTGCATGAGACCAGAGCCCCAGTCACCTGCCTCCTGGCCTGGTACCTTTCACCCACTCCAGGCAGCCCAGCTTTGTTTTCTCCCTAAATGGAAACAGACATAACCATCCTCTTTACAGGAACTCAGAACACCCCCCACCCCTCATTCTTCCCCTTACACAGCCTCTTTCCTTGGGTACAACAGCCCCAGTCTCTGAAGCGTGGCCCCCCTGAGTTCCCCATTCCTGTGACTGCAGGGCTCTTCCCAGGTTCCCCAACAGAGCCCCTTCATACCTGGTCAAACTTGGTTCTCATAAAGACTTTGCCTCTTCTTGGATTTCAATTCCTTTAGCCACTGGGGAGAGGGTTCATCCGACCTGAAACCACAAAGCCAGTAAGAGACTAGTTGAAACCAGACTGTGGGCTCCTTGCGGGCAGGACTGAGTGGTATCCGACTGTCTATCCCTGGGCCCAGGCGGGGTTGGGGCAAGCACTCAGAGGTGGTAAAGATGCCCATATTAACGGGACTGATAAGCAAGAAGTAGAAATTAACCACAGTGTCCAACAATGGGGAATATTAAATAAATCAGGGGTCCCCAACCCCCTGGGCCACAGACCGATACTGGTCCATGGCCTGTTAGGAACAAGGCCACACAGCAGGTGGTGAGTGGTGGGCGAGTGAGCGAAGCTTCATCTGTATTCACAGCTGCTCCATCACTCACATTCCACCTGATCTCTGCGTCCTGTCAGAGCAGCGGCAGCATTAGATTCTCATAGGAGTGTGAACCCTATTGTGAACTGTGCATGCAAGGGATCTAGGTTGCGAGCTTCTCATGAGAATCTAATGCCTGATGATCTGTCACTGTCTCCCGTCACCCCCAGATGGAACCATCTAGTTGCAGAAAAACAAGCTCAGGGTTCTCACTGAGTCTACTGTGAGTTGTAGAATTATTTCATTCTAATTACAATGTAATAATAATAGAAATAAAGTACACAATGAATGTAATGTGTTTGAATCATCACAAAACCACCCCCCTATACCCCTGGTCTGTGGAAAAATTGTCTTTCACAAAACTGGTCCATGGTGCCAAAAAGGTTGGGGACCGCTGAAATAAATCACGATATATCTGTTCTATGAGATAAACTGCAGTTATAAAAATTTATCTTGGTTGGACACAGTGGCTCATGCCTGTAACTCCAACACTTAGGGAGGCAGAGGCAGGAGGATAGCTTGAGCCCAGGAGTTTGAGACCAGCCTACGCAACACAGTGAGACCCCATTCTCCACAAAAAGCAAACAAACAAACAAAAAATTCGTCCTATATAAAATTATTTCCATCCATCCATTTGTCATGCAAATAGCTATTCATCCTTCCATCTCTCTATCCAGGTAAGTGTCTGTGATGGTTAGTTTTATGCATCAACTTAAACCTAATGTGTACCCAGATATTTGGTCAGACACTATTCTAGATGTTTATGCAAAGATATTTTTTCTTAGATGAGGTTAACATTTAAATCAGTAGGCGCTGAGTAGCACAGACTACCCTCCGTGATATAAAAGGGCCTCATCTACTCAGTTGAAGGCCTGAATAGAAAAAGACTGGCCTCGCCAGGCACGGTGGCTCACGCCCGTAATCCCTGCACTTTGGGAGGCCGAGCTGGGCGGATCACGAGGTCAGGAGATCAAGACCATCCCGGCTAACACGGTGAAACCCTGTCTCTATTAAAAATAAAAAAAAATTAGCCGGGTGTGGTGGTGGGTGCCTGTAGTCCCAGCTACTCAGGAGGCTGAGGCAGGAGAATGGTGTGGAGGCAGGAGAATGGTGTGAACCCAGGAGGCGGAGGTTGCAGTGAGTGGAGATGGCTCTGCTGCACTCCAGCCTGGGCGACAGAGCAAGAATCCGTCTCAAAACAAAAAAACAAAAAAACAAAACAAAAAAAAAAAAAAAAAAAGAAAAAGACTGGCCTCCCAGGAAGAAGAGGGAAGCCTTTTGGACTTCGACACTTCCTCACATCCCCAGCCTGCTGGTCTACTCTGCAGATTTGGGACTTGCCTGCCTCCACAATCACATGAGCCAATTCCTTAAAATCAATCTCTATACATACATACGTGTGTCTACATGTGCATACATATCTATATACGTACATGTATATACAGCTGACCCTTGAACAACACAGTTTGAACTGTGTGGGTCCACTTGGATTTTCTTCTGCCTCTGCCGCCCCTGAGGCAGCAAGACCAATCCCTCCTCTTCCACCTCCCCCTCAGCCTACTCAATGGGAAAACAATAAGGATGAAGGATGAAGACCTTTATGATGATCCACTTCCACTTAATGAACAGGAAATATATTTTCTCTTCCTTATGATTTTCTTAATAACATCTTTCCTCTAGCTTACTTTATTGTAAGAATATATAAAATATAACATACAAAATATACGTATGTGGTTATGAGTGAGGCTTCTGGTCAACACTAGGCTATTAGTAGTTAAATTTTAGAAAGTCAAAAGCTACATGCAGATTTTTGACTAAGTAGGAAGTCAGTACCCCTAATCTCTGCCTTGTTCAGGGATCAACTGTATTATTTACACACACACACACACACACACACACACACACACACACACACACACCCGATTGGCTCTGTTTCTCTGGAGAACTCTGAACAATACAATGCCCATAAGACATACAGCATACAGAGCTGCCTTTTGTTTATCAAAGGTCAACAATAATTGTTTTGGGGAGGTGAGATTTGTTTAAACTGTTTGTTTGTTTGTTTTGAGACGGAGTCTCTCTCTGTCGCCCAGGCTGCAGTGCAGTGGCGCCATCTCGGCTTACTGCAAGCTCTGCCTCCTGGGTTCACGCCATTCTCCTGCCTCAGCCTCCCGAGTAGCTGGGACTACAGGCGCCCGCCACCACATCCGGCTAATTTTTTTGTATTTTTAGTAGAGATGGGGTTTCACTGCGTTAGCCAGGATGGTCTTGATCTCCTGATCTTGTGATCCGCCCACCTCAGCCTCCCAAAGTGCTGGGAGTACAGGTGTGAGCCACCATGCCCAGCCTGTTCAAACGTTTTTAAATGGAAGAACACATACAGAAAGGTACTCAAATCAAAATGTGCACAGCTCAATGAATTTTCTCAAAGTGAATACATCTGAGTAGCCACCATCTACATGGTACTACTTTTGACTTTTATTTTTTAACCTTCTTCTTAGCAGTTTTCTGTGTTCTCAGAATTTCTTATAATGAGAACACAACATTTTAATAAAAAACAATAAAGTCAGGCCAGGCACGGTAGCTCATGCCTGTAATCCTAGCACTTTGGGAGGCAGAGGATCATCCAGGAATTCGAGACCGGCCTGGGCAACATGGCGAAATCTTGTCTCTACAAAAAAATACAAAAATTTGCCAGTCATGGTGGCACACAACTATGGTTCCAGCCACTCATGGAGGCTGAGGTGGGAGGATTCACCTGAGACTGGGGAGGTCGAGGCTATAATCATGCCATTGCATTCCAGCCTGGGTGACAGAGTGAGACCCTGTCTCAAAAACAACAAAAAACAATAAAGTCACCATTGTTTAAAACTTTATTCAAGAAAAAAAAAATCACGTTTATGAAGATTGTTAAATGGGCACGGGAAAACATTCATATGGAACATGGAGCAGGGGAATCAAACTACGCAAACGTCGTGATCTCAGCTACATTACAAAGAAAAAGAAAATGGAAGGAGAGATGCCCAGATATCAACAGTCATGGTCTTTGCACAGTAGGATCGTGGATGATTTTCTTTTCCCCTTTGTATTCTTTTTGTATTTTCTACAGTCACTGCTTTTATAATCAAACACACATGCACACAGGACGTGACTGATTCTGTTCTCAGAGAAAGCTCCTGAGACCCGTGGCCCTGGAGGGGTCGGAAAAGATGCTGGCCTGTTGGTGGTACAGTGGGGGTCTGCACCTGAGGGGGTGAGAGATTAGGTGACTCTGGAGTCTAGGGGCAGGCCTTCAACTGCTATGCCTGCCAGCCTAGGAATGAGGAAGAAGAGGGCCCCCTGGGCAGATGGGGGTCTAGGGTACTCCAGACTTCAGCCAAGCTTTGCCTAATAGTGGTGACACAAGCCCAGGCCTCCAGAGGTGCCTCTGAGGCCCTAGTCTGGGGGTTTCTCCAGCCACAGAGAAATGCTGGAGCCCTCCACTGACTCTGGAGCCAGAATTCTGGCATTACCAGAGCAGGGAGGCACTGTCTCAACTATGGCCCTGTCTTTCTCTAATGTCTCACCTTCTGGTTCCCACAGCCCACTCTGCGCTATGTATTTTACACTGCCTGAGGCTCCCAGGTACATCTGGCCTCCAGGCCTTTGCATGTGCAGTGGCTTTAGCCTGGGATCCCCTCTCACTGCCCGTGGTCCAGCTAAGACCCAATTGTCCACCATGATTCAGTTCAAGTATCTCCTTCTCTTGGAAGCTTCTTTTTTTTAATTAGAGAGGCAGGGACTTACTGCATTGCCCAGACTGGAGTGCGGTGGCACGATCATGGCCTCCATCTCCTGGGCTCAAGGGATCCTCCCACTTCCACCTCTGGAGTAGCTGGGACCACAGGCATGTACCACCACAGCCAGCTAATTTTTTTTCTTTATTTCTTTTTTTATTTTTCGTGACAAGGTCTCATTCTTTAGTCCAGGCTGGAGTGCAATGGTGCAATCATAGCTCACTGCACTCCAACCCCTGGCCTCAAGTGATCCTCTCACCTCTGCCTTCCAAAGTCCTGGGACTATAGACGTGAGCCACTGCACCCAGCTGGAAGTCTTTTCTGCCGCCCATCCTCAAGTGTGCATTATGAGCCCTTCACCTGCCTCCCTCCATCACAGGGGTCAGAGAAAGGGCCAGAGAGTAAAATATTCCTGATTCTGTGGGCTGTGGGACATCTGTGCTACTTCTTAACTCTGCAGTGGTAGCACTAAAGCAGTTATGGACAATACATAAATGAATGCATGTGGCTGTGTTCCAATAAAGCTTACTTACAAAAACTGATGTGGGCTGGATTTAGCCTGTGGGCCATAGCTTACCCACTCTTGCTCTGATCCAACCAGCACTTACTATCATTACAACTCTAGCATCAGGAACAATCCCTAACTTTCATGGATTAACAGTGCTCATGATAAGATTTCCACTCTGCTTCACTGAGTACTTCTACATCCCAGGGCTCAGGCACAGGGCTTTAGACACACTCTTGTTTCATCCTCATGACCACCTCGGAAGGTTAGGAGGTTAGAAAACCCACTTTACAGTTGAGGAAACTGAGGTTCAGGAGGTCAAGTACCTTTTCCCACATCATGCAGCTCTTAAGCAGCAATGGTGGAATTAAACCCTGGCTGTGTGACCTTAGATCCCCTGTTCTTAACCTCCACCTCCAGCTGCTGAAACACCCCTCTGAGAGCCTGAGAGCCTCTTGGGGGGCAGAAGCTGCTTTGTGCTCGTCTCTACACAGAACAGCCCAGGATCGGGATAGCTGTTCCACGAAGGGAGTGAAACCGATCTCATTCAACCTGGCCGTGCCCTTTGATCCACCTTCCCAGGTCCTCCAGATCTCTGATAATAAAGATACTTCCCCAAAGGGGAAGAGGAGGGAGAATGCCTCAGTTTCCCCATCGGTCTGGAGAGGGCTAAACTAGATCAGTAGTTCTCCAGCAATGGTGCCCTGGCGTTCCATGTAGCAGGTGGCAGTGGGCGGGGAAGAGGAGAGGCCAGCTGGCCTGATTCCTGGCCTCCTTCCCCGGCCTCTGTTGTACTTTTTAGGTATCTGAGTATTGAGAATTCTCATGAACAAAGCTTCTGCTGCTAGAGAAAATTAAAAAGTTGTAACTCTCTTCTATTCAGCTCTAAAACCTATGCGAGCACCTCTCTAGAAGTATAGCCTGAGTTTGGAAGGAGAGGGACCCCCATTCCCCAAGACCCCTCACCTCTCATCCTTGTCCATGCTGGAAGGCAGCACGCGACTGCCCAGCACCCCAGGCTGGAAGGGGGACTTGGGGCTCTTGGGTTGGGGTGCCCAGCTGGGGGTCTCGCCAGGACTGTCCACCTCTGGCCTCTTGTGCAGCTGAGCCTGGGGAGAAAAGAGAGCTGAGTCTATAAGCTGCCCTTTGTCTGGGGAAGGGCCCCCTCCCATGCAAATGTCAGGTACAATGAGCCTTCTGCAAACACTCGGGGCCCCCTGAATCGGAATAAACCCAGACAGGAAACATGGGGGCTGAGAAAAGTCAGATGTCAGTCTGGCATTCCAAGCAGCCACCCTCGACCCCCAAGATCGAATCACCACCCAAACCCCACATAATCACATTCTCTTTTGCTGAAAAGCCACCATTTGTAGTGTGCTCAGCACACGGCATGCCACCCTGAGAACTCTACATGGAGAGAGCAGCTCCCTCCATCCAACAGCTGCAGCTTAGCTCCGTTCAGTTCCTTACTCCTGGAGCCATGTAAATAAAATGAAGTTTTCGACAGTCTATTAGAGTCCCATAAGAAAACCGGAGGGCAAATATCCACCCATTTTTGGAGGGCATGTTGGGAATGGAATACAATGGTGTGCATAAAGTTCCCTTGCGGGACCTGAGGTGTGAGTGGTGGCAAGTGGCTTCTCTCTCCCAGGCCGTGTTGGGTCAGCCCCCAGCAACAGCAGTCATTACCATTGTCCACTGATAGCTTCTGTGCACTGATCACCCATCACTTTTGCTCTACCAGGCTCAAGAAATATGACAAATGTGAGTTCGTTCCATGTGTGTATGATTCTTTTAGGGCAGATCCTGGCTTTCCCCATTTTACAGGGCGAGAGAGCCCAAAGCTCAAAGGTCTAGCCCGAAGTCACACAGCTTTTATGAACTGGGATTCACACCGGGTCTGCCCGCAGCCCAACTCCAGGGTTCTTTCCAGGACAAGCCCTGCAACCTCCCCTGGTTGTTAATAATCGCCTAGCACTGCTGTGGTAGAGATTGAAGTTTAAGCTAACACTGATGAATGAATGGCCAGAGCCCCGTTTTCACAGAGCACAGTGGACTGGAGCTGTGTTCTGGAATCCCAAGATCTGCCTCAGCAGTTACTCGGTGCATCCACATGGGAGCCCCAGGGCCTCCATCTCACCTACACCCAGGGCCTGTGGCTGTCTGCCTCCTGCGTTAGGCTACCTTATAAGATCATTTGCTTTGTGGCAAGAAAGAAAATGAGGGAAGGAAGGAAGGAAGGATGGGAGGGAGGGAGGGAGGAAGGCCAGATGCGGTGGCTCACGCCTGTAATCCCAGCACTTTGGGAGGCCGAGGCAGGCGGATCAGGAGGTCAGGAGATTGAGACCATCCTTACTAACATGGTGAAACCCCGTTTCTACTAAAAATACAAAAAATTAGCCAGGCATGGTGGCCGGCGCCTGTAGTCCCAGCTACTCGGGAGGCTGAGGCAGGAGAATCGCTTGAACCCGGGAGGCGGAGCTTGCAGTGGATCACACCACTGCACTCTAGCCTGGGTGACAGAGAGACTGTCTCAAAAAACAAAAAAAGAAGAAGGAAGGAAGGAAGGAGAGAACAAGGAAGGAAGGAAGGAAGGAGAAAGAGAAAGGAAGGAAGGAAGAGAGGGAGGGAGGGAGGGAGGGAGGGAGGGAGGGAGGGAAAGAAAGTCAGAAAACCTCTAACCTAGTTCTAGTGACTGAAAGATGTTCACACTGTAAGGGCCTGTAAAATCAATTACAGACACAAGCACGCATCCACTACTGACTGATTTTCTATTCGTGGAAGAAATGACAGAAAAGCAAAACTTCCGTCTACTAAAGGAGCAACAGAGTCACGGCGCTCCCACATGGGGATTGTGTGGCCTGCATGGCATACACAGAGTTGAGAAATTCCACCAACAATTCAGGCTTGTCTGCCTTCATTTCTTCTTCAATAAAAGGGGAACGAAGAGCTACCTTTTGCAAGGTTGCTGGAGCATAAAGTGAGTTTGCAAGCACATGATGTCTGAAACAGGGGGGCAAAAGGGCCTCTTTCCTCACCCAAATTAAGTGCCATTTGGTTCCAGGACTATGAGAGACACTTGTGAGAGCTGGACGTGGGGAGGAGGGAGGCAGCTCAGCCTTTCCCTCAGCATTGCATAATACAGTTGGCATTCTGGTGCAATTTGGGAGACTGGGACTTGGTTCCAGCACTGGCTTCCTGTGTCATCTGGTACTGAAATGATCATTTTCTGTGCCTGCCTTCCACAGCAGACCGGATTCCTCAAGGGCTTCAGGAGCCTGGGTTTGTTCACTCCTGCTTCCCTGATGTTCAGCACTGGTGAGCGTCACCAGTTGGATTCTCAGCCCACTTTACAGATAAGCAAACCAAGGCTTAGCTATGACACCAGAGCAGCAGGTTTGGGGGCGGAGGAGAGTCAGAAAGTGGAGATTAAGCAACACAGGGCCACTGGTGAAAGCCAAGTAAGTTGGTAGTATTGTTAATGGTAGAAGCCAATTTCCTAATTTTGCCAATGTGCTATGGTCATGTGAAATACTATCATGTGGGTGAAGCTGAGTGAAGGGTATGGAGAAACTCCCTGAGTTATTTTTGCAACTCCGTTTGAAACTTAAACTATTTCAAAAATGGAAGGAATGAAGGAAGGAGAAGGAAGGAAAAAAAGAAGGATAAAAAAGGATGGACAAAAAAGGAAGGAAGGAAGAAAAGAGAAAGGGAGGGAGGAAAGAAAGAAGAGAAAGGGAGGGAGGAAAGAAAGAAGAGAAAAGGAAGGAGAAAGGGAGGGAGGAAAGAGAAAGAGGTAGGAAGGGAGGGAGGAAGAAGGGACAAAAGGAAGGAGGAAGACAGGGAGGGAGGAAGAAAGGAAGGAAGGACGGAAGGAAGGAATATGTTTGTTTTTTGTTTTTTTTTTGAGATGGAGTCCCGCTCTGTCGCCCAGGCTGGAGTGCCGTGGCGCAATCTCGGCTTACTGCAAGCTCCGCCTCCCAGGTTCAAGCCATTCTCCTGCCTCAGCCTCCCAGGTAGCTGGGACTACAGGCGCCCGCCACCACGCCCGGCTAATTTTTTTCTATTTTTTAGTAGAGACGGGGTTTCACCATGTTATCCAGGATGGTCTCGATCTCCTGATCTCGTGATCCGCCCAACTCGGCCTCCCAAAGTGCTGGGATTACAGGCGTGAGCCACTGCACCCAGCCGGAATCTATTCTTTACACTGCTAAGGTTGAGGATCATGCCCACCAGGTGACTCTTGGTGAGAGGTCTGGTACCTTTAGCACTGCCGGATCCATGCCTGGAAACGCAGGCATCCTCTGAGGATGGCTGACAGGGGTCCTCTCAGCTTTGGATGCCGTCTCCTCCTCATCCGACTCCTCCTTCCTGGGTGATTTCTCCTCTGTTGCAAAGAAAAGGGCACTGAATTCATCAGCAGCTGCCATGTATTGAGGTCCTACATGCCAGATAATTTGCACACAGTATCTCATGCAATGCTCACATCAGACCTGCACAGAAGACGCTATGGCCCATTTTACAGATGAGGACCACCAAGGTGCCTGCTTTCATGCTCTCTCTTCTCACAACTCTGCTTCTTGCCAGAAGATACTGACAACAGGCAGAGTAGGTTTTCTTTTGCGGGAGGACAGAGGCAAACCCATCTCCTGGGCCCTTGGCTCATTCCAAGTCAGGGAATAGAAGGAAATCTTTGGCAGAGGCAGGAAAGTAGATAGGAATGCTTTCAGCCAACAATGCACCGAGGTTATGCTCTCAGAGGAGAATGTGGAGAGCTTCATGTGTCTTGTGGAAAGGCGGCCCAAAGGTGGACCAGGAAGCCATTTTCCTTGACCCCAACTCCCCTATCCAGGACTTAACCCCAGACCCGTGCTTGAGGCTGAGCTGATCACTCAAGCTTTTGGGTGATGGGCTGCCTATCCCACTCTTCCAGGAGTGATATGGGAGGAGTTTCTACTTCTCTGAGACCAGGATGCTGGCATGGGCACAGTGAGGATTGGAGGAGGGGGCGGGGATGAAAGAGGCAAGACCTGGTGCTCTGGAGCCCTTGGGCTACCCGAGGAACTGAGGTACGCTAAGAAAACACAGACCCAGCCTTCCCCATCCAGCCCCTGGCCGGCTCCTCCAGGCTGATGGGAGCCAGAGGTGCTGCTGCCACGTTCCAGCTGGGGGTATTTGTGTGCTTTTGTCCCTATTATGGTCTTCATTTGCTCCAGGTGGCTTAATAGAACTTGGCTCAGAAAACCAAGAAAGTGCAGAGAGGTCTCACCTGAGGCACTTAAACATTTCCTTTAATAACAGAAATGGGATAGGAGTGGGAGAGAGAACTCTCCAAGCATTTCTTTAAGGTATCTGGTCAGAAGCAATGCCCCTCACTCAGCTCAGAGCCTGGTCTGACATCCTAATGTTTGCTATGGGCAAATCCCAAATGAACAAAGGCACCTACAAGATGTTTTTGAGGACTAAAAAGGCTGTGTCTACATAGAGTGGGCAGGTCAGCTGCTCTAGTTTCCATTGCAAGAAGAAATTTTTTCTTCTTTTTTTTTTTTGAGACAGAGTCTAGCTTTGTTGCTAGGCTGGAGTGCAGTGGCACGATCTCGGCTCCCTGCAACCTCCGCCTCCTGGGTTCAATCGATTCTCCTGCCTCAGCCTCCTAAGTAGCTGGGATTACAGGCACGTGCCATCATGCCCAGCTATTTTTGTATTTTTAGTAGAGACGGGGTTTCACCATGTTGGCCAGAATGGTCTCAATCTTCTGACCTCGTGATCCACCCACCTCGGCCTCCCAAAGTGTTGGGATTACAGGCGTGAGCCACCACGCCCTGCCTGTTTCTTCTTAAAAGTCTTTCATGGCTCTCCATCTACAGACGAAATCTAACTCCTTAGCAAAGCATCAGGGATCTCCATGATCTGGCCCCTGCCTACCTTTCCAGCATATCCTGCTATTCCCAGCTTGAGCAACACGTAACTGTTTAGGGATGCTCCTGCCACACACACAGTTCCTCGGGTAGCCCAAGGGCTCCAGAGCACCAGGTCTTGCCTCTTTCAGAATGTTCTTTCCACATCTCTGTCCCTTTGATCTTGTTGATACTTCTGCCTGGAATAACTTTCCCTAACTCATTATTATCCATTCTTCAAGATTCAGCTCAGGTTTTGATACGGTAAGCAGCCAAAATAGTCCTTAGAGGAAAATGTATAGCCTTAAATGATGCATTAGAAAACAGAAAAGATTGATAATATATGGACTGATCTTTCAACTCAGGAATACAGAAAAAAGACCAGCGAGCAAACCTAAAGAGAATACAGGGGTGGATTTAATCAAAATAAAAGCAGAAATAGTAAAACCTTATTAAGCTATGTCTCTGTCTCTTGTAACTCAAAGAGCCTCAATTAATATACTAACCTTCAAAACACTGTTTTACCTAGTTTCTGATAAGTTCTGCATAACAAGAAATCAGTTTCCACTTTTGGGAGTGCCACCCTGGAGGCCAACGCATTGGGCAGGGGAAGCGGCTCCGTTCCCTTCCCAACGCAGGAGGCGCAGGTGCTGAAGCAGCTGGTGGAGCCGCGCGAGCACGAGCGGGAGGTGCTGCACAAGGCGCTGGAGGAGAATAACAACTTCAGCCGCCAGGCGGAGGAGAAGCTCAACTACAAATGGAGCTCAGCAAGGAGATCCGCGAGGCGCACCTGGCCGCACTGCGCGAGCGGCTGCGCGAGGAGCTGCACGCGGCCGAGGTGCGCAGGAACAAGGAGCAGCGAGAGGAGATGTCGGGCTAAGGGCCCGGGACGGGCGGCGCCCATCCTGCGAGAGAACACGTTCGGGTTTTGGTTTTGTTTCGTTCACCTCTGTCTAGATGCAACTTTTGTTCCTCCTCCCCCACCCCCGCCCCCAGCTTCATGCTTCTCTTCCGCACTCAGCCGCCCTGCCCTGTCCTCGTGGTGAGTCGCTGACCACGGCTTCCCCTGCAGGAGCCGCCGGGCGTGAGACGCGGTCCCTCGGTGCAGACACCAGGCCGGGCGCGGCTGGGTCCCCCGGGGGCCCTGTGAGAGAGGTGGCGGTGACCGTGGTAAACCCAGGGCGGTGGCGTGGGATCGCGGGTCCTTACGCTGGGCTGTCTGGTCAGCACGTGCAGGTCAGGGCAGGTCCTCTGAGCCGGCGCCCCTGGCCAGCAGGCGAGGCTACAGTACCTGCTGTCTTTCCAGGAGGAAGGGGCTCCCCATGAGGGAGGGGCAACGGGGGAGGCGGGTGATGGTGTCTGGGAGCCTGCGTGTGCAGCCGGAGCTTGTTGAACTGGCAGGGGGTGGGTGGGGGCTGCAGCTTTCCTTAATGTGGTTGCACAGGGGTCCTCTGAGACCACCCGGCCTGAGGTGGACACCCTGGGCCTTCCTGGAAGCCTGCAGTTGGGGACCTGCCCTGAGTCTGCTGGGGAGTGGGCATTCTCTGCCAGGGACCCATGAGCAGGCTGCATGGTCTAGAGGTTGTGGGCAGCATGGACAGTCCCCCACTCAGAAGTGCAAGAGTTCCAAAGAGCCTCTGGCCCAGGCGCCTCCGTGGGACAGCCCCGCCGCCCCTCCCCACCAGGGCTTTGCAGATGTCCTTGAAAGACCCACCCTAGAGCCCTTTGGAGTGCTGGCCCCTCCTGTGTCCTCTGCCCTGGTGGAAGTGGCAGCCACAAGTCCTCCTCAGGGAGCCCCAAGGGGGATTTTGTGGGACCGCTGCCCACAGATCCAGGTGTTGGAAGGGCAGTGGGTAAGGTTCCCAAGCCAGCCCCCACACCCTTCCCACTTGGCACCCAGAGGGGGCTGTGGGTCGAGGCCTGACTCTAGGCCTCTCCTGCCCACACCCTCTGGGCTGAGTTCCTTCTTTCCCTTGAATGCCCAGTGCTGGCCTTGGAGGATGGTCAGCTGGAGGACGGCGGTGGGGGAGGCTGTCTTTGTACCACTGCAGCATCCCCCACTTCTCCACAGAAGCCCCATCCCAAAGCTGCTGCCCGACCCCTTGCTGTAAAATGTGAAGGGGGTGGCTGAGTTCTCTTAGGACCCAGAGCCAGGGCCCTCAGCTTCCATCCTGCGGGAGGCCTTGGCCGGGCACTGCCAGCGTCTTCCAGAGCCACACCAGGGACCACGGGAGGATCCTGACCCCTGCAGGGCTCAGGGGTCAGCACGGACCCACTGCCCCATCTCCCTCTCCCCACCAAGACAGCCCCAGAAGGAGCAGCCAGCTGGGATGGGAACCCAAGGCTGCCCACATGTGGCTTTTGTGGGACTCAGAAAGGGAAGCAGAACCGAGGGCTGGGATATTACTCATGGTGGCAGCTCTCATAGTGCAAGCCTACTGTAATATGCACCCATCTCATCCATGTAGTAAAGTGAACTTAAAAATTAAATGAACAATTAAATAAACACCTGTGTGTTTAAGACATGAAAAAAAAAATCAGTTTCCTATGTAATTGTGTTCTAATGATCTACAGCCTTCCAAGTCAGGAATTTTTTCATAGGGCTTAGTCTAAATCCTTCCTGCTGTTCAATGTGCTATCTGAGGAGGAGAGAAGTCATGGCATACCCGTTGAGTCTTTGAACATCCACGTGTTGTCAGTCTCATCCTCCAAAGGTGATCTGCTCTCGGACTCACTAAATCGGCTGCGCCGGAGGGAGTGGGAGATGGGGGCCCGGCGGCGGCTTCTCTTGCTGAGCTGCACCCGGGTCTTGAGGGCACTTGAGTCGAGGACTGAGGTTTGCTTTGGGAGCAGCAGGGAGGAAGAGGAAAAAAATCAAGGGAACCATCAATGGAGGGTACCACAACACAGTTGGCGGTACACAGCTTCGTTGACAGATGAGAGGCTATTTAGGTGGTACCTAGGCCAGGGCTTCCACATTTTAATAGTAACCTAACACCCAAAGCCTAAATTTCCCCATAAAACATACCCCATAGGCTGATGACAAAAGTCAGGTGGAACAATGAACCTTGAGTGCCCTAGTACAGTGCCTGGCTTCCTGGCACCCAGTAGGCACATAATACAAATGCCTTTTCCCTCCCAGTGACATCCACCACACAAGCATGTAATCTACAGCAATGATCAGTACACAGCAGGAGCTCAATTAATGTTTGTTTGTTGAATGAATAATGGATTCAACATCTAACTAAATCCTTCTGTCAACTGTATTCACACAGAGTCCCCGGGTTGAGACGTTCTCCGTGGAATTCCTCCATTACTCACATAATCTAGGGTGCAGGTGGGAAGGGAGGGGGCAGCTTACTAAACATCAGGAGTCCATTTTCAGGCATCCCTGAAGACTCACACTCGGAGCTGCGACAGGTGGGGGGTTGGTGAGGGCCCCCCCAGTGAAAGGGTGGGGAGCACAGACCATCTGGGTGGGCCCCAGTAAGGAGATGGGAAGTGCCTGGCTCAGAATTCTCCCGGGAGACAGCAGTGAAGTGCTCAGAGCTGGGGTTCAAACCCTGCTGGGTTCGAATCCTGGTTATGTGACCTTGGGCAATGAGCTTCACTTCTCTGAGCTTGGGTGTCCCTATTTATAAAAAGGAGATAAACAGAGTGCCTCCTTCCTACAGTGGCTGAGAGAACTCCCTGTGCTCAGGTGTGGAAAGCCCTTGTTTCAGACAGAGCCTGACCACGGCTCACAGCCAAGAGCTCTTTCCGGCAAGCTCACGTTCTTACATGAAATGTTGGTTTCTTCCGCCTAGGTCCACTTTGGAGAAATTCCATCACCCAAGGCCTTCTAAGTCAGTGATGACAGGCTAATTTCAATGAATCATTTCCCAACAATGGTAAGTAACAAAAGTCCCAATGGGGTGGTGGAAGGAGCTGATCATAGCTACTTCCCAAACCAGCCACAGTGGTATCTTGTGAGGAGACTTGCACGGGACCAGTGAAAGAGGGGGAAAGACGGAAATCAGAAAGTGCCTGCTGCACCTAGAGGCAGGCTTGCTTCTCCGGCCACTTAACAGAGCCAGGTTTTCAGACTCCAAGAGAGCAGGACAGAATCACACTGACAGAGGGGCTGGCTTGGAGGGGAAGATGGTGCCACCCTTGCATCCTCAGCCTGGTACAGAGACTGGATTCCTTAGTGCTCCGCCTCCGCCTCCCCATTTGGCCTCCAAACCGTCCCCACAGGAGACCTAAATCATGGTTGGCACCATACATAAACCTCAGTATCCCCACAGGAGACCCAAATCGTGGTGGGCATCACACATAAACCGCAGTATAATTTCAGTAAGCGTTAGACCTATGCTTCGGGACACCAGCATTTAGAGTCACTCCATGGCCACTCTGATTTGCTAATTTGCAAAAAGCGCAGGCAGTTTTGCCTCTGGGGTTATTAACATGTGCCTGGGCCAGTGGTCAACACTCACTGATTGTTGTTTATAATGGACATCAAGAAGGAACCACTTAGCGTTCTAGCAGGAAAGTTCATGATGCAGTGACATGATGCTGGCATGTAAGGCACACAGCAAGATCTCAATACATGTCTGTTGAGTGAATAACTGAATATATCACCTAACTAAATCCTGATGACACCCAGGGAGGTGGGCATGGCCATGGTTATATAATGGGGTTCCCCAATCAAGACTCAACTTGTGTCTTTCTTTGTCTCCGCCCTGATCTAGAGGTGCCAGCGAGAGACCTTGGCCATATACTGAAGGAGAATCCTCTTTGAAGCCCTAAAGGAAGCCCTTTTTCTAAAGCAGCGGTGTTCCTCCTCTGGGGAAATGTGGGTAGCCATGCCCAAGTGTGTAGGTGGGAGGCTTTACTGCCAGGAGAGAGGGTCCCTTTCACATTTTGCAGATGTTCCATCCCCCAGAAAGTGGGCAGGTAGCCCTATTGTTACGCGAGGAGAATAATGACATCACCCCTGGGTTTCAAGGGTTGAAAAGGAAGACCTGCCTGACCCCTGGAGGTGGGGCTCCCAGGGGAAAGGAGGATAAGTTCTGGTCTGGAAGATGCTAGAGCAGGAGACCGTTTGACCTGCTATGCTGGGGCAGCTGACATCCTGGCTGTGCTTGGGACCTGAAAGAGCTGAGTGCTAGGGACTGTCCCCTGGGACCTCCATGAAAGGTGCCCATGCCTGAGGGGACTTTCTGTCCTGGAAGAGCCACTACAGAGACAGTCGGATCCCCTGATACCAGGGACACTGTTGTACCAAGCAAGACCTTAGTGAGAACGTTCAGCAGAATCATTCTGAGCAAACTCCAGCCTCTTCATGCTTGCAACTATAAACCTCAGGGTGACTTCCCAGGGGTAAGTGGTCAGACTCCCTGCTTACCTAGCAGGTAAGGGCTTAGATCAGTTTTAATTTGAATGCATGCAATTGTATTTGAGGCTGTGGAGCTGATGATGCTGGTTACAAGTGGATAAGGAAGCTGAGGCTCAGAGAGGTGAAGACATTTGCCCCAAGACACACAGCAGGTGTATGGCAGGTCCAAGATACATGCATAAGTGAGTCCCATTTCAAAGACAGTGCCCTCCGTACCCACTCCAAGGGTCCCTGGCACACAGATCCTACACCTGAAGTGGCAATTCACAGAGAGAGGCTGGAATTTCCATTTAAGAAGAAATGCTCCTGGCCACTGACTTACATCAATGAAGGAGAAGTCATCTACTCTCTTTTCAGGGCAGGCGTCCGGTGGAGGCGGCCCCTCCATCCCATCGGTGGATTCCAGGTCAGTGCTGGAGTGGTCCACGCTGGTGCTCCGCTGGTCCCTGGAGCAGTCATACTGGTCCCCTGCCGAGGTGGGCTCCGTTTGGGAGGACAGAGAAGACAAACGGCTGCTGGGGGGCTGTTTCCTTGTCGATGTGGCACTGCTATCTGGGGACTCAGTGGCCAAGCTGCCAAAAAAGGGAATGAAGGGAGACATGGTTATGGAGAACGTTTCAGAGAACGGGATTTCAAGTGAAGGATGCTGCAGGCAGCATAGCTTGGGTTATGTTTTATAAGCCAAGTAACAACAGACAGAACATCCCAGCAGAAGACCCTCTTTGGAAACAGCACAAGATGTGCCAGCGAGGTGCTGTCTAAGGCACTGCCTGGAACACCTGGCCAGGTGCAGAATGGGAGGAGTCAGTCCTGTGCCACTCAAGATCCTTTGGCCCTGCGCTGTCCTGGACGGAAGCTGCTTATCACAGGTGGTTGTTGGGTCCTTGCAATGGAGCAAGTGACAGAGCTGAGATATGCCGTGAGCATCTTACACACTGGATTTCCTATACCTTACACACTGGATTTCCAATACTTTGAATAGAAAAAAAGAATGTAAACTGCCTCGCTAATAACTTTTCATGTTAATTACATGTGGAAATGATAGTATTTTGGATCCCTTGGTTCTGATAAAATACATCCCTAAATTGAATTTCACTTGTTTCTTTTTATTCTTTTGGTGTAGCTACCAGGACATTTTAAATTACATATATGTCTTGCATTTGCAGCTTACATTATAATTCTTTTTTATTTATAATCGATACATAGTAATTACACGTTTCCGGGGTACAGAGTGGTGTTTCAATACATGTATATATTGCATAAGGATCAAATCATCATGTTGTATTTCTGCTGGGCAGTGCTGATGTAGATCAAATTGTTATCAGCAGTTACCTATGGAAGAGCAGGTGGTGGGACCTGCATTATTTCATTCACTTATTCATTCAGTCATTTAATAAAAATCTACTGAGCACTTACTATGTGCCAAGCATTGTGCTAAAAAATGTGTCATTCAGTCCTCTCCAATAATCCTATGAGGATTAGCCTATAACTGCCACAATCCTACAAGTTAGGGTTGGTGACATGGTTTGGATTTGTGTCCCCAACTAAATCTCATGTCGAATTGGAGGAAGGGCCTGGTGGGGGGAAGTGATTGGATAATGGGGGCAGATGTCCTCCTTGCTGTTCTCATGATAGTGAGTGAGCTCTCACAAGATCTGATGGTTTAAAAGTGTGTGGCACCTTCCCGTTCTCTCTCTCCTGCTGCCAGGTAGGACGTGCCTTGCTTCCCCTTCACCTTCCGCCATGATTGTAAGTTTCCTGAGGCTTCCCCAGCCCTGCAGAACTGTGAGTCAATTAAACCTCTTTCCTTTACAAATTACCCAGTCTCAGGTAGTTCTGTATAGCAGTGTGAAAACAGACTAATATAATTGGCCTCATGAACTTAAGTATTCTTATTCACCTTGTTAAAGGTGAGGAAACTGAGGCATAGAGATGTAAATTAGCTTGTCCCCAGCAACAGGACTGGGATTGAGCCCAGGCAGTCTGACTCCAGCGTCCATGTCCTTGGCTCTCTCCTACTTCTGAAATCTCTTCCTATGATAATATAATCAGGTATCACTTGGGTCATTGGAATAATGTAAGATAGAAAATTTACAGATAATTCAAGTCATTAAAAACCTCCTGCCCTGCCTCCATCCACATATTAAAAAGAACACCTAAGCCAATAGCCTAGCAAAGCCTCCAGGTCATGGGAAACCCTCGCCTTGAGAAAGGACAGGTGGGCACACCTGACAAGTGGGCCTACTCTCAAGACCACCAGTCTGCTCCCTTGAGCAGAACTTTCCACAGGTGTGCTGGCATTTCATCGTGCTTTCTGTCAGCTCTGGGGTGATTTTATTACTTGTCATATGGAGGATGTTAGGGTTGTAAGGTGGATTGAGGCAAATCCACACGGGATGAAGGTAACAGCACTGAGAGACAGCAGGTGGCACCACTGTCCAAGGCTGGGTGTGCCATGCTCCTGGGGTGGCCCGAGGAGGGGAAGTTGCATTGTCTCTGCAGGACAGCAGGGAGCACCCCCTCAGGGGTGCACCTAAGTCCACACTCCAGGTCCCACAGGTCCTGAGTCAGAACTGGGGAATGGAGACCCCGAGAGAGGAACGGGCTCCTAGGGTCACACAGTGACATGTGCAAAACCAAGACCTGGGTTTCCAGACTCTCAGTCCAGTGCTCTTGCAGGGGTATTCTAGATAAATTTAAGTAAGCTCATAACTAAACACATATTTCATGGGTCAGTGGGAAAAACAGCTTTCTCGGGCACTGTAAAAAACCTTTGCTTTCCTTTTACTTTTTCTTATCCATTTTCAATTCTATCACCCTCCTGCCAACTTTAATATTGGTGACTTTATCATTTTTATCACTGTGGTAAAATACAATTTGCCATTGGTCACATGCAGGACAGTCACAGTGTTGTGGAGCCATCATCACTGTCATCCTAGAAATTTCCATCACCCCAAAAGGAAACCAGATACCCACGAAGCAGCCACTCCCCATTCCCTCTCCACCCCAGCGCCTCATCTGTTTTCTGTCTCTATGGTATTTGCCTATCTTGGATATTTCATATATCATTATTATTATTATTATTTTTTTTTAGACAAGGTGTCTCTCTCTGTCGCCCAGGCTGGATTGAGTGCATTGGCGCAATCTTGGCTTACTGCAGCCTCCACCTCCCGGGTTCAAGTGATTCTTGTGCTTCAGCCTCCTGAGCAGTTGGCATCACAGGTGCCCACCACCACACCCAGCTAATTTTTTTTGCGTTTTTAGTAGAGATGGGGTTTCGCCATGTTGGCCAGGCTGGTCTCAAACTCCAGGCCTCAAGTGATCTGCCCGCCTGGGCTTCCCAAAGTGCTGGGATTACAGGTGTGAGCCACTGTGGCTGACCCATAATCTTTTTTTGTTTGTTTTTTTGAGACGGAGTCTTGCTCTGTCCCCCAGGCTGGAGTGCAGTGGCACAATCCCGGCTCACTGCAACCTCCGCCTCCCAGGTTCAAGTGATTGATTCTCCTGCCTCAGCCTCCCAAGTAGCTGGGATTACAGGGGTACGCTGCCACACCCAGCTAATTTTTTGTATTTTAGTAGAGACGGGGTTCCACCATGTTTCCCAGTCTGGTCTCGAACTCCTGAGCTCAGGCAATCCGCCCGCCTCAGCCTCCCAAAGTGCTGGGATTACAGACGTGAGCCACCGCACCCGGCCCATAATCTTTATTATTATTTTTTTGTACTTCCTAATTTCCTTTTTAAAAGAAGAATGGGTTCCTTTTATAATTACAGACTGGAGGTTTTAGCAATATAGAAATCAGGAGGTGGGTGGGCTGCAGCAACTCCAGCCCAGCTGCCCCCTTTGCAGCCAGAATCCCGTCGCACGCGTCCTACCTCTCCCCACTCTGGCACTGCTCTGTCCACGTCCCATACTGGCTGCCGGCTTCGTGCACGAGGGTGTCAGTGTCCTTGGGTTCAGTGGGCTGCCGGGAGAAACACTGCTTCAGCTGGTCCTGCAAAGACAAGCCAGATGTGAGATTTCTACCAGGAAATGTACTCAGAACCCCCGTCCCGGCTGACACACAAATCAGATCGCATGGCCCCCAGCTCAAACCCATCCCAGCAACCCGCTGCCTTCCTAAGTGGGGCCAGACATCTTGGCTGGGCACTAGCGTGACCAATCGTCCTGGTTTACCAAGATATCACAGGATACAGGACTTTCAGTGCTAAAAGTGGGCCAACTGGGATGAAGTGGTCACCCTACCTGGCATGTGGAGCCCTGCAGGGCATCGCCTGGCCCCCACCTCAATGGCCCTCTCTCCTCCTCACAGTACAGCCTGGGCACACTTCTCTCATCTTCAGTGTTACTCAGACTCATGGATCTGGCTGGGGGAAGCTCCATGCACCCGCTTGCCCAGGTTCCTACCACCACCGTGTTTCCCAACCGCATCACCAGACAGAACATCCATGGAGCACCGAACTTGGGACAGGCATTGGGCTGAGCTCTTGACATGAGATCACCTGGTTGAACTACAGTCCCTCGACAATCCCATGGGGTGGATCTTATTACGATCCCCATTTTACAGATGATAAAATTGAGGCTTAAAAACATGAAATTACGGCCGGGCATGGTGGCTCACTCTTGTAATCCCAGTACTTTGGGAGGCCGAGGTGGGCGGATCACGAGGTCAGGAGATCGAGACCATCCTGGCTAACATGGTGAAACCTCATCTCTACTAAAAATATAAAAAATTAGCTGGGTGTGGTGGCAGGCGCCTATAGTTCCAGCTACTTGGGAGGCTGAGGCAGGAGAACGGCGTGAACTCGGGAGGCGGAGCTTGCAATGAGCCAAGATTGCACCACTCCAGCCTGGGCGACAGAGAGACACTCCATCTCAAACAAAAAACATGAAATTACACGCCCCAAATCAAATAGCCAGTAAACAGCCAGCGAAGTGGAATTCAACCCCCAGGTCCAAACCACTGCGCTTCAGGCAACATCAATCCCTTGGGCTGTTGCAACCCGGTCTGTTGCTGGTCTCGGCCCTCGGCCTGGGCACTCAGAGAGGGCACGCAGGGAGCAAGGGTGCTGATTAGCACAGAACTGACCACAGGGCCAAGCCTGGCACACGGTGGAAAGGCCATAAATCCCCATTAAATGACTGAACTGCTGTCTTCCCTCATTTGTCTGCTTCGCAAATTAAAAGCCCATTCCCTGTGATGTGGCCACTGAAGTGGCTGCCACTTAGGCTTGTGCTTTGTTGAGTGGGGAGAAGCTGGTGCCCTCAAGACAAAACCAAAAGTCCAATCCTTGGATGGGCCGTTGGCACACTGATGACTCAGACGGCCTTGGCTGCCTGAGCTTTGAAGCTTTGAATGACGCTCTCAGTCACCTTTTTTTTTTTTTTTTTTTTTGAGACAAGGTCTTACTCTGTCACCTAGGCTGGAGTACAGTGGTGCAATCACAGCTCACTCCAGCCTTGGCCTCTGGGGCTCAAGTAATCCTCCTGCCTGAGACTCCCAAGTAGCTGGGAGTATAGGTATACACTACCACACCCAGCTATTTAAAAAAATTTTTTTGTAGAGATGGGGTCTCGTCATGTTGCCCAGGCTGGTCTTAATCTCCTGGGCTCAAGAAATCCTCCTGCCTCAGCCTCTCAAAGCATTGCAATTACATTGCATGGTGAGGCACCACGCCCAGCCCCAGTCACTGTCTTTTGATGAGGAATTTGGAGATGGGGGTTAGGGCATAAGACTGGCCCAGAAAGACAAACGGGGCTCATCTTTACTCCTTACGTTCTGTTCCATTTGAGATCAGGAGGCACATTCTGCTGGAATATGCTTCATATCATCTCCTGCTCAAAAACCTTCCGGGGTTCCCTATTGTCCTCACGTAGAAATCCAAGGCCCCTTGAAAGTGAGCCCCCACATTTCCTGTCTGATCCCATCCCCTACCCTTGCTCCAAACAAACTCTCTATCCCACACTCTTTGGCTTACTACATACCATACCCACACAAGCCTCACACACTCCTGGCCTCTGCAGCCTTGTTTGTATCATTCCACCTCCCTATCCATCCTTCTTAAACAAAGCTATTGCAACCCATGGTGATATCTCCTCCCTAAACTTTTTTTTTTTTCCCTAGATGGAGTCCCACCCTGTCTCCCAGGCTGGAGTGCAGTGGTGCAATCTTGGCTCACCGCAACCTCCGCCTCCCAGGTTCAAGTGATTTTCTTGCCTCAGCCTCCTTAGTAGCTGGGATTACAGGCACACACCACCATGCCTGGCTAATTTGTTTGTATTTTTAGTGGAGACAGGGTTTCACCACATTGCCCAGGCTGGTCACGAACTCCTGGCCTCAGGTGATCCGCCCACCTCGGCCTCCCGCAGTGCTGGGATTCCAGGCGTGAGCCACCACTGTATACCCTGGATGACTTATCAATTGTACCAGGCAGAACGTGACACATAATTTATATTACACAACAGATATTTACTGAGCTCCTACTACATGCTAGGCACCGGGGAACTGGGCGTGGGAGGTCACGGCACAGACGCAGGCTCTAGGATTCTGCAACTCATCAGATGTGCCCTTTAAGACTGGGATGCTCCAATGTTTCTGTTCCCCTCTTGGAGCCTGCCTGGCACGCAGTAGGTGCTTAGTTAACGGAGGTGGGCTGATTGTTCCTCAGCAGTTTATCTTCTTCCCAGGCAGGGGAGCCAGCCTCTTCTCAGGTTCTCTGGAACCACACTGAGCCGAGACAGCACTTGTGGTCCATGTGGTCCTGCAGAATGAGTGGGCACCTGGGGAAAAGCCTGCTGTGTGGCCTCAGGGCTCTGGCTTCCCTCTCTGAATTGCAGAGAAGTTACAAGAATTCAGTGAGAAAATAATGGTCACCCCCAGGGCACAGGCGCAAACTTGACAGCTCCTAGAACAGGGCCCAGCACTCAGGAAACATCCCATAAATGGTCACCTCCTTTCCATTCTCTTTCTCTTGCCTTTTAGAGATACTCATGTACCCCATGATGTTCGTGGGAATACTGTGAATGAGGTGTATACAAGGACGGGAATTCAGAATAAATCCCTCAGTCACCCCTGCTAAATGGCTACACTCATAGACCCAAATAAGAGCTGCTGTCCACTCTTAATTCTACTGTCTGTAGAAGCTTTTCTGTCTCTAGTTACAACATAACACCTTACTCACTGTAAAACATTTAGGAGTAACGGAAAATCACAAAGAATACATTTTAAAAGAACTTATCACCCAAAGACAGTATTCTCTCATAGTCCTGCCCGGAATTTTCTCAGGATCAATTCACCTACATCACCATTTTACTGGCTGAAGAATATTTCACTTTTCGGATGCAGCATCTTCCAATTAACCAGTCCCCAAGTGCTGGGACTTTTGGTTGCTGAGGATTTTCTTCACCACTATAATCAATAATATGACGAACACCCCTGAGGCTAAATCAACACATCTCTGCAATTATTCCCGTAAGAGAAATTACTAGGTATAGAGTCACCAGGTCAAAGGGCTTTGGGATCCAGATGAGCAAGCCAGCTTTGGAAGAGGCTGCCTAACTTCCAAGCCTACGGGCAGCACATAGGGATAGCTGTTAGCACGCTGTAGGGATGCACTCAGGCCCTGCTGGGGAGTGTTATGTTTTTGCCTTGCAAGGCAAGGTCACCTGATATACTCAGAGGCACAGCACCATCGACAGAATTCTCCCTGGGACGCAGGGCTAGAAGTGGTCATCTGAGCCCGCTCCCAGCTCCTTACTGTTTTCAAAGATGTGATGGAACTGGCCATTCCCTAACTTAATGCCCTTCAGAGGTCAGATTCAGAGGCCAGATGCTGGGGACTTAGGGGTTGTTTCTGGTGGAGGACAAGACATCGTTGTCCCAAGCAGCTTGTTGTCCCGAGGCTGCAAGGTGGATGCTGGGCTTGTGCCTGTGTATGCTAAGCTCAGCGGGAGGCAGAGGAGTGACAGCTTATAGCGAGGGTGGGGACGCAGGGCAGGGCTTGCTGTCTCTGCTCTGCCCAGCTGTGTGGCCTGGCTAAGTGACCCCACCCATCCAAGCCTCAGTTTTCACACTGGAAAAACAAGGACTGTTTTGAGGTATCAACAGATAATCTTCAGAAAGTGTTAAGCTCACTGCCTGGCACATAAATGGGTACCCAGGAGATGGGAACCGTCATGATGACAGCAATTTTCAGGCCCTCTTTGGAGTCAGGCAGGGGAATGGAGCCTTGGCAAAAGGTTCTTAAAATCCCTGAGAGAGGGGGATCCCCCTCAGGGCTGAGTGATGGAAGAAGGAATTTGCAGGGGCCCCCTAGAAACCAAAAGGTCAAGTCCATTGCTGAGGGTGAAACCAGGGCAGGCGGCAGGGGGGCAGTTTCCAGACCTCTTGCGGATGGCCCTGGGGATAAATGGTGTCCAACCAAAACATGGTGGCTTCCCTTTATACAACCATCTGTGTGCCCTCCCCCACAGAGGTTTGGGATTCAGGTTCAGGGATCTGAACTCTCCAAGAGTCAGGGATGGATGGGTTTTCTCCCTCCACCGCCTAATGCCAGACTGAGGGTCCTGAGGCCAGCGCTGCTCCCTCCTCTCTCTCCTTCACTGCCATACTGCATCGATCCTCAGTCCTTCAAAGTCTCTTTCTCGAACAACATTCCTTCCAGCTATGACCAGCTATCTGTTCACCCACGGCGGCAGCTTCCGAGGGACCTCCCCTGGCATCCTTCGCCCTGTATGTGCTTCTCATTCTACTTTCCAAAACTGAATAGGTCCCTGCTCAAAGCCCTTCCACAGCCCCCCACGTCCCTCCGGGTAAGGGCTGGGGTTAGGGAAAGGGTTACGGCCTGCGGGACCTGCATGGGTGCGGGGCCTGGTGGGCTCAGCAGCTCCTTCAGTGTTGCTTCCCTCCTCCCATACCCCTCCTCTCACCCCCCAGTCCCTCCCACTGGCTCCTCCAGCCCCATTTCCCTCCCCTCACATTCCTCCCTCTCACCTCCAGGCCTGGTGGAGCAGCCACCACCTCCAAGTTACCATTCAGATTTCAACTTTGATGGCCAGGAAGCCTTCCCAGAACTTTCCCACCGTCCTACCCTGAGGGCTGGCTCAGGAGGCCCCAGGCTCCCATTGTCCCCTAGACCTCAGGTCTCTACATCTGTGCCATCTGATACAGTAGCCACTAGCCACTTATGACTATTTGAATTTAATTTAAATTGACATTAACTAATACTAAGAATTCAGTTCCCCTGTGGCACTAGCCATATTTCAAGAGCTCCACAGCCACCCACCATGCTGAACAGCATGGAGAATACATTTCTATCACTGTAGAAAGCTGTAGTGTACAGCACTGCTGTAGAACTTTCCACAGTATAATAATTATCATTTACCAGTTTCTCAGCAGTCTTCCCTGAACAAACACTGCTTCCAGAGCCAGAACACCTGGACTTGAATCCAGAGACCACCACATAGTAGCTATGTGACCTTGGACGAGCTACTTCTCTGTGTCTCAATGTTCAATCAAAGCAGGTTATGGTGAATATAACTGCATTCTCTGCTCTTTAACACAGACTGTCAAATTTGGAGTCATGCAGGGGCTAGGGTTACCTAAGGGAATTCATCTTGTAAATGCAGTTTAAGAAAGCAAGCTGTTAATCAGCACTTTCTCTAGTTAGTATCCTGGTAACCTTGTGCATTACAAGTTATTCATGCCTCATCATTCTACCAGAACTTGGCGGGACTTCAAATCAACACTTGAGCTTAGCCCCAGAGCTACGAGGCCTCAAAATCAACCACAGACACACACACACACACACACACACACACACACACACACACACACGCCTGCAACTCTCTCTCTTTTTTTTTTTTTCCCGAGACAGTCTCACTCTGTTGCCCAGGCTGGAGTGTAATAGGACAATCTCGGCTCACTGCAAGCTCCACCTCCTGGATTCAAGTGATTCTCCTGCCTCAGCCTCCCGAATAGCTGGGACTACAGGTGCGTGCCACCAGGCCCAGCTAATTTTTGTATTTTTAGTAGAGAGGGGGTTTCACCATGTTGCCCAGGCTGGTCTTGAACTCCTGACCTCATGATCCGCCTGCCTTGGCCTCCCAAAGTGCTGGGATTACAGGCATGAGCCACCATACCGGGCCCCTGCAACTCACTTTCTACAAGTCAGGTTGTTTTATTAGCTTTAAGGCAGGATATTCTTCCAACTCTTTTGCTTCACAGGCTGCTGTAAAAAACACCTTAGTGACTGCAGGCAGGTGGATAATATACAAGATACTCTGAAAATACACATGATGAATTAAAAGGCAGGCAGAGAGCTCTGCCTGAATTGGTCTCCATTTATCCAAGTCTCCAATCTCTACCTTGGTTTGGTCGTATGTCAAATGAGGTTGACTGAATACTGTAATGTACACCTGGACGGACCCCCTGAGTCCATTCAGTCGGCCCTTCCTTTTCAGATGAGAAAATGGAAGCCCAGAAGCAGGAACAGCTATGGGGCTCTTAGTTCTCCTGGTGAGTGGGAAGCGGAGCTGGGGAGACTGGAACCCAGGCTCTGGGCTCCTTTCCCAGTGCTCCTTCCTGCCACCAACATTCTACCTGCCCCACCTTTTCTATGATGCATCAGGAGGCTCTCAGAAAGAGATGTAGGTTACAATGCTCTGAAAAACCTCAAGACTTGGCAGGTTTAAAAACCACTTGCCTGGACTGGCTTGCCAAGCCCCAAAGCCACTGGAAGGTGAGAACTCTGGGCCCTTGTCTTGCAGGCAAAGACAAGTGCCTCAGTGGACAGCTTTGGGGAGACAGGGTAACATGTACCCCCTAAAGGCTATATTAAAACAACCCATAATATATGTCCCCAAATTTAAAATCTGCATAGCCTTAATTCAGTAACTTTTGCTCCAGAAATTTATCTCAAGGAAACCATCAGAGATACCTGCCAAGATCTATGAACATGGACACCGCCCTGCAGGATTAGTTATTATTGCAAAATACGAGAGACAACCTAAATGTTCAATAAGGCAGGAGACGGTGAAATACAATATCCATGCAATGGATAAATACAGCCAAGGAATGGCCGGGCGTGGTGGCTCATGCCTGTAATCCCAGCACTTTGGGAGGCCGAGGTGGGCATCACAAGGTCAAGAGATCGAGACCATCCCAGCCAACATTGTGAAACCCCATCTCTACTAAAAATATAAAAATTAGCTGGGCGTGGTGGCGTGCACCTGTAGTCCCAGCTACTTTGGAGGCTGAGGTAAGAGAATCACTTGAACCCGGGTAGCGGAGGTTGCAATGAGCAGAGATCGCACCACTGCACTCCAGCCTGGGTGACAGTGTGAGACTCCATCTCAAAAAAAAAAAAAAAAAAAATACAGCCAAGGAAAATAATGTCCAGAAGTAATATTTACTGTCACAGAAAGATGTCTGCCATAAACTAGAAAATGTAAAAAAAAAAAAAAAAAAAAAAAAAAAAAAAAATTTGAGGCAATGTCTCACTCTATCACCCAGGCTGGAGTGCAGTGACACTGTCAACGGCTCACTGCAGCCTCGACTCCTCAGGCTTAAGTGATCCTCCCATCTTAGCCTCCTGAGTAGCTGGGACTACAGGCATGTGCCACCATGCCTGGCTAATTTTTGTATTTTTTGTAGAGACAAGGTTTCACCGTGTTGCCCAGGCTGGTCTTGAATTCCTGGGCTCAAGCGATCTACCTGCCTCTGCCTCCCAAAGTGCTGGGATTATAGGCCTGAGCCACCATGCCAGGCCAAAAAAAATTTTTTTAAGGTAACAAAACAATGTGTGTTGTGACACCAGTTTTGTGAAAACAAACACATAAATGGGAGTATATGTACACATCATAAGTTAAGTACCAATCAGAAACAGGCTCTTAGTCAATCTACACCAGAGTTTAGCAAACTTTTTCTATAAAGGGCTAGATAGTAAATATTTTGGGCTTTGTGGGTCATGATGGTCTCTGTTCCAGTTACTCAATTCTGCTGTTGTTAATGCAAAGGCAGCACAAGACTCATAGCTAAATGAGTGTGCATGGCTGTGTCCCAATAAAACTTTATTTACAAAAGAAGTAGCCGGCTAGATTTTGCTTTCAGGCAGTAGTTTGCTGATCTCTGATCTATAGAGGCTCTTTCATTCATCACAGTACCCCAGCACTTAGAACAACACCTCACCTCTAGTAGTTGTGGAATAAACATTTGTTGGAGAAATATGTTTCTGAGAATAATATTTTTGCAGTGAGTAACCATGAGTTTCTTAAATAGAAAAGGTGACATAGTTACACAGGGGATGGGAAAAAGAGAAAATATTACACCTGCATGTATTTTGGGGTGTTTGACACATCCGCCTAAGAAAGAACCCTGAGTCAGGGCAGTGCTCGGTGGCACACAGCTGACAGAGCAGTTCTGAGAGATTCCAGAAGTGTGTCCCAATCCCCTCTGCAATTCTATACCCCCAGCTGTGCAGGGAGCACTGTGGTCATGGGGCCCAGGCCAGCGTGGGGGACACACGCTCTGTCCCAGTGCCCCTGTGGGCCCAGGCAGCTTCTCATCCTGTGTCCAGGCCAGACCAGTACCATGGCCAAGCAATAAGAGTAACAATAATGGCAGGGGCTGACACTCCTGAGCGCTGACAATGTGCCAATCATTATGCCATGGAAAGCTCCCAAGAAGCCTATAAAGTAGGAACCATGAGGAACCCATTTCACAGAGGAGGAGACTGAGGCCCAGGGAGTCGATCTGGCATGCCCAAGGTCACATGGTTTGGAAGGGGTGGAGCTGGGATTTGAACCTGAGTTTGCCTGGCACCCAAAGACATCCAAAGACAGCACATTCTCCTGGCTCTGGCTTGACACTGAGAGCTTTCCTGGGTCCTCAATAACCATTTTATAGAGGGGAAAACTAAGGACCAAGCAGTGGGAGGCATGCCCAGCCAGGCCTGAAACCCAGTGTCCTGACTCCCTGGCCAGTGCTCTGGTCACCACAGGCCATCCCGAAGTGCATCCACAGGTGTGGTCTCAGTTGGGCCCAGGAAAAGGAGAAGGGGAGGGGCTGGAGACCAAGGATTGGCCAAGTCCCCCAGTCTGTCCCACATCCACCCTGCACGCCCAGCTGTCAGGACCGTCTTTTCAGAAGGTCCAGCAAGGCCTCGGCACACGTGCTCCCATCCCTCCAGCAGCTCCCTTCCAGCACTCTGAAGATAAAGCCGGGGTCCTCACTGGGCCCTGTGGGTCCCACTTGACCGGCACTCACTCCTGGTGCCCTTATCTCACCCTCTTTCCTCATCTGTTCTGATTTGGCCACGCGATCCTCACACACACAAGGCACCATCGTGCCACAGGCCCCTGTCTGAGCTGTTGGCTCTGCCTAGGATGCTGCCTCCACGGGCCCAGGCCCACTCATCCTTCAGATGGCACACTGATGTCAGCTCCTCTTAGGGGCTTTCCTGATCCCCAGTGGTCTACGTGGGCATCCTCCCCATCAGAGCCCTGGCCTCAGTTGGTGGTACTGAAACTATTTGTATGACTCGTTGAATGTGTGTCCCTCCCAGCACATGCAGTCTCCAAGGGGGTCGCTGTTTTTTGTCACAATTCTCAGTGCTTAGTTACAGTACCTGGCACATAGTAAGTGCTCAGTAAATAGGAAGGAGGGAAGGAGGGAAGAAAGAAGGAGAAGGAAAGTTAGGAAGGGAGAAACAGAAGAAAGGGATGGGAGAAGAAGGGAGAGGTGAGGAGGGAAGGGAAGGGGAAGGAAGGGGGTCAGACTAGAAGGAACTAGATGGGATATGAGGCTGGGCAGACCCCTCAGGACCCTCTCTCAAAGCTGCCAGCAAAAACCTGCACAACATCCCCTCCCATGGACTTGGGTCCCAGCTGAGAGAGAAGTCAGGATGTATGATGGGCTTCCGGGCAGACCACTGTGTCACCTCTGGTTACAGCACAAGCCAAGTCTTGCCCCATCCCCAGCTCTATGTCAGGGGAGGAATGGCACTTCTTAGGGAAAGTTGTGGGACAGCAGCCACTGACTCCCCCTCAGTGGGCTCCAAGGACAACAATGTAGGTGTGGCCTGGCTGGGCCAGGTGTGGCCAGGTGTAGTCAGGTGTGGCTGGATGTGGTGGCTGAGGCAGGGGGATGGTCCAGGGTCTGGGCTGATCTCCTGGCTGCAGGCTACTCAGGACATGCTGTGGACACTACTCAGTGGGGCAGGAAGGCCTTGCGGTCATCTCTGGGGTTGGTGCAAGCCTGGTGTGGAGGAGGGAGAGCAGAAGAGGAGAGGGAGACAGAGACAGGCAGTCAGAGGCAGATAGAGAAGCAGCAAGGACAGAGATGGGAGCAAGACCGAACCGAAAGAGCAAGCCCAAGACTGAGAAGCACGGAGACGGGCGCAGAGAGACACAGGGCAAGAGTAACAGGGAGGTGGAGGGGTGCCCAAGCCTCTGAATGAGGGGGCTGGATGGGCCCACCTGGGCTGCGGCTCTGTGGCTCCACCCACAGGGGCACACCCGTGTGCACCTGTGTGCATGTGGCTGAGCTGTACCTCCTGACCCGTTGTCATGAGCACAGGTGCCATCCTCAGCTCCGGCTCCACTCCCTAGATGACCTCAAGCAAGGCCCTGCCCTTCTCTGTGCCTCAGTTTACTCTGTTGGTGATCAATGGTCTGGGACTGGAGGTCTCAGCAGCTCTCTGCAGCTTGATGGCTAACCTCTGACTGCTGGCTAATGTCCAGTGTTTACAAAACGTTCTGCGTGAACTGTCAGTGTAAAGGGTTTGGCTCATTCCCCTTTAAATGAGCATGTATTCAGATTGTTCACAGTGTTGGCGGTGCACCCACCTAATTAATGATGAAATAATGGGGTTCACTCCTTGGGGCTTCAATAAAACCAGTTTTTATAAACATTCCACAGATATGCTAACAGCCCTTACTGATTAGCAATCTAAACCACAAACTTTTAGATTGCAGATATAAAATTAACCTATCCTGATGCTCTGATGTATTGCAGGTGGGACAGGTTAGCAGTTCTGAGCTAGGGCTCTATGACCGAGCAGACCAGAGCAAATCCAGCTCTACCACTTGCTAGCTACAACAACTCAACCTTTCTAGCCTCAACTTCCCTATCTGTAAAATGGGAAGCTTGGAGGTGTTGGCAGGATTCTGTCAATGTCTGGGGAGAACTAGCACATGCCTGGCATGTGGTCGGTGCCAAACAGATGCCAGTCCACATGATGATGTTGGTGTCCACTGTTCAGTTCCCAAACACATCGTTTTAACAAACATCATGACAAGGTGCTAACAGGTTCTGATGAGGCCTGACAGTTCTGTCTTTCAGCTAAGAACCAGAGTGGCTACCTAAATCAGATCCCCCAGTATCTCCCTGGACCTGACGTCCAGGGAGACTAGGACTCCCTCCAAGGGCACCCCGGGGAAGGTCCTACATCGCATAATGATCCGCAGCCCCAGCTCTGCAGGGCAGATGAGTCATCCACCGTGGTGTGCAGGCTGCAAAATGATGCCTGTGGTAGAGACATGCTGTCTCCATGGGACAAGCGTTACCCAAAGTGACAGGAACACAAGTTTGCAGCTGGTCTGCAGGAGGCGTATTTGGTTTCCCGGCTGGGAGTGCCTGACAAAGCTCTGAGTGGGGGCTTCCTTGGAGGCTATAAACACAAACAACAGCTGGGCTGGGAGGCCCAGGCTCCTGTCGGCCTCAGAGGCAGGGTTCCCCTAGACCCAAGAAGCCCAGTGGGCACCCTAGAGCCTGCGCTGTGGGTGTCAGAGGTAGGCAGGGAGGCAATAAGAATAGTAACAGCCACAAACACCTAAGAAGCGCCAACTGCATGCCTGGCACCATGTCAAATTCCTTATGTAGACCATCAAGTTTAATTCCCATAATAGATACTGTTAATATCCCCATTTCACAGATAAGTGAGCTGAAGTTCTGACACATTAAATAGTAACAATAGCAGACACTTGGATGGTGCTTACTGCATGCTGGGCCGTGACATTTAGTCCTCCCAACAATCCGAGAAATCAGGTACTGTTACTATCCCCACTTTCTGCATGAGAAGACCGAGGCACAGAGAGGAAGGAGCTCCATTCAAACCCAGGTGGCTGGGCTTCAAGTTAGTGGCCTGCGATTCCCCACTCTACCAACGCCCACTGCAGTTTTACCCAGGAAGTACTCCTTGGTCCAGTGTGTCGGCTGCTGGCAGTATGGCCCGGGGTCTGTTTGGAATGTGTCCCTAAAATGCGGCCCAGGCATCCACTCCCCCAGGAAGCCTCTCCTGGCTGGCCCCATCCCCAGGTGGGTTCTTAGGACCCCCATAGAACCCCCTGTGCTCACCCCATCATAGAAATTATTGGGCTGGGCTGTGATTATCGTTTGACTGTGTTCTCTAAACTGTAAGCTCCCTGAGGTCAGGAACTGGGGTCTGTTCGCCCTCAAATGCCAGTGACAAGTTCAGAGACAGCCACAGTGGACAGGAAGCAAGTGAAGATGGATGGATGGATGGAGTGAATGAACCCATAAATGACTCCCTGTCCCCTCTCTAATGTCAGAATGACACTGCTATTTACCCAGACCCTCTTGATATATCACAGGACCATCTGCTTTTATATATGTCCTTAAAATTTAATTCTTGTTGCTTTTTAAAACAAATTGTTTTTTATAAAACACTATGTGGGCTGGGCATGGTGGCTCACGCCTGTAATCCCAGGACTTTGGGAGGCCGAGGCAGGCGGATCACAAGGTCAGGAGATCAAGACCATCCTGCCTGACACAGTGAAACCCCATCTCTAGTAAAAATACAAAAAATTAGCCGGGCGTGGTGGTGGGTACCTGTAGTCCCAGCTACTCGGGAGGCTGAGGCAGGAGAAAGGCATGAACCTGGGAGGTGGAGGTTGCAGTAAGCTGAGATCGTGCCACTGCACTCCAGCCTGGGCAACAGAGGGAGACTCCATCTGAATAAAAAAAAAAATAAAAAGAACAGGAAAAAAAAAAAACTATGTGCAGTGTGCTGACAGTGAAACTGGGGTGGCCTGTGTGATACATTTAGGTGCAAAATAGGAGAGACTGATCCTGAGGGAGAAGAAAAATGCCCAAAATAATCAGGGGAGAGGGGAGGGGCACAGAACATTCTAGAAGTACTGTGGCACTCTTGCATGGAGATAGACAAATTTGATGTTCTTTTTAACTCAGAATTTCTGTTAATATAAGCTCTACAGTTCTAAGGTTACGATGAGTCAAGGGAAAAGAGAATCTGGAGTTTTAAAAAATGTATTTAACCTAAAGTATAGAACAATTATAATGTAGAACTCTATTTAATTGTTAGAAAGAATAGTTAAAAAGAATGAGGCAGACATAAGTTTACTGACATGGAACGACCTCCAAGATTCACTGTCTAGTGAGTAAAGCAAGGTGCAAAGTAACAGGTGGCAGACCCTGCCATTCGTGAGGGGGAAAAAAGTAAAGACCAAAACGCACAGAATACCTAAGGACACAAGAAAACTGCAATCATACTTGTCTCTAGGAGAGGAATTGCGTGACTAGAGGACGAGGAGAGATGACTTTTTTTTATTCTACCTCTTTTTGTATTTTGTAACATTTGTGGCTAGTGATATAAAAAGTACATTTTGAAAATGTATAATTATATGTAAGTATATAATTCTTTTACGTTTCCCAGCATCTCCTTTTAATGGAATCTGCTCCCACTGATCCCAACTTGGCTCCTCTTGGAGGGATTCTTAAAACAGACTAAGCCCAATTTGACTTCTTTTTTTGAAACATCACATGTCAAAACATCTCTCTCACAGTTTATTTCAGGCTAGGGCTCAACTTGTCAGGTGACAGAACTGCAGCCTTGCAGCGTACGTGTAAACCTGTTGAGGAGGCAGGGCGCTGGGTGTGTCTCCCTATTGACTGAGGACCCCAAATCCTCCAGCCCAAGGCCTGGTCTCTCTCTCCCTGCCAGAACACTGCCACCAACTCAGCTGTGTTCTATGGGAATGATGACATTCCAATGTCACAAAGTGGCTTGACCATCCCTGCTACTGGAAGTCCATCCAGCAGACAGATGCACGCACACACAGATCCACACATACATGTATATACACACAAATGTATATACACAAAACACATACACATAGATGCAGACATACATGAGTATATACACAAACACATATACACAAAACACATACACAAACACATGCAGATGCACACATATATGTATATATACACACATGCAAAGACACAAAAACACATACGGATGTACACATACACATATATACACACAAATACATATAAACACAACACATGCACACACACACAAATGCACACAAACATGTACACAAAACACAAACACATATGCACACATATACACACAAACACATATACACATGAAAATATAAACACACACAAATGCATACACACAAATACACACATATATGCACACAATTACATATACATAAAAAGCACATACAGGCCAGGCACGGTGGCTCATGCCTGTAATCCCAGCACTTTGGGAAGCCGAGGAGGGCGGATCACGAGGTCAGGAGATCAAGACTATCCTGGCTAACACGGTGAAACCCCATCTCTACTAAAAAAATACAAAAATATTAGCCAGGCATGGTGGCGGGTGCCTGTAGTCCCAGCTACTCGGGAGGCTGAGGCAGGAGAATGGCATGAACCTAGGAGGTGAGAGCTTGCAGTGAGCCGAGATCACGCCACTGCACTCCAGCCTGGGTGCCACAGCAAGACTCCATCTCAAAAAAAAAAAAAAAAAAAAAAAAAAAGCACATACACACATACATGCACAAAAAAGATACACACAAATACACACATACATATATATGTGTGTATTTATATATATTTATATAAATATATATACACAAAAAAACTATATACATACACATACACAAATACAAGTACAGGTGCATACATACAAATACACACATATACAGGCAAATGCATAGACACAGAAAAAATATACATAAACACACATATATACAAATACACACAAGCACAGGTACATAAATACAAATACACACATAGGTATATACACATGCAAATGCACATACACAAAAATATACACATAACCACATGTATAAACACACAGATATGCATACACACATACACAATACTTACATATGCACACACAAATGCATATACACAAAAAACACTTTCACACAAACACAAATATACACAAGCACATACACATGCACAAATGTACACACACAAACATCTACACCAATGCACACACATACACAAAAAATAGACAACACAAAAACACATATAAATACATGCACCCAATACACACACACACACAGCTGCATACACACAAATATACACAAATGCATACCTACAAAAACCCCCCCACACACACATACACAAATACATAGAAACAGACACAAATACACATACACACAAAACATATATAATACACACACAAATGCACACACAAATGAATGGTCCCAGCAGCACTGTTTTTGGTAACAGCAAACACACAACCCAACTGCCCTTCCACAAGAGCACCTGATACCTAAACTATAGCTTATCAGTGCAAGGGAATTAACATGGTGTCTCCATTCAAAACAATGACTGCCTCTTCAGAAGGTAGAAATTGAAGGGCTGATGTGGAAAGATGCTAAAATTATTATGAATAGGTTTAAAAAGAGCAAGGGGCAGAAAATGCCATCTCAAATTGAGGTCCGCTGATTAATCAAAGTTTCCTATCCCAAGTATCCAAGGTCCCCTGGGCCTCAGACAGAGTGGGGGAGAGGGCGCAGAAGGCCTGAGTGGCAGGTGACAGAGGGCTCTGAGGAGGGTGTGACAAGACAGGTGGGGATATCAGGGAAGGCAAAGCAGCCAGAAGGAACAGCCTGGGGAAGTTAAGCATCGTATCTATTAAGAGCCTACTATTTTGTGTGCCTGGACAGCCCCCTCTCATCTGCCCTGCAGAGCAGCCTTGCATGGCTGGCCTGGCAGAGCTGGGGCCTATAGGAAGCTCAGCATGAATGGAGTCTCTCTTCCTCTGGAGTTGGGGACCTCGCAGTGGGGCTGAGGGGGTGCCTGGAACCTCAGGCTGTCAACCAGCAAGGAGAGTCCTTTGTTGATGAACACCCCACCCCAGGGAAAGGGGGAAAACCAGTCGGGCTGACATTCCATTGCCTGAGACAGAGCCAAGGGCTCTGTTTCCTTCTGGTGCTCAGCCCAGCCTGTGGCTTTGTTCAAAGACTCTGCCCAGGCCTAGAGTGCTGTCTGTTCTAACTCACAGCTAGCTCCACCCACCCCATTTCCCAATCCACCCCATGGTAAGCCAGAGGCCCTGGAAAACACCCAAGTGGATGGTATATCTTTGGCCAACCCTTAACAATGCCCAAGTCAGGACAGAACGAGCTCCTGCAGTGGTTCCTGTCTGTCCTGAGGAGGAATGAGCAAGTGATTATCTGCGCATCATATGGGTGTTAGGTCCTAAGTTGATCAGAGCAATCTGGTGAGCTCTCTGGAAGCCACAACTGTGAGCCCTGAGACACAGACAGGGACTAGGGCCGTTGAAGGCAGCTTATCAGCTGGCTGCAAAGCTGGTGCATGTGGAGAACCCAGAGGCCAGTTCAGGCAGACACAGTGCCTGGATCAAAGCCCCCAAATAAAACAACAAACCCACTGCATAGGCAGGCTTTCGGGCACGTAGGGAAACCCTGGACATCCTTGGAGCCGGACCTTACTTGGCTGACTGAGAAGTCACACCTAGACTGTCCTCCTCCCTGATACCTCTCTGTACCTCCCAAGAATGCCTGAAGCAGCGAAGAAAAGAAGTAGTCTCTTGGCCCTGAGGTGCTAGGATGTCAGCTGCAGACCTTGAAGGTCACAGGATTCATGGAAGAGACACCAGGTTAGCAGGCGCCTTGGGGTGAGGCAGACCCGGGCTCCAATCCTGGCTCCCCAGCACTTAGAAGCTTGTGCAGCCTTGGGCAGGGACTGCACTTCTCTGATTCGTCAAGGCTCCCAAAGGCCTCTGGGATGCTGCAGCCAGGATGCTCTGTGGCAGAAGGGCCCATTTCTCAATGTAGGGCAACATCCGAGTGCCCAGGACTCTAGGCGTTTGGGTTCTTCCTGGGCGAGCACACACTGTGGGGCAGGTGCCCAGCAATGCATTTGACTATGCCAGCCCCCAAAGGGGCCTCTCACCAACACCGTGAGGCGGGTTCTACTGTCACAGCTCCACCAGCCCCAATCTCAAACCCAGGGGCCAGGTATGTTTCCAACTCAGGACTTTTCAGGTTTTAGAAAGGCAATGCATGGGTATATTGCATATTGTGAGATTCCCCCAGTGAGGTCTAGGATGGGGTTTCCCAACCATGGCACTACGGACATGTGGTGGGGGCCGTCCTGTGCAATGTGGGATCCCTGGACTCCAGCCACCAATGTCAGTAGCACCCCATTCCATCACAACAACCAAAAATGTCTCCAGACAAGGCCAAATGTTCTGGGGGCAAAGTCACACCAGGTTGAGAACTACTGGTCTAGTTGGTGCAGTCTCAACAGGAGTGGTATTATCCCCAAGCGGGGAAAATTGTTTCTTGGGGGATGTGTGGGAAAAATATCTTTCAATGTATAATGCACAGATATGCATATGGTACATATACAGATATACAATTTATCTGTGGCAGTACAGATATACTATTGATATACTATACTATGTGGTAGTACAGTTACTGGGAAGGCAACTAGGGAAAAAATGTTTAGAAAGGCCCCTTAGGGGATGATAAATGAAAACAAGGTTCATGAACATGTGAGTAGGACAACACTCCACAAGCAAACATGTTAATATTTCATGACACATAGGAAGAGCCTTACCATGTGGCATTAAAAAAAAATCAGGAATAAAAATACAAAAATTAGGCGAGGCATGGTGGCTCACACCTATAATCCCAGCACTTTGGGAGGCCGAGGCGAGTGGATCACCTGAGGTCAGGAGTTCGAGACCAGCCTGGCCAACATGGTGAAACCCCCCATCTCCACTAAAAATACAAACATTGGCTGGGCGTGGTGGCATGCACCTGTAATCCCAGCTACTCAGGAGGCTGAGGCAGGAGAATCGCTTGAACTCAGGAGGTAGAGGTTGCAGTTAGCCAAGATCGCGCCACTGCATTCCAGCCTGGGTGACAGACCAACTCACCCAGGTGCATTGGTACAGGGGCAAGTTTTGCTCAAATGAGAGCTTTTTGAATTTCAGAAGGGTGGATTGGGGACTGCAAACCTGGTGTGGCATTTATACAGGAGAAAACTGAAGCTCAGAGAAATTAGGCAACTAGTCAGTGTATGTTCCTCTGTACATGCATGTGTCTGTGTGCCTGCATGCATTGTGTTTGTGTGTACACATGTGCTCACAGCAAGGTTTAGCTGACATGGGAGTGATTTAATCACCTCACACACACATGTAAATGGCCATGAAAATGGACTTTTAAACCCACTCAGCAATGTGCAGCACAGCCTTAAAACTGCATATGGGCTTGGCCTGGGTCCCAGTCACTCTACTGCTAAAAGTTGTTCTGATTATGCAGGTGTGTGAGAATGAATACTCAGTAATGTTCACTGCAGCATTATTTATAAGACAGAAAAACTGGAAGCAATCTAAGTATCCAAAAATCATTCAGGGCCTGACGAAATAAAGTGGGCGTAACCTGAAAAATAGAATATAGCGCAGCTACTGAAAATGAGGCTGCTGGTCTATATTCACTGACACAGGAAGTCAGTCAAAGCAGGGAAAATGAACGGACACTAGCTACAAAAGAATCCATGTCATTGGGAGGCTTAGGCGGGCGGATCACTTAAGGCCAGGAGTTCAGGAGCGGCCTGGCCAACATAACAAAACCCAGTCTCTAATAAAAATACAAAAACTAGCCGGGCGTGGTGGCTCACACCTGTAGTCCCAGCTTCTCGGGAGGCTGAAGCACCAGAACTGCTTGAACCTGAAAGGCAGAGGCTGTAGTGAGTCAAGATAGCACCACCACACTCCTGCCCGGGCAACAGAGCAAGACCTGTCTCAAAAAGAAAAAAAGAGTTGGCCATGTGCGGTGGCTCACACCTGTAATCCCAGCACTTTGGGAGGCCGGGGAGGCCAAGGCGGGAAGATCCCTTGAAACCAGGAGTTGGAGAGTAGCCTGGCCAACATGGTGAAACCTATTTCTACTAAAAATACAAAAATTAGCCAGGTGTGGTGGACTACACCTGTAGTCCCAGCTACTGGAGAGGCTGCGGCATGAGAATCGCTTGAACCCAGGCAGAAGTTGCAGTGACCTTAGATTGCACCACTGCACTCCACCAGCCTGGGTGACAGAGTGAGATTCCGTCTCAAAAAAAAAAAAAAAAAAAAGAGTTCATGTTGATGTTGTATAACTGGACTTTGTTGATCTGTCTATATATACATATGTGTATATAAACAAAAATATATGTATACATATATATTTATTTATATATTTATTATATATGCATATATGTATATATGTTGCATATATAAATGCAAAAAATTCTTAAAGGATACAGATATGTCATAAGGATCATTTCCAGGGGATGGGATGCTAAATAACCTTGTTCTTGTTTCTCTCTATAAACTTATTTTTCTACAATGGGCATGGTTTGCTTGAGTAATTCTTTTAAAATAAGCAAAGGGGCCGGGCGCAGTGGCTCACGCCTGTAATCCCAGCACTTTGGGAGGCCGAGGCAGGCGGATCATGAGGTCAGAAGATAGAGACCATCCTGGCTAACACGGTGAAACCCCGTCTCTACTAAAAATACAAAAAAAATTAGCCGGGCGTGGAGGCGGGTGCCTGTAGTCCCAGCTACTTGGGAGGCTGAGGCAGGAGAATGGTGTGAACCCGGGAGGCGGAGCTTGCAGTAAGCCGAGATTGCGCCACGGCACTCCAGCCTGGGCGATGGAGTGAGACTCCATCTCAAAAAAAAAAAAAAGCAAAGGACCCAGAACACAGTCATAAACCAACACAGTTACGCACACATTATGATTTTCCCACCCACGGACTTGAGGAGCGGGGTGCTGTTCAGCCCCCAATTTGCATATTCTCCCCACCGCCATGAGAGCTGGCATTGTGTTGGTTACAGACCGGCTCACTCTGCCTGGCATCCAGCTACGCCCGAGTTCTATTTCCCGAGTCTTGGTATTTTATGAGACCATGCCAGGGAAGAGCGAGAGGTAGAGTCCAGGTGAGGAGCAGGCAGATTAGGCCTTAGAGAAGGGTGTTGGGGTGTCGGGGGAGGCAGGGGCAGCCCGAAAGAGTGCAGGCAGCACCTTCCTGAAAATTCCACTGCCCTGGACTGCCACCCACTGCCATGGCTTAGCACAGGGAAAGGGCTCAGAGGGCCGACAGAGCCTGCGTCCCTGGCTGTATGGCCTCAGGTAAGTCACTTTCTCAGGACCTCAGTTTCCCCCTCTGTAAAATGGGGGTCCATCCCTAGAATCCAGGGGTTCTGCTGCCAGGCAGAAAGCAGCCACCCTCTTAGGCCAACTGTGGCTGCTCCCATCAGGTGGCCTCCTCTGCAACATCATCATGCAGTGATGAGAACAGCAGAGGAAAACAATGCCCGTCTGCCTCACAAACCACGGGATCGAGGACTCAGGATAGAGAGGGAGCTCAGAGGTTGTCTGGTGCTCGCTCAGGACACTGAGCACTTCATCAGCACCTACTGTATGACAGAACTATGCTAAGGATCTGACATGCCTCAGACAGCTGCCCTGGAGAAGCTTAAAATCAAGTTGGGGAGATGGATATTAAAGCCGACCATTTCAACCAGGCACGGGAAGCGCAAAGGCCGAGGCTGGAGTGGATGGAATGGATGCAACACAGACGAAGGGCATGGGGAGGGGGTCAGGGAAGGCTTCCTGGAGGTGGTGACTTTTGTGTTGAGTCTTTAATGAAGACTAAGAATTAGCCAGGGAAGGGAAAGAGCAGTTAGGGCAAAGGTACAGGGACCATGTGCGACTTATATAACAGAATTACCACTCCAAGGGACAAGATTAACACTCTACCTGCTGTACGTAGGATGGGCTGGAGAGGGCAAGAGAGGAGTCCGGGGACTAGTGGAGAGACCACCACCACTGTCCAGGTGAGAGGCCACAGAGGCCTGACCCAAGGCAGGGCAAAGCGATAAAGAGAAGCAAATGCATTTAAGGCAAATAAAAGTGGGGGGTCTTCCAGGGTCCAATCTTGGGGAGGGGCAAGGAGGAAGGGCTCAGAGAAGGGAGGAGGCAAGATGCTTGGGGCACCAGGGACAGGGCAGGAAGGAGAGCTCTAGGGAAGGGGAGGGAAAAGGATTCAAGCCAGGGATGGTGATCAGCACCCCAGAAAATCAAATCTTCCACTCTCCTCCTCCCTGAAATTTCTCTCTATCTCCAATGAATTCCTGAAGGAGTGAAGAAGAAAAGAGGTGGTCTCAGTCCCCTGAGGGGCCAGGACGTCAGATGCAGACCATGAAGGTCACGAGGATTCAGGGAAGAGGAACCCCAGGTCAGCAGGCGCCTTGGAGCTAGGCAGACCCAGGCTCCAATCCTGGTTCCCAGGCACCTAGAAGCTGTGCAGCCTTGGGCAAGTCACCACACCTCTCTGAGCCTCAGCTCCAATGTCCAGAGTCGAGGTGAGCACTGGATGAGCTCATGATCTATGAGAAGTGCTAAGGGCTGTGCCTGGCAATAGTAGGTGCTCAGGAAATGATTGTGATTGTTACGGTGCTCGTAAGAGTCAGAATCATAGTTCTGTGTCTCTTTGAAACCAGCAGGAGACACCAAGCCCAAGAGGCAGGATGATACAAGGAGCTTTTCGGAATTCGCTCTTTTCAGAACTCTTGGTATAGATCAGCCCAGTCAGAGGAGCTGGTGAAATTTATAGGAACTGTAAGAATCATTGCAGCAGTGACTACCCTCCGCTTCTGGAAAATAAAGCCCTTGCAGTAAACACTGTTCATTCTCTGAAGGGTAGACCAGAGCACTTACGGGAGCGAGATGCAAATAAGACTCAAGGTCAGGGCAGGAGAATCCTGGGTGAGAAACCTCAGCTGAGCCCTTCTAACATCCCAAGCCTTTGCAAGGCTCTGAAGGGCAAAAATTCCAGGTGAGCTGGAAGCTCCCAGGCTGACGTCCCTCGTGGTGCCAGTTGGATAAAGTTCAAGCTCCTTGGCTCTGCACCAGGCCCATCACAAGATGCTCCTCCCTACTCATGTCCTGCTTCAGCGAGAAAGGACAGAGTGCTGTTCCCTGATAAGCCCTACAGTTGCCCACTGCTGTGAACTTCCTGCATGGACTGCCCTTCCTTGCCTCCAACTGCTGGGGGCTCCTACTCTCTACAGCCCAGGGAGCACACTCTCCTTACTCATAACTCTCTGAGACCACTTAGCACCCTGGACAGCAGGGGCTTGTGCCAGCTTTGCCCATCCCCACTCTAAGACTGAGGGAGCGCTGGGACTGTGGGAGGGCTGGGACTGAGGAAGGGTTGGGACTGAGGGAGGGCTGGGACTGAGGGAGGGCTGGGACTGTGGGAGGGCTGGGACTGAGGGGGGTGCCAGGACTGAGAAAGGGCTGGGACTGAGGGGGGTGCTGGGACTGAGAAAGGGCTGGGACTGAGGCAGGGCTGGCCTCTGAGGGAGTGCCGGGACCACACTAGGCTTACCTCCTTCTTCCCAGGGCCAAAGCTGGCACAATGTGTTTAATGAATTTATAAAGAAAGAGAGGAGAAAAAAAAAGAGAGAAGAGAGAGGGAGGGAGAGAGGTAGCAAGGGAAAGAAAGGGAGAGAGTGAGGTAGGGAGGGAGGGAGGGAGGGGAAGGGAGGAAAGGAAAGGAGGAAGGACAGATCCTAGAATCCAGATAATATAAAGGTACCAAGATGCCAAGTGTCAATGTCTTCATCTACAAAAATGGAAAAACAGAGCTCGCCTCTTCGAGTTGTTACAGACTAAATGCAATAGTGAATGAGAGCTCCTAGCACACAGGAAGCCCACCTGCCAGCCCTCCCTTCTTCTTCCCCTCTTTCACAGAACAGAGCAGATCACAAATGACACTGCAAGGTGATACCTGCTGTGGAGAAAAATGAGGCAGGGAAAGAGGGGCTGAAGAGTGGGAGAGGAGGGAATGTTATGATTTTAAATAGGGCTGGCTGTCAGGGGAAGTCCCTGTGAAAAGGTAACATTTGAGCAAAGAGATGAGGGCCTCAGCCAAGAGGACCTCCAGGAGGAAGGCATCCCAGGGGGAGGGCATGGCCAGGGCAAAGGACTGGAGGTGGGGGTATTGTTATAAAATGCTGCATGGGGCCAGGTGCGGTGGCTCACACCTACAATCCCAACACTGTGGGAGGCCGAGGCAGGTGGATCACCTGAGGTTGAGAGTTTGATACCAGCCTGGCCAACATGGTGAAACCCTATCTCTACCAAAAGTACAAAAATGAGCCAGGCATGGTGGCACACGTCTGTCATCCCAGCTACTCAGGAGGCTGAGGCAGGAGAATCACTTGAACCTGGGAGGTGGAAGTTGCAGTGAGCCAAGACTGCACCACTGCACTCCAGCCAGGGTGACAGAATAAGACTCTGTCTAAAATAAAATAAAATAAAATAAAATAAAATAAAATAAAATAAAATAAAATAAAATAGTAAAAAATAAAATAAAATGCTGCATGGCACAGACAGCATGTTTGACGTTTGGATCAAGGAGCAAGGAAGGGGGTGGAGCATCCCTCACCCTCCCTCCCTCTCTCATTTCCCTAAATCATATTGCCCTCATCTGCTCTTAAACCTGGAGCTTCCCAAACACACACATGGATTAGGCACACAAAGTGTTAGGTTTGCTCCAACCCTGCAGGATGGAAGATAAGTCAAAGCTCCAGGGGAGATGAAAGGGGCAGGAGACCAGGGCTGAGGTCTGCCCAGCTCAACTAGCTCCTGGGTTCCCAAACAGTCCCCACTGTACTCTGCTCTCCTCTATTTTGTTTTTAAACACTGATTGGGCACTGACTGTCTACATGCAAGATCCTTTGGTGAGTGCATTAATAAATATGATCTCCAAATGTGAACACCAAGGGCTTCAAATATTTTGCTCCCATTGGAGGAGTGGGGGGAACATTATCCATTGCCAGTATCCCATTTTTCAGATGGGGAAACTGAAGTTCAAAGGGAAGTCACCTGCCCTGGGGAACAAAGCCACAGTGCTGGGAGTCAAAGCCAGGCAGCCCAGACTCAATGTCACTTCCTAAGTTTCTTTCCTTGCCCCCACATATTCTACATATCTCCCATGGTAACAACTTGGCAGCAAGGTTGGCTCTGGGAACTGCTATTGTTCAGATGTTTTCATGATAAATAACATGTCAGTACTCTGTTGGTGAGGCCTGGGGGCAAGGCTAGGAAAAGCAGGGTGCTGCCTTTCAAAACAAAAAACAAAAGAAGTGCAGGTAAGGGATTTGTTTGAGCGACTTATCCTACAAAGCCTACTTGATATGGAAGTCCAGGTGTTAAAACTGGTCTGAGGTCAGACAGACCTGGGTTGGGTCTTGGTTCTGCTGCCCACCAGCCGTGTGACTTTGGGCAACTCGATAAACCTCTCTGAGGCCATACATGGTAGCCATGACTAGAACTTATATTATTATTATTGTATAGTGTTACTATGAGATTCTATAAACTCTGCCCTCAAAGGGCCTTCTAACTAGTAATAAGTTGACTCTCTGCACAGGTAATTTCCTGAGCGTGTCACTGAGTTTTAAAGAGAACTGCATTCATACAGACACATGTGCACACTCATGCACACTGCCACTGACAAAAGATGGTATTCAGCATTAATCCAGCTTGTTGTTGTTTTTTTTTTTTTTTCTTTTAGAGATAGGGCTGTGTTCTGTCGCCCAGGCTGGAGTACAGTGGCGTGATCATAGCTCACTGCAGCCTTGAACTTCTGGGCTCAAGCCATCCTCCCACCTCAGCCTCCTGAGTAGCTGAGACTGCAGGTGCCTGCCACCATATGCAGCTAGTTTTTAATTTTTTTTGTAGAGATGGGGTCTCATTATGTTGCCCAGGCTGGTCTCAAACTTCTGACCTCAAGTGATCCACCCGCCTCGGCTTCCCAAAATGCTGGGATTACAGGCGTGAGCCATTGTGCCCGGCCTCTAGCTTGGGTTTTCCATTGAGTGACTTGGAGCTGGCAAGGACCTTGTTTTAGGGACACAGAATCTGAGGCCCAGGGAAGGGGAAGTAACCTGCACAGGTGACAAAGCCAGAGATGGCCATGTTCAAAGGAAACCTGGAGGAAGCACAGGTTGGGGATCACCAGGCCCAGTCTTCCCCAATCCCAAATGTTCCTACACCATGTCCCTGGGGGAATAGGAATCAGACAGGGCCATGCTGTGTGGCCTTGGGGAAACCACCATCATCCTCATGGCCCACAGGCAGGTCCTCTGAGGGATGAAAACAGTCCCAGGTGACCTCTCAGCTCTCCCAACTCCCTCCAGCTTTCCTACGCCATTGATGCTGCTATTTCAGAGGCTTTTTAACTCAACCCACCCCCACTGGGGAAAAGAGCCGGTGGTATTTTTTATTCTTCCTCCAGGTCCCTATTTATAGAATGTTGACAGGCGAGAGATGGTTTTCAGCAATAATTAGGGAACCCACGCTGGGCCCCAGGCCTCAGGTAGGCTGGCCCTGTGGCTGTCAGGTAGCTCTGGGGACCTCAGGGATCCACCATCCCTAAAGGGAAAGGACTCCTAACAGCACCTGGACAAAGATGTGCATGGTCCAGGGGAATTAAAAGCAGGTTAGTCAAGGACTCTGAGAGCAAAAGGGCATTTTCCCCTGAATTTGGAAGTCACAGACCTCCGATGGCAGACATACCCCTTACTTCTTTGTTCTTGCATGGAAACATCAGATAATATCCAGTCACACCAGAGCCCTGAAAAGGTATGGGTTAACTAACAGTGATGGGGCTTGTCTGGGGATTCCCAGGAGAAGGAGGTTCAGGGTGGGAACCCCTGGTGTAGACAGGCTTGAATCCTAAGTCCCTCCCTTTCTATGCCTGGGAGTGGGGCCCTGGGCAAGTCCCTTTGTCTCATTGGGCCTCAGTTTCTTCACCTACACAATGGGGACAAGAAAGAAACACTTCACTCAGTTGCTGTAAAGCCTGCACAAATATTTGTTTAGGGTTTGTTAAATCTGATTCGCCTCCCATGTGAGGCCATGAGACTCCGAAGGGTATTCCAGCCCAAGTCCACACTCTTGTTTTGTTAAACCATAGAGCTACTTTATGAGTTTGTCCTGTGGCCTCAATAAGAAAATGTCACTTACTGAACTGGGCCCTATGGAAAGGGAGTGAGGCCCTGAACCCCCAGAGAGCTGGGAGCCAGGAGGTCACATTCCCCATCACAGGAGCATCAGGGGAGCCAGGTGTATCTGCAGACCACTGGAGTCTGTTACCCGGAGTGAGTGGGGATTAGTCTAGTGGGTGGGTGAAGCACAGTGGGCTACTTGGAGGAGGAGGCATGTGAACTGGACCTCAGAAGATAGAGGCAGTGCCAAGAGGTAAAGATAGGAACAAAGACCATTCAGCACATGGTAAAGGTAGAAAAACTTGAAGCATTTTAAAAACTAGAAAATACCAGTTAAAAAAGGGAAGGGGCAGGAGAAAGAGAGAGAAAGAGACTGTGAGAACACATGTGTTTCTTACATACCAATCAAACACTTTTACAACAAAGCCCCTGAACAATTCTATGACATTGGTACTGTTATTATCATTCTCATTTTTTTTAGTTCATTTTTTTTTTTATACAGATGGGATCTTGCTATGTTGCCCAGGCTGGTCTCGAACTCCTGGACTCAAGGGATCCTCCCACCTCAGCTTCCCAAAGTGCTGGGATTACATACATGAGCCACCACACCCGGCCTATCATTCTCATTTTACAGACAAGGCAACAAAGGTTCAGAGAGGTTAATTCACTTGCTCAAGGTCACACAGCACATAAATGGCGGAAACAGGATCAACTTGGTCCAGTCTAATCTTAGGCCCAGGTTTCTAGACTCCTAGGCTATCCAGGGCCCTCAGGGCTTGTGGTGAGGGTTGGGGAGCCTGGTGCATGTCATCTGCAGGGAAAATGGGGCAGAGGACAGTTAGGGGCATGTGATGGTGGCTAAGGTCTGGCTGGCCACTGGGCTCAGGAACCACATCTGTCAGATGAGAAGCTGGAACCAGATGAGTGGAGACCAGCATCTCACATTTCACAGCCCATGACAATTTATAGAAAGGAAGGAAGGGAGGAGAGAAGGAAGGAAAGACAGACCCTGGACTGTGAGCTTTTCACAGCAATGTTTTTATTTTATACGAATTCATTTCAAAATGGACATTTGGACATGTTAACATCCTCAAATAATGACAAACACCATTTCAGAACAAAAGGCAGTTGCTTTCTGACACATCTGCCATGTGCTCAGCCTGCCCAACCCTGTGCTGGCGTAGACTCCTCCTCAGACCCCTGAGAGTGGAGGCCCACACATTCCATCTGTTTCCTTCCTAACCCTTTGGGAGTTCTTGTGTGTCTGCTGGTTTTCTTGTTTCAAGGCCTTCTTCCCCTGGCTGACTGGCAACTCCCTGAAGGGAAGGTGAATGTCACTCACCACTGTCTCCTTGGCACCTTGGCCGGTGCCCAGGACGGGGAGAGCCTGAAAAATACCTGAGTAAATAGACGTGGGAAAAGGGTGAAGGCTTGTGAAAAGATCACAGCCCCTCATCAGCCTTTGTTTAGAAGCCCAGGTGTCCCTACCAAGGAGTCCTCACACTGGAGAGCTCTGAGTTTGAGAACGGAAGCGCAGCTGGGGCCTGCCTCTGAAGGGCCAGTCCCCACTTACTTCCCAGGTAAGGCACAGGAGCACCTTGGATTCATTCACCTGGTTTATTTTATTATTTATTTATTTTTTTGAGATGGAGTCTTGCTCTGTTGCCCAGGCAGTGGCATGAGATTGGCTCACTGCAACCTCTACCTCCCGGGTTCAAGTAATTCTCCTGTCTCAGCCTCCCAAGTAGCGACTACAGAAGTCTGCCACCACACCTGGCTAATTTTTCTATTTTTATTAGAGACGGGGTTTCACCATATCAGTCAGGCTGGTCTCGAACTCCTGACCTCAGGTGACCCACCCGCCTCGGCCTCCCAAAGTGCTGGGTTTCCAGGCGTGAGCCACCATGCCCGGTCCATCCATCTGGTTTAAAAGAAGCACACATGGACAACATCCCACTCACCTCAGCCCCTGTGGACCCAAAAAAGCATTTCAAACCAGACCCTCTGGCGAAGATGGCAGCTGGAACCAGTGCAGGGGGATGGTGCCAAGAAATCCTGGTGACCATGGAATTGTTGGGGAAGAGCCAGAGCTGTGACTCTACTGTGGCCTCCAGCATCTTATTTATGGCTGAGAGGACTCTGAGAAGGGATCGGATTCGGCAACTTGTGGGCAAGTTGTGCAGACTGCTGATTTTCCCCTTCTCGTGTAACTGAGTATCAGCGCCATCTCAGTGGGCAGAACATTCCCACGAATTAAGAGTATCAACCAGGATGGATTTCCTGTTGCTAGGCAACCAGAGGCTGCCGCTAAAGTACACAGTGCCCCCAACCCCTAGGATGCTAGTGTGGAATTGCAGGGATTGCAGAGGTTAAGGGCCTGCTGCAGAAGTGCCTGATGGGGAAACTGGCAGCTCATGAATTCTTAATCTTGAACAAGCAACCATTTTGGTGGTGTCTCATGGCTTATAAGGTGCTTCCCAGGGATTCACCCCATCCCATCTCTCCTCATTTTCCCTGTAAGGTAAAGGTTATATAGCATTATCATTAAAGACTGGGAAACTTGAGACATGGACAGACATAGGAGCTTGACCAAGGTCACGGAGCTAACACATCACCGAGCCAGGGTTCCAAATCACATCTACTGAATGCCACACTTTGGAAGATGCCAGACAGGCTCGTGAACTTGTGGTCTAAGTCAGAACCTCTGGACCTCGGCTTCAGCAGGCTGGGAAAGGAAAATCCCGTGATGCATCACCTCTTTAAATAAAAGGTGGGGACATGCGTAGGCCTGGATTGGCTGTTCCCAGAAGGTAGGGGAGGGTAGTTAGAAAAGAGATATGTCACTCCCAAACCCTGGTGATTAGGGTTTTTTCCCCTGATTACAGAAGTTATACATTTTTCACTATAAAATATAAATATAGATCTAGATATAAAGATACATATATTAATAAAAATTTACAAAGAAAAAAATGGGCAGGGTGTGGTGGCTCACACCTGTAATCCCAGCACTTTGGGAGGCCGAGGCAGGCGGATCACGAGGTCAGGAGATTGAGACCATCCTGGCTAACACGGTGAAACCCCGTCTCTACTAAAAATACAAAAAATTAGCCAGGTGTGGTGGCAGGCGCCTGTAGTCCCAGCTACTCAGGAGGCTGAGGCAGGAGAATGGCGTGAACCCAGGAGGCAGAGCTTTCAGTGAGCCGAGATTATGCCACTGCACTCCAGCCTGGGCGACAGAGTGAGACTCTGTCTCAAAAAAAAACAAAAAACAAAAACAAAAACATGCAATCTCACCACTGAAGAGAATCACTGTTAAAATGTGGGTGAATTTACTTCCTGCCCATTCTTTGATCCTTGTTTTATAAAGCTAGGATAAAAATATAGGGGTAATTTGGCAGGGTGATTACATGTTTAACGTCTGGTTCTCCCAGTAGGCTGAGGAGCTCCTCTGAGCCCAGTCTTATCTGTTTTACAGTCTTATGAGGGCCAGAGGTTCTGAGACGTGAGGGCCTTGTAGGAAGTTCCACAGCAAGTCCCAGGAAGAGCCTGAAAAATAACTCTACTCTTCCAACTCCCCCTCACTTCTCCTTCCCATATATTTTTGACCAATGACCTGTCCAGGAGCTGGAATAACCATTCATGATGACAGTGACCACATATGAAATGCACTCTTTGAGGTACGGACAATTTCTCATACCACGCCTCTGCTCAAGAACCTCCTACGGATGCCTGTCATACACAGAATAAGTCCCAATGCCCTCACTGCATCCTATGGGGCCCTTGCCCACTGCTCCCTGTTCCCCACTTCTCTGGCATCGACCCTCACGGCTCACTGCATGTGGCTGACAGACCCCGAGGTGCCCCTCCCAGGATCCCTGCCTCCTGGTGTTCACGCCCTGTGTGAGCCCCTCCCCTTGGGTGCAGGCAGAACCCATGACTTACTTTCATCCAACAGAATGTGGCAAAGGGGATGGGATGTTATTCCCCTGCGGCATCACATTATAGAAGACCCTGCCTTGAGAATGGCATGAACCTGGGAGGCGGAGCTTGCAGGGAGCCAAGATAGTGCCACCGCAGTCCGGCCTGGGCGAAAGAGCGAGACTCCGTCTCAAAAAAAAAAAAGGAAAAAAAAAGAGAAAACCCTACCTTGCTAGCAGGCTCACTCTAGAGATACTCCTTGCTGGCTTAATGAAGCAAATGGCCATGAGAAAGCCCATGTGGCAAGGAACTGCGGACAGCCTCTAGGCTGGACTCCAGCTGACAGCCAGCAAGTGGCCAGGGCCGTCAGTCCTCTACCCCAAGGAAATGAATTCTGCCAATAACCCAAGTGAGGTTGGAAGCAGATTCTCCCGTCGAGCCTCCAGCTGAGAATGCAGCCCAGCCAACACCCGGATTGCAGCCTTGTGAGACTCTATGCAGAGGACCCCTCAACTGGGCCTGGATTCCTGACTGACAAAAACTGTGAGATATTTATATTATTTTAAGTCACTAAGTTTGTGATCATTTGTTACGCAGCAGTACTAATCAATTGCACTGCCACCACACCACTTCTCAGCTTCACTCACTGCCACCTGGCCACAAAGACCTCCATGTGCTTTCTAAAGTAAGCCAAGAACAGCACACTCCGTCCTTAGGCCTTCACACTTGCTGTTCCCACTTCTGGCATGTTCTTCCTTTTCCTAGATATCTGCAGAGCTCTGGGCTTCATTTCTTTCATTTCTTCTATGTTCCCTCCTCAAAGAGGGCTTCCCTAAGCTCTTGTGTAAAGTACATATGTCCCCCAAAACCCATGCCTATCTCCCCAACTTTGCTTTACTTTTCTTCACAGCACTCACCACCCATGATATTAGACTGCTTTTGCTGTTGTTTATAGCCTCTCTTCCCAACTCCAACTAGAAAGTAAATGGTCTGTTCTCTGATAAATCCCCAGCACATAGTAGGCATGCAACAAGCATCTGCTGAGGAGATAGATGGTGTCATTAAAGCCTTACCACATCTTTGACAACTGGATGGAAGGGGAAACTAAAGCTCAGAGAGGCCACGTGATTTACTCAAGGTCACACAGCAAGTAGGTGGCAAAATCCAGATTCAAGGCCAAGTCTGCTGGACCCCACCTTTGTACCATACAGCCTCCCTCCACTTCCTGAGGCCTCCTCTGTAACCAGGGAGGCCTGCTTCTGATTCAGGGCTCCTCGCCAAGATAAGGCAGCCTGCCAAGCCTGCATCTTCCTGCAGCCTTCCCAGGGTGAGCCCCATCAGGGGGGCCTCGGCTCCCCCTTCTTACTATGTAATTGCCTCTCTGAGAACCCCAGGCAATGAGCATTTCTTCTATAAATATCTTCCAAGCAGCATCCCCAGAATTCCCAACTGAGAAAAGATGAGCACAGATGCCCAGGAGACCCATTACAACATTGCCTAAAAGCCATAGTAATTGTTCCTCCACTACTTCTCAGTTGGGGTCTGGGGGTGGTGTGCAGTGGCTGGTGCTTCTCTCTGCTCAAGCACTGAAGTTGTTTTTTCCTTTCCCTCAGAGGGAAGACCAGGAAGGGGGTGGGATTCCCAAGCACCCAAAGACAAAACATCTTCCTGAGATCTCTGGAAGTTTCCTGGGTCATGGAAGCACCTGGCACATGGCAGACACTCGATAAATGTTGCCCACCTAGAGAAATGCAGGCACCAAGAGCTACTCAGCAACACTTTGGTGGGTTGAAGAGATATGGGCCTGAATATCTTGAAAGAACTCTGAATTTCTTTGAAGAACTCTAGTATTTGAAGGTTGATGTTTTGTTTTTGTTTTTGTTTTTCACATCACAGGTTCCAGTCCATCTCTAGGATGAACCAACAGATGAATAAATGAATGAATATATCAAAATCAGAGATGGGGCTGTACATGAGAATAGGTGAATGTTCAACTCAGGGATCGTTAATCAATCTAAGCAACAAGAGCAGAGTTAATCCAAAAGGGTGGCTCATGCTTCAGAGAAGGAGAAAATGGACTTGGGCAGACTTATTTCTACAAATGAATTGATAAAGATCATGTTGAGACTGTGTCAGGCAGACCATACTGCAAGGCACATACATCCAATGTCACTCCCTACCGAAGGATTATATACCCCTCTTGGTCTCAGGTGCAGTCATGTGACTTGCCCTAGCCAATGAAATGCAAGCAAAAAGTGCTGTCACTCATTTCCAGGCAGAAACTTTAAGAGCCAATGACTGGTTGGCCATGATCTCCTTCCATCAGCCATGCAGCCGGCTGTTCCCACAGGCAACCTATTCCATCAACCTAGGCCACCAGAGTAAAGATGACATGGAACACAGACACAGCCAATGACAGCGGGCATTTAGAATGCTCAAAAAATAAAAACAAAACCTATTTTTCTGTTTTAAGCCACTGAAGTTTTGAGGGCCATTTGTCACTGCAGCACAACCTAGCTGATCCTGACAGATACAGAGGCAAACAATTTTTAGACAAGCACAAGAAAAATGAGTCATTGTACACTGAGAATCTACTGCAGGACAGCCATTCACTTGGCATATTTAAGTGGAGGAACTTTTGAGATAAACAGGCCTCGGTTCTAATTCCAGCTCTGCCACTCTTTGACTGTGTGACATGTTAGGCCTAAGTCACTTAACCTCTCTGGGCCTCAATCTCCTCCACTGTAAACTGTTTACTTACTGGAAACTTTCCCAGCTGCAGGCAGGTACTGGCAGGAGGACAAACTCTCCCAGAAAGGGTTGGGCAACTTTTATTTTGGTTTGAAAGAAAATCACTTGATGAGGACACAATGGTAAATAACAGTGATTGAGCAGAAAGTGAAAAACACACTTATAGAAGTTGGTAAACTGTGCCCCATTCGATTCCTCAGCACATGTCCAGTTTACCTAACAATCGGGGACAGCTTTGAAAATCAGGCAGGTATACAAAAGTGCCTCTTTAAGAAACAAGAGATTAATCTCAAATGTTCTTGTTTATCACCTGTTTTTTAACATCAATTATTGGCCATTATGTAATTCTCCCGAACTGAGGGAAACAAAGGACAGTCATCATGAATAATAACCATTCCATGATTCCATGACACTTTCCTAAATTTAGCCTCTGACCTTTACAGAGAGGTGTTACCACAGGCCTGGTAACATAGGAAGAGAATTCGGGCTGTGGGATTTGGTGACTGCTATTCCTATTCTTGCTGACATCCATGTCCTCCTGTTCCCTGATTGAAAAAAAAAGTAACAATTTCGTGTTGGAAACACAAAGGGGTACCCTTTTGAAAACAGCAAAGATGAAATCAGAAAGTCAGTAACACTCCCTTGCCCATGGCAGACATCAATAATCAATTACAGAAGTGAGCTTAGATAATCTCAGAGAATCCCTAACACTGCACCCCAGGCAGCGACTCCCAGTCATTTAGAGTTAGCAAATATAGGGAAAGCCACTTGGTACCCTGCTATAGGCTCACCACCTGGTTATCTTTGAACAGAATAATAGGATTGCGGAGCTGAAAGGTATTTGCATCTAGAGTGCCCAGCCTCTACTTGCTAAACCTCACTATTTCACATTTCCTAATGCCTGAAGTATCCGTATCATTCTGAATGCCTCAAAAATGTACCCTTTTAATGGGAAACTCACTACTTGTCTATCCCCCAACTAGGGAAAAGTTTCTCTTTGGTTTTTAAAGAAAAAAACCATTATTGGTCTAAGTTCTGCCTTGAGAGGCATGATGTGCTACATTCACCTACTCCAGGGATCCTCTCAAAGGTCTATAGCTCTGCCCCAAGCTCCATCTCCTCCAGGATACACAGACAAGCATCTTTGGCTATAATCAGAATATACACGAAATGCTGACATGCAGAAGAGGCTCAGAAACCTGGGAGACCACGTCCCTGTGGTACAAATGGGACAAATGGAGGCAAAAACGGGCAGGATTTTCTGGGTACTGCCACAGAAATCCCAGCAGGGTACTGCCCAGAAATCCCAGGCTTCCTGACTCACGGTTTAGGGCTGTTTGCGTGATGCCAAGCTCTGAATTCACATTATCCCTTCTCCCCTTTGAGAACATAATCAGAAATGCCACAGTCTGGTTCAGTGTAGAAAAAAGCAAGAGCTCAGAATCAGCCACACCTGGGTTCAAAATCTGATGCTTACTGGCTGTGTGATCTGGGTGAAGCCCCTTGTTGTCTCTGAGCCTTGATTTCTTCATCTGAAAAGCAAGGATCATAATGCTGATTGTGTTTGTGTCTGTATGAGAGAGAGAGAGGAGGGGGTGTTTAAAACCAAGAATGAAATGAAAGATATATAAAAGGCACATGAAGCAGGGTAGATACCTAAGGAACATGAGCTCCCTCCCTGTCTTTCTCCTCTAAATAGGGCCAAGGAAGTTTCCTACTCAGAGCTCAAGTTAGCTGCAGAGTACACAACTCTGGGATAGGCTGTGCTCCTGGTCTCAAGTGCAAGCCCTAGTTCAAATGCTGATTCTGTAGCCTGCCAGCTGTGTGACCTTGGGCAAGCCACTTCACCTTCCTGAGCCTCAGTTCCCACAATTGTAAAGCAGGATGATAATACCTACCTCGCAGGGTGGCTGCAAGGATGCAAAGCATCAAAGGACTTGAAGCATTTAGCACAGTGCCCTGGGCACATGGTAAGCGCTCAATGCACGTCAGCCATCAGTACTGTGGTGATGCTGTCGTGACGTGGCTGCTGTCTGACTTTGCAGTGAACTGGAAACGCAGAACCAAAGAGGACAGCCCAAGAGGATGTGCTCTCCCTGTCCTTTTCTGGAGCTGACACCCACCAGACAGCCACGTGAGGGGCAGAATCACCTTCTTTTTGTAGCTGCCATTTTATTATAATAACATCTAAAAGGTCATATTTCCCCAATTAAGAGGTGTTAATTAGTCACATGTCTGACTTCAATTCTTTAGACTTCGAGAGTGGGAAGGAAATTTCAAAACTGTGAACACAGAGGGAAGAACAAACAGCCAATACTACACAAAGAAACACACAAAAATCCCAAAATCAGCTGGGCACAGTGGCTCATGCCTGTAATCCCAGCACTTTGGGAGACCGAGGCAGGTGGATCACAAGGTCAGGAGATCGAGACCATCCTGGCTAACACAGTGAAACCCCGTCTCTACTAAAAAATACAAAAAATTAGCCAGGCTTGGTGGCGGGCGCCTGTAGTCCCAGCTACTCGGGAGGCTGAGGCAGGAGAATGGTGTGAACCCAGGAGGCGGAGCTTGCAGTGAGCTGAGATTGCGCCACTGCACTCCAGCCTGGGTGACAGAGCGAGACTCATCTCAAACAAAACAAAACTAAAATCGCAAAATCCATGCAGGGAAAGCCACTGGCACTAACAGCCCAAAGTGCAGACTAGCCCTCAAATTCTTGTGAATATAAACTAAATGAGATGGGGCAGGGATAGGGACTGTCACAAACAAATGCCTTACTGTCATGTTACATCAATCCTTTGGCAACTCAATGAATCTACCCAGAACTCAGTGGTCACCCCTAGAAAATGGAATGTACGTATGATGATTAGGATAACTGCTAACATGTATAGAGTGTCTGCTACGTGACATGGTGCTAAGTGCTTTACCTGTATTATTTAATCTTTACATCAGGTCTGCCTGTATATTATTATCCTCAATTTACCTGAGAAGAAACTGAGGTTCAGAGAAGTTAAGGAGTTTACCCCAGGTTACAGAGCTGGCAAGTGGTGGGTCTGGGATTTAAATTCTGGTCTGTCTCAATCCAAGCCTTGAAACCACTAGGCCTCCCAGCTTTGCAAAGCTGCAGAGCGGCAGCATGGCTAGGCTGCTGCTCTCCTGAGCTGCCTCCAACTCTCTGGGCTGGAGGCTGCAAGGTGATCTGAGCTTTATTGCTCATTTCACAACCCCAACTGGGACGACAGAAGAGACAACACAACTCCTACTTAGGTCTGTGTAAGTCAGAGACATTTAACTACTATTTCCAAGGTCATTGTGGAGATGATTTTGTTTTGACAAATTGATAAATGCAAAAAATAAAATGCCAGTACTTTTAAAAACAATAATGAAAAAACCGTATGCATCACATGCCTATAAAAGTGTTGGGAGAATCAGATTTCGGGTACACACACACACACACATACCAATACCAGGAGAGCAAGCAGGGCTAGGGAGATGGACCCCACCCTCCTTAAAGTTCTTCCTGAATTGCCTGCCAGCCAAACCCATGGTAAACACAAGAATCCAGCTGCCAAGCCCTCTGGCACATTCATTAATTAAACTCTATGGATTTGCTGTGTTCCCGGAAACATCCACTCATTTCAATAATAACTGGAGGCCAACCAGGCTCAGGCTGAAAAAACAGCATGCAAGGTACTCAGTCACAGGGGAGGGCAGCAAAAGGAAACCCAACTCTGCGGCAAAGCTCTGCCTTCAGGCTTGCTCCAAAGAGGCGGTGTCACCTTGGCCAAGTTGTTTCTTTGTCTGGGCTGAGGCTCTCTTCTCTAAATAAAGGGGGTCCTGTACCAGATGGAAAGTTCCCCTTGTGGAATCTCAAGGCCCTCTCAGGCCAGTATCTTTGCATCTGGAAGGGACACCAATGTCTAGACTGAGGGTGATGTATACATCTATGCATGTACCTTCCTCTCCGCCCAATAAAAATCAAGGAGGGGCAGGATGCGGTGGCTCGCACCTGTAATCCCAGCACTTTGGGAGGCCATGGTGGGAGGATCGCAAGAACCCAGGAGTTCAAGATCAGCTTGGGCAACATAGCAAGACCCCATCTCTACAAGAAAAAAAATTTTTTAATTAGCCAGGCACCATGGTGGGTGCCTGTAGTCCCAGCTACTCGGGAAGCTGAGGCAGGAGGGTCGCCCAAGCCCAGGAGTTCGAGGCTGCAGTGAACTATGATTGCACCACTGCACTCCAGCCTCCACAACACAGCGAGACTGTCTCTAAAAACAAACAAAAAAATAAAAATACAGGAAGAAGGAACTAACATTGACTATATAAAGACAATTCGAAGAACAGAGTCTTTTGATGGAAGCTAATCTATCTACTTCTAAAAGGAAAACAAAATGACCAGGCCCATTTGAAGTGTGTTATGCAAGATACAACCTAGTGAAATGCTTTGTGAATTCTGTGGTCAACACATGCTACTGAAACCTTCCAGTTAGAGGCACATTTCTCCCCCAGACTTAGCATTTCTGAAAGTGGAAATCTTACCATTGGTGTGTACGTTCAGTGTAGTGAGATTTCCCCAATCAAGTCAGTGAGCAAATCTGCAACAATTCTCTCATCTGAGATCTCAGAAATACAGCAGGGTGCCAAGGACCACGTCTGGAGGTTCCTAATGTATATTTGCATAATAAAAGGCTCTGAAAAGTCCTGCATTAAAAACATTGTTTAACCAAGTGATTCTTAAATATATTGTCTCTGGTATTTTTTTTTTTTTTTTTTTTTTTGAGATGGAGTCTCACTCTGTCACCCAGGTGGAATGCAATGGTGTAATCTCGGCTCACTGCAACCTCTGCCTCCTGGGTTCAAGCAATTCTCCTGCCTCAGCCTCCCAAGTTGCTGGGATTACAGGTGCCTGCCACCACGCCCCGCTAATTTTCGTGTTTTTAGTAGAGATGGGATTTCGCCATGTTGGCCAGGCTGGTCTCGAACTCCTAACCTCAGGTGATCTGCCTGCCTTGGCCTCCTAAAGTGCTGGGATTACAGGCGTTGGTATTCTTTATCCATGGAACACTCATTAAGGTGCTTCCATGAAGAACTCTGGGAAATGTCCAGGCTGTGAAAGTGAGGAGAACCTGTAACAGGGATCTTCAGTAGAGAGACAAGGTGGGAACAGCTGGCAGGGTCTAAGGTCACTTCCAAGCCCTGATATTCTGGAGATGTATCTATGAAATGTCCACTTGGACTCACCAGCCCCATAAGAGGTACCATTCACATGAATCTCACGTACTTCCCAACAGACTCCTGAAACACATTACAGATAAAGAAACCGAGGCTCCGAGAGGGGCAGAAACTTGCCCCCGGGTCGCTCAGGAGGTAACTGGCAGATCTGGGATTTGATCTGGGGTTTTTCTTACTGCACAGCCTGTGTTCTTTCTGCTATGCCCCCTGACCCCAGTGGGTCTCAGCCCTGGCTGCACCTTAGAATCACCTAGGAGCTTTTAAAACTCCAACCGCCTGGACTGCATCTCAGACCAATTATGTCAGATGTCTAGGAGGTGGGGCCTGGGTACTTGCATTGTTTGAGAACCTCCGTTCTCTAACAATAGTTTGCAAACTGGAAGGGTGAGTGAGAGCTTTAGTAAAGGTTTTGGAAACAATGCAAGCCCCTGCTTACAGATTATATGTGTCTTGTTAAGTTGCATTGATTTAAAACAAGTGGGGATCCAAGAAGGGACAAATGTGTCTGTTTTCTTTGAAAAGTGTGACTTCAATCAATTCTGGGAATAATATAACAGCACTCATAAACATCTCCCAGACAATTACCACAGCCATCACCACCACCATAATCACAACAACAATGGCTAACAGGTGTTCCTAATGGCCAATGCTGCGCTAAAGAGTTTCACACCCATCAACTCGTGTCAATCTTACAACTCTATGCGGTTATGCCCCGGCCATCCCCTTCAGAGGGGAAGACAGTGAGGCACCAAGGGGCAAAGTAACCTGCCCACAGCCACCCAGCCGGCAGATGGCAGAGCTGGGATCTGAACAGGGAACCAGCCTGCTCCCAACCTGAGATGCTTCAGTGAGAAGAAGGATGGCATCACCCTGTTCTCAGACAGCACAGAAAACTGTCTCCACCACAGGGCTCCTCCCTGACCCTGCCCCACACGACAAACAAAACAGGACACATGCAACAGGCAGGCGGGCAGCCAGGGCTGAAGGTGGCCCCCAGTGTTGAATGGCTTCCCAGGGTGACATCAGCCTGAGCCCATGCAAATGGCCTGTGCGCCTGACCAGGCCAGGGACCTGAAGGGTGACTTCATCCCTAACTTTCCCTCAGGGATGAGCAGCCCCGTGCCACCTGCCAGGCCCCAGAGGGAGAAAACCTGAGCCAAAGACCCTAGTCCCCTTAGAAGCAGCAGGGACCTTGCTAGGCCCATGGGTGTGGGCACTACCTGTGAGCTGAAGAGGTACCAGGCACGTGCCGGGCACTTTGTGCATCCTAAGCCCCAAACCTGTGCAAAACTCCAGTTCTGCAGAGGGTACCATGGGGGCAGGGAGGGAAAAGGGACCTTCGCAGGCTGTAGGTGTGTTCCCTGAGCATGGCCTCAGCTCTCCAGGGCTGGAAAACACCCAGATGGCACCCTCCTCATCACTGCATGGAAATCACCATACGAAATGCTAAGAACTCTGAGTTGGAAGCCCAGTCTCTTCCAGAGCAATCCCTGTGTGTCACTGGGCAAGGCCCCCACCCTGTTTGAAAGTCTCCTCATTTCTGACTGGGGGTGGTGACCAGCACCACATCACTGGTTTTCTACTTTCTTTTCCATTTTTGAGCTTTAGAAAAAAAATCTCTTTAAGCAAAATCATATTAGTCCAATATATTAAAAACCTCAAGGAGCAACCTTGGTTTGGGGTGTGGTGGGTAAGTTATGGGAGGTGGGGCCCTGGAATCTTACCTCTGTCTTCCTGGTCACCCATGCCTTGCCCCTGACATTCAGGCATGGGACTCTAAGCCTCTAAGCTGTGCTATTTCCCCAGGAGGGACAGGCTTCGAGGGCAGTGGGGAGAGGAGCTCTCCACCCAGAGGCTGGGTCACCTGTGCTGCAGGTGCCGGGAAAGGCACAGCTCCGAGTGGAGGCCCAGACACCAAGGAAGCAGGGAGTGTAGAACTCATCTAGATGTTTACGATTCCTCACCCTTGTCTTTGACAGTGTCCCCCGCCCCTCACAGGATGGGACTTCTTTTTTTAGCAATTTGCCTGTATGGAATCTTTTCAAAGTGTTTAATTAAGTTTTCAGAGTATGACAAATCTCTTTCTCTTTGCAGTTGTATCTCATACATTTATATAACAGCTAATCGGGTTATGTAATGACGATTACAAGTAGTACAATTGGCATGAAGAGGTTTGGGATCAAATACGATGGATTCTCAGTACACATTCTTTAACCTACTCATTCATTCAAGAAATGTCTATTGAGAGCCAGAAAAGCAGGGACTAAGTGGAAAGGGGCTAAGGGAACTTTCTCTGGGAGATGAGAATGTCCTAGATCTTAACAGGGTGTGACTTACACGGGTATGTGCATTTGTCAAAACTCAAGCTATACCTTTATGATATATACCTTTTGCTGTATGTAAATCATACCTCCAAAATATTTATGTATAACAGTTTATGTATTTATTTATAATATTCTTATAAGATAGCAGTAAATATAATCATATTGATAATAATTGCTTATTTATTTAAAAAAATTTTTATAGAGCTGACATCTCACTCCGTTGCCCAGGCTGGTCTCAAACTCCTGGGCTCAAGCGAACGTCCTGCCTCAGCCTCCCAAAGTGCTGGGATGACAGGCATGGGCCACTGCACCCTGTCTGTTAATAAGCACTTTTAGAGCCAACTATGTGCCAGGCACTGTTCTATGAGCATTGTATACGTCAACAGATGTATTCTTCACAACATGTCCATAACATATTGTTATTTTCTCCATTTTAGAGCTAGGGAAATTGTTGGGCATGGTAACCTGCACCTATAATCATAGCTACTTGGGAGGCTGAGGCAGGAAGAGTCCTTGAACCCAGGAGTTCTAGCCTGAAGTAAGTGAGCTAAGATCATGCCACTGCACTCCAGCCTGGGGAACAGGGCAAGACCCTGTCTCAAAAAAAAAAAAAAAAGGAAAAGAGAAAAGAAAGGAGGAGGAAACTGAAGCACAAATGCCATCAAGCAAGCTGCTTAAGTCACATGCTGGTAGATTGCAAAGCTGGGAAAAGCTGTGATTCAAACCCAGGCCTTCTGGCTCCAGAATCTGTGGGTTTTTTTTTTTTTTCAGATGGAGTCTTGCTCTTGTTGCCCAGGCTGGTGTGCAATGGTACGATCTCGGCTCACTGAAACCTCTGCCTCCCGGGTTCAAGTGATTCGCCTGCCTCAGCCTTCCGAGTAGCTGGTATTACAGGTGCATGACACCATGCCCAGCTAATTTTTGTATTTTTAGTAGAGATGGGGTTTCACCATGTTGGCCAGGCTGGTCTCGAACTCTTGACCTCATGATCCGCCTCCCAAAGTGCTGGGATTACAGGCGTGAGCCAACATACCCAGCCCAGAATCTGTGCTTTTAGCACTAACTAGTCTTTTTTTAACTCTGCAAAATAGGGAGCCCCCCCACCGCCCCGCCCACCATGCCGCCACCATCCTCATGGCACTCCATGCTTGGGAGAGAAACATAACAAAGGACCACTGACTTGGCTCAAAGGACTGACAGAGCACAGACAGCAGGGAGAACCCCAGCCTCTGCACCCAGGGCCCTGGCACTAAGTGCGGCTGCCTCCCTTGGTCTCCATCCTCAGGAGGATTATGAGGGTTAAGTAACGTCCAACATCAGGTATGCAAATGCACCCGGTACTGCAGCTGGCACACAGCAGGTGCTTGACAGGGGTAGGTTAGCTGCATAAATGAGCCAAGGACGGAATCCAAACCAGCTAATCAGAAGCCTTGTATTATATTAATTCAGAAAGGATTCCAGATTCACTCTGGGGAATACTGCCTGATTCCAGTCCCACACAGCTACATAAATGGAGATCTGTGAGTCTAGCATTGCTGTGAGAATCTCTGGGTCTAAAGCAATGGCTTATGGGGGTGCAAAGAGATGGGGCTGGGGCTGGGGCACCCACAGAAAAGCCCAAATAGCCTGGAGGGTACCAATTAGGGGAGTGAGAACAAAACCAGACTTTCTCGGTTGGTCAGGACAAGGACTGACCATTGAGTTCTTGAGACTGGACCACAACAGACCCACAGTCTTCTGTAGTCCTCAGAGAAGGGAGACTTGCCCTCATGGACACAAGTTGCTGTTGAACAGGAAATTCAGAATTATAATCTTGAGCCTCTCCAAATCATGTTCCTGGCAAGATAGCACAGCTCTGCTGGGCCCTCATCATCCACCCAACACCTGGTGTGAAGCCAGCTAGGAGCTTGGCATCCGTTCATGCACTGGTCCATGCATTCATGTATTCATCCATCAGATATGTATTTATTTACTTATTTTTATGAACATGAAGAAACATTAAGGGATTGGTCCTTAAAGGGCGGTGTCCACGTAACCATCTCTACCTGGGGCTCACCTAGAGCTCTTGCCACACAAAGCAGATTCTGGGTCCTTCCTCAGACCCCCAAGGCACCTGCCTGGTACTCTCCTCGTGGCACCAGGACCCAAGATATATCTGATGCCCACCCAAGTTTGAGTTCAATCTTCATATCTTTAGCCCTCTGTAAATGCAAGGATATCACAACTCAAAGAGGTTGAGGCCCTTGGCCAAGGTCCTAGATGTCAGAAGTGTGGTGCCAGGATTTGAACTCAGGCCCATCTGTACCCCTGTTGTCTCCTCCTCCACCCCCATCCCAGCAATCAGACACCACTGAACCACAGCAGCCGCTTCACCACAATTCAGCTCAGAAACCATTTTTCAACCAATGGCACTAAGTTGTTGAAAATCCACGGGGCTCCGCATCCCATGAAAAGATTAGGAAACTCACTAAGCAGATCTCTAATGACCTCCATTCTTTTTTCATCTCCCCCACAAAAGGACTTGTATTTATGCATGAGAAGAGGAAAAGAAAATCCAACATAGCATATGAAAAATCTCTAACTGTTCAGCTCCCAGGCGTGTATAGGAATGCCTCCTACTTAACCCTTCCTTCCTAATTAGCCGTGGCTGTTAATGACACACAAATATGCTTTGATCATCAAGTAGCAACTTAGGGGTGGGGTGGGGCAGGATGGGATGGGAAGAATCTTGCAAGGGGGGCAGGGAAGCCAAGTGGATGCAAAAGAGGCCGGGAAGAAGAGGATGGGGCTGCTGGCTCTATGCCAGGCCCATGTGTCCACCTCACTCCCTTCTAACAACTAAAACACTCGAGGCTGGGGGTCACTCTGGAGAGAAAATGGCACCATTTGAAGAAGAGGCTTAACCCTCTTAAAACACCAGTGGAGCCTGTGCCACGGTTCCGTCATTCCAGGCAGAGGGAACAGCTTGTGCAAAAGCTGGGAGGAAGGAATGTTGTTGCCAAGCTGTGAGCAGCCCTGGTGGTCCAAAAGGGAGGCCAGGCAGAGTGAAGCTACTGAGCACCTACCAGTGTGCCCAGCACACTCGTTACTGTATGGAATTCTCACCACCATGAAGAGTATTATGATTCCCTTTTAACAGATGGGGAAACTGAGGCTTGCTCAAAGTCTTGCTCAAAGTCACATGGCTAGTAGACAGGGGAGCAGGGATTTGAATCTGAGCTGATTTTACTGCAAAGATCTTAAGAGGTCACACCACAACCTCTAAAAAACATATGGGGAAACTGAGGCCCATAGCCAGTGTAATGGAGAGGACATTGGTTCAAAGCTGCACAACTGGGATACACATATGCTCACTTTTCTAAAAACCCAAATGCAGGGACGGAGTCTCATTATTTTTAACATATTACACAGCTGACTACAGGGCTTTTTGCAAATGATAGGAGCTCAGTAATTGTCTGTGGCTCAACTCCAAAGGATGTCAAAGTTGAGAATCACCTGGCCTCCAATGCCTCAACAATGAATTTAGAAACCCAAGCTCCAGTCCTGTGTCTGTCATCAATTTGCTGTGTGACCTTGCACAGGTCTCTCTCCCTCTCTGGGCCTTGGCTTCCTCAGCTGTAACAAAAAAAGAAGTGAACTGGAAGGATCTAGATGTTCTGACAACCAAGGCTCAGGAACTCCTCCATGAAGAACAATTCCACACCAACCTCATGCCCCTCAGCTACCTGTTTACATGGGCACCTAGGGCTCATTTAAAAACATTTATGGATAATGAAACTCAACACGTCATCTGCCAGCATGGCTACCTTTGTACGCTCTTCAAATGCAGCACCAGAGGCTCCAGAACATCCCAGGTTTTTCCTGCCAAGATGTCTGCAACGTGGCTGCCACATCCAACCCTCATCCTTCCCAAAGCAGAAGGCAATTACCAAGAAGAAAAGAACAGGCTCCTAGCTACGAATTAAGGAATTACCGGTGTTAAATCATAGGTGTGCCCAGGGAAGGGCTGTTTCTAGAAATCAGGCTGGTGATGGTGGGAACGTGAGGTGCTGGATAACTTCTGGCTTTGGCAGAAAGCAAATATTTGGACATGGAGCCAGGAGATGAGGGACTGGGAATTAATAGACCGTGAAGAGTACTTCCAAACACCAGAAAATCTGCCCCCATCTGAACCTCCCCTTTGACAGGTGATAACTAGAATGACAATAAAAGCCACTGTTTATAAAGAACTATGTGCCCTCCACCAGCATCTCCTGTCACTCTCGTAACAACTCCGTGAACTGATATTGTTTGCGCCACTTTGTAGCAAAAGAAAAACGCTTTATCAGAGCAGACAGACTTGCCCAAAATTACACCAGGAATCAAAGGTTCTATTACCTAAAAGGGTATTCCAAAGGCCTACTACTAATACTTTGGCCTTGTCCAGAATCTGTTGGGTAAGGCCACATGGTTACTTAAGGACTGGCAGGGGTGTGAACTCACATCCCAGGATGAGCTCTTACGATCTACATCAGTGGTTCTCAACCAGGGTGACTTTGCCCCTTACATTTGGCAATGGCTGGAAACATTTTTGGGCATCACAACTGGGGATGGGAAGGATGGTGCAGGCATCTAGTGGGCAGAGGCCGGGGATGCTGCTCAGCATCCTACAGTGCCCAGGACAGCTCCCTATGACAGAGAATTATCCAGCCCCGAACGTCAATGTCACCATGGTGTGAAACCCAGTTCTACACCATGGTACCTCTCAGGAAACGAACCCCAAATCTCTCAATCCACTTCCTCAAATGGGAGGCACAAGAAATGAGACGTCAGCAGACCTGGGCTGGAGTCCATGCTTGGTCGACTATGAACTAGGTGACTCTGGGCAACTCACCTCTCCCCAAGTCTCAACTTTATCATTTGTAAAACAGACCCGACATAGATAATACCTCTTGGATGGGGTTTCTATAGGGATTTAAGACAATCTGCTTAGCTCAGTGGCTGGCACATGGTCAATGCTTAAAATATGTTACTCTTTAAGCCTTAATTTCCCCATCTGTAAAATGGGACAATAGCCTCTGCCTTGAATGTGGCCCTCCAGTTTTTTCCTCTGAAATTTTTACAAAGAAGTCACATCTTCCCAGATGGCCTAGATGCCAGATGCGAACAACCTGGAGAGGCGCCTGCTATAGATGGCCCCTGGACCAGCAGCTAACTTTGCATGAATACGAAACCAACAGTCAGGAACAGTGGCTCATGCCTGTAATCCCAGCACTTTGGGAGGCTGAAGCAGGAGGACTGCTGGAGCCCAGGAGTTCGAGACCAGCCTGGGTAACATAGTGAGACCCCCATCTCTACAAAAACTACAAAAAATTAGCCAGACATGGTGACACATGCCTGTAGTCCCAGCTAGTGGGGAGGCTGAGATGGGAGGATCGTATGAGCCTGGGAGGTCGAGGCTGCAGTGAGCTATGATCACAATGCTGCACTCCAGCCTGGGTAACAGAGTGAGACCCTCTCTCAAAACAAACACACACTTGGTGTTAAGTGTCTGAGAGCTGGCAGTTTGTTACTGCAGCATAGCATACTCTAATCTGACTAATGTATCAAGGTTGTAAGGATAGCAACTGTGCCTGGCATTTATTATGCACTTCCGAGGTTCCAGGCATCATGCTGGGTACTTCACAAGGCATCTGAGGCTTGCAGAATTAAAGTCACCTGTCTGAGGTCCCAAAGCTGACTAGTGGCAAAGCTGGCATTCAAACTAAGGACTGTCTGAAGGGAGAGCCAAGCTCTGAACTGTACTCAGCTAATTCTACCTGCACCCCTCTTTTCTTGCCATCAAGAAAGAACAGCAGAAGATACCAAATCTATGCTTAGAAAACAAAAGTCAAAGGTGTTCACAAACTCTGCAATTTTTAATTCTTAGTAATAAGGTATGCTTCAGACCCTCCTTCCAAGGGAGCAGGGCAATCTGACAGAACTTCTCTGGACTAGAAACTGATGCTGGAGAAAAGCCACCATGCTCTCATATCTCTGCATAGCGGTCGCTGCTGTTTATGGCCCAGCTCTTACAATGAATGTTTGATGAGTTAAGTGGGGTAATGGGCACTTAGAATCCAAGAAACAAATTCCATCCCATGCTGGGAGATTCATGCCAACTCCTAAAAGGGTGAGCTGCTCAAAAGCCCCTGGGAGCCTGACCCCAGGCTGGCTGAGCAGCCAGCCTCCTTTATGGGCAAGAACACATGAGACAAGAAAGGTATCCACTGGGAATACCAACACCTACACATTACAGACCATGGGCAGGTCTTCCCACCTCAATTTACTCATCTGCAAGACAAGGCATTAAATAATACTCCCTGGCCATCCTTGGACTATTTCCACAAGCGTAAGTGAGAAGAAATGTGTACTAGTTATCTCTGGCTGCGTAACAAATAGCCCCACAACTCAGTGGGTGGAAACAACAAACATTTATTATCTCACACCGTTTCTGGAAGCCAGGGATCTAGGAAGGATTTCAGTGAATGGTCCTGGCTCAGGGTATCTCATGAGTTTGGAGTCAAGCTGTTGGCCAGAGGTGCAGTTTCACCTGCAGGCTGGAAGATCTGCTTCCAAGCTCACCTGTGTGCCAGATTTCAGTTCCTTGCTGGTGGTGGACTGGAGGCTTCAGTTCCTCACCATATGGGCCTCTCTACAGGGCTGCTTGAGGGTCCTCAAGACACAGCAGCTTTCCCCAGAGTGAAAGCTCCAAGAAAGGGAGTGATCAAGAGGGAAGCTGCAGTGTCTTTTGAAACCTCATCTCAGCCGGGCACGGTAGCTCACGCCTGTAATCCCAGCACTTTGGGAGGCCAAGGCGGGTGGATCACAAGGTCAGGAAATCGAGACCATCCTGGTTAACACGATGAAACCCCATTTCTACTGAAAAAACAAAAAATTAGCCAGGTGTGTTGGCACGTACCTGTAATCCCAGCTACTGTCCCCAGGCAGGAAAATCACTTGAACCCAGGAAGGGGTGGTTGCAGTGAGCCGAGATTGCGTCATTGCACTCCAGCCTGGGCGACAGAGCAAGACTCCATCTCAAAAAAAAAAAAAAAAAAAAAAAACCTCATCTCAGAAGTGATGCCATGTATTCTGTTGGTCACACTGACCAACCCAGTACAGCATAGAAGGGGACTTCACAACAGTGTGAATAACTGAAGGCAAGAATCACTGAGAGGACCACCTTAGAGGCTATCATGTTTGACTGTGCCTTGCCAACTATTAAGCTCTGATCAGATAACAATGGTGATGATGATAATGACTGTTTTTGTTTTTTTTGTGAGATGGAGTCTTGCTCTGTCGCCCCGGCTGGTGTGCAGTGGCGCGATCTCAGCTCACTGCAAGCTCTGTCTCCCGGGTTCACACCATTCTCCTGCCTCAGCCTCCTGAGTAGCTGGGACTACAGGCGCCCACCATCACGCCTGGCTAATGTTTTTGTGTTTTTAGTAGAGACGGGGTTTCACCATGTTAGCCAGGATGGTCTCGATCTCCTGACCTCGTGATCGGCCCGCCTCGGCCTCCCAAAGTGCTGGGATTATGGGCGTGAGCCACTGCAACCGGCCAATAATGACTGTTCACTGAGATCCTACTGATACAGGACAGGCAAAGTGGGGCTTAGTCCATGAGGGTTCTTGGCTTTGTCCAAGAAAGAATTCAAGGGCAAGCTGAGATGGAAGAAAACAGCTTTATTGAAGTGGCAGTGTTCCAGCTCCGTGACAGCCCCAGCAGAGCAGGGCTATCCCACAGGCAGAGAGTGGCAGCTCAGGGCAGTTTTGTAGTCACATTTATACCCACTTTTAATAACATGTAGACTAAGGGGCAGTTTATGCAGAAATCTCTAGGGAAAGGGTAGTAACTTTTGGGTCATTGGGTCATTGCCATGGAAAGGGACAGTAACTCCCAGGTGTTACCATGGCAATCAATGGGAAAGGGACAGTAACTCCCAGGTGTTACCATGGCAATCAATGGTAAACCGACATGTCACACTGGTAAGCGTGTCTGATTGGAAAGCTGCTTCTGCCCTGGTTCTGTTTTAGCTAGTCCTCAATGTGGTCCGGTGCCCGAGCCCCGCCTCTGGAGTCGAGTCCCACTTCCTACCTCACTATTATGCACCAAGCGTTGTGCTGCAGTTCCACATACTGCAATTGTGGGGGAATAATATTATTGGCCTCATTTTACAGAAGAGGAAACTGAGGCTTTAAAAAAGTAGGAAAACTACCCAAAGCCACATAGCAAGGGAGACGCAGAACCAGGATTCAAACTCACAACTCCCAGATCCCACAATTCACTCTCTTAACCAGCTGCGTATACTGGAGCTGGCTTGTCCTGGCCCCTGAGGGACAACTGCAATTTTCAGGAGCCAGGTATTAAACACAGCCATTACTGAAGATTAAACGATCTAAACTTACAATTAAAGAAATCACATTAAAAGCAAAAGTAATAAATATTCCCATCTCATCACTTCCTAATTACTTTGCTACATTTTATTATTTTCCACGGGCTTGCCGTCACTTATGTCTATTATATCTGTGTGGTAAAAATACTAAAGAACAGTAATCTACTGCCCATCTTTCCCCAACTTTGTGTTTAGTGAAAACTAGTTAGAAGCTTACAATTGGCTATGGTGGGAGTATTTATACCACCAAATTGCGCAAATGCTACCAATCAAAGCTTTTTCCCCAAGAAGACGGGGTTGTTAAACATTTTACCAGCACACCATTACAACTAATCTGTTATTTCTCTTGTAAGGACTTCTCTTGCTAAAGACTCCATTCTCTTTTTTTTTTTTTTTTTGAGATGGAGTCTCACTCTGTCGCCCAGGCTGGAGTGCAGTGGCGTGATCTTGGCTCACTGCAGGCTCCGCCCCCCAGGTTCATGCCCTTCTCCTGCCTCAGCCTCCCGAGCAGCTGGGACTACAGGCGCCCACCACCTTGCCCAGCTAATTTTTTGTATTTTTAGTAGAGATAGGTTTTCACCGTGTTAGCCAGGATGGTCTCAATCTCCTGACCTTGTGATCCGCCCGCCTCGGCCTCCCAAAGTGCTGGGACTACAGGCGTGAGCCACCGCGCCCGGCCAACTAAAGACTCCATTCTTCATGAAATCCGAAAACGTAACACTCCCTGTGATGCGTATCAATCCAGATTTCCTTCCTGAAATTTCTGACTTCCTGATGAGGAAGCAAGAAGCATTTGTCTGAACAAAACATCTGAGATTAGAAAACGCAGGGAGAGGGAGAGAAAAGTGAGAGTAACAAAGGGGCCTTCTGATCACAGAAAGCAACGTGAGCTTACTTAAACCTCGGGGACCTCTCAGAAATCCAGATGAAGAAGTACACATGCAGGCCCCGCCCCTGCAGGGTCACTCCTGGTAGCCCAGAACGGGAAATTACCCAAATGTCCAGCCAGACAGGTTAATAAATTATGGAGCACACAAATGTTGCAAGGGCATTAAAAGTGTCATAAAGACATACAAAACTTTCACATTTTTTAAAGGATATAAAGAGAAAGAGGGTTGGCAATTTTGTTTGGAAGAGGGGGGAAAAAGACAAGAAGGAAATGCATTCCAATGCTAGGAGTGGTTTTCATCAATGTGATGTTAGGAGAATGGGTGGGCTTTGTTTTCTTTACATTTTTCTATATGTTCCAAGAATACATTGAGCACACCGTATTTTGTTGGTTGGGGAGACAGGAAAGGAGATTAACATTACTTAACAAAAGCAGATCCCTGTGGAGCACCCAAGCCCTCTGTTCTGCCCCTCCATTCACTCCAGGTCTCTCCCAGAGGCTCCTACTCTGAGACCCAGACTTTGGCCCAGGCTAGATCTATAAAGGAACCATTGTTCTCTGGGTGACATCATTCTGCTGCCAGGAGGGTGAAAGGAGACCTGAAATTGGGTGAGGCCAGCCAAAAAGAAAGCAGCCTGTCCTGCCTGCCTGGCGACACTGTAGCAGAGAATGAAGTGACATCATGCTGGCCTTTGGGGCTGGCTTTAAGTCTAACCCCTTGAATCCAAACCCCAAGGTGCAGCCCGAGACCAGGGCACCTGGCAGGGCTCTAGACATGACGTAGCAGGTGGCAGTTGGCAGTTGGCACAGGCAGTGGGAGATGGGGGAAGGGCACACAGCAGCTGGACCCCAGTTCTTTGAAGCCCAGATCTCCAGGAGAAATGTATTAGTAACAACCTGTGCCTGGCACACAGCAGGCACTCAAGAAGTGGTAGCTAGAGTTGTTATTCTGTTCTTCTCTTCCAACACTCCACACAGAGGCACAGATATAGCTCTCCCTTGCTCAGTACCCTCCAATGCTAAAATCTGACATCCTATCAGAATCCCCCTCCCTGGCCCTATCCGGCCTGGCCCCTGGCCCACCTCTCTGAGCTCACCTCTCCCACTGACTTGTGCTGCTCCAGTCACTCTGGGCTCCTTGCTGCTCCTCAAACACACCAGGCACGAACCTGCCTCAGGGCCTTTGCACTGCCTTTCCTGCTGTCCCAATGTCCCTCCAAACTTTCTGGGGCTCATCCCCTCACTCATGCAGGTCTCTGCTCCAATGTCACCTCCTGAGAAGACTTTCCTGACCACTGTTCCTAAAATACACTCCCATGGGTCCCCATGCCCTGTTACATTTTCTTCAGAGCCCTCACCATTATCTGAGAGTACTTTCTTTGTTCATTCATTGGTTTACTTAATTGTTTAATGTGTCTCCCTGCTCCTATGAGTCCCATGAGGGCAAAGACCCTGCCTGTTTTCTCCTCTACTGAGCACAGTATCTGGTACAAAACAGGTACTCAATTAAAAATTCCTAATGAATGAATGAGTGGTTTTTATTACCATTATACTTCAGATTTTCCATCCTGCCCTCTACAGGGAAAGAACTCCAGGCCTCCCTGGACTAGAATCCTGGCGTCAACTCTGAGATCAGATGAGACTGGGAGCATTCAGGGTGATGTGGCCGTACACTTCTTGTCATCTCTTAAGAGGTGTACACCAGGGCTGTGTCACTTATCCTCTCCAGGCCTCAGTTTACCCATCTATAATATGGAGGTGGTGTCACAGGGTGGACACAAGAATGAAGGACAGTGGATTTCAGGAAGGCAGATACTCTGTGAGCTCCTAGCCACTGTTCTGGGTACTGGCAATATCAAGGTGAACCAGGACGGCCAAAGCCCTGGCCCTCATGGACCTTACATCCTAGTAGAGGAGTCAGAGAATAAACCAGGGAACAAGTGACATGAAATAAGTATAGAATGAGATAGGTCCCAGGAAGAAATGTAGGATGGGTGCAGGGAAACGCAGGGAGTTCACCACAGCCTGGAACGTCGGGAAGCCTCTCTGCAGAGGTGAAGAGAGGGCAAGGGCATTTCAGCAGAGGGAATGGTGATGGCAAAGTCCTGGCGTCTGGAAGGAGCAGGGGGTGACTGACGAAGAGCAGGAGGTCAGAGGGGCAAGGTCAGAGTGAGCATAAAGGACAGAGGTAGGAGCTGATGTTAGCAGGGAGGCAGGGCCAGGTCGCACAGGAAAACTGGGCATCTAAGTCTGGGGTGAGGCAGGGGAATGACCTGATCTCTTGGGTTGTTGGGAGGAGAATGGACTGGATGGGAGGGGCCAGAGTGTAAGCTGTGGGGAGTGTGTGGGGGGCTGACAGTGGCCCCTAAAAAGATACGTTGGCTGGATGCAGTGTCTCACGTCTGTAATCCCAGCACTTTGGGAGGCTGAAGTAGGTGGATCCCTTGAGCCCAGAAGTTTGAGACTACCTTGGGCAACAAGGTAAAACTCTGTCTCTATTAAAAATACAAAAAAATTAGGTAGGTGTGGTGGTGTACACCTGTAGTCCCAGCTACTTGGGAGGTTGAGGTGATCATCCTAGGTGAGATCATCCTAGGTAATCCAGGAGGCTCCCATGTTCAGGGACAAGTGTCCTTACCAGAGACAGGAAAGGAGATGACAGAGAAGAGGAGATAGTGACATGAAGATAGAGGCAGAGATTGGGGTGATGTGGCCACAAGCCAAAGAATGCCTGGAACCACCAGAAGCTGGAAGAGGTGAGAAAGGATGCTCCCCTAGAGCCTCTGGAGGGAGGCGTTGACTGCTGACATTTTTTTTTTTTTTTTTTTTTTTGAGACAGAGTTGCATTCTTGTTGCCCAGGCTGGAGTGCAATGGTGTGATCTCGACTCACTGCAACCTCCACCTCCCGGGTTCAAGCAATTCTCCTGCCTCAGCCTCCTGAGTAGCTGGGATTACAGGCATGCGTCACCACACTGGGCTAATTTTGTATTTTTAGTAGAGATGGGGTTTCTCCATGTTGGTCAAGCTGGTCTTGAACTCCCGATCTCAGGTGATCCGCCCGCCTCGGCCTCCCAAAGTGCTGGGATTACAGGTGAGTCACCACACCCGGCCGACTGCTGACATTTTGATTTTGGACTTCTGGACTCCGGAACTGTGAGAGATGAAGTTATATTAATTTAAGCCACCAAGTTTGTGGTAATTTGTTACAGAGCCGGAGGACCCCAGTAGGGAGAGAGTACTGATGGAGATGGGGCTGAAATGCAGCTTCTGAAGGCAGGAGTTCTATACATCCTTTCCTTGCAATTCTCCCCCACTTGCTGAAGCAGTGTGTCTGTGTGTGTGTGTGTGTGTGTGTGTGTGTGTGTGTGTGTGTGTGTGTGTGTGGTTGGGGGAGATGCTGAGCCCTGCTGAATATTTTAAGCCTCCATTACAGTCCATAATTAACACAGAAGCAAATACTCCCACTCGGCCTTGGGCTGGAGGACTGAACGCTCAGCTCTGGGGCCGATGTTTAATAGTGAATCCCCAGTGCAGGGTGTGGTCATGCTCCCAGCAAGGCCGACACATGCTGGATGGAGTCCCCACTTCATGGATCCCCAGTCCTGTGACTTCCCCTCTCTGTGCTTCAGATTTCTCCATTCACAAAGTATGGGGCTATACCCCACAGGGGCAGCTGTGTGGTTCCTGGCAAGCAGGAGAGGCTCATGGATGTGGGATCCCTGCCCTTCTCCCCATATTTAAGTCACTGGGAGAATATACCCCAGCTACAATTATTGTGCCCCACACCACATTATATACGACAGTGTTCTCAAACCTGGATGGGGGCTGGGAGGGGGCATTGTGATTCTGCCCCCAAGAGACTTGGCAATGTCTGGATATTTTTGGTTGTCACAACTGTGGGATGCTACTGGCTTCTAGTGGGTAGGAACCAGGGATAAGCTTACAATGCACAGACTCTACCCCTTACCCCCCACAGCCATAAACAATTATGTAGCCCAATATATCATTAGAGCTGAGGCTGAGAAACTCTAATATACAGCAATAGTTTGAGGTTAAAGACAGACCCTTGATATTTTAAGATAGTTCTCTCATTTTCAGCACATATATGACATATTTACATTCTGATGTGTTTTATTATCAGCCTCACTAGAAGGCAGCTCTGTGAAGGCAGGAGTTTTGTCTCTTTCGTTCACAGCCATTTCTCCTGCACCAGAGTTGTGGTAGATACTCAGTAAATACTGACTGAGGGGGCCAGGTGTGGTGGCTCACACCTGTAATCTCAGCACTTTGGGAGGCTGAGGTGGGTGGATCACCTGAGGCCAGAGTTCGAGACCAGCCTGGCCAACATGGTGAAACCCTGTCTCTACTAAAAATACAAAAATTAGCCGGGTGTGGTGGAACACGCCTGCAGTCCCAGCTACTCAGGAGGCTGAGGCAGGAGAATTGCTTGAACCCAGGAGGCGGAGGTTGCAGTGAGCCAAGACTGCACCATTGCACTCCAGCCTAGGGGACAGAGCAAGACTCCATCTCAATACGTACATACATACATACATACATACATACATACATACATACATACATACATACTGGTGGAGGGGGTGGGGTACAGTGGCTCATGCTTGCAATCCCCACACTTTGGGAGGCTGAGGTGGGAGGATCACTTGAGGCCAGGAGCTCAAGACCAGCCTGGGCAACATAGCAGGACCCTGTCTCTACACAAAAGAAAAAAAATGGCTGGGTGTGGTGGCACATGCCTGTAGTCCCAGCTATTCCAGAGGTGAGAGGATGGCTTGAACGCAGGGTATCGAGGCTGTGGTGAGCTATGATCGTGCCACTCCACTCCAGCTCCAGTGACAGGGCAAGACCTTGTCTTCAAAATAAGTAAATGAAAATAGGCTGGGCACAGTGGCTCATGCCTGTAATCCCAGCACTTTAGGAGGTTGAAGCGGGTGGATCACTTGAGGTCAGGAGTTCGAGACCAGCCTGGTCATCATGGTGAAACCCTGTCTCTACTAAAAATACAAAAATTAGCCAGTGTTGTGGAGGGCACCTGTAATCCCAGCTACTGGGGAGGCTGAGGCAGGAGAATCACTTGAACCTGGGAGGTGGAGGTTGCAGTGAGCCGAGACTGTGCCACTGCACTCCAGCCTGGGTGACAAAGTGAGGCTCTGTCTCTAAATAAATAAATAAAAATAAATACTGGTTGAATGAAAATATGAGTGAATTAATGAAGACATGCAAGTTATATGCACCTGATGCTTAGCATGGAGCCCTGCACACAGTAAATACAAACACAGGTTGATCAGGCTCTTACTCTGCTTCCCTGAGGCACCAGTCTAGCCTTCTAGGAAGGTAGGACTCACATTACAGTCTGAGCCCCCCAAAAAGCAACGTGGAACGAACATTTATTCAGCACCTCCTGCATGCCAGGGCTATGCTTGCTCTTAGTCCACTCTGTCCCATTGAACCACCCACCAGACAAGTCCCAGCTGAATCTCCATGTTTCAGATGAGGGCACTGAGGCTGCAAGAGGTGATTTAAGCTGCCCAAGGTCACTCAGTTTGCACGTGGTGAGTTGAGACTCAGGCCTAAGTCTGTCTGACTCCAAAGCCCTCCTTGGTGCGGCACCCCATGGCCTCAGAGACCCCCCACTTCCCGCTTTTATTCCAGTCTTGGCCCCTGTGCCACTGCCATTGTTCCTGGGTTCTGGAATTTTCTGTCTGGCCTCTAACTGGAGTCCACCTTGTCTCCTCGGCTAAACCTGGAGTACCAGGCGTGTTTCTCAGGCTCACATGGGAGTGCAGCATAAACGTGCCTCTTCCTGCCTTTGTGGCTCAGAGACAAAGCATTTGTTTTCCCTCTTTCCCCCTTTTATCCCTTGGACACAGAAGCAGGCAGGCCATTAGCAAATTACTTCAAGGCTGGCTTTAGAAAACATTTCAGGGCACGCCTTTGAGGGTTATTTTGTGCCCGCAATAGATTCTTCTACACTGCTCTGAGTAAATACAAGCCGGAGGCAGGAACCAGGATGAAATGAATGGATTATTTAGATAAATCATGTACAAGGTCAGAAAGACTAAAATCCTGCCCCCTCCCAGCCCCAGCCACGGATACTGCTGTTGTCCCAAACTCTTAAGTAATTGTCTGTGGCTTTAAAAAGTTTCTTCCCATAAAACGAATATTTAAGTGAAGTCCCTGAGTAAAAAGGGCGTGTGTGGGTTTTCCAGCTCATTGAAAATCTTTGAAGTGATGGTTTGAGAGGAAAGGTTTGGTTGCCACAAGAACTAATTTTTAAGCACCACAAGCTAAGAACGGCCACGCTCACCACACATTTACCAGCACATCAATGCACGATCATCCCCATTTCACAGAGGAGGAAATCAAGGCACAGAGAGGGAAGGAGTCTGTCCAAGATCACACAGCTGGGAAGCGGCAGAGCCAGGACTCAACCCCTAGGCAGGGGGTCCCTGGCCTTGCGTTTCGTTGACTTATCTGCAACACTGCACATGTTCCTATCCTAACTCTGCCTTTATCCTGCTCAGGCAGAGTATCTAGGCAAGCAACAGAGAGAGAGCATTCACAAGTGTGCAGATTCTGTGTGCCTGGCACTGTGCTGGGGGCTTGCTTCAATCTCATACCAAGGCCTTGGTTCTCCTCATTGGACACAGGAAGAAACTGAGGCTTAAGAATGGGTCAGGGCTCCTCAGCCAGGAGTCTGATTCAAGCTGTCAAGGCCAAGGCCAGCTGGTGCCTACCACCCAGTAGGGTGGCTACATGGGAAGGAGCCTGAAGCTTGAATGTATTTAGCATGTATTTACACTCTTGGTGGCATCTCGACGCAACACGGAATGGTTCTCTGCACCACCCAACTTCATTTATTCAACCAGCTGGAGAGGCCACTCCTGCCAGTGGCACCAACCTGTAACACAGGGTAAGACGCCTAGGGGATTCATGCCAATGCCCATGGTCACACCACTCCCCAGGGTGGGGAAAGAGGGATGCCAACAGAGCCTGCCTGTCACCAACCCCATACCCTGAGAGAGAACAGGAGTGACAGAGAAACAAACAGAGACAGAGCAAGGCAGAAAGACACATCACAGAGACAGAGATACACACAGAGGGAGACAGAATGAATGAGGGGCCTTCTTTCCCTGTGGCAAGTCACACCTTCCAGAGGTTGGGGAATCTGTCTCATAAATCCAAGCCCCACTAATTTGTTCTGGGCCACAAAGAAGCACAGACCCACTGTGAAGGAGACGTCCTGTGAACGAGACACGTGTCATGCCCAAGTGCTCGGCTCCTGCCTTGCATTTGCAACTGCCTGCTCTGGCTGCTGCGTGACCTGGGGTGAGTCACACCTCTGGGTCAGCAGAGGGGATACTGAGCCCCTGCACCTGGCAGGGCAGCTGTGAGCCCTGCCACCTCGAGTGTAGGGAGGGCCAGCTCAGGGCTCCTCCCTAAATGCTGGGTCCCTTAATGACTATAGCACTCCTGGCTAGGAGGAACCCAGAAAAAGGGGCTGGCTTAGCCCTTCGCCTGTCCTCAAGTGCTCCCATAAACTGGGCCAACACAGTCAGGTGGCAGAAGTCTCCTATGTGAAAATGGCAGGCCCTCTCTTTAGGCTCAGGTCTGGTCAGTGACCTGGGCAGCCCTGAATTAATTGGGAGGGTCTGGGGAGAACATCTGCTGGGAGCTGGACTGCAAAGAGCCGTGAATGGGGAGGTCAGAGCCTGGGGTTCGGGACCTGGCTCTGCCACTCACTCACTGTGCTTCCCCCACAGTAGGCACTTTCGCTTTCTGGGCCCAGTCCCACCTCTCCAAATCATCAGAAGGACCTTACGATTGTTTCTGCACTGTCGCCTAGCAGGACACAGGCCAAGGTTTTAATCATTAGCTGTCATTCCACCCTGCTGTCCCAATCCAAGCCCTCCCGAGCCTGCCTGAGTAAGAAATCAAGGCCTCCCTCCCTGGCCCACTCACACCAAACCCAAGGTTCACGGCCAGCGGGCAAACTCGCCCACCACACCTCGGTCTCCTAAGACCCTTTCCTTGGCAATCCAATGAAAGCTCGGTGGAACGACAAAAGCTACAACTCAGCGTGCACATGACACCGCCACTTGTGCTTCCTAGGAGGGTGAGAGGAGATGAGGCAGGTGCCACTAATCCACCCTAAAAATAGGGAGAAGGATGAGCTTTCGTGTCGGGGGTTGGGGTGTTCACACTTAAACATAAATCAACTGGCAAATTCAGCCCAACTCACGTGCTGGCCCTGTCCACACAGACGTCGACTCCAGCAAAAATGTCCTGACTGACTTCAGGAGAGAGGAATTATTGCTACGTGCCTCTTTCCCAGGTACAGGGGACAGGAAGTGCCTGGGCTTTGACTGACAACTATTCTGGAAGAAGTAACTTCCCCGGTTTGATGTCTGGGACCCCCTCCCTGGGAGGACTGGAGGGGAGGAGCTTTCAGTGTTGTTTTAATATTTTTTAAAACATAATAAGCTTACAATATCTGGCGGTTCCGAATCTGTATGCCTTTTCCTCAGTGAAGAAAATCTCTGTTGGCTGCGAGCAGAGAAGCGGCGGAAGGATTCCCGACTCCGGGAAGCCAGGTGTCGGAAGGAGGAAGTACGCTTGAAGGGGGTCCGGCTGGCCGACTCTGCACTCGTCCGTTCGTGGCCCACCGTGGTGGTCACCAAATTGAGGGCTTCCTGGAAGGACCTCCTCACGGTGCCCATCCACTGGGTCATGTGGGTCTGGGCCACTGTGAGTTTATCTCCCAGGTAATCCATGGGGCCAGCCAGGAGGAGAGGGAAGAAGGAAGTTAGGGAGGGAGAGAGCAATTAAAACGCCAGTGTCCTCTTGCCTCTTTGGACTCTTTTGCTCATGGAAGTTTTGGGCTTGCTTGGAGGAAAAAAAATTAAAAACAGCAGCTTTCTTCAGGCAAACCAAGGGTAAGTAAACATCCCTGAGCCAGGAGCCGGCTGCATCCACGGGTGCCGCTCAGAATTAAGAGGCAGCTAAGTGCCAGGCTGGGAGTCCACCCCAGCGGAGTTATAAAGTCAACACACTGGGCAGTCCAGGTTCCAGTTCCAGGGCTCACCCAGCTGATCGGCCGAGACAAGGAGCTTTGAGGAACAAGCCGGCTGCACTCACTCCAGGGCGTGACGGTCCCGAAAGGCGGGGGATGGGGATGGGGGTGGGGGTGGAGGGGGCGGCCTTTGGGCACCCTCGTCCTCACTTCCCTTCAGGTAGGCAGCCCCCCTGAGGTGCACCCTGGGAGGTTCCGGTGGGCAAGCTGCCGCACCCTGCTGCCCCCTGCCCGGCTGCCCTCGGCCAGACCCCGCTCACCTGACCCATGCAGGTTTTCTGTCCTCTGGCTGGAGATTCCAAACCTGTCGGCCGGCAGGCGGCTAGCTCACTTCCGGAGGCAGCCACCAGGGCCCCCGGGTCCCCTGGCTGAGCAGCCCGGGATGACATCAGCCCCCGTCTTAGCGAGGGGCTTCGCTGCCCAGGAATGCAGGAGGGGCCTCGGGGAGGCGGAGGCGGTGGCGGCGGCCGCCCAGGGAGCTGACGTCCGCCCCCATTTTTTTCTCCCCCAAGTCCCAACTCGCTCACGGTCCCTCGGGGCTGATGGCAACTTCACGTGCCTGCCAGCCTACCCACCCCTGTGCCCTCACAGCAAGCGCACCAGGAAATGCGGCTGCACGTGTGTGCATGTGTGTGCACTCTGTGTGTGTGTGCGTGTATGTCGGCGATCTGGCAGCCCCGGGAAGGTTAGCACTGCTGGGAAACGGCTTCTGCCTCTAAGGTTACAGGCAGCGTCTTGGGACCTCTGGTCGGCTGTCAGTCTGTCTCCCTCTCGTGGTCTGTTTCTCTGTTGATTTCTCAGCCTCGCTCTCCTCCCTCTCCCTGTGTCTCAACTTCCACTTGCTTGTCTCTAAGCGTCTCTCCTCTCTCTCTCCTTTTCAGCTGTCTCTCCCTCCCTCTCTGGAAGGCAACACTGATCCAGGTGAGACAGCCTCTGAGGTCCCCCAGGAAGGACTGGGGAGGGCTGTATTTCAGTACAGGCGGAGTTGCCATGGCAACCCGGGGCACAGCATCTGCCCTGTCCTGGGCAGCAGGCTCAGCACTGGGAGCAATGGGAATGATTCATGGTTTACACTAGGTCACGTGAGCTCCCTGGGTTTTAACCCTTACAGGGCTGGAGTACTAGGGGTTGGGGGTACGACTAGACCCTAACACCCACTGTCCTCGGCCAGGCCCCGCTCATCTGACCCATGCAGGTTTTCTGTCCTCTGCCTGGAGATCCCAAACATGTCAGGGGTTGTTAGAAGGGGGTGGGCAGCAGCTGGATCCTGGAGGTCAGGCACACCTGTTAAAGGAGGTTTCTCCTTCTAGCAGGGATCCATGTCCCCCCAACCCCACTACTTTTACAGACAAGGAAATGCAGATTCAGAGACATAGATTCACTTGCCCAAGGTCACACAGCAAGGATGTCACCAGGCATGCACCAGAGCTGCTCCCACCCCAGGTTTTCCCAGGTCTGACATGGTACCTGGCCCAGAGTCAGGGCTCTGTAAATATTTATTGTTCGGACACCAAGTACACAATTGAAACCCAGGTCGCTCAGAATGCATCCTATGTCCTTTCCACCACCACCTCACTTCAGTTTTGAACAAATATTTGTTTTCTAGACACTGGTCAAAGGGCCTCACTTGAGAAAGTTTATCACAAAGGACTCTCTGGCAATATGGCCAACAGATCTCTTTCTTTTCTATGTATTCCCAGTCCTTACAGCTATTCATTCTCTTTCTCTCCCTGTCTCTCTTCTTCTTTTTTTGGATACAGGATCTCACTCTGTTGCCCAGGCTGGACTGCAGTGGCATGATCACAGCTCACTGCAGCCTTGGCCTCCCAGGCTCAAGCGATCCTCCCACCTCAGCCTCCTCGGTAGCTAGGACTACAGGTATGTGCCACCATGCCCAGCTAATTTTTTTTTGTGTGTAATTTTTGTAGAGACAGGGTTTCACCATGTTGTCTAGGCTGGTCTCGAACTCCTAGACTCAAGCGATCCACCTGCCTCAGCCTCCCAAAGTACTGGGATTACAAGCATGAGCCACCACATCCAGCCTCATTCATTCTTTCATTCATTCATTTAATAAAGATTCAGAGGGTGCCTACTCTGAGCCAGGCACTGCATAGAGATTAAGAGCAGAGGGCTCACAGCCCAGCAGGGGATGACAGTGGTGGCTAATATTTATCAAGAGGTAACTAAATGTCCAACACCATTTCTAAGCATTCACAGGAATCAACTAATGAATTTTTTTGCATGAACCCATTTGACAGAGGAGACTGAGATCCACAGAGGTGAAATCATGTACCAAGGTTATGGCTGATAGATGTCCTCCAAGATGACCATCAGTAATCCTTGCCCCCTTTTATTCATAACCTGGTGTGGTCCCCTCCCACAACGAATCAAGGTTGGTCCGTGTGGTTAGCAGAATAAAGAAGTGATGGGCCGGGCGCGGTGGCTCACGTCTGAGTAAAGAAGAAGTGATGGGCCAGGTGCGGCGGCTCATGTCTGTAATCCCAGCACTTTGGGAGGCCGAGGCGGGTGGATCACAAGGTCAAGAGTTCAAGACCAGCCTGGCCAACATGGTGAAACCCCGTCTCTACTAAAACTACAAAAATTAGCCGGGCACAGTGGCAGGCACCTGTAATACCAGCTACTTGGGAGGCTGAGGCAGGAGAATCGCTTGAACCCGAGAGGCAGAGGTTGCAGTGAGCTGAGATCACACCACTGCGCTCCAGCCTGGGTGACAGAGTGAGACTCCGTCTAAAAAAAAAAAAAAGAAGTGATAGTGTAGGACTTCTAAAGCTTGGTCATAAAAGGCATCATGGTTTCTACCTTCTTCTCTGAGGTCATACTGGGGAAAGCCAGCCGCCATGTTGTGAGGATGCTCAAGCAGTCACACACAGAAACCCACATGGAGAGAATCTGAGGCCCCCAGCAAACAGCTAGCACCAGTTGCTGGCCATGTGAGTGAGCCACTATGGAAGCAGATGCTCCATCTCTAGTCAAACCCTTAGCTGACCGTAGACCTGGCCAGTATCTTGAGTACAACGTCATAAGAAATTCCAAGTCACAGTCACTCAGCCACACTGCTCCCAAATTCCTGGCCCATAGACATCACAGAGATACAAGTGCCCAGAGGCAAGTAGGTAACTGGTCCATGAGAAAACTGAAGATTGAAGGCAAAGATGGGGTGGGGGGCTCTTGCAGCAGCCTATATACCTTACATTGATATATCCAGAAGTATTACTCCACCATGCAGGTGAGGAAACATACACAGGAAACATACACAGGGCTAGGTCGCACTTCCATGAGTGCCTGGCTCCACCCTCCACCACATGCAGCCTCCTAGGTCCCAGGACTTCTGGCATCCAAAGTGGGCCTCCAAAGTTTGTCCATTTTCCCCACACAGATTGCCCATAGTGAGCTCCTACACCATGAAGTCCTCTTCATGGTCTGCTCCCTCATTACGCAGGCCCAGGACGTCCAGAGTGGAAACAGGAACAGACCTGAGAAAGAGCTGAGTCCTCCCCGCTGGCCCCAGAAAAGTCACACCAGAAATACCTAGAAAGCTGGAATGGCACACAGCTTTTTAACAGACCATCTGGACATCGGGGTGGGAAATCCACTGGGGTCCTCAGGAGGAAAAATGTTAAATCAAAATAGAAAGTAAAACACCTTTAAAATGATCATACCCAGTGTTGTCAAGGTTGTGGTGAAACAAGACACATATGTCCACAGCAGATGGACATGAAAACTGATATATATTTCCTGGAAGAAATTTAACACCCTAAATCAAAAGTCTTAAAAAATAATGGCTTGCCAGTTAATGACATACATATTGAAATGTACAGCTGAAATGTACTGATATCTATAATTTTTTTTTGAGACAAAGTCTTGCTCTGTCACCTAGGCTGGAGTGCAATGGCGTGATATCAGCTCACTGCAACCTCTTCCCACTGGGTTCAAGCGATTCTCCTGCTTCAGCCTCCCGAGTATCTGGGATTACAGGTGTGCACCACCACGCCTGGCTAATTTTTGTATTTTTAGTAGAGACGGGGTTTCACCATGTTGCCCAGGCTGGTCTTGAACTCCTGACCAGTGATCCGCCCACCTCGGCCTCCCAAAGTGCTGGGATTACAGGCATGAGCCACCATGCCCGGCCAATAATTTATTTTGAAATGCACACACACACAAAAAATGGAGTGCTGGGTGCTGTGGCTCACACCTGTAATCCCAGCTCTTTGGGAACCCAAGGTGGGAGGATTGTTTGAACCCTGTAGTCCCAGTACTCTGGAGGCTAAGGTAGAAGGATTGCTTCAGCCTGGGAAGTTAAGGCTGCAGTGAGCTGTGATCACACCACTGCACTCCAGCCCGGGCAACAGAGTGAGAACCTGTCTCAAAAAAAAAAAAAAAAAAAAAAAGTGCCATGGATGGATGGCTACATTTTTATAAAGCACACATAGCACTTTTTTTTGAGACGAAGTCTCACTCTGTTGCCCAGGCTGGAGTGCAGTGGTGTGATCTCAGCTTGCTGCAAACTCCGCCTCCTGGGTTCACGCCATTCTCCTGCCTCAGTCTCCCGAATAGCTGGGACTACAGGTGCCTGCCACCACGCCCGGCTAATTTTTTTGTATTTTTAAGTTTCCTGTGAGACACCTGGTCATGGGGGGGTTTCACCATTTTAGCCAGGATGGTCTTGATCTCCTGATCTCGTGATCTGCCCCCCTCCGCCTCCCAAAGTGCTGGAATCACAGGTGTGAGCCACCGCACCCCAGCCACATAGCAAATTTTATAGAATCTAGCTGATGGGTGTTTTCCTATATAATTTTTCTATATGTTTGAACATTTTCATAACAAAAGGTTGGGGTGGGGGGGCACTGTGTCCAACTTTTGACCCTATAGTTAGTGATCCAGTTCCACACACAGGAATTCCTTTGGAAATAACAATAATAATATACAAACATTTTGCTATAAGAATGTTCATCACAGTCACATAGATAATGATGAAAAGGTGTAAGAACCTAATTATTCAAAAAGGGACTTGCTCAGTGCAGTGCAAGCCATGCTGGCGCCAGAGGCAAAAGGAAAAAAATAAGTAATACTCATCCTGTTTTTATTTATAGTTCTGATTCCTTTCTCATCACAAATTTTTGCATTAATTTTAATTTTTTAAAAACAATTGAAATATTATTCAGTGATCAGTGACTTTTCTTGATGTCCCCCAATTTTGTGCCCTATGTGAGCACCTCACTTGCCTTATTCTAGACCCACCCCGTCCTTGCTAAATAAGTATAGCATCATGATTAAGGGTTTGGAGACCCAGCTATAGCTCTTATTAGCTGTGTGACGGTGAACAAGTTACTTGACTTCTCTGGTTTTCAGAGATGAAGTCATCAAACTCATCATTTCCATCGATGCAGCTAGTACCTCCCCTGACTAAGATCCCCTTTTCTAGAAGGTGCACACACACACGTCAGCTGCTGTGAATGCTGGTTACGAAAGGCTCAGAGCTCTACCCTCCTCTGGAGAACTGCCCTTACTGAAGGCTATGTCCAGATGCCCACAGCCAATGACTGACCAATACAGAACACAACACTCAGGTCTCCTTGCCTCAAGGCACCACCAACTCAGTGATGCAATTCACACTCTAGGGGTCCCCATGGGACTGGGCTGAGGCTGGGGCTCAGCTGAAACCACATCTGTAGTTAGCTTTGTCCCCTGCCCCAGTTGTTGCCCTTTCTTCCTTATGGGTTTCGCTTGAGAGCTTTCCCTCAATGAATCACTGCACCAGAATCCTCATGTCAGTCTCTGCTTCTAGGGAACCTGACCAAAGACCACCACCACCATCACCACCATCACTACTGCTAACTGAGCACTTACTATGTGCCAGGCATTACATTGCATCACTGTATTACACCATCAGCTCCTCCCAACAATGAAAGGAGGCTGATACTATTAATATGGTTATCACTCACATTTTACTGATGGAAAAACCACGGCAGAAAGAAGTGAAATGACCAACACAAGGTCACACAGCTATTAAGTGGTGGAGTTTGGCACCCCCCCCCCCCAACTTCATACCTGTGACAAGCTATATATCCTGGCCCTCACCAAATCAGTCTGGATGGCGACAAGCGCCCAGAAAAGCAGAGACCAAATGGCAGGTGGGATCATCCAGTTCTGCCTCCTTCCAGAAAGGGGAGAGGGGTGCAGAAGTGAGCTACAAAGCCAGATTCCTGCTTGTTCCCTCCTGGCTTCCTTTAGGTACAGAGCGGTCTGCAAGTGTGACTATAAAAAGCTTCGCTTCCTGAAAACTGGGGCAGCACAAGCATTTTCCCCCCCAGAGGACTTTTTCTGCAAAGTCTTCTGTTCTCTCCAGGAAACTCTTGGGATGTTTTGGGCATCAAAAAAGAAAGAAAACCATCTTTTTCTTACATAATTAATCCAAAAAATGCTGGAGAAGCTGCTGAGATCCAGGAAGTAAATGGGAATTTCTTTTACAATGTGAGGCGAGACACAGAGATCGCCATTTCTAGACAATCACGTGTGATTTCAGAAATCAGAAAATGGGCCAGGCGTGGTGGCTTATGCCCGTAATCCCAACACTTTGGGAGGCTCAGGTGGGTAGATTCTCTGAGGTCAGGAGTTTGAGACCAGCATGGCCAACATGGCGAAACCCCATATCTACTAAAAATGTAAAAATTAGCTGGGAGTGGTGGTGGGCACCTGGAATCCTAGCTATTTGGGAGGCTGAGGCAGGAGAATTGCTTGAACCCGGGAGGTATGTTGCAATGAGCTGAGAACACACCATTGCATTCCAGCCTGGGCAACAGAGCGAGACTCAGTCTCAAAAAAAAAAGAAAAGGAAGGAAAGAAAGAAAGAGAAAGAAGAAATCAGAATATGTCGGTCATTCATTCATTCAACAAACATTCCCTGGACAGTTACTTTCTGCAAGTTCAGTGTTGGGCTTGAGGGGACCTATGGTCTCTGAAGAGCTCAGTGTATCTATCTGATTCTTAGCCATTAAGGGTGGAAGGCCAACTCAAATCTGAGGCTATCCCATTTTCTCCCCAAAATCAAATACAAAAATGTATAATTTTAAGAATCCCTGGTCTGGTGGAAGAAAGAAATAGGAAAAAAAAAATGAACAATTGCCAAGGGTTCTGATGAACAAGTGAATAACATGCTATGGGAACATAATAGGGAGGGTGAACCCCAACCAAGAAATTCAAAGGTTGAGGAAAGAAGGTCACAGGGAAATGATCACTTATTAAAGACTTACAATCAAAAGAAGGGTATCTGGGTGGGGTTTTGAAGGATAAATAGGAGTATTCCAAGAGGGCTGAAATTGAGAACACCACGTGCAAAGGCCAGGAAGTCGGGGCACGTTCAGTCTTGCCCTCGGAGTTCTGGACATGTGGCATCCCTGCCTACAGCTGCCTTCCCCTCCTCTCCCACCTCCAAGACAACCTTCGGCTTTTTCCAGATCTCCCGCAGGAGGTCCCACTCATATGACCCTCTTCACATCCTGCTTCCTAAAAGATTGGACATTCCAGGACTGTGCATCCTAGACTAAGAGGTACACTAATATTATGTTAATAAAGAAGGTGGGGCCAGGAGCAGTGGCTCATGCCTGTAATCCCAGCACTTTGGGAGTCTGAGGCGGGTGGATCACCTGAGGTCAGGAGTTCGAGACCAGCCTGGCCAACATGACAAAACCCCATCTCTACTAAAAATACAAAAATTAGCTGGGTGTGGTGGCAGTTTCCTATAATCTCAGCTACTCAGGAGGCTGAGGCAGGAGAATCGCTTGAACCCAGGAGGCCGAGGTTGCAGTGAGCCAAGATTGCGCCACTGCACTCCAGCCTGGGCAACAGAGCAAGATTCCATCTCAAAACAAAACAAACAAACAAAAAAGAAGGTGGTACAGTGGAAATAATAACCACTAATGGAGGATTTACTGTGTACCCAGGAAACGTTTACTTGCACATCTCACCTCATTAACCCTCAAAACAACACTTGAGCGTGAGTCGTATTAGTGATGTTCCCCATTTTGCAGAGGCCAGTGAGGTTTAAAAAGCCAAAAGGACTTGCCCTGGGCTGGTTGTGGTGGCTCACGCCCGTAATCCCAGCACTTTGGGAGACCGCGATGGGCGGATCACAAGGTCAGGCATTTGAGACCATCCTGGCTAACACGGTGAAACCCCATCTCTACTAAAAATACAAAAAAAAGGCCAGGTGCAGTGGCTCACACCTGTAATCCCAGCACTTTGGGAGGCTGAGGCAGGCAGATCACGAGGTCAGGAGATAGAGACTATCCTGGCTAACACGGTGAAACCTCGTCTGTACTAAAAATACAAAAAATTAGCTGGGCGTGGTGGCAGGCGCCTGTAGTCCCAGCTACTTGGGAGGCTGAGGCAGGAGAATAGCGTGAACCTAGGAGGCGGAGCTTGCAGTGAGCTGAGATCACACGACTGCCCTCCAGCCTGGGCAACAGAGCAAGACTCCGTCTTTAGCCGGGTGCGGTGGTGCGTGCCTGTAATCCCAGCTACCCGGGAGGCTGAGGCAGGAGAATCGCTTGAACCTGGGAGGCAGAGGTTGCAGTGAGCTGAGATTGCACCACTGCACTCCAGCCTGGGTGACAGAGCGAGACGCCGTTCTCAAAAAAAAAAAAAAAGGCGGTTGGGGGGGGACTTGCCCAAGGTCACTGAGCTGGCAAGAGGGCTCTGGGACTTGAACCCAGACCTGTCTGATCCCAAAGCCTTTCACCACCTCATTTCTCTGCACTTACCTGGGTTGTTCCCCAGGCCTCTTGTGAGGGTCAGGAAAAGCCTTCAGAAGGGCTTGCCCAGTTGCCAATTGCATTAGTTTCCCTTTCTTGTCGACTGGCCTGGAGACAAATTCCCAGGACTACGTGTGGGAAGGGCTGGCTCATGAACTCAGCTTCAACCTACTTTTTTCTCTCTTTCAGGTGGAGCAACACCGTCAGTCAGAAGGCAGCGGATGGCACAGGGCTTCCGCGTAAGGCCTGCATCGCCTGAGTCATGGTTTTCTCATCTTGTATGAGGCCCACCCCCTTCAAAAGGTTGTGACAAAAAAAACAACTGAGATAATTTGTGCCGCTGGCACATAGTTAACACTCAATAAGGCCGGGCGCAGTGGCTTACACCTCTAATCCCAGCACTTTGGGAGGCTGAGGCAGGTGGATCACTTGAGGCCAGGAGTTCGATACCAGCCTGACCAACATGGTGAAACCCCATCTCAACTAAAAATACAAAAATTAGCCAGGCATGGTGGTGTGCACCTGTAGTCCCAGCTACTTGGGAGCCTGAGGCAGGAGCATCTCTTGAACCCGGGAGGTGGAGGTTGCAGTGAGCGGAGATGGCACCACTGCACTCCAGCCTGGGCGACAGAACAAGACTCTGTCTCAAAACAACAACAACAACAAAATAATAAATGGTGACCACAAGGGATGATCGTTTTTCTATTATAATTCCTATCATCTCACTGTTCAAATGAATCACAGGACCCTAGACAGTCAGAATCAAGACACCAGCAGGGACCAACCTAGGCCAACCTTCCCACTAAACTGAAGAAACAGGCCCAGACCGAGGGCTGCCCTAAGGCCTCACAGTCCATCTGCAGCAGGCGCCCTCTCTGATATCTCCTAGGAAATGTGCATGATCTGAACTTTGACAGCGTCTGCAACCTCACATATTACCTGTTTCCCAGCTTCTTTCTACCCTGAACAAACTGGACAGATGTTAATCCTGGAATGTGCCATGACATCTCTGGTTCAGCCTTTTGCATATGCTGTTCCCTCTGGCTAAGACACCTTTCCACCCCTTCCTCACCTGGCCAGCATCTAGTCCACCACAGCTCAGCTTAGATACTCCCGCCTCTGAGACACCTCCCGTTTCCTTATATCCATGGGGGCAGGGGGCACCTCTGGGGTCCCACTCTGCCTATGTAACCCCTACCGAATCACACAGTTTACCTGGCCATAATTTGGTTTACCCATCAGTCTTCCCCTCCAGGTCCCGAGCCTGTGGGCGGCAGGGACGTGTCCTGTCCACCCTTGACACTCAACATCCTGAAGAGGCTCTCATCGTACCCACTGTGTGAGATGAAGGAATCACTGAGGCTTGAACCCAAGTCACAGGACTCCAAACATCCTTCTTGGGAGACTTGTTTCCAAGGCAACAGGGAAAGGAATTCAGATAAAAGAAAAAAAAATAGAAATGACTTGATTTTACAAGTCAATCCCAGATTATTTATAAACCAAGCCCAAGATTATTTCCTTGTGTTAATTTATCACATTCTTCTTCAAATAGTCATTTTAGTGACCTAAGATGTCTTTAACCTTGGGATGAGCAATCAATCAATCAATCAATCAATAAAAATCATCTAGCAAGGAAATCTTTCTAGAAACAGACAGAAACTCATCACCTTTCTTTATCAGGCCCCACCCTCAGCTCAAGTAGAAAGCAGCGTTTTCCATGCTGTGGAGAGTCTGCCATGTGGCCCTGCCTGGCATGGCAAAGCCAATCTGTAATTACAGCCCCTCTTCCAAGAGCCAGGCCTCTTACAAGGCTGCAAACCCTGGCCTTCTCTAAAATGGAAAAAGGCAGGCGGCAGGCCCCCACCTAATTCCCCTGCCTGACTTATCTCCCTGGGCCACCCGGTGGTTCTGGGGGCAATCAGACCCTGGGAAAGAGGAGGGGAGCTCTGCTGGTATCTTTGGCCACACTGCCTGGGGCTGGACAACACGTTTCTTTCCACCACAGCGACTGAAGTTCCATACTGTTGGCTCGGTTAGCAAAACAAAGCAAGATGTTCTTGGGAAACAACAAATGAGAAATGGGATAAGGAACACATGACCTCCCCTAAGCAATGTATTTCTGACCAGTGAGTTTGCTTTACTTGGCTGAACTGCCCTCTAAGCAACACTCCGAGATTATAAAGGTCTCCATGAGTATCATAAAAGATTGAAAAAATGAGAAGGCCTTTCTGGCCTTCTTTCCTTGCTTCCTCCCTCCCATCCTTCTGACTTCAACAGGCACTTTCTTGAGTGTCTACTATGAACCAGGTACTATAGCAGGGAAGCCAAAGACCCAATCCCTAGCCTGTGCAACTATTTTACTTGGGGTTTGTAGTAAGCATAGTCTCAACTCACAGTAGCTGTCATTCACCAAGGGCCTACTGTGCGCCCTACTGCCTCGTTGACAGGTATAACCCAGGAAGGCTGTAATCTCCATTGTACAGATGGGACAACAGAGGCTCTGGACAATGACATCACTAGTCCAAGTCATGCATCTGCTATGTGCAGAGCTGTGACACAACCCACGGCTGGGTGGAACTCAAAGCCTGGGCCCTTAACCACCGGGCTACCCTGCCCCTGTGAATACCCCCATTTGTGTCAGCTGGATTATGGGGTACAGAAGATGTGGTCATAGGAGGGAAGACCTTGCCCTGTGTTCCTCCTCCCTTCCACTCCATTTGGCTTTCTCCCACTCACACTTAGATTGGTTGTGAACCCCAACTGAAGCCTGATGGTGAAAAACACAAGGTTCACCAACATGGCTTTGGGGACCCCCTCCCATACTCAGTTCTGACGAAAACTCAACCACATCGACAGCTCCAGTGACCAGCAGGTCTGGGTGGCCTCAGAGGGCATCTTCCATGCCCTCCTGCCCAGGCTGAATGGAGAGGAAGAGCCAGGCTCTGCCCCACACCACTGTGGGGCCCCAGGCAATGCTCCCCTCCTCTCTGGGACGTGATTCCCCAAGGGGGTTACCCAGGAAGACCACAGGAAAGACCAACTCAAAATCCTCCACCTTCCTCTGCAAGGCCACCAGACCCAGTTACAAATACTGTATGGCCTGGGGCCCTTGCACCACCTTCTCCTGCCTCAGCTGCCTCCTTTTGCAGATGGAAATCATGACACCTACCTCCCAGGTATCAGTGCAAGCCAAGAGCACACAGGAGGCCCCCAGCAACAGGCATGGATATTCCAATGGGGACTGCCCCATTGGAATCCCACCATTGGAACGAGTGTGGCTTAAGTACCCATATTTGGCCAGGTGCGGTGGCTCACACCTGTAATACCAGTACCTCGGGAGGCCGAGGCGGGTGGATCATGAGGTCAGGAGTTCGAGACCAGCCTGACCAACATGGTGAAACCCCATCTCTACTAAAAATACAAAAATTAGCCAGGTATGGTGGCGCACACCTGTGAACCCGGGAGGCAGAGGTTGCAGTGAGCCAAGGTTGCACCACTGCACTCCAACCTAGGTGACTGAGCGAGACTCTATCTAAAAAAAAAAAAAAAAAAAAAAAAAAAACAAAAAAACCCACATTTTGAAAGACAAACTTATAAAGAGAAATGCCCCCCTTCCCCAGGCTAAATCAACACTCATCCAAAGGCTGCTCCGATAGGGTACATGTTTCCTAAGAGCTGACAGGACATATTGTGTGTGCCAGGCCCCACATCATCTCATGTCATCCTCACAAGCACGGTTTAGGGCAGGGCTCCAAAGTCTGACTGCCTGGCCCTCCAGCTCCTTGCTATGTGATCCTGGGCAAGTAGCTTACCTTCTCTGAGCCTCACCTTCTCTGCCTTTAAAAGGGGAGAAAAACGGTACCCTTCTTACCAGTGGTGGTAACATATGCTCTGACCAACTCATGGGAACAAAACAAGCATCCCCACTGTGCAGAGAAGAAAACTGAGGCAGAGAGTGAAGGCTGGAGATTGTGCAGCGGCTTAGTGGCAAAGTCTGACTTGGAGGCCTGTGCTCAACAGCTTCCACTCTCTGGGCAAGGCAACAGTGGTACCACGCCCCACCCCCGTCATTTCCATCACTCAGCTGTGCAGCCCCCACCTCTCTCTCATCTCATAGCTGCTGTGAGGAATGGTCTCCACTTGCAGAGCACGCCTCCACACAGGAGTGCTTTCTCCTGACCCAGCTGGAGGTCTGTTCTCACATACCTTGCTTCTCTGCACATGGGGAGCCTCTCTTTTGCGCCACCCACGCTGTTCCAGGAGCCATGCTGGGGTGGGCGGAGAGGGCAGGGAATGGGGCAGCCAGGCAGCCCTGGCATCTTGACAAAGGGGTGTCACTCCACAGGTCCCCATGGCAGCCCATCTTTTGGGTACAATGCACATTCCACAGCCTCAGAGTCCTAGACCTTGGGCTAGCCTAGATTTAGTCTCTTCCAGAGCCCCTGGCATCAGGGCAATCAGAGCAAACCCCCCCCCGCCCCCTCCACCCAGTTGTTTCCAACCCAGAGCTGCCTGCAGATCCTACGCAGCCTTGATGCTTCTTGCTTCTGAGTCACAGCTCTAAGGTTACTCTCCAGACCCTATCACAGCACCCTTCCGCTTACACTTTAATAATTACAATTACTTGGTATTTCCCTAATTGTTTATTTATTACTGTCCCTCTAAGGAAGGCTTATAAGAACAGAAATCTTCTATGTCTTAGTCTCTGCTATTGCCCCCTGTCCCTGGCACACTGGAGGCATTCGGTAAGTCTTTGTTGAATGGATAAATGAATGAAGTAAAGAAGGGAACGAAAGGGGAGAGAGAGGAGGGGAGGGGAGGGGATGGAAGAACTACTATTTGCCTTCTCTTCCCTGCCCCTTTCTCTGGCCAATTTCTACTTTGTGCTGATGTCACCACCTCCAGGAAGCCTTCTCTGCTGCTCTCTCCTCCAAGTAAAGTGCCTTCTCTGTGCTCAACTCCTGGGCTTCTCCCATCACAGTGTTCTCTTTGCCATTTTGTAAGTGTCAATTTTCACAACCCTCTGCCTACCAAATCCTGGCCAAGGGGACCTGGGGGCAAGTCTGCTGGGTGGACTACAGGGAGAAGTCTTCCTCGTGATGCACCCTCCTCCTTGGTGGGATGTTGTCCGGGCTCCTGAGGATGGCTGGAACTGTGGCAGCCATTTGGGGACCATGAGGGAATAAGATGCCAAGAAAAGTGTAGGAAGATGGGAAGAACCTGGGTGGATCTATGCATCCAGGACTTGGAAAACTTCCTGTAAAGGGCCATATGGTAAATATTTCAGGTGTTGCAAGTCATATGCAGTCTCTGTCATACCTTCTTTGTGTTTTGAGTGGTTTTTGGTTTATTTTACGATTTTTTTTTTTTTATGGAGTCTCGCACTGTTGCCCAGGCTGGAGTGCAATGGCGCGATCTCGGCTCACTGCAAGCTCCGCCTCCCAGGTTCACGCCATTCTCCTGCCTCAGCCTCCCGAGTAGCTGGGACTACAGGCACCCGCCATCACACCCAGCTAATTTTTTGTATTTTTAGTAGAGACGGGGTTTCACCATGTTAGCCAGGATGGTCTCCATCTCCTGACCTCGTGATCCATCTGCCTCAGCCTCCCAAAGTGCTGGGATTACAGGCGTGAGCCACTGCACCCAGCCTACAACCTTTTGAAGGTGCAAAACTCCTTCTTGGTTCACAGGCCATAGTTTGCCGAACCCCATACTAATACCAGCTGGTGAACTGTGCGAGGTAATACACGTCCTTATTGTCAGACCCATTTTTATGGGGGTCTTTGTTACTTTCAGCATCTCTACTGATGAAACAACACCATTGTACCAAATGACAATGGTGAGGATGTGGAGCAACTGGGCCTCTCATACCCTGAGGGTGGGAGTGCAAAATGCTACAAATACTTTGACAGGGTTTGGCAGTTTCTTAACAAGTTTATCATACACTTACCATATGATAAGGCCGTCTCACTTGTAGGTATTTACCCAAGAGAAACGAGAGCATTTGTCCATACAAAGACTTGTATAGGAATGTTCATAGCAGCTTCATTCATAATAGCTCTAAACTGGAATCAACTCAAATGCCGGTCAACAAGAGAAGGGATGAATACACTGGCACATCCATGCAATGGAAAAGTGCTCTGATAAAGGGAACGAGTTATTGATATGTGCCTCAACGTGAACACATCTCAAAATAATTATGCTAAGTGAGAGACACTGATGAAGAAGACTGCAGAGTGCACGGCTCCGTTCACGTGCATGTCTACAACACACAGACTAATCCACAGTGGCAGAAAGCAGATCATGGTTGCTTGAGGACAGGATGGAAGGAGGGGTGGATTCCAAAGAGGCAGGAGCAGGCCTCAGGGAGTGTGGAACGTGCTTATTATTTTCACTGCCGTGACGGTTCCACGGGAATACACATACGTCAAAACTCATCAGATTGTACACTTGAAACGTTGTTTATTGTATGTCAATTAGGGTTTTTCAGAACTGTTAAAAAATAATAATGGTGTTGGCTCTTGTAATAGGCAGAACTTTGAGGGCAAAGGACATGGGATGGGAATGTCTTAGACAAATGGGAAACACCCAAAGACCAGCGGACGGGCAACAGGGAGGGAAGATGGAAGCCTGAGAAGCCAGGGGCCCCACAAGATCTTGTGTGTCTTGAGTGACTGCTAAGACCACCTCTGTCCACTCCTACGTAGCTGAGGACGAGTGAGACCAGGCTCCTCAGCTACTTTGGTGAACAGGCACAGAGAGGCAGCCCTCGGAGACAGCCCGTGGACAAGCGGCTGTAACTGCCACTGCCACCCTGACCCCAGTGGGGCGAAGGAGCCTCAAGGCCCTGTGTGGGCTGTGCCAAACAGCCACAAGCACTTTTTGGAGTTCTGAGATGCTAGAGTTGGTGTGTCGAGTGTCAGGTTCGCCGTGTACCCTGCAGATGGTCTCTCCTCATCTGACAAGGCCGGGGACACACAACAGAATTCCTCAGGAGCTCTAGGCTTTTTCTCCCCGACTCATCACAGAGAGGACAGGAAGAACTCCCAGCTTAGCTCCCCAACTACCATCTGCGGCAGGCAGGGAACACATCTGGCTCTGCAGCTCCAAATCCTCCCTCTCCGTCTGATCCCAGGGACAGTGCTATTGCTGTCAGGCCCAGCAGAAAACCTAGGCTTCCTCCATTGGGTGCTGCACCTTCAAAGAAATTTTTTATCTTGGCTACAGAAGAACAGGAGCAGAAACAAGGGAGGAGAAAGCCGAAGGCTAACCAGAACGGTGAGGTCATGCTAAGTCAAAAAGGATCAGGAAACAGAACCATGAAAAGGAGCAAAGATGAGGTTGTGCGAGATTGGGCATAAGGGGATGAATCTAGGGGGGCTTAGCAGTCATCAGTATTCCTACAGCTTATCATCATTTACATGTTTCTTGATTTTTGTTTTGTTTTTGTTTTTTTTGAGATGTGGCCTCACACTGTTGCCCAGGCTGGAGTGCAGTGGCGCGACCTCAGCTCACTGCAAGCTCCACCTCCTGGGTTCACGTCATTCTCCTGCCTCAGCCTCCCGAGTAGCTGGCACTACAGGTGCCCGCCACCATGCCTGGCTAATTTTTTATATTTTTAGTAGACATGGGGTTTCACCATGTTAGCCAGGATGGTCTTGATCTCCTGACCTTGTGATCCACCCTCTTCAGCCTCCCAAAGTGCTGGGATTACAGGCGTGAGCCACAGTGCCCGGCCTCTTGATGTTCTTTTAGAGATGCATAGCATTTGTAATTTTTATTGTTTTTTGCTCCCAGATGCTGGAATGTGAGTCTGTGCAGAGACTGGACCGCACGGCACCCTGCCTTTCATAAGAACCACACCTACCTTTCCCCACAGAATCTCCAGAATCACAGAGTGAACTGGATGGTACCTCTGCCATTTTACAGAGGGGGAAACTGAGGTTCAGAGATGTTCGGTGTTGTGCTCAAGGTCACTCAGCTAGGAAATGACTGCATGAGGCCTGGACCTGGGCTTGTCTGGTCTGAAGGCTGGTGAACTTTTGTATATACACTCTGGAGGGGGCCTTCCTCATGTCTCAAGAAACACCACCTGAGACAGACTCAGCGCACTCATATCTGTCTGTTTTGTCTACTACAGTATCCCCACTCCTTAAAACACTCAATAAAGAGCTGGGGAACAAACAAGTGGACATAGCAAATAATGATGCTCAGCGAGAATCAGAGGGAGGGAGGAGGGAGAGAGAGGAAGGAAGGGCTGGCTTCCTGATGCTCCCAGATCCACCCAGGACACAGGCTGTGCTCATGAAAACACAAAGTCGTGAGAATGCGGATGTGTACCTCCTGGGGCCAGGCTCAGACGGTAATGGTGACACCTCTTCCTAAGTGTTCATTTTCACAATCACCTTTCTCAAGGCACATGACATATTTTCTTACAACGCTGTCTGGAGCTTTAATCCTACCTCCCTAAGACCTTTCAGAAAGAAAAGGAGGCCTGGAGAGGCTGCTGGAGGAAGGCCCGGGGGTTATGCTGCATCAGCCTTCACTAAAATGAACTCACTGGTCCCATTCTGCTCCTTCTTCAAGTTCTCTTGAGGGGTGTTCTCACTCTCACCTTTTACTTCCCACCCCAGGGCCTGCTTGCCTCCCACCTGCTGAGGGGCCTTGGACAGACCTGGGCCTGTGTCCTCTCAGCCAACAAGGAGGGGTTGCCATGATGATCTATAAGGGCCCTTCAGGTCTCCATCCCGGATTCATTCACTCCACAAAGCCACCCTGGGGGTCTGCATGTACCACCCGCAGCACAACACGCCAGTCCCTCTGGAGGGAGCTCTGGAGGGCTCCAAGCTCTGGGCAAATGACCCACACCTGCATTTAAACTGGGCCTCCCTGCTCCCGTTTAACCACCATTCATCCCAAGTCTCAAGAAGGCAACAGAAAATGCCCTGTTTGGAGCTTTGACAGAAAAACTCCTCTCTCAAGAAGGTCTGAGTTGATGGTTCGCTTTCTTCGAAAACAAGAACGATGCTTTAAGTTGGGAGCAGCCTTCGTGTTTGGATGTGGACACCTATACAGTCCTCAGGGTGGCCCCATATATCTCTCTGTCCTCCCTCCCTTCTTTAACCCAAAGTGAGAAGTCCTGGGAGGCAAGGCGGGGGCTGGCAAAGTGCCTGCAAACCAGCATCACTGTCAGGAGCAGAAGCAGAAGCAGAAGCAGAAGGGAGAGAGAGAGAGAGAGAGAGAGAGAGAGAGAGAGAGAGAGAGAGAGACAGACAGAGAGAGAAAGAGAGAGAGACAGAGAGAGAGAGAGAGAGAGAGAGAGAGAGAGAGAGAGAGAGACAGAGAGAGAGAGAGAGAGAGAGAGAGAGAGTGTGTGTGTGTGTGTGTGTGTGTGTGTGTGTGTGTGTGTGTGTGTGTGTGTGTGTCGGGGGGCAGGGAAGATCCCGGTACCTCTCCATTCTTACTCAAACAACTGATTTTCAGGGTATAATAATAACTGCCTCCCCGCTCCCCACCAAGTGTTCTCATTTCAAAATGGACTTAATGAGATCCCTTGGAGGAAGGACTTCTCCAAGCAATTGAACACACTGTGCAGTAATGAACTGCCAGCAGTGAGTGTCACTTAATGGAAACCAAGTGGACAGAAACAGGTCAGGGGAGGGAGTGGCTGTCCCTTAGGCACCTATTGTGCCTGAGCACAGTGCTAGGCACTCTATAGGGGTTGCCATCCATTATTTTATGGCATTCCACTAACAGCCCTGCAAGGTCTTGTCTCTCCTCTTGAAAGATGAGAAATCTGAGCCTCTGATCTGGTTCCTAGGCTGTGAAGCATAGCTAGGCTGCCTGCTCAAAACTGGCCCCTCCACCAATGCGCTGTGGACTTCAGACAAGTTACTGCACCTCTGAGTTTCAGTCTCCTCATCTGTAAATGGGGATAACAATAGCGATTGCTTTGTAGGGTTTGTGTGAGGGTTGTGTGAGACACTGCCTAGAGATTACCTAGCACACAGTAAGTGCTCAATGAACATAGTCACTTGCCGGCTGGACTTAAACCCAGGAACCTGTCTGCTTCCAAAACTCAGTAAATTCTCTTTCCACTAATCTGCAACTCCCCCATCCATACTCAGCTGGTGACCTTGAGCTCACCCTCCCTGTTCCCTGCATCTGGGAGGCCACCCTGACTCCCTCCAGTGCAGGGGGCCGAGGGGCCACACTCACAGCCCAGGCCAGCCTCTCCTCTTGTGCTCTGATGCCATCTCTTCCCACCAACTCGCAACAGCTCCCCTGCATCTAAAGCTGCTCCCTCCACACTCTTTTCCCTGTTGCAGTAAAATTTGGCACCACTCGCCTGTTATTCGGGCCAGACACTGGGGACCCTCCGTAGTTCCTCTTCTCCCCAGATCTTCCAATCCATTCCCATGGCTTGAATTTGAAACTACAGCCTGAACCCGATCACTTCTCCTTGCTTCCCATCCCACCCCAGCACTGGACCCAAGTCCCCACTGCCACTGGCCTCCCTGCTTTACCTCCTGCCCCTCCAGTCCACTCCCCACACATCAGCCTGGCTGGGCTTGACAGTTCTCCATCCTACGAGGTTAGCCTCCACCAAAAATGCTCCCTCATCTCTCCACTACAGCCAGAATAAACTCTACATATTCTGCCCTGGCCCACAAGGCTCCCACTTGCTTCCCCTACTTGCTCAATGGAAGGCTGGCAATATTGGCCTTACTATGCCTCAACCTGTCTCAGCTTGTTCCCAATGCAGGGCCTTTGCACGTGCTGTTCCCTCTGCCTGCAGCCTCCTTCCCCACATCCCTGCGTGGCTGGCTCCTTCCCTCAGGGCTCCACCCAAATTTTATTCCAGTCACGCTTCCTCCCAGTCTCATCACCTGTTTTATTGTCACATCATTCTGTTTCCTTGTCTTCATGCATTTATCTGTATTTGGAATTATTTATCTTTCATATATATTAGCTGTCTCTCCCACTAGAACACACACTCAGCCAGGGCAGGAATTGTTTTTCGTATTCCCCTCTGATGCTTGGTGACTATAACAGCGTCGGGCACAGAGAAAAGACTCAATACGTATTTGTTGAGTGGATAAACAAAGGAGTAAATGAATGACCAAATAAACTAAAGGATGAATAAATGAACACACACACAAGCCAAACTCTATGGGGCTGTACTTGTCCATCTCTACAACAGAGGTGGTAACCCCAACACCCACAAGACGGTGATGAAGATGAACCCTGATGAACCAGAGCCTAGGAGATGCTCAATAAATCCTTGCTGGTTGAAGCATTTCAGTCAGCGGGGGCTCAGCAGCGGGCATCTCCTCTCAACCCCTTACTGAATAAAATGCATTTAATAGTCAAAATCCTGTAACGGAGATACAGCAATTGAAGGCCCAAGGAAGAACGCATGTGAGAACATGATTCACTGTATTACCCGTAGCCATGGCAACTGAAATCTTCAAGCGCAGTTCCGCCTCGCTTTAGTTTTCTATGCAGAAATTTCTAAAGGAAATGTTCAGATTTCTATCTCTGCTGATATAGAATAGGCATTCTCATTTGGCTTGGAGAGGAAAAATGCAAAATACCAGATTCCCATAAGGTAAACTGGTTTACGAAGAAAGAAGAGTTTTGTTTTTGGCAGCGTGAGTTCAATTCTGAGAGGTAGAACAAAATCATCTTCATCATCATCACCATCATCAACAAACAAACAACACCTTTGCTTGAAATAGAATGGACCAGGCCAGGTACGGTGGCTCATGCCTGTAATCCCAGCATTTTGGGAGGCCAAGGTGGGTGGATCACCTGAGGTTAGGAGTTCGAGACCAGCCTGGCCAACATGGTGAAACCCCATCTCTACTAAAAATACAAAAATTAGCCAGACATGGTGGTGGGCGCCTGTAATTCCAGCTACTCGGGAGGCTGAGGCAGGAGAATCGCTTGAACATGGGAGGCAAAGGTTGCAGTGAGCCAAAATCACGCCACTGTACTCCAGCCTGGGTGACAGAGCAAGACTCCATCTCAAAAAAAAATGGACTAGTACTTTATCTAACCTTCACTCATTCACGCAGTCATTTAAGAAGAGTTCACTGATTGCCTACTGTGTTCCAGGCCCTGTGCTAGACTCCAGGGATACAGCAGTGAACCAAGACAGATGAGGATCCCTGCCCTTGTGGAGCCTGCAGTCCAATAGGACAGATGTCCAATGGAAGAACATTCACAGCATGGAATTCCCAATAAGGAATAGTGGAGAGAAACACAGTAGAACAGAAAGACAGCCCTGTGGGATAACAGAGCCACCATCCATTGGTTTTGTGACCTTGGGCAAGTCACTACACATGTCTGAGCCTGTGATAAAATGATGATAACAATATTGCTTGATGAAGGTGCTACGTGTACCCAATGAGATGACAGAAAAAGTGCCTTGTGTGGTGTCTGATATGCAGCAAGCACCCAGTAACTAGTCATTCTTCTTGCCTTACAGAGGCAGAAGGGGCCAGCCCCTGGCTGTTTCTCTCGACAAGGCCTCAGAAAAGTTCTCCGAGTGTGGGGTTTTCCCAAAGGACTGCCTATGTTCTAAAGGACTGAGGGAGTCTGGGAGACATTTGAGATTTCAACTTTCAAAATAAATGTGCAGGAAAGGCCAGGGAAGAGGAAACAGATTAACCTAACAGCTACCCAGATAACAAATGAGGCCAGAGTCCTGAACATGTTTAGGGTGGGGTCCCAGCTAAATTCTCCAAAATATGAGGATGGAGGATGCTGAGAACAGCCTGCCATTGTGGGCTTCTCACCACACCGGCCACGTGCAGGGTGAGACTGGAACTTCAGGGACTGACGAAAGAAATTACGGTCTCTCGACCGGCATAGCAGTAGAGCTAAGGGCTCCAGAGCTCAGCACACTCCAGTGCAAACCCTGAGGCCTGACAGCAAGAAAAGCCTGGTGGGCCAGAGACTTCTTCTAAGGAGCTGCCCGCACTCCCTGGATCCTCACAGATGGAGTGAAACCCTGGCAGAGGTGGGGGCATTTGAGCATCAGGCTGGAGCCCAGGAGCCAGGAGGCAGACAGCAGACCTGGTTTATGTCTGACAGCGCACCACCCTCTTCTCAGCTTCTAGCCTCTGTACCTACACACGCCGTTCTTTATGCCTGAGCATAGCTCCATCACCCCTGCCAGTCCCAGCCCACCTAGAAAACCCCTGTTCAATCTTTAGATGACCCAGAAAGGCCACGGCCAGGCATTTCTCCTGCAGCAAAACACACAAGGGCGCAAAGGTGTCTGCACAACAATGTTCACTGCAGAATTGTTTATAGTGCACGCAACTGGAAATGACCGACATGTCTGTCTAGAGGCAACTGGTTCAAAAAATTACAGTGCAAGGAAGAATATAAAGCCATTAACAAAGAATGGCATAGACCTATTATGCTGATATAGAAAAATCTCATCATTATGAGAAAAAGAAAAGTCAGGACATTGATAACTATGCATAGCAAGATCTGATTGTGTTAAAAATTAAACACACATGGCCGGGTGCGGTGGCTTATTCCTGTAATCCCAGCACTTTGAGAGGCTGAGGCGGGTGGATCACCTGAGGTTGGGAGTTCGAAACCAACCTGACCAACATGGATAAAACCCGTCTCTACTAAAAATACAAAATTAGCTGGGCATGGAGGTGAGTGCCTATAATCCCAGCTACTCGGGAGGCTGAGGCAGCAGAATTGCTTGAACCCGGGAGGCAGATGTTGCAGTGAGCCGAGATCGCGCCACTGCACTCCAGCCTGGGCAACAAGAGCAAAACTCTGTCTCCAAAAAAAAAAAAAAAAAAAAAAAATTAAACACACACACACAGGCACCCCTTGGTATCTGTGGGGGATTGGTTCCAGGACCCCCACAGATACATAAATCCACAGATGCTTAAGTCTCTTACATAAAATTGGGTAGTATTTGCATGGGACCTACACACATCCTCCTACACACATTAAATCATCTCTAGGTTTCTTATACCTAACACAATGTAAACACTAAGTAAATAGCTGTTATGCTGTATTGTTTAGGGAATAATGCCAAGAAAAGAAAAGTCAGTACATGTTCAGTACAGATACAACCATACATTTTTCTTCGAATGTTTTTGATCTATGGTTGGTTGAATCCACGGATACGGAAACCATGGATACAAAGGGCAAATTGTGCATGTGTGCGTGCACGTGTGTGTGTGTGTGTACATATGTACATATGGGAGGGTACAGACGCAGATATAGGCACAGACATTGTCTTATGTACGCAGAGAATATTTTCAAAAGGAGACACATGAACCTGTCACCAGTTTCCGGAGGAGGGGACTGCAGATTGGAGGTGATGGCAGGGAGACCAATTTCTCTTTAGAACACTGTTTTGCACTGTTGGAAATGTTAAACATGTCTGTGTATTACTTTTCCAATTAAAAAAAAGTTATTTATTTTTAATGTTTATTCATCACTTGTATTAAATGTTCTGTCCCTAAAAAGGTGACTTAAATTCCCTCCAGTGTGTGAAGACAGTCCAGTTACTGCATCATCACACGTGTATCCATTTATGTGTCTGTCACCCCTTCCTTAGTGGTGGGGAATGTGGTGGCCGCACCTCTGTACCCTTCTGCAGAGCCTGGCACCTGGTGGGTACTCAGTAAGTGTTTGAGGAATGAAAGACAACATTGGCCAGGCGTGGTGGCTCATGCCTGTAATCCCAGCACTTTGGGAGGCCAAGGCCAGTGGATTACCTAAGGTCAGGAGTTCAAGACCAGCCTGGCCAACATGGTGAAACCTGTCTCTACTAAGAATACAAAAATTAGCTGGGTGTGGTGGTGCACGCCTGTAATCCCAGTTACTCAGGAGGCTGAGGCACGAGGATCGCTTGAACCTCAGAGGCAGAGGTTGCAGTGAGCCGAGACTGCACCACTGCACTCCAGCCTGGGCGACGGGGTGAGACTCTGTCTCAAAAAAAAAAAAAAGAAAGAAAGAAAGAAAAGAAAGACATCATTAACACCAGTGAAACCACTTCCATCTTCTTAAGAGCTTTCATTTTACCAAATGACCACTCACAGAGCACCAACTACTCCATGCTAGCCAATTTATACCCAGCATCTCATTTAATTGAGTCAATACCCTGAAGCCTCGCTAAAGGTGGTAGATGCTGTTGGTTCCCTGCCAGATCTCCTTTATTGGCTGGGGCGCCCATTCCCCAGGTGCTGGGGGCTCTGGCTGCTATGGCTCACAGCCCCCTCTCCTCCAGACCGTGGGCAGTGGAGAAAAAGCTGCCCCAGTGCTCTGAAGTAGGACTTATTTTGTGATGCTGTTCACCCGCCAAAGCTCCTGAATGGACCACGTTGACTCAAGCTGTTGTCACTAAATCACATCCACACAAATCCCCACCTCAGAGTCTGCTTCTGGGAACCCGACCTGAGACACTGCTCTGCAAAATCAACAAGGTGACGCAGTTGTTTTTGTTGTTGTTGTTTGGTTGGTTGGTTGGTTTTTGAGATGGAGGAGTCTCGCTCTGTCTACCAGGCAGGAGTGCAGTGGCGTGATCTCGTCTCACTGCAACCTCCGCCTCCTAGGTTCAAGTGACTCTCCTGTCTCAGCCTCCTGAGTAGCTGGGTTATAGGCGCCCGCCACCATGCCTGCCTAATTTTTGTATTTTCAGTAGAGACAGGGTTTCATCACATTGGCCAGACTGGTCTCGAACTCCTGAGATCAGGTAATCCACCACCTCGGCCTCCCGAAGTATTGGGATTACAGGCATGAGCCACTGTGCCCAGCAGGAACACAGTTTTTTAAACTGTTTCTGGGTATCCACTGATTCCAAACTAAATCTCTAAGAGTGGGCAGATTCAGCATGAGAAGTTTGGAAAAGCAAGACATGTAGCTGAGGTTGGTAAATAAGATCCCGGAGGCAGCGGCGGGGTGGGGGGTGGGAGGGGCAGAATAAAGGTTTATTATGCCCATTTTACAGATGAGAAAAACTGAGGCTCACATAAGTGATTTTTGTTGTCATGGATTCTAAATTTGAAGTCAAAGAGGTAGATTTGAACCCTGTTCCGTTGCACCCCAAAGCCTTAACTCTTCTCTCCATGCCTACTGCTCAGCTGTTTGGGGGTTAACAGGCCTGGCCAGTGCTGAACATGGTAACTTTAGGCTGGCTGTGAGTAGAACATTCCCCGGCTTTACTTGCCTGGTGCAAGCTGCTCAGCCGGCTCTAAATTTAGAACTGCTAACATGGTCAGGAAGAGGGGTCCCTGGGGGTTACTGTTCCACAGCCAGACGGCGCTGGGATTCGGACTGGCGCCTTGGTCACACTCAGAGCCAGCCTGGTGTGGAGAAAATATGGAAACAGCTCTCTGGCCGGCCTTTGGGGGATTTCCTGTCCACCTGTGCAGACCGAACAACAGGAAAAGTCTGCAGTGGGGTTGGGTGGATGGGACGGGGCAGATGGAGATGGGCGAGGTCCACCCAGCTGGGCTTCCCTTCTCAATTCATTCACAGATGGATGCTCCTACAAAGGTCAGGGCAGTGCAGGAAGCATTTGCTAAGCACCTGCTCTATGCCTGGCCCTGCATTAGGATCTGAGGGAAAAGATGAACGAGATACATTCCTCTCCTCAAGAAGTTCATTTATGCACTCACTCACTCCTGCGTTCAGCTCAACACATATTTATTTATTCAGCACCTATTGTGTGCCAAGCCCTGTTCTAGGAAGTGGGGAAACTAATGAGCAAGACATGTCCCTACCCACAAGAACCACTTTTTCACTCACCCACTCATTCGCTCATTCAGATTAACATTTAATGAGCACCTGCTGTGTGCAAGACCTTAAGCTAGGAAGTGGAGAGACAGAGATGAACAAGACATGCTCTCTGAGGATGAAAAGTTTCATTTTCGCATTCATTGTTTTCTTTCACTCTTTCATTCAGTTCTGTAAATGATTAATGAGCACTTGCTGTGTACTCAGCCCTCTGCTAAGCACTGTGCATATAGATATGAAACAAGACACAGCCACTACTGATAGAGTTCACTTCAGTGGTTCATTCATTCATTCAGCATAACATTCATTGATGGAAACTCCTGGATGTCAGGCACTGTGTCACGTGACAGGGATACAAAGATAGGGGCTGTTTCTGCTTGCAAAGAGTCTCACTCATCCATTCATTCTTTCATTCCTCCAGTGCAGTGAGTATTTATTGAGTGCCTACTATGTGTCAGGGACACAGATGTGCATACGAGAGAATCTCTGCTCTTGAACAGCCTTCCTCCCTTCCTCCCTCCCTCCCTCCCTCCCTCCCTTCCTCCCTTCCTTCCTTCACCACTTATCAGTTTGCTTCACTCAACATATATTGGACACTTACTGTCTATCAGGCTGTGCGGAGGCAGAGGAATGAATCCCAGGCCTGGATCTGAAGGAAGTCATAGACACACCAGCTCACACACACAGGGTGAGCATCATTTGGTTCCTGTCAGGGCCATGAGGACCCACCCAATGGTTCCTCAAAAGCTCCCAGCAGCAGGCAACACGTCCCTCCTACAGAGCCGCAGGACGGACAGGGGGTTATGGGGGGGGAGGTGGGGGCCCCTCAGCACACTGGGAGAGAGAAACTGCTGGAAATATACACCAGAGGGAGGGTTTGGTGAGTGAGGTGATTCAGACATCTCAGTGAGGATTTTCAAGAACTCAAGGAATATTCTAAGTTCAGAGGAGGAAGAGAAAAAGATCGGCCCACGTCTTCTGACTGTGGCATACTCAACACCAAACTGCCAGCAGCAGTGTTGGTTCCCCTTGGCTCCTCTGCCCTCCCAGGCCAAATGCCTGCCAGGAAAACAATGGCTTTGAATCGGCTGCTGAGAGGACTGAGAAAAGCGTCCACATGAAGTCCCTGGCACAGTGCCCAGCACAGAGTAGGTGCTCAGTGAATGTCACCTGGGCACATCTGATCTACTGCAAGATGCAGTGATTTTGAATGTGGCTACACATTCTCTGCCACTCCTGCCACTGAGAAGGGGGTCCATGTCCCCTCCCCTTGTCACTGCATGGCCCAGCAGAGAACAGAAGTGACGCTATGTAAGTCCTGTGGCTGCAGCCATCATAAAGGGAAGTGTGGCGTTTGCCTTCTTTGCCACAACACTCACTTCCAGAGCCCTAAGCTGCCATGTTGTGAGGAAGCCCACGCCACCAGGAGTGGCCGTGTTTCAGTGCTCTGGTTGACAGTCCCAGGGAAGCCTGGTTTTTGAACCATCACGTGTGCCAAACACATGGGTGAAGAAGACTCTAGATGGTTTTTGAACCATCACATGCACCAAACACATGGGTGAAGAAGACTCTAGATGGTTCTATCACTCAACTGTTCGAGGCTCCCAGCTGACACTCCAGACAGGCAGCAGACACTCTCACTGAGCCCTGCCTAATTTCTGACCCACAGGATCCATGGACATAATGAACAGTGGTTGGTTTGCACTGCTGTTTTGGAGTCGTTTGTTATGGCAACTGATAACTGGCCTGGAGGCATTTCTTCAACAGGTCCCTGCCCTGCACACCCTGCAGAATCTGGGAGGATCAGATAAACCAGAAACCATAAAATACCTTTTATACATTGTCAATTTTTTTTTTTTTTTTTTGAGATAGAGTCTTGCTCTGTCGCTGAGGCTGGAGTGCTTTGGCGCAATCTCCACCTCCCGATTCAAGCGATTCTCCTGCCTCAGCCTCCTGAGTAGCTGGGATTACAGGCGTGCGCCACCATGCCTGGCTAATTTTTGTATTTTTAGTAGAGATGAAGTGTCACCATGTTGGCCAGGTGGTTTCGAACTCCTAACCTCGGTGATCCGCCCGCCTCGGCCTCCCAAAGTGCTGGGATTACAGACGTAAGCCACTGTCAAGTTCTATACACACAGGAGCCACTGGCATTATCTCTCAGGACACAGAGGGGGCTCTGCAGCCTTCCTGACCACACTAAACTTGGCAAACCATAACTAAGGCTGCCACTCCCATCAGTTAGGCTGGGAGACTCTGCAGACTACTGGGACTGACCTGCACTCACGTGGCAGGCCGCCGCTTTGTCCTCAAGACAAGACTTAGGTCATCCCTCCAGGAGGAATGAACTGGAGGACAAAGGCGGCTTTCACTGGGCCCAGGCTGCTCTCGGCAAATAGGGGCGGTCAGGGCAGAGCTGGAAGGGGGTGGCCCCAGGCACTCCCCCCTGGGCAGGTAGCCAAACAGGCCAGGTGGGGCCCAGGCAAGCTGGGGCAGCAGGGGGTCTGGCAAAGGGCTTTCTTCCCTGCTATCTGGGTCTTTTCCAATCTAGGCCTTAACAGGGAGAGGGCAGAGTAAAATGAGGCATGAGGACAGCTTGGTAAATTCAATAGAATGTGGAAAAGGTATCCCTAGGATTAAGGTCAAATTAAAGACATAAACTAACACAGTGCAGGCTCCAGAGTAAGACAGCCTGGGATCAAATCTTGGCTCCACTGTTGACCAGCTGTGTGATCTTCTGCAAGTGAGTTAACCTCTCTGAGCCTTGTTTTCCTTATCTGTAAAATGCACATAATAACAGTGCCTCCCTTCTAAGACTGTTGTGAGGATAAAAAGAAACATTCTAAAGTGCTTTTCCTAGTACCTGGCTGCTATGGACTGAAATATATTCCCCCCAAATTCACATATTGAAGCCCTAACCCCCTAGTACATCAAAGGTGACTATTATTTGAAAATAGGGCCTGTAAAGTTGTGATTAGGTTTAAAATAAGGGTGTTAGGTTGGGCTCTAATCCAATCTGACTGTTAACGTCATTAGAGGAAATCTGGAAACACAGACAGGAGCCCACACACGCAGAGGGAAGATGGTGTAAGGACACAGAGAGAAAGTGGTTATCTGCAAGCCAAGGAGAGAGACCTCAGGAGAAACCACACTTGCCAACACCTTGATCTTGGACTTGTAAACTCCAGAACTGTGAGAAAATACATTTCTTCTGTTTAAGCCATTCAGAAGTCTCTGGTTTTTTAATATGGCAGCCCTGGAAAACTAATACACCAGCACATAGGAGGAGCAAAATAAAAATCTCTGATTACGATATTATTACATTTATATTATAGCAACAAAATATTAGGTCAACATGAACATGCCTATATTTTATTAATATAAATGTTTGATATGAAATATTAAAACAATATGAAACACCTGCAGTTGTATGTCCCTGCCTCAGAATTTCTATATAAAATATCAGGTGTTTTTTGTTTTTTTGTTCTTTAGAGAGACAGAGTCTTGCTCTGTCACCCAGGCTGGAGTGCAGTGGCACAACCATAGCTCACTACAGCCTCCAACTCCTGGGTTCAAGTGATCCTCCTGCCTAGCCTCTTGAGTAGCTGAGACTTGAAAGCATGCACCTCCACGCCCAGCTAATTTTTAAATTTTCTGTAGAGACAGGGTCTTGCTATGTTACCCAGGCTGGTCTCTAACTCCTGGGTTCAAGTGATCCTCCCACCTGGGCCTCCCAAGGTTCTGAGATTACAGGCATGAGCCACCAGGCCTGGCCAACATCAGGTTTTCTTAAACTGTAATAATTCAGACCAAATTCCTTGAAAACCTTGTCATCCATGCATTACTGAACCACTGAAATGGTTACATTGTGTCCTCTGGGCTCCAATCACAGTGATAAAATCAATGACACCCTCAAATCTCCCACTTCCTCCAGAGGTGCCTGGCCTCTGCGCATTGTGGTTCAGCCTCTTGGATGCCCATCTTCTCTTGTCCTACTCAGGTGTTAAGACCCAGCTCAGGCCTAGTTCAGGGTAGGCACTCAATACACGTGCACGGCAAGCCAACTATGAGATAAGTTAATGCATTTCAACAAAGAAGATGCTGGGCCCAGAGGGGGTGGTGGCTGGCACAAGGTCACAGTATCCTGGCTCCACACTCATCAACTCTGTCTCAAACACAGAAACCACATGTCCACTCAGCTTGAAACCCCCAAATCTGAGTCCTTTTTCAGCTCTGGAAAATCCATTTGCCTACCAGCAGCAAACAGTGCGGGTAGAGGGCACGGAGAGGGCATCAACCTGCATCAAGCCTTCCATAGCTCACTGTAGCTTCCAACTCCTGGGCTTAGGTGATCCTCCTGCCTCAGCCTCCCCAGTAGCTGGAAATATAGACATGCACTACCCAGCGGGGTAATTTTTACATTTTTTGTAGAGATGGAGTCTTGCTATGTTGCCCAGGCTGGTCTGGAACTCCAAGGCCTCAAATGATCCTCCCTTCTCCTTCCTTCTTTTTACACTCCACACTATTCTCTCCTGATGTTGGACTTTCCAGAGGCTCTGTGCAACCTTTGGACAAGTCAGGTTTTGCTCGGTGTCCTCATTTGCAAAATTTGGACAGTCAGAACCCCTGCCTCACTGGCTGTTGAGACAGCCACACACACTCAGGTGTGAAAGTGTGTAGCTCTGCACATGCTTAAAAAAAAAAAAGCAGCTGCCCATCTAACCCCTGTTGTTAGAACAGGGGTGCCCTCTAGTGCCTCAATCGAGAAGTCATTCCACCCTCGAGGCAGCCAGCAACTTCTACACTGTGGGTTCAATTCCTCCCTTGGATATGTGGAAAGACAGCACCTACTGTGTGCTAGGTGCTCTCCCCACTGGTCTCCACAATGAAATGCTTACACAATCCTCATTTGAGACAGGGAGTTTCTCATCGTCAGGTGAGACACAAGATCAGAGACACGAAGTCACCTGTTCAATGTCACAGAGCAGCGAGGGCTGGATTAGAACCCACATCTGTCTGACTCTGAAGCTCCACTCCTTACTGGACTCTTAGAATTGGGAGATTGTGCACAGGAAGAAACTTTAAGAGACTCCAGTCCAATCTTTCATTATACCTACAGAGAAACTGAGTCCCAGAGAGGGCAAATAGTTGCTCAGGGTCACATGGCATTTGCATCCTGGAATCCTGGCTCCTAGAAGTATTTTGCCCACATGTCCAGCCCTCCCAAGCTTCTGCCTTGCATTTACGGTTCCTTTCAGCAGTCACGAGATTGGCATGCCCCTTCTAACTGCTCTAAGCCCTGGAATGTCTGACACCCAGCAATGACTGCTTTGGAACAGTTAGGGCTGGGGCCTCAAAGACCTCCATCTGAGAGTGGGGTCCACTTCAGCCTCTCAGGACAAAGCTCCCAACAGCACGGGAAGGTGACTGAGGCCCACCAAGAACCAAAAAGTGGAAGTCTAGGCTTGGGGAGCCATTGTTACCACATGGCTCTCTTTTTATTACTGTAAAAAGCAATCTATTTTACATATGGCAAAGACCCTGTGGACTAACAGGCAGGGCAGTGGTCCTGCTTGGAGGGGCCATAACAGGCAGACAAAGAGTCTGAAATTGGCCAGGTGTGATGGTTCATGCCTGTAATCCCAGTGCTTTGGGAAGCCAAGGTGGGAGGATCACTTGAGCCCAGATGTTCGAGGCTTTAGTGAGCTATGATTGCACCATGGCACTCCAACCTGGGTGACAGAGCCAGGCCCTGTCTCTAAAAAAATAAAAATAAATAAAAAACAAAGAGTCTGAAATTGTCACAGTGAGGAAGGTGCTGAGAGGAGCTGGCCTGGGCTCAGCTGAATTCTCAAACCCTCTAGTGGATGTGAGCAGGGCCTTCTGCTCCAAAGGCTCTGGGTACCTCTTCCTGTAGCTCAGAAATGGTGAGGATTTTCCAAGGGGCTGAGGAATCTCACAACAGGGATTGGTGTTTTAATCCCTGTGTTTTAATCCTTTACAATTCCCCTCCCACCTGAGTATCCCAACAACTCTTAGGCATGGGCAGGGCATGAAAGACCCTTCCCATTGTACAGCTGGGGAAGGGGAGCTACGGGAAGAGGTGGAGAACGTATGCTGACACCGGTATCTAACTGACTTTTCAAACTCAACCAACAAGTGCAAACCTGGGTCCCGATCTGCCCCCAAGACCCTCTACCCTGCAGTTTTCCTAATGAAAGCTGATGACAGCTCCATCTTTTAGCAGATGGCAAACTCTCAGGGTCATCCATGACTCAAGTCTTTCCTATCCCATGTCCAATCCATGAGCACATCCTGGGGCTCAACCTTCCAACTAGATCCAGAATCTGCCCACTTCTCCTTTTCTCCTGCCCCAGTCTGAGCGGCCATCATCTCCCACCTGGACCACTGCAGTGGTTCCTTACTGGTCCCCTTACTTGAGTCTGTTCCCCACATGACAGCCAGAGGGACCTACTCAAAGGCCAAGCTGGGTTGTGTCAGTCCTATTCAAAGGGTCACTCCCCCATGGCTCTGGTGTCCCCAAGCACGAGGCACAGTCCTTAGAGTGACTGCAAGGCCCGGCATGGTCACCTCCCTGCTCTCACTGCCCACTCTCTCCTCTCACCCAGTCTGCTGCAGCCACCGTGGCATCCCTCCTGTTCTGCAAATGTGCCTGTGCATGCTTGGGCCTTAAAGCCTTTGCACTGACTATTCCTGTTTCCCCCCAAGCTCCCCTGGCCTATGCTCTCCCTGCTTCTAAAGTCTCTGTTCAAATGTCACCTTTTTAGAGAGGCAGAGGCCCCACACACCCAAGCCCTCCAGAACCTTCTTACCTGGTTCCTTCTGTCTTTCCCCAGCACAGCCCACCTCCTGACATACTATACAACGTTCTTACACATACCCATTGTTGATTGCCTGAACACCCCACTAGAATGTTAATTCTGGCCGGGCCCCTATAATCACAGGTCCTCAGGAGGCGGAGGCAGGGGAATCATTTGAACCCAGGAGGCGGAGGTTGCAGTGAGCCGAGATGGTGCCATTGCACTCCAGCCTGGGCGACAGAGCGAGACTCCATCTCAAAAAAAAAAAAAAGTTAGTCCCTGGGGCAGGAAACATGGCTGTCTTGTGCACTGATGTATCCCAAACCTTTAGAACAGGGCCTGGTGCATGCAACTGAACTGAACTGAGGACACATCAGGTGCCTAGCACCAGCATCGGCTGCCACCACTTATTCAGCACCTACTGTATGCCTGGCTTTGTTTGCATCGCCTCACTGAGTCCTCAGGCCAACCCACGAGGAAGTTGCTATCAATATTTCTACTCTATAGATGGCAAAACTGAGTTTCTGGGAGGGCTAAGAGATTTGCTCGAGGCCCCATGCTCTATTAATAAGTGGCCCAGTAGGGAATAGAAGCCAGGAGAGACTGACTCCAAGCCCGTTTTTGCCTCCATGACTGGGTCTAAAAAGGCGCCCACAGCTCAAGTCAGATGAAAATCTCTCATGATGCAAACTGTTCCATGGCCCAAACCTCAGGCCCAACTCAAACAGCACAAAAATAGTCAGTTCTTCTATTTCAGCCACAGACATTGCTGAGACAAAGCCAAACCAGACCCTTGGCACAAACTGAAGCCACTATGATCTGAGATTCAGAAGCTGGTAACAGTAATTGCTTACGGTGTGCGTATGGAGTGCCAGGCACTACGATAAGGCCATTTGTCCCCACAATAGCTTTCAACATGTCAGGTCAACAGGGTGGTCCATCAGCCCACATCTATTTTTATTTTTTACTTCTTTTTGAGACAGGGTCTTGCTCTGTCTCCCAGGCTGGGAAGCAGTGGTACAATCCTAGCTTACTGCAGCCTCGAACTCTTGGGCTCAGGTGATCCTTCTGCCTCAGCCTGCTGAGTATTTGAGATTATAGGCGTACACCATTATACTTGGCTATTCAAAAAAAAATTCTTTTGTAGAGACTGAGTATTGCTGTGTTACCCAAGCTGGTCTCAAATTCCTGGGCTCAAGCAATCCTCCCGCTTTGATCTCACAGAGTCTTGGGATTACAGGCGTGAACCACTGCACCTGGCCAGCCCACATCTATTAAGCACCTATTATGTGCCAGGCACTGGGCCAAGGGCTGAGAGTTCAGTGGTAAACACACAAGCAACCTCCCTGCCTGACAGAGACTGCATGTAGTCATCAAATTAGCTTTGGAGTCAGATTTCCAAGTTCAAATCCCAGCTCTGCCCCTGGCCAGCTGTTGCATATCTGGTGGTTACTCAGCCTCTCAGAATCTCAGTTTTCTCTTCGGTAAAATAATAATAAAATCCACCCCTCAGGGCTATTTGTGAGGATTAATCAAGATCCCACACACTGAGGCACTTAGCGTCAAAGAGGATAATATCTTTTGCTGTTTCATGACTATTATTATTACTACTGTCACCTAGAGGTGATTACACGCTGAGTGAGGGCCACAGCCAAATGAACAAGTAGCAAGAGGGTCTGGGGAGAAAACAGTGGAACTAACCACATTTAGATTTTTTCCATTCAAAAATCTGGTCACAGAGTCAAACGTGGGGACATGAAGCTTAGAAACACAATGAAAACCACAGTGATTTCCCATCTCCAGGGAGACCAAGGCATGGAACACGGACCCTGCAGGAGGATCTTAAAAGGGCAGGTGAGGGATCTGCACCTTCCCCAAGAAGCTATCAGAAGCCCCAGCTGGGGTGTCACGCCCCACGGGCCACTCAGCAGTTCCTCACTACACTGAAAGCAGCCACCTCTGCCATGGGAGGCTGGAGTAGAGGAAGCCTGCGAGAGTCAGCCTCACAGACCCTGGGCGGGGCTGGAGAGGCAGCTGGGAAGAGCATGGGACAGGAGGTGGGGGTCCCTGCCATTATATCAGAGCCCTCCCCAGCTCCCAACAAACACCATCTCCATATTAAATGCCCACTCTAAGTCCAGCCCTGTGCCAAGGACACTAATGCCCCTTATTCTTAGCTAATCCTCAGCACAGTTCCTCCAAGGTGGGGCTGACCACTGCCACTTATAGAGAGGGAAACTGATGCCCACAGCCATGATGTGATTTACCAAAAGCCACACACCCAGTAGAGACAGGGCCAGGATTCTAGGCCAGGGTTCTCCCTCCAGAGCCCCGCCTCGCCTAGTGCCACATTCTTCTGTCATCCTCCTCGTTGCAAAGCTTGATATGCATAGAAAGCTTTCCTGTAGGCTGGGAAGTTGCTTCAACACCATGGGCCTCAGTTTCCCCATCTGAGAAACCAGAAGATCAGACTCCACGAAGTAGTAAAAATAATAGAGGGAGAGCTGGGTTCAAATACAGGCTCTAGCACTTCCTAGCCGGGGACCTTGGAGGAGATACCTAGCCTTTCAAGGCCTCAGTTTCCCTAATTGCAAAATGCAGGTAATAATGAGATCAACCCATTGGGGTTCTTATAAGGATATAATGAGACCCCTCTGAAAGGCGTTTAGTACAGGCTCAGGATTTTGTGAGCACTCAGTAGGAGTGGTGGTGGTGATGGTGACTTTTATCATCATATGACTATTGCTTATATCACTAATTACTACTGCTGTAATTGATAACCCCAAGAGAGCAGCTTGATGCCCCTAGCAAGGCCACAGGCCTTGGGACCGTCTGGCGAGGTTATCTCAGCAACAAAGGAGATTAAATAACTCACAACAGCCACACCAGAGGCTGTAGCCCTCAGCTATTCTTACTAATAGTTTGAAAGAGAAACTTAATCTCTCTCCCCATGCCCCAACTGTTGCTGGACCAGCACCAAGCTTGATGGTGATAGTGGTTTCTCCCCCCAGAAGAGAAGTGCAGCTATGAGAAGGACTCAGGCTGCCAACAGGAAGCTAAAAACATCCCACCACCAAGTGACAACTTTGCAGAAAACCTGTTGCAGCCCACGCTTGGCCCCACTTCTAAGAAGCTGACACAGGAGACAGCTCGAAATGTGAATCAAGATTTAAGGCGGGGAACAATTATGCATACAATAAACACCTGGGAATAACCTAAGTTTCCAACCACAAAGAATTGGCTACTAGATTCACCAATCCCTCTTCTGGGTATATATCCAAAGTAAATGAAACCAGTACCCCATAAACCAAGGCTGACAACAGGTAGGAATATTAAGCAGCTATTAAATATCATGGTTACAAACTTTTTAAATAACATGGCAGATTTTTTTATGCTGCCAGTGGACACACAAAAAGATAAGGACTGACAGGCTGGGTGCAGTGGCTCACGCCTGTAATCCCAGCATTTTGGGAGGCCAAGGCGGGTGGATCACCTGAGGTCAGGAGTTCGAGACGAGCCTGGCTAACACAGTGAAACCCCATCTCTACTAAAAATACAAAAATTAGCCGGGCATGGTGGCAGGCGCCTGTAATCCCAGCTACTCGGGAGGCTGAGGCAGGAGAATCGCTTGAACCCGGGAGGAGGAGGTTGCAGTGAGTCGAGATCGCGCCACTGCACTCCAGCCTGGGAACAAGAGTGAGACTTTGTCTCAAAAAAAAAAAAAAAGATGCGCACTGATGACTGGGTGCAGTGCTCACGCCTGTAATCCTGGCACTTTGGGAGATAGAGACCATCCTGGCTAACACGGTGAAACCCCATCTCTACTAAAAATAAAAATACAAAAAATTAGCTGGGTGTGGTAGCACGTGCCTGTAGTCCCAGCTACTTGGGAGGCTGAGGCAGGAGAATCGCTTGAACCCAGGAGGCAGAGGTTGCAGTGAGCCGAGATCACGCCACTGCACTCCAGCCTGGGTGACAGAGACTCCATCTCAAAAAAAAAAAGATGCGCACTGATTCACTCATTCAGCTGGCAGTGATGAGGCCCTACTAGGGATGAAACTAAAAGCGAAAAAATACAATGTGGGACCCTGAACTAGATCCTGGAACCAAAAAAGAACATTCGTGACAAAACTGGTGAAAGTAGAATAAGACAAGGTTTCTCAGCCTTGTCACAATTGACACTTTGGCCAGGATCATTCTTGGTGCTGTCGAGGGGAGGGGAGGGAAGGACCTGTCCTGTGCGTTATAGGATGTAAAGCAGCATCCTTGGTGTCTACCCACCATATGCCAGTAGCACCCCTGTCCTCAGCTGTGACAATCAAACATGTCTCCAGACATTGCCAAATGTCCCTTGCAGGGGAAAATCACCCCCACTGGAATTTAGTCTGGAGTTTAGTTCACAGTAATGCACCAATGTTAACTTCTTTCTTTTGATAACTGAACCATGGTTATAGTAACATGCTAACATTAGGGGAACCGGGCGAAGGGTATACAGGAACTCCCGCTACTATCTTTGTAACTTTTCTCAAGTATTCTAAAATAAGTTGTTACGTAAAATAGTATGATAGTTCCTCAAAAAACTGAGAATAGATCCACCAATCCCTCTTCTGGGCATATACCCAAAGGAAATGAAACCAGTATCCCATAAAGATATCTGCACTCCCATGCTCCAATGTAGCATCTTCACAATAGCCAAGAGGTGGACACACCCGAAGTGTCCAGTTGCAGATGAATGGATAAAGAAACTGTGGCATGTATAGTTGTATAGTTGGACAGACAGACAGACAGATAGATGATAAATATACTTGTGAACCACAGAATTCAAAAATACAGATTATCAGAGACTTTTCTTCTTTGTACTCATCTGAATTTTCCATGTTTCATGGACACATGTTTCCATATATATATATACACGCACACACACACATATGCATATATACATATATATACACATATACATATATATATGCCTCAATTTCTTTCTTTCTTTTTTTTTTTTTTTTTTTTTGAGACACAGCCTTGCTCAGGCTGGAGTGCAGAGGTGTGATCTTGGCTCACTGCAACCTCCGGCTCCCAAGTTCAAGCAATTCTCCTGCCTCAGCCTCCCGAGTAGCTGGGACTACAGGCACACACCACCATGCCCAACTAATTTTTGTATTTTTAGTGTAGATGTGGTTTCACCATGTTGACCAGGCTGGTCTCAAACTTCTGACTTCAAGTGATCCACCCTCCTTGGCCTCCCAAAGCGCTGGTATTACAGGCATGAGCCACCCCTCAATTTCTTTATGTATATATATTCAATAATATATATATATCCTCTCTATATATATCTACACATACACACAACAGATTATACAGCCTTTAAAAAGTAGAAGATCGTGTTATTTGCAACATGATTGAACCTGGAAGACCTAAGTGAAATAAGCCGGGCACAGAAAGACAAAATACTACATGCTCTCACTTATATGTGGAATCTAAAATAGTCAAATACATAAAAACAAAATGGGGCAGGACTGGGCGCAGTGGCTCATGCCTGTAATCCCAGCACTTTGGGAGGCCCAGGCGGGCAGATCACCTGAGGTCAGGAGTTTGAGACCAGCCTGACCAATATGGTGAAACCCCGTCCCTATTAAAAATACAAAAATTAGCCAGGCATGGTGGCACGCACCTGTAGTCTCAGCGACTCGGGAGGCTGAGACAGAATTGCTTGAACCTGGGAGGCAGAGGTTGCAGTGAGCCAAGATCATGCCACTGCACTCCTGCGTGGGCAACAGAGCAAGACTACCTAAAAAACAAACAAACCCAGAATGGGGCAGAGGGGTGTAGGGGGAGGAATGGAAAGATGTTAAAGGGTACAAAGTTGCAGTTCTAAAGGATGAGTATGTCTAGAGACCTGAAGCATAGTGACTATAGTTAATGGTATTGTATTATATACTGGAAATTTGTTGAGAGAGTAGATCTCAGGTGCTCTTACCAGTCTATAAATAAAAGGTGACTATGAGAGGAGATAGGTATGTTAATTTGCTTGACTGCAGTACTAATTTCACTATGTATATGTATATATACCAAAACATCTGGTTGCACACTTTAAATGTATACAACATTTTAAAATTTATTTAAAACTTTAAAAATTTGCAGGCTGGGTATGGTGGCTCACGCCTGTAGTCCCAGCACTTTGGGAGGCTGAGGTGGGAGGATCGCTTGAGCTCCAGAGTTTAAGACAAGCCTGGGCAACATAGTGAGGCCACATCTCTATAAAAAGTTAAAAAATTAGCTGGGCATGATGGCACGCACCTGTAGTCCCAGCTACTCTGGAGGCTGAGGTGGGAGGATCACTTGAGCTCAGGAGGACAAGGCTGCAGTGAGCTATGATCATTCACTGCACTGCAGCCTGGGTGACAGAGTGAGACCCTATCTCTAAAAACAGACAAACAAAAAGGTAGAATAACAGGACAAAGAATGCAGAAGGGAAGGGGGTCATTCACCAGGGAAGACCCTAGTGAATGGGCAACATTACCAGGGCCCAGGGGCAGTGAGGAGGGGCCCATGCTGAAGAAATGATGGATGAACGCATGTTCAAGCTATGCGAAGCTACAGGAGTGGCAGGGGAGCGAGCACCTCCACCTGGCTCTCTGCAATTATTCCTGGTTAGCTGGTCACCAAATCTGACGGTGGCCTCCTGGGAAGCAGGAGGAACTGACATTCTGGGAGCAGCTTCTAGGTTTCAGAAATGAGCTAGAGAATTCAAAGGAATTGCCCCAAGAAGCAAATCAGGAAGGCAGCGGGGCCTCGCTTTGCAGATGAGGAAGCTGAAGTTTGGGAAGCTGAAATGGACTTCCCAAGGCCACGGGGCTTCCTCAGAATCCAGGTCCACATTCCCAAGCTTCCTTGAGAGGTCAAGCAAGAGTTTCCAGTTTAGAAGTGCAGACACCTGGGCTAATCTAAGATCCCGGTCTTGTTAACACGTGTGCCAGGCTGTCTTCAGTGACTCAGAGAGACAGAGAAATTGTGGGTAATTTGCAAAACCAGCGGTGGGCCTATGTGGCTCCTCACTCCCCCAGGACCTGGTCACCCACAGAAAGCAGCGGACAAATGAAAATCTCTCTCATTATCACATCTAGGAAAGACTTTCTAAACTGCCTCATCCTACCTCTTCATGGTCCAGATGGGGAAACCAAGGCCCAGAGAGGAAAAGACTTGCCCAAGGTCACTAGAGAGGTGGGACACAGCCAGGTGAGGAGCTGTGACTCTGTCACTCCACAAAGCTGCCCCTAGGAGGCTGAGGGCATTACTGCCCAGCCTCTACTGGCCAGGATGAGCTTAGGCCAGTACCTGGAATGTACCATGGGCATGCCATGGGCTCTTGCTCTTTCTGACATCCACCCCAGCCCTTTGCACATGCTGTTCCCTCTGCCTGGCACACACTTCCCTGGACCCCTACCCTAGCATCAACTGCCAGCTCCTAGGCATCCTCCAGCACTCAGCTTCCTTGGGGAGGCTCTCCTGGCCCCTGCACCCCAACGAGACCATATCCCTTGAGGCACTGTGCACCACCCCCATCCTAACACATACATGGTCCTTGTTTCAGTTCCTTGAGCAAAGTCCAAATTCTCACCAGACTAAGTTCCATGCGGTCAGGGGACCATGCCGTCTTGCTCCTATATTCCAAGTATCTGGCGCTAGCTCCAAACTACTGCTGGTAAGTGTGTGCTGAATGAACATGAGATCGTAGCCATTTGTCAATGAGTTCAACACCTATGCCAAGCTCTAAGTTCTGGGGACCGTGGACTGTATCTTAGTCATCTCTGCATCTCCAGCATGGAGCCCAGAGCCCAACACGCAGCCAGGCACATCAAGGTTATCCAGACCTTGCAAACCACACAATTCAAAAATACGATTATTGGAGACTTCTTTTCTTCTTTGTGCCTGTCTGAATTTTCCATATCTTTTTACCATGCACATGCATTATTTTTGTAATTAAAACATCAATCAATCAATCAATCAATGTTGCCTTACATTTATTATATAAGAATGTTCATAGGCCAATGATTGAACAATATGGACTGGGGGGATCTCCTGTTTCCCCACTGCTCTGGGGGGCTCAGGAGGGAGGTGAGACACTCTGGGACTGGCGGCTAAAAGGCAATGTTTCCTAAAGTTGTATTTTTAGGAGCGCTGGAAAATTCTCTGGGCAAGAAGGCATCTGAAGTATTTGCAAACACTCAGCAATGGGAAAGATAATATTTCCTAAGACTTTCCCTTTTGGGTGTGCTGAAACCAGTGGCAAATATTCTGGAAAACTCTGAGACCAGCCCATGACAATTCTTCGGTAAGTCCCTCTATTCCCAGAGCCCTGATGGATGTCACACAACCCAGAATCACCTACACCCACTCCTTATTTCACAGAGGAGGAAACAGAAACCCAGAGAGGAGAAGTAACTTGCCCAGGCACAGAAAACAGACCAGTTGCGAAGTCAAAGTGAGACCTGAAAGCATTTTATACCTCACAAAGCACTTCTGCACAGCTTCCCTGACTTTGGCATTTCATCAGAAAATGTTCTGGTTTTTTTCCTCTGTTATCCAGAGGAGACAGCACAGTGTGAGTGTTAGTGGGGAAGGGGTCCCAACTTCTTCTATCACTGTGTAGGTTCAGGAAAAGGAAAGCAAAATCTATTATTTTCATCCCATAGAAGACAGACATTCTTACACACACAGAGGCAAGAGGGATGTAATTTCAGAATAAAGAATAGTCCTTTAAATCAAATAAATGTTGCTTTCTGAAAAACTCACTGAAGTGGTTCTCGTTCTTCCTGTTTTCTTGAGGACTGGAGGAAAGCCCACATCGGATCCAGGATCTTCATTCCTGTTCAGGAGTCTCAGCTCTTCCTACAAACCTGTGCTACCTCCCAAACCAAGCCCGTTTCCTTTTTCCCCAACATTCTCTCTTCCTTGTAACCTCCACCATTTCTTAAAGAAAACAGAGACATTGCTAACCAGACACAGCCAAAAAGCAAAGTTGACAGGAAGCAGGAGGAGAGGGAAAGGACGTGACCCCGTCCTGGAGCCTGCACTGCCCCCCGCCACTCACCCAGAGGTAGCGCAAGAGCTTCAGCAGGCTGGGGCAGTAGTAATACTCCATTTCCAGCACCCAGAGGTTATGTGGTGAGCACAGTACGGTTTCCAGCTTTCCTCTAGCGGGAGCGGCTCTTCTCACTCCTGTCACGCTGGAGTCAAGTTCAAGGCGGCATAAATCATTCAGAAGCCGGCTCACGGCCAGGGGACCAGCCAGTCGGCTCCACTAATGGCCACGGCTGCCTGGGGAACTGAGAAGCCACCACTCGGTCCTATGAGCCCCGCCCGGGGCATCTCTGGCTTCTCGTCCAGTGGGGCGGGTCCAGGGGTGGATCCTTCTGAACCCAGCTGCCTGGACCCTCACCCTCCCGGGAGCCGTAGGCACGGAGGGTTTTAGGGTTTTCAGTTGTACGGCAAGAAGGCAAGAAGAGAGAAGGTGATGCCCGGGAACTGAATGTGTGCACGCGTGTGTGTGTGTGTTTATGCATGAAGGAGTGTGTGTGTACATGCTTTTACGTGGAGTCAAGTATGTGTGCATGTGTGCATACGAGTGTGTTTTGTGCATGTGTGGACTGACTGTGTGCTGTGCGTGTGAGCCCAAATGTATGTGGTTCCTCCTCCCCAAACCACATGAGGAGAAGGAGGCCCTGCCACTCGTTACAGGGAAGGAAATCAACTCAGGATCCCATTGGTTTACCGGGCTCCTTTGATGTCAGTCATGTTCCTTTTAAACTCAGCTAAGCTTCTGATCCCCCCAGAAGGAGGGTGTGGCCATCCCCATTTTACAGAGAGGAAAACCGAGGCCCAGAGAAGTCAAGGGACTTGGCCAAGGTCACGCGGTGAGTTGGTAGCTAAAGCAAGGCTGGAACCCAGGCCTCCCAGCCATGATTCCTGGGCCCGTCCACTCCTGTGGACACCCAGCCCAGCATGGGGAGTGGGGTGCTGGCAAAGGGAGGGATCAGCTCCCTGAGGCACCAGCTGCCAGCTGCACCAGGTGGGGAGTGAGGAGAATGTCAATTTTCAGAGATTAAAATGCAATAAAAGCACACCTCGGGCAAATCCAAGGCAAACTTTCCCAGATGTTTCCTTCAAAAGAGCATGATTTTAGCAAGTCACCTCATCCTCCTGAGCCTCAGTTACCCCTTCTGTAAAATGCGACAAATTATCCCTGTGTTCAGGGCTTTGAGGATTCAACAAGGTAGAATCCTGCCAAACCATCTAGTTTAGTTTTCATGGTCATATCATGAGGGCAGTATCATCACTTCTACTGTCCAGATGAGGAAACCAAAACTCACAGGGTCAAAAGAGGTTCCTGAGGTGAGCAGCAGCTAAACAGTGAGACAGGGATTCAAATACAAGCCAGACGCTCCTGGATCCCCTACTCAACACCTGCTCCTCATAAGCCGAGGCCATAACCCAGAGACTCCGGCAAGTGAGCGCCGGATGCAAGACAGCTGTGCTTCTGAGGCAAGGTCCTTCTCACTGCTGAGAGGGGAAAACTGAGGCGGGGGAGGTGTTCACAGAGGCACCAGGCAGAGGCCCTGGGTTCTGCACCAGGCTCCCGCCCCCAGGCTGGAGCTTGGCACACTGACTGCCCCAGCAACATCCTGGGCCCATCTGTGCTGCATCCTTCAGCCTCACCACTGGACACCAGGCAGAGCATCTAACAGGAAACTCACTTAAATAAGGAGAGGGTGGGCTGGGCACGGTGGCTCACGCCTGTAATCCCAGAACTTTGGGAGGCCAAGGTGGGCAGATCATGAGGTCAGGAGATCGAGACCATCCTGGCTAACACGGTGAAACCCCGTCTCTACTAAAAATATAAAAAATTAGCCGGCCGCGGAGGCGGGCGCCTGTAGTCCCAGCTACTCGGGAGGCTGAGGCAGGAGAATGGCGTGAACCCGGTAGGCGGAGCTTGCAGTGAGCCGAGATCGTGCCACTGCACTCCAGCCTGGGTGACAGAGTGAGGCTCTGTCTCAAAAAAAAAAACAACAAAAAAACAAAAAACAAGGAGAGGGTGCTGGGTGCAGCAGCTGAGAAAACCACGGGGTAGCTTCAAAGCTCTTCAGAGGCAGGCCTGTGGTTTCATTGATTCTCAGCGCCCCACTCCCAGCAGGCACTGGGTCTCAGCTGCTCGCTGCCTGACAAGTCAGGGGTTGGCCCCAGCGATGGCAGAGCCAGGGACTGGCAGCACAGTCAGAAGGCCGGCCCTGCTCCCTGATGGCACAGTCGGAAGGCTGGCCCTGCTCCCTGACGGCACAGTCGGAAGGCCGGCCCTGCTCCCTAACTGCCAGACAGTACAGCTGAAAAGCCAGCCCTGCTCACCAGCTGACAGTACCAGTCAGAGGACAGCCCCAGCTGACAGCATAGCCAGAGCACTGGGTCCTGCTGACCGACAAAAGTGCAGCAAAAGGGCTGGTTCCTCTGCACTGGCGGCACCGCTGGAGGGATGATGCCAGCTGCCTGGCTGTACCCCTGGCGCTGCGTGTCCTGGCTGACTGGCTGATGAGTGTCAAGTCTGGGGTTAGGCCCCGCTAACTGAGGGATTAATAGAAGTGGGGCATGCAGCGCTCGCGGCTGCCCTACTGAATGACTGTTGCCATAAACACAGGGGCCCGCCAGGGCCTTTCTGACACCCCTTGGCTGACAGGGGCCACAGTCAGCATGGAGGCTGCTAAGGGTTGACTGTCTGGTCTCCTATCAGCCCAGGACAGAGAAATGCCCGGAGAGAAAGGGGCTGGAAGGAGGCAGACAGGATGCCAGAGACAGGCGGGATGGAGAGAGGAAGAGAGGATGGCAGGCCAGGCGCAGGGCAGAGGGAGGAAGGTGGGAGGAAGGAGAAGGAAGTTACAGGCAGGAAAGGCATGAGACAGGGAGGGAAGGGCAAGACAGGGAACACAGAGGGTGAAAGGAGAAAAAGAGAAAGACGAGAGACATGGAGGGAGAGGAGAGGGAGATGGGTGGGGTAGGGGTTCTGATGGGAGAGCGACAGGCAGGGCAAGGGATGAACCCCAAAGGAAGTCAGAGAAAGTAAGCCAGACTGATGGCCCGGGAGGCGGGCAGGGACAAAGAGCACCAGGAACAGCCGGGGAGAAAGCTGGAGGTGGCAGTGACAATGGTGACAGGGCAGGGGGCTAAGAATAAAAAGAGACGTTCAAAGGTCCAAGACCCGGCGAGTCCAAGGTGGAGACAGAGCCAATCTAGGACCAGGTGGGGGGTGTGGGGAGGGGAGCACCGCTGGGCAGGTGCCAACAATGGAGACCCCCAAGTCCCCATCTCCCAACCAGAGGTGGTCAGACGCACCAGGGCACACCCCCAGGAGAAGCTGCCCCCAGTGCCCAGTCCTGGTTATCCTGCTCTGGCCGCCCTGACCACCACCCTGACCCGTGGGCCGAGGCAGCCCGGGGAGTGTGGCTGCATCAGAAGTCAGAGGCTGACGAAGTGGAACAGTGTCCTCTCTTCCCGCCCCCAGGGGCCCTTCTCCATGGCAGGGGGCCACCTGCAAGCACAGATGTGACCGAGGCACTCCACACACACATCTTAGATGCTTTCCTTGCTTCCTCATCACTCTTGGGAGAAAATCCAACCTGTTCCCTCCCACCCCAGGCCCCTGTGCACCTCCCACCACTTGACCCCACCCTGTGAGCCAGGCACCCATAAAGACTTTGCCCATGCTGTCGAAAGTAGGCTTCCTCCCCTAAGTGGGTTGAATGGAGACCCCTAAAAACATATGTCCACCTAGAACCTGCAAATGCGACCATATTTGGAAATGGTCTTTGCAGATGTCGAGGTTAAGGGTCATGAGGTGAGATCAGCCTGGATTCTCCAGGGCTATGGTTTGAATGTATGTGTTTCTCCAAAATTCATCAGCTGGAACTTAATTCCCAAGATGAGGGTGTTAAGAAATGGAACACTTGAGAGGTGATTAGGCCATGACAGCTCCACCCTCATGAGTGGAACTGATGCCCATATAAAAGGGCTTGAGGTCAGGCATGGTGGCTCACCCCTGTAATTCCAACATTTTGGAAGGCTGAGGTGGGAGGATCGTTTGAGGTGAGAAGTTCAAGACCAGCTTGGGCAACATCATAAGACCCTGTGTCTATAAAAAATGGAAAACTTAGCCTGGTGTGGTGGTGTGTGCCTGTAGTCTCAGCTACTCAGGAGGCTGAGGTAGGAGGATTGCTCAAGCCCAAGAGTTTGAGGCTGCAGTGAACTATGATTGCAATACTGCACTCCAGCCTGGATGACAGAGCCAGACCCTGTCTTTAAAAACAGTAATAAAAATAATTTTAAAACAAAAATAAAAGGGCTTGAAGGGGTGAGCTCACCCCTTCCATCCCCTCCCTCATTTCCACATGAGAAAACCTAGACAACACCATCTACAAGCAAGCAGGTCCTTGCCAGAAACCAAACCTGCTGGCACCTTGATCCTGGACTTCCCAGCCTCCAGAACTGTGAGAAATACATCTCTGTTTCTTTAAAGTACCCAGTCTCGATCAGGCGCAGTGGCTCACACTTGTAATACCAGCATTTTGTGAGGCCAAGGCAGGAGGATCACAAGGTCAGGAGTTCAAGACCAACCTGGACAATATGTTGAAACCCCGTCTCTACTAAAAAGTACAAAAATTAGCCGGGCGTGGTGGCAGGCACCTATAATCCCACCTACTCGGGAGGCTGAGGCAGGAGAATCGCTTGAATCCGGGAGGTGGAGGTTGCAGTAAGCCGAGATCGCACCACTGCACTCCAGCCTGGGCGACGAGCGAGACTGTCTCAAAAAAAAAAAAATAATAATAATAATAATAATTCTTTAAAAAAAGTTGAAAAATGGTAGTCCCCTTAGACATAATTTTGTTTGAGTGTTGTTTTTCTTTTTTGGGGGGAAAGAGGAAGGTGGTGCACCATTTTGTTTGAATTAGTTACTAACCAACATTTAAACATCAGAAGACTCGCATGTAGCAAGGCCATCTTCCAGCCTGTGAGAAGTGGCCCGCATTCCTATGTGGGGACGGGGCAGGAATGGCATGTGCCACCTGAGGAATGGCTCAGTGACATTCCTCCCACATCCCACAGCCCAGACATCCGAAATACTACTCTCCAGGACCCCAGGCGGCCACCCATTCCTCATGCTCTCCCTGTGGGCCTACTGTATGCCAGGCCCTGCTTTGGGAACTGACACCCTTTTTTTTCAGGTGCTCAGCCCCACCAGCACGTCATCCATCATCAATGCGTCTGTGGCCAGCAGCCTTGATTCCTGGCTCAGCCTTCAACACCCTTCACCATACAGCCGCCGCTTGCTGCCTCGCCAAACCAGCGCTCAAGCACACGTGGCTGCTCAGCCTCCCTGCCTATGCTCAGGCAGTGCCCTCTGCCAGGAATTCCTTTTCCTTCTGTGGACGTTCAACCATCTTTTAAACCTAATGCCAACGGCAAAAAATGAGTCACTGCGCCCTCTCTTCGGGTACAGTAGGATGTGCTGGGTGAGGATGGCCTGTCTTCCTCACAGGGCTGGGAGCTCCCCATGGGCAGAGCCTGGGTCCCAGGTTATCTCTGTGGTCTCGGGGCCTGGCACCAGCCAAGGGTTTAGTAGGTCCTCTGTAACTGTTCCCCAAAAGGCAGAGAATTCCCAGTTGTCCCAGCACCAGTCTTGCTCACAATGAAATCATCTTTAGATCTAGGCATGAAGATGGCAGACCCACTGTGTGCACTGCATTGTCGGCCACCAAAGGGGACCCAGGGAAGCCAGACATGTGCCCATCTTCAAGCAGTTTGTGATTCCCTGAAAGGTCAGGGCGCAGACAGAACAGGTTCCCAAAGAGGGAAACTGAGGACTAGGGAGAGGATGAGGTGTCTTATTACAGAGGCATCCCTGGGCCCAGGGGAAGGGTGTGGATGGAGTTAGATTGCCTCATTCCCACACTTGCTAGCTGGTTAATCTCTCTGGGCCCCCACTCCTTCACGTAAAATAAGGATGATGACAGTGCCTGCCCCCGCAGGGTCGCTGGGAGGCATGAATGAGGTACTACGTACAAAGTGTTCAGAATCCAGTACACAGTAAGGGCTCAACACATCTTATGCGGGGTGCAGTGGCTCACGCCTGTAATCCCAGCACTTTGGGAGGCCAATGTGGGTGGATCACTTGAGGTCAGAATTTTGAGACCAGCCTGGCCAACAGAGCGAAACCCCGTCTCTACTATAACAAAAATTATCCAGGCATAGTGGCACATGCCTGTAATCCCAGCTATTCGGGAGGCTGAGGCTGGAGAATTGCTTGAACCCAGGAGGCAGAGGCTGCAGTGAGCCGAGATTGCGCCTCTGCACTCCAGCCTGGGTGACAGAGCGAGACTCCATCTCAAAAAACAAACAAACAAACACAAAAAACAAACAAACAAAACAAACAAAAAAAATCTTAGCTGTGAGTGCCTGGTCGTGTTAGGGAAGCAGGCGCCTGGTAGAGCCAGAGTAAGGCCATGTTCAATTCGACTCCATCTTAAGACTAAAAAGCCACATTCCTTGCTGGTCACAAGATAGTCATGGGATGTTTACAGTTGAGGAAACAGCCTAAAGATACCTACAAGGACGTACTCCTACATCAGCACAGAGTCCAGGTGTCCCAATACCCATAACAGTATGTGCTTGCAAGATAATTATAGTTACGCTTCGGTATACTCACACACTAAAATGTCAAGGATGGTTTTTGTTTTGCTTTTCAAGATTGTTTTATATTTCAATAATTTTGGGAAGTACAGGTCGTTTTTGGTTACATGGGTGAATTCTATAGTGATGATTTCTGAGATTTTCGTGCACCCGTCACCCGAGCAGTGTGCACTGTACCCAATATGTAGTCTTTCAACCCTCACCCACCTCCCAACCTTCCCCCCAAGTCCCCAAATTCCATGATATCATTCTTATGCCTTTTCATGCTCATAGCTTAGCGCCCACTTGTAAGTGAGAACATATAATATTTGGTTTTCCATTCCTGAGTTACTTCGCTCAGAATAATGGTCTCCAGCTCCGTCTAAGTTGCTGCAGAAGACATTATTCCCTTCCTTTTTTGTGGCTGAGTAGTATTCCATGGTGTATACATACGTGCCACGTTTCTTTAAATCAATAAAGTAATCAATTTTGTCATGCCGTGCGCTCACCTGCAAGTAGACACAGTTTAGCTTAGCTTTTACATGGACAACACTCCTCTATAAGAAAAACTTAAAAACAAACCCGGGCGGTGGGTCCTCCTCTCACTTTCTGAGGATGCTCTACTCTGTAACAGGGTAGCTTTCAATCAACCATCCCTTCTTACTGCACTCCGGAACTTGCTTTGAATTCCTTCCTGTACGAAATCCGAGAACCCTCTCTTGGGGTCCGTTTCAAGACCCTCTTCTCTGGTAACAATGGCATATCCACTTCAGCCCCCTTGGCTAGCAGAGCAATAAGAGGGAGCCCAAACTGGGGCCAGCCCATCAGAAAAGGGGGTTATCTGCCCCAAAAAAAGGCATCTCTGAGCCAATCCCAGGGCAGAGCCAACCCACAGAGCCCTTAAGAGTGTTGTCAGCTGCAGCACATTTGAAATCACTGAAAACACACAACTAGGGAGTGGCGGGTGGCGGGGGGCGGGGGTGGGTGCCGGTTGGGAGGGGGGGAACAGCAAACACATTTTCCATCCTCTCAGTTCCCAGCCTGACCCAACAACTGCCCTCCTGGCCCCAATCGGTTCTCTCCACCATGCGGAGGGGCAGATGGGGTAGATGGGGTCAGCGAAGACAGGACCCAGCAAGAAGCAGCAGCCCAGTCGAAAAGCCTGAAGTCCTGATACAACCAACGCAGATGCGTAAAAAAAATGCCGTGCTGCGTGAAAGGAGCCAGACACAACAAAGCCATGCTGCATGAGCCCACTGACAGGAAATGTGCAGAAAAGGCAAGACTGCAGAGACAGGCCGCAGACGAGTGGCTGCCAGGGGCTTCCGCTGGATGGGGTGGGGGCTGGGGGGAGTGCCTGCTAATAGGTACAGTGCTTCCTTCTGGGGTGAGGACAATGTTCTGGGCTAGAGAGTGATCCCTGGGCAACTTGGTACATTTACTAAAAATTGCTGTACACTTCAATCGAGTGAATTTTATACTCTGTAAATTATACTTCAATAAGCTATTGGAGGAGGAGGAGGAAGAAGAAAAAAGAGGAGGAGGAGAAAAGAGAGGAAGGGGTAAAGGTGGAAGAGGAAAAGGAGGGGGAAGAGGAGGAGGAAGAGGAGATGGGCCCAGTGCAGTGACTCAGGCCTGTAATCCCAGCACTTCACGAGGCTGAGGTGGGAGGATCACTTGAGCCCAGGAGTTCAATACCAGCCTTGGCAACATGGCCAGACCCTGTCTTGATTTTTAAAAAGAAAAAAAAAAGTGCAGAAGGAGGAGAAAAGGGAGGAAGAGATAAAAATGGAAGAGGAAGAAGAGGAAAAGGAGGAGAAAAAACAGGAGGAAGAGAAGAGGGAGGAAGAGAAAAGGGAGGAGGAAAAGAAGGAAGTGGAGAAGGAGCAAACCGTGCCAAGGGATGAGAAAAGAGGGAGAAGCAAGCTAGAAGGTCTTGCCTGGGCATGCGCAGGGCCAGCAGCGCCTACAACCTGGCTGGAGCGCTCCCTCCCCACTCAGTCAGTGAACATGATTAAGCCCTACCAGGAGCTGGGAGCGAAGCTGCTGGGAGCAGGGATCTGCACTCAGGTAGGCCTGGGGTTCAAATCCCAACTACAGCCCTGCCTCACACTGTCATCCAGGACAACCTGCTTCTCTTCTCTGTGCCTCGGTTTCTTCAGACATAAAATGAGGCTGAGAATAACAACAACAATCATGATAATTTCCTCCCTCACAGGATGGCAGTGAGGCAGAGGTCAGATGATATGAGAAAAGCACTCAGCAGGCTGACTGCAACTGCTCAATCAATGAAGGCCCTGAGGATAAAGTGTGAAGCATTAGGGACATGAGTGAGGCAGGATTCTTGCCCTCAGCGGGGCTCACGGTCTGTAAGAGAAGCACTTGGGAATAAATTACAGCACTAGAGGCTAGAGGGCCTGGAATGGAGGAGTTCACAGGATAGGGTGCAACCCAGGAGGGCTTCTTGGAGAAGGTGGCACAGAACCCAGGCTTGAAATATGACAAAATGTCCCTATTCTCAAGAGACCTCGAGTTCAAGTAGAAGATTCAGCATCTCTGGAAATACATCTCCTTAAGAGAAAAATGCTGTTTCTATAACCATAAGTTTCTCACTATAGGCTCGGCTATCCATACCCCACGCTCTTTTTTACAAATAAAACAAAAACAAAATTTTTTTTTCCCAAAAAATACTTTCTCCGGAAGAGAAAATATCATCCATGAAAATAAATGGGGCAGCCAGGGCTGTGAAGGCTGCAGAGGAACATCCTAAGCTCAGCTGGGCAGCTCTGATGTCAGGTTCACAAAATAGAAACTGACATGGGGCCCAATGGGGACAGAGCACAGTGACACATCTACCGAAATTAGTGGGCTGCATGAAAAGATGAAAATCTAAGTGGTCATGGAAAATTTGGATGTTTCAGGTTTAGAATGGAGGCCCGAATGTAAAACGGCTTAAAAGCAAATTAACGAAATGTGGAAAATAGACCGTCTCCATCCTACCCTCTTGTGGTCATTTCTGAATGATGCACAAGAAAACCAGTGCCTTGTTTCACCTGGGAGGAGAATGAGGCAGGTAAAACAGAAACTGGCGGCCCTGGATTGAGCCCCCACCTGTGCTACCTGCCCAGTGTCGAAGCCTGGGCCAAGTCAGTTCGTTTTGCCAACCCTCAGTTTCCCGTGGGTCTCCCAGAGTTGTGGCAAGGATCCAGTGAGATAACAAGTGTGAATAACAAGACCTCTGATACCCAGAGTGTGAACCGAAGGCAGCTAGAATGTGGCCTGAGCACATGGTGAGATGTCACATTGAAATCAGGATTGGGCCAGGCGCGGTGGCTCACACCTGTAATCCCAGCACTTTGGGAGGCCGAGGTGGACCATCACATGAGGTCAGGAGTTTGAGACCAGCCTGGCCAACATGGCGAAACCCTGTCTCTACTAAAAATACAAAAATTAGCCAGGCGTGATGGTGCACGCCTGTAATCCCAGCTACTCAGGAGGCTGAGTCAGGAGAATCACTTGAACTCAGGCAGCAGAGGTTGCGGTGAGCCAAGACCATGCCACTGCACTCTAGCCTTGGCAACAGAGCAAGAGTCCATCTCAAAATAAATAAATAAATAAAATAAAATCAGGATCATCAGTTCTGCTTGAAAAACTGGACGATCCAACCAACATTCTGGGCAAGGAAGAGCTGGGATGCAAGGGAAGCTCCTTCCTCCCCACCATTTGTCACGAAATCCCCATCCCTGCCTGGCCTGGCTTCCGGGCACAGCTCCCGATGCAGAATCCCCGGGAAAGGGCCTGCAAATCCGGGTTCCAAGCCCCAAGGTGCCCCGGGTGCCTTGCAGGAGGCCTGGCATTTAGGAATCCCCAGATCAGGGATTTCTGAGGCAGTTTGGAAGGGACTTTGCCCTCAGAATTCTGCCCCCAACTAAATTCTCCATTTTCCCTCTGAACCCTTCTCTCTGCTCAGTGATGAGTGGGCACCCTGAGAGTGCAGGGGTCCCCTCCCAGGAACTACATGGGAGGGGCAGCAAGGTACTGTTGCCACACAAGCTGTCCAGCCTCCCGGCCTTGTGCAGACTGGTACCTGGGTTACCCTTCCTGCCCCTCCCTCCGCCTGGCCAAACTACTCCCCTGTCAGGATCCAGGGCAAGATGAGTCTTTCTAGTTCCCCTGCCACCAGGCCAAGGAAGAGCCAATTACTCCCTCCTCTGTCGGGTTAGTTTGTTGTGCATCTGTCTGTTGTGTGTCTGTTTCCCTTCCTCGGCTGTGAACTCACTCACTCCTTCATTCAACAATTTTTTTTTTTTTTTTTTTTGAGATGGAGTCTCACTCTGTCGCCAGGGCTGGAGTGCAGTGGTGTGATCTTGGCTCACTGCAACCCCTGCCTCCTGGGTTCAAGTGATTCTCCTGCCTCAGCCTCCCAGGTAGCTGAGATTACAGTAGCTGGGATTACAGGCACCCACCACTACACCCAGCTAATTTTTGTATTTTTAGTAGAAACGGGGTTTCACCATGTTGGCCAGGCTGATCTTGAACTCCTGACCTCAGGCGATCCTCCCACCTTGGCCTCCCAAAGTGCTGGGATTACAGGCATGAGCCACCATGCCTGGCCCCTCACTTAAAAAATATTCACCTAGCTTCAACTCTGCACTGAAAACACAAAAGTGAACAAGAGCTTCAAGAGCCCTACAGTCCTGCAATTCTTGTTTGGTGGGGGAGGGATAAGAAGTCAGCAAACAGCCTCCACCCTGATGAGGGAGGCAGATATCAGAAGGACACTGCACATGATAATGGGGGTGCTGTGAGGGAATAATGGGGGCCCGGGCCTTATGCAGAGGTGGTGTCAGGGAAGGCCTTGCCCAGGGGTGACATCTGAGTTTAGAGAGGTCCTGAGAAGAGGCCTCACTCAGGTGCTCTGGTCATCAGTCCCAGGAGCCCAGCCTTCGAGTCATCCCAGCCCGGGCACCAGACGTAAGTGATGAGGCTTCCAGATGATTCCTGCCCCAGCTGTTCAGGGCTCCCAGCAGAGAAGAGCTGTACCCACAGAGCCCTGCTTGGCTTCTTGACCTGCGGAATCCATGACCCTGTTACACCCCTAAGTTCTGTGATGGTTCATTATAACAACAGATCACCGGACCATGGAAATTACTTCTCCTCTTCTACTCTTTAGGCTAACTCGTTTTTATATAAACAACTCATCCCCACCCAGACACACACACAAGGCCCTAGAGCAGCAGTTTCCGAACAGTGCCGTATCCCCCGGGGATCTCTAAAAAATACTGACACCCAGACAATAGGGGGGAATCCTAAAAATACCTGACCAAGACTATTCAAGATTGCCAGGCTCATGAAAAACAAAGAAAAGTCTGATACTACATCCTGGATGGGACGTAACATTAAAACTGAGAAAATCGGAATAAACTATGAACTTTATTTAATAGGAATGTATCAGTATTGGCTCATTGATGGTAATGAACATACCATGCTAAGGCAAGGTGGTGATGACAGTTGGAAACTGGGTGTGGGTGTATGGGGACTCTCTGTACCATCATTCCAATTTTCCTGTAAATCTAAAACTGTTCTAAAAAGTCAAGTCTATTTAAAAAACACTGATGCCCAGGCCCTGCCCCCATGCATTTAGATTTAATTTCTGGGATGTGACCTGGGTATCTAAGTTTTGAAAATCTCCCTGAGTGAGTTATTTCCATTTCCAGAAGAAGAAATCTAGGTTCCAACTGGTGGGGCTGCATCTGGAATCTGGATCCTTCATCACACCCTGAAGTCTTAAACTTGCTTTTTCCATAACTCATGTCTGCCACAGGGTGCTAGGATGGATTCTATTCAAAGGAGGGATGAGGCTGGGTGCGGTACCTCATGCCTGTAATACCAGCACTTTGGGAGACCCAGGAGGGTGAATAGCTCAAGCCCAGGAGTTTAAGACCAGCCTGGGCAACATGGCGAAACCCTGTCTCTACAAAAAATACAAAAATTAGCCAGCATGCTGGCGCATGCCTGTGGTCCTAGGTACTTGGGAGGCCGAGGCAGAAGGATCGCTTGAGCCCAGGTCCAAGCTGCTGTGAGCCATGATTGTGCCACTGCACTTCTGCCTGGGCAACAGAGTGAGACCTTGTCTAAAAAAAAAAAAAAAAAAAATGCCCAGCAGAGCGCACTGGACATGTGACGTTACCCTTTTGGGCCTCCGTTTTCCTGATCTGTGAGATGGCGGCAGTGCGTTGTGAGCTAATGGGCTAACAGGTGGAAAAGGTTCACTCTCCTGGGTCTCCTTCCAACAGTGAGGGGAGCCTCTAGAGCCCGCAATCCCACGCTGTTCCACCAGGGGACGCGCGCACGCCAGGATGCTGGCCTACTCCACAAGGGAGGCTTTGCAAGGAACAGGTGTCCCTGTCATTCACTCATCTCTCTCCTGCGGGCCGGTCGGCATCCAGCTGGGGGCCCTGCGTGGCCTTGGTCCCTGGGAGCCCACAGAGCCCCGGAGCTCCAGGTGGCACTGCTGAAACCGAAGCCAGCCATCCTTCTTCCACCTGGGGATCCTGCCCCACTAGAGACACCCTTTCTCCTCCCAAGTTGCAAGGGCTAAGTCCACAGGTCTGGATTCAATCCAGCCATCATTGTTTCTTCACTGCATGTTGCGGGGCCAGTCACCTCCCCTCTCTGAGCCTCAGGTTCAGAATCTCTTAAATGGGCATCCTCTTGGCACTTCAGAATATAGTGAAGTCACTTAGGGGAAAAGTGCCAGGAAATGGAACTTCATGTAGAACGTGGGGAGTATGAAGACGGATAATGGGATGGTGTTTGCACAGTGCTTAGCACAGCGTCTGCCACATAGAAACTCAGTGTCTAACATAGTCACAGCAACAATAGCCAACACTTACAAAGCACCTACCAGGTGTCAGGCACTGTTCATCGCACCTTGTGCATAGGAGCTCATCTCACTTCACTGCCTTTTTTTTTTTTTTTTTTTTTTGAGACAGAGTCTCACTCTGTCACCAGGCTGGAGTGCAGTGGCCCGATCTTGGGTCACTGCAACTCCACCTCCCGGGTTCAAGCGATTCTGCTGACTCAGCCTCCCGAGTAGCTGGGATTACAGGCATCTGCCACCATGCCCAGCTAATTTTTGTATTTTTAGTACAGATGGCATTTCACCATGTTGACCAGGTCTTGATCTCCTGACCTCATGATCCACCCCGCCTCGGTCTCCCAAAGTGCTGGGATTACAGGAGTGAGCCACTGCGCCCGGCCACTTCACCGCATTTCTAACAAGTAGGCTCTGTTATAATCCCAGTCTCAGAGATGGGGAAACTGAGGCACGGAGATGTCAATCCACTCAAAGTCACATAGCTGGTAAGTAGCAGAGTTGGGATTTAAACCCAGGCCATCTGGCTTAGGATATGAGCTCTTTTCTGTATTCATCTCACACTTCAATTTTAAAAATCCTTTTCCAGGCAACAAAAGAAAAAGTTGGGCGTCATCAAACTTCATCAAAGTTATAAATTTTGTGCATCAAAGAACATTATCAAGAGAATGAAAAGACAGCCCACAGAATGGGAAAAAAATATTTGCAAATATCTGATATGGGATTAATATCCAGAATATATATATAAAATATTCCACTGGGCGTGGTGGCTCATGCCTGTAATCCTGGCACTTTGGGAGGCCAAGGTGGGAGGAACACTTGAGTTCAGGAGTTCGAGACCAACCTGGGCAATATGGCAAAACCCCGTCTCTACCAAAAATACAAAAAAAAAAAAAAAAATTAGCTGGGCATGGTGGCACATGCCTGTAGTCCCAGGTACTTGGGAAGCTGAGGTGGGAGGATGGTTTGAACTCACGAGGTGTTGCAGTGAGCCGAGATCATGCCACCGGCACTATAGCCTGGGCAACAGAGCCAGATCCTGTCTGTCTGTTTGCCTGTCTCTCTCTCTATATCTGTATCTGTATCTATATCTATCTATATCTATATCTATATCTATATCTATCTATATCTATCTATATATATGTTTGTGTGTATGTATTCCTACAACTCAACAACAAAGAAAAAACAATCTGATTCAAAAATGGGCAAAGGACTTGAACGGACATTTCTGCCAAAAAGATATACAACTGGTCATTTGGCATATGAACAGATACTCAAAATCATTAGTCATTAGGGAAATGAAAATAAATATCTCAATGAGCTACCATGGCTAATTTTTAAATTTTTATTTATTCATTGTTTTAGAGACAGGGGTCTCACTATGTTCAGCCCAGGCTGGTCTGGAACTCCTGGCCTCAAGCAATCCTCCTATCTTGGCTTCCTGAGTCACTGGATGACAGGCATGAGCCACGGCGCCCAGCCCACAACTTGTTTTTTCAGTCACAACCTTTGATGAGTTACTTTCAGCAGTCCTTGTGTGGTCTTTCATTTTGATTGTTTCCTTCTCATTTGGACTCGCTGTCAACCAACTGAAATCTAGAGGGAATCTCTAACTAGCAGCCAGGATATGTTCTTGGGCGGGGGCCACCTCACAAGTTCCCACTTATTTCAAGTTGATTACACTCACAAGGACTACCACTGCTGTCAGCAGAATCCAAATGTTCCTCCCCTCCTTTTTCCAGTCTTAATAACAAAGTCATCAGGTCCAAATGCTCTCAAACCTCTCAACCTTTGCCCTGGCAGATCCTGCGTACAAAGATGCTGGCATGACGATGACACAGCACCAGCCTCAGAAGCAAAGGGCCACAGTTTCACCAGTTAGAGATGTGGGAAAGTCTGAGCTCAGTGTAAAACCAAACACTGCGGGTGTCCAGGAGGGTCACGTGGAAGTCAAGTTTAAAGGACCCCAGATGACATCCGTTGTATAGAGCACAATTTCACGCCTCTAAACCTCTGCCCATGCTGTTCCCTCGATCAGGGGCAAACCACTGTTCCCCAGACCATAGTTACCTGGCAAACACCTGCTCAGCCTTCAAGACTTAGAACTCAGACTCTTTGGTCTCGAACTCCTGCTTCTCAGCTAGCCCTCCCCAAGTGGAGACACCCCCTCCCTCCTCCAGGGAGACTTTACACAAATTCAAATTAAATTAAAGCACATGACATGATGCCTGGCATATAGTAAATGTTCAATAAACAGTAGCTATTAGGGAGCTTCCGGATACCTGAACACAGGGAGGTTCCTGGAGGGTGGCGTGCCCAGGGAGGGCATGGAAGCTCTGCACTCCCTCCCCCATACCTCACCCTACGCATCTCTGCTTCTACAGCTTATCTTTTGTAATAAACTGGCAAACGAAGAGGAAGAGAGACCAGAGACATCTACCTATCACCCACCTCCCACCCTGCATACACAGAAGAGGCTACGCAAAGACAAATGAAGGACACAGCTGTCAGCCACGGAGAGGAGCCTCATTAGAAGCCAGCCTTGCTAGCTCCTTCATCTTGGACTTCTAGCCTGTGTATCTGTGAGAAAGCAAATTTCTGTTGTTTAAGAAAAAAAAAGAAAATTAGCTATTAGAACCCACTGCAATTATTTACCTACCTTCTTTTTTTTTGAGATGGAGTCTCACTCTGTTACCCACGCTGGAGTGCAGTGGCGAAAACTCAGCTCACTAAAACCTCCGCCTCCCGAGTTCAAGCGATTTTCCTGCCTCAGCCTCCTGAGTAGCTGGGATCAAGTGATTCTCCTGCCCCTCAGCTTCCTGAGTAGCTGAGATTACAGGCACGCAACACCACGCCAGTCTAATTCTTCTTTTTTTTTTTTTTTTTTTTGTATTTTAGTAGAAACAGGGTTTCACCATGTTGCCCAGGCTGGTCTCGAACTCCTGAGCTCAGGCGAATCGCCTGCCTAGGCCTCCCCAACTGCTGGAATTATAGGCGTGAGCCACTGTGCCTGGCCTATTTACCTACCTTCTTAATTGTCTATGCCTTAGTCATAACTGTAGCCCACTGCCCAGCATAGCACTTACCACATGCAGATAAATATTTGTCAAAAAAAGGAGCAAAATCCCTAAACACTCTACCTCAGCCCAACTGGTCCTCCAAGCACCCCCCTTTGTCTGTGTGAGTTCTCAGTCCCAAATGTCTCCCCTCCTACTTCCTGCACCTAACTGGACCCTCCCAGGTCATTTTCAGACCCCTGGGCTGTGAACTCCAGGAGGCTGACGGAGAAAATCTCCAGGCCCCATCATGCAGGGCCTGGCGCATAGTAGGCCCAAAAAGAAATAAACTCAAGAACCAAATGAGCCAGCATATGCTAACCAATAGGTTTCAGGGATTGGGAGAAAATTCTAGAGACTACCAGAGGCCCTCCCGCTGGCCCATTGCAAGGAAGCCTCCCAGCTGATGAATCTCTGACTTCATCGTCACAAGATGGGCCTCCAGGGTAAACTGTGACTCGAGGTCACAGTCCACAACTGAGTCACTGTGTTTTATGGTCCCTGTGAAAATGCAGACCAAAGCTCACTTCCTGGGGAAAAGAGGAGAGGGAGGAAGCCTGATACAGGACTTGGATTCGCCATGTGGACTCGAGGTCCTGAGGGGAACCCTGAAAGTAACAAGGGAGATGGGGAGAAACAGAGAGCACTGGCCAAGGAGTCACAAAGAAGAACTCCAGCCCCAGCTCTGCCTCTAGAGGCCACAGGACCATACACAAGACACTTCCCTACACTGGGCCTGTCTCCTCAACTGCAGAAAAACTTCTAAGGCTATGGATGTTTGTCTTTCCCATCAGCTCTTTGGGAGAGCATAGAAAAAAAACCTGGCCGCAAATAATAATAAAATAATAATAAGCCGGGTGCAGTGGCTCACACCTGTCATCTCAGCACTTTGGGAAACCAAGGCTGGCGGAAAACTTGAGGTCAGGTGTTTGAGACCAGCCTGGCCAACATGGCAAAACCTATCTCTACTGAAAATACAAAAATCAGCCTGGTGTGGTGGTGCACGCCTGTAGTCCCAGCTACTCAGCAGGCTGAGGCACGAGAATCACTTGAACCCGGGAGGCAGAGGCTGCAGTGAATCGAGATTATGCCACTGCACTCCAGCCTGGGCGGCAGAGTGAGACTCCATCTCAAATAATAATAATAATAATAGCTGCTATGATTTGTGAAGCCATTTCTCGGTGTCAGGCACTGTGCTAAGAGCTTTGTAAGCATCATCTCATTTGGGCTCTGTCCTCCCACCGGGCTACCACGTAAGACGAGTGGAAAGTTCAGCAGACACTTAAGAGCATGGACTGCAGACCCAGAACTTGGAAGAGACACTTAATGGCTCTGAGCCTCAGTTTGCCCATCTGTGAAGTGGAAATAATAGCAGTATCTACATGACATGTAACGATAGTAAGTGTTAGGCTTTGTTATTGCTATCACTATCCACTTTATAGAGGAGGAAAAGTGAGGCCCTGAGTGGTAAACTCACTTGCTCAAGGCCTCTAGCAAGTGGCAGGGTCTGTAGTTCAGCAACCATGGGCAGGGCTATGCAAATCAGCAGGGCATTGGCCTGGCAGGTCCCAGGCACCCTCTGCAAGACAGCAGCAGCACAGCAGCTGATGGCCAACCCCGGGCTGAGCAAATATCACATTCTCAGCTCCAGGAGGAGTCCCAGGGCTCAGGGTGTCTTGTTTCCTCATGTAGCTAATGCACGGAGTGCTGCAGGCCCAGGAGAGAGAGGAGCTGGCAGGGGCTGGCAGGGGTTGGCCATAGGCCAAAAGCACAGGCCCATGGCGGGAAGGGCCTGGGGCCAAGGCTGGAGTGAGATAGGCCCCGTTTCCATTCCAGCTCCCCCAGCAGCTGTGTGGCCTTGGGCAAGGGGCTGAAGCATTCTGAGCCTCACTTTCCTGCTCTGCAAAATAGGATTCATGGTCACTAACATGAGGCTGAAGTAGGAATTGGCAAGGCCTGAGAGGCTCAAAAAATGAAGATGAACATGAACTTAAATGGGAAAATAACAGCACAAAGTCATTCATCAAAGCAGTGATGGGAATCATAGCAGACACAGTGAATCCCTTCAAACACCTCATGAGACACAAAATGCATGTATGACCAATTTCCAGAGGAGCAGGGACAGCCACCAGGGGCTCAGGACCCCAGCCCTCCTCTGCTGGGTCACCCTGGTTAAGTCAGGTCCTCTCTCCTGGCTTCACTTTCCCCTTTTATAAAAAGAGAATTGGACAGGTGAGAAAAAAAGCAGAGGAGAGGAAGGGGAGGAGGAGGATGAGAAAGGGAAGGGAAAGTAGAAGAGATGGAAAGGATCAGGAAAGGAGGAAGGGAAGAGGGAGAAAGAAGCAAAAGCTACCACTGCAGTTGAGACATTGAGAATTTACTATGTGCTGGGTGATCTCATTTACTACTCACAAAAATACTCTTGAGGTCATAGAGAACTATCCTTATCTTACAGAAGAAAAAACTGATATTTAGTGACGTCCATGAAGTCACTTGCCCAAGGTCACACAGTGGCAGAGTTGGAACTTAAAGCCACTTCTTTCAGCCTCCAGAGCCCAATACTAAAAGGTCCCTCTAGGATGGGCTGTTGGAGGCACCAGGATAGGAGCTGAACACCACCTCCTCCTTGTGGCCACTCCCCAGAATTGCAGGTATGAGTCCCAAAAGCAGGGAAATGAGGTCTGAGGCCCCAGCACTCTCCGGTTCATGCTAAGTCCCTCCACCCACCTACCTCTGAGGAGAGGAAATCAAGCAGGCAAGAGTGGGGCAGGGGCCTCAGAGGCCAGAAGGAAAGAGCCAAGGCAAGCTGCCCGAGGACTCCAAGGACAAAAGCTCTTCAATGACAGAGAGTGAAAGAGGAGGAGCAGGACGGCCAAGGAGGATGCCAGCAAGCAGACTCTAAAAAGACAGGTTTAAAATGCTTCTCTCCCATCACCTTTGTCTTCACACACACACTCATAAAAGTTCAAGTACAATCAGATAAGCTAAGTCAGAGCTATCTGAGAGGGACTGGAGAAATAGCTGAGAAAGAAGTCAATGGAAGGGAATGTTTATCAAAAAATCCAGGCAGGTTTCAAATGTGTGTGAATCTTTGGCTAGGATCTGGATCCTCGAGGAAAATTCCTGGGCTGCTCAGTAAACACCTAGCTGGGATCTGAGTTCCTCCCCGGCCCGTCTCCCTCAGCCCCACAGTCGGGCTCACGTTGTGGCTGTTCTGCATCACTCCTAGCACAAACCATGCCAGGGTATCTTCTTTACCCCCATTTTACAGAAGTGGAAACTGAGGTTCAGGAAAGCAAAGTTTCTTGCCTGTGGCCATAAAACTGGAAGGGATGGACTCTCAATGGAGCTTCAGCACAAAATCATATGTCTCCAAAACGTGAGACCAGGCCCAGGTATCCCTGAAGCTTGTGGAGCTGAGCAACCAAAGAGGCCTTTGTGGGCAGAAGTGTCGCTGCCTTAGGAGCCCTGTCTTCGATGCCCCTGTATAGGACCTGGGCCGGAAAGGGGCTTCATGAGCAAGTGCAAAACTCCAAACAGCATGGAACTAAAGTCCGAAAAGAAACTCACTGGAGGTGGCGAAGCCCTGGAACCCATGTGGGCACACTGAAGCTCTGAATGGGACAGCTGTCCCTGGGGCCTGCTCAGTGTGTACTCACCTCCTTTCACAAGTAAGGAAACAGGATGAGGGGGAAGAGGGCACAAGGACACAGAGATAAGCAAGAGCCAGAGGGAGACTTGAAAACAAGGACAGTCGTACCAGTAACAGCAAGAGTAATAATTATGTGACGATGACACTTATTGTTTGCTATGTACCCAGAAGCATGCTAAGCACTTCATGAATTCTCTCATCTGAGCCCCACATCAGCCCTGTAAAGTAGATACTATTATTATCCCCATTCTACAGATGAGGAAACTGAAGCCAGAGGCCAGCCCAAGGTCACACGTGAATGTATGCAGATCCGGGACTTGAACCCAGGCAATCTGGCTCTGGAACCAGCTTTCTGCTGCCTCCTGTTATCACCATAACTGTCAGTTCCTAAATGTGTTATGACGTGCTGGGCCCCACACACACTTTTATTCCATCCTCGCAACACAGCTAGATAGGAATCAAGATCCTGTTTTCCAGGTGAAGAAACTGAAGTGCAGCGAAATTAAGTAAATTGCTCAAAATCTCAAAGAGGTTGACAGGAGACCGTGCTGGGATTGGAACCCAGGACTTTCCAACACCAGTCTATGTTCCCTTAACCACTCCATGCCAGGCAGTGCTGGGCTGGAAACTCAAGAGGAAGAAGGTTTCCCCAGCAGAGCCACCAAACACCCTCCACATCAAGAACCACAACACAGCTAGTCAGGTGACACCAGATTCCTGGACAGTTGCCTGCTGCCCTCAACCCCGTCAGGGCCCTGGGCTGTCCAGATGCTCCACCAACCACATTCACAGCAGTGTCCAGCAACCAGCACCCCTGTGCAATCCTCTCCAGCCATGTTGCATCACTCACCACAAAGGGCCCACTCCTCCTGTCTTTGCAGAAGCTGTGGCTTCTCCAGGGAACCGAGGCCACAGGGGACACCTGCTGGAGCGGTCGCTCCTTCTCCTGGGGGGCATCCTCCTTCTCCAGGTCCCGTGGCAGCACCTGAAACACAGAGCACAAGAAAAGGACTTTACTGGGAGCCTTCTCATTTACAGGAAAAAATATATTATGCCAAGAGTCCATTCTGTACCAAAAAGGGCAAAGAAGAAAATTAAACCCCCAGAAATCCCCCACTTTAATGATCAGAGGTAACATGTAGGGCGGTAGCTCTGGGTTCCAGTGGCCCAGCCTCAGCCATTTAATAACTGTGTGACCTCAGGTGGGTGCCTCAACCTCTCTGAGCCTCAACTATCTGGGAAAGGAACCCCATGATGACAGCACCCAGCTTCTAGGCGCTAAGAAACAGCACATGGAATGTACATGATGCAGTATAGCCACCAGGGGGCAGACGTGCACAAGTCCTGGGCACCTGGCTTGGCTTACCCTAGCCTCCTCCATCCCTGGCACCTGGGGAGCCCTCCATAAATGCTGGCTGGCCTCATTACTGCCAGTGGTCATTCTTGGTGACCTTATTTTAATCATCTCTTTATGCACCCAAACACACATGCATAGACACAGAGAAACGGTGCATGAACAGCACAGCACCTCCAGTACATCTACTTGGAATCCTGCTGTTTTTTTCCACTTAGTTATATATAGGGGAAACATTCACAGGCCAGGACTCCAGGATGCATATTTTATATGCTTCACACTCTCCCTGCGTGGACAAGGAAACAAAGGCCCAGAGATGGGAGGGAGCTGCTTAAGAACACACAGCACCAGGAAGAGGAAGACTGGATTTCTAATCCCTTCCCTCACAGCCTCTTTTCTGGATGCCTTCAGAGACCCTCTGGTTTTCCTCCTAACCCCCTGGCTCTTTTTGATCAGTGTCCCCACATGTCCCAGGCCAGCCGCAGAGCCATTTCTCCTTTTGCTACATCATTCCCTCTGGGATCTCTCTTCACGCCCCCCATGGCTTTAAATAAATCCCATCTACACCCAGATGCCTGCCAATTCTGTTTCTCAGTGTTGGAACTCCAGACTCGGAGATCCCACTGCTCACTCAACATCTCTTGGAAGCTCACACTCATCTCAGATCCACGTGCTCAAAACATGCGTCTTGATTCCATCTCTCCACAGTTGCTCCTCCCACACCTTGCCCATCCATCCCCCAGCTGGGGAGGCCAAGACCTTCGGGTTGCCCTCCATTCTCCTCCCCATTCTCTCCCACTTTTCTCCACTGCATCAGCAAAGCTGAGACTCTACCTGCAAAACATGCTGCAAATCTGACATACTATATACCAAAATCAACTTGAAATAGATCAAAGACCTAAATGTAAGAGCTAAAGCTAGAAAACTCTTAGAAGAAAATAGAGGTGTAAATCTTCAAGAGCTAGGCTTAGGCAGTGATTTCTTAAATATGATACCAAAGGCATAAACAACAAAAGAACAATAAATAAAATAGACTTCTTCAAAATTAAAAACTTTTGTGCTTTAAAGGGTACCATTAAGAAAGGGAAGGCCAGGCGCAGTAGCTCATGCCTGTAATCCCACCACTTCGGGAGGCCGACGCAGGTGGATCACCTGAGGTCAGGAGTTTGAGACCAGCCTCGCCAACATGGTGAAACCCCGTCTCTACTACAAATACGAAAATTAGCCAGGCATGGTGGCGAGCGCCTGTAATCCCAGCTACTTGGAAGGCTGAGGCAGGAGAATTGCTTGAACCCAGGAGGTGGAGATTGCAGTGAGCCGACATCACACCACTGCACTTCAGCCTGGGCAATAGAGTGAGACTCCATCCATCTCAAAAAAAAAAAAAAAAAAAGGAAAAGAGGCCAGGCATGGTGGTGGTGGCGGCTCACGCCTGTAATCCTAGCACTTTGGGAGGCCAAGGCAGGTTGATCACTTGAGGTCAGGAGTTCAAGACCAGCCTGGGCAACACGGTGAAACCCCATTTCTACTAAAAATATAAAAATCAGCTGGGCAAGGTGGCACATGCCTGTAATCCTTGCAACTCGGGAGGCTGAGGCAGGCGAATTGCTTGAATCCAGGAGGTGGAGGTTGCAGTGAGCCGAGATCATGCCACTGCACTCCAGCCTGGGCAACAGAGCAAGACTCTGTCTCAAAAAAAAAAAAAAAAAGAAAAGAAAAAAAATTAGCCAGGTGTGGTGGCATGTGCTTGTAGTCCCAGCTGCTTGGGAGGCTGAGGTGGGAGGACTGCTCGAGCCCAGGAGGTTGAGGCCGCAGTGAGCCATGATCTCACTACTACACTCCAGCCTGAGTGACAGAGTGAGACGCTGGCTCAAAAAAAAAAAAAAAAACTCTCAAGACACATTATATGAAAAACAGAAAGGTGGAAAATCTGTGGGTTCAACAGAGATCCTCAACCCAAGATTCCCCTGGGGAGCCTTCATAACTAACAAAGGCAGGTCCTACCCCAGAGATTCTGACCTAACTGGCCTGGAGAGAGGCCCAGTCATTGATATCTTTTAGGATTCCCTGTGTTACTCCCATAGGCAACCAAAGTTTCAACCACTTAGAGAAAGTGCTCTTTATTATGGAAAAGTGAAGCAAAAATAAAAATATGTATTTCTATGTGCTTGTATTTTCATAAAGAAGCCTCAAAAGAAAAAAAGGAATTTAAAAAAAAGGAATAAAAGTGATTACCGGGTGGAAGAAATGTAAGCATGGCAGGTATCAGGGGAATGTTTTTTAAGTATTTTTGGAGTGGAGCCATGTGAAATCGTCTCTCTCTTAAAACTAAAATAAATAATTTAAATAAATGAAATACTGTTGGGTCTGGGAAACAGTTTCTATAAATGTCTGTTAAGTGAAGAACAGAGAAAAAGAGAGGAAGGGATGGAGAGAGGAAGGGATGGAGAGAGGAAGGAATCACTTTAATGACCATCACACCCTTTTGGGCTGTAAATCAAGAAACCCTCACCCAAGGAACCAACCTTGTTTCTTTTTCTTCTTCTTTTTTTTTCTCTTGAGACAGAGTCTCGCTCTGTTGCCCAAGCTGGAGTGCAGTGGCACGATCTCCGCTCACTACAATCTCCGCTTCCTGGGTTCAAGCAATTCTCCTGCCTCAGCCTCCTAAGTAGCTGGGTCTACAGGCACCCGCCACCAAGCCCGGCTAATTTTTGTATTTTTAGTAGAGATGGAGTTTCACCATGTTGGCCAGGCTGGTCTCAAACTCCTGACCTCAAGTGATCTGCCAGCCTCGGCCTCCCAAAGTGTTGGGATTACAGATGTGAGCCACTGCACCCGGCACAACCCTGTTTCTAACACACACAAAAATTCAAATCCACCCAAATACCCATCAATGAGAGTCTAGGTTAAAATAGATTGGGCTCAGTCACATAATACAATACTTCGCAACCATTAAAAAGAGGAAGGGGAGGCCGGGTGCAGTGGCTCACGCCTGTAATTCTAGCAGTTTGGGAGGCCAAGACAGGTAGACTGCTTGAGGCCAGGAGTTCAAAACCAGCCTGGTTAACATGGTGAAACCCCATCTCTACTAAAAATACAAAAAATTAGCCAGGAATGGTGGTGTGCACCTGTAGTCCCAGCTACTCAGGAGGCTGAGGCAGGAGAATCACTTGAACCCGGGAGGCGGGGGTTGCAGTGAGCCAAGATCCTGCCACTGCACTCCAGCCTGGGCCACAAGAGCAAAACTCCATCTCAAAAAACAAAAGTAAGCCACAAGATTTTCTATAGACTGTTGTAGTTTTCCATAGAAAGCTTATGTATTTACCTATATCTAAGTCTATGCATTTACCTTTATCTATGTCTGTGTCTAGACCAGGGTTCCTCAACCTACAAACTGCAAACACTTGGGGCTGGAGCATTCTTTGCAGTGGGGGCTGTCTTGTGCCTTGTAGGATGTTGGGCAGCATGCTTGGCTTCTACCCATGAGACGCTAATAGCAACCTCTTCCCAGGGTGTGACAACAACAAAATATGTCTCCAGACACTGCCAAATGTGCCCCAGGGGCAAAATTGCCCATAGTTAAAAACCACTAATGGGCCTAGAGGGGTGTTCCCCAGTTTATGCACCACGCTCAATATTTAAAGGAGATTTTCTCTCTACACCATTTTTCTATAGTATTTCAAAATTTTTTTTTTTCTTTGAGACGGAGTCTCTCTCTGTCGCCCAGGCTGGAGTGCAGTGGCGTGATCTTGGCTCACTGAAAGCTCCGCCTCCCGGGTTCACGCCATTCTCCTGCCTCAGCCTCCGGAGTAGCTGGGACTACAGGCGCCCGCCACTGTGCCCGGCTAATTTTTTTGTAGTTTTAGTAGAGACAGGGTTTCACCGTGTTAGCCAGGATGGTCTCAATCTCCTGACCTCGTGATCCACCCGCCTCGGCCTCCCAAAGTGCTGGGATTACAGGCATGAGCCACCGTGCCCAGCCAGTATTTCACATTTTACGCAAGCATTCGCTACTGTTGCAATATGAAAAGCATGACAATTATGCATATATATATGATTGATAAGTGACTGTCAATATAGGAAAGTCCGAAAGGACATAAACAATGTAATGGTGGCTGCCTCTGGGGGAACACTCACCTTTTATTTTCTATACCCCTGTAAGGTTCAAAATTTTAACAACCAACATTTTTTCCTTCTGTATTGGTGTGTTTTTATTTTTTTTTTTAAGATCAAAGAACCAAAGATCTTTTGGCAGGAGACAAGAGAGAAACGGGAAGCTGGTCCAAGGCTTCCCAATCCCGTGGTGAGAAAACAGATCCCCTGACAACCAGCACTGCTGGGGCCTGCGTGCTCCAGGCAGGCATCCAAGGCTGGGCTGCGGGACAGAGCTGAGCCCAGGATCCCCCCTCCACAACATCCCGACTCCCCCACCACCAGCGGGCCCTGAGCAAGGTGCTGGCAAACATAAGTGTCGCATTTCCTTGGCCTCTTCCTTCTTCCACTGTTACCACAACATCAGCCTGCAGGTAGGGACAGATGAAACCCTTCTCAGGAAGCACACGGGGATGGCCCAAGTTCGGTGCTTTATTTCAATTCAGTCTAATAACAGTGCTTTGGGGCAGGAATCCCTGTTAACTCTGGCATGGCAACTGAGGCCAGGAGAGGCCAAGAGGCTGCTTTACACACAGCAGGCAAGTAGCAGCGTGGAGATTCAGATGCCAAGTCTGCGTGATCCTGCACATGGTGGTTGGAGAGCTTGGCCTCTTGGGAACAGACATGGGTTCAAAGCCTGACTCCATCACTTACCCACTCTTAACTGAAGGCAAATCCTCACCGCATGATCATTACTGACTGTATCCTAGAGTTTCCTTTCTGCAGCATCCACTTCCAGACTGGCCACCTAGTCCCTTTTACAGACAAGAAAACTCGGGTGCAGGGAGGTGAAAGGTTTTGCCCTGTATCACTCAGCTGCAAGTGGCAAAGGAAGAATCTGTGGCCTGATTTGCTGATGCCACATCACACAGGGCGGTGCTAAGTCCATTTCCACATGTCCCCCACAACATTCTACGCTCTTCCCACCTCCAAACCTTTGTCCATGCTGTGCCCTGCTGAGAATGCCCTCACCTCCCCTCATCAGCCCACCCAAAAGCATGGCCAACCCTCAAGCTTGGGCTGAGACCACCGACTCCTCCAGGACACCTTGGGCCACCTCTCCAGTGCCTCCCTCTGCACCCCATCACTCCCCAGTCTTGGATCACAATGGCCCATCTCCCCACAGAGATCAGAAGCTTCAAAGGGTGGTCCTTATGCCTCAGATTTCTTCCCCACCTTCGTGGTTCTTCACCAGAATGGTCTCCTAGAATATGGCCCAGTTGGGTAATTAAGGCCAGATTTGGGTTCAAATACCAGTTTTGTTACTTACTGCTGTGTGACCTGGGACAAGTTATTTCACCTCTCTGAGCCTCTGTTTTTTTCCCCCCATCTGTACAGGAAGATGATCACACAGCAGTAGGTAGTGTCAGCACTCTGCCCAACACTCAGGTATATGCCAAAGATCAAGAGAAGGGGCCCTCTGCCAACACCCTAGAGCCTCACTGATAGATATTTGGGTAGATTTGAATTTGTGTGTGTGTGTTAAAAACAAAGTGGCTTATTTGGGTGAGGGTTTCTTCACAGCTATTCTGCTTATGTACCCCCAAAAGGGTGTGCTTGTAATTAAAGTGATCCCTTCCTCCTTTCCTCCCCACCCCCCACCCTGCCATCCATTCTTCTCTTTCTCTCTGTTCTTCACTGAACAAAGGAAGCCAGATTTTCTTTCTTCTGCTGTGCATGGTGCCAGCCAGGATGGAAAAGTCTGAATGTTCATGACCCCACAAACAGCCTCAGGCAAGGACAGAGGGATTGGAAAATACATACTCCAGGTCCCTTGACCCCTGGACATGACAACTTCAGAGGTGTTCCATGCTGCCTCCCGGGGTCCCCAGTGAGATGTGCCTCTGTGGCCAACCATGGCCCCTGTAGCACCTGCCTCACTTCTTCTCTCCCCTACTGGTTCTTCCTGGGATCACCCCCTTAAAAAGTGCTTACAGGCCGGGCGCAGTGGCTCGCGCCTGTAATCCCAGCACTTTGGGAGGTCAAGGTGGGCGGATCACGAGGTCAGGAGTTCAAGACCGGCCTGGCCAAAATAGTGAAACCCCGTCTCTACTAAAAAAAAAAAATACAAAAAATTAGCCGGGTATGATGGCGGGCTCCTGTAATCCCAGCTACTTGGGAGGCTGAGGCAGGAGAATCGCTTAAACCCAGGAGGCGAAGGTTGCAGTGAGCCAAGATCACACCATTGTATTCCAGCCCAGGTGACAGTGTGAGACTCCGTCTCAAAAAAAAAAAAAAAAAAAAACAAGGGACTGCTGGAACCCAAAACCATGGTGATCCCTCTTTTGAGGCTCACGTAAGATCACTTGTTCACTCATTCAACAAATACTTCTTGAACATTCACAGTATGTCAAGCATGATGCTGGATTCTGGGGACATAATAATGAACAGGATACAACAGGCTATTATACAGCAGGAGCACAATAAAGCTACCATTGATATCTATCATTATCGTCATTGTAGGACAGAAGTGTAAAACAGGTGGCCGGCGCGCTGCATGGGGCTAGCAGACAAGTCTTGTTTGGGCTGAACAGCATTTTTAAAAATAAGTCCTCCTCATTTCCTAATGGGAGGATTACACATAAAAATCTAGATTTTCAGATTCTCTTGATAAATGAGGTTTGCCATCTCAAGGCCAGCATTCCTGCCTGTGAAGAACCAGCTGGGCCAGGCATGGTGGCACACGCCTGTCATCCCAGCACTTTGGGAGGCCGAGGCAGGAGGATCACTTGAGCCCAGGAGTTTGAGACCAGCCTGGGCAACATGGCAAAACCCTGTCTCTACAAAAAATAAAAAATTAGCCAAGCATGGTGGCGCATGCCTGTCATCCCAGCTATTTGGGAGGCTGAGGCGGGAGGATGGCTTGAGCCCAGGAGATTATGGCTGCAGTGAGCCATGATCATGCCACTGCACTCCAGCCTGGGCAACTAAGCAAGACTCTTTGTTTCAAACAAACAAATAAACAAACAAAGAACCAGGTGGGACCAAGCAGCAGTTGTCCAGTTCAGATAGGGCATGAGCTCTCCATTTGCCACAATCCATACCCCTCCCTGGAGCCTCATACCCAGCCTGACTCCACTCATTTATGTACCCAAAGTGGGCCACACAAAATCTGAGTTTCGGCCCCCTAGACTAGATGTTTAAACCATGTTTGACAAAATTAAAAAGTGTCTCGGTACTTACCTTGTGACTGTCTCCAGTCCCTGACTCCCACCAACAGGGTCCCATTTTGGCCTCCAAATTCTCTCCAGTAAGGCTGGGCCTCCCTTTGGGCTGCTCTCGCCTCCTCTCTCTGGCTTCATGCATGATGGACAGGCCCTCTCGGATGTTGGCAGGGGGCCCCTTCTCTGAGTAGGCCCTCTTGATATCCAGCGGCACCCGTCCACAGTCACGTGGGTGGTCACCCCACTGGGCCACACTGTCCTCCTCTCCCCGCCCGGTGGATTTCCTTGGGGTCCCTTTCTTCTGGTCAGTGGGGGGCGATTTGGGTGACACCCTGACCCCACTGCCTGGATCCTCCCGACCAGAGGGCTTTGACTCAGCCAGGTAATTCTGACACTTTGCAACATGATGTTTACTGGCAAAGGCCTTTCTGTCATCCTCAGCAAACCCCGTTTTTTTCCTGGGATCCGCAGGTATAGGAGAGCCCCCTGGATACCTTTCAGAAGGAGCCGAGGGTGGCAGAGCCCAGAAGGGAGGGCTAGATTTGGTGCCCATGGCTGTCTCCAAGGTCTCTGCCAGCTGCTTGCCTAAGCCAGGAGTGAAACTGTGATTTATTTCGGCAGAACTGGCCGGTTTCCAGAGACCCCCGGTATCGGGCATCTCCTTCAGGCTCCTCCTTCTCTGCTCCACCCCGCCCAGCTGAACAGGCCTCTCCCGAGGCAACGTACTGGGCTCCACGGTGGGACTCCTCCTCTCCTGAGCCTCCCCAGGGACTTTCAGCGACAGCTCCTGGTACTCTGCCATCAGGGCGTCAATGTCAAGAACGCTGGATCTGTAGCCATCTCTGATTTTACCTGGGAACGTGTCACTGATCACATCAGTCTTCCTTCTCACAGGAAGATCTTTTGGACGACTCCTCAGAGTCGGGGTGGTTTGGGGAGCTCCGCCGCTGGGGGACATCTTGTTCGCACTTTCCTTCCAATTGCTTTGAGGACGAGGGCCATCTTCTGATCCCCGATGACTCCATAAGGCATCCACATCAATGATTCTTCCATTGAAAGGGTCCAGACTCCAGGCCCCAAGAGATGATGGACGGTCTGTTGGCTTCAGAGTTTTTAAAATGCTTGCATTTTCATGCTCTCGTCCCTTCATCCAGTTTTTACTGCCTGCCATCTCCAATGCCTCTTCATGACCAAGAGAAACCAAAGTGGATGTTAAAGAATGAGGAGACGAGGGTGGAGTGATTTTTCTAGAATGTTCCAGCAAGCTTTCAGCTCCTGACAGAACCACACCCTTTGCCTTTTGAGTATTGGGAATCTGATAGGTGACTGCAAAAAATGTCGCCTTGGGTTCCACAGGTGACCCTTGCTTCACTGCTGGGGAAGTCTGGTCCCGTGAAGCACCTGGGTTCACCTCCTGGGTCTCCACCCTGTAGTGGGATAGTTGAGGTTTTCTTAAGGCACTGGCTGTGGGGCTCACATAATCTGTTCGTCTGTGCCCCACATGTGGAGAGTCCTCTGGGACAAGAGAACTGAATGTATCAAATTTCACGTTGGGGGGTAAAGTCCGCCGCCGCCATCTGTCCATTCTCTGGTCCATGGCGCCGGCTTTCCGCATTCTGACTGCAGGCTGTGGCACCTGGGCCGGCCCTGGATCACCCTCCCTGGCGGCTACAATGAAGGGCCCTTTCTGCACAGCAAATGCATCTGGATGTGTTCGTGCTTGGGAGTCAGAAGGCCCATTCGTAGCCCTGGAAAGAGGATCGAGGGGGCATCCCTGGGGTGGGCCCCTTGCTCCCACTCCTGGCTTGCTTCTGGCCCCCTCTGGCCCCTCATGCTGGCTTTCCCAGATGGCAGCCTTGATAGCCCTGACGGAGGTGGCCCCGGGAGCACAGTGCTCTTCGCTGACTGCCACGGTGGCTTTGTGCGAGCTCACCACTGCCCCGCCTGTCCATTTGGGAAACGGGCAATTGCCCCCAAACTTCGGTCCACTAGCCTCAGGCATGCCTCGAGCTTCCCAAATCAAACTGGCCCTTTGGACGGACCCCGCCTGACCTTCCAAACCACACTCCAGGTCAGCAGGGGTGACCTCCTGGGACAGCTGCCTGTCCTTCAGTGAGAGCCAAGACCTGAGGCTGCGGAGCGTGACCGCTTTCTCCTCCGGTGCCGGTGAGATGGCCTCGCTGTGCACACGCTCTCCCACTGCATGCACAATGTCATATCTGGGCTCAATTCTCTGCGATGTGGGAGGATTTTCCAAGTGTTTGAGGAAGGTGTTATTATTGTGGTTTTCAGACAAAGGGTATTTGTCCCGGAGAGGCGTGTGATACGGTCTCAGTTCACCATTCAAAAGGGTGGTTGGTCCCAATTTCTCCGTCTCGGGATTGTCAAACCCTCTGGAGTTCTCTTTCTTCAGTTTTGTCATGTCTGGTGGGTCCCTGCCCAGCCAAGAGCCCATCTCAGGCCTCGGCCTGGGTTCTGAGACACGGGCATGGGCCATGTCACCAGGGGGTGTGGTGGAGAGACAACGTCCCGACTGGTCAGCCACTGTGTGTCTCTCCACGTGGTGCTCAAATACTGTGGCCCACACAGTCTGGAAGCTCCGGTCATCCTCTGGAGTGACGTCAGAAGGGCACGGGGCCTCCACTGAGCTTCCACCGCGACAGCTGTCGGGGTCTTGGTTAGAGCTAACCTTCTGCTCCGTCTGCCTGGACTTATCCCGGAGTGTCCCAGGCTTCCAGGGGCTTCTCGGGATGCATGCTCCATCCAAACTGTGCCCCTCCTTTTGCTGGAAAGAAACAAAAAGAAAAAGAAACACCTCAGTGTTTAAGGATTTGAGATGGAAAGGAAAAAGTGGAGTAATTGAAAGGGCTGCTTGTATAATTAAAACAATGAAATACCATAAAATTGAAAAGAATGAACACACCCAGTGTGGGTGAGGATGTGGGGAAATGGACACTCAGATACTGTTGGAGAGAACATAAATGAACCCGACTTTGGGCAAAGCAATGTATCTATCCTGATGTTAAAATACTCATTTCCTTTTATCCGGCCAAGTTCCTCCCAGGACTTTGTCCACATGCACAAGCCTACACAAACAAGAAAGTTGAGACAGCACCGTTGGTGCAAGCAAAAGAACACAGAAACAACCTGAATGCTCACTGGAAAAGCATTGGCTAAATTTCAATTATCTCCAAACGATGGACTACTGCACAGGCATTTGTTACCACAGAAAGAGGCAGATCCAGCCAGGCGCGGTGGCTCACGCCTGTAATCTCAGCACTTTGGGAGGCTGAGATGGGAGAATCGCTTAAGTCCAGGAGTCCAAGACCAGCCTGGGCAAAATAGTGAGACCTTGTCTACACCAAAAAAATAAAATAAAATAATAATAATCTTTTAAAAGGAATTAAAGGCCAGGTGCGGTGGCTCAAACCTGTAATCCTAGCACTTTGGGAGGCCAAAGCAAGTGGATCACCTAAGCTCAGGAATTCAAGACTCCAGCCTGGTCAACATGGTGAAACCCCGTTCTCTACTAAAAATACTAGCTGGGTGTCGTGGCACACGGCTGTAATCCCAGCAACTCAGGAGGCTGAGGCAAGAGAATTGCTTGAACCTGGAGGGCGGAGATTGCAGTGAGCCGAGGTCGTGCCACTGCACTCCAGCCTGGGTGACAGAGTGAGTCTCTGTCTAAAAAAATAAATAAATAAAAGGAATTAAATACTGATTCATCCTACACCGTGGATGAATTTTGAAAATACTATGCTAAGCAAAAGAAGCCAGTCAAAAAGCTATATAAGACTCCATTTATATACAGCATATATATAAATATAAATATATATACACATCATAGGTAAATCCATAGACAGAAAGTGGATTACTGGATGCCTGGGAATGGGAGACGAGGACACAAGGTTTCCATTTGAGGTGATAGAAGATTCTGGAACTAGATAGTGGTGATGCTTACATAATACTGAAAACGTCCTTAATGCCACTCAGTTGTGCACTTTAAAATGGTTATAATAAGGCCAGGGGCACAGTTTGCTAACCCCTACTGTAGATGATGGAATGCCATTGAAGTGCTCTAAAAACACTGACTGTAAACCTTTGTTGAAATATATACACACACATATATATACACACATATATACATATATACATATATACACATATATACATATATACACATATATATTTTTTTGCAATATACACATATATACATATTTTTGTGATGGAGTCTTGCTCTTTTGCCCAGGCTGGAGTGCAATGGCACGATCTCGGCTCACTGCAACCTCCGCCTTCCGGATTCAAGCGATTTTTCTGCCTCAGCCTCCCGAGTAGCTGAAAGTGCAGGCATGCATCACTACACCCAGCCAATTTTTGTGTTTTTAGTAGTGACGGCATTTCACCACGTTGGCCAGGCTGGTCTTGAACTGCTGACTTCAAGTGATCCACCTGCCTCAGCCTCCCAAAGTGTTGAGATTACAAACACAAGCCACCGCACCTGGACTGTTTATATTTTAATACGTAAATTTTACATAAACAATACATGAATCCATTTTGATTGTAAAGGAATCCAAACAATACAAAGTTCAAAGCTTTTTTTATTTTTTATTTTTATTTTTTGAGATGGAGTTTCGCTCTTGTCACCCAGGCTGGAGTACAATGGCGCGATCTCGGCTCACCGCAATCTCTGCCTCCCAGATTCAAGTGATTCTCCTGCCTCAGCCTCCCGAGTGGCTGGGATTACAGGCATGCACCACCACGCCTGGCTAATTTTTTTTTTGTATTTTTAGTACAGATGGGGTTTCTCCATGTTGGTCAGGCTGGTGTTGAACTCCCAACCTCAGGTGAACCACCCACCTTGGCTTCCCGAAGTGCTGGGATTACAGGTGTGAGCCACCACGCCCGGCCAAAGTTCAAATCATTTTTGTTCCCTTGTTCAAATACCAGTCCCTTTTCTTGGATAACAGCTATTACCAATGGGTTATGATCCTTGAAGAGCCTTTCAGAACTCTCTTTGTATTATTTATATATATATTAGAAAGACCGAATTTTTGAAACTTTGTAAATTTTGTAAATTTCACAAATTCATTATTTTTCTTTAAAAATAGTTAAAATGATATATTTTATGTTATGTGTACTTTTTTTCTTTTTAAAGGCAGGATTTCAGCCAGGTACGGTAGCTCATGCCTGCAATCTCAGCACTTTGGGAGGCCGAGGCGGGTGGATCACCTGAGGTCGGGAGTTCGAGACCAGCCTGACCAACATGGAGAAACCCTGTCTCTACTAAAAACACAAAATTAGCCAGGTGTGGTGGCGCATGCCTGTAATCCCAGCTACTCAGGAGGCTGAGGCAGGAGAATCGCTTGAACCCAGGAGGCAGAGGTTGCAGTGAGCTGAGATTGTGCCATTGCACTCCAGCCTGGGCAACAAGAGCGAAATTCCATCTCTAAAAAAATAAATAAATAAATAAAATAAAGACAGCATCTCGCTCTGTTGCCCAGGTTGGAGTGCAGTGGTATAATCAGAGCTCACTGCAGCCTCAAACTCCTGGCCTCAAGCAATCTTCCCACCTTGGCCTCCTAAAGTTCTGGGATTATAGGCATGAGCCACCACATCCAGCCTGTTATGTGTATTTTACTACAATAAACACACCCACATACACACACACATAAAGTCTACTTATAGAGATAAAATCTCATCACATGTAAAGCAAGGGTTTATTTCTTAACTATTCCTTTCTTTAAAGTTTTAAACATACACAAAATTACAGAGAAAATAATGAACTTGCCCAACCCATCCCCCCAATTTAATGACAATCAACATTTTGCCACTCTCGCCACACACAGCCTTTTTGCCCTTGCTGCTGCTGTCACTACAGCATTTTAATACAAATATAAGGAGCTTTAATTACTTAAATGGTATCACTCCTAACCATTTTCAAAGAAATGATTCAGAAAATGCAACAATAAAACTTGCAGGGCAAACCGCTGCCTCCAAGAGTGGTGGTGGGTATTGCCATTCAAAGCCAGCCCACTTTTGTTGGTGATGTACTGAGATGGGTACAAGCTTGAAACCAAGCACTGGTGTTATTTTTAAAACTCCACGGAAGTTTCTTAAAACATAAAACATGCATCTACCATATGATCCAGCCATTCTACTCCTAGATGTTTACCCAAGAGAAAAGAAAATAGAAGTCCTGGCCGGACGCGGTGGCTCACACCTATAATCCCAGCATTTTGGGAGGCCAAGGCAGGCAGATCACCTGAGGTCAGGAGTTCAAGACTGGCCTGGCCAACATGGTGAAACCCCATCTCTACTAAAAATACAAAAAATTAAGTGGGCATAGAGGCACGTGCCTGTAGTCCCCAGCTACTCAGGAGGCTGAGGCAGGAGAATTACTTGAACCCAGGAGGCAGAGGTTGCAGTGGGCTGAGATCACGTGACTGTACTATCCCAGGCAACAGAGTAAGACTCTGTCTCAAAAATTAGAAAAAAAAAAAAAAAAAAAGGCCAGGCGCAGTGGCTTATGCCTGTAGTCCCAGCACTTTGGGAGGCCGAGGCAGGTGGCTCACAAGGTCAGGAGATGGAGACCATCCTGGCTAACACGGTGAAACCCCATCTCTACTAAAAATACAAAAAATTAGCCAGGCGTGGTGGCGGGCCTCTGTAGTCCCAGCTACTCAGGAGGCTGAGGCAGGAGAATGGTGTGAACCCAGGAGGCGGAGCTTGCAGTGAGCCGAGATCGCGCCATTGCACTCCAGCCTGGGCAACAGAGCGAGACTCCATCTCAAAAATGAAAAATAATAATAAATTAAAAAATTAAAAAAGAAAAAGAAAAGAAAAGAAATAGAAGCTCTTACAAAGCCTTGTCCACAAATGTTCACAGCAGCTTCACTGGTAATTGCCCCAAACAGATAACAACCCAATTGTCCATCAAAAGGTGAATGGATAAACGAATTGTGGTCTACTCACACAAATAGAATACTAGTCAGCAACAGAAAGGAATGAACTACTGATACATGCTACACCATGAATGATCTCAACATAATTACTCTGAGTGAACAAGCAAGGGCAAAAAAAAAAAGAGGACTGATTCCATTTATACTAAAGTCTAGAAAATGCAAACTAATCTACACGGACAGAAAGCAGACCTGTGATGGGCTGGGAAGAGCAGGGGAAGGGAGAGATTACAACGTCGTGGCCGGGTGTGGTGGCTCACACTTGTAACCCCAGCACTTTTGGAGGCCGAGGTGGGTGGATCACTTGAGGTCAGGAGTGCAAGACCAGCCTGGCCAACACAGCGAAACCCCGTCTCTACTAAAAATGCAAAAATTAGCCAGGCGTGGTAGTGGGTGCCTGTAATCCAAGCTACTCGGGAGGCTGAGGCAGGAGAATCACTTGAACCTGGGAGGTGGATGTTGCTGTGAGCCAAGATCGCACCACTGCACTCTAGCCTGGGCAACAAGCAAAACTCCGTTTCCAAAAAAAAAAAAAAACAAAGTGGCATGAGGAACCTTTTGCCTGGGATGGAGATGTTCGCTATTCTGACTGTGATGGTGGTTTCACAGGTTGTACACACATAGGAAACTCACCAAGTTGAATGTGTTAAATCTGTGCTCTTTCCTGTATGTCAATTGTATCTCAAAGCTGTTTTTAAAAAAACTGGGCCAGGCACGGTGGCTCACACCTGTAATCTCAGCACTTTGGGAGGCCGAAGCGGGCAGATCACGAGGTCAGGAGATCGAGACCATCCTGGCTAACATGGTGAAACCCCAACTCTACTAAAAATACAAAAGAAATAAGCCGGGCATGGTGGCGGGCACCTGTAGTCCCAGCTACTTGGGAGGCTGAGGCAGGAGAATTGCTTGAACCCGGGAGGCGGAGCTTGCAGCGAGCCGAGATCACATCACTGCACTCCAGCCTGAGCGACAGAGGGAGACTCCATCAAAAAAAAAAAAAAAAAAAAAAAACGAAAACAAACCAACCAAAAAAACAACTAAGACTCTGCAGAAAGCATCAACCACAAACCGGTTTTCGCTAGGAGACAATTTTATGAGTTTTCTCTTATTAAAAAGATGAAATAAAAATACTTTTCAAGCAATTTAATTGCTGGTAACCTACTTCTTTTTGTTTTAATTTACATTTTTATTCTTTTAGAGACAAGTCTCACTCTGTCGCCCAGGCTAGAGTGCAGTGGCATGATCATGGCTCACTGCAGCCTCAAAGTCCTGAGCTCAAGCAATCCTCCTGCCTCAGCCTTAACTAGAACTATAGGCATGCACAACCACATCTGGCTAATTAAAAAAAATTTTTTTTTTCTTTTAGAGATAAGAGTCTCACTATGTTGCCCAGGCTGGTCTCAAACTCTTGGGCTCAAGCAATCCTCCCTCCACCTCAGCCTCCCAAAGTGCTGGGATTACAAATGTGAGCCACTGTGCCCAGCCACCTACTTCTTCCTTCTATGGCTAGGTGGTAAGTAAGGGGAAGGCAATAAGAACCACTATGAAGGACCTTGAAGGAGTTTCTATTAACATCTTAAACCTAAATTTTAGTATTTTAACAAAGCAGGCACTCCTATATAAGAAAGCCATGCCCCTCTGCCTCTTTGCGAAGAAAAAAAATGCCTGATAACATTTGTAAACAGCATTTAACACCTGGGAGTAGGGAATCACAACTCTTCATGCCAAAAGGGACTTCAAAGTCCCAACATTAGAAGAAAAAATGTTTTATCGTGTGCATGACATGTTTCTGAGTCTTCCTGGGGCCTAGAAGATCATGGAGGCTCTTTCTCCAGCAGCCATAACTGCCCGCTGGTTAATGAGAGACGTGCTACACAGCCACTCCTTACCTTTTCTCTCGGTTCCTTAGGAAACTCGCCGCTCAGCTCAGCACTCTTCTCATATTTGACTTCGTTGCTGGAAGCTGAACTTGAAAACCTGGTACAGAGATCTGAGTTACCTTCATGGAGCTGGAAGCTGTTATTCCCCCCAGCCCACACACCAGCTCAGGAGGCCAGGCCAAGTAACCTTCAGAAAGGACATTTCCTTTCCACTTACCAAAAGGAGAACTGCCCAGTGGGGAGAGCCTACCTCAAACACAGCATTACTGGGGTGGAGGAGCCCCAGCTGGGGGAAGACACCCAGGTGCTAGTCCCAGCTCTACTGCCTCTTCACTGGGGGAGCTTGGTTTAGGCTTGTGACCTCACCTGAGCCTCTGTTTCTTCATCTATAAAACAGGGATAATTAACACCTCCCCATCCCTTTTATGGGGCAGATAAGAGGCTACTCAAGGCCCTAATAGCTACGTGAGGGCGTTTAGGGAAGAGTGAAGATGCCCCAGGAGGGATAATGAATGGCTGTTGTTAGCAGTGCCAGGTAAAACAGCAGCCCCACCTCAGAGCAGCCCCCAGACTGAAGGGTAGTGGGCTGTCAGGGAATGTGTGGGGGCCCAGGTCTGTCTCTGCCTCTCTGGATCACCAGGGCCCTCTTTGGGCCTCGTTTTCCCCACCTCAAAAAGGGAAGAGGGTGTGGAGCTAGAATCTTTCCATCTCTGGAGAGCATTCTGGTGTAAATACCTGAAGATGTAGCACGTGTTTAGTTCAAAGCTGGGGACTGAAGAAAAGGAAAGGGAGAGAAATCAAACCACTTAAACTTAACCCATACTCAGCAACCCAGGGTCTGTCTCCTGGGATATGTGAGGCTGAGAGGAGTTCTGTCTAAACTCAGAGCCTCAGTTTCCCCACCTGTCAGATGGGGATAATCACACGGCCTCTCCAAGGCTCTTCCATGACATAGTGAGAGGAAGCATATTAGGACCGTGGCATAGGTGTCCTTCTCTGATATCTTAATTCAGGGGTTGTCAGCCCCGGCTACACATAAGATCGACTTGGAAGCTTTTAAAAACTACCAAAATACAGGCCGGGTGCCGTGGCTCATGCCTGTAATCCCAGCACTTTGGGAGGCTGAGGCGGGCAGATCATGAGGTCAGAAGTTCGAGAACAGCCTGACTAACATGGTGAAACCCCGTCTCTACTAAAAATACAAAAATTAGGCCGGGCGTGGTGGCTCACGCCTGTAATCCCAGCACTTTGGAAGGCTGAGGCGGGCGGATCACGAGGTCAGGAGATCGAGACCATCCTGACTAACACGGTGAAACCTCATCTCTACTAAAAATGCAAAAAATTAGCTGGGCGTGGTGGCTGACGCCTGTAGTCCCAGCTACTTGGGAGGCTGAGGCAGGAGAATGGCGTGAACCTGGGAGGCGGAGCTTGCAGCGAGCCAAGATCGTGCCACTGCTCTGGCCTCAGCGGCAGAGCGAGACTCCGTCTCAAAAAAAAAAAAAAAAAAAAAAATTAGCTGGGTGTGGTGGCGCGTGCCTGTAATCCCAGCTACTGCGGAGGCTGAGGCAGGAGAATCACTTGAACCCGGGAGGTGGAGGTTGCAGTGGGCCGAGATTGCAACACTGCACTCCAGCCTGGGTCACAAAAATAAATAAATAAATAAAAATAAAAAATAAAATAAAAACTACCAAAATAGAACACCCTCCCCAGACCAAGTGAATCGGAATCTCTAGGGGTGGGGCCCAGGCACTGGTATTTTTTCCGGTTATTCTAAAGTACTGAGGGCCAGTGGTCTAGCTTTGGCTTGGCTGGCTGTCCTGGTTCCCAGGGCCGGGAGGGCAGTCTGCCCAGAGATCCTGCCTTTGCAAGCTCCACCCTGGACAAAGTATGTCAGTGGCATGCATGCCATTAAGAGCCAGTCGATCATGCCGAGTGGCATCTCTCTGTTGTGGCCACTTGTGGGAAAACAAAGAAGAGATGTCGGAAGTGGGCCAAGTTTAGAATATCATTATTAACCAACCGACTTAGAATATCATTATTAGCCATCTGACTTAGAATATCATTATTAACTAACTTAGAACATCAGTATTAACCAACTGACTTAGAACATCAGTATTAACCAAATGACTAAGAATATCTTTTTTGTTTTTGTTTTTTGGTGTTTTTTTTTTGAGACGGAGTCTTGCTCTGTTGTCCAGGCTGGAGTGGAGTGGTGTGATCTCGGCTCACTGCAACCTCTGCCTCCCGAGTTCAAGCGATTCTCCTGCCTCAGCCTCCTGAGTAGCTGGGACTACAGGCGCCTGCCACCACGCCTGGCTAATTTTTGTATTTTTAGTAGAGACAGAGTTTTACCATGTTGGCCAGGCTGGTCTCAAACTCCTGACCTTGTGATCCACCCGCCTCGGCCTCCCGAAGTGCTGGGATTACAGGCATGAGCCACCGCGCCCGGCCTAGAACATCATTATTAACCAACTGACTTAGAACATCATTATTAACCAAATGACTTAGAACATCGGTATTAACCAGCTGACTTAGAACATCGGTATTAACCAACTGATTGACAACATCGGTATTAACCAACTGACTTAGAGTATCATTATTAACCAACTGACTTAAGAGTATCAGTATTAACGAACTGACTTAGAATATCATTATTAACCAAATGACGTAGAATATCAGTATTAACCAACTGACTAGCCCAAGTTACCTTGACTCCTCTGAGTTTATTTTTTGGGCCACTCATAAAGGCTTAGGCCCAATCTTAAGCGTTCTCTCTCTGACTTCAGGGAAGAAAGGCTTAGCTATGGAGACAGGCTGAGCTGGAATGCCATCCAGCTCCCACCTCCCCACAGTATTTCACCCTTCTGCCCTGCCTCCATGAAATGGGCACATACCGCCCACTTCACTCACACACTACATCTGAAGCTGAGAAAAGCCATGAAAATTGGGCTCCGGGCCCCCCGGCTGGCCATACCCAGAGGAGAGCTGCACTGCCTCTCCGCACCTCACCTTTCTCATCTGAGAAATGGACACTGCCACTACCTCCTCTTGGGCTATGGGTAAACTGAGGGGGGGTGACAAGTGCCCAGCATGGAGCCTGGTTCCGTCTTCCTCAGGGTGTGTGGGTGGGCGGCTGAGAGAGGGGTGTGGGATGTGCCTACTTACAATTTGGTCAAATCCGCCGACAGCGGCCGAGCCTGGAACGTCCTCCTCCTGACCTCGGGCTTAGCCTCTGAGCTCTCGGCAGTCCAGCCTCTGATCCGTTCCTGAACGCTCACAACCCCTTTCTCCGGCTCTGGTGCCGCCGATGGGGACGCAGGGGTGGCCAGGGGAGATTCAGACCCCACTGCCAAGGCCAAGGTGCTGTCCTCCCGAAACAGGCTGATGCACTTCCTGACACTCCTCCTGGAGGCCCACTCTCCCCCTGCCGCGGCCTCCCCATCCGCCACTCTGCTCTTAACCTCAGCAAGTTCTAGGCCCCTTCCCAGCCTGGGTGAGGGGGACTCAGCAGCCTTCTCTGGCTCTGGGTCCAGCTTGGCCTTTTCTTCCCAGGGACTCTGGTCATTGCTGGGGGTGACCCCAGATGAGCCCCCCACCAGGGCTCTGGGGCTGCCCATCTCCGGCTTCGAAAGCATCTTCTCCTTCCGTTCACGGATTTTCTTGGCCACCTCCAGGAAGTCCAAATCAGGATCATGAAGAGGAGCCTCCGCCTTGACCAAACAGTCCCTGTCCAGCTTGGACGCTGCTCTGGGCCTCTCTAGCCCAGCCATATCCCCTGCTGTGGGTCCACTTCCTTCATCGGCCACCTTCCTCAGCAAGGCCTCTTTGTTCTCAAACCGGGCCGTGAGGTCCATGGACAAGGGCCTGGGCTTCCTCACCCACGTCTTCTCGGGAGGGGTGGGTGGCACTTTGCCCACTGTGGCCGCTGCGCCGGGGCCTGGCTTCTGAGGCTGAATGGACTCCGTGAAAATGGCAGACACGGGCCTTCTCTTCAGGCGAGGCCTGGGCTCCACAAGGGGGCGTGCCGTGTCCTCCACACTGCTGGCCTTTGAGGGAGGATGGTCTTGGCCTGCCTCCTCTTGGGGTACAGGTGGTTTTGTGTCCTGAGACAGGGGAGCTGACCGGGGAAGGGTCCCCGCAGGCTTCTGGGTGGGCAGGGCGGGCTTGGCAGCCACCTCAGGCCGGGAGCCGGACACACCTAGCTTGGCCTCCTCCGCCCCCTCACTAACCGCCTTCCCCAGAGCGGGGCCGCTTTTGGTGGTTTCGAAGAGAATCATGGTGCTGGAGCTGGGCCGCAGGAACACAGCCTTGTTGAAGAGGGGCGAGCTCGTCCTCGGGCCCTCCCCACTGCCCACCTCCTGCCCCACCAAGCCGGGCATCCTGTTGTCCAGATCCTTTGCTGCTGGCTCCTCAGAGAGCCCCCCAGAGGGGGAAGGTCCAGTCGAACTGGGCCGCAGAGACGGGACAGGAGATTTCACGTCCTGCTCCTTCGAGAAGGGTTTGGGGGCGAGCCTTGGCAGAGGGAGTAACCGGGCCGGGCTCCGCAGGGGGCTCTTCGCTTCCAAGATCCGGGCTGGGGGAGCCCCAGAGGCTTCGCCGGCCTGGAGGAAGTAGGTCCTCGTCAGGGTCTCCTCCTTGCCCATCTCACCCAGGCCTGGCACGGCCGTCAAGGGCGTTATGGAGCCCACCTCGACCCGCGTGGCCATGGTTATGGTTGTGGATTCATGGGGGTTAGGAACTTCAAGAATGGAGAAGCAATTGCTAAACAAACAAAACAAACAAACAAGTAAATTTGGAAAACAGTCAGTGTCTGGGTTGAAGCAGAATGGTTTAGAGAAATGGGACAGAGTCCTGAGCCCCAGATTCCATACGACAGCCCTCTGCTGACCTCACCCGGCAGGCTTGGGCCTGCCTCTCCCCGTCTCTGAGCTCTGGACGAGGGGAGTGGACTAAACGCCCATCCCTGAAGTTCGTTCCAGCTCCAAGGGTGTAGAAAAGGCATCAACACTCTGGAGGACTTTCCCCTGACAGCTAATCTAGAGGCCAGCACTTAATGGCAAAAAGCAGTGATCTCTGCTACACAGATAAGGAAACCAGCTCAGAGAGGCCAAGTAACTGGAGTCACCCAGGAAGCAAGAGGCGAAGTCAGGACTTAAAACCAGGTTTGACACCAAATTCACACCACACATGCTCCTCCCTGAATAGGCCTCAGTGGGAGCGTCCTCACATTCCCTCACTCCTGTTACCCTGTTTTCCCACTGCAGAGCCTGCCCACATCCCAGGTGATCCTAATCACAAGTGTGTGCTAAGCATCTAGCACAGAGAAGGCAAGTAACCTGCTGCAGGTCACACAGCAATGCAGCTCAGGAGTGCCTGGGAGCACAAAGCTGGTTAGTGACCTTGGAACCCATGCCCTAGGCACCAACCCCACCCAATCATCCCTTTGTCCCTTTTCTTTCCCCTCCCCCACCCTTCCAGATGCCATAAAAAGAAGCCATTCTCATTTTTCTCACTCAACCTGCTTTCATTATTTGTTTGCTTTGTGGTTCTTTTCTGTTGAACACGCATATTATGCTGACTGCCTTCATACTCTTAATAGAAAGAGAAACGCCCAACAGTGAGGTCTTCCCATGAGTGAGATCTCGAGCTATGCCACATGCTTCTTGTGTTTTATACATCTCATCCTCCTCACAACCCTATTTAGTGGGTACAATTAGGAGACCCCATTTTGTAGTAGCTTGGGGCATAAGCCTCTTGTTCACCCTGCTATGAGATCTGTTTTCGCAAAGCAGGGGACCTCCTCTCTCATTAACCCTCCAGCAACTCCAAAAGTCAAGAATGAAGGAATGATCGTTATCTCCCTCATGGAGATGAAGGGAAAGGGCCCAGAGAGGTCGCCAGACTTGCCTACGATCACCCAGCTGAAACCTAACCTCAAGTCCACCACCCACTTAGCTCTGTCTTTTTTTTTTTTTGAGACCAAGTTTCACTCTTGCTGCCCAGGCTGGAGTGCAATGGCGCGACCTTGGCTCACAGCAACTTCTGCCTCCCAGGTTCAAGCCATTCTCCTGCCTCAGCTTCCGGAGTAGCTGGGATTACAGGCATGTGCCACCACGCCCAGGTAATTTTGTGGTTTTAGTAGAGGTGGGGTTTCTCCATGTTGGCCAGGCTGGTCTCGAACTCCTGACCTCAGGGGATCCGCCCACCTCAGCCTCCCAAAGTGCTGAGATTACAGGCTTGAGCCACCACACCCAGCCTCAGCTCTGTCTTTTTAAAAATTATTTTTTATTCCTTTCTGGTCTTAAAAAGTGCCAGGTAAGTTGCTGTTCTCGATCCCCCAGGCTCTCTTCATGCCAGTGTTTTCTTCCCTGTGAAACTGCCCCCAGCCAGCCCCCACCTAGATGGACTAAAAAAGTAGAAGGTATTTTAGTTAAACACAAGCCTCTCCACTTCCCTTCCTTGGGGCCCCACACTGCTCCCCCGGCTCTGACTCACTCAGCAGCCTCCAGGAAAGAAAGGCAGACAGATTTTGATATTTTCTCTTCCTTACACGCTCGATGGTGCTAACAGATTCCATCTCCCCAAACTGGAGAACACTGTCTAGACACGGTTAGAGGTAGAATGGAGGGACAGATATGAAGAATCTGAGAATTGGAGAATTTCCATACACAAAGATCCCAACCAGAGTTCTAAGGCTCCAGAATCCCACCCAGAATCAGGGCCATTGGCCTTTTGGGAGAGCAGCTGTGACCTCTGGAAACCCTGATTGAGGATACATATGTAATAGCCAGGACATGAGACACAGAACAATGACAGGATTCAAAGGACAGAGAGAAAATTCTCTGGCAGAACTCACAGGCACTCTCCATGCCCTTGGACACTCCAGCCCTCAAGCTTGGGTCAAGCATGGGCCCCACTTACCCAAGCTGGCAGGCCCTGGGTCAGGGGGTGTGACTGCCGGGAAAAGCCAGTAGTGTCACATGTCATCATGAATGGGGCTGTCCACACACTTCCATGGCAGAAACAAGAAGGGGGAAAGAAGACTCGTCCCAGCAGGCTGAGTTTCAGCAGGTCTAAGGAGACACAGGATGACAGCCTCAGTTCCGGAGTTCTGGCAGTATGGGAACAGACGGCACAAAAGCTTTCAAGCTCCAAATGCATCCGCTGGCATCTACTCCAGCTTGTAAAACGTATGCTCCTTTTGGCTTTTCGATTTTGTAGCCTTATATGTACGTGTGCATAAATAGTGCTGAGCCCACAGTACGTGCTCAATAAAAATCTTCCCTGTTCTCTGATACATTTATTAAGCACCTACGGTGTGTACAAAGATGAGCATGAAACATCCCCTGCAACCATGCAACTCACAGTCTTCTGTAAGAAACACACATACACACACAAGCAATTACAACTGGGTAACAAATGTCACTTTTTAAATGCAGGATGTGGGGGCAAATAGGACTGATTGCCTAGAATTGGAACTGGTGGTCCTGCATAACTCACTTGACTTAGAGGAGGTAGCTACTGAGCATTCGAGGTGCTGACTCACTTGGTAGCTGCTACCAAGTGATGTGCTTCACTTGGTAGCTGCTACCAAGTGATGTGCTTCACTTGGTAGCTACATTAGCGGTATTTGGACATTGTACCTCTTTGAAGCCCTCCAAATGCCTCCTCAGGGCCTTTGCACATGCTATGCCTGTTCTCTGGGACAACCATCTTGCTCACACACAGACACAGACCACAGTTCACACATCTCTGTCTCCCTTCAACCCGGTACAACCCCCTCCTACCTGTTCACAGAGCACCACATACACTCGGAGGCTTGGCAGGACTTAGCATAGCTACACTGTTACATTTAATACGACATCATCCTTCACATCAGCCTCTCCCATTCAATGGTAAGCCCCGCCAGAGGACACCCCAAATCCCTAGTGGCTAGCACAGCAGCCTGGCACATAAAAGCACCAGATACATGATTACTGAATAGAGAAATAAATCATTGCTGAGTTAATAAGTAAATGAATGAAGAAATATTCTTCTGCCCCTGCTGCCCACTCTCTAAGATGCTAAATAAGTCCAGATACCATGAGTCTCATGCCAAATGACTCTAAGCAATCTGGGACATAAGATGAGTTACTCTAGCTGTGGCTGTGGCTACTGAATGACAGAATCAAAAAGCTGTGAAGTGCTCAGCCAGAGGCTCAATCCACCAATCCTCACCCAGGGACCCCTATCAGTTTCACAAGCCAGAGGCTCAATCTACCAACCCTCACCCAAAGACCTCTATCAGTTTCACTGGGCCACACAGAGGAGCTCCACCCCGAGGGCAGGCACCTGCTACATCCACATTAACCTCACACTGTCACACCAGCTCACCTGCCCAAATGTGGAATGAATGCTTCTCTGCATGGATTTTCCTGGGAAAAGAGTCACCAAGAGCAACTGTTTGCTGAATTAGGATCAATGGTACACAAATGTCACCCCACTTTGGGAACCTTGAACCCACCTCAGGGACTATACTGCATGGAAGTAAAAGGAGAAGGACAAGATAAATTAAGTCCCTTGGTCCACGCTCCTCTACACCAAACAGTGCCTCTGTGACCCGTCATCTGCTTTGTATCTTGAACTGCCTCTCAAGTTACCATTGCAAATGCCTAGCAGATGTCTGATATGTAAACACAGTTGCACAAATGAGTCAATGAATGAATTAATAAATCAATGAACAAAGAAAAGTAAAAGGAGTTTTTTGGGATTTTTTTTTTTTGAAACAGAGTTTCACTCTGTCACCCAGGCTGGAGTGCAATGGCGTGATCTCAGCTCACTGCAACCTCTGCCTCCCAGGTTCGAGCAATTCTCCCGCCTCAGCCTCCTGAGTAGCTGGGACTACAGGTGCATGCCACCACACCTGCCTGATTTTTATATTTTTGGTAGAGACGGGGTTTCACTATGTTGGCCAGGCTGGTCTTGAAATCCTGACTTTGTGATCCGCCCGCCTCGGCCTTCCAAAGTGCTGGGATTGAGCCACCGCACCCGGCCTAGTAAAAGGAGTTTTTAAACCACCATAGTAGATGGCTCCGTAATATTTTAAAGTCCTAGCCAAACCTAGAAACCTATGATTCTCAGGTTTTCATTTAACCTGCTGTAAAATACAGGGAAACCAATTTAACTGTATGCTTTGAAGTCTTCTTTTAAATGTTATCACATATGTTACACTTGATTTAAGAGATGTTAGCCTCTTTGAAAACCTTTCTGAAGCCCACTCACGGAGAGGCTAGATGCTGTTTATTCTTGGGGTGGACATGTCCACTATTTTTTATTTATTTTATTTTTTATTTTTATATTTTTAGACAGTCTCACTTTGTAGCCCAGGCTGGAGTCCAGTGGCACAATCTCGGCTCACTGCAAACTCCACCTTCCAGGTTCAAGTGATTCTCGTGCCTTAACCTCCGTGAAGCTGGGATTACAGGCACCTACCACCACATCTGGCTGTTTATTTATTTAGAGACAGAGTCTCGGTGTGTCACGCAGGCTAGAGTGCAATGGCACTATCTCAGCTCATTGCAACCTCCGCCTCCCAGGTTCAAGTGATTCTCCTGCCACAGCCTCCCAAGTAGCTGGGACTACAGGCACCCAGCACCACACCCAGCTAATTTTTTTTTGTATTTTTAGTAGAGACGGGGTTTCACCGTGTTAGCCAGGATGGTCTGGATCTCCTGACTTCGTAATCCGTCCGCCTCGGCCTCCCAAAGTGCTGGGATTACAGGCGTGAGCCACCGCGCCCGGCCTCGGCCTCTTTTTTAAACAGTGTATTAGCTGACCATTATGACCAAAGCCAAGTCAACAAGACCTCCCCAGAGAAAGAAGGGAAACCAAGTCTGAGCCACCTCTAGTTTCATATGTATGTAAATTATCATGGAGGGCAGCACGGTGAACAGATGGAGAACAAAGGCATCCATCTGGGAAGGTCAGGAGGCTGTGGCAGGACCGTGAGAGAGGGGACATCAGGCTGACCCCAGGCAGTGGGCTAGCAATGAGTGTTTCTCTACTGTTGCTGAACTTGCCAAGTCCACAAGCTTGATCTCCCCAAGCTTAATTTGCAAAGTGCAAGATTCCCATTTTCTGCTATTTCATGCAGGAAAAAAAATCATTTGTCTGAGAAGGGGGTCACCCAAGAGCAACAGGTGCTGAAATTCAACAGGAGTCATTCGAAAGCATTCATTTGTCCACTCTTGTGACCCTACTTCTGCCAATGCTCACTGCCTCCCTCCCAAGCACCAGGTTCTGTACTTGGTGCTGGGGACACAGCCACTGAGCTTGAAGCCTCACAAGAGAGAAGGGAAGAAAAGCACTTCCATTCAAAACCAAACAGTTTGGCAGCTTTTCTCCCAGATTCAGAGGTGTTGATTCATTCTAACAGCTGTTTAAGATCTTTCATAATTACACCCTTAAATTCGATCTGAGAGCTTATCAGTCATTTATTCAGTCGTCTCTGGCTGCCACCTCCTGGGAATGCCACCATCTGGTGAGGGGCGTGGGCTGGTCCTGACACCTTCCAGCATCTTCCGGAATGTGACCTTAGTCCCCAAATCTGCAAATCCATCCTGTGCAGTGAGCCATGCAAAGAGCCAGGAACGGGGCCAGGCACGGTGGCTCAGGCCTGTAATCCCAGCACTTTGGGAGGCTGAGGCGAGCAGATCACGAGGTCAGGAGATCGAGACCACGGTGAAACCCCATCTCTACTAAAAATACAAAAAATTAGCTGGGCGTGGTGGCGGGTGCCTGTAGTCTCAGCTACTCGGGAGGCTGAGGCAGGAGAATGGCGTGAACCCGGGAGGTGGAGCTTGCAGGGAGCTGAGATCGCACCACTGCACTCCAGCCTGGGCAACAGAGCGAGACTCCATCCCAAAAAAAAAATGAAAAAGAGCCAGGAACGGATTGGCAAAGTGCACGCTGGTGTCCTCCCAGAGAAGGGCTGCTGTGCACAGGAGGTCTGTCCTCCAGAAAGGGCCCCAATCAAAATGTCAAGTATCACTGGAGTATGTGCATCCTCTCATCTGTATCCTCATGACTGTGGCCCTAGCTCCTTCCTTCCTTCCTTCCAATACACAATTATCAAGCATCTATGTACCAGGCTCTGGGCCAGGCGCTAGGGACACAGCAGTGAACAAAACAAATAGAAAACCCTGTTCCCATGGAATGGACATTCACAAAGATGAAAAAAAGGACAAAAAAAAAAAAAAAAGGTAAGGACAAGCTCCAGAATGTTACATAAGTGACAGAAAAAGAGAGAATGTGAGAAAGGTTAGCTAGGGAAGATTTCACTGAGAAGGGACATTTAAAATCAGCCTCTGGCCAGGCGCAATGTCTCATGCCTATAATCCCAGCACTTTGGGAGGCGGAGGTGGGAGGATCACTTGAGCCCAGGAGTTCAAGACCAGCCTGGGCAACATGGCAAAAACCCATCTCTACTAAAAAATACAAAAATTAGCCAGGTGTAGTGGTGCATGCCTATAGTCCCAGCTACTCAGGAGGCTGAGGATTGTCTGAGCCGGGGAGGCTGAGGTTGCAGTGAGCCAAGATCACATCACAGCCCTCCCGCCTGTATGACAAAGCCAGACCCTGTCTTAAAAATAAAATAAAATCAGCCTCCTCACTGACGATTCTGCCTCAGCTGTGGCCTCCTCCAATCCATTCACCTAGCAGTAGCCAGGGGTGTCTCCAACGTGCAAGCGCCAGGATGTCATTCCCCTGCTTAACGCCCCCGTGTCTCCCTGATGCTTTCTGAATAAAGGCCACACTTCTTCCCCGAGGCCCTACAGGATCCAGATCCTCTTCGTCTCCCCAGCTTCATTATAATGACTGACACCACCCCATCTGTCTGTCACAGACACTCACGTACTTCAGCACAATGAACCCCAGACAGGCCACAAAACACAGTGTACGCTTTCTCGCCTTCATGCCTCTGCACTGCCCTTAGCTCACTGCCTAGCTAATCTCAATGCCACCTCCTCCAGGAGGCCTTCTCTAATGCTCCATGAGTGGGGCTTGTTCAGGTGCTCCTCTGTGCTGCAATATCTCACTTCCTGCTTCCCCTTCACCCAGCACTGAGGAATACCTGGTGACTACCTCTGTTTCCTCCACTAGACTGTGAGCTCCTAGCAAGAAGGGTCCTGGGTCCTGTTCATGGCTATATCTGGAGTCTGAACCATAAGGGGCATAAAGTCGGTGTGCAAAAAACACCTGAAGAGAAGAAAATAATATTCAATGTAGACGTGAGTGTGGGAAAATGGATTTCCTTACCTGGTCCTAGCGACAATGTAAATTGTAAAAGCAATTCGGCAATATTCACTTTCAACAACATTTTTGAGACCCACATCAAGAGTTAGGCACCATGCTAAATGACTGTGCATCTTGTGCCTTCTCTCATTCATCTTCTCAACAACTTGTGCTGTTCAAATGATTAATTACCACCATTCTAACAGATGAGAAAAAAAATATGGTCCAGAAACAGCCAGTTCAAGTTCCCACTGCTAGTGAGGGGTAGAGGTGGGGTTGGAATCCAGGTCTTCTGACTCCAAATCAAATATTTTCCCCTCACCCCGGGCAAAACACTTACTTCTTTTCAACTCAGTAATCCCACTTTTAAAAATGTATCCTCTGGAAGTAATCCAAAAGAAAAGTTATATGCACAAAGATGTCCTTTGCAGTGTTATCTAACCAAACACAGCAAGAACATACCACAGGCAATAACACCTAGTTGAAACAACCCAGGACTTACAAGCATGGGAAATGTCACAAAAGCTGCAACCTGTCAGTAGGAAGAGCAGACCTCCAATTCCCAGCCTGCACAAAAATCCCATCACATCACAAGTCTTTAGTTTGGAATCAGAAAAAATGGTTGCCTTAACTATAATAGGGAAACTCTTAAAGAACATATCTCAGCCAAAGGTAAGGGGGTATGCACAGGAAAGTGGAAGCACTTAGGATAATTGGTAGGGGAAGCAGAAGGGATTTTTTTTTTTTTGTATTCAAGGTCATGACAATAGCAAAGGTTGTTTATACAAATGACAGAGGTCTGGAAGAGAACAGGGACAATGGAAAAAAAAAAACATGTTGGAGACCTGGGTTGGACTTGTTGATAAATTTTTAAATTCCTTTTATGTCCATGAATGTTGTTTGTGCAATTTTTTTTTTACATCTCAATACCAGAGGTTTTCCTCTGAGCTGTCTTTCCATCATCAATTTGAAAGGTAGAGGTGCTAAGACTGTCTCCTGCCTGCTTTCAGAAGCAAAGCATAAAAATAACTATCGTTTATTAAGCTCACACCATGTGCCAGACACTACACTAAATGCTTTACAAGGATTATTTCATTTCATCCCTTTACCATCCCAAAGAGGCAGGTCCTATTACAACTTCCATTCTACAGATGAGTAAACTGAGGCTGGAGGAGTGCTGTGACTTGCCCATGGGTGGCTGGAATTGTGGATCCCACCCCTGCCTTCCTGTCAGATTTCTACCAAAATCCACATGGGCTTAACTAAAACAACTGCTTGTTACAGTGTTCAAATGTAAAAGGCACTTCCCACCCATGAGAGTGGCTATTACTTAATTAAAACACACACACACACACACACACACACACACACACACACACACAAAACAACTATTGGAGAGGATGTGAAGACACTGGAACCTTATACCTTGCTGGTGTTGTGAATATAAAATGGCACATCCACTGTGGAAATCAGTATGGCAGTTCCTCAAAAAATTAAACACAGAATCTTGAAATTCTACTCCTAAGAGTATACCCCCCTAAAATTGAAAGCAGATATTTGTACACCAATGTTTGAAGCAGTATTATTCATCATAACCAAAACGTGTAAACAATTAAATGTCCATCAATGGATGGATAAACAAAATATAATCTATCCTTATACAATGGAATGTTATTCAGCCTTCAAAAGGAAGGAAATTCTACAATATGCTACAATACGGATGACCCTTGAAGACATTTTGCTAAGTGAAATAAGCAGACATGTAAGGACAAATACTGTATGCATAATTTCATTTACATGAGGTGTTTAGAATAGGCAAATTCATAAAGACAGAAAGTACAATGGTGGTTGCCAGCGCTGGGGAATGGGGAGTTATTGTTTAATGGATACGGAGTTTCAAAATGAGAAGATGAAAAAGTTCTAGAGATGGATGGTGATGATGGTCACACAACAATGTGAATGTACTTAATACCACCAAACTGTATACTTAAAGATGGTTAAAATGGTAAATTTCAGGTGATGGACATTTTACTGCAATTAAAAAAAAAAAGCAAAAACCTACAAACAACTAAAAAACAAACATAACGGGAACCAAATGCTTAAGCTCTAATTACCACGTCGGGGGGCCCATGCCCTTCAGGCGAATCTCTATTAAAAGCCCTCATGGTCTACGCTGGGCTATGCCTGGACAGGGAATGCGGTGGGAACGTTCCTAATCACAGTGGTGACACACTCTAGTAGGGGAGGAGGAAAGGAAACACTGAAATTTGGGAGGTGCCCTGATGGGGGCAGACAGGGGGGTTATAGAAGCCCAAAGAAAGAGTGGTCAGGGGAGCTTTCCTAGAAGAGAAGGTATCGCAACTGAGACTGAGAGAAGCCAGCCAAGCAGAGGAGGAGGAGGAGGAGGAGGAGGTTGGTGTCAGCAGAGGAAACACATATGCAAAGGCCCAAAGGCATGAGATAAACATGGTTATTAGAGCGCAAGCACTATTCATTTACCCTCTGTGGGGGAAAGCAGGACTGTGGAGAAGTTCAACTTTCTAAAAATGGGAGGTGCCCTGATGGGGCACATGTAACACTTGTTACACCGAAGACACTTTTGTAAACTTGAGTCCAGGTTGCATGGGGGAGTAAGAAGCCCTGGCTTAGGAGCCAGAACAAGATGGTTTTAGTCAGGGTGATCCCACCTTCTGGTTTACCTGGGATAAGCCCATTTTACTCTCTAAGATGTCTAGGTTTGGGCAATAAATTATTCAATCATCCTACTTTTTAAAAAATTGGGGTAAAAATCACATAACATAAAATTTACTATTTCAACCATTTCAAGTTCACAATGCAGTGGCATTTAGTACATTTATATCATGCAACTGACGTAGGAGGTGGGATTAAACTCTGGAAGCAAGGCTCAGACACTAGACCAAATTGAGGACTAGCTAAAACAGGTCAGGGCAGAAGTAACTCCCTGTAAGACCTGCCCACCAGTGTGCCATGTCAGTCTACCATTGCCATGGCAACATCCAGAAGTTACCACCCCCTTTTTTTGTTTGTTTGAGATGGAGTCTTGCTCTGTCGCCCAGGCTGGAGTGCAGTGGCGCAATCTCGGCTCACTGCAGCCTCTGCCTTCTGGGTTTCAGCAATTCTCCTGCCTCAGCCTCCTGGGTAGCTGGGACTACAGGCGCCTGCCACCAGGCCCAGCTAACTTTTGTATTTTTAGTAGAGACGGGGTTTTGCCATGTTGGCCAGGCTGGTCTTGAACTCCTGACCTCAGGTGATCCACCCACCTCAGCCTCCCAAACTGCTGGGATTACAGGCATGAGCCACCGCGCCCAGCCATTACCACCCCTTTCTAGGGCAACAACCTGACAACCCAGAAGTTACCACCCTTTTCTATGAAGTTTTGCATAAACCACCCCCTTAATTTGCATATAATTAAAAGTGGGTATCAATATGACTGCAGAAGTGCCTCTGAGCTGCTACTCTGGGCACACCGCCTATAGGCCAATCCTGCTCTGCGAGGGGCAGCACCTCTGCTGCTGTATGCTGCTGCTTCAATAACAGTTGCTGTTTAACACCGCTGGCTCACTTGAATTCCTTCCTGGGTGAATCTAAGAACCCTCCCAGGTGAAGCCCCAATTCTGGGGCTGGCCTAAAGTGCATCACAACCATCACCCCTATGTAGTTGCAAAGCATTTTCATCACCCCCAAGGAAATCCCATACTCACTTAGCAGTCACTCCCCATTCCCCTCTTCCCCAGCCCGTGGCAACCACTAATCTTTCTGTCTGGATTTGTCATTTCTGGATATTTTGTAAAAATGGAATCCATGTCCTCCACCCTAGTTTTTGTCCCACCTCCTCTACGAACCTGCAGTGACGGCTTTGGGCCAGCCCCTCCCTGCCTTAGTCTGGGCCTCAGACACAAGAGGTTGAGCAGGTTTGCTAAATTTCCTGTCATTTTTAAGATTCCGTGATTCTGATTCGGCTCAACCCCAAGACTCATCGGTTCTGTGTTTTCCACTTCTCTCTGCAACTGACACATTCCCCGGAGGGAGAACAACTTTCTGGATTGTGAGATGTGTGTTCTTAGTCTCTTTTAAGGGAGCCCCTGTGATTCTTGGCTGGGCACGGTGGCTCACGCCTGTAATCCCAGCACTTTGGGAGGCCGAGGCGGGCGGATCACGAGGTCAGGAGATCGAGACCATCCTGGCCAATATGATGAAACCCCATCTGTACTAAAAATGCAAAAATTAGCCAGGCTTGGTGGCGCATGCCTGTAATCCCAGCTACTTGGGAGGCTGAGGCAGGAGAATCGCTTGAGCCCGGGAGGTGGTGGTTGCAGTGAGCCGAGATCACACCATTGCACTCCAGCCTGGGCAACAGAGCGAGACTCCGTCTGGGAAAAAAAAAAAGAAAAAAAAGAAGCCCCTGTGATTCCTTAAAAAGTCAGTGCTCAATAAAAAATAGTTGAGGGAGTTAAATCAAATTCTTACTTCGCAATGACAGCAGCAGCAGAGCTCATTTTCGTACGGAGTGTGTACTGTTTCTGTAAGAATTGACATAATTAGCAAAGTCTTGACTCCTGTGTAAATTCCATCAGAGTGCGGTACATCTGGTGTTTCTGACTCTGGGATCCAGGGGAACAGCTTGAGATGGCCTTCCCCAAACTTCCCCTGGACCATGGGATGTAGGGTAGGACACACCCATTACCCACAGAAGCATTCTGTGGTATATTAAAAGACTGTGAGAAATGCTGGGTTCAACAATGGGAATAAACAGGTGTCTTTCCAGCAGGACTTTTCAGAACCTTTAATATGCTGATTTGCCTTTTAGGCCCTCTAAAGCATAATCCAAACTGCCTCACCCCAGGCCGCTTGTCCAAGTGCAGCTGCTGATCTGGAGAAACAATGTTACAACTTATCTTTACCCCTCTGCTTAACCTCCGCCTTTTCAACTTTCATTGGCTTGTTCCTTCCTACAATTTATGCTATTTTTGGACTGGCTGACCACTCACTGAAACCATTAATTAAGCTGCTGTTTCCCCCCGTGTTTTTCTCTGGATCCAAAATTGGCAAACTAGAGTCCACAGGCCAAACTAGCCCACTGCCTGGTTTTGCAAATAAAGTTTTATTGGAACACACCCACAGCCATTTATTTACATATTATCTATGGTTGCTGCTGCTGCTGCCTTTTTTTTTTTTTTTTTTTTTAAGGGACAAGGTCTTGCTGTGTGTCCCAGGCATGATCTCAGCTCACTGCAGTCTCAATCTCCTGGGCTCAAGCAGTCTTCCCACCTCAGCCTCCTAACTAGTTGGGACTACAGGCATGCACCACCATGACCTGCTAATTTTTTAAATTTTTTGTAGAAAAGGGCTTTCGCCATGTTGCCCAGACTATCTATGGCTTCCTTCAAGAGCCTTTATCCATGACTCTGCCTTAGTGACAGAGTTGAGTAGTTGTTACAGAGGCCATATCGCCCAGAAAACCTAAAATACATACTATAGCTCTTTACAGACAAAATTTGCTGACCCCTGCTTTAGATTGAGGAGATCTTAGCCTCCTGAGAGACTGGACTTCCCCCAAGGGTGTGATGTCCTCTTTCAAATACCCAAAGCTCTTACAGTATTCTGGCTGAGCCTCACCCCTCCACTAGACTTCTTTAGGCGTTCCACATGATAACGACAGAAAAATTCAATACACACAAACAAAAGTGTTTTTAATAATCGTAAATCCAGCCAGGTGTGGTGGCTCACACCTGTGATCCCAATGCTTTGGGAGGCTAAGGCAGGAGGATAGCTTGAGGCCAGGAGTTAGAAACCAGCCTGGTCAACATAGCAAGATTCGTTATGAAAGAAAGATAAAATAACTTACTGGGTATGGTGGTGTATGCTTGTAGTTCCAGCACTTTGGGAGGCTGAGGTGAATTGCTTGAGCCCATGAATTTGAGGCTGCAGTGAGCTATGACTGCACCATGGCACGCCAGCCTGGGTGACAGAGTAAGACCCTGTCTCAAAAAAAAACAAAAAAAAATTCCTAAATCCCACTATTCTGATGTACAACAACGTTGACATTTCCAACAAAAACAGGAACTCATGGTCAAAATTAAAATGGAATCAGATCATGCATCCTATTTAGAAATTTGTTTTTTGTTGTTATTGTTTCATTTCAAACTATGTCATGACCATCTTTCAGGACAATAGCTATACACCCTATACAGCAGTTTCTACAGCTTTCATCGTATTCCATTATATAAATATTAGATAACCCATCCCCCACTACTGGATCTTTAATGGTCAACCTGTCAATTAGTGAACCTTAAAACCAACATTGCAATGAACATCCACATACAATTATTTTCCCAAGTGAAATTTTGCCTAGAAGTGGGCTATTTGGTTCCAAGGGTGCACGTTTCTTCTGGAGCTTTGGATATATGCAGAATCACACGTAAGGAAAACACCTCCCATGGTGACTCAATTCAAAGCTTTGGAGGTCAGGGTTCTTACTCCCTCCCCTGGGGCAGACCCAGTAAAGATGTCTAATGAGCAATAAACCAGGCCTTGCCCTCACTTGGAGTTTTACTGGCCCTGCTTTATGGCAGGATCATCATAAGCTTGACTAGAAGGTTTCCAAGGGCAACTGGAACAGTTGACAGAGACAAGTGAGTCTGGAACCAGCCCAGAGGCTGTGTGTGTCCAGCCTGGTGTAGGAAGAGGGGGCAGGAAGGAAGACCCAGCCCTGGAACTGGTGTTCACTGCAGAGGAAACTCAACCCCAAAGCTCAATTCAACATAAAACACAGCAGCACAATGCTTGACTCAGAAAAATCTAAGCATAACACGCTCTCTCCTTAGGGAGACTGAGATGTGCATATTGCATTGCAGGAAATATAAAGAAATAATTCCCTCCAAGTACAAATAGATTTCTGAAAGAATAAGCTTACACTGGCTGGCAAAGCTCCAAATCCTGGGAAGGTCTGTCTGATCACTCCCCAGCACTAAAATCATCAATAGCTCCCACTGTCCCTTGCCTTGGGCAAGGTATTCAAGCCTTCCCAAACACCCCCCAAAAAACAATCAACCTAGTCAATACAGCAGACCCTGACCACAGTCTCACAATCTCAAATAAATACAATGACTTGAGTGTCTTTTTCATGCTATTCCTTCTTCATAGACAGCCCTTTACCCCCAGCACAATGTCCATTTGCCTGATTCCCACCCATCCTTTTAGAGCCGTTTAAATAAGGCCTCTTCCAGGAAGCCTATGCTGATTTCCTGGGCCAAAATGACTTCCAACCCTCCAGGGCAATTGACTTGATTCAATGCCTTGCATAGGAGAAAAGCCTGAGACTCTCCCCCTAACACAATTTACATCACTCATCCAACCCCATCCCACTCTACCCAGAGGATACACCCCTCCACTCTCAGTTCCCCTTCCTAGAACCTAGTCAGTGCCTGGCACAGGATAGACTGAGTGGGGCAGGGCTGAGATCCTGAGAGGTGGGAGGTAGCCACCTGGGACACAAGACGACTTTAGGAGGCTCTGGTATCCAGGCACAGCACTAAAGCGCATGGTTTCCTTTCTAATCCTCATGGGAGCTTTCAGAAGTTGCTAGACAGTCTCTGCTGGGTGCCACTATGACTTTAACACCTACATCTCCATCATCTGCTCATCTCCCAATTTAACAGAGGAATACAGCCTCATGCTCAGACTATTAGCTGTTGTAGTAGCAGCTGATTGTTTTTATTGTATTTAATTTTTACTGTTATTTTTCTACTTAAAGCAAGCAACACTGGTTTTGTTTACAAAAGAGTTTTTGCAAGGTTCCTTTCAAAACAAACATATTTAACTTTTGAGAAGGGGAAAAGTGGCCGGGCATGGTGGCTTACACCTGTAATCTCAACACTTTGGGAGGCTCAGGCAGGTGGATTACCTGAGGTCAGGGGTTCGAGACCAGCCTGGCCAACATGGTAAAACCCTTTCTCTACTAAAAATACAAAAATTAGCTGGGCGTGGTGACGCATGCCTGTAGTCTCAGCTACTCGGGAGGGTGAAGCAGGAGAATCACTTGAACTGGGGAGGCAGAGGTTGCAGTGAGCCAAGATCATGCCATAGCACTCCAGCCTGGGTGACAGAGAGACTCCGTCTCCAGAAAAAAAAAAAAGAAGAAGAAAAGAAAAGGGAAAATTTAAAAATAAAACAACAGTACAAGGGTTACGTGGATACAGTAATAACTCTTGGGGTTTTTATGTGTTTAATCTGAACAGGGAAAATCACCAGTAAAGTGGAAAGAACATGATATTGGCGTCAACAGTGCAGATGCAAGCTCTCTGGCAGCTTCCCTCCTTAAAACTAGTAAGCCAGAGACTTGCTTTCTCAGCTTCCTTTGCAGCTAAAAGTGGCCATGTGACCCAATTCTGATTTAAAAAATATTTAAGAACTTAAGGGGAAATGGGAAAGACTTCTAGGGAGGCTTTTACTTTGCTAATAAAACAGTTAGACGTGAGCCAGGTGCAGTGGCCCACGCCTGTAATCCCAGCACTTTGGGAGGCCAAGGTGGTCAGATCACTTGAAGTCAGCAGTTCAAGAACAGCCTGGCCAACATGGTGAAACCCTGTCTCTACTAAAAATACAAAATTAGCCAGGCATGGTGGCAGACACCTGTAATCCCAGCTACTCAGGAGGCTGAGGCAGGAGAATTGCTTGAACCCAGGAGGCGGAGGTCGCAGTGATCCAAGATCGCACCACTGCACTCCAGCCTGGGCGACAGAGCAAAACTCCAACTCCAAAAAAAAAAAAAAAAAAAAGAAAAGAAAAGAAAGAAAGAAAAAGAAATAACAACAACAAACCAGGCAGGCCAGGCTCAGTGGCTCATGCCTATAATCCCAGCAATTTGGGAGGCTGAGGTGGGCGGATCACCTGAAGTCAGGGTTTCCAGACCAACCTGGTCAACGTGGTGAAACCCCATCTCTGCTAAAAATACAAAGATTAGGCCAGGCACGGTGGCTCACATGCCTGTAATCCCAGCACTTTGGGAGGCCAAGGTGGATGGATCACCTGTGGTCAGGAGTTCGAAACCAGCCTGGCCAACATAGTGAAACCCCATCTCTACAAAAAAACACAAAAATCAGGTGGGCGTGGTGGTGCTTGCCTGTAATCCCAGCTACTTGGGAGGTTGAGGCAGAAGAATCACTTGAACTCAGGAAGGAGGCGGACGTCTCAGTGAGCCGAGATCGTGCCACTGCACTCCCAGTCTAGGCGACAGAGTGAGACTTCGTCTCAAAAAAAAAAAAAAAGATTAGCAAGGCATGGTGGCAGGTGCCTATAATCCTAACTACTCAGGAGGCTGAGGCATGAGAATCACTTGAACCCAGGAGGTGAAGGCTGCAGTGGGCCAAGATCACGCCACTGCACTCCAGTCTGGGCAACAGAGTGAAACACTGTCTCAAAAAAAATCCAGGCAGATGCAGCTTGTGGTGCTGCCTCTCCTTCCTACCTGGATCAAGAATATGATGTCTGCAGTCATGGCAACCGTATTGGGACCAAGAAACCACAAGCCAATTTAAGGATAGTGACATGGAAAATAACTTGATATATAGTTAAGCCACTGCCCTAACTCTGAACTACTCTCCTCTTGATTTTTTATGTGAAAAATAATAAAATATACCCATTTAAGCCATTGTTGGTTTGGGTTTCTATTCCATGCAGGCAAAAATATTCTTAATGAACACGGAGCTTGGCACAAATGGATTCAGTGGACAAATGTCTTCTAAGTGCACACAGTGGCTGTGGTTCCTTTAACGGAGCCACTTCACCTCTCAAAGATCAGTTTCTTTACGAGTAAGGTCAATGATACTTACTTCAAATCTGAGGATTAAAAGAGATAGTGCATGTAAAACACCTACCAGCAGACTCCGCACATAGTAGGTCTCTACAAATGCACAATAAATGTGCAAATAGAGGCCAGGCGCGGTGGGTGATGCCTGTAATCCCAGCACTTTGGGAGGCTGAGGCGGGCAGATCACAAGGTCAGGAGTTCGAGACCAGCCTGGCCAACATAGCGAAACCCCCATCTCTACTAAAAATACAAAAAATTAGCTGGGCGTGGTGGCGGGCACCTGTAATCTCAGCTACTCGGGAGTCTGAGGCAGGAGAATCGCTTGAACCCAGGAGGCAGAAGTTGCAGTGAGCCGAGATCGCGCCATTGCACTCCAGCCTAAGCGACAGTGCAAGACTCTGTCTCAAAAAAAGAAAAAAAAAGTGCAAATATAATATAAAGACTCACAGATGTATTTGTGAGTTGATGGGATTGCAGGCGGGCAGGGAGAGGGGAACTGCCTAAATGTTTAAGATCCAAAGCAATAGCTCTCTAACAGAACAATCTGGGGAGGCAGTAATTCAAGGGAGTCTACCTTTATCCACTGTCGAATCATGTCCTGTTTCACAGGTGGAGAGAGTGGGATGAGGGACAAATGGGTAAGCAGATACTGTTCACAAGTCTGGCCTGTGTTCCACACCAGTCTGTCACTTGTCAGTTCTTGATTAAAAGTAGGGAAGGGGCCAGGCATGGTGGCTCACGCCTGTAATCCCAGCACTTTGGGAGGCCCCGAGGAGGGCGGATCACAAGGTCAGGAGATCGAGACCATCCTGGCTAACACAGTGAAACCTCGTCTCTACTAAAAATACAAAAAATTTAGCTGGGCGTGGTGGCATGCGCCTGTAGTCCCAGCTACCCAGGAGGCTGAGGCAGGAAAATCACTTGAATCCGGGAGGCAGAGGTTGCAGTAAGCCAAGATCGCACCACTGCACTCCAGCCTGGGCGACAATGTGAGACTCTGTCTCAAGAAAAAAAAAAAGAAAAAAAAAGTGGGGAAGGGGGCTGGGTGCAGTGGCTTATGCCTGTAATCCTAGCACTTTGGGAGGATGAGGCAGGAAGATCACCTGAGGTCAGGAGTTCGAGACCAGCCTGGCCAACATAGCGAAACCCCATCTCTTCTAAAAATACAAAAATTAGCTGGGTGTGGTGACAGGCACCTGTAATCCCAGCTACTTGGGAGGCTGAGGCGGGAGAATCACTTGAACCTGGGAGGCAGAGGTTGCAGTGAGCCAAGATTGCTCCACTGCACTCCAGCCTGGGTGACAGAGCAAGACTCTGTCTTAAAAAAAAAAAAAAAAAAAAAAAAAAAAAGTGGGGAAGGGAGAGTGCCAAGAAATATAAACACCAAACAACATCCCCTTAAGCCAGGAGGCAAGAAAAGCCTAAAAGGGTGGTTGAGACTGAACCCATGTCTTGGTATTGTGAAGTCTCGGGTCCATCTCTGTCCACAGCACTGCACTCTCCCCTCCACTCCACATTCCCGTTTCCATGCCATCTATACCAATAAACCCAAAGTGACAAAATGACAGCTGACAGGTCCTCTCCTGGTTTTCCCAGGAGTATCTCTGTGCCTCCCATGCCCTTCAGGCAACCACTGGCTCCTCCTCCTCCCACACCTAAGTCGAAGGCTCCATGAATGCATCAGGGCCTGGCACTGCCAGCCTCAGGGCATGACAACAGACCTATTTCTGGGCCTCTGTGTAGCTGAAGAGACACACTTGGCCTAACCACAAAAAGGGAATTCAGTGAACCATTGCAAGTTTATTGGGCTCCACTGTCCTTAGATCTGTAAGTGCTGGGCCCTGGGAAAGTCTGGTTATTAGTCATTATCATCCTCAAATCATTAACAATGATTTTGTGCCAGACAGCACGTTAAATGAATCTCCCCATTCAACCCACCCTCTGAGGTTGGGTTTCATGATGAGGCCCATTTCATGGATGAGGACAACAAGGGAGGTTTGGCAACTGGCCCATGTGGTGGAGCCAGGATTTGAAATCAGGTGGCCTCAATCTAAATCCCACTTTATATATCCTCGAAGCATCAATAGTGGCTGTGTTATTAAGTGCTACCCAAGTGCTGGGTGACATGCCAAAGGCTCTACATGCATGTCTGTTAATACCCTCAACGACCCTCCTGGGGTTGATATTATTATTAACCCCATTTTACAGGGTGGTGAATTGAGGTTTGGAAAGGCAAAGTGATTTACAGAGGTCAACCACATAGTGAGCTGAGGCAGGGCAGACAAGCACCAAAACTGGGGCTTGGCCTGGCCTGGGAGGGTTCTTGGCTTTGCCCAGGAAGAATTGGTGAGCCAATGGTGTTAGACAGCAACTTTTCTTTTTCCTTTTTTTTTTTTTTTTTTTTTTGCGACGGAGTCTCACTCTGTCTCTCAGGCTGGAGTGCAGTGGCGCGATCCCAGTTCACTGCAACCTCCACCTCCCAGGTTCAAGAGATTCTCCTGCCTCAGTCTCCTGAGTAGCTGGGATTACAGGCACCTGCCACCACGCCCGGCTAATTTTTGTATTTTTAATAGAGACAGGGTTTCATCATGTTGGCCAGGCTGGTCTCGAGAGCTCTTGACCTCAGATGATCCACCCGCCTCAGCCTCCCCAAGTGCTGGGATTACAGACGTGAGCCACCGTGCCTGGCCGACAGCAACTTTTCTTGAAGTGGCAGTGTACAGCAGCAGCAGAGGTACAGCTCCTTGCAGAGCAGGGCTACCCCATAGGCAGGGCACCCAGAGTAGCAGCTCAGAGGCAATCCTGCAGTCATATTTATACCCACTTTTAATTACATGCAAGTCAAGGGGAAGATTATGCAGAAATTTCTAGAAAAGGGGTGGTAACTTCCAGGTCATCAGGTGGTTGCCATGGAAAGGGAACATAACATTTGTATGTTGCCATGGCAACGATAAACTGACATGGCACTGGTGGACATGTCTTATGGAGAGGGTCTGTCACCTCTTCCCTGTTTCAGCTAGTCTTCAGTGTGGTCCAGAGTCTGAGCCCCACCTCCAGAGTCAAGTCCCGCCTCCTACCTCAACACTAGCAGACTTTTTTTTTTTTTTCCCTTGCTTTTTGAGACCGAGTCTCACTCTGTCACCAGGCTGGAGTGCCATGGCGTGATCTCGGCTCACTGCAACCTCCACCTCCCAGGTTCAAGTGATGCTCCTGCCTCAGCTTCCCCAGTAGCTGAGACTACAGGCACACACCACCATGCCCATCTAATTTTTATATTTTTAGTAGAGAGGGGGTTTCACCATGTTGGCCAGGATGGTCTCGATCTCTTGACCTCGTGATCCGCCCGCCTCGGCCTCCCAAAGTGCTGGGATTACAGACGTGAGCCACCGCACCTGGCTAACACTAGCAGACCTTGTAACTCCAGGGTAGCACAGGTCCCACCCAGCTTACAGCAGGTGTTCTGGCAAGTTTTGGGGGCAGAACATCCTTGTCCTTGAGGCATGGTCTGGTGCTGGAGGCAGGCATGGCCACAGATGGTGACCACAGCAGTGTGAGGCTCAGAGGCATAACTGAAACCCACAAGAAGAAGAGCTTTCAGTAGACAGAATAATGCTTCCCAAAAATGTCCAGGTCCTAATCCCGAAAACCTGCAGATATATTGCCTTACATAGCAAAAGGGACTTTGCAGATGTGATTAAGTTAAGGCTCTTGAGACAGGAAGATTATCCTGGATTCTCTGAGCCCAATGTCATCACAAGGGTCCTTATAAGAGAAAGGCAGGAAAGTCAGAGTCAAAGAGAGAGAACGTGAGGACAGAAACAGAGTGATGTGGGGCCGAAACCCAAGGAATGAAGCAGCCTCTAGAAAACAGAAAAGGCAAGGAAATGGATTCTCCCCAAGAGCCTCAGAAGGGACACACTCTTGCTGACCATCAGAACTGTGAAGTAAGAAATTTGCTTAAATCACTGAATTGTGAGAATCTGTTACAGCACAATAGGAAACGCATACAGAGCTTAACTTGCCTGGGGAGAGAAGGGGAGGGCTTCCTGAAAGAGGCAGCATTGAGCTGAATGGCTGCCTGAAAAACCCCAAAGCCCACATCTCTATGAAGTTCTTTGTCTCGGTCGCCCCCCAGGCGACCAGACACCTTAATTCCCCCATTCCCAATTGTTAAGCATTTCACAGCATCAAATCCTGGGAGGTAGGTCCTGGTACTGTACTTCCCATGTATTTACTAAAATTTAAATATCAGCTCATTTAAAATGTCATTAAGGCCAGGTACAGTGGCTCACATCTGTAATCCCAACACCTTGGGAGCCGAGGTGGGTGGATCACCTGAGGTCAGGAGTTCGAGACCAGCCTGGCCAACATGGTGAAACCCCGTCTCTACTAAAAATACAAAAAACTAGCCAGGCATGGTGGCGGGCGCATGTAGTCCCAGCTACTCGGGAGGCTGAGGCAGGAGAATCTCTTGAACCTAGGAGATGGAGGTTGCAATGAGCCAAGATCACGCCATTGCACTCCAGCCTGGGCAACAGAGTGAGACTGCATCTCAAAAAGGAAAAATAAATAAATAAATAAAATTGGCTATTCAATGCTCTAGCTGCACAGGTGTCATTTCAAGCACTCCACAGGCACACGATGCTAGGTATGCTGTTGGAGAGCATGCAAAGTTCTCCTGGACAGCACTGTAGAATCCCATTATACAGATGTGAAACTGAGGCTCAGAGAGAGGAAGTCACCTGGGTAGGAAAAGGCAGAGCTAGCACACAAAACTTAGATCTTCTAGCTTCATTCTCTGCCTTCTCAACAGAGAAGACACAGGGCTGATGGTCTGACCCCAGGCCCAACCTTATTTAATTTAACCACAAATTACTCCCCCACGGGAAGGAACTATGTATGACCTTTGGCATCACTGACAAGAGTTTATTTTGGCGTCTTTGTCCCTCTGCCTTAAATGCAGGGGACACTACCACGAGGCAGGTAAAGTAGAGGTCTTGGGTTAATGAAGGGTTCTGCTTAGCGGAGGATCCAACGAATGAAGTGAGTTATTATTACAGGCACAGAGCACTTGTGGTTTAGACTGCCGAGTGCAACAAGTTTGCATGATCCACCACTGCCCCTCAACCCCCAAATCCATCATCCGTATTAACTAGCATACAAGCACTAGGAAAATCTCTATCTCCAGGGCGGAATGATACCAAAACACCTTGGAGTAACCTTTCAATTTCTTTTTTTCTTTTTTTTTTTTTTTTTTAGATGGAGTCTCGCTCTGTCACCCAGGCTGGAGTGCAGTGGCACCATCTTGGCTCACTGCAACCTCCGCCTCCCGGGTTCAAGCGATTCTGCTGCCTCAGCCTCCTGAGTAGCTGGGACTACACGTGCGCGCCACCACGCCCAGCTAATTTTTGTAGTTTTAGTAGAGACAGGGTTTCACCATGTTGGCCAGGATGGTCTCGATCGCTTGACTTTGTAACCCGCTCACGTCAGCCTCCCAAAGTGCTGGGATTACAGGCGTGAGCCACTGCACCCAGCCAACCTTTCCATTTCTAATATAACCTTTGCCACCTACAAGGAATTCATTCAGGATTCACTGATTGACAGTTAGTGAGTTTTAATGAGTACAATCAAATCTTCTACACTTTTTTTTTTCTTTTTGAGACAGAATCTCACTCTGTTGCCCAGGCTGGAGTGCAGAGGTGCCATCTCAGCTCACTGCAAGCTCCGCCTCCTGGGTTTACGCCATTCTCCTGCCTCAGCCTCCCGAGTAGCTGGGACTACAGGTGCCCGCCACCACGCCCGGCTAATTTTTTGTATTTTTAGTAGAGATGGGATTTCACCATGTTAGCCAGGATGGTCTCGAACTCCTGACCTCATGATCTGCCCGCCTCGGCCTCCCAAAGTGCTGGGATTACAGGCGTGAGTCACCGCGCCCAGCCTCTTCTACACTTTTAGCTAAAAGCAGTTACAAAGAGTTTCAGGGGAAAAATAAAATACAATTAAAAGTGAGTTTTAAATTTGTTTCCTGGAGGGCAGGGAAATGGGCAGATGGAGGGACAAGGATGGGAGAGAGACTTTTCACTGTCTATACTTTGGTAACTTTTCACTTTGAATCTTGTCAATGTATTAGCCAAATCAATAAAAGTTAAATTTTAAAACATTTAGGTACAATATGGACATGAAGATCCCATTTCAGTTGGGTATGGTGGCTCACTCCTGTAATCCCAGCGCTTCAGGAGGCCAAGGCCTCACTTGAGGCCAGGAGTTCAGGATCAGCTTGGGCAACATAATGAGATCCCATCTCTACAAAAAATACAAAAATTAGCCAGGCGTGGTGGTGTGTACCTGTAGACCCAGCTACTCAGGAGGCTCAGGTCGGAGGCTCACTGGAGCCCAGGAGTTCAAGGCTGCAGTGAGCTACGATAAAACCACTGCACAACACCTTGAACAACAGAGTAAAACCCTGTCTCAAAAAAAAAAAAAAAATGGCCGGGCACAGTGGCTCACGCCTGTATTCCCAGCACTTTGGGAGGCTGAGGCAGGCGGATCACAAGGTCAGAAGTCCGAGACCAGCCTGGCCAACATGGTGAAACCCCATCTCTACTAAAGATACAAAAAATTAGCTGCGTGTGGTGGCGCGCGCCTGTAATCCCAGCTACTCAGGAGGCTGAGGCAGGAAAACTGCTTGAACCCAGGAGGCAGAGGCTGCAGTGAGCCAAGATCTCACCACTATACTCCAGCCCAGGTGACAGGGCTCAAAAAAAAAAAAAAATCCTATTTTCTATTTGATATAGATGCACATGGATGGGTATATAAATTTGAATGTATGGATACTGAGAGAAAGTATTAGAGAAACACATGTGAAAATGTTTACAAAAATTATCTCCAAGTGGGCCGGGCGCAGTGGTTCACGCCTGTAATCCCAGCACTTTGGGAGGCCGAGGTGGGTGGATCATGAGGTTAGGAGATCAAGACCATCCTGGCTAACACAGTGAAACCCCGTCTCTACTAAAAATACAAAAAAATTAGCCAGGCGTAGTGGCAGGTGCCTGTAGTCCCAGCTGCTCAGGAGGCCAAGGCAGGAGAATGGCGTGAACCCCGGAGGTGGAGCTTGCAGTGAACTGAGATTGTTCCACTGCACTCCAGCCTGGGCGACAGAGCAAGACTCCGTCTCAAAAAAAAAAAAAAAAAAAAAAAAAAAAATCTCTCCAAGTGAAAGGAGATAAGGCTATGGCTAATTTTAATCTTTTTTGTGTAGTTGTAAGTTTTATGTAATAATAACAAGATAAGTATTTGTGTTTGGATGTATAGCCAGTTTCTATATGAAATGCTTCACAAACAAAAAATGGTTTTTCCCAGCAACCTCGGAGGCAGGTAGTATTTTACTCCCATTTTACAGATGAGGAAATTGAGGCTCAGAGACACTAAGACCATGAAGCCCACTCTCTTGATTCCTTTACTGTGTTGCCTTCTGATAAATGAATGTGTTTGTAATAAGAGGGAAAAAAAAGTTTAAAACAAATGCCAAAGAGGCCAGGGGCATTGGCTCATGCCTGTAATCCCAGCACTTTGGGAGGCCGAGGCGGATGGATCACTTTGAGCTCAGGAGTTCGAGACCAGCCTGGGCAACATGGCAAAATCCCATCTCTACAAAAATTAGCTGGGCACTGGGGGCTTGTGCCTGTAGTCCCAACTACTTGGGAGGCTGAGGCTGGAGAATTGTTTGATCCCAGGAAGAGGCAGTTGCACCTAGCTGAGATTGCATCACTGCACTCCAGCCTGGGTAACAGAGTGAGATCCTGTCTTTAAAAAAAAAAAAGCCACGAAGTTAAAACACAAAGTTCAATGGACTGAATTTCCAAATATACAAATGTCACAGCATCCAAGTGTTTCTCAGGGAGGGTTCAGCAGCCACCACTGGTGCCCAGCCCTGTGCCCTCAGCATTCACCTCTAGATGCAGAAAGTGGTCTAAGAACATCTGCAGTTTTCACCTCTAGATGCAGAAGGTGGCCTGAGGACATCTGCAGTTTTTCTGGCTAAAGGCTTGGTTTTTGGCTGTGGGAGCAACTCAGGTCAGAAATGCAGCCCATTAATGCCCCAGAGCAGCCCTCCACCAAAGACTAAAGGAAGTTGATGTATCAACACCCCAGCTCCCTCCTTCCTCTGGGGAGGAAGCCTGAGGTGTGTGGTTTTGTTAACATTGTATATAGCTTCCTGCCTTCCCTGTCTCACTTTCCACTCTGATCAAACAGTGCTGCCAGAGTCAGCTCCCCAAAAAGCCATTCATGTTCCCATCCTTGTCTCTGGGCCTGCTTCTGGGGGAGCCTAACCTGAAACAGCTGAACATGCTCAGCTTCCCCTACCCACTGGTTACCAATGGTTACCAGGAGCAAAAACTCCAAAGTGGTTTTTTTCCTGGATCATTAAACCACAGCACCTCCATGACAAATGCTAAGTCCAAAAATAAGGCAAGCCTGCTCGTTTTTTAGGGCAGGACAATGGGAAAGGGTTTCGAGAAGTGTTTTTCCTAACCAGAGGTGGGACACTTGCCAGTCAGAATTACCACTAGAACTTGGAGTTCCTGATTCCTGATGCAATATGTGTATGTATATATATGTATGTCTGTATATGTATATAAATGTGTGGACTCATACATGATTATATATTTTATATCATATATTTATATAACATAAAAATATATACTTATTTACATAATGTAGAAATTGCTTTAGCCCAAGGATGCTATAAATGCAGGTTCTCCCAGCTACAGGAATCCTGTGTTATGGGCCAACAGGACCACACAGCAGGTATCATCTGAAAACCAACAGGCACTCAGGCCTGCCCAGTGTGGGAGAAAGGCTGGACAAGCCTGGCAAGATGGTCTGGTCCAGGGACTCGTGAGTTAGCATTTTTTAAAATAGAAAGTGCCCTAAAGGATTCTGAGAGATCATGTCCCACTCTAATCCTATTCAATCTGCCTCTGAATCTATCTCCACATCCCCCACTTCCCTGCATCTACCCCTGGGGCCAATCTCCCCCACCCCAGTCCAGACCACCACCTTCTCCTGCCTGGAGGACTCTATCAGCCTCCCCCTTGGCCTGGTCCACATTGGGGCAGGCATCAACTTTCCAAAATGCCACTGTAAACATTTCATCCCCTACATAAAAAGCTTTCAGTGAAAATTTTTCACAAAGTTTCTAGAGGAAAACATGGAATAGATTGATCTTAAAGAAAATTTCTGTTCATTAGAAGACACCATTAAGAATGATATAAGCAAATCATAGACTGGAATTAAAAATATGTATATACACATGCACACACATACACATGCATATATATACACACACATACACACACACACACATATACACACACATACATATATACACATACATACACATACACACATATATACACACGTATATATACACATACATACACATACACACATTTTACAAAGCACTCTATTCAGAATATATAAAGAACTATAAATCAATAAGAAAAAAGACAACTCAGTTTTGTATTTCTTTTTTTTTTAAGCACAAAAGACTCGAATGGTTACTTTACACACATACACAGAAAAAAATCTCCACGTGACCAATAAGCACATGAAAAAAAAGTTCAACTTCACTGGTCATCGGGAAAACACAAAAATACAATGAGGGTCTGGCTCATGCCTATAATCCCAGCACTTTGGTATGCCGAGGCAGGAGAATTGCTTGAGGCCAGTTCATGACCAGCCTGGAAAACATGGCAAGAACCTGTCTCTGTTCAAAAAAAAAAAAGCCAGGTGCAGTGGCTCATTCCTGTAATCCTTGCACTTCCGGAGGCCGAGGCAGGCGGATTCACTTGAGGCCAGGAGTTCAAGACCAGCCCGGCCAACATGATGAAACCCCAACTCTACTAAATATACAAAAATTATCCAGGCATGGTGGCATGCACCTGTAATCTCAGCTACTTGGGAGGCTGAGGCATGAGAATAGTTTGAACCCAGGAGGCAGAGGTTGCAGTGAGCCAAGACTGCGCCACTGAACTCCAGCCTGGGCCAGACGTGTCTCAAAACAACAACAACAACATCGAAAGCTACATTTAAAAAAAAAAAAAAAAAAGGCCGGGCGCGGTGGCTCACGCCTGTAATCCCAGCACTTTGGGAGGCCGAGGCGGGCGGATCACGAGGTCAGGAGATCGAGACCATCCCGGCTAAAACGGTGAAACCCCGTCTCTACTAAAAATACAAAAAATTAGCCGGGCGTAGTGGCGCGCGCCTGTAGTCCCAGCTACTTGGGAGGCTGAGGCAGGAGAATGGCGTGAACCCGGGAGGCGGAGCTTGCAGTGAGCCGAGATCCCGCCACTGCACTCCAGCCTGGGCGACAGAGCGAGACTCCGTCTCAAAAAAAAAAAAAAAAAAAAAAAAAAACAGGCGAGGAGCAGTGGCTCACACCTGTAATCCCAGCATTTTGGGAGGCCGAGGCAGGTGGATCACGAGGTCAGGAGATCGACATCATCCTGGCTAACACGGTGAAACCCCATCTCTACTAAAATACAAAAAATTAGCTGGGCGTGGTGGCAGGCACCTATAGACCCAGCTACTTGGGAGGCTAAGGCAGGAGAATAGCTTGAACCTGGGAGGCAGAGGTTACACTGAACTGAGATCACACCACTGCACTCCAGCCTAGGCAACAGAGAATCCGTCTCAAAAAACAAACAAACAAAGCACATAAATGAAATACCATACTACTCAAGGCCAGGCTTAATGGCTCACGCCTATAATCCCAGCACTTTGGGAGGCTGAGAGAGGATCGCTTGAGCCCAGAAGTTTGAGACCAGTCTGAACAATATGATGAGACCCTGTCTTTGCAAAAAACTGAACAGTTAGCCAGGCATAGTGGTGCATGCCTGTAGTCCCAGCTACTTGGGAGGCTGAAGCCGGAGAATAGCTTGAACCTGGGAAGTGGAGGTTACGGTGAACTGAGATCGCACCACTGCACTCCAGCCTAGGCAACAGAGTGAGACTCCGTCTCAGAAAACAAACAAACAAAACCAAAGCACATAAATGAGATACCATACTACTCCAGGCCAGGCATAATGGCTCACGCCTATAATCCCAGCACTTTAGGAGGCTGAGAGAGGATCACTTGAGCCGAGAAGTTTGAGACCAGTCTGAACCATATGATGAGACCCTGTCTTTGCAAAAAATTGAAAAGTTAGCCAGGCATAGTGGTGCATACCTGTAGTCCCAGCTACCCAGGAGGCTGAGGTGGGTGAATTGAGCCCAGGAGGTTGAGGCTGCAGTGAACCATGATTGCGCCAGTGCACTCCAGCCTAGGTGACAGAGCAAGACCCTATTGTGCTCTCTCTCTCTCTCTGTATACTATACACTATATTGATTATAAAATACTGTACTACTACGCATCTACCACAATGGCTAAAATTACAGAGACTGGCATTACCAAGTGGTGATAAGGATGTGGAACTAAAGCTGCTTTTAAATTGGCACGAACATTTTGGAAGACTGGCAGGACCTATAAAAGCTGAATCTCGACACCTAACCTGTGAGCCGGCAATTCCACTCCTAGGTATCTACTCAGTGGAAATGAATGCTTGGGTCCATGAAAAATTTATATATGAATGCTCATAACAGTTTCCTCCATAATAGTCAAAACCTGGAAACCACTCAAATGTCCATCAGCACTACATTTGATACATAAATTGTGGCATATTCACATAATGGCATATAATACAACAATAAAAAAAAAAAACCTGCAGATAGTCCCCAACATAGGATGGTTTCATTTGTGATGGTTCCACTTACAGTTTTTAAACTTTACAATAGGTGATCATTTATGAGAGTATTAAATGCAATTTCTTTTTTTTTTTTTTTTTTGAGACAGAGTCTCGCTCTGTCGCCCAGGCTGGAGTCCAGTGGCGCGATCTTGGCTCACTGCAAGCTCCGCCTCCTGGGTTCATGCCATTCTCCTGCCTCAGCCTCCCTAGTAGCTGGGACTACAGGCCCCGCCACTACGCCCAGCTAATTTTTTTGTATTTTTAGTAGAGACGGGTTTCACTGTGCTAGCCAGGATGGTCTCGATCTCCTGACCTCGTGATCCGCCCGCCTCAGCCTCCCGAAGTGCTGGGATTACAGGTGTGAGCCACCGTGCCCGGCCCAAATGCAATTTCTTTTATTTTTTTGAGACAGGGTCTTAATTTGTCACCCAGGCTGGAGTGCAGTGGTGCTGTCATGGCTCACTGTACCCCTGTTCTCCTGGCTCAAGTGATCCTCCCACCTCAGCCTCCCAAGTAGCCGGATCTACAGGCCTCCGCTGCCATGCCCGTCTAATTTTTTGTTGTTGTGTTTTATTTTTTTGTAGAGATGGGGTTTCACCATGTTGCTCAGGCTAGTCTCAAACTCCTGGGCTCAAGCGATCCTTCAGCCTCAGCCCCACAAAGCGCTGAGATTACAAGTGTATATTGCCACACCTGGCCTAAATGCAACTTTGACAATACTTTTGACTTATGATGGGTTTATCAGGACGTATCCCCATTATAAGTCAAGAATATTTGTACTGCAACAAGAAGAAAACATGGATAAATACGACAGGCATTAAGGTTTGCAAAACAAGCAGCATTCTAAACTGTTCTGTAAAACGGCATGTGTATGAAATTCAGGCAAAATTTATATGAAGTGAGCTCTAGGGTAACGGAAGGTAGAACAGCAATTACTTTTGGGGACTGTGACTAGGAAGGGGTATAAAGATGCTCTCTGGGACCTGAGAATGTTCTATATCTTGATATGCGTGATTACATCTTGTATACATACGTAAACGTGTGTCTAGTTGACACCTAAGATGTGTGTACTTTCCTGTATGTATGTTATGCTTAAGGAGGCAAACCCCAAACTTCGAGTGGCCTCCAGGTGCTCACAAAATGAAGTCCACACCCCTCACCACCACAGCCTTGCATTATTTGTTCTTGTCTACCACTAAGACCTCATCTCCTGCCCCTCACCCAGGGCACCAGCCCCACCAGCCTCCCACAAGCCATGCGTTCTCAACACCAACAACCCCTATACCAGCACCCTTTCCCTCCCAGCTCCTAACTCACTTATCCCGGACATCGACATGTCAGCTTTGTCATGATTGTTTTTCATACCGGCAATTTCCCCTCTCAAGCAAGACATGGGAGAAGTCAAAATCTGGAAGAATTCCATCCTGGGATGGGAAAGAGACCCGCAGAAAGCTGCCAGTCGCCTTCTCTTTTTCCTGAGTGACATCAGTACTCGTGAGAGCTAATGCGCATGGGTCCCTAATTAGATACCACTTCTTCCAGGAAGCCTTCCAGACCCCTGCAGCCAGCCCAGGTAGGCTTTGGTTCCCAGAACTCTCTGTTTCTTTGTGACACCAACCCCACTGTTTTATGCCTGGTTACTCGTCTGCCTTGCTTCCTGAAGGCAGAGATCCTTTTTGTCGTAGAGATCCTTGCCTGGCATGTGATGGGTACACAATAAACATTTGCTGAAGCAAATCAATGTTTACATGAGAAAATAAGTCACTGCATGGAGGGTAAGAATGGGATGGAGCCCACAGTGACTCTATGCAGGCCCCTGGCATACAGAAGGTAAAATTCGGCCCCGAGAGGCTTGCCTAAGGTCACACAGCCAATTAAGGATGAATCTAGCACTGCAACCTATGGGAGATGCTGTTGGATCTGCCCCTCCCCCAAATCCCCTTTCCTGCTGCGGCACCCATCCCCCAGCTGCTATGACAGTTGTCTGCTCAGTTTACAGTTACACCCTTTTCCAGGAGGGCTGTCCTCCAACATGCTGCCCTACAGTCTCCACCCCTCCTGGTAAATCCCTCACTCCCACAGCCAATGACTGGCTTCCAAGGGACACGAGGGGCTACTTACCCTTGCCCCAAGGCAGGACTTACTCTGTGGCTTCAGAGTGCCCCAGGGGATCAGACTGAGGCCAAATGTCCCCTCCCCTGCCCTATTATCCTGTCTCCCTCTCTCGGGGATGCATGAGTCACAACTCAAATCAATCACTTTCACAGAATTCCTATCTCAAGCTCTCCTTCTAGGGAACCCAACATAAGACAGAACTTAAGGCTTTCAAGTACTCGCCCGCACTCCAGGCTGACACACTGCCTCCCAAAGCTAAGTCTGAAAAGGAATGGCAATTCCAGTGGCCAACCCAGGGGCCATGCTGTAAGGAAACGTGTAATCCATAAGGCTCGTGTGAGTGCACATGTGGGGAGGGTCTCCTCGCTGGTTCCCGATGCCCTTTACTTTCATCTCTATAAGATACACAGAAGGACCTAAGCTGTGCTTTTCAGCCACCAGCAATGAAGCTCTAAAATGTGCCTCTGAGTCCGAGAGGGAGCCCTCCACCGAGACACCCTGCTCTATCACCAGCTCTTAGCATAGCCACCTGCATACACAGGGGTCGCTTCCCCAATGAGTCCTTGTAAGCCCCTCCCCTGAAGATGACTTACCTAGCCTTGTTAGAGAAAACACTCTACACTCTCCTGCATTCAGATGAACACCACCTGCCCTCACTTCTCCCAGATGCCAATTTTATCCAGCATAATCACCAGTTAGTTCAGAGGACACTGTGGTCAGGGGATGACATGCAGGAGTAGCAGCTGGGTGCCCCCAGTCTCCTCCCCTTGTCTGTATCCCTCTGTACAACTGTTCAGAACAGGGACTTCCAGAGCCAGTCATCTCCATCTGTACTAGCTGTGTGACCTTGGGCAACTCACTCTACCTCTCTGAGCCTCATCTTCCTCATCTATAAAATGGAAGCAAGGGTAGGTACTTCACATGCTTTTGTGAGGATTAAATGAGATCACATACATGAAGTGCTTAGCATAATGCCAATGGTCAACACCTACATCAGTAATTGTCCTCATAACCGTATTATTATTAATCATTGAAAGAGACTGGGGGTGGGCATGGTGGCTCATGCCTATAATCCCAGCACTTTGGGAGGCCAAGGCAGTGGACTGCTTGAGCTCAGGAGTTGGAGACCATCCTGGGCAACGTGGCGAAACCCAGTCTCTACAGAGAATACAAAAACGATTAGCCAGACATGGTAGCTCCTGCCTGTAGTCCCAACTACTAGGGAGGCTGAGGTAGGAGGATCGCTTGAGCCAGGGAGGTTGAGGCTGCAGTGAGTCATGACTGCACCACTGCACTCCAGCCTGGGCGAGAGTGAGACCCTGCCCCTGCCAAGAAAAAAAAAAAAAACCTTGGCCGGGCGCAGTGGCTCACGCCTATAATCCCAGCACTTTGGGAGGCCAAGGTGGGCAGATCACGAGGTCAGGAGATCGAGACCATCCTGGCTAACATGGCGAAACCCTGTCTCTACTAAAAAAATACAAAAAATTAGCCAGGCATGGTGGCGGGCACTTGTAGTCCCAGCTACTCAGGAGGCTGAGGCAGGAGAATGGCGTGAACCCGGGAGGCGGAGCTTGCAGTGAGCTGAGATCGCGCCACTGCACTCCAGCCTGGGTGAGAGAGCGAGATTCTGTCTCAAATTAAAAAAAAAAAAAAAAACCTAACATACAAACAGAGACGGGATGAGGCAGGAGCCTGGAGTTAGGCTGCACAGCTTCTGCACAAATGCAGGAACGTGGCTGGAAAGCAGGAGGAGGAACAGGCCTTGTCTCCCATCCCAAGGGGATAGAGTGGACCCCTCGCCCCAACTCCATCCCAAAAGATGCAAGGAAGCAAAGAGGCCTGGAAAGTGTATACAGCAGGTGCTCAGGATACAACAGCTCTGACGATGATACAGTTCATTCTTAAAAGGGGACCCCAAGAAAATGACCTCTCTGGGCTCAGAGATCCTTACATGCCTAAAGAGTCGCCTTTCTGCAAACAGCCCTGGATCTCAGGCAGAAGCAGGAACAGGGAAGCCACTCCTTTGTCAGAGCCTCTGACCTCATGCGCTGGTTCACCTGAGCCACGGTCGCCCTCTGCCTGCTGGAGCCAGCCAGGTCCTCACAAGAGGTGTGCCACCCCAGGCACCACAGGGTGCCTGGGAAGAGCCTACTCTGTCATACCAAACACTGTTGGACTCCACCCAAATCCTCTCAGCACTAGTGGATAACTTTCTGTTGCTGGGGGATAAATACCCCAGCTACCTAGCACTCAAGTCGGATAATTTAATGGCATGTTCTATAGGCTCCCAGAGGTCCCCAGCACAGCTGAGCCCCAGCTGTTCCCCAAGGTAACCTGCTCCTTATCTCACCCTAATGGTACACTGCCACCCAAATAAACTGCTTGCCTTTGCACCCTTGACTTAGGCTCTGCTTCTGGGGGAACCCAACCTATGACACCACTCTTTCCTAGAATCACTGACTCACAATAGAAGGACTGGCTTGGAAAACAAGTTCCCTCCTAAGGTGTCGTGACACAGTGGGGAGACACACCCCATTTTGAAATGTGTCAGCAAACCACTGACTACCAAGATGATGAGGTTGTAACACTTGCACTTGCTGAATTTTTTTTTTTCTCTTCTGAGACGGGAGTTTTGTTCTTGTTGCCTAGGTTGGAGTGCAATGGCGTGATCTTGGCTCACTGCAACCTCCACCTGCTGGGTTCAAGCGATTCTCCTGCCTCAGTCTCCTGAGTAGCTGGGATTACAGGCGCCCTCTACCATGCCCGGCTAATTTTTTTGTATTTGTAGCAGAGACAGGGTTTCACCATGTTGGCCAGGCTGGTCTCGAACTCCTGACCTCAAGTGATCCAACTGCCTTGGCTCCCAAAGTGCTGGGATTACAAGCGAGAGCCACCATACCCGGCTGCACTTGCTGAATTTTTAAAAGTTGCTCTTTTTCCAATTTTTCCAAAAGATGATATTGACCTATTATGTGCCATACTCCATGTTTGGTGATAGAGCAATGTGGATAAACTCACAATTTCCTGTTTACGTGGAGTTTAGAGCAGGTGGAAGGTGGAAAAGACAGGCAATGGATAAGCCATGCACCAAGACAAAGACAGTAGCATGTGACAAGGGAGGTGATGGGAACAGGGTTTGTGATGTGAATAGCAGCTGGGCTGCACAAATTGGGTGATCAGGAAGGATTCCTGGAGGAGGTGACCTATCAGCTGAATGACCTACAGTCAGAGGGAGCCGGCCAAGGGAAAGCCATGAGGTCTAGAGTCAGAAAAGAGCTTGGGGCATGGAAGGAACAGAAATTTCTGCTTGCACAGCTGGAGTAGAGTGAAGGGAAGTATCATGGGCTGACTTTGGAGAGAAGACAACGGACAGGGTCTTGCAGGACTCTGAGGCCATCTATGAGAGTGTGTCTGGGGCTCTCCCAGAATCACCTTCCTCACCCTGCCTCCCTAGCACTCCAACCTGCTTTCCTGAGTGGGAGAGGGTGGAGTTACCGCCTGCCTGCCAGGAGCCTCACTGAGTCTCCCACTCCCGGTGGGGGGACAGCATCTCACATGTCAGCATCCTCCGTCTGGTGCATCCAGGTGATAACTGCTGGCTTCAAGGCAGATTAGAGGGAAAGGCAGAGAGGGCGGCTTCGAGATCAGCACCTGGCAACTGGGAGTCTGAGTCAGGAGACAGCTTTGGTTGGTAGTCCACAGTGCGCAGACTCAAATTCAAATCCTACCTCTATGAGCATGGGTAAGTTTCTTAACTTCCCAAACCTCAGTTTCCCCACCTCTCAGATGGGTTAAACCTATCTGCTTTGAATAGTAGCTGAGAGATTTGCTAAGAATATACATCAAAAAGCACTTGGCATTGTCTTTTTTTTTTTTTTTTTTTTTTTTGAGACGGAGTCTCGCTCTGTCACCTAGGCTGGAGTGCAATGGCGTGATCTTGGCTCACTGCAACCTCCGCCTCCCGGGTTCAAGCAATTCTCCTGCCTCAGTCTCCTGAGTAGCTGGGACTATAGGCATGCACCACCACACCCGCCTAATTTTTGTATTTTTAGTAGAGAGGGGGTTTCACCATGTTGGCCAAGCTGGTCTCGAACTCCTGACCTCAAGTGATCCGCCCACCTCAGCCTCCCAAAGTGCTGGGATTACAGGAGTGAGCCACCACGCCTGGCCATTGTTCATTTATTGATCAAACTTTTACCAGTCTCCTACTATGTGCCAGGCACTGTACTAGGAGCCAGAGATACAGGTGTGAACAAGACAGGGCCAGTGTTCAGTCAGGCAGGGGAAGAAATCCAATGTTTACAGAAGTCAGGAATGGCAAAGAGAGACAAAATTTTACAGGCACACGGTAAGTACATTCCCTCCATCTGAGACCCTGTCCCCCAGTAAAAGCCCGGAGCCTACCAGTCACCATGTGAACCCTGAAAGTTAAGACTCCTGTCTCCTGCCAGAGCCCTAGGCATGGACATCCTAAAGGAATCCAGCTCTTTAGGGTAACTCTGCTCCTACAGGGTCCAAACTCCATCCTCCGTCCCAATTACCCGAAGGAAAATCCCTAAGCCCCAGAGACAATCTCTTAGGACATTAGCTTCAGGCGCAGCCAGTTATGCCAAGGGCGGTGTCTGCCAGTGTAGGCATGAGTCATGTCCTGCCCGCTCTGTAAATGGGAGGAGGGGTGTCCCAGGCCCAAAATGCTGATGTGGCTGTGCCAAGGAGGGGATGGGAAGAGACCGGAGGGGACAGAGCAAAGCCCAGTCCCCAACCTCCCCACACCAGAGGAAATAACAACTCAAACAAGAAAACAAGCACACACGCCACGCTTATTTACACTCATCCCCGGCTCTAAAATAAACTCTGAATGGAGATTATGGCCATGATCCCTCGCAATTACTCAGTGACTATGGGGATTATTATTCTCCCCACGTCAGAAAGGAGGAAACTGGGCCAGGCACAGTGGCTCACACCTGCAATCCCAGCACTTTGGGAGGCTGAGGCAGGCGGATCACGAGGTCAGGAGATCGTGACCATCCTGGCTAACACGGTAAAACCCTGTCTCTACTAAAAAAAAAAAAAAAAAAATTAGCCGGGCGTGGTGGCACGTGCCTGTAGTCCCAGCTACTCGGGAGGCTGAGGCAGGAGAATCGCTTGAACCCCAGAGGTACAGCTTGCAGTGAGCCGAGATCCTGCCACTCCAGCCTGGGGACAAAGCAAGACTCTGTCTCAAAAAAACAAACAAACAAGAAAGGAGGAAACTGAGGCTTAAAGAGATGAACTGTCTGTCCAAGGTGACTCATCTTGTCAATTCCAGAGCCACAAAGCTGATCTGCCCTGCTGGACTGGGAGAAAAAGAGGGGACATTCCTAAAAATAAGGAAGAAAGGGGCTGGGCATGGTGGCTCATGCCTGTAATCCCAGCACTTTGGGAGGCCGAAGTGGGTGGATCACTTGAAGTCAGGAGTTCGTGACCAGCCTGACCAGCATGGTGAAACCCCGTCTCTACTAAAAATACAAAAAAAATTAGCTGGGCATGGTGGTGTGTGCCTGTAGTCCCAGCTACTCAGGAGGCTGAGGCAGGATAATCGCTTGAACCCGGAAGGCGGAGGTTGCAGTGACTTGAGATCAAGCTACTGCACTCCAGCCTGGACAACGGAGTGAGACTCCTCAAAAAAATAAAAATAAAATTAAAGAAGAAAGGGTCCCTTCCTCAGAGAAGGCCTGGGTGACTGGAGCTGCTTGGCCAGCCCTGGGCCAGGGGTGGGACAGTGTGGTCAAGCAGAAGCCTTTGGTCCTGGCTTGTGACCTCCGCTGTGGCACCCGAGCCTCGGTTTCCCCAGCTGGGCAAGAAGGACCTAGCTCAGTGTCTGGCTTACCCACCGAGCCCTGAGCCCTTCCTACAAATGAGGAGGGAAGACCAGGCCTCCAGCCTCTGGCAGGAATCCAAGACCAGCATGAAGCTGCCCACCCGCAAGGTAGGGTCACCAGAGGACCATGGTTGCTCCACCCTTCAAGGAAGGGCAAGGCCAGGACGTGAGCAGGTGCCTGCTGTGTCCCACATGGTGACGCTCCAGAGGTGGCCTGTCCATGTCAGCGCTGGGTTGGAGGTGGTGGTTCTGCAGCCCAAACCTCATACCACCACCCAGGGCTGCTGCTGGCGTGGGCGCACATTGGGCAGGCACATGTGTGTGAGCATGGTGTGTGCATGGTGTGTGTGGGGCCAGGGAACATGTTTCCAGGAGGTAGGGTGGGTGTGAGATATATGTGTATGTTTGGAGGTACTGAGTCATGTAGGGAGGAACACACATGACAGTAAACAGGCCAGGCAAGGTGGCTCACACCTTTAATCCTACCACTTCTGGAGGCCGAGGCAGGCGGATTACCTGAGGTCATGAGTTCGAGACCAGCATGGCCAACAGAGTGAAACCCTGTCTCTACTAAAAATAAAAAAATTAGCCAGGGATGATGGCGGGTGCCTGTAATCCCAGCTACTTGGGAGGCTGAGGCAGGAGAATCACTTGAACTCGGGAGGCAGAGGTTGCAGCGAGCTGAGATCACACCAACTCACTCCAGCCTGGGTGACAAGAGCAAGACTCTGTCTAAAAAAATAAAAAAATAAAAAATAAATCACCTTGCCAAAATTTCATTGTGCTTCCCCAATGATGATGGGCTTCTGAATATTCCTTTTCCTGCCGTCTGGTGCTCATAATGTTCTATCAAAAGAATATGTTTTTAATGTTTAACAAAGAGCTAGAAAAAGCTCTCTACCATCTTCTGCCTTGATCCCAAAACCCAACAAGGTTTCTGGGGCTGTGGTTTTAAGAGGACAGCCTTTTTTTGTTCAAATCTCAAATAAACAAGAGTCCCTTTGGCAGAAGTCCCTTTGCCGGGCGGACATTCACCCCGCACACCCTCCCGGCACCAAAATTGCAGCTAAGACAATAGTGCGTGTTTTCTTGGGGAGTGGTGGGGAAAGGGGCTCTTGAGCTCTTGCTAAGCTTTGGGAACTCATCCCAAATAGTTTCTTCCCCACCCAGGGACTCTCCCTTTCCTGTGGCTCAGGGTCAGCCCTCCTCCCACACTCTTGCCTTGGGCCAGTGCATCCCCCCTGAGCCCTGACCAGCCCTAAATTCCCAGGGCTTAGGAGTTCAGAATTTTCATCTTAGAGACCATGCAGCCCTAGCTCCCTTGTTACAGCAGTGAAGAGACTGAGCTCAGAGTTGACCAGGGCTATGAAGGCGATAGAGCAAGGGTTATAAGAAGTCAGGGTGGAGGGGCAGCAACTCTAGATGAGGGGATGGGGAGGGCTCTCTGAGGAGGTGCCATGTGAGCTGAGACCTCAATGAAGAGGAGGCTGTCAGCAGGGCTGTGACCCCCCTGCAAGCACACCAGGCACCCAGTGGGGAATAAACTAAATGGCAAAGGTGGAAGCCTGGAGCTGGGGCAGGATACTCCTGCCATCCTCCAGGTGGGAGACGGGGTGGCCAAGATGAATTCAGTGACAGTGGGGACCAAGAGAAGGGACAATGTGGCTTTGAACACAAGGGTGAGAGGAAGACAATGAACACCCCTTCCTACTCACCCTCGACATGAAACCAGGGGAAACCAGAACCAAAGGGACCTTGAAAAAAGATTGATTCAAAACTCCCTCCACGAAGAAGTGGTGAGTGTACTGGGCCTGGGAGTTCAACACCAGCACAAAGTACAGGGAGTCAGAGACCTGGATTCCAATCCCAGCTCCATAATCACTAGTTGCATGACCTTGGACAAGTCAGTGCTCCTCTTTGAGCCTCAGTTTTTCCAACTGTGAGATGGGGAAGATACCAAACCCAGATGGACACTGAAAACTCCAGCACAGTACCTGGTGTTCAGTAGCTCCCTGCCCCATTCCCTCCCCATCTTTGGGTCTGACACCGGACCACAATTCTCAGATGAGATAAACCACCCAAACCCATTTTTTTTTTTTTTTTTTTTGAGATGGAGTCTCGCTCTTTCACCCAGGCTGGAGTGCAGTGGTGTCATCTTGTCTCATAGCAATCTTCACTTCCCAGGTTCAAGAGATTCTCTTGCCTCAGCCTCCCAAGTAGCTGGGATTACAGGCACTAGCCACCATGCCTGGCTAATTTTTGTATTTTTTAGTAGAGATGGGGTTTCACCATGTGGCTGGTCTTGAACTCCTGACCTCAAGTGATCCATCCACCTCAGTCTCCCAAAGTGTTAGGATTACAGGCATGACCACCACACCCAGCCCCAAACCCATTTTTGAAGAACTAACATAAATAGTGATTTTCTACCCAAAGGATCATATGAAGCAAAAATGGGAATCCTTCCCACTGAGCGGGGGTCAGAATAGAGATACCCTAAAAATAACAAGTGCTCCCAGTTTGGGGGGCTGAGATCCAGGCAGGAGTCTTTTTTTTTTTTTTTTTGAGATGGAGTTTCACTCTTGTTGCCCAAGCTGGAGTGCAATGGCGCGATCTCGGCTCACTGCAACCTCCAACTCCCAGATTCAAGTGATTCTCCTGCCTCAGCCTCCCAAGTAGCTGGGATTACAGATGCACGCCATAACACACAGCTATTTTTAAAATATATTTTTAGTAGAAACGGGGTTTCACCATGTTAGCCAAGCTGGTCTCGAACTCTTGACCTCAGGTGATCCACCCGCCTCGGCCTCCCAAAGTGCTGGGATTACAGGCGTGAACCACCGTGCCCCGCCCAGGCAGGAGTCTTGACAGTCCTGTGATGCTGCAGATGGACCCCCTGCAGGGCAGAGAGCTCTGGAGATGTGTGGAGAGAAGGCAGACATGACAGGGGTCAGAGACTACAAGGCTGGGCTCAAATCCAGGTTCTACTTCAGAAAGTCATTCTCCTTCCCCATGTCTCAGTATCCTCAATTGCAAAGCAGACATAATATGCCCAATCTAGCAGGAGTCTATCAGACTAGCTGTCATTTAGCCAGGATTGGTGGTGCACACCTGTAATCCCTGCTACTCTGGAGGTTGAGGTGGGAGCATTGCTTAGGGCCAGGCTGGGCAATACAGCAAGACCCCACCTCTACAAAAAATAAAATAATTAGCCAGGTGTGGTGGCATGTGCCTGTAGTCTCAGTTACTCAGGAGGCTGAGGCAGGAAAGAAGGTCACTTGAGCCCAGGAGTTTGAGGCTGCAGTGAGCTATGATCACACCATGGCACTCCAGACTGGGCAACAGAGTGAGACTCCATCTCAAAAAATAATAATAGGCCAGGCGCAGTGGCTCACACCTGTAATCCCAGCACTTTGAGAGGCCGAGGCGGGTGGATCACGAGGTCAGGAGATCGAGAACATCCTGGCTAACACGGTGAAACCCCGTCTCTACTGAAAAATACAAAAAATTAGCCGGGCATGGTGGCAGGCGCCTGTAGTCCCAGCTACTCCAGAGGCTGAGACAGGAGAATGACGTGAACCTGGGAGGCAGAGCTTGCAGTGAGCCGAGTTTGCACCACTACACTCTAGCCTGGGCAACAGGGCGAGACTCTGTCTCAGAAAAAAAAAAAAAAATAATAATAATAATAAATAAATCATTGGAAAAAAATCAAAAGAACAGTATTTCATGACACATGAAAAATCATATAAAAATCAAATGTGTGTGTCTATACATAAGTTGTGATTGCAGTCAAACCACAGCCACACCCACTTGTTTACATCCTGTCTGGGCTGCTTGTGCAGTAAACGGCGGAGGTCAGCAGGTGTGACAGAGGTCTTATGGCCTGCAAAGCTGAAAATATTTACTATCTGGTCCTCTACAGGAGAAGCTGGCCGACCCCTGCTTTAGGCTGTGACCTCCAGAGGGCAAGGGGCTTTGTCCTTCATTTCTATGGATGCTCCCTAGTGCCTGAAAGGGGTCAGGGCCTTGACAGATGATCAGATAACAAATGGTGGATAATTACCATGAGGCCCTGCCCCCAGCATAGAGCTGTGCATCAAGCTTGTGATGGATGGATGGATGGATGGGTGGGTGGGTGGATGGATGGATGGATGGGTGGGTGGATGGGTGGATGGGTGGGTGGATGGGTGGGTGGGTGGATGGGTGGGTGGGTGGTTGGGTGGGTGAATGAAATGAATAGGCAGTTCTCTGTATCCATGGGTTCTACATCTATGGATTCAATTAATCACTGATTGAAAATATTCAGGAAAAAAATAAGGATGGTTGCATCAGTATTGAACAGGTACAGAGTTTTTTTTTCTTGTCATATTCCATAAACAATGTAGATAGTAACTACTTACATGGTATCTACATTGTATTAACTATCATAATTAATCTTGAGCTGATTTAAAGCATCTGGGAGGATATGTATAGGTTACATGCAAATACTACACCATTTTATATCAGGGATTTGAGCTTCTGGGGATTTTGGTATCCCGTAACCCAGTCTCCCACAGATACCGAGGGAAGACTGACTACATAGGGAAGATGCTCTGGTTGAAGCCACAAGCGTCATCCCTTAGGGTGGCCAAACGCCCCTCCAGAGTCACAAACCAGAATCTGACATCCCTTGGGCAGGCACCTCTCCAAGAGCGCCAGACTGGCCTTGACATTCCATGAGCCCAGAACTCTAAAGAGAGGACGTGATTCATCTGAGATAAGTCCTTTCACTAGGAGAGGAAGGAAACCCATGTTCAGATCCGGGACCAAATTTAACTCCTGTCTTTCACACGTCCCCATCCCCCATAACACACACACGCACACAAGTCCCAACCCAGCAGTCAGGAGACAGCATCGGCACTTACTGACTCAGCTTCCTCCCGAAGGGTTACCCCACAACCCTCGCAAAACACAGTTGGAGAAAAATCCTCAATGGGAAGGGGCTATTCCAGAGGGAGAGGTTTCTCCTGGTGTTGGAGAACAGAGTAGTTCCTCCCTCTCATTCTGTTTCTCTCTCTCTCTCTCTCCCCTCACCATACACACACACACACACACACATACACACACACACTCACACACTCTCTCTCTCTCTCCCCCTCTCCCTCCCTCTCTTCCTCCCTCAAAAGGCGCTGAGACAAAGAGGGAACTAAAGAAACAAGAGACAGAAAGGCTAGGCGCGCTGGCTCACGCCTGTAATCCCAGCACTTTGGGAGGCCGAGGTGGGCGGATAATGAGCTCAGGAGATCGAGACCATCCTGGCTAACCCGGTGAAACCCCATCTTTACTAAAAATACAAAAAATTAGCCGGGCGCGGTGGCGGGCGCCTGTAGTCCCAGCTACTCGGGAGGCTGAGGCAGGAGAATGGCGTGAACCCGGGAGGCGGAGCTTGCAGTGAGCCGAGATCGCACCACTGCACTCCAGCCTGGGTGACAGAGCGAGACTCTGTCTCGAAAAAAAAAAAAGAAAGAAACAAAACACAGCAGGAAATAACGGCCTTTCACTCCACAGGGAATTTCAGATCCAGCCAACAAGCCCATCTCTTAGGAGGATATTAGCATCCTCAATACCTCGGAGACAGCACCTAATTTACGTTTTAAATCCCAGTGTGGGAAAATTGATATGTTCCCAGTTTGGAATGTGAATAGAGATGTTTTATCTGAATAGAGATATATTTTTACTTCCCAATAAGAAGAAAGCTCTTTTCCACATGAATATATATCCAAAAAATCAGAGAGACAGCAGCTCCGTGCTTCTGGAACAGTTGGAATTATCCTGCCATTTCATCTGGGCCCGGGGCCTAGGATACTATAACAACCCTCCAACATGCTCCTTGGTGGACACAGGTCAGCGTTTATTGCTGTTTGCCTGCTTTTTTTTTTTTTTTTTTTTTTTTTGAGACGTAGTCTAGCTCTGTCGCCAGGCTGGAGTGCAATGACACGATCTCGGCTCACCGCAACCTCCGCCTCCAGGGTTCACGCAATTCTCCTGCCTCAGCTTCCCGAGTAGCTGGGGTTGCAGGCACATGCCGCCAAGCCCATCTAATTTTTTTGCATTTTTAGTAGAGATGGGGTTTCACCATGTTGACCAGGATGGTCTCAATCTCCCGACCTCATGATCCGCCCACCTCGGCCTCCCAAAGTTTTACCTGCTTTTTCTCCTCTGCTCCTGAGCTTTGTCCTGAATGGGAAGACTCACAGCAGCTCACACATATAAGGGAATTAATTCCACGCTTATTAAGTTGCTGAAGCTGCCTCATCCCTTGCCCAGTAGCTAAACCGTCTCTTGACTGGGCAGATGATGCATTACCTTCACCAACAGGTGTAAAATCAGTGCTCCCTGTCCTGGGCTATTTCCCGTGCCCTGGACACCCAGCTATATTTGAGGATGGTCCTTTGCCTCCAGGTGTGTTGAGAACTTACAAGACTGAAGATGTTAGCTGAGGCCTTGAGCTTTCTTTCCCCTAGCTGTGTGACCCTAAGAAAACTGCTTAACCTCTCTGGGCCTGCATTTCCTCAAGAGATAAAAGTACTGCCCTACCTATCTGCAAAGGATTTGAGGCTTAGAACACTGGAGGGATGTCAGTGTGCTTGGGGGTAACCCTTAAGGCATGTACCCTCAGTCACTGTCATGCCCCTTCCTAATTAAGTGACTTTCTTCCAAAAGGGAATGCAACCACATAATGTCCCTGCTTAAGCCCCTGAGAGGCATTTAGAGTTAAATCCAAACACCGGCCAGGCGCGGTTGCTCACACCTGTAATCCTAGCACTTTGGGAGGCCGAGGCGGGCAGATCACCTGAGGTCGGGAGTTCGAGACCAGCCTGACCAACATGGAGACACCCCATCTCTACTAAAAACACAAAGTTAGCTGGGCGTGGTGGTGCATGCCTGTAATCCCAGCTACTTGGGAGGCTGAGGCAGGAGAATTGCTTGAATCCAGGAGGCGGAGGTTGTGGTGAGCCGAGATCGCACCATTGCACTCCAGCCTGGGCAACAAGAGTGAAACTCTGTCTCAAAAAAAAAAAAAAAAAAAAATTCCAAACACCTTTCCATGGCCCCATACCCCAGGCCCCCAGACCCCCAGCTTCAGCCCCCACCGCACAGTCACACAGGCCTCTGTGCCGCACTCCTGCCAGAAAGCCCTAGCGCAAGCTGTTCCCTCTGCTTCAAACAACCGCACCTTGAACCACCCCCGCCCCCCCACCATACACACATCCTTTAAGTCTGAGCTTTAATGGCCCTTCTTCAGTGTAATGGGAGAAAAACTGTCTCCCCAAAATTCAGGTCCACCTGTAATCTCAGAATGCGACCTTCTTTGGAAATAGGGTCCTTGTAGATGTAATTAGTTAGGTCTGAATGAGGTCACTCTGCATTAGGGTGGACCCTAATCCAATGACTAGTGTCCTTATAAAAAAAGAACACACAGACATACAGCTAGAAGCCAAAAAACGCCAACAATTGCCGGAAGCCACTGGAAGCTGAAGAAGAAAGGAGGGATTCTCTTTTACAGCCTTTGAAGCAGTGTGGCTCTGAGGACACTATTAGCCTCAAGAAAGTCGGAAAACACAGTGCTGTTGTTTTGAAACCACCCAGATTGTGATAATTTGTTAAGGTGCACTCAGAAAAGCACAAGCCGAAGCTCAGCTAAAGTTCATCCCCCATTTTCTTCAAAGCATCCTGGTCTTCTTTCTCCCTCCTGCCAGGTCTGCCTCTCCCTCCAGCCCACAGACCCCAAGAGAGAAGGGATCTCAGCTGCAGGGTTCCCTGTAGCCCCCAGCACAGAGCCTGGCCCACAGCAGGTGTCAGAGGAGTACTTTCCAAATGAATTCAACAGATGCCTGGAAGGAAGCTCAGAAAGGCCAAGGGACTCATCCAAGGTCACACAGCAGGTTGAAGCAGGCCAGGGAAACCAGCACCCAGGCCACTGGCCTCCCTATGAGTGATTCAAGGAGCCAAGACGCTGGCACTCATCCTGCAAGGACTTGGGTCCGGCAGGAGAAGCTCCCTCTCCCTCCCAATTCCCAACTTCCAGGCCTGTGCCCTCTGGGATCTGTGCCCAGCCAACACCACGACCTTGGCAGGGACCATCCCAGCTCAGTGACCCTGGAGATAAAAGCCTCTTGGGTCCTCCTGAGGTTCTGGGGCTGCTGTGGGGCAAGGGATGCCCTAGACTCAAGTTACCCCAGCACCCACAGGGCAAATGCCAGTGACCAGCAAAGGCCGCTCAAGAAACAGGCCCTCACCCATGCAGACCCACAACCCTGCACCCACCTGGCTCCTGCCTCACACACCCTCATTCCCTAGCTCTGCATTGATGAGTGTGGGAGGCACACAGTCCAGAGAATGGACATTAAATAGCACTGACTCACGGAAGAAAAGTGATTCCAGCCAGGAGAAGGTCTCCATGAGGTGCCAGCCTGTCTTTAACACTTCCGCGACACTTGCTAATCACGCTTTTTAGCAAAGAGAGAGTAAGGCCACTTCTAGCCCAAAAACCTGCAGTGAAAGCGGCATTTATTTAGTGGGAACTTGATGACACTGTTTGATTTCCTTTGCCTGTATTTCTTAAGTAATCTACTTATAACCAGCATCGCTGGTGTTATCAATTGACAGTAATAATACATAGAATTATTTGAGTACAATGAGGTGGGGGTGGTTTTAGATAATTAGAGGAATAATAACATAAGAAGTAAAAAGATGTGGAAACATCACTCAAGTGGTGCGTGGATGACAGAGCTTGGGGGACTCTACACTCATTTGTTCATTCATTCACTTACTTTATCCATGATGTACACATATACACATGTCTCTCCTCAGGTAATTCAGGCAGCATCCAGTAATATATGGTTATGCCTCCCAGGCCAGGTGCCATAAGAATCACCTGGGGAGTTTTCCTTTTATGTTAGACAGAGTTTTGCTGTGTCACCCACGCTGGAGTGCAGTGGTGCAATCACAGCTCGCTGCAGCTTCAACCTCCCAGGCTCAAGCAGTCCTCCACCTTGGTCTCCCAAGTAGCTGGAACTAGAGGAGCATGCCATCACACCCAGCTAATTTTTCTATTTTTTGTAGAGATGGGGTCTCGTCACGTTGCCCAGGCTGATCTTGAACTCCTGGCTCAAGCAATCTTCCCGCCTTGGCCTCCCAAAGCGCTGGGATTACAGGCATGAGCCAGGCACCTGGCCGAGTTTTCCTTTTGAATACAGATCCCCAAGGGTCCTGCTTCAGACCAGCTGAGCCTGAGTCTCTAGATGGTGGCCCCAGCATCTGTATTTTTCTGAAGCTCCCCAGGGAGTTTCTCCTGAGCATCCAGGGCTAAGAGTCATGTCTCAGGCACTCAGGGGCTTCTTCTTCCCTAGGAAGTATAGAGCACCCTGGAAGAATGCGATGCGGGGCTCCAGCCTTTCTCCCACCAAAGACACACACCAGGGTGTGCCCCGGGTCAGTGAGAAGTGGGTTCTTAAGTATTTCTTCAGCATCTCACCCAGGCCAGCTCTCCTTGGGGGCACCAGGGTACATCCTCAGAAAGTTCACAGTCCAGTGAGGGAGAACAAAGTATTTCCAGAAAACACAGCAGGATGTGACCGACATTCTAACAGGAACCAGCCCCTGCCCGGCACCTCAGCTCACATAGACACAGAGGCCCAACAAATACAGAGCCTACAAATCCCCCACAAATTAAATAATGTGCCAGCCACACCCATAAGAATAGATACAGTAAAAACACACACACACACACACACACACACAGAAAATAACAAGTGTTGGCCGGGCATGGTGGCTCATGCCTGTAATCTCAGCACTTTGGGAGGCCAAGGCAGGCAGATCACCTGAGGTCAGGAGTTTGAGACCAGCCTGGCCAACATGGTGAAAGCCCGTCTCTACTAAAAATACAAAAATCATCCAGGCATGATGGCGCATGCCTGTAATCCCAGCTACTCAGGAGGCTGAGGCAGGAGAATCACTTGAACTCCGGAGGTGGAGGTTGCAGTGAGCTGAGATCATGCCACTGCACTTCAGCCTGGGTGACAAGAGCAAGACTCCATCTCAAAAAAAAAAAAATAATAATAACAACAAGTGTTGGCAAGGATGTGAATAAATTGGAACACTTGTGCACTGTTGGTATGAATATAAAATAGTGTAGCCACTGTGGAAGATGATATGGTTGTTTCTTAAAACGTTAAAAACAGGATTAGCATGTCATCCAGCAATTCCACTTCTGGGTATAAAATCAAAGAAACTGGGCTGGGTGCGGTGGCTCATGCCTGTAATCCTAGCACTATGGGAGGCCAAGGCGGGTGGATCAGGAGGTTAGGAGTTCGAGATCAGCCTGGCCAAGATGGAGAAACCCCGTCTCTACTAAAAATACAAAAATTTGCCTGGTGTGGTGGCGGGTGCCTGTAATCCCAGCTACCCAGGAGGCTAAGGCAGGAGAATTGCTTGAATCCGGGAGGTGGAGGTTGCAGTAAGCCAAGATTGTGCCACTGTACCCTAGCCTGGGCGACAGAGCAAGACGCCGTCTCAAAAAAAAAAAAAAAAAAATCAAAGAAACTGAACGTAGGGACTTGAACTGATATTTTTACAGCATTTTATTCATACTAGCTAAAACGTGGAAACAAGTCAAGCATCCACTGATGAATGAATGAATAAACAATGTGGTCTAGCCATACAATGGAATATTATCCATCCAGCCTTTAAAAAGAAGGGAATTCTTCAGCTATTCAGGAGGCTGAGGCAGGAGAATTGCTTGAACCTGGGAAGTGGAGGTTGCAGTGAGCTAAGATCGCACCACTGCACTCCAGCCTGGCAACAGAGCAAGACACAGTCTCAAGAAAAAAAAAAAAAAGAGAAGGGAATTCTTACATGCTACAACACAGGTGAACTTGAAGACATTTTGCTAAGCAAAATATGCAATCACAAAAGGCCAAATACTGTATGGTTCACTTGTATCAGATGCCTAAAGTAGTCAAATTCATAGAGAAAGAAAATAAAACAGTGGTTGCCAGGGGTTGTGGGGAGGCGGCATGGGATGGGGCGTTGTTCATGAGTAGAAGAGTTTCAGTCTGGGAGGACGGAGAGAGTTCTGGAGATAGATGGTGGTAACAGTTGCACAACAATGTGAATGTACTTATGCCACCAAACGGGAGTAAACTTAAAAATTATTGGCCGGGCGCGGTGGCTCACGCCTGTAATCCCAGCACTTTGGGAGGCCGAGGCGGGCGGATCACAAGGTCAGGAGATCGAGACCATCTTGGCTAACACAGTGAAACCCTGTCTCTACTAAAAATACAAAAAATTAGCCGGGCGCGGTGGCAGGTGTCTGTAGTCCCAGCTACTTGGGAGGCTGAGGCAGGAGAATGGCATGAACCTGGGAGGTGGAGCTTGCAGTGAGCTGAGATAGCCGCACTGCAGTCCGGCCTGGGCAAAACAGCGAGACTCCGTCTCAAAAAAAAATAAATAAATAAATAAATAAATAAAATAAATTATTAAGATGGTTGCCCGGGCATGGTGGCTCACACCTCTAATCCCAGCACATTGGGAGGCCGAGGCAGGCAGATCACCTGAGGTCAGGAGTTCAAGACCAGCCTGGCCAAACATGGCGAAATCCCATCTCTACTAAAAAAAAAAAAAAAAAAAAAAAATACAAAAATTAGCCAGGCATGGTGATGTGCGCCTGTAATCCCAGCTACTCAGGAGGCTGGGGCAGGAGAATCGCTTGAACCTTGGAGGCAGAGGTTGCAGTGAGGCAAGATCGCACCACTGCACTCCAGCCTGGGCAACAGAGCAAGACTCTGTCTCAAAAAAAAAAAAAAATGATTAAGATGATTGGCTGGGTGTGGTGGCTCATGCCTATAATCCCAGCACTGTGGGAGGCCAAGGCAGGAGCATCACCTGAGGTCAGGAGTTTGAGACCAGCCTGGCCGACATGGTGAAAACCCCGTCTCTACTAAAAATACAAAAATTAGCTGGGCATGGTGGTGCATGCCTGTAGTCCCAGCTATTCAGGAGGCTGAAGCAGGAGAATCTCTTGAACCCAGGAGGCGGAGGCTGTAGTGAGCCAAGATTGCACCACTGCATTCCAGCCTGGGTGACAGAGTGAGACTCTCAAAACAAAACAAAACAAAACAAAACAAAAGATTAAGATGGTAAACTGTATCCATATTTCACAATTTTTAAAAGTGGGGTTTTTAAAACAAGTCAGGCACCAGGGCACAGGCATGGGATCCAGCTGCCTGAGTTCAAAACCTAGTTCTATGACATGCTAGCTAGGTAGCCTTGAAGTTACTTTGCTTCTGTGCCTCAGTTTCCTCATCTGCAAAATGGGTATAAAAGTAATAATGCCTGGTGTACGAGTCCATTTTCATGCTGCTGATAAAGACATACCTAAGACTGGGAAGAAAAAGAGGTTTAATTGGATTTACAGTTCCATATGGCTAGGGAGGCCTCAGAGTCATGGCAGGAGGCAAAAGGCACTTCTTACATGGCAGCAGCAAGAGAAAAATGAGGAAGAGGCAAAAGCAGAAACACCTGATAAAACCATCAGATCTCGTGAGACTTAATCACTACCAAAAGAACAGCATGGGGAAAACCGCCCCCGTGATTCAAATTATCTCCCACCAGGTCCCTCTCACAACACATGGGAATTATAGGAGTACAATTCAAGATGAGATCTGGGTGGGGACACAGAGCCAAACCCTATCACCTGCCTCCTGGGGCTGTTGCGGGGATGAAAGGAGTTAACCAGTATAAAGTGACTAGCAGAGTGCCCAGTTCACAGCATGTGTTCAATACGTTAACTGCTATGATTACGGTGGTGGTGGCCATGATCATTTCCTGCTCCACACCCTGCTGGAGCCCTGAGGTTCTGAAAGACACTCACAAGAAGCTATGCAGGTCCAGGGACATTTTTAGCGTTTTGGTTTGGTTTGTTTAAGACAAGAAGCCACTTATGAGTATGGAATAAGGACTACGGTGCCGAATGTGGGGAAGCTGAGAAATTAAACTGTGAGGACAGAGGCCAACTCAGCAATAAATAAAATGTCCCTGCCCAGAGCCCAGAGCCAAAAAACCTCTGTCTCCACTTGCAGGGTGACGTAGGCCAAGGCCCTGCCCTCTCTAGGCTTCAGCAGGCCCTGCCCCTCAACCCCCAACCCTGGGAATCTAAGGGCGAGAAGCCAGTCCAAGATCCTGGCGTGTCAGCACATCAGACCCGTGGGGCCCTTTGGAGCCCCAGGGTGGGCTGGGGGAGGTGGATTCCTGAGCTAATCAGAGTTAGAGGGTCTCAGACACATTCAGGCCTTTCTGTTTGGACTCACAGGCTCTATGAGGCCAGACCTGGCAGCTGCTACCAGGAGGCAGCTGTGGGGTAAGAAGCCTCCTACCATCCCTGCTGAGCCTCACCCAGGCCTCCAGCCCGGTTTATCAAGGCTCTGGGGGAGCAGACAACAGCGCATGGTAACAGGCATGGGCCAAACATTTTATCCAAAAGTCCTGGACACAAAGGGCCTTTAAAGGGTCACATTATCCATCTCCTGCCTCCATTGCGCTGTCAGTTTCCCTTTTTTCAAAGAAACACAATTCCGAGGTTGCAAGGTCACCAGTAAACACACAGGGATATGTTTGATGCTGATCGTGGAAACGTGAGTATAATTAGCACATTGACAGTAATCATAATAACAGCTGCCGACAACATGCCCGGCACTGGGCTCAGAACTTCACAGGCAGCCTCTCGGTCAATCCTCATGACAGCTCTCTGAGATGGTTCTACTATTAATATCGTTCCCATTGCACAGACAGGGAAACTGAGGATTGAACTTCCCCTGCGTTTCACAGGCAGCAAGTGGTGAAGCAGAGGACTCAAACCCAGGCTTACAGGACAGGGGAGCCTACCTGCTTTGCTCTATCCTCCCCGACCCAATAACATGGTCCGAATCCTGACTGGCAGGTCCCACTCATGACTGGCAGGTCCCCGGGAAGCCAGAGTTTCCACCCTTGCATTTCCCAGCCCAAGCACCCCAACCTGGCAGTGCGTCTCTTGCACGAGACTCCTGCAGTCTCAGGCCCAGCCAGAGGTAGGTCCCCCATGGGCTCAGCTAGGGGTGGGCCCCAGCATGTGGGGAGCAGGCAGGGAAAGGGCCCAAACCTGTTCCTCCACCCACAGGGGTGCTGGGTGCTGAAAGCATCTTCATGTCGCGACCAGCCCGGTGGGCTCTCTGCGTCACAGGTGGGAGTGTCCAAGTCTGGCAGGTGGCCAGTGGGTGTTCGAGCCTCACCCAGACAGCTCCTGGGCTTCCGCACCCCAACATGGACAGACCCCCATGCTGCCCCCAACACAACAACAGGGGGTCCCAGGAAGGGTGGGGGTAGGCAGAGAGGGATCTCAGATGGAAAGAAACAGGAACTGGGAAGCAAAATCCTAGCATTTGTGTCCCTGCTCAGCTCCTGGCTGGCTGAATGACCTTGAGCAAAATATTCATCCTCTCTAAGCCTTTTGTTCCCTCTCTAAAAAGGAAAGCTTCCAAAAGAAAGGCAGGAACATCCAGACAGCCTTGTTAGGGCTGGGATCCAATGCCCACCCCTGGGGGTTCTGCTGTCTTGCTCCATAAACAGGGAACTGCCGAATGTGGAGCAATCCTTCCCAGGGGGATGTGCCCGGCTCAGTGTTCCCAGCTGCAGCAGGGCCAAGCGCCTGCAGTCGCTGGCTACGGGTGGGGAGTGGGAAGACCAGGCTGTCTGAGGCCCTAGAGACCAGAAATCCACAAACTCACTCGGTTCCCAGTCCCACCCCAATGCCCGCCTCTTCCCACAAGGCATACAGTAGCCACACGGGAAGCCCACGCTGAATAGTGGCGGGGAGTGTGGATGGTGCGGGGAAACCCATCTCTGCTGCTGGACAAATTAACCAAAGCTCTCATCTCCTGCTGGTGAGTCAGCAGCATCCCCAAGTGCAAAGGGAGGCCAGGGGAATAGAATGAAATTGGCAGGGAATTTGGATCCCCCGCTCTGCACCATCCTTGGCTATATTTCCTTGGTGGAGTCAATTCCCTCTCTGAGCCTCAGTTTTCTCATCTGGAAAAAGAGATCAATACTGCCTGTCTGATGGGATCCTCCTGAGGTTGAACCCTATGAAATTCTGGTATCTGCCATTCTTGACCTACGAAAATGGCAATTTCATATATTTCAATATGTGCATGGGTACAGCACATAGGTGACAGCAATAAGCACTGGTCACAGCCAGGCGCAGTGGCTCACAGCTGTAATTTCAGCACTTGAACTCAGAAGCCTGAGCAACAGAGCGAAACTCCATCTCTACTGAAAATCAAAAAAATTAGCCAGGCATGGTGGCACACACCTGCACCCCAGCTACTTAGGAGGCTGAAGCAGGAGGCTTGCTTGAGCCCAGGAGGTCGAAGGTGCAGTGAGCTAGGATTGCACCACTGCACTCAAGCCTGGGTGACACAGTGGGATGCTGTCTTGAAAAAAAAACTGAAAAAAAAAAAAAGAATCACTGATACTTGTTATGACATGAATGACCTCAAAAACATTCTGCTAAGTTAAATATGCCAGTCACAAAAGGTCACATATTGTATGATCTAATTTACATGAAATGTCCAGAACGGGCAAATCCATAGAGAAAGTAGATTAGTGGCTGTGTAAGGCCGAGGAGGAAACTGGTGAAGGGGCACCACTAATGGGTATGGGGTTTCCTTTTGGAGGTGATGAAAATGTTCCAAAATCAGTCATGGTTGAGAGTTGCACATATCTATGAATATACTAAAAACCACTGAACTGTGCACTTTAAAGAGGTGAGCTGGGCTGGGCTGGATGTGGTGGCTCACGCCTGTAATCCCAGCACTTTGGGAGGCCGAGGCGGATGGATCACCTGAAGTCAGGAGTTTGAGACCAGCCTGACCAGTGTGGTGAAACTCCACCTCTACTAAAAATACAAAAATTAGCCAGGCGAGGATGGCGTGCACTTGTAGTCCCAGCTACTCGGGAGGCTGAGACAGGAGAATTGCTTGAAGCCGGAAAGTTGAGGTTGCAGTGAGCCGAGATCACGCCATTACACTCCAGCCTGGGCAACAGAGCAAGACACCCGTCTCAAAAAAAAAAAAAAAAAAAAAAAAGAGGTGAGCTGGATGATAAGTGAATTATATCTCAATAAGGCTGTACTGGAAAAGACAGAAGAGTTCAAGAAAAATGTTTGAAAAACAGCCCAGGTGGTATACACATATCAAGAAAATCCCGAAGTGATACAAGAATGACTGGAGTTTGGAGTTTAAACACGGAGCTCATGCATTAGCTTTACCTAGGTTCAAATCCCAGCTCCACCACCTCCTAGCCGACTGACCATGGGCTAATGACTTAAGCTCTCTCCACCTCACTTTCCTCATCTGGAAATAAGAATAGTTCCTGCCTCATGGTGTCACCATGAGAACTAAAGGACCTAACACAGTACCTGGCATGTCCTAATGGGTTAACAAACGGTAGCATTGGTACCTGTCACCATCATCACATCACACACTAAAGCTCATGGAGGGGGTGAGACCTGCCCAATGTCACAAGGCTGGGAAAAGTCAGGCTGGAAACCTGAACTTCAGTCCTCAGCTTACCCAGAAGTTCTATCTCCCACGCAGCTGAGAGGCCTCACCCAAACCTGCCCCACCCAGACCCAAGTCCGGCTGATAAATCCTTTCCTGAAAGGGAGCAGAGCCTGCAAATCAGCCAATCATTTGCTGAGGGCCTGCCAGGTGACAGGGCCTCCCAGAGCTGGTGAAAGTCCCGTTGTGCAAACCACCAAAGGAGGTGCAGCTGGGCAGAGGGTGGGCAGAGCCAGGCCCGGGTCTACACGGCACATTCAGCACCGGCTTGCTACTATTATTATTAATATACAGTCATCACTATTATTCAGCATCATTATTATTTTCACCCAGATTTTTGGGAGGACCTTATTAGTCATTCATTTGACAAATATTTATTAAGTGTCCCTACTATGTGCCAGAAACTGTACTTGGGACATGGCAGGGAGCAAAGTCCCTGCCCTCCTGGAGCTTCATATTTCCATAGTAGAGACAGATATTATTAGATAAACAAATATATAAATAATTATATGCAATAACCAGGCATGGTGGCTCATGCCTGTAATCCTAGCACTTTGGGAGGCCGAGGCAGGCAGGTCACTTGAGGTCAGGACTTAGAGACCAGCTTGGCCTAGTAGAGACAATCCTGTCTCTATTAAAAATACAAAAAAATTAGCCGGGCATGGTGGCACATGCCTGTATCCCAGCTACTTGGGAGGCTGAGGCAGAATTGCTTGAACCGGGAGGTGGAGGTTGCAGTGAGCCGAGATCACGCCATTGCACTCCAGCCTGGGCAACACAGCGAGACTCCGTCTCAAAAAAAAAAAAAAAAAAAAAAAAAAACCATCATATGCAGTTTGGGGTCTGTACTGAGAGGAGCGAGAGCAGGGAATGGGCGGGTCATGGGGAGGACTGTCCTTTCCTGTGTGCCACCACCCTCCCCACCTGCACAGATGTAGCTTCCTCACTGGCCTCCGGGCCTCCACTTCTGCCCCTGAGCACAAGTCCATTCCCTTTTCAGCAGTCAGGGTTTTTTAAAAGCCCAAACCGAGTCCTGCCATGAAGGGCAACTGCAGTTAAAATGAACCCCACATTGCCCTGCACTAGCCTGGCCCCCTGAACCTCTCCCCCTTGCTCCCTGTGCCTTCAGGTCTTCCAGCACAATGCCCAGCTTGCTCCTGCCTGGGGGCCTTTGCACTTGCCGGTCCTGCTACCTACAACACTCTCCCCGTGGGCTCTTCAGATGGCCCCTTTGTCTCCTTCAGGTCTCAGCACATAGGTCACTTCCTCCCAGAGCCCTCCCCTAGCCACCCCATCGAAAGCAGACACCGTCTTCCACATTACCTTCTTTTATTTTCACCATCGCTCTTAATCATTATCTGAAGTTCTGGTTTATGAACGGACTTTTGTGCCTGCTTCTCCCCACTAGAATGTCAGGACTACGAAGGCACTGAACCCTGCTGCATCCTTGGTGCCCAGAACAGTGCCTGGCACAGAGTAGGTACTTAACAAATATTGTTAGATGAGATGGATGGATGGATGAAAGAAAGAGCTGGAAGGAAGGAAGGAAGGGAGGGAGGGAAGGAGGGAGGGAAAGAAAGAAATAAAGAATAAGTGGATGGAATGGAAGGTAGTAGATGGAAAGAAGGAAGAAAGTACAGGTATGTGGATGGAAGGAAAGATGAATGAAATGATAGATGAATACACACATGGATGCATGGATGCATATATGGATGGATGCATATATGGATGGATGGATGGATGCATGCATGCGTGCATGCATGAGTGGATGAATGGGTAGGTGGATGGATGAATACAAAATGGAGGAATGGATGGAAGAATGGATGGAAAGCAGCTATACGGTAGACAGAAGACTGAATGGGTAGTTCTGACCATATGCTTATGAGCACAGGGTCCTGAATGCAGATCTCTCATGAGCACTGTTTTCTGAGCAGTGAAATAAGGTAAACCATATAAAACATGTAGCAAGTGCTCAATAACCATTAACCATGTTTATGATCAATATTTTAGTTGTTGTTAACCACTGTAATATATCTGTCTGGGTGATAACATTTTGCATAATGTTGGTCTGCCTGCCTACCTACCCATTTTTCCTTCATGTTCTGCAATGATCCTATATGGTTTTAGGAATAAACACCACAGAAAGTTATGTTTAAAGATTCCCATCTCTCTCTAGCATGATCTTGGACTTCAAAGCCCTGACCAGGTAGAAGGGAAACTGAGTCACCAGCTGGGACCCTAGCCTGTTCCAGGCACCTACCCTCCCTCAGTCCCCTCCCACTAGACACACCCTGGAACATGAAACCCCCAAGTTCATGCTCCCTTTGGAAGCACTGCTAAAGAAACCTCTCTGGAAACTGTGGCACGTTAAGAATTCCAGCCTGTTTGAGGAAGCACTCAGGCCACAGCCCAGGGGAAGCCCAGGTAACCCCCCAACCCTCTACCTACAAGCCAAACTCTTTCCTTCATGATCCACGACCCCCCCAAAAAAATACCAATTTCTGGGTGCAAATTCAGTACCACATCCCACAGCAGCCAGATGGATCACCCCCAAATTTGAGAGACACTGGGAATGTACCATGTTGTGGGTACAACATTCACACTGGGGGACCCCAGGGGATAACCCCAAGATTTAGCAGCCATCCTTCAGGGAAACTAAAACAGAGAAACAGGGCTCAGAGCATCATAAACTAAAGGCAACCTGGCATGGCATTGAGGTGTCATGAACAAGAAAAACAAGGAGCTTTTCTCAAGAACAGCCCCAGGAGAAGACTCACTTCTACACAAGGGGTAGATGCCCAAATTTGTGGATATTCGGTTGGCAAGGGAGCTATGTCTCACATGGACAGCTCTGGGTAGTACCAGCAAAAATAGGAATAACCACTATGGCTGTCCTTCATTGATCACTTCCCATGTGGAATCAGACAGCTAGATAGTAGTATCAATGACAGCAGCTGGCTAGGCGTGGTGGCTCACACCTGTAATCCCAGCACTTTGGGAGGCCAAGGCAGGTGGATCACCTGAGGTCAGGAGTTCAAGACCAGCCTGACCAACATGGTGAAACCCCGTCTCTACTAAAAATACAAAATTAGCTGGGCATGGTGGCACGTGCCTGTAATCCCATTACTCGGGAGGCTGAAGCAGGAGAATCACTTGAATCCGGGAGGCAGAGGATACAGTGAGCCAATATCACACCATTGCACTCCAGCCTGGGCAACAAGAGTGAGACTCTGTCTCAAAATAAGTAAATAATAAATAAATTACAGCAGCTACAGTTGATTACGATGATTGAGTGAGATAGTGCATAGCAAGTGCTTAGCACAGGGTCTGGCTCAGTCTGCATTGTTGGTGCTGTTATAAATATACTAGATCAAGCTTGTCTAAACCATGGCCCTCGGGCTGCAGGACAGCTTTAAATGAGCCCAACACAAATTCATAAACTTTCTTAAAATGTTATGAGTTTTGTTTTGTTTTTTTTTTTAGCTCATCAACTATTGATAGTGTTAGTGTACTTTATGTGTGGCCCAAGACAATTTTTCTTCTTCCAGTGTGGCCCAGGGAAGCCGAAAGATTGGACCCCTGTACTAGATGATGATGATGATGAGAAGGAGGAAGAGGCACTGACGATGTGCCTGGCTGTGCTAGGAGCCTTTACATGATAAAGGCACATCTACCCTATTAGGTAAGCCCTACCATTAGCCTCATTTTATAGAGACGGAAACCAAGGATGGCCCAGGTTGTATAATGTATTGGTTCAAGGTCACAGAACTAGTACAGCACAGCTTCACTTCCCTACAGATGTCTCCAACCCCAAACTCCCCTCTGAAAACCAGGCTCCATGACCTGCCCTGCCCTATGGCTCCCCCAGCCCTTTCCTCTCTCTGGCCTTCTGGGATCCTGCAGTGTCCAGGTGACATCATGGCTTTCAGACCTTCTTGGAGGTAGTGGGCCGACCTTGTCCTTCTCCCCTGGTGTCTCGAGCCTGTCCTCCAGAAGCCACTGCTGAAGTCAGCGGGGGAGGTGGAAGGGTTCTTGGTGAGCTCATTTTACAGGGGCCACCTCCCAGCCTGCTGGGACTGTCCGGTGGCTTTAACTTGGACAATGCCCAGGCCTCAGCAGGGACAGGAAGCATCCCGGAGTGATAAAGATCAGGACTGGTTTGAGAGTTTGCCCAGAGTGCTTTGTGTGAGTCAAACTCCCTGGCCCAAGCCCCGTTCTGAGCAGTTCCCACCTCGGCTGTGCCTGGCGGAGGGGGTCTTCTCTGAAGCCTGTTGTCTAAATCCACTACTTATCAATTACAGCATCCATAGAAGGGGCCCCTCTCTAAACAGTGCACAGACCTTCACTCATTTAATCCTCATAGCAACCCAGTTTTACAGAGCAGAAGCTGAAGTTCATACTGGGTAGTGATCTCCCTACGGTCACAAAGCCAAGCGGTTACAGAGCCAGGGTGGAATATAAGCCGCCTCAGTATAAAGCCCACATTCTACATGTGCCCCAAGACACGGAGCTGAAATCTCAATCAATATGTATGTATGCAGAGTGTGATGAAAAGTCTAAATCACAGCCCAGAATATTAGCACCAGTTATCTTTAGAATGTGGGATTATGGATTTTATCTCCTTTTTATTTATCTGTACAGGCAGCCCTCAGTATCTGTCGGTTTCACATCCAAGGATTCAACCAAGCTCGGATGAAAAATATTGTTTTTAAAAAATGGATGGTTGTGTCTGTAATGAACATGTACAGAGGTTTTTTTTTGTCATTATTCCATAAACAATACAGTGTAACATCTCCTTACCTAACACTTACATTGGATTAGGTATCATAAGTAATCTAGAGATGATTTAAAGTATTTGAGAAGATATGCGTAGGTTATATGCAAATACTACACCATTTTATATACAGGACTTGAGCTTGCTCAGATTTCGGTATCTGAGGGAGATCTGGAACCAATCCCCTGAGTATACCAAGGGACAACTACATTTTGAAATGTTCAACAACAAAAACGAGGCCGGGCACGGTGGCTCACACCTGTAGTGCCAGCACTTTGGGAGGCTGAGGTGGGCAGATCACTTGAGTCCAGGAGTTCAAGACCAACCTAGGCAACAATGGGAGATTCTGTCTCTGCAAAAAAATTTTAAAAATTAGCCGGCATGGTGGCACACACCTGTAGTCCCAGCTACTCAGGAGGTTGACGTGGGAGAATCGCCTGAGCCTGGGAGGTCAAGGCTGCAGTGAGCCATGACTGCACCACTGCACTCCTACCTGGGTGACAGGGCAAGGCCCTGTCTCAACAAAACAAAACAACACAACACAAAACAAAACAATAAAACAATAAAAATGTATTGCTGCATAATAAGGACAAAAAGAGCATAAAAATTATCAATTTGGAAAATAAAAAGAGAGTCATCTCATGCCCAACACATGCATGGTGTGGAGGGGAAGCCAAGTAAGCAGGCGGGTCCCCCAAAGGATAAGATTATGTAATCAATAAAAGTCTGGGAATGTCTCAGTACTCCAGACAGCTCCATGCACACAGTGGGGGCTTTACTTAACATCACCACCCACCCAGATAGAATCGCACGGACACTCCATTTGTCCCAGTGTCCACCGTGTGACCCTGCTAAGAGCTCCCAGCCAGGCTGAAAGACAGAGATCAGCACCCCCATTCCATGGGTGTGGATGCTGGGGTGGATACAGGAAACCATTCCCATGGCTGGGGAGAAAACAGAGCCAGGACATGACTGCGGGCTGCATGGCTCCGGACCCAGGTGGCGTCTTCTACTATAGGCTGCAGCTGGATTCACAGCACAGCCACCTTCCCGGGGTGACTCAGGCCTCAGGGACAAGAACTGGATGGCACCCAGAGAGCCTCCAGGCATGCCCAACAGACTCCAACCAAAGCCAGGGAAGATGGCTCACACCTGCTCTGCTAGGTCAGCCAGCATTCTGGGCATTCCAAAAATTCCTCCATGCTTTTTGCTGCCTTCTCCCCTGCCCCGCCGCCCCCCTTCCCTACCTTTTAATGAATTAAAGGACAGGAAGGCAGAGGGGCTGTGATTAAGACATCTGCATCAAGGCAGGACTTGGAAGCATTACCACTGCCTTTCTCGAGTTAAATCTGACAGTAACCAGGCACCTCGCCTCTCCAAGAAGAAGGTGGTCTACTGGTTGCCAAAGCGTCCTGTCTCATCCAAGTCTTTTTTTCTTTTCTTTTGAGACAGAGTCTCACTCTGTCGCCCAGGCTGGAGTGCAGTGGCATGATCTCGGTTCACTGCAAGCTCCGCCTCCTGGGTTCACGCCATTCTCCTGCCTCAGCCTCCCGAGTAGCTGGGACTACAGGCACCCGCCACCACGCCCGGCTAAATTTTTGTATTTTTTAGTAGAGACAGGGTTTCACCGTGTTAGCCAGGATGGTCTCGATCTCCTGACCTCATGATCCGCCCACCTTGGCCTCCCAGAGTGCTGGGATTACAGGTGTGAGCCACCGCGCCCGGCCCTCATCCAAGTCTTAAGTGTGTCAAGGGAAACGGTTTTGCTTCAAGGCTGGGGGACAATGGGGCCGAGGCTGGGATCAGAGCCCTAGGCCTGCTGCTCTCTGCCTCCTCTTCTCTGTCCTCCTTGAGGGCGGAGGCCAGGCCCCAGGCAGCTCTGAGGCCCAAGGCCCAGTGCAGGCCTTGGTAAACAGTAGATGCTCAACAAATAACAAAGATGAAAATGATCAACTATCCCAAGAGAAGAAAGGACACACAGCACTGGAACTTCCGATGGGAGAGAAGGTATTTCTGATGGAGTCAGAGCTTTGCAGGAGGAAGACCTGAGTTCAAATACAGGCTCTGCAGCCTCTTACCCCAAGCTTATGACATTGAGGAGGGCTTTATCTTTCTGAGCCTCCGTTTCCTCAACTGTAAAGGGGGTTGGTAATACCAACTGCCTGAGTCATTCCGAGGATTTGACAAGAAGGCACCTAACAGTACCTCCCTAACAAGGGACTTGGCACACAGTAGGCCCTGTCAGCAAATTGTGATTTTTCTAGGCCCTGTCTTTTAAAAGGCTGGTTTTAATTCTTCCCAGAATGTATGGCAGAAATAAGAGGCTCTAGAATCTACCTATCCAGTTCCTTGTCCTCCTGTAAAAAAAAGGTCCAGAGAGGGGAGGGGGTATACTCAAGAACACACAGCACAGAAGCTGGACTAAAACTCAGGAGGCCTGACTTCAGGCCTAGAACCCATTCATTCATTCGTTCATTCATTTGTGACAGGCTCTTGCTCTGTCACCCAGGCTGGAGTGCAGTGGCACAATCACAGCTCACTGCAGCCTCAACCTCCCTGGCTCAAGCTATCCTCATGCCTCAGCCTCCCGAGCAGTTGAGACTACAGGTGTGTGCACCATCACGCCTGGTTAATTTTTTAAATTTTTTGTAGAGACAGGGTCTCACTCTGTTGCCCAGGCTGGTCTCAAACTCCTGGGCTCAAGCAATCCTTCCACCTCGGCCTCCCAAAGCACTAAGATTACAGGCATGAGCCACCATGCCCAGCCCAGGACTCATTTTAATACATTCTATATTCTCTCTCATTGCCTAGAACCTCTTCACTTGATAAGCACAGTCCCAGGTATGCAGGTGAGCAAGCATTCTAGAAACAAAGACAAGCACTTTCCAGTGCTGGGGCCTAAAATGAAAGGGAAAGACAAACTTGGGCAGCTTCCCAGGCCAAAGGGCACTGGGAGTTCCCTAACCAAGCCACTCCCCAGCCCTGCCCAGGGCACTGGGCAAGGCTGAGCGGGCAGTGCCTGCCAAAACCCAGGCTTCAAGTCCAGACAGGCCAGGTGGTGTGAGTGTACAGTGACCTCGGTGCACCCAATGCACCCGCTGGGCTCCCCTTCTGCAGGGAGGCCCTACAGACCCAAAATTTCCTTCCCTCGGCAGTGCTCGCTAAGCCATCGGTAAACAGGACTCCCCAGAAGAGGCTTTCCTCCCTGAGGAAGCAAAACAAAAAGGAAAGAACTATCAACACAAAGTCAGCTGGGAGCCTCAGCCCTGACCTGGGGCCTGTGAAAATACAGCTGTTTCTCCAACAGGCAGGGGTATTACACTGGAATGAGATTCTCGTGTATTAATAACAAAGCTCTAGTCCTCCCTGCCTGCCACTAGCTGCGAAGCAAGGCGTTTCACCTCTTGGAGCCCCAGTTTCCTCATCTATAAAATGGGAATAACACTACCATTTTTCTTCATAGGTTGTTATGAGGATCCTATAAACACACAAAATCTATGTCAGAGGAACTGGCCTATAAGAAGCAGTGAATCAGTGTTAGTTTTTACTTTTTATTACTGCCATTGTTGCTATTTCTGCTACTACAACAAGCAAGGAAGATTTACATTATGATTTATAAAATAATTCTTTGGGACAACTTACACACATTTTTTAAAACCTTAAGCTCATCCTTTTCTTTTTTTTTTTTTTTTTTTTTGAGATGGAGTTTCACTCTTGTTGCCCAAGCTGGAGTGCAATGGCACAATCTTGGCTCACTGCAACCTCCACCTCGCGGGTTCAAGCGATTCTCCCGCCTCAGCCTCCCGAGTAGCTGGGATTACAGGTGTCGCCACCATGCCCGGCTAATTTTTTTGTATTTTTAGCAAAGACAGGGTTTCACCATGTTGGCCAGGCTGGTCTTGAACTCCTGACCTCGTGATCTGTCTGCCTTGGCCTCCCAAAGTGCTGGGATTACAGGTGTGAGCTACTGCGCCTGGTCTAAGCTCATCTTTTTATGGGGGAGGTCTCCCGTTTTTTTTTTTTAAACGGAGTTTCATTCTTGTCACCCAGGCTGGCGTGCACTGGCGTGATCTCAGTTCACTGCAACCTCAGCCTCCCGGGTTCAAGCGATTTTCTCGCTTCAACCTCCCGAGTAGCTGGTATTACAAGTGTACGCCACCATGCCTGGCTAATTTTTGTATTTTTAGTAGAGACAGGGTTTCACCACATTGGCCAGGCTGGTCTCGAATTCCTGACCTCAGGTGATCTGTCTGTCTCAGCCTTGCAATGTGCTCACACACATTACAGGTGTGAGCCACCGTCCCCAGCCGAGGTCTCCCTTTTTTTTTTTTTTTTTAAGAGCCTACTATGTGCCAGAGACTTTATAAATGGTTGCTGTATCTAATCTTACAATGACCTCATGGAAGAAATTTTGTCATCTTCTTTCTGCAGAAGAACTGAGGCTCAGGGAGGTGAAATCACTCGTGCAAAGCCACACAGCATCAACATGTGGGAACAGGATCTAACACTAGGATTTTTCGGCTCTGCCCATCCTGCTTCACCACCAGAAGGGCACCAACAGGAGTGATTCAGAGCATGGTGGCTGGAGTCAGGCTACATGGATCCACATTCCCCATTCCCAGTAGTATGGTCCTGGGCAAGTGACTCCTTCTCCAAAACTCAGTTTCCTCACCTGTAAAATGGAGTCACAAGAATCAAATACAACAATGTATAGGGGTAGGGCATGGTGGCTCAGACCTTTAATCCCAGCACTTTGGGAGGCTGAGGCGGAAGAATCACTTGAGACTAGGAGTTCAAGACTAGCCAGGGCAACATACCAAGATCCTGTCTCTACAAAAAAATTTTTTAATTAGCTGGACATGGTGGCGCATTCCTTTGGTCCCAGCTACTCAGAAGGCTGAGGAGAGAGAATCACTTGAGCCTGGGAAATGGAAGTTGCAGTGAGCTGTGATAGCGCCACTGGACCCCAGCCTGGGTGACAGAACAATACCAAAAATAACAAATAAAAAAAAAAGTACATAGGAAAATGATGAGCACAGAGCCTAGGACAGAGTTAATACTCACTTGTTATTTTTGTTTTTTGTGGGGTTTGTTTTTTGTTTTTTTGTTGAGACAGAGTCTCCCTCTGTCTCCCAGGCTGTAGTACAATAGCACAATCTTGGCTCACTGCAACCTCTGCCTCCCAGGTTCAAGCAATTCTCCTGCCTCAGCCTCCCAAGTAGCTAGGACTATAGGCATGCACCACCATGCCTAGCTAATTTTTCTATTTTTAGTAGAGATAGGGTTTTGCCACGTTGGCCAGGCTGGTCTCAAAATCCTGACCTCAAGTGATCCGCCTGCCTTGGCCTCCCAAAGTGCTGGGATTACAGATGTGAGCCACCGTGTCCAGCCCTATTTTTGTTTTACTACAGATAACATTATTATTCTCAAAAGTGGGGTCTGCATAAAGATGAGTGGCAGCCTCAGTTATCTCCTGCAAACTTTTTTTTTTTTTTTTTGAGATGGAATCTCGCTCTGTCACCCAGGCTGGAGTGCAGTGGCGTGATCTTGGCTCACTGCAAGCTCCGCCTCCCAGGTTCACACCATTCTCCTGCCTCAGCCTCCTGAGTAGCTGGGAATACAGGCACCTGCCACCACGCCCGGCTAATTTTTTGTATTTTTAGTAGAGACGGGGTTTCACCATGTTAGCCAGGATGGTCTTGATCTCCTGACCTCGTGATCTGCCCGCCTCATCCTCCCAAAGTGCTGGGATTACAGGTGTGAGCCACCGCACCCGGCCTATCTCCTGCAAAACTTCTAAAGGCAAAGAGTCTAGGCAGAAGCCAGCGCACAGGTCAAGGGCTGCCGTTTCTCACCACCAATGACACAGTGGCCCATCTGAACAATGTGCAGACAGGAAATGCTAAGAGAAGTGGAGCCAGCTGCCCAGGGTCACACAGGAAGCAACCCCAGATGCTCCCTCCCCACCCAGCTTACTTTGGAAACCCACCCGTGACACCCAGCAGATTCTCATTCTCCCCAGACTTGGCATGAGATCAATACAGGATACTTTTTTTTTTTTTTTTTTTTTTTTGAGATGGAGTTTCACTCTTGTTGCCCAGGCTGGAGTGCAGTGGCGTGATCTTGGCTCACTGCAAGAGCCGCCTCCCAGGTTCAAGTGATTCTCCTGCCTCAGCCTCCCAAGTAGCTGGAATTACAGGTGTCCGCCACAAAGCCCGGCTAATTTTTGTATGTTTAGTAGAGATGGGGTTTCACCATGTTGGGCAGGCTGGTCTCGAACTCCTGACCTCAGGTGATCCGCCCGCCTCGGCCTCCCAATGCATGACACATTTTTATGGAGAGATGCCCAACTGAAGGAGAGAGTGAGTGGCCTCTAACCGTGCAGCTAGCTCAGTGACCCCTGCGGATACTCATAAACCTGGGCTCCCAGAAGCCTGCTGAGTGCATTCATAGTGGCGCCATGTGAATACTTCTTAGATCAGAGCTCCCCGTGACTCTTTTCTGGCTGGGTCAGGGCTGCTTCAGGACTCAGGAGGGCTGTGTGGCTGGTAAAGGCACTTTGGCCATCCTCAAAGGCCTGCTCTGGACTGACCCGTATCAGCTACAGCAGAAGGGGGAAAGCGCACCGGCTCAGATGCAGGGCCCCAAAAAGCATCTGCTTCTCATCATTCTTTTCCCCAAGGCCCTGGTGGCTCCCAGGAAGGGAAGCAACCTCTCTGGGCCTCCGTAGACTAATAATAATACTAGTAATCCTAACGATACTAGCTAAGGCTCATGTAAATTCATTAGCAAGTGCCATATGTGTTAACACATTTAATGCTTGTCAACCTCATGAGGCCAGCTCTCTTATTACTCCCAGCTTACAGATGAGAAAACTGAGGCCCAGAGTGGTTAACTGCCTTGCATAAGGCCACACAGCTGGTAAGCGGTGGAGCTGGGATTTGAATCCAAGCAGTCCGGCTCCAGGTTCCCTGCAATATTCCCAAGGGAATGGGTGGCGGAATTCCTCATTCTGCCCCTATCAGGACCCCCTCAGCTCCATGCCAATCCTCACAGCCACCATCTGGTTATCATCTACCTCATGCCAAGCATTTCACAGTCCTCGTTAATGGGCACAAGCACACTGTGACCCTTTTACAGACAGGCAAACTGAGGCTGAGGGATGTGATGAGGCTGATCAAAAGTCACGTGGCCCACAACGAGCACAGCTGGGATTCAAACCCAGGCCTATCCCTCCCAGTCTCACCTTGGCGTCGCTGCGTTCTCTCACTCTACTGGCTACAGGTGTCACTGCTCAGGGGATTGTAAGCCAGCTCCAGCACAAAAATCATCATCAAGACAATCATCCCTCATTTCCCATCTCGCCTCACAGGTATAAAGCACCTTCTTATGCAGTAATATCTCTGAGCTTCCCAGCAGCTCGCCAGAGAAGACAAATTATTCCCATTTTCCAGATAAGGAAACTGAGACTCAGTTGGTGAACTGCCTGTCTCTGGTTATAAACTCAAACCAGGTCTCCTTACCCAGAGCCTCTGCTCTGCGACCACTTGTCCCACACAAATCATGAGCCATGATTCTTACCCATGCCCTCCAGGCAGACCCTCTACTCCTGCAAGGACCCGTCCTACCCCATCAGAAACATAATTGTGGCAGGTTCTATTATTGCTCAGCAAATGTTTCTTCAGCCTCCATGAGAGGAGTAGACTTCAACTCATTGATGTCAGGCTTGCCACGTGACTTGCTTCAGCCTATAGCATGAGAGCAGAAGTGACAGCTTCTCAGTTCAGAACGGAGGCTTCTGTTGTCCACCACAGAAGAACACGCCCTGGCTGGCTGCCACCCTTCAGCCTGTGAATCTGGATGAAGATTCACGAGCCAGACCTGAACCCAATCCAAAGCCTAGGGCCAGCCTTGCTGGTGAAGCCTAGCTAAGGTCAGCCAAGCTACCTGCTGACTCGTGAGCATGAAACAAATGTTTGCTGTTAAAGGCCACTGCGATGTAGGAGATGTTTGTTACACAGTATGATCACAGAAAAGCTTGACTAATACAGGGACCACGTATGTCCAGAAAGACTCGTGTGTACATGGGCAAATATCTTCCGAGACAGAGTCTCCAGCAGTTTGTATTAAAACCCAAGGGCCAGGCTGGGTGTGGTGGCTCACATCTGCAATCCTACCACTTTGGGAGGCTGAGGCAGCAGGATCGCTTGAGGAGTTTGAAACTAGCCTGGGTAATGTGGCAAAATCTCGTCTCTACAAAAATTAGCCAGGCGTGGTGGTGCATGCCTGTAATCCCAGCTACTTGGGAGGCTGAGGTGGGAGGACCACCTGAGCCCAGGAGGTTGAGACTGCAGTGAACTGAGATCGCACCACTGCATTCCAGCCTGGATGAAAGAGCAAGACCCTGTCTCAAAACAAAAACAACAACAACAAAAAGAACCCCAAGGGCAACAAAATGTTGTCACTTATAAGAACTCTCACCTTCCCTCAGGCCAGAGGCCATGTCCTATGGCCAAAGACAAGAGACAGCCAAACACTGTTCCTTCTCTCTGAAATATACAAAGAGGCTGTCTCTCGCACAGCTGTGGTAAGAGTGTGAAAGGTATAGCCACTCTGCTGGGAAATTGGGCAGGTCATTTCAACGTTCTAAACACCCTTCCTCCCTAAAGTTCCACATCCTGGAAATCTGTCCTCCAGCCTACTACAACAAATGTGCAAAGACATGTCAACAGGGATGTTAACTGCGGCACTCGGTCATAGCAAAAAAAAAAAAAAAAAAAAAAGAACCTGAAAAACAACTCAATGTCCATCAACAGGGGATCGGTTAAATAAGCTCATAGCACCTCATGCACTGGAAATTATTCAGTTTTTTCTTTTTTTTTTTTTTTTTTGAGACGGAGTCTTGCCCTGTCACCCAGGCTAAAGTGCAGTGGCGCGATCTCAGCTCACTGCAACACTCGCCTCCCTGGGTTCAAGCAATTCTCCTGCCTCAGCCTCCCGAGTAGCTGGGATTACAGGCGCGTGCCACCATGCCTGGCTAATTTTTGTATTTTTAGTAGAGATGGGGTTTCACCATGTTGACCAGGCTGGTCTTGAACCCCTGACCTCAAGTGATCCGCCCGGCCGCCTAAAGTGCTGGGATTACAGGCCCGAGCCACCACAGCTGGCCTTATTCAGCTTTTAAAAATAATGAGGTAAATCAACACATTCTGAAATGGGAAAGTACCTAAATCTATTTTTAATTCACGTGTGAAATTATTTGTTTTATTTTATTTATTTATTTATTTATTTATTTATTTATTTATTTGAGACGGAGTCTCACTCTGTCGCCAGGCTGCAGTGCAGTGGTATGATCTCGATTCACTGCAATCTCCCTCCCAGGTACAAGTGATCCTCCCGCCTCAGCCCCACGAGTAGCTGGGACCACAGGCGCCACCACACCTGGCTAATTTTTGTATTTTTAGTAGAGACGGGGTTTCACCATGTTGGCCAGGCTGGTTTCGAACTCCTGACCTCAAATGATCCACCTCCCTCGGGGTCCCAAAGTGCTGGGATTACAGGCGTGAGCCACCGCGCCCGGCCGTATTTCATATTCTTAATGGAGACATGGCTATAGAACATTTCAAAGGTCACTTAACTGAGCAATTAACAAATGTAGCTGTGATAGCTTCTGCCCAGAAGTCAAGTCCATAATTATTTGCTTACTTGTCTCACCTTGCCCCCTTCCTTCTTCTCGTACAGTTGACCAGAGGATTCCTAAGGGCAGGTGATCTTTTGAATTTTTCACAAATAGAGTGCCTTGCCCACATAAGATGCTCAATAAAATATTCATTGCATTGAAGGAAAAAATATATATATGTGTGTGTGTGTGTA